>NC_000012.12:54960128-56210128 GCF_000001405.40 Homo sapiens | reverse complement strand
CAACTATAATCATTTTGCTCTTGCTTTAACAAAAGAAGGGGCACAGCAATTTAGTAAATTTGTGTAATAACATTAAAGCTTGATTGACTCTATTCTTCCCTTTCAGTCCAATACTACTTTCCGTTTGTCAGGTTGACTGCTATAATTGCCAGCCTTCTCATATTTCCTCTTGCCCTATTTTTTTATTTCTGTGGGTTATGAAATATTCGACTAAATGTTGATAGCTGAAGGGCATGTTAGCTCACACCTGTAATCCTAGCACTTTGGGAGGCCGAAGTGGGCAAGTCACTTCAGGCCAGGAGTTCAAGACCAACCTGGCCAACATGGCAAAACCTTGTCTCTACTAAAAATACAAAAATTAGCCAGGTGTGGGGCCGGGCGCGGTGGCTCACGCCTGTAATCCCAGCACTTTGGGAGGCCAAGGCGGGTGGATCACGAGGTCAGGAGATTGAGACCATCCTGGCTAACACATTGAAACCCCGTCTCTACTAAAAATACAAAAAACTAGCCAGGCGTGGTGGCAGGCACCTGTAGTCCCAGCTACTTGGGAGGCTGAGGCAGGAGAACGGCATGAACCTGGGACGGGGAGCTTGCAGTGAGCAGAGATTGAGCCACTGCACTCCAGCCTGGGCAACAGAGCGAGACTCCGTCTCAAAAAAAAAAAAAAAAAATTAGCCAAGTGTGGTGGTGCTCGCCTGTAATCCCAGCTACTCAGGAGGCTGAGGCATGAGAATCACTTAAAACCAGAGGTAGAGGTTGTAGTGAGCTGAGATCGCGCCATTGCACTCCAGCCTGGGTGACAGAATGAGACTCTGTTCCCCCTAACTAAAAAATAAAAAGAATGTTGATAGCTGGGGCTGTGAATATAGGGCTTCTCTGAAGGAATAAGTGCACAGGCAGAATCTGTAGGAGGAAAAGGAGAGCTGTGCAGTAGATAAAAACAGTGTGTCAAAATAAATAAATAGGCCCCGTGCGGTGGCTCACGCCTGTAATCCCAGCACTTTGGGAGGACGAGGCGGGCGGATCACCTGAGGTCAGGAGTTCAAGACCAGCGTGGCCAACATGGTGAAACCCCATCTCTACTAAAAATATAAAAATTAGCCAGGTGTGGTGGTGGGCACCTGTAATCCCAGCTACTCGGGAGGCTGAGGCACAAGAATTACTTGAACCCATGAGGCGGAGGTTGCAGTGAGCTGAGACCGTGCCATTGCACTCCAGCCTGGGTGACAAGAGTGAAACTTGGTCTCGAAAAAAAAAAAAAAAGGCCAGGCGCGGTGGCTCACGCCTGTAATCCCAACACTTTGGAAGGCCGAGGGGGGCAGATCACGTGAGGCCAGGAGTTTGAGACCAGCCTGGCTAACATGGAGAAACCCCATTTCTACTAAAAATACAAAAAGTTAGCCGGCCATGGTGGCGCGCACCTGTAATCCCAGCTACTCGGGAGGCTGAGGCAGGAGAATCGCTTGAACCTGGGAGGCAGAGGTTGCGCTGAGCTGAGATCATGCCATCGCACTCCAGTTTGGGCAACAAGAGCGAAACTCCGTGTCAAAAAAAATAATAAAAATACAAAATAAAATAAATTTAAAAAATAGATAAAACACTGTGTCTTGATTGGGGAAAGAAATTTAAGGAAAATAGACAGCAAAGGGGCAAGTAGGAAGCTTGGACGAAGAAAGTGAAGGGAATAAACAAGAGGGAGGCCTGAAATGAATGTTAGAAATTTTGGGTAGGACAAAATCTACTTAGCAGTTATCTGCCACAGAATAGGCCATTTGCATACATGTCCCAGGGATCACCTCTGTTCTGCTCTTTCCCCACCCTGGTCTGCAGCCTGGAGATGCCCAAAGATGAGCTGCCCAACCATAACTGCATTAAGCACCTGCGCTCAGTGGTACAGCAGCAGCAGACACGCATCGCAGAGCTGGAGAAGACGTCAGCTGAACACAAACACCAGCTGGCGGAGCAGGTAGGCCCCAAGACACGGGGGAGAACATATCCCTCATATGCAGATAACTGCCTGCCTGTGGGTAATAAAAACCAGTTGTGAACACACAGACCAGTGCTTACACTTGTGAGCCTAGATGAGTGGATATTCTGCCTGTGGCTTAGCAGGGAATCAGATTGGAGCTCTCCTTGACTTTTCTTCATCCCATTCATAGCATTAATTCACCTACCAGTTATCACATGCCTCCTCTGTGAAGGCACATTTGTAAGTACTAAGGAGACAGCTGTGAGTGAGACAGTCTTATCCCTGTCTTCCTGAAGCTTACAAACTGGTTGTTCTTCAGATCTCTCAGTTGCCCTCATTCTTGGATAAACTTTTGTCTTTTTTCTGCTGTCTGCCTTAACCATTATTCCTGTTCTTCTTCCCCACAACAGAAGCGAGACATCCAGCTGCTAAAGGCATACATGCGTGCAATCCGCAGTGTCAACCCCAACCTTCAGAACCTGGAGGAGACAATTGAATACAACGAGATCCTAGAGTGAGTGTCACTCAGGACGTGGAGTGATTTCATGTCCTGACAACAAGGCCTGAAAGGAGGAAGAGCAGGAGAGTAGCAGAAGGAGGGCATTGGAGAGCTGGGCTGGGGGTCACTGCTTCTCAGATATTGGCATTAAGGACAGGGGCAGAGGAGAAGAGGATAACCCTTAGCTCCACTACAGGATGTCTTATGTGTTTGGGTGGATGGAGGGAAAGCCTGCCCAAGGATGCACTTTATCCAGAATTAGGTGAGTACCCATGTACAAAGCCCTGTATTAAAGGCTGTGGAGTGCTAGGAGGGCCAAAAAGAAATAGAAGATATCGTCCTGTCTTCAGGTAGCTTACAACCCAGAGAAGAGGAGGCAGAGTGCAAGTCCAGGAAAGTGATCTCTAAAATGCAGCAAAAACAAGCGAAGTATACAAGTGAAGTCTAAGATCTCTTTCAGTTCTGGAGTCCTATACAGTTCATAGAGTAAACTGTAAGTGTGAATCAATATATACAGGGCAAATAGTGCTGAGTGGGACATAGGATAGAGGAATAATTGTTTTATTCACTAAACATAGAGCACTAACTGTGTTAGGCGCTATATGTGCTAAGTATTGGAATTTCAAAGAAAAGTAACAGAGACAGAGTGCAGACTTGTGGAATTTAATCTGGTGAGTAACATGTGGTGACTCAGTTGGGACCAAGTGGGGAAAGATTTGGGGTTTCTGAGCCAATGATGGAAGGAAAGAAGGAAGAATAGGTAAGCTGAGTGCAGAGTGGGTAGTTATTTCTATTAGCAGAAAAAGCCAATACAGAGAAAGGAGATGAGCTGGAATGACCATCTTTAACCACCTCCACACAGGTGGGTGAACTCCCTTCAGCCAGCAAGAGTGACCCGCTGGGGAGGGATGATCTCGACTCCTGATGCTGTGCTCCAGGCTGTAATCAAGCGCTCCCTGGTGGAGAGTGGCTGTCCTGCTTCTATTGTCAACGAGCTGATTGAAAATGCCCACGAGCGTAGCTGGCCCCAGGGTCTGGCCACACTAGAGACTAGACAGATGAACCGACGCTACTATGAGAACTACGTGGCCAAGCGCATCCCTGGCAAGCAGGCTGTTGTCGTGATGGCCTGTGAGAACCAGCACATGGGGGATGACATGGTGCAAGAGCCAGGCCTTGTCATGATATTTGCGCATGGCGTGGAAGAGATATAAGAGAACTCGACTGGCTATCAGGAAGAGATGGAAATCAGAAAATCCCATCACTCCAGCAGCTGGGACCTGAGTCCTACCCACCATTCTTAATACTGTGGCTTATACCTGAGCCACACATCTCCCTGCCCTTCTGGCACTGAAGGGCCTTGGGGTAGTTTGCTCAGCCTTTCAGGTGGGAAACCCAGATTTCCTCCCTTTGCCATATTCCCCTAAAATGTCTATAAATTATCAGTCTGGGTGGGAAAGCCCCCACCTCCATCCATTTTCCTGCTTAGGGTCCCTGGTTCCAGTTATTTTCAGAAAGCACAAAGAGATTCAATTTCCCTGGAGGATCAGGACAGAGGAAGGAATCTCTAATCGTCCCTCTCCTCCAAAACCAGGGAATCAGAGCAGTCAGGCCTGTTGACTCTAAGCAGCAGACATCCTGAAGAAATGGTAAGGGTGGAGCCAAATCTCTAGAAATAAGTAGTGAGGCCGTTAATTGGCCATCACTGATGGCCCTTAGGGAAAGACTGGACCTCTGTGCCAAGCAGTATCCCTGTTCAGCCCACCTTAAAGGTGTAGGCACCCACTGGGTCTACCAGTATGCAGGTTGGGATACTGAAAATTTCCAGATGAGCTCTTCTTTCCTACAAGTTTTCATAATTAGGGAATGCCAGGGTTTAGGGTAGGGGTTAATCTGTTGGGGGTTGATGTGTTTAGCAAGAAGCTACTCCTAGCTTTTGCTAAAATATGGTTGGCACTGCCTCTTGTGGCACAGGCCATAATTGTTCCATAGACCCCTCTCTAGCCCTGTGACTGTAGTTAGTTACTTTGATAATTTTCTTTGGCCATTGTTTGTTTATATTTCACAAACTCCACCTACTGCCCCCCCCCCTCTTTTTTTTAAGAATGGCCTGATCATGGCTATCTCAGCCACATTGTTGGCAATTTAATTTATTTACTTCCTTTTTTTTTTTTTAAGAAAGGAAAAAAGAAAAAAAAATCAAACTTGAAACTTTTCTTTTGATGTTCCTATTGTGGGGGTTCTGGATAGGGTGGGACAGGGATGGGGGTGTGTTTTATATTTTTTCCTTTTCAGCACAACCTTTGGCTTTAATATAGGAAGAGCCAAGGGAGTCCTCGGCTGAACTTACGATATCTGCCCCAAACCTCTGTAACCCCAACTGAAATGAGGAGCTTCCTCTCTTCCTGTGAAGGATATGACAGTCCAGCATCGATGCCTGTGCCCTCTGGAAAAATTTCCTCCTAGCCCTTCCAGGGCCTTATCATAAAACTCTGGATTTAGAGTATTCATTTTGAAGGCAACTCCCCCTTCCCCAAGTTTCCTTGGAGCTGTATAGCTGGGTTCTAAGCTTCACCATGCAAATCAGAAATTTTATCTCTAAGTACAGGCTGTGCCGTGTCTCACCCACACCCCCCTGGGGACTTCAGTTCCATTTCAGGTTACCTGGGGTATACCTTGATCCCTAGAGTGACTGGCAGAGTAAGAGAAGGGGAGAGATAATAGGTGTGATTATTTTAATATGGAGGTGGGAGTGTGGTTGGAGATAGAAAGGCTCCTCCCCACCATGTAATGGCTTCCTCTCAGAATTTTATTCCAGGCTAGCTTGCTGCAGGTCTGGGTAGTTGGATCATGGCTCCACTGGGATTGGGGTGGAAAGCTTGAGGGGAGTAGGGTTCCAGCTCTGGGACATTGTGCTCAGGAATTTGAAAACGCTGCTATACTTACTCTGGTTACTACATTTCTTCCACTCCCCTTTCCCCTACCTGCCTTAACCAAGGCTCATACTGTCCTGTCCTTACCCTCAGATGGAGCCAGGAAGCTCAGTGAAAGGCTTCCCTACCCTTTGCACTAGTGTCTCTGCAGGTTGCTGGTTGTGTTGTATGTGCTGTTCCATGGTGTTGACTGCACTAATAATAAACCTTTTACTCAACTCTCTAAATTCTTCAGCATTACTCCCTTTCTTGAGAAGGTTTCCCCTCTGCTTTTGCCTTTCTCTCACCTTAATTCCCTTTCTTCCTTACTTTGTTACCTACCCTTATCTTAGTGCTAACTTCTCTTTCAGGAGGATGTCTGGGAGTAGTGTGCACTTCACAGCTGCTTTCCCATGTACCCTCCTGCATTCTTCCCTCCTATCTCCTGTTCTGTAGCAGCCAAAGCTCTCTAGTGATCTGAACTGTGTGCTTCCCAGGGTCTGCCTTTATCCTAAATTCCATGTCTTCCCTGAGTGGTCCTGAGTTTTTGGGATAATTTCTACAGAAGATATGTATATATCTTTTTCCTTTGTCCCACAAGCAACTTTGCTTTAGAATCTAGAATTCCTTTGCAGGCAGAGAAGTCTCTACCTCCCAGTGTTTCCTAGCTAAGAACGTAAATGTGAGGAGGGAAATGTACTTGCAGAGGTTTCATAATTATTTACTTATAAAAATAGTCTTCATAGCCGGGCGCGGTGGCTCACGCCTGTAATCCCAGCACTTTGGGAGGCCGAGGTGGGTGGATCACAAGGTCAGGAGTTCGAGACCATCCTGGCTAACACAGTGAAACCCCGTCTCTACTAAAAATACAAAAAATTAGCCGGGCGTGGTGGCAGGCACCTGTAGTCCCAGCTACTTAGGAGGCTGAGGCAGGAGAATGGCGTGAACCCGGGAGGCAGAGCTTGCAGTGAGCAGAGATTGGGCCACTGCATTCCAGCCTGGGCGACAGAGCAAGGCTCCGTCTAAAAAAAAAAAAAAAAAAAAAAGTCTTCATAGGCCGGGCACGGTGGCTCACGTCTGTAATCCCAGCACTTTGGGAGGCCAAGGTGGGTGGATCACAACGTCAGGAGATCGAGACCATCCTGGCTAACATGGTGAAACCCTGTCTCTACTAAAAATATAAATAAATTAGCCGGACAGGCGCCTGTCCTCCCAGCTACTCAGGAGGCTGAGGCAGGAGAATGGTGTGAACCTGGGAGGCGGAGCTTGCAGTGAGCTGAGATCACGCCACTGCACTCCAGCCTGGGCAACAGAGCAAGACTCCGTCTCAAAAAAAAAAAAAAAAAAACCAGTCTTCATAAGTATTTGCTGCTACCTTTCCCTGTCATAAGAAAAAGGATAGCCAGACATGGTGGGACGCCACTATGATCCCAGCTCCTTGGAAGGCTAAGGCACAAGAATCGCTTGAACCTGGGAGGTGGAGGTTGCAGTGAGCTGAGATCATGCCACTGCACTCCAGCCTGGTGACAGAGCAAGAGCCTGTCTCAAAAAAAAAAAAGAAAAGAAAAGAAAAAGGGATATCTTTTCCTCCTCCCAGAAGTTTGTTTTAAATTTGAGCATTTATCATGCACCTGATGTAAACCTAATAGTACTCTTGATACTCTAGTGGCTTGAAAAAAAAAAAAAAGGCATTTCTGTGCTGAGTCTGCGCTTCTATGCACACAAGGTATGTTTATAAAATACTGATAAGCATGTCACAGTATAGAGCATAAGAGGCAATGTATGTATCCTAGTGACATTAGCAGTGCTTTTCCCCCCTTAAACTCCTTTAAAATTACTTTTAGAACTTGCTGCTCATTCTTGTGAATGTTATGAATGGTGTCATATTGTCCTTTTACAGAAGATACGATTTTTAGAAACAAATATTCATTGAATGTCTGCCCTGTGAGATACTCACTAGAGTGAACATGAGGAGGCTTATGTAGCAAAATGGCACCTACCTGCAAAGAACTTAGTCCCTAATGGAGATGAATATATAATAAGGGATCATAAATGTGCTAAGTGGATTTACTAGTAATATGTGAGCCAAGGACGATAAAGCTCCTGATTCTGATGGGTATCAGGAAAGGCTTTTCAGGAAGTGTTACTTGTTATAGGTCAGAGGTCAGCAAACTACAGGTTACAACCCCACTGCCTGCTTTTGTAAAAAACTTTATTGGAATACAGTTATGCCCACTTGTTTATATATTGTCTGTGGCTGCTTTCACATTACAACAGCAGGGTTAAGTAGCTGGAACAAAGCCTAAAATACTTGGTCTTTTACAGAAAAAAATTTGCCAACCTGTTCTAAACTTTTAAGGTCAGGAGAACTGGGGGAAGGAGGGAGTAGAAAGAACACTGTCACCCAGACTGGAGTGCAGTGGCACCATCATATAGCTCACTGTAGCCTCAAACTCCTGGGCTCTAGTGGTCTTCCCACTTCAGCTTCTGGAGTAGCTGGGGCTACTGCACCTGGAATTGTCTTAATCTGTTTTAATACTAGTAAAATTTTTTTTGTTTCATCTCTTTCAGTGACTTTGATACACTGTCTTAATTTTTTTTTTTTTTTTTTTTTTTTTTTTAGATAGGGTCTGGCTCTGTAGCTGAGGCTGGAGTGCATGACGTAATTTTGGCTCACTGCAACCTCCACCTCCCAGGCTCAAGTGATCCTCCTACCTCAGCCTCTTAGGTAGCTGGGACCACAGGCATGCGCCACCACACCGGGCTAATTTTTTGTATTTTTTGTAGAGATGGGGTTTCACCATGTTGCTGAGGCTGGTCTCAAACTCCTGAGCTCAAGGAATCCACCTGCCTTGGCCTCCCAAAGTGCTGGGATTACAAGTGTGAGCCACTGCACCTGGCTTCATTGTCTTAATTTTTTACTTCAGTATATACATTGGAAAAATAAAAATATTTTTGACATTACCTAAATAACAAGTGTTTACAATTAACAATGTATAATGAATAATCTACTACAAACCCATGTTTACATTACCCTAATTGTCCCAAGAAAAGTCTTTTTTTTTTTTTTGACACAGGATCTCACTCTTGTCACCTAGGCTAGAGTGCAGTGGCACAATCACGACTCACTACAGCTCACTATAGCCTTGACCTCCTGCTGGGCTCAAGCAGTCCTCCCATCTCAGCCTCCCAAGCAGCTGGGACCACAGATGTGCACCACCATGCCCAGCTGATTTGTTTCTTGTATATTTTGTAGAGACAGGGTTTCACCATGTTGCCCAGGTTGGTCTCAAACTCCTGAGCTCAAGTGATCTGCCCACCTCAGCCTCCCAAAGTGTTGGGATTACAAGTGTGAGCCATTGCACCTGTCTGAAAAGTCCTTTTGTAGCTAATTTGTGTCTAAACCTGGGTCCAATCCAGGACCACGAATTACATCAGGTTATTTCTCTTTTACCCTCTATCTGGGTTCATGAAACCACCTTTTTTTGTGTAACCCTAATTTGTTGAAAAGATTGGCCAGGCGCGGGGGCTCATGCCTGTAATCCCAGCACTTTGGGAGGCCGAGGCGGGCGGATCACGAGGTCATGAGATCGAGACCATCCTGGCTAACATGGTGAAACCCCGTCTCTGCTAAAAATATAAAAAAAAAAATTAGCCAGGCGTGGTGGCGGGCGCCTGTAGTCCCAGCTACTCGGGAGGCTGAGGCAGGAGAATTGCGTGAACCCAGGAGGCGGAGCTTGCAGTGAGCCGAGATCGTGCCACTGCACTCCAGCCTGGGAGACAGAGCAAGACTCCGTCTCAAAGAAAAGAAAAGATTGAGCCAGTTTTCTGGAGAATGGTCGTTTGAACTTGACTGCTTTTTTTCTTTTCAGATGGGGTCTCGCTTTGTCCCCCAGGCAGGAGTGCAGTGGCACGATCTCAGCTCGCTGCAACCTCCACCTCCTGGGCTCAAGTGATTCTCTTGCCTCATCAGCCTCCCAAGTAGCTGGGACTACAGGCACGTGCCACCATGCCCGGCTAATTTTTGTATTTTTAGTAAAGACGGGGTTTTAAACCTATGTTGGGCCGGCTGGTCTTGAACTCCTGACCTCAACTGATCCACCCGCCTTGGCCTCCCAAAGTGCTTGGATTACAGGCATGAGCCACCGCGCCTGGCCTAGCCCGTTTTACTAAACAAAATTAGATAGGGCCTTGAGAGATTCAAGTTAGACAGTTCTGGGGATAGAACACATCACAGGAGAGAGAAGTTCTTCATTTTGTAACATTAGGAGATATGCCCTATTGCCCCATCATTAGCCTGATTCTTTTTTTTTTTTTTTTTTTTTTTGAGACCGAGTTTTGCTCTTGTTGCCCAGGCTGGAGTGCAGTGGTGCTCACTGCAACCTCCGCCTCCCTGGTTCAAGTGATTCTCCTGCCTCAGCCTCCCGAGTAGCTGGGATTACAGGCACCCACCACCATGCCCAGTTAGTTTTTGTATTTTTAGTCGAGACAGGGTTTCACCACATTGGCCAGGCTGGTCTCGAACTCCTGACCTCAGGTGGTCTACCTGCCTCGGCCTCCCAAAGTGCTGGGATTACAGGTGTGAGCCACCGTGCCTGGCTATGCTAAATTTCACAGCTTTTAAGTGCTGGCCCAAATTAAAAAAAAAAAAGAAAAAGCTTGTGGGCCAGGCACAGTGGCTCATGCCTGTAATCCTAGTACTTTGGGAGGCTGAGGTGGGAGGACCATTTGAGCCCAAGAGTTCAAGACCAGCCTACAAAATACAGTGAGCCTTTGTCTCTACAAAAAGAATTTTTAAAAAATTAGCCAAGTGTGGTGGCATGTGCCTGTAGTCCCAGCTGCTTGAGAGGCTGAGGTGGGAGGATCCCTTGAGCCCAGGAATTGAAGGATACAGAGAGCTGTGATTGCACCACTGCACTCCAGCCTGGGTGAGAGACTGAGATCCCGTCTCCTTTTTTTTGAGGCAGGGTCCCACTCTGTTACCCAGGCTGGAGCGCAGTGGTGTGATGTTGGCTCACTGCCACCGCCCTGTCCTGAGACCTCATCTGCTTAAAATGCTTGTGGGCAAAAAACAAAAAGTAAGGTCCACCAATATGCACTTTAAGTTGAGATCCCAGCATGAATAAAAACAAATAAGAGGGCTGGGTGCAGTGGCTCACACCTGTAATCCCAGCACTTTGGGAGGCTGAGGCGGGTGGATCACCTGAGGTCAGGAGTTTGAGACCAGCCTGACCAACATGGAGAAACCCCATCTCTACTAAAAATACAAAAAACTTTAGCTGGGCGTGGTGGTGCATGTAATCCCAGCTACTCGGAAGGCTAAGGCAGGAGAATCACTTGAACCTGGGAGGCAGAGGTTGAGGTGAGCCGAGATCGCACCATTGCACTCCAGCCTGAGCAACAAGAGTGAAACTGTCTCAAAAAAAAAAAAAAAAAGGGTGAAGAAAATGTTGAAGAAGGCAGAGACTAATGTAATCTGGAGCATAGAGTTTACTGGAAGACGAATAATGAAGGGAAATAATGGAAGATAAGACTAGAAGTAATTTGGGGCCAATTATTGGAAGGCCTTGAATGCATGCTAGGGAATTTGGACTTTACCGGTAAGTTTTTGAGAAGAGGAATGACTTCCAACCCATTACTCTGGAAAGAATGCAAGAAACTGAGAGAATGCAAGAATGGGAAGAATGTAAGAAACTGGTGTTGGCAGTGTTAGTGAGCTTTGTAGTAATTCAAGGAAGCAGAGGATAAGGGCTTGAAATACTGCAGGAAAGAGAGAATGACATTTGGGAAGAAAAATTGACAGGTTTTAGTAACTGATTAGATTCAGCCAACATTTATGGTGTACCTGTCATGTGTTAGACATAGTACCAAGCATTTAAGATGTATAAATAATTGAGAAATAAGACTTTAAAGGGGCCAGTGCCTCACGCCTGTAATCTCAGCACTTTGGGGTCCAAGGTGGGAGGATTCCTTGAGCCCAGGAGTTTGTGAACAGCTTGGGCAACATGGCAAGACCCTGTCTCTATGGAAAAAAAAAAGTGGCATAGTGGCACATGCCTGTGGTCCCAGCTACTTGGGAGGCTAAGGTGGGAGGATCTCTTGAGCCTGGGAGATTGAGGCTGCAGTGAGCTGTGTTTGCGCCGCTGCACTCTAGCCTGAGTGCCAAGAATGAGACCCTGTCTCAGAAAAAAAATAAGAACAGACTTTAAAGGAACTTGCAGCATTGTAGGTGACACACACTAGAACAACAAATAATGGGAAATATAGAATAGTATGTTGCTAATAGATAGGGACTAAGTACAATGGGACAATGAGGAGGAAAGGGGCCAACTACATATCTGGTGGAATGTGGGAAGGAAGGCTTCGTAAAGGAATCATCAGGGTTAAGTTCTGAACAGGATTGGACACTGGCAATAAAGAAATGTAATGGCCAGATTATTTACTGTGAGGCACTACTGTAAACATTAAACATTAATTTAGTCATCCTAACAACTTTTAATAAAAAGACACTATTGCTGGGCATGGTAGTGCATGACTGTAGTACTAGCTACTTGGAAGACTGAGGCAGGAGGATTGCTTGAGCCCAGAGGCTATGGTGAGCCAACAGAGTAAGACCCATCTCTTAAAAAACAACAACAGGCCAGGCGCGGTGGGTCATGCCTGTAATCTCGGCACTTTGGGATGCCGAGGTGGGTGGATCACCTGAGGTCAGGAGTTTGAGACCAGCCTGGCCAATATGGTGAAACCCCGTCTCTACTAAAAATACAAATATTAGCTGGGCGTGCTTGTGCACACCTGTAATCCCAGCTACTTGGGAGGCTGAGGCAGAATTGCTTGAACCTGGGAGGTGGAGGTTGCAGTGAGCCGAGATCGCACCATTCCACTCCAGCCTGGGCGACAGAGTGAGACTCTTCTCAAAAACAAACAAACAAACAAACAAAAAACATGGACAAGTAACCAAAAATGAGTCACAGATAAAGATGGAGATTTCCAGACTGTGGATGAGAACATGGTATCATTAGCCTAAATAGGGAGTAGAAGAGGATGAGCAGGTTTTGGGGGTGAAGAAATGAGTTCATCTGGGGAACACTGGGTTGGGAGTGCCCCCACATAGATGTGTTTAGTCAGGAAATGGAAACATGGTCTGGAGCTTAAGAACAAGAAGCTAGGGGCCAGGTGCAATGGCTCACACCTGTGATCCCAGCACTTTGGGAGGCTGAGGTGGGTGGATCACCTGAGGCCAGGAGTTCGAGACCAGCCTGGCCAACATGGCGAAACCCCATCTCTACTAAAAATAATAAAAATTAGCTGGGCGTGGTGGTGCATGCCTATAATCCCAGCGACTTGGGAGGCTGAGGCAGGAGAATCACTTGAACCCAGGAGGCAGAGGTTGCAGTGAGATGAGATCACCGCCATTGCACTCCAGCCTGGGCAACAAGAGTGAGACTCCGTCTCAAAAAAAACAAAACAAAACAAGAAGCTAGGGCTAAAGATGTGTATGGAGTAGTTATCTGCCCAGAAGAGATCAAGAAATGCTAGGAATGCATGCAAACACTTAAGAACAGGAAGAAGGCTAAGAATGGGACTTCTTAGCTATCTGGAATGAGGAATTCCAGATAAAATCTGGAACAAAATCTGGCAAATAGATGCATAATAAAGTTGGCTAATTTTTTAAAAGTAATTTTGAAGTAATGAATCACTTAAATGTGGCTCATAAACTAGCTGTGAAGGAGTTCCGGAAATGTTTTCTGCCATGAGAGCATCCCTGATGCAAGTGTAGGATGAGGTCATTTCAGCCCAAGTCTTAAAATGATTTGCTTTACTGGATAAACTGCAGAGACCCGCTGGGCACAGTGGCTCATGCCTGTAATCCCAGCACTTTGGAAGGCCGAGGCGGGCAGATCACTGGAGGTCGGGAGTTCAAAACCAGCCTGACCAACATGGAGAAACCCCATCTCTACTAAAAATACAAAATTAGCCGGGTGTGGTGGCACATGCCTGTAATCCCAGCTACTCAGGAGGCTGAGGCAGGAGAATCGCTTGAACCTGGGAGGCAGAGGTTGCGGTGAGCCAAGATCACGCCATTGCACTCCAGCCTGGGCAACAAGAGCAAAACTCCGTCTCAAGAAAAAAAAAAAAAAAAAAAAACTGCAGAGACCCAAGCCTCTTAGAATTTGGAACAAGTCGACAACTTGAAAGAGGATAATACTAAGTTATTGCTGGGTGCAGTGGTTCATGCCTGTAATCCCAGCACTTTGGGAGGCCAAGGTGGGTGGATTGCTTGAGCCCAAGAGTTCAAGACCAGCCTGGGCAATATGGTGAAACTGTGTCTTTATAAAAAATTTAAAAGTTCATTGGGTGTGGTGGTGCATGCCTGTAGTCCCCAGCTACTGGGGAAACTGAGGTGGGAGGATCGCATGAGCCCGGGAGATGGAGGTCACAGTGAGCCAAGATCGTGCCACCACACTCCAGCCTTGGCAACAGAGCAAGATCCTATCTCAAATCTTATATATAGTTCTTCCCCAACTTTAGCTTTAAAAAACATTACTGGCCGGGCGCGGTGGCTCACGCCTGTAATCCCAGCACTTTGGGAGGCCAAGGCGGGCGGATCACAAGGTCAGGAGATTGAGACCATCCTGGCTAACACGGTGAAACCCCGTCTCTACTAAAAATACAAAAAAATTAGCCGGGCGTGGCGGCATGCGCCTGTAGTCCCACCTGCTGGGGAGGCTGAGGCAGGAGAATGGCGTGAACCCGGGAGGTGGAGCTTGCAGTGAGCCAAGATCGCGCCACTGCACTCCAGCCTGGGTGACAGAGCAAGACTCTGTCTCAAAAAAAAAAAAGAAAACATTACCAGCCGGTGCGGTGGCTCACGCCTGTAATCCCAGCACTTTGGGAGGCCAAGGCAGGTGGATCACGAGGTTAAGAGAGTGAGACCATCCTGGCCAACATGGTAAAACCTCATCTCTACTAAAAATACAAAAATTAGCTGGGCGTGGTAGCATGTGCCTATAGTCCCAGCTACTCCGGAGGCTGAGACAGGAGAATCACTTGAATCCAGGAGGCGGAGGTTGCAGTGAGCCGAGATGGCGCCACGGCACTCCAGCCTGGAGACAGAGTGAGACTCTGTCTCAAAAAAAAAAAAAAAGTTAGTTACATAAAAATAATTTTAAGTCCAGGCCCAGTGGCTCATGCCTGTAATCCCAGCACTTTGGGAAGCCGAGGTGAGAGGATCACTTGAGGTCAGGAGTTCATGACCAGCCTGGCAGCATGGTAAAATCCTGTCTCTACAATGCAAAAATAAGGCGGTGTGGTGGCGTGCGCCTATAATCCTAGCTACTCGGGAGGCTGAGGCAGGAGAATCCCTTGACCCTGGGAGGCAGAGGTTATACAGTGAGCCATGATCGCACCACTGCACTCCAGCCTGGGCGACAAAGTGAGACTAATTTTTTTTTTGAGACAAAGTCTCACTCTGTCGCCCAGGCTGGAGTGCAGTGGTGCGATCACGGCTCACTGCAACCTCTGCCTCCGGGGTTCAAGCGATTCTCGTGCCCCAGCCTCCTGAGTAGCTAGGATTACAGGCATGCGCCACTATGCCCGGATAATTTTTTTATTTTTAGTAGAGACGGGGTTTCACCATGTTGGCCAGGCTGGTCTCAAACTCCTGACCTCAGGTGATCCACCCGCCTCGGCCTCCCAAAGTGCTGGAATTACAGGCGTGAGCCACCGTGTCCAGGCAAAATAATAATACTTTTAAGATCTAAGAATTTATTGCTGAAAAGATCATTATATGGTGAGACTACCTAGTTAGTAAAGAGAAGGAACTTCATGAGGGATGGCAGGGGTTGGGCTGTCACACGGAGATGACCAGCCAGATTAGATGGAAGGTATCTTAGTGGAAAGATGTAAGGGTAAGAAAAACGGGCAATTTAGGCAGGGTATGTTGATAATAGGATCATGTGTTTGTTTAGATGGGGAACTGAGTTCCTGGACAGGGGAATAATATGATGAAAGCAGTGTAATCACACTAATATAGGGTGGATTTCAGTGTGGTGAAACTAGGGCACCTTGAAGGCCATCGTAACAGGCATGAATTAAGATGATGTGCTTGGGGAAGCAACTGATGAATCAGTGTGATGGGCTTGGGAGAAAACAAACTTCAGATAATTAATTCTTAGAGCTGGAAATGAAGGAATTGAGTGAATAGTGGTATCAACAAAAGTGGGAAAAGTTCAGAACGATGATTGTGAGAGAGGAAGAGAAGCTTTGTTTGCATATTAGGTGACACTAGGTCAGCTGTGCAGAGATGTGAACAGCTGGAGATAAAGGACCATGGTTTAGCTGAGGACATACCTGGAAAGGTGGCTCTGAGATTTTGTCTCGGGAGAATGAAGCTTTGGTGGAAATTCCACAGGAGGAAGAAGAAAGCAAATGAGGTGGAGAAGCAGTATACTGAGAAGGAGAAAAACAATAAGTGTTTCTGAAGGCCAGTAAGAAATCAATGTTGTTTCAAACACAGAAAGGATGGAGACTGAGAAGAGATTATTAAATTTGTCCAGTGGTTTCTATTAACGTCTAAAAAACTTCAGGAGGCCGGGCGCGGTGGCTCACACCTGTAATCTCAGCACTTGGGGAGGCTGAGGCAGGTGGATCACTTGAGGTCAGGAGTTCAAAACCAGCCTGGTCAACATAGCAAAACCCCGTCCCTACTAAAAATACAAAAAAAAAAAATTAGCCAGGCGCATGGTGACAGGGACCTGTAATACCAGCTACTTGGGAGGCTGAGGCAGGAGAATTGCTTGAACCTGGGAGGTGGTGGTTGCAGTGAGCCGAGCTTGTGCCACTGCACTCCAGCCTAGGTGAGAGAGCAAGACTCTGTCTCAAAAAAAAATAAAAAGTAAAAAAGTAAAAAAGAAAAAAAAACCAAAACACTTCAGGAGGCAGAAACCAGATGACGGGGTATCTGATAGTATGGAACTGGAGGCAGAAAGGTATACATTTTATTCGAAAAATAAAAGGAAGTAGAAAACAATGTGGAAATTTGAAAGTGTCAAATGAAGGTGGGGTTTTGTTTGTACTGAATTCATGAAGGATTGATCCAGTGGAGTAGAGGAATTTTAAGGTGTTATGGAAGGATATTTATGGAAGGTTCCTTAGGAGGTTTAAATGAGTGGGACTACAGGCTTAAGTGGAGAAGGTTACTTCAGGGAAAATATGGAAGGCCACATACTGTAGCAGGAACTAAAGAATGCCAGTGGGTGATATGTAAATATGTAAGAATGGTGAGAGAGAGGGGGCCAGATCATGCAAGGTAAAGAAAGGTAAAAGAATAGTTAGGATTTGTTGGAGTGGAAGAGGAAGGGTGAAGGAATTGGGGAGATGGGGTGGGTACATGGGGATGGTAGAAATTTAAAATGATCTATTGTATATGAAGGTTTGAAGCCTCGGCCTCTCACCCACAAAAGTTACAAGAGAAGCATTTGAGAGTAAAAGGGATGAACTTCAAGTAGCAAACTACCTCTGCCATATTTCCCTTCTTGGTCCAGATCCTCCATTTTGTAAACCATGGAGCCTTCTTCCCTTCACAACATAGTTGTTGGTTGCCCTCTGCTGGTCAATTCTGGTCTTGGCTCTCCAGATATTTAAATATGAGAACCTGTGCAAATTGGGATTTGGTAGGAAGGAGAATCATGAGCCTATGAGATTTTATAAATTCATTCAACACATAGTTGATCACATCTATAAGGCCTTGTAGAGAAGATACAAATAAATAAAATACACAGCCCTAACTCTCAAGAAGCTTATATACCAGTCTAAAGATTAAAACATGTACACATAACTACTGTAAAAAACACCCATTTATGCAAAAAAATTTTAAAAACTGACTCCTTATCTGTGTTTAATGTGTTTATATGCCACAGGGGAAGAAAGACTTCACATAATAAGTTGAGAGCATAGGATGTGGTAGGCAACAAGTGGTCAGAGAAAACTCCACAGGAGAACCAACATTTAGGTGGAGAATGAGTAGAAAGTGTGGAAGAGAAAGATTATTCCAGGCAGAGAACACCATGAGCAAGGCTAAATAACTACCAGGAAGAACTAAAAGAATGCCAGTGGACAGAATGTAGTGAATATGGAAGAGTGGTGAGAGAAAAGGGGTCATATCCTGCAACACAGAAAGCAGCCATAGAAGGGTTTAAGGTCCCGGACTGCAGTGTGGATGCTTTAGTGCAGTTTTCTATATATTACCTCGTATGGTGCTCACAAATACCACTACCTTCCAAATGAAGGCTCTAGCTCAGCCTGCACTCACCCCTGAGAAAAGTGAGCATATTTGAGACATATTTAGAAGGTAAAATAAATGGAACCTGTTTCTATTTTATTTTAATTTTATTTTATTTGAGACAGAGTCTTGCTGCATCGCCCAAGCTGGAGTGCAGTGGCACGATCTTGGCTCACTGCAACCTCTGCCTCTTGGGTTCAAGTGATTTCTCCTACCTCAGCTTCCCAAGTAGCTGGGATTACAGGCGCCCGCCAACCACACCCAGCTAATTTTTGCATTTTTAGTAGAGATGGGATTTCACTACATTGGCCAGGCTGGTCTTGAACTCCTGACCTCGTGATCCGCCTGCCTCAGCCTCCCAAAGTGCTGGGATTACAGGCGTGAGCCACCACACCCACCCCTGTTTTTATTTTATTTTTATGTTAGCATATCAAGGGAGAAGTCCTTGCATGCAATTTAGTGAATGGTGGTGGTGGTAGACTGACAGGCAGCTGGAGTGATCAAGAGCATCAAAGAGGAGGGGCCTAAAGAATTTTGGAAAGTGTTAATGGTGAGGGACAGGGAGGCAATGTGAGGGTCATGCTGGAAATAACAGCCTGAGCAGTGGTATGAAGGTGGGAAACTCTAAGGTATAAATGTGTAGAAAGCTCTATGTATTACCCTAGAGCCCCCTGCCCTTTGGGATTCCTTTTGGACAAAAGGCTGTGCAAGAAATACAAAAAGAACATCCTTGGCCAGGCACAGTGGCTCACACCTGTAATCCCACCACTTTGGGAGGCTGAGGCAGGCGGATTGCTTGAGTCCAGGAGTTTGAGACCAGTCTGGGCAACATGGCGAAATCCCAGAACGCCGTCTCTACTAAAAATACAAAAAGTTAGCTGGGCGTGGTGGTGCATGCCTGTAGTCCCAGCTACTGAGGAGGGAGGATTGCTTGGGCCTGGGAGTTTGAGGTTGCAGTGAACTGAGATCGCACCAATGCACTCCAGCCTGGGCGACAGAGCGGGACCCTGTCACAAAAACAACCCCCCAAAACAAACAACAAAATCCTCAACAAGCAGCCTAGATCCTCCCCACAATCAGAAATTAGGGGATAGGAAAAATGGGGTGAGATGAGTATAGGAGGGTTAAAGGTTAAAGATGAGATTAATTTCCTTGCTTGGTTAATACACATAGATAATTTAAAACAGTATCTGGCACATAATAAGCACTCAATAAAAAGTGAGAATTATCTTCCCATACCTTGGCTCTAACTGGATCTGCAATGATGTTTCAATAGACTACTCCCTTCTAGCCCTGTACACCTCAAGGAAATCCAGATGAGAGAATCCTGTTTCCTGGGTCTTCGGTGTAATCAGACCTACAAGGTGTGACTTCTGGTCATGAAATTTAGAGGAAACTCTAAGTTTGACTAATATTGCAAAACAGCCACTCACATTCCCAAAATGTAACCCTTCAACCAAATCCTTCCCTATGCCCTCAAAAGAATGAGACATGTGCCAAAGCTCTCCCAGGAAGCCTGAAGTTACAAAATTCTGAAAATGCCTCACAGTCTAGCAGCCAATACAGTCGTGCATAATTAAACTTCCCAAGATCACTCCCATCCTCCCAAATCCAGGGGTTAAGACCTTTTGGCGGCTTCCCTTTTGGAGAGAGAAAGTGCACGAAAGAAACGTGTGAGAACTGGGGTTACCTTTATGTGCTGTGAAAGGGGTTAAAAAAGTCGACGCCTGTAATCCCAGCATTTTGGGAGGCCGAGGCGGGCAGATAACCTGAGGTCAGGAGTTTGAGACCAGCCTGGCCAATATGGTGAACCTGTCTCTACTAAAAATACAAAAATTAGCCAGGTATGGTGACGCATGCCTGTGGTCCCAGCTACTCGGGAAGCTAAGGCAGGAGAATTGCTTGAACCCGGGAAGCGGAGGTTGCGGTGAGCCGAGATCGCGCCACTGCACTCCAGCCTGAGCAACAGAGCGAGACTCCCTTTTAATAATAAGAAGAAGAAAGAAAAAAAAAAAAAACCCGTCACGAACAGGATTCGAACCTGTGCGGGGAAACCCCATTGGATTTCGAGTCCAACGCCTTAACCACTCGGCCACCGTGACTTCCAAAACCGCGCTTTATCGCGCGCTTACAGAAGGGGTCCGCACTGCAATCCGGGAATGCGTGCGGGAACCGGAAGCAGGGTACCGGCCCCGACACACACACACCTGAGGACTCCCCACCCCTCGGTTCCTTACCTCCTATCTACGCCACCCAAAGAAAAAGAGTCGGATGGACTGGGTGACCCAGGGAGGGAGGGTCTCCTGCCTAGCGAAGAGTCGGGGTCTCGAGTAGGAGCTCACACCTACTTAGGAGGCGACAGCGAGGCCTGCGGAGGAAGCAGTTGAGGGAAGGCACTGGGCCGCCAGGGTGGCGACTAGGGGACATTTGGGTTAACAAGTGAGGGGAGTGCTGGGTGGACAAGGCGCGAGGAGTGAGGGAGACTCTGAAAAGTTTAAATGGGGAGCTGCTGTGAATGGATGGAAGGAAGGAACTTCTTGGGGAAAGGGGTTTGGGGTTTTGGGGGACGAGGGGCTTCGTCGGGTTAGGAATGCGCAAGGTGAGGACCACTCGGGTCTACGGGTTGGGGCTGCTCCAGCGACTGGCGGCCGCCTGGAGTGGGATAGCGAGGTGACACTCCCGAGCTGAGGCAAAAAGAGGGAAAGGGCTTCGCGTCTGGTAAGAGCGATCTCAGGAGAATGGCGCCCCCTCCAGGAAGCGTCCTTCTCCCCGGAGGCTCCCGCCTCCGCTGCCGGGGAGGCCGCCAGGGTCGGCCCGCGCCTGGAGCTCCGCCGCCGCGCCCGGCCTGCCGGCAGGGGGCGCAGCGCGGACCGGGGCCGGCCCAGGCGGCGGGAGGCGGCGGCCGCGGCGGCGGGAGGCGGCGGGAGGCGGGCGGAGGAGGAGGCGGAGGAGGCGGGAGCTGAGCTGAGTGGGGCGGGCGGCGGCGGGGCCCGAGCCGGAGAAGATGGCGGTGCGGAAGAAGGACGGCGGCCCCAACGTGAAGTACTACGAGGCCGCGGACACCGTGACCCAGTTCGACAACGTGCGGCTGTGGCTCGGCAAGAACTACAAGAAGGTACGCGGGCCGGGCCGGGCCGCGCGGGGACCGGGGGCGGGACAAAGGGACCGCGGCCCTGCAGCCCCGGGATCCTGCCTACCCTCCAGGCGCCCCAGCCCCTCCCCCGCGGCCTCCCAAGCAGCCCCCCGCGCGCCCTCCTGCGCTCCCGCGCCCCTCCCCCAGCCTCCCTCTCCCCGCACCCCCAGCCTCTGAGCCCAGCCCCCGCCCCCACTGCTGCGCCCTCTGCCCCTTGTTTTTCTCTACTGCCCGGCGGGCCCCGGTGCCATTAGCCCACCTTCCCCTCAGCCATCGCCCTCCTGGCTTTTCTGGGAGAGGCGGCCGGCCGGGTGTGGACCGGGTGCCCAATGGGCTCCCCCGCAACCCGGAGCGTGCCCGCCAGAGCTCCCCACGGAGCCAGGTACCAGCGGGGCTGAGGCCTCTCCGGTGCTTTGTGTATGTTCAGAGAGAGAGAATGGAAAGCAGGAGGGTAAACAGTCACAGAGCAAGCCGTTGGCTGCTCATCAGCCTGAAAAAGGTCTCCACCCAGGGATCACCTGTCTCCGCCGCTCATCCCCCACCTTCATCTAAGGGGCAACAGAATCTCTCAGGGAGCCGGGGTATAGGAGTTCCTGGGTAGCGGCCCCTTCCGAAACCTTTCCTCGATTTTACAATGAAGTCACCTTGCAACCTAGCTTTGCAGTACCCTGGGTTTGGGGTCGAGAGGTTAGGGTGAGCTTCCTATCTCTAGCCCCTCACACCCAAACCCCATAACTGGAGATCATAAGGTGGTGAACAAAAGGTTCAAGAATCCTTACCTGTCTTTTCTACCAAACCTCTTCCTGGTGTCGTCTTTGTCTCTAGGCCTGGTTTTCTCTGGAAATGGTCTGCCTCTCTTTTTCTCACTACCCTCAGAGAGGGATTCTCTTTATGGCTTTCTTTCAGCTCCCCAGTTCTTCCTGCCGGCTTTGCAGCTCGTCAGAAGTGTGCTTAGTGGCTTAGGAGAACTTCCTACTGATGCTGGTTGTGAGCCTGGCCCTGCCCTTGGGGTCTCTCTGGGTGTGAGAATCCTGACAAATAGCTGCTATTTCTATGGCATGTCTCTACGCCTGTGAGAGGCTCTTATTCCCAGGCTTCTACCTTTGACCTTTTGCAGGGAGATCAGGCTAGGGGCTTAGCCTCCGGCCTTGGGGGAATTGACAGTTGTGACCTGGTTCAGCTTCCATGCTCTTAGCTCTTTGTCATTTACCTTTCCCTTCACAGATCTATCTCTTTTCACCTCTCACTGAGAGGCACTGTCTTCTTTGTGATGAGTGGGGAGAAAACGGGTCAAAAAGTAAAAAGAAAGTCTCCTGGCTCAGGTTCAAATTAGAATGGAAGGCTAGGATGCTACTAGGTAGCAGAGTGTGGAAACATAGAAGTAGGGCCAGGGTTACTTGTCTCAGATACAGTTTCCTCGGACAGGGTAGATGTTGTCTTGCTCTTCTCCATCAGGCTGGGTAGTGGATGGCCCTTCCTGTCTAGGAGGGCCTATGAAGACATTTATACCCAGTCTTCAGAAGCAAAATGCACAAGCTCACTCAGTCAACTTGCCCTCCTTCACTTCCTTGTACCTTTTCTTGTTAGGCTACATTATAGGGGGAATCATGGCTTTACAGAGTTCCCCTAAGAAATGTCTCTCTTAGAGCCCCAGAGGTATTGCTTCCATGACCTGAACTTTATAAACCTCCAGAATTTTACAACCCTCAGTGCTGTTGGTTAAAGATGAGGTGCCAAGATAATAGGGTCCTGCAACTCCAATTTCAGAGTATAACTGAGGAAGAGTAGTAAGCTTCCCTGTTCCCCCCAACACTGGCCACCTGGGCTGGTGGCAGCAGAATTTCAGCTTCCTGGTTGGGGTGTCCAGGGCCTCCCTTTTGCCATTTTCTTTATAGAGACTAAATGGGGAGAAGGGCACTATTTTCTTTGCTCCACATGCTTCCAGAGCCCCTGGGGGAGAAATATGGGAGATAGTGGACAATTTATCTGAGATCTATTTTTCTTTCCTTTCCCTCTTTTTCCTTAGTATATACAAGCTGAACCACCCACCAACAAGTCCCTGTCTAGCCTGGTTGTACAGTTGCTACAATTTCAGGAAGAAGTTTTTGGCAAACATGTCAGCAATGCACCGCTCACTAAACTGCCGGTGAGTGCAGAAGTAGCAGGGAGGGTGGGGGGTGGTGGTGGTGAATCCTTCAAACTGAAGAGTTGTATTTTAAAAAAAGATTTGTGAATTTTGTAATTTTTGAAATTTGGGTTATTTTCCACCATCCCTATCCCTGATCAGGGCATTATTGGCTTGGCCTAGTCTCCAGTTTACCATTCTTTTTGTCTTAGTAATATTTTGTGCAACAAATTATTTCAGAGTACCTGGGATCAGTCCACAGGTCTCTCATGGCATGGTTAAAAGGGGACTTGAGATTTGGATTTGTGCAGGCTTGTGTTCAAATCCTGGCTTTGCCATTGGATGGCTCTGTGATCTTGGGCAACATTCATGAGTCTTGGTTCCTTCATCTCTAGATGGGATTAGTAAACCTACCTTGTAGAGTTTCCTTAATGGTACCTGAGGTAATCCAGTAAAGTGTTAGCACAAGGTGGTGCTTTCTGTGTGTTGGTTTCTTTCACTCCCCTCTTCCAGGCCACATGATGCAATGGCACAAGGGTTAAAGAATTTCAGCTTTGAGGCCGGGCGTGGTGGCTCACGCCTGTAATCTCAGCACTTTGGGAGGCCGAGGCGGGCAGATCACCTGAGGTCTGGAGTTGGAGACCAGCCTGACCAACATGGAGAAACCCCGTCTCTACTAAAAATACAAAATTAGCCGGGTGTGGTGGCTCATGCCTGTAATGCCAGCTACTCAGGAGGCTGAGACAGGAGAATTGCTTGAACCTGGGAGGCAGAGGTTGCAGTGAGCCAAGATCGCGCCATTGCACTCCAGCCTGGGCAACAAGAGTGAAACTCCATCTCAAAAAAAAAAAAAAAAAAGGGAGATCAATTCAGCATGGGATTTTGTGAAAGGATTATTAGATTATTAAGTGATGAGAGAATTTACAGTGGAACCTTGACATGCTTTTTCCGTATCTTGATTTTGTAGATCAAATGTTTCCTAGATTTCAAAGCGGGAGGCTCCTTGTGCCACATTCTTGCAGCTGCCTACAAATTCAAGAGTGACCAGGGATGGTGAGATGATTCTCTCTATTCTTCTTATATTTAGTTTAGAGGAAATCCCCCTTTTTGATTCCCTGGGATCTTTCTGGGGTAGAAATTCTTGTGAGTCTCTTTATTTTGCTGGGTCAGTAGACCTGACTTACTACGTCAGGAAGATGGTTGGGAGTCAGAGCCAAAACAGTCTCCAAGAGTGAGTGTGTGAGTATCACTGTGTGTTTTGTAGAGGAAAAGGGATTCTTAGGTTGGCATCTCAAACCTTTTTTTGTCCCTTTGAAGTAAGCACAGAGAGTGATTCATGGAGTTGAGATCAGTGAACCTCAGATCCCAGGTGATGTTTGGCAATAGCTGTGAGCAAGCTTGCCTCCTAATTTCCCATATTAAGAAGTCATGGCTGGGCGCAGTGGCTCACACCTGTAATCCCAGCACTTTGGGAGGCCGAGGTGGGTGGATCATTTGAGGTCAGGAGTTTGAGACCAGCCTGGCCAACTTGGCAAAACCCCATCTCTACTAAAATACAAAAATTAGCCGGGCATGGTGGCGGGCACCTGTAGTCTCAGCTACTTGGGAGGCTGAGGCAGGAGAATGGCTTGCACATAGGAGGCAGAGGTTGCAGCTGGCCAAGATCGCGCCAGTGCACTCCAGCCTGGGCAACAGAGCGGGACTCCCTCTCAAGAAAAAAAAAAAGGCCGGGTGTGGTGGCTCATGCCTGTAATCCCAGCACTTTGGGAGGCCGAGGCAGGTGGATCACCTGAGGTCAGGAGTTCAAGACCAGTTTGACCAATATGGTGAAACCTCGTCTCTACTTACTAAAAATACAAAAATTAGCCACGTGAGGTGGTGTGTGCCTATAGTCCCAGCTACTGGGGAGGCTGAGACAGGAGAATTGCTTGAACCTGGGAGGCAGAGGTTGCAGTGAGCCGGGATCGCGCCACTGCACTCCAGCCTAGGTGACAGAGCAAGACTCCATCTCAAAAAACAAACAAAAAAGTCACGTGCCCTCACCTCATCTGCAGACCTGAGCTATACCACTCACTAGATTATTGCCTCTTCACAAGGCGGCGTTACGATTTCCAGAATCCATCACGCATGGACCGCAATGTGGAAATGTTTATGACCATTGAGAAGTCCTTGGTGCAGGTAATAGGCATATACCCTATTTATCTCCCTTCCCTCAGTGAGAATCTAAAACACCCCTTTCCTATAATCTCATTCTATTTCTTCTCTCCACAGAATAATTGCCTGTCTCGACCTAACATTTTTCTGTGCCCAGAAATTGAGCCCAAACTACTAGGGAAATTAAAGGACATTATCAAGAGACACCAGGTAAATGGTCTGGTGAGGAGAGGTTTCAGAAACTCCATGACTGTTTTCCCAGTGTTTTCTATACCAAGCAGCAGCCCTGAATTACCATGTTTTCTGCTTCAGAGGTGGCTCTGTCTACTTGGAAAAAGACTTGAGTTAAAGCCTTGAGTCTGTCTTTTTCTGTCTGCTTCTCCCATTTTTCAGTCCTGACAGGTTTGCATTACTGTTCTAGAGACTATGTTGGCCTGGGGAAAAATAGTATCCACTTCTACTGAGCTAGAGATTGCGTGATCTCAGATAAATGAAATTCCTGCTCTTTGGAACTTTATAGTAATGAATAGATGTCATTGATAAGGATGTACAGTGGACTTTAAATTTCCCATGTATAGATTATCTGTTCAGAAGATTATTTTTGGCAATTTTTAATTCTTTGACTTTTCTCCATTATTAGCACAATCCCAGCTGTTTCCCTCTGCCACTTAGCTGGTGTGTGCTTAGAGAATACAAACTAACTTTAATACTATTATAAGCAAAATATGGTTAGGAAGGCAGCTCTGTGGCTAAACCTTGAGTAATTCAGAGGGGACCATAATTTACCCGCTTCTCCTTTTACCATCCAGGGAACAGTCACTGAGGATAAGAACAATGCCTCCCATGTTGTGTATCCTGTCCCGGGGAATCTAGAAGAAGGTGAGACCTGGGTTTTCCTGTCCACTTGAGTGGATGGTTTGGACTAGGAGGCAGAGGACTAAGATCACCATTCAGTACCTGGGCTCCTCCTCTTCTTTCAATCTTGAATCCTCTTACCACCTTAAGTTCCTATTACCAAGTCCCCTGCTACAACAGGAGAGTGCATTAGTTAGGGCTTTTGTACAGTATTTTTTTTGTGTCCCCCTTTAGCTTATATCTCTCCCTTCTCTTCCTCTATCCCCAGAGGAATGGGTACGACCAGTCATGAAGAGGGATAAGCAGGTTCTTCTGCACTGGGGCTACTATCCTGACAGGTGAGGATGGGTTCCTGGGGCAGGTTTAAGTATAAGAGCCAGACCCAGAAGCCCTAGGACATCTAGCAGAGCAAGAGGCCACTCTTTCAGAGTTATTTTTAGATCACTTAATTTGTTTTCCTCTCACCTAGTAAGTGAACCTCTGTCTTGGGGGAGGTTTGGACTTAGTGGACAAGCCTTGGGCTAAAAGGATTGAGGCTTTATGTGTGAATTGATTATCCCAGCATCATTTTCGATAAGTAAATGTTAGAAACAATCTAAATGTCTAACAGTAGGAAAATGTTTCAGTAAATTTGTATATCTACTCAGTGGACTATTATGCAGTCTTTAAAGTGATATAACATGGATAATTTATAAGTGAATATTATTAATAATTGCAAAAAGTAGCATGTAGGCCTGGCATGGTGGCTCACGCCTGTAGTCCCAGCACTTTGGGAGGCCAAGGCAGGCGGATCACCTGAGGTTAGGAGTTCGAGACCAGCCTGGCCAACATGCTGAAACCCCGTCTCTACTAAAAATACAAAAAAAAAAAAAAAATTAGCAGGGCGTGGTGGCACACGCCTGTAGTTTTAGCTACTTAGGAGGCTGAGAAGCAGGATAATCGCTTGAACCGGGGCAGCAGAGGTTGCAGTGAGCCAAGATCACACCACTGCACTCTAGCCTGGGCGACAGAGCGAGACTCTGTCTCAACAAAACAAAACAAAACAAAAAATAGCACGTAGGCTGGGTGCAGTGGCTAATGCCTATAATCCCAGCACTTGGGGAGGCTGAGGTGGGCAGATTGCTTGAGCCCAGGAGTTTGAGACCAGCCTAGGCAACATGGTGAAACCCTGTCTTTACAAAAAAAAAAAATACAGAAATTAGCTGGGCATGGTGGCATGCACCTGTAGTCCTAGCTACTTGGGGGGCTGAGGTGGGAGGATTGCTTGAGCCCAGGAGGTTGAGTCTGCATTGTGCCATGATTGCACCACTGCACTTCAACCTGGGCAATAGAGCAAGACCCTGTCTCAAAAAAAAAAAGCATGTAAAATATCATCTAGTATGGTTATGATTATGTAAAAACATCATCTAGTATGGTTATGATTATGTAAAAAGAAAATTGTGGACCAGGCACAGTAGCTCACTCCTATAATACTAGCACTTTGGGAAGCCAAGGCAGGAGGATCACTAAAGGCTGGAAGTTCAAGACCAGCCTAGGCAGCAAAGTGAGACCCTGTCTTAACAAAAACAAAAACCCCAGCTGGACGCGGTGTCTCATGCCTGTAATCCCAGCACTTTGAGAGGCCGAGGTGGGTGGATCACGAGGTCAGGAGCTTGAGACCAGCCTGGCCAAGATGGTGAAACCCCGTCTGTACTAAAAATATAAAAATTAGCCGGGCGCAGTGGCAGGCACCTGTAATCCCAGCTACTCGGGAGGCTGAGGCAGGAGAATCGCTTGAACCCGGGAGGCGGAGGTTGCAGTGAGCCGAGATCGCGCCACTGCACTCCAACCTGGGTGACAGAGCAAGAGCAAGACTCTGTATCAAAAAAAAAAAAAAATTACTGTGGAGGAAAAACAGATATACAAGTATCAAGAGTAGTTACGTAAGGGTGATTCTTTTTGTTCTCTATTTTTGAAATGTTTCGTAATGTGCTTTTACTACTTTATAATGAATAGAATACAAAAAAAATAAGCCAAGAACCCAATACTTTCTGTAAATGGAAAGGGTAAAAGATCTGCACTTTACTTTTCCACAATTCTATCCCATTGATTCTACTGTGTGCTCAATTTCCCATGGCAGTTACGACACGTGGATCCCAGCGAGTGAAATTGAGGCATCTGTGGAAGATGCTCCAACTCCTGAGAAACCTAGGAAGGTGAGCTTTTCTTGTATCCCCTCTTCCCCAAAAAGAATGCCAGGAACAGTCTACCCTTTGGAAGTGAAACAGAGGCTTGTATGCCCTTGAGCTTTTTCTGTTAAGGGTCCCCAGACAGAGCTGTGGCTTCCAGGCTTCTCTGCAGCATGATCTGCCTTTGTACTTTAGGTTCATGCAAAGTGGATCCTGGACACCGACACCTTCAATGAATGGATGAATGAGGAAGACTATGAAGTAAATGATGACAAAAACCCTGTCTCCCGCCGAAAGAAGATTTCAGCCAAGACACTGACAGATGAGGTGACAAATCCTGTTCTTTTTTTCCTGGCGCCCTTAGCATAAGTCTCAGAACAAATCTTCAGTGGGGATTGTAGGCTGACATTTGTCCTGATTCTCCATCCTATAGGTGAACAGCCCAGATTCAGATCGACGGGACAAGAAGGGGGGAAACTATAAGAAGAGGAAGCGCTCCCCCTCTCCTTCACCAACCCCAGAAGCAAAGAAGAAAAATGCTAAGAAAGGGTGTGCCAGCCCCTAGCCTGCCCCCGTGTTCACCATTCTCTCCACATCATGTTGAAGGAAGGAAAGACAAATCCCTTCCTATAACCACCTGGCCCTGACCTGGGTGTGCCATAATACTGCAGGTGTCCTGAGAGGGAAGATGAGGAGATCTTTAGCTGCTCAGTTGTTAGTTCTGGTTCTGGCCCCACTAGTACATTTAAAGAGAGCTTTATCAAGTGAAAAGCCTTTGCCACTTCCCATTACTGTGTGATTACTGGTTTCTGTTTGTACTCAGCTCTACCCTTGGAATTCTCTGTCACTTCCCTTCCCTTGAACTTCAACTTCCAGGGACTCCTTGTCCAAGGATGACTGGGTTCTCTTTCACTCTCTTTCCTTCCCAGTCCCTCAACACCTTACACTAAGTCAAAGCGTGGCCACAGAGAAGAGGAGCAAGAAGACCTGACAAAGGACATGGACGAGCCCTCACCAGTCCCCAATGTAGAAGAGGTGACACTTCCCAAAACAGGTACAGGCCAGGCTGAGCTCCTGGGATCCACCCCCACTCCCCGTCTTGACTCTCCTTTGCCAAACCCCAAGTGAGCTGATTTCTCAGGTCCACCTCCCAGTCTACAGGATCTTTTCCTTAAATTTAGCTGGTTATTGGAATTACGGTCATTACCCTGGAAAATCCTCTAACTGTATATTCATATCTGAGTTGTGGACTGTGCTTTGTGCCTGATAGTAGTTGTCTCCAAACTCTTTGATTATGTGTTTCTGACAGTAAAATATATTTGAGCATGGCCAGGCACGGTGGCTTATGACTGTAATCCCAGCATTTTGGGAGGCCGAGGCGGGCGGATCACCTGAGGTCAGGAATTCGAGACCAGCCTGGCCAACATGGTGAAACCCCATCTCTACTAAAAATACAAAAATTAGCTGGGCGTGGTGGTGGGCACCTGTAATCCCAGCTACTCGGGAGACCGAGGCAGGAGAATTGCTTGAACCTGGGAGGTAGAGGTTGCAGGGAGCCGAGATTGTACCACTGCACTCCAGCCTGGGCGACAAGAGCAAAACTCCATCTCAAAAAAAAAAAGGGCCGGGCACGGTGGCTCATGCCTGTAATCCCAGCACTTTGGCAGGCCGAGGTGGGCGGATCACGAGGTCAGGAGATCGAGACCATCCTGGCTAACATGGTGAAACCCTGTCTATACCAAAAATACAAAAAAATTAGCTGAGCGTGGTGGCGGGTGCCTGTAGTCCTAGCTACTCAGGAGGCTGAGGCAGGAGAATGGCGTGAACCTGGGAGGCGGAGCTTGCAGTGAGCTGAGATCACGCCACTGCACTCCAGCCTGGGCAACAGGGCGAGACTCCATCTCAAATAAAAAAAAAGAAAAAAAAATGTATATATGCATTAATTATGTACTTGTACTGTTAAGCCGCTACCATGGGAACGTTTTAAAACACAAACATATCTAAAAAATTGAAAAATGTAAAGAATGATAAAAACAAACATGAAGAATCAGGGCGCGGTGGCTTACGCCTGTAATCCCAGCACTTTGGGAGGCCGAGGCAGGCGGATCACGAGGTCAAGAGATCAAGACCATCCTGGCTAACACGGTGAAACCCCATCTTTACGAAAAATACAAAAATTTGCCAGGCGTGGTGGTGGGCGCCTGTAATCCTAGCTATTCGGGAGGCTGAGGCAGGAGAATCACTTGAATCTGGGAGGTGGAGGTTGCAGTGAGCCGAGATCGCACCACTGCACTCCAGCCTGGGCGACAGAGCGAGACTCCGTCTCAAAAAAACAAAACAAAAAACATGAAGAGAAGTTCTGTATTCTCTCCCTGAGTTGCAGTGGATCATCTTTTGCGTCCTATGTTAGAACCCCACTTTGGAGACATTGCTCCACCAATACTGGTTTACAGTCTGTATTCTGTAGACTCACCCCAGGTATTCCAGAAGTGTATTTCAGGGGTAGGATTAGGGCTGCCACCAAGAAGAGTTCTGGCTTCTACCTCCTCATCAATCAGCTCTCTCTCTTCTCTATGTTTGCTCCTGAGCATATGTATATGAATTCAGTTGAGGAAAGTATCCTCTGCTTTCAAAAATGTTTAACACTTAACCATTCTTCCACAGAGTGATTTGGTCAGATTCAGTATCAGACCATTAAAAGCTTACAGATACATAGATGGAGATAAAGGCCTGTCAAAGACAAGAATCATTTATGAATGTACATAGAGAAATAAGTTAAATTAATTTTTGGTTGGAGAAGTGGGGAAAGTAGCAAGAAGTTTGAAGCCCTAGAATAATTGTGACTGGAGAGAATTACTATATTTTGCAATCAGGTGGAGACAATTTTTGGAGAAAGTAGGATGTCTGGAACTATTAAATTGAAGGCTTGAATTAGGCAAAATCTGTCTGATAAAATGACTCTCTGTTTTCGCAGTCAACACAAAGAAAGACTCAGAGTCGGCCCCAGTCAAAGGCGGCACCATGACCGACCTGGGTAAGACAGGAGCCTCTTGGGCACGGCAGTCAGAGCCAAGGGAAGGGGAGGGCTCAGCTGCCCCCTTTTCGCTAGCCTGATGGGCTTTTGGTAGGGCTTTCTTGCCCCTCAGGAGGCTCCAGCCTTACATCTTGGTTTTTCTCTTTCAGATGAACAGGAAGATGAAAGCATGGAGACGACGGGCAAGGTGGAGCCAGTTTAGAGAGGCCCTACCTCTCTATGTGATTCTGATTTGTGATTATAAAGTTCATTCTGCCCAAACTTTTCACTGCCCAGACTTTACCCACTGTAGACTAATTCCAGCTTTGTTCAAAACTCTGACCCTTTCAGAGTCCTGGGGCCCATGACTGCTCAGTCCCATCACCCATCTTTAGTGTCCACATTCCTGGGGTGTGGGAGAAGCAGAGGGTTGCTAGGGAGGAAGCAGGAATGCTGAGTGTCCAGCAGCCTCCATACTCGTAGGATGAGGATGAGAACAGTACGGGGAACAAGGGAGAGCAGACCAAGAATCCAGACCTGCATGAGGACAATGTGACTGAACAGACCCACCACATCATCATTCCCAGCTACGCTGCCTGGTTTGACTACAATAGGTATGGTTGTCCCCAACTTCTCACTGAGTCCTTATTTCCCTGCCTCCAGGGGTCAACAGGCTGTTCTTCTCCCTGCCTCCTCCAAATAAGTTATTTTTTCCTCACCCAAATAGACCAGAGTACACTTTAGTTTTAGGGGAGCTCCTTGTGTCCTTTTGAGTCTTACAGCCTGTGGGATGTTCTCCCCAAGCTTCTAACTTCAGCAATTTCGAGCTCTTTTCCTTCTTTGCCTTCTAGGCTTTTCCTCCCTTTGGGGCCCCCATCCCTTCACCAATGCCTTCTTCTGAAACCATTCTGGCTTTTCTTGCAGTGTTCATGCCATTGAGCGGAGGGCTCTCCCCGAGTTCTTCAACGGCAAGAACAAGTCCAAGACTCCAGAGATGTAAGGAAATCTCATCTCATGATTCTCCTTCTCCCTCCTGTCCCCACATTCACCCTTCCTGATCCAGTAACATTCAGTTTAGCAAACATTTCTTGAGCATCTTCCATGAGCCAGGCACTATGCTAGGCTTACAAAGGCACAATATCTGCCTTTAGGCAGCCCTGGCCTAGCATGTAGACACATGTTCTTTAGGATTTGCCCAAGGGTGATATTAAGCATGTTCTATACATAACAAGTACCTACTCCAGTGCCTCAACTTCTTTTTAACAGGGTATAGAGCCTTTAAATCCATATTACTGATATCGTCTATACTGCAGATATTCCTAGCACAAAAGTTTTGATTAAAGTGTAAATTACTATTACCAGGCTGGTTCCTGAGAGTAGGTTTTAATAGAAAAACAAGAGAAGGAACTAATAGAAGACCAGTTTATATAAATTAAGGGATGGAGAGGGCTCACTGGGAAAGAAGTGTAGGAGCCACGGTGGCTCACGACTGTAAATCATCCCAGCTACTTGGGACACTGAGACAGAAGGATTCCTTGAGGCCAGGAGTTCAAGAATAGCATGAGCAACATAGCAAGACTCCCATCTCTAAAGAAGTGAAAAAAAATTAGCTGGGCCTGGTGGGGCATACCTGTGGTCCCAGCTACTTCGGAAGCTGAAATGGGAAGATTGCTTGAGCCCAGGAGTTTGAGGCTGCAGTGAGCCATGATCACACCACTGCTCTCCAGCCTGGCTGACACGGCAAGACCCCGTATCTAAAAAAATTAATGAACAAGGCTGGGTGTGGTGGCTCACGCCTGTAATCCCAGCACTTTGGGAGGCCGAGGCGGGCGGATCACAAGGTCAGGAGATCGCGACCATGCTGGCTAACATGATGAAACCCCATCTCTACTAAAAAGACCAGGCGCGGTGGCTCATGCCTGTAATCCCAGCAATTCGGGAGGCTGAGGCGGGCGGATCACCCGAGGTCAGGAGTTCGAGCTCAGCCTGACCAACATGGAGAAACCCCGTCTCTACTAAAAATACAAAACTAGCTGGGCGTGGTGGCACGTGCCTGTAATCCCAACTACTAGGGAGGCTGAGGCAGGAGAATCGCTTGAACCCGGGAGGCGGAGGTTGCAGTGAGCCGAGATTACGCCATTGCACTCCAGCCTGGGCAACAAGAGTGAAACTCCGTCTCAAAAAAAACAAAAAAACAAAAACAAAAAAAATTAGCCGGGCGTGGTGGCATGCATCTGTAGTCCCAGCTAGTCTGGAGGCTGAGGCAGGAGAATCACTTGAACCTGAGAGGCAGAGGTTGCAGTGAGCCGAGATCACGCCACTGCACTCCAGCCGGGGTGACAGAGCGAGACTCCGTCTCAAAAAAAAAAAAAATTAGCTGGGCGTGGTGGCAGGCGCCTGTAGTTCCAGCTACTTGGGAGGCTGAGGCAGGAGAATGGCATGAACCTGGGAGACAGAGCTTGCAGTGAGCCGAGATTGCGCCACTGCACTCCAGCCTGGGCGACAGAGCAAGACTCCGTCTCAAGAAAAAAAAAAAGATTTTGCCTCAGGCCAAACCTGCTTGGCTTTGGATAAGACATGGCAGTCTTCTTTGGTTAGGAATACTTCAAGATAACCACATTGATGAGGTGGGTGAGACTGAGAACTGAACAAGTTTTCTTCCCAGCTATTCCACAGCTTCCCCTCTCTGGGGGTCCCTCCGTGTTTTTTCTTCATAGCTTGCTATGGTTCTCTCTTCCTTCTCTTCCTGGAGAAAGCAGTATGTGTGAAAAGAAAGTAGTGATCAGGTGAAATGAATTCAACATGACATGCAGGCAGGGTTGGAGTAGGAACTGAACTCTTGGTATAAAATAGTAAATGATGGCTGGGCATGGTGGCTCACGCCTGTAATTCCAGCACTTTGGGAGGCCCAGGCGGGCAGATCACGAGGTCAGGAGTTCGAGACCAGCCAGGCCAACATGGTGAAACCCCGTCTCTACTAAAAATACAAAAATTAGCTGGGTGTGGAGGCACGCACCTGTAATCCCAGCTACTTGGGAGGCTGAGGCAGGAGAATCACTTGAGCCCGGGAGGTGGAGGTTGCAGTGAGCCAAGATCTCATCATTGTACTCCAGCCTGGGCAACAAGAGTGAAACTCCATCTCAGAAAAAAAAAAATAGTAAATGATGATAATTGCCTGCATCTATTGAGAGCTTAGTATCTCCCAGGCACTATACTAAATGTCCAACCTACATTGAGTAATTTAATCTTTACGTCAACCTTAGAGGTAGATATCATCTTCAGTTGACAGATAGGGTATAGAGGAGTCAAGTCACCTGCATAAAGTCACAGAGCTAGTAAATAAAACCAGGATCTGAATCCTTTAATCTGGCCCATGATCTGAAACTTTACACTGTACCACATGATAGCTGCCATTTTTTTGAGCCCCTACAATGCGCCAGGCACTATACTAGTACTTTATAGACCTCTCAACAGACATTCCATTTTACAAATGAGGAAACTGAGGTTTAAAAATTCGAAGTAAATTGCCAAGGTCCTCATGGTAGAACTGGGATTTGAACTTAGATCTTTTCAACTTCAAAACATATGTTTTTTACCGTGGTATGCTGACTAGCTATATGCATGAATAAGGACTTCCTTTTAACATCTGAGTTTGGAAATGAGTATTTTCTTAACTTCTAATTCCTTGTTTAAAAATTGTATAAAATGGCTAGGTGCAGTGGCTCATGCCTGTAATCCCAGCACTTTGGGAGGCTGAGGCAGGAGGCTCACCTGAGGTCAGGAGTTTGAGACCAGCCTGACCAACATGGAGAAACCCTGTCTCTACTAAAAATACAAAATTAGCCGGCCGTGGTGGCACATGCCTGTAATCAGAGCTACTGAGGAGGCTGAGGCAGGAGAATCTCTTGAACCCAGGAGGCGGAAGTTGCCATGAGCCAAGATCATGCCATTGCATTCCAGCCTGGGCAACAAGAGGGAAACTCCATCTCAAAAAAAAAAATTGTATGAAATATCCCTAAGTATAGCCAAGGAGATAATTCATTTAAAGAAAACCCCATCAAGGAAAAGTAAGACATATTTGAAACCCTTTCATCTAGCACATAGCAGGCACTCAGCATGTAGAGTCAAATAATCTACTTTTTTCCATCTTTATCATGCAGGAGAAGTCATTAGCTCTCTTACCATTTTTTCCTTTAGCCCTTTAACAAACATTTATTTTTCTTCTTCTTGTTTCTCTCTCTCTTTCTTCTAAGCTACCTGGCCTATCGAAACTTTATGATTGACACTTACCGACTGAACCCCCAAGAGTATCTTACCTCTACCGCCTGCCGCCGAAACCTAGCGGGTGATGTCTGTGCCATCATGAGGTGGGTCTTGTGGCTGAGGGGAAGGGGGTACATGAGGATGCCTGCCTATGGATGTGTTTTGGCAACAGTAGAGATGCCAGCAAGGAACACAGAGGAGCAGACAGAAAAAAGCACCTCTAGAGAAAGGTGAAGTACAGGTTTGGGGAATGAATGACTTGAGGGATTAGCAATGGCATTCTCTGAAGTGTAGAATATAGGACAAAGAAGGAGCATGTCTGTAATTGAAAGATACTGGTTCAGGCCAGGTGTGGTGGCTCATGCCTATAATCCAAACATTTTGGGAGACCAAGGTGGGAGGATTGCTGGAGCCCAGAAGTTCGAGACCAGCCTGGACAAAATGGCAAAACCCCATCTCTAGAGAAAATGCAAAAAAATTAGCTAGGCATGGTGGCACGTGCCTGTGGTCTTAGTGACTCAGGAGGCTGAGGTGGGAGGATCCCCTGAGCCCTGGAGGTGGAGGCTGCAGTGAGCGGTGATCACACCACTGCACTTCAGTCTCTCTTAGGGAAAAAAAGAAAGAAACTGGTTCAGTTTTACTAGCTATTCAGGAAGAAATGTTCGGTAGGTAGGTAGATATAGAGATTGGCCCAGGCTGAAGATGTAGACTTGGGTGTCACTGGCATTTAGGTGATAAATGAACAACTGGAGTAGGTGAGATTTCTTAAGGAGTACAATGAACAGAGGAAAAGGCCGGGGTTGGGTGGGGAGGGGGTTTATGCCCCTTCTACCCCCCACTTTTCCTCTTCCTCGTGCACCTTTCTGGCTATCCGTGTGACCCTGTCTCTGCCTCTCTCTGCACAGGGTCCATGCCTTCCTAGAACAGTGGGGTCTTATTAACTACCAGGTGGATGCTGAGAGTCGACCAACCCCAATGGGGCCTCCGCCTACCTCTCACTTCCATGTCTTGGCTGACACACCATCAGGGCTGGTGCCTCTGCAGCCCAAGACACCTCAGGTAGGGTGAGGTGCTATGGGGATGGGGCGGGTTGGGAAGATTGGGCTTCTTTGAACTTTTCTTTTTCTGGTTTTTAGGGTAATGGTTCAGGAGTGTTTTGAGGCTTCTTCCTTTTCCATGGGATGCAAAGGGTCACGGGAATCAGCCCCATGTGTTTAGCATCCTCTCTCAGCCTTTGTACCTAAGGCTGTAATTGCTGAGGGAGAAGAGATTATCCTTTTACTCAAGGAGTAGACAGGCTAATGTAGGGGAGTCAATAGAGAAAAATGGCTTAAAATTAACTTGCATGAAATTTTTAAACTTTGTCATCTTTGCCACATTTTTTCATTTTTGCCTCATAATTATCATCTTCATTTTTTTTTCCATTTCCACTTCATCCATTACAAAAATTAGGAAGAAGGTTATGTGGCTTGCCCAAGGTCACAGAGTACCAAATCTAGGATTAGAACCTAATTGTCCAGCTCCTAAGAGAACCTATAAAGATAATGTGAATATGTATGGATATCATGCCAACGACATGTCTTATTAATCATGAAGGGAACATGGAACAGTGGCATGAGTGCCCCCAGAGCTTGTGGGCCGCCCAGCATATGGTCTTGAGGCCTCCAGGGCCTTGGCCTGGTCATTTCCTGCCCAGCCTCCATGACGCCAAGCTCTGTCCCCCAGGGCCGCCAGGTTGATGCTGATACCAAGGCTGGGCGAAAGGGCAAAGAGCTGGATGACCTGGTGCCAGAGACGGCTAAGGGCAAGCCAGAGCTGGTAGGTGGGGTGCAGACCCTGCTGGGCTGCTCATTTTCCCCTTTATTGGGGGGCCCCTGCCCGGGAAGAAGAGACATGAGAGCAGAGGAACTACAGCAGTAAGGGAGGAAGTCCCACCCAGGGGTGTCCCTGGCTTTGGGAAAGAAGCTCCTTCTGTCTGTTTTTTCTCTCTGTCAGCCCCTGGCTCCCGGTGGTCACTTGTACTCACCTGTTTCTTTCCCTCCACAAATAGCAGACCTCTGCTTCCCAACAAATGCTCAACTTTCCTGACAAAGGCAAAGAGAAACCAACAGACATGCAAAACTTTGGGCTGCGCACAGACATGTACACAAAAAAGAATGTTCCCTCCAAGGTAGGAGGTGCGGGCCGACTCTAGGGGTAGAGAATGTTCGCTCCTCAGAGGTCACAGGCTCCTTTCTTCTCACCTGCCTGTGTTTCCCCTGCAGAGCAAGGCTGCAGCCAGTGCCACTCGTGAGTGGACAGAACAGGAAACCCTGCTTCTCCTGGAGGTAATTGGGGCAAAGAAAAGAGAGTTTTTCTCTGAAAACAGAAGTGGGCTCCGTGTAGAGGCTCACGCCTGTAATCCCAGCACTTTGGGAGGCCAAGGCAGGAGGATCACTTGAGTCCAGGAGTTCGAGATGAACCTGGGCAACATAGTGAGACTCCGTCTCTACGAAAAATTTTAAAAATTAGCCAGGTGTGGTGGCACACACCTGTGGTCCCAGCTACTCAGGAGGCTAAGTGGGAGGATTGCTTGAGCCTAGGAGGTCAAGGCTCCAGTGAGCTTCAGGACCAGCTCCAGGCTGGGGATTTGGGCCATTTCATTAACTTCATATCCTTTCTTAGTGCTACTTCAAGATCCCCCTTGGACCTAGCAGAGTACACAAATACCAGAACATAGAGAACTTTGAAACCAGCTGCCCTTAGTAGGATGGGGGGAGTCAGCCTTCGAGAAAAGTGGCTAAGTAAGCGGAGTTATGTCTCCACCACTACCACCAGGCACTGGAAATGTACAAAGATGACTGGAACAAAGTGTCCGAGCATGTGGGAAGCCGCACACAGGACGAGTGCATCTTGCATTTTCTTCGTCTTCCCATTGAAGACCCATACCTGGAGGACTCAGAGGCCTCCCTAGGCCCCCTGGCCTACCAACCCATCCCCTTCAGTCAGTCGGGCAACCCTGTTATGAGCACTGTTGCCTTCCTGGCCTCTGTCGTCGATCCCCGAGTCGCCTCTGCTGCTGCAAAGTCAGCCCTAGGTAATGGGGGTGGGTGGTTCCACCTGGCCTTCTTAGTTTGCTTTTGAAGGGCTAGTTACTCAGACTGTGAATCCTCTCAAGTTTGGCTGCCCTGCTGGCCTTGTCTGTGCGGGCCTCAGCTCAGGCACCTGTCTAGGCTCCATACTAGCTTAGATGAAGACATGGGCTTGTGAGTAAGCTTTTGCAGGGATTGCCAGAACTGTTCCACTGTGCCGCTCCCAGCCTCATTCTTTCTGGGTCTTGCAGAGGAGTTCTCCAAAATGAAGGAAGAGGTACCCACGGCCTTGGTGGAGGCCCATGTTCGAAAAGTGGAAGAAGCAGCCAAAGTAACAGGCAAGGCGGACCCTGCCTTCGGTCTGGAAAGCAGTGGCATTGCAGGAACCACCTCTGATGAGCCTGAGCGGATTGGTAAGGCCAGGCAGGTTCCCAGATTTCTTGCCTTTCACAAGATCCAGAGCTACCTGGCCTCCTGTGCCATTTCTGCCTCAAGTTGGCATTAGAGCACAACATGAATGAGAACATTGGTAGGGTTTTTATTTTCCCCATGAGTTTACCTCAGGGGCTCTGGAGCCCTACTAGTCCTCTCATGAAGATTTTGGGTAGAAAAATCTTTGCTTGTAGAAGGGGCTGTTAGAAAAGTCTTGTGAAGGCCGGGCGCAGTGGCTCATGCCTGTAATCTCAGCACTTTGGGAGGCCGAGGTGGGTGGATCACGAGGTCGGGAGTTCAAGACCAGCCTGGCCAAGATGCTGAAACCCTGTCTCTACTAAATATACAAAAATTAGCTGGGCGTGGTGGCACGTGCCTGTAATCCCAGCTACTTCAGAGGCTGAGGCAGGAGAATCACTTAAACCTGGGTGCCAGAGGTTGCAGTGAGCCAAGATCAAGCCACTGCACTCCAGCCTGGGCAACAGAGCAAGACTTCGTCTCTCAAAAAAAAAAAAAAAAAAAAAAAAGTCTTGTGAAGGCTGGGTGCAGTGGCTCATGCCTGTAATCCCAGTACTTTGGGAGGCTGAGGTGGGCAGATGGTTTGAGACCAGTCTGGGCAACATGGCAAAATCCCGTCTCTACAAAAAATACCAAAAAAGTTAGCCAGGCATGGTGGCATGCGCCTGTAGCCCCAGATACACAGGAGGCTGAGGTGAGAGAACCACTTGAGCCTGGGAAGTCAAGGCTGCAGTGAGCCATGATTGTGCTACTGCACTCCAGCCTGGGCGACAAGAGTGAGACCCTGTCACAAAAAAACAAAAAACAAAAAAAAACAGGTGTTATGGAGAAGCTGGGTGCAACGGCTCACACCCATAGTCCAAGCTGCTCAGGAGGCTGAGGTGGGAGGATTGCGTGGGCCCAGGAGTTTGAGACCAACCTGGGCAACACAGCAAGACCCTGTCTCTAAAAAAAAAGAAAAGTGTTAGACACAGACGACTGTGTATTAAACATTTCCTGTTTTCTTTCTTTTCTCATGGGCCCAGAGGAGAGCGGGAATGACGAGGCTCGGGTGGAAGGCCAGGCCACAGATGAGAAGAAGGAGCCCAAGGTATAGAGGGATTTCTGGAAGCTGCAGGGGCTGCGTGCAGCACTGTGGTGATGGGGAAGTTGGCCTTGTTCAGCTTAGGTGGGCAAGGGCTGGTTTTGGACGGGGTTGTCTCCTAGAATCAGATCACCTCCAAAGTAAGAGGAATAAATTTAGTTCCCCGTCTGGCCCCTCTGTGTGAGAACTAATCACCCTAATCCCTGATAACTCTCCTTTTCTATCACTGGAATTTCAGGAACCCCGAGAAGGAGGGGGTGCTATAGAGGAGGAAGCAAAAGAGAAAACCAGCGAGGCTCCCAAGAAGGATGAGGAGAAAGGGAAAGAAGGCGACAGTGAGAAGGAGTCCGAGAAGAGTGATGGAGACCCAATAGGTGAGCCTCCCACAAGGGTAGGTGGGGGTGCAGGACAGAGGTGAAGCTGTGGGGCTAACTCAACCCTTGTCCTGGCCCAGTCGATCCTGAGAAGGAGAAGGAGCCAAAGGAAGGGCAGGAGGAAGTGCTGAAGGAAGTGGTGGAGTCTGAGGGGGAAAGGAAGACAAAGGTGGAGCGGGACATTGGCGAGGGCAACCTCTCCACCGCTGCTGCCGCCGCCCTGGCCGCCGCCGCAGTGAAAGCTAAGGTGAGGCCAGACCTTGAAGACCTCAGGGAAGAAAATGTCCACTTCTCTAATCTCATCTCACTTAGAGGAAATCTTTCCTCACTCACACCTTAAATAATGCTGACCTATTTATTTTTTATTTTTATCTCAGGAGGAGGTAAAGTTAGTCATCCCTTCTCTAAGCTTTAAAAAATATATCACCATTGGGCCTGTTTTCAACCCTGTCAGTATTTGACTCCATGTTACCCTTTGCCACACTATCTCCATGTTCTTCTTTTGAGACGGAGTCTTGCTCTGTCAGATCTCGGCTCACTGCAGCCTCCACCTCCCAAGTTCAAGTGATTCTCCTGCCTCAGCCTCCCGAGTAGCTGGGACTACAGGCGTGCTACACCACGCCTGGCTAACTCTTTGTATTTTTAGTAGAGATGGGGTTTCACCATGTTGGCCAGGCTGGTCTTGAACTCCTAACCTCAGGTGATCCACCCGCTTTGGCCTCCCAAACTGCTGGAATTACAGGCGTGAGCCACCGTGCCCAGCCTCCATGCTTGTTTATTTATTTATGTATTTTTTGAGATGGAGTCTCACTCTGTTGCCCAGGCTGGAGTGCAGTGGCACAATCTCGGCTCACTGCAACCTCCACCTCCCAGGTTCAAGCGATTCTCCCACCTCAGCCTCCCAAGTAGCTAGGATTACAGGCACGTGCCAGCATGCCCGGTTAATTTTTGTATTTTTAGCAGAGATGGGGTTTCACCCTGTTGCCCCAGGCTGGTCTCAAACTCCTGGACTCAAGTGATCTGCTCGCCTTAGCCTCCCAAAGCGCTGGGATTACAGGCATGAGCCATCACACCTGGCCAAAATAATTTAATTTTTTAAAAAGGCTGGGCGCAGTGGCTCACGCGTGTAATCCCAGGACTTTGGGAGGCTGAGGCAGGTGGATCACCTGAGGTTGTAAGTTTGAGACCAGCCTGGCCAACATGGTGAAACCCCATCTCTACTAAAAACACAGAAATTAGCCGGCGTGGTGGCGCATGTCTGTAATCCCAGGTACTGGGGAGGCAAAGGCACGAGAATTGCTTGAACCCAGGAGGTAGAGGTTACAGTGAGCTGAGATCATGCCACTGTACTCCAGCCTGGGCAACAGAGTGAGACTGTCCCAAAAAAAAAAAAAGAAAAAAGAAAAAAGACACGGTGGCTCACGCCTATAATCCCAGCACAAAAAAGTCAAGCCCTTTCACCATGGGTTGTGACCACAGCAAATTTGTTCTTATACCTGCCAGCATCCACCCTACCTTTCTTCTGTATTGTCTTCAGTTGGGTCCTCCCACTGATGTGCTGTCTCGCCCCTCCTTCCCTAGCACTTGGCTGCTGTTGAGGAAAGGAAGATCAAATCTTTGGTGGCCCTGCTGGTGGAGACCCAGATGAAAAAGTTGGAGATCAAACTTCGGCACTTTGAGGAGCTGGAGACTATCATGGACCGGGAGCGAGAAGCAGTGAGTAGCAGGAGCCCTGGAACCCTGCTGCGCTGTGCCTCAGTTTAAAATCGGAGGGGCGTGTGTGTGTGTGTGTGTGTGTGTGTGTGTGTGTGTGTGTGTGTGTGTTTCAGTGAAAGAGAGATAAGCAACAGTGGGGAAAGCCTGAGTGTGTGTGTGTGTGTGTGTGTTTCAGTGAAAGATAAGCAACAGTGGGGAAAGCCTGAGACAGACAGGGCTTCAAAGCAGAGCAGGGCAGGAACAGGGCAGGAGTAGGGCAGCCAGTTAGAGACAGTTAAGTGGTCTCACAAGTGAAGTCTGGGGACTGAAGTCCCACAGAAGGTCAGCTCCATGAGGCAGGGACTCTAGTTGGTTGTTTTGATTGCTGCATCTCCAGGTCCTTGAACAGTGCTTGGCCCATAGTAGACTCAAATAGTGATTGAGTGAATGGGCGTAACGGATGATGAGAGAGAGGGTAAGAGCCTCAGATCCAGGAGGTGAACTTGGAAAGGGAATGGGACCGACACAGTGTTGAACCATTTTGTCTTTGGAGGACATAAAAAGAAATAGACAATAGGGACTGGGCACAGTGGCCCACATTTGTAATCCTAGTACTTTGGTACACTGAGGCAGATGGATCACTTGAGCCCAGGAGTTCAAGACCAGCCTGGGTAACATAGTGAGATCTCTGTCTCAACAATTTATTTTATTTATTTATTTATTTATTTATTTGAGACAGAGTTTCGCTCTTGTTGCCCAGGCTGGAGTGCAATGGTGTGATCTTCGCTCACCACAACGTCCGCCTCCTGGGAAGCGATTCTCCTGCCTCAGCCTCCCCAGTAGCTGGGATTACAGGCATGTGCCACCATGCCCAGCTAATTTTGTATTTTTAGTAGAGATGGGGTTTCTCTATGTTGGTCAGGCTGGTCTCGAACTCCCGATCTCAGGTGATCAGCCCATCTCTGCTTCCCAAAGTGCCGGATTACAGGTGAGTCATCACGCTTTTTTTTTTTTTTTTGAGATGGAGTCTTACTCTTTCGCCCAGGCTGGAGTGCAGTGGTGCAATCACGGCTCACTGCAACCTCCGCCTCCTGGGTTCAAGCGATTCTCCTGCCTCACCTCCCGAGTAGCTGGGATTACAGGCACATGCCACCATGACCAGCTAATTTTTGTATTTTTAGTAGAGACAGGGTTTCACCATGTTGGCCAGGCTGGTCTCAAACTCCTGACCTCAGGTGATCCGCCCACCTCAGCCTCCCAAAGCGCTGGGATTTCAGGCATGAGCCACCGTGCCCAGCCCAAACATTTTTTAAAAATAAACAAATTAGCCGGGCGTGGTGGTGCGAGCCTGTGGTCCCAGCTACTCAGGAAGCTGAGGTGGGAGGATCGTTTGAGCCCAGGAGGTCAAGGCTGCACTGAGCCATGTTTGCCCCATTGCATTCCAGCCTGGGTGACAGAGTGAGACCCTATCTCAAAAAAAAAAAAAAGAAGAAAAAGAAATAGAAGATAGGGACCTCAGAGAACTTAAGGTTTAATGGGAGACATCAAATGAATATACAATATGGAGACATCAGAAACAGTTAAGAAGGTTTAAAGTATCTGACAAATTCACATTAAGAGATTGCACATCAGCCGGGCGCGGTGGCTCACACCTGTAATTCCAGCACTTTGGGAGGCTGAGGCAGGTGGATCACGAGATCAAGGAGATCGAGACCATCCTGGCTAACATGGTGAAACCCCGTCTCTACTAAAGAATAAAAAAATACAAAAAATTAGCCCGGCATGCTGGCACACACCTGTAATCCCAGCTACTCGGGAGGCTGAGGCAGGAGAATTGCTTGAACCGGGGAGGCGGAGGTTGCAGTGAGCTGAGATCACGCTACTGTACTCCAGCCTGGGTGACAGAGTGAGACTCAGTCTCAAAAAAATAAAGAGATTGCACATCAAGTTTCTAAGTCCTGAGATCATAGAATAAAGCTAAAGCTCAGAGGCAAATGAATTGATCTGGGATAGCTTCCTAAGAACAGTGACTTTTTAGTGAATTTTGAAGTAAGAAAAGAACTTGAATTGACAAAAGGAACTGGAAGCATTTTCCAAATCAAGGTAATGGCAAGTTCAAAGCTTTGTAGCTGAAGTGAGCTTGGGCCAGGTTAAAGTCATTGCAATAAGAAACCATGTGGGCACTCAGGAGACATAAAGGTCATGGGAATTTGCACGAAGTCGGGTGGGGAGGACAGAGGGAGCACAAGCACAAGATGTAGATTTTGGGAACCTTCTGATTGAGAGGCAGGCTCTTTCAGAAGAAGACAAAGCAGGGGTTGAGGCATTTGCCTTTGGGATCTGCTGAAAATTGGATAACAATACTCAATTGGCACTGGCAGCTGGAGTATCAGAGGCAGCAGCTCCTGGCCGACAGACAAGCCTTCCACATGGAGCAGCTGAAGTATGCGGAGATGAGGGCTCGGCAGCAGCACTTCCAACAGATGCACCAACAGCAGCAGCAGCCACCACCAGCCCTGCCCCCAGGCTCCCAGCCTATCCCCCCAACAGGGGCTGCTGGGCCACCCGCAGTCCATGGCTTGGCTGTGGCTCCAGCCTCTGTAGTCCCTGCTCCTGCTGGCAGTGGGGCCCCTCCAGGAAGTTTGGGCCCTTCTGAACAGATTGGGCAGGCAGGGTCAACTGCAGGGCCACAGCAGCAGCAACCAGCTGGAGCCCCCCAGCCTGGGGCAGTCCCACCAGGGGTTCCCCCCCCTGGACCCCATGGTAAGTGTTATGTTCCAGAACTTTTGTTGGCTAGAGGAATCCAGGTGAATGTCCCAGTTCTCCTCAAAGGGGATACAAGATGAGTGTGGAGATGAGGTTAGCCTCAATTTCTACAGATGGGCCCATCTCTCTTAGGCCCCTAAATCAGCAGGAGTCCTTCCCCAAACTCGAGAGCTTTGGAATTTTATTCACTTACTCTAGTGTCAGAAAAGGGGAAGATAGTGCCAAGGAATGGCTAGATTATCCTTGTTTGTAAAAGTGAGTTATTCTTTGGGAGGCCGAAATGGGTGGATCACGAGGTCAGGAGATTGAGACCATCCTGGCCAACATGTTGAAACCCCGTCTCTAGTAAAAATACAAAAATTAGCTGGGCGTGGTGGTGCGTACATGTAGTACCAGCTACTCGGGAGGCTGAGGCAGGAGATTGCTTAAACCCGGGAGGCGGAGGTTGCAGTGAGCCAAGATCGTGCCACTGCACTCCAGCCTGGTGACAGAGTGAGACTCCGTCTAAAAAAAAAATAGAAAAGGTGAGTTGTTAAGCAAAATTTTATACCTAATTTTCTCCATCTCTCATCTTTATTCTCAGGCCCCTCACCGTTCCCCAACCAACAAACTCCTCCCTCAATGATGCCAGGGGCAGTGCCAGGCAGCGGGCACCCAGGCGTGGCGGGTAATGCTCCTTTGGGTTTGCCTTTTGGCATGCCGCCTCCTCCTCCTCCTCCTGCTCCATCCATCATCCCATTTGGTAGTCTAGCTGACTCCATCAGTATTAACCTCCCCGCTCCTCCTAACCTGCATGGGCATCACCACCATCTCCCGTTCGCCCCGGGCACTCTCCCCCCACCTAACCTGCCTGTGTCCATGGCGAACCCTCTACATCCTAACCTGCCGGCGACCACCACCATGCCATCTTCCTTGCCTCTCGGGCCGGGGCTCGGATCCGCCGCAGCCCAAAGCCCTGCCATTGTGGCAGCTGTTCAGGGCAACCTCCTGCCCAGTGCCAGCCCACTGCCAGGTGAGAAGGGGCCAAGAGGGGAGAAGGGTGAGGGAGAGGGGTCCACCTGGAGGGAGGGTGAGCGGGCAGGTGGGGAAGAGGTCAGGTATTAGAGTTTCCACAATCCTTTTTGAACACTCTGGTAAAATTAGAATACAGGAGGAAGGGCCTCTCTGGCCGTCCTCCACCATTCCCCAGCCTGGCAGCTGCCACCTTTGGGATGATGTTGGGGCCTTTCACTGGTGGGTCATGGAGCAATCCTGTGGCAGAGAGCATCTCAGTTGTAAACTTGAAAAGCAGCTGTTTGCATGATGATTGAGTGGCATCCCTTTGCTTATTCCTATCACGTTCAAATGCCCCATATAGAGAGTCTTTCTATATGTTTTTCTGAGTATGAGGTAGAAAAGAGTGTTGGGAACAGAAGTTGAACATTATGGGTACCTCATTCATCCACCCAGCCACTGCATGCCATGCCCGGTTCTGTCTGTCTGTGGTGGTCTGGGTCTGGAGCCATCTCTCCGGCGTACTCTAACTGATTTATCTTCCTTTTCTCCACAGACCCAGGCACCCCCCTGCCTCCAGACCCCACAGCCCCGAGCCCAGGCACGGTCACCCCTGTGCCACCTCCACAGTGAGGAGCCAGCCAGACATCTCTCCCCCTCACCCCCTGTGGACATCACGGTTCCAGGAACAGCCCTTCCCCCACCACTGGGACCCTCCCCAGCCTGGAGAGTTCATCACTACGTAAGGAAAGCTCCTTCCGCCCCTCCAAAGCCCTCACCATGCCTAACAGAGGCATGCATTTTTATATCAGATTATTCAAGGACTTCTGTTTAAAAGATGTTTATAATGTCTGGGAGAGAGGATAGGATGGGAATGCTGCCCTAAAGGAAGGGCTGGTGAAAGGTGTTTATACAAGGTTCTATTAACCACTTCTAAGGGTACACCTCCCTCCAAACTACTGCATTTTCTATGGATTAAAAAAAAAAAAAAAAAGTAGATTTTAAAAAGCCACATTGGAGCTCCCTTCTACCCACTAAAAAATAACCAATTTTTACATTTTTTGAGGGGGAGTGAGTTTTAGGAAAGGGGAATTAAGATTCCAGGGAGAGCTCTGGGGATAGAACAGGGCGCAGATTCCATCTCTCCCCAAGCCCCTTTTTAGTGACTAAGTCAAGGCCCCAACTCCCCTCCCCCACCCTACGCTGAGCTTATTCGAGTTCATTCGTACTAATAATCCCTCCTGCGGCTTCCTCATTGTTGCTGTTTTAGGCCACCCCAGCTCAGCCAATGATTCCTTTCCCTCTGAATGTCAGTTTTGTTTTTAAAAGTCACTTGCTTAGTTGATGTCAGCGTATGTGTATTTGGTGGGGAAAACCTAATTTCGGGGATTTCTGTGGTAGGTAATAGGAGAAGAAAGGGCACTGGGGGCTGTTCTCCTTCCTTCCCTGGGCTGTATCCATGGACTCCTGGAAGGCACAGAGAAGGGAGCTATAAGAGGATGTGAAGTTTTAAAACCTGAAATTGTTTTTTAAAGCACTTAAGCACCTCCATATTATGACTTGGTGGGTCACCCCTTAGCTTCCTCCCTCTCCCACCAAGACTATGAGAACTTCAGCTGATAGCTGGGGGCTCCCCAGATGAGGATGCAGGGATTTGGGAGCAGTGGAAGAGGGTGCCCAACCTTGGGTTGGACCAACCCTTGGCTCGCAGCTCAACTCTGCTTCCCGCATTCCTGCTCCACGTGTCCCAGCTTCTCCCCTGTGACGGGAAGGCAGGTGTGACTCCAGGCTCTGCACTGGTTCTTCTTGGTTCCTCCCACCAGGCCCTTTGTTCCTCATGTCCCCATGTTTCTCTCCCTCTGCGTCTTAGCACCTTTCTTCTGTTCAAAGTTTTCTGTAAATTTTCTCTTTTTTTCTTTCTTTCTTTTTTTTTTTTTTATAAATTAATTTGCTTTCAGTTCCATCTTGTGGGTGCATTCTGTGTTCTTACCTGTGGCTGTCAGGCAGGGGGATTGTGATGGGAGCAGCTTTCCTGGAGTCCTTCACAGCGGCGTTTACCTGGGCCGAAAGACACTCTGCAAGCCACACGGCCTACAGACACTGCGCCTCCCCACAAAACACGAACGGCAGCACAACTGTCGAGACTATGTGCTGGTATAGGAGCAGAGGCTCTCACCTGCCCTAAAAGCTGTTTAAGACTTGGAAGGACATTCCCACAACATGGAATTTTGTATCTCTGTCCCTTCAGAAGTAGTGGTTTCACTCCTTCCCTTATTAGAGAGGAGGCAAGCCCCTTACCTACTTTTGTTATAATTGGCCCTTCACCCTGCTGAGGTGACGGACAGGCTTAGGCAGTGCTAATAATGGCCTGGCTTTAGCTCCAATAAACACTCCACAGGCTTCCCCACAAAAGGCCTTATTGGGAGCTTGGGAGGGCGGGGGCCAGATTTAAGGAGCTGGAAGGGTAGGAGAAGACAGCCTGATATGGAATGGAACAGGGATGGCCAGCCTTAGTCCTACTGGGATCTATGGCTTTCCTAATCTCCCAAGAGGTAGCTTGTGTAAGATGGATGAATGGGGCCAGTAGTTTTTAAATGAAGCCCAGATGGCTAGTACAGGGCCTCCCCCAGCTTTCCTCAACCCCTGCACCATTGATTGACCTTGGACTCTGCCTCAGGGCAGAAATCATCACCATCTCACCTTCTTCCCCTTTACCCTGTTCAGGAAAGAAAGAACCGAACCGAGGGCCCAGAGAGCAAGTTTATTTGGTGAATGCTGACGGCAAACATCATCCAAGAGAGACAAGATGGGAAAGTTGCTGAGACAAGAAAGCCTAGGGAAACTTTAGGCTAGATACAAAATTCACACAGGGAAAGGCACGGACTCTGGGGAGACTGGGAAGGTCCTCAGCCATTCAGCACCATGCGGACGAGCTCTGTGGAAAGGAAAGGTGGGATGAGCCAGGGAACAGGGCTGTGGAGGGGTACGCCAAGGGCCAGGGGACTACCAGACTGCAAAGGTAGCATAAGCGGGAACATGCCCACAGCAACCAACCCTGGGGTCAGTTTGCAGAGGAGCCACCTTGAGTCTGACCAGTTCTCCATGCCCCTAGCTCCCCTCCCAGCAGCTGTTAGTCCCCCACCCAAACCTAAGCAGCAAGAACACAGCAGAGGCAGAAAAGTTCTCCACTACACCTACAGCTACTGTCAGCCACTGGCGGGAGGAGAGGACAGAGTTTTGGGTTAGGGTACCTCCAAGCTGCCCAGCGAGGGAAGGGGAAAGGACTGTTCAGCTATAGCAGCAGAATGGGGCAGGCAACCCATACCCCTCTATGCCAGCTACCCATGCTCCAGGGCCAGAAGGTCACCCTAAAGCAAGACTGGTATACAGGCTGGTGAGAGTTCCCAGACACCAGCACCCAGGGCCGCATAAGTAAAACCTCAGGGCCCATTCTAGAGGTAAGGAGGTACTGTACCCCCAGGTTGTCTTCCTCTTTGAGGAATCCCTCCCCTCCCTAGTCAGCTCCATGCAGAAACATGCCAGGAGGAAGTCAGATGGTAGTAGGGTAAGGGCAGGGGATAAAGAGCACAGGTTGGGGAAAAAAGAAACACTGGGGAGATCAACTAGAGGAGAGGCTGGGAGGAGCCGTACCCGCCCCATGGGCCCGTCACCCCGACAGGATATGCCTCACAAACGCTGCAGGAAGGAAGAGACATTCATGGTGAAGACAAGACAAAGACATGGGGTGAGGGGTCAGGCAGTGGGGACAGACATTCCATTATTTCACTTCTCATTCCTTCCCACCCTCTACAATACTACCCCCTTCCTTTCCTGTTATACCGCCCTGACCTCCCACTCCTGGGCTGGGCTGGGCAGGGCCCTGCACCTTGCCTCCTGGCTCTTTTTGGAGCCCAAGTCCAGGGATAGGGAAAGCCCCAGACACTATACTTGACCTGCCCCATATGGCTGCTTTCTCTGAGAAAGCGCAGTTCACCTCTTACCTTCATAGTTGATACAACCATTGCTGTCCTCATGCCCTGCCACCAGCATCTCTACTTCTTCCTCTGTCATCTTCTCACCTGCAGGGGGAAAGAAAGCATTTTTGGAATTGGGTGACAAGTGAGGTACCTCAGGGTGCCATCTCAGCTCAAGGACAAGGACACAGAACCTTACCCAGTGTGACAAGAACATGCCGGATTTCAGCACCCATGACGGTGCCATTTCCTTCCTTGTCAAACACCCGAAGTCCTTCGACATAATCCTCATAGGTGCCCTGGTCCTTGTTCTTGGCCACTGTCTGCAGCATGGGCAGAAAGTGCTCAAAGTCCAGCACCTTCACATTCATCTCTGCCATAAAGGAGGTGGAAGTGTCAGGCCAGAGAAGTAACACAAGTTCTCAGGACAGGGGATTATAGAGACCTCAACTGAACAGAGAGATGACAGATGACTCCCCACTAAAAGCAAGGAAATCCATGGGATTTGCTAATCCAGACTTGCTTGAGTTTGGGGCCTATGAAGATAAAGGGAAGCTCTTAGCTGAAGAACTGTGGGCCCATGACCACACTGAGGAGTTGTTCTTTAGGCCCCTCACCATCACTCTTGGGGTTCCCCAGGACCTTGAGCACCTCGGCGTTGGTAGGGTTCTGGCCCAGGGCCCTCATCACATCCCCACACTGGCTGTACAGGATCTTGCCATCACCTGTTCGGTCAAACAGCTGGAAGGCCTCCTTGAACTCTGAGGATTCAGATGAATGTCAACACAGGATTTGAGGGTTAATCCAAACCCTACCTCAGAGCTCTGCTGCCCATTCAACTTTGATCATGCTGAGGAAACGAGATATCTGCACCAAACTGTACACCAAAGTCTACTTAAGAGGGCTCTATTTCTCTTCCTCCCAACTCAAGTGTTCTATATAGAGGCTTCCTCCCCTTCTGGCAGCCTGGTAACATCCATTTACACAACCCCTCTGCCTGCGGCAGGCCTGCCAATCTCCACTGCTGCTACTACACTTCTCAGGGCAGGAATTCGCCACCGCCCAGTCTCAGTCCTGTCCTTATAAGGAAGTGGGAGCAGCAGCCTGGGACTAGGGTCATCCCAACCTGCCACTTCGCACCCCTCCAGTATAAAGAGAACTTCCAGAGGGTATAGCTACAGTCATATCCTTAGCAAACTCCCCTGTCTTGTCCCCATCTGCACAGAATATCAGGTCACTGCTCTACAATCTTCACAACTGCAAGCTGGGAGGGCGGGGACAGTTATCACAAGAGGAGAAAAGAGGCAGAAGTAGCTGATTAAAGGACAAAGGAAAGCAGGCAGCTTTATACACCCTCCCGAGACCCCACACACAGCAGGCATTAAGTGACCAAGTTTTTTCACATACCCACACCACCTAAAACTCACCCAGTGCTTGGGATCAGATCTAGAGTGGAAGGGGAGGGAGGAAGAAAGTGAGAAAAGAAAATGGAGGATCCAGAAGAAGAGAAAATAATCCAGGGGGTAATCTCATGGGGGTGCTAAAGAGATGACAGATTAAGATTAGAGGATAGGTGCTGGGGGGAGGGTGTCCCTCTCCCTAAGGGTGACCTCGGTAGGGATCAGAGATAACCTACCTGCGGTCTGGTCTTCGGTGAAGTCACACTGCTCAGAGAAGAGGGAAGTGGTCAGCATCTGAACGCCAATCCCCCGAGTTTCTATCCCAGCCCCACAAACTCTGACCCACAAACTCTGACCCACAAACTCCTGTTTCAGGCTGCAGACTCGCTTCCCCGCAGGGCCCCAGTCTTTCCAACCCCACCTCCAACCTTTCGGGTCCTCAGATTCCCTTTGCCTCCTACCCCTGCCTTCTCCTCGCCCCCCACCCGTCTCTTCCTGCCTCTCGTCCCCAATCCTGCCCGTCTCCCAAGACCTGGGCCCCACCATCTTGACTGCTCAGCTCTCCGGGACCTTTTCCTGCAGTAATGGCTCCGACTCTCGGCCCAACCCTAGTCTTAGTACGTCCCGATGACGTCACCCTCAGAGGACTCAGCCAATAGGAACCGTGGCCTGGGTTTATGCAGACGATTGCTACATTAGTAATGACTTGGGCGGGGTCCGCTGTTCCTTTCTCCAGCGCCACCTGGGCACAGAACCCGCTCGGAGGTGGGGGGGGTCGTGGGGGGAGGTGGGGGGGCGGGGGTCGTGGGGGGACGTGGGCTGGGGCACAATGAATCTGCACCTCCCAACAGCAGGAAGATCAGAGGATTGGAAGAGGAGAGAGCCCTCTTTTCCCGCCCTCTCCTCCTAGCACCCTCCCCGTCTCCCGCTGCTCCCCCAACCATGAAAAAAATAGCAGTCTGAAACCAAGAGAGGAACCCAGTCTTTATTTTGAAACAATAGGTGGCCTCCTGGTGGCTGGAACGTGCTTTCGCCTGCGGGGCCCAGTGTCCGGACCCCACTGGATCTGTGGAAAAAAACCAAAGTTGCGAAGCGCTGGAGCCCGTGCAGCAACCGGACAGCAGAATGAACTCCGCTGCTTTTCTATGTTGGCTGAGAGAAGGGCGGGAGACTTGCCTCGTAAGGCGCGGCGAAGGGGTGGGAGGGCCCTACCTGCAGCACTCAGACGCTTAGGATGTGTTTCAAGAAGGCTGCAGAGAGAGGAGGCAAGAGGGGCTTCAGAAGCAGGCCTTTGGATAATACATCTGACTCTAGGTAATCCAGGGGTGCCCCCGCCCACACGCGGCAAGACGCCAGGCTGCCCTCCTCCCTCGGCCCCGCTCCCGCTTTTTTGTCCCCTCACCCTCGTAGTTGATGCAGCCGTTGCTGTCCTCGTGTCCTGCCAGAACGGTCTCCACCTCCTCCTCAGTCATCTTCTCTCCTGAATCCCAGACACAACGTCTGAGGCCCTCCTTTCCCTCCTTCACTCACCCAGGCCACGCTTTTCCTTTTTTTTTTTGAGACGGAGTTTCGCTCCTGTCGCTCAGGCTGGAGTGCAGTGGAGCGGAGCGATCTCGGCTCACTGCAACCTCCGCCTCCCGTGTTCACGCGATTCTCCTGCCTCACCCTCCCGAGTAGCTGGGATTACAGGCGCCCGGCTAATTTTTTGTATTTTTGGTAGAGACGAGGTTTCGCCATGTTGGGCAGGCTGCTCTCAAACTCTTGACCTCAGGTCATACACCTGCCTCGGCCTCCCAAAGTGCTAGGATTACAGGCGTGAGCCACCGCGCCTGGCTTTTTCCATATATTTTTGTAAACAACAATATAAACATAACAATTGTAATTTTTTTTTTTTTTTTTTGAGATAGGGTCTCCCTCTGTCACCCAGGCTGGAGTGCAGTGACATCATCATGGCTCACTGCAACTTCCACCTCCTGGGCTCCAGTGATTCACATCGGCCTTCGAAGTAGCTGGGACTACAAGCGTGCACCACCACGCCTGGCTAATTTTTAAATTTTTTTGTAGAGACATGGTTTTGCCATGTTGCTCAGGCTGGTCTCGAACTCCTGAGCTCAAATGATCTGCCCATCTCGGCCTCCCAAAATGCTGAGATTACAGGTGTGAGCCACCACGCCCAGCCTTGTACTTTTTTTTTTTTTAAATAGAGATAGAATCTCACTACGTTGCCCAGGCTGGTCTCGAACTCCTGGGCTCAAGCGATCCTCCTGCCTTGGCCTCCCAAAGTGCTAGGATTACAGGAGTGAGCCACTGCTCCCGGCCAGCCCATGCTGTTTTGCTTTTTTTTAAACTGAGTCTTGCTCTATCACCCAGGCTGGAGTACAGTGGCACGGTCTCGGCTCACCGCAACCTCCACCTCCCGGGTTAAAGCGATTCTCCTGCCTTAGCCTACCAAGTAGCTGGGATTACAGGCACCCGCCATCATGCCTGGCTAATTTTTGTGTTTTTAGTAGAGACGAGGTTTCACCATGTTGGCCAGGCTGGTCTTGAACTCCTGATCTCAAGTGATCCGCCTGCCTCGGCTTCCCAAAGTGCTGGGATTACAGGCTTGAGCCACCGTGTCTGGCCTTTTTTTTTTTTTTTGAGACAGAACCTTGCTCTGTCCCCCAGGCTGGAGTACAGTGGCATGATCTCTCGGCTCACTGCAACCTCAGACTCCCGGGTTCCAGCGATTCTCCTGCCTCAGCCTCCTGGGTAGCTGGGATTATAGGTGCGTGCCACCATGCCCGCCTAGTTTTTATATTACTAATAGAGATGGGGTTTTACCATGTTGGCCAGGCCGGTCTCGAACTCCCGAGCTAAGGTGATCCGCCCGCCTTGGTCTCCCAAAATGCTGGGATTACAGGCGTGAGCCACCATACCTGGCCAGGCCACGCTCTTTAGAGTGGTACCTCTTCTTCTCCCATAGCCTCAGTCCTCAAGGGAATCCTCCCCTGGTCATGGATGCCTCTTGCTTTCCATTTCACCCTAGTACTGCTGAAAGTATTGACCCACAAGGAAACAATCCCAGGAGGTTACGAGACTTGTACCAGAACACACAACCCACACGTCTCTTCCAAAATGAAAATTCAGGTTTCCCGCCTCATCCCTTTTCCTCTGCCCTCCGGATGGCACTTTAGCCTCTGGAAGAGCGAGTCCTTCAGATTCTACCCCCATAGCTCTGACCTTCTCAGTCTCCTGCCGACAACCTGCAGGACAGTAAGCCTCCTGCTAGCTCTGCTTATCTGTCCAGTCTTTCTGGCCCACCCCATCCCCCTCTCCACTCTAAAGGAGTTCTGGTCCCCCTTGCCTGCCTCACCAAGGGTGGTGAGAACATGTCTGAGCTCTGCTCCCATGACTTTGCCGTTCCCCTCCTTGTCAAACACACGAAACCCCTCCAAGTAGTCCTCATATGTGCCTTGGCCTCGGTTCTTGGCCACTGCCTGGAGCATGGGCAGGAAAGTCTCAAAGTCCACACGCCGCGACTTCAGCTCTGGAGGTTGGAGAGAGGTAAAGGAGAGGTCATTGTAGTATTACATAGGACCCAGCTCCCAACCCTACCACAATGCTTTCATCCTATTCAGCATTTAGGATATTTTCCTGCTTCTGTGTTTGACAGTTTTTGAAGTCCTGAGATCCACCTCATTCTTTTTGTTACCAACATCCAACTTTTGAAAACTAAAAACCCAAATTGTTCCCAAGGGTCCCCTCACCATCACTCTTGGGGTTCCCCAGGACCTTGAGCACCTCGGCGTTGGTGGGGTTCTGGCCCAGGGCCCTCATCACGTCCCCACACTGGCTGTACAGGATCTTGCCATCCCCCACTCGGTCAAACAGCTCGAAGGCCTCCTTGAACTCTAAAGTATAAGGAAGGGTCAGTGTAGACACTGACTAGGGTTCCCATCACCCCCAGACAGAAGGGAATTTCAGAAACTATGTGAACAGAACAAGGGAGGAAAAGAGGACTAGTATGGGAGGTTTCAAGGTCAGGACTGGGGTTAGGGGAATAGAAAGAGAATCTGACCAGGGGATTGGGGATGGGACAGTGGCCTTAGATGAGCTTCTCCTCACCCTCCAGCTGGTCCTTGTTAAACTCGATCTGTGGAAGAAAAAAGCAGGTGGGGAGAGATGAGAGTTTATTCAATCCCTCTCCCGCACTCCTCCCAACCAACTGGCAGCCACTTCTGAGGAGGGGCCCAAAGGGACCAGGCTGGAAGCCCAGCCACCTCAGTCCCATTCCCAGCTCTGGGCCTTGGGAGAATCCCAAGAAGAGGAATTACAGTGGGGAGGGTTTCCTGGGAACAGGGTTAATCCCATGCCACCTGTTTCCCTCCCTCCATTGCCCTGAGCCCTGCATCCCACACATAACTGGGGGCTGAACAAAGGCTAAATTTACCCCTGGCCCCCAGCTGTGATTGTCTAACAAGTCTGTCCTCTTCAGCCTCCCCTCCTGGAGTTCAGAGCTGCAGGCCTTTTGAATTGAACCACCAGCCAGGGGCAGGCAACAGCTCTCTTCCCTTCACCTTGAAACTGTTCTCAGAACCCAGATGTTCCCCATCTAAGAGTCCCTGCCTCCAGCAGGGGGTAAGTGAGTGTGTATGTGCTGTACACACATGATTATAGGTTAGAGGGAGAGAACAGCAAAGACAACAGCAGAGTCATAAGACTGGATGCTTCCAAATGGGGGACTAAGGGAAAGCCCCAATCTCATTCCAGGGCTCACTGATTCCCTACCTTCTAGATACCCCCTAATCCCCTAGGCTGTATCCCACCCTCAAACCACCCCCTCCAATTCTATCTTCACTTTCCAGAGACTCACCACCACTTTGGAGAGATCGACTGGAGGCTCCTGGGTTTTCTGAGGGGCCTGGGGGACAGCTGGCTCAGCTTTGGTCTTGGCTGGAGGAGCCCCTGCTGCTGCTGGCTTAGCAGCAGGTTTGGAGATGGAGGGCCCTGCTGGTTTCTTCACGGGAACATCCTTCTTGGGAGGCATGATGTCCGGTGGCCAAAGGACAGTGTGCGGATGGGGGCACCCATCTCTGTTTAAATAGCCAGGGAGTCTGGGATGTCAAGGGGCGGGGGCAGGGGCAGGGAGCCAGTTGGCTGTGGCAAAGATGAGGTAGAGGAGAGATATAACCGCCTGCCCTCACTCCCCTGGCCTCCTATGGTTCAGGACTCCTGCCCCAAGGTCTTCTTCCCTCTGTCCCCTTATCCCCAAAGGCTGACCAGAAAAGAACAATGTTTCCTTTAGGGGTAGGGGAGGAAGCCAGAGACTGCCCAGAATGAGGTAGTTAACCTCCAGGGTGAGGATAGGATGCTTGCCAGTGGCACTGAGATGGGGGTGGTGAGGCAAAGCAGGTGATCCAGCAGCTTTAGTCTTCTTGAAGGGTGGGGTGAGGGGTAGCAGCCAGGGAGGCTTGTGTGAACTGGAACAAGTTAAAGTGTGGTCTGGGAGCAATGACAAAAACAAGAAGCCCATCTGCCCAGCCCCTCCACTCCCTTCTGACCATGGCTTTGTAAAGAGCAGGGGTAGTTAACCTTAGAGTCTAATGATCCCTAATACTTGTAGTTCCTGAGCCCCCACCCAGCCAAGAACTGGAACTATTCACAGTATAAAGGAAGAATAGTCATAAAAACAGGAGTATGACATCCCTCATTGTCTCCTGTGCCCAGTGTTGTTTTAGGGGCAGGAGTGGGGGCAAAGATCAGGTTTAACATCTGCTACCCATTCTTCCATGGAAGAAACCTTCCACAAGCCCACGGTCATTCAAGACAAACAAAAGGTAGGGTGCTTGCTGAACCTGTGGGGACCCTTTGGTGGCACCTGAGGAGAAGGGCAGGCTCTGGGAGACGGCTTAAATTCCCTAATCCAAGAGGATGTGGGCGCTCCTATGGCTCCATGAGTATTCACCCCACAACCAGGGGTATAATAAAAATCCTGACTCAGGGGCCAGGTCACAAACCTTGCCAGGGGCGCTGGGAGAGAGTCCAAGTTGGGGGGCGTTTGGGAGTGGGGAGGGATTGCAGGCTACTTTTGTTCTGGGGTAAATTAGGAAAGGATTTAGGTAGCATTCTGAGGAAGATAGCAGTGATTCCACTTAGGCCCCGGGGTTGATGCTGGGTCTCCCATTCGCAAAACAGCGTCTGAATCTCATGACTGCAAATTGTCCCATTTTTACAAAATACATCACACACACACGACACACACACACACACACACACTCACGCACCCCCACTAAATCTTAAAGAAAATGGCCCTCCTCAGCCCCCAAAAACTCACCCTGCGGGGTCCGTGTCTGGGGCTGGGGAGGGGGCGGGGCATAGCGCGGCCCCCAGCCCTGAAGGGTTAATTCCGGTGGCCGCGGAGCATGCCGGGAGTCGTAGTTCCCCGCGGGCTCACGGGATGCGCCGCGCTCTAGATTGCAGTTGACGCGAGGGCGGTGGCTTCCGGCCCATGGCGGTGGTTGGTGACTCAGTGTCCTTCCAGCGCGCTTTATGTCCCGGAACTGAAAGGCAATGAACAATTTCCAATCCACCCCAACCCTAAAAACCCTGCGGGGCCCCTAGGGTATCCCTCCTACTTAACCCTGGCGGGCTCCTAGTCTCGGGAGGTGGAGGGGGCGGGGCGGCTGTTTTCCTGGACCTACTGCTGAAAGAACTCAGAACCTGGGGAAAGATTGAGGCTGCAGCAGGCAGCGTGGAGGTCAGATAGCTGGAAGCACTTAACGGCCCCGGGGAGAACCGCTGCACTCTCTTTTGCTTCCTCTCGCGGTTTGGTAGAAAAAAAAGAGGCCTCAGAGTAGTTTGTTTTTAATGAGCTGGTTGCTGAAGTAAATGTTAAAATTTGCAATTAAGCCCAGTCACCTGCCCCAGCCTTCTCTGATCGAGGTTTCCATCCTGCGGCAGCATATGCGCCATCCTCCTCGATCTTCACAGGTCTCTGAGCGGAGGGCTGGGCTTTCCAGCCCTACTTTCTGAAACTCTTATGGTCAGCATTGGAGTTCACTGGTTCCCCTAGGCGTTGATCAGAGGATGGGAACCAGCCCGGCCGGGCCCACCTTCACTCACTGGATCAGTAAATACCCTGGCGGTGCACCTGGTGTTGGAAGCTGGTGCTGCACAGGCGTGTGAGGATTAGATCAGAGCAGAAAACTCGGGCGATGGCAGGGTGGTGAGGCACAGGTGAACTTTATGGGCAGTAAGTGAGGTTCACTGGTTGGGGAAAGTTTATTGGAAAGGTAGAAATGAATTGTACGACAGAAATAACGATAATAGTAAGTTAGCAACCATTTCTGGAGGCCGCCATAGATCTCGTACCGGTGAAGGGGCTAAATTATCTCAGAGGGTGCTCAAGTGGATGGGGTTCAGACAGCCTACTCAGATTTAAATCCTGGTTCTACCAGGTCCTAGTTAGTGACCCTCAGCAGGTTTAGTTATCTCTCCTGGGCCTCAGTTCCTCATCTGTAAAATAATGATAATGGTACCTACCTCATAGGGCTCTTCGGAGGATTCGAAGTGTTATTATTGGTAAAATAGGGCCGGGCTTGGTGGCTCACACCTCCCAGCACTTTGGGAGGCGAGGCAGGTGGGTCACCTGAGGTCAGGAGTTCGAGACCAGCCTGGCCAACATGGTGAAACCCTGTCACTACTAAAAATACAAAAAAAAAAAAAAAAAAAAAAAAAAAAAAAAATAGCTGGGCCTGGTGGCGGGCGCCTGTAATCTCAGTTACTTGGGAGGCTGAGGTCGGAGAATCACTTGAACCCGGCAGGTTGCAGTGAGCCGAGATCGCACCACTGCACTCCAGCCTGGGTGACAGAGTGAGACTCCAACTCAAAAAAAAAAAAAAGTGTAAAATAGAATAGGCCTGGCACAGCATAAGTGCTGTATAAGTTTTTGTTAAATAACTTTCCTTTAATCTTCCCAAGGTATGAGGTCGCTGATATTTTCCCCATTTTACATCAATGAAGTAAGGATCAATAGGTGTTGTGAAGAGACGGAGAGGAAGAAGGAATACATTTTTAAGTGGTTATAAGACTGGGAAAGGGCCACATTATAGATGCCTTTGTGTGGCTTTCATTACTTTTGCAGACATTGATTTCAAAATATGGCTCTTGTAATTTTTTTTCTTTCCTTTTCCCATTTTTGGCATTTTGCCAAGTATGAGTGGTTATGGCATCATCTGACTTTCTAGCATTTTCTATAGAGAAGTAGTACAGGGAAAAAACGTTAAGACCCTTGCAGAGATGGGAAGGCTATCCTTCATTTTCTGTGCCATCCCTGTCTTGATCATAAATAACAGGAACTGGACGAAACATGGTCTTAACTGGGCATAGGGTGATTATATATGTGAATTATCTGTGAGAAATGCCTGTCTCTCCTCTCTCCTCTCCCTGCTTAGCATGTGATTTGTATATTCTTATTTTTCTTTGGTTTTGTTTTTTTCTAGAAATGAGGTCTCACTGTGTTACCCAGTCTCAAACTGAGCTCAAGTGATCTTCCCATCTCAGGTGCCTCCCAAAGTGCTGGGATTATAGGTATGACCTACCTTGACTGGCCTGTATATTCTTAGAGATTGCATTTTGTGGGCAGGGAGGGAGGTGAGTCCGAAGCTTGCTTGCCTTCCCTAGGCATGCCGTCCTCCAGGAACCTCCACATGTTCAGCTGTCCAGAGTGGCCCATTAGATTGAAAGAATATGGAAAGCCATTGGGGAGCTGTTCCGCAGTGCACAGGTCTATGCACACTTACCCCCAAAGTCCAAGGAAGCTAAGAGGTTGAGGAAGGAGGCTGACAAATCCAGTTTCTTAGAAATATTTAATAGGAATTTATGAACAGAAGCCATGTCTGTGTCTTGGGTAGTGGTGAGACACGATGGTGGATCCCCAGGACATCATCCCCTGGAGTAAGTCCTGACCCCAGGACTTACCACAGGGAAGGAACCTCTAGGACAATTGAAGTCTACCCTGCAGGGAAAGGCAAGAATACTCAGTAAGCCAGGCTTTATGATCAAGATTGTTTTGATCTAAGGAGAAATTATGGTAAGTACATGCTCTTACACAAAGAACAGTAGATAAAATAGAAATCTTAGAGGCATTCCCAAAACTGGGGTTAATCAGACATGAACATTCCCAGCACTTTGGGAGTCCAAAGTGGGAAGATCACTTGAGCCCAGAAGTTCAAGACCAGCCATGGCAACATAGCAAGAGACCCCAACTCTACAAAAAAAATTCAAAAATTAGCCAGGCATGGTGGCACGTGTGCCTCTGATCCCAGCTATTCAGGAGCCTGAGGTGGGAGGATCACTTGGGCCCAGTAGGTCAAGGCTGCAGTGAGCCATGTTTGTGCCACTGCCCTCCAGCCTGGGCAACAGAGTGAGACCCTGTCCTTAAAAAATTTTTTAAAAAAAGCAGGCCGGGCGTAGTGGCTCATTCCTGTAATCCCAACACTTTGGGAGGCCAAGGAAGGTGGATCACCTGAGGTCAGGAGTTTGAGACCAGCGTGGCCAACATGGTGAAACCCTGTCTCTACTAAAAATACAAAAATTAGCCAGGCGTGGTGGCAGGCGCCTGCAATCTCAGCTACTTGGGAGCCTGAGGCATGAGAATCCCAGGAGGCGGAGGTTGCAGTGAGCTGAGATTGTGCCACTGCACTCCAGCATGGGCAACAGAGGGTGACTCCATCTAAAAAAAAAAAGAGAAAGGCTGAGCGCCGTGGCTCATGCCTGTAATCCCAGCACTTTGGGAGGCCGAGGTGGGCGGATCATCTGAGGTCGGGAGTTCGAGACAAGCCTGACCAACATGGAGAAACCCTGTCTCTACTAAAAATACAAAATTAGCCAGACGTGGTGGTGTATGCCTGTAATCCCAGCTACTCAGGAAGGCTGAAGCAGGAGATTCGCTTGAACCCGGGAGGTGGAGGTTGTGGTGAGCCGAGATCATGCCATTACACTCCAGCCTGGGCAACAAGAGTGAAATTCTGTACCCCCCTAAAAAAAAAAAAAAAAAAAAAAAGAAAGGTGGAATGGGTGGGAAGTGTTATGTGGAAATAGGCTCCCAGAGAGCACAGTGGAAAAGGTTGAGAGGAAGAGAAGCAGAAGGAGATTGTATTAGGGCCCTTTAGCTGCTCTCTTCAAGCATGTTTATTCAGTATACGTTCCTTTTTGTGTTTTGTTTGGGAGACAGGAGTCTTGCTCTGTGGCCCAGGCTGGAGTGCAGTGGTGCATCTTAGCTCACTGCAACCTCCACCTCCTGGTTTCAAGTGATTCTCATGCCTCAGCCTCCCAAGTAGCTGGGATTACAGGTGTGTGCCACCATACCTGGCTAATTTTTTTTTTGTATTGTTAGTAGGGATAAGGTTTTGCCATGTTGGCCAGGGTGGTCTCGAACTCCTGACAGGTGAGCCACCGCCTTGGCCTCCCAAAGTGCTGGAATTATAGGCATGAGCCATTGCGCCCGGCCTCTGTATACATTTCCTTTCCTCTCCCCCGAGAAACAGGGGCTTGCTCTGTTGCCCAGGCTCTGGATGCAGTGGCACAATCATAGCTCACTGCAACCTCAAATTCGTGCGCCACCGTACCTGGCTATTTCTTATATTTAGTTGTTATAGTTTTTGTTTGTTTGTTTGTTTTTTGAGATGGAGTCTCACTCTTGTCACCCAGGCTGGAGTGCAGTGGTGCAATCTTGGCTCACTGCAAGCTCCGCCTCCCGGGTTCATGCCATTCTCCTGCCTCAGCCTCCCAAGAAGCTGGGACTACAGGCGTCCCACACCCAGCTAATTTTTTGTATTTTTTAGTAGAGACAGGGTTTCACTGTGTTAGCCAGGATGGTCTCAATCTCCTGACCTCGTGATCTGCCCGCCTCGGCCTCCCAAAGTGCTGGGATTACAGGTGTGAGCCACCGCGCCCAGCAATTTTTGTCTTTTTAGTACAGATGGGGTTTCATTATGTTGGCCAGGCTGGTCTTGAACTCCTGACCTCGTGATCCGCTGGCCTCTGCCTCCCAAAGTGCTGGGATTATAGTGTTGGAATTACAGGTGTAAACCACGGCGCCTGGCCCCACTTAAGGAAATAATGTGAGATGTATATAAATATCTTCATGGCCAGGTGCAATGGCTCATGTCTGTAATCCCAGCACTTTGGGACGCCGAGGCAGACGGATCACCTGAGGTCAGTTCGAGACCAGCCTGGACAACATGGTGAAACGCCGTCTCTACTGAAAATACAAAAATTAGCCCAGCGTGGTGGCGGGCATTTGTAGTCCCAGCTACTCAGGAGGCTGAGGCAGGAGAATCACTTGCATCCGCAAGGTGGAGGTTGCAGTGAGCCGAGATCACACCATTGCACTCCAGCCTGGGCAACAGAATGAGACTCTGTCTCAAAAAAAAAAAAAAAAAAAAAGCTGCTGCTGGCCTGACACGGTGGCTCATGCCTGTAATCCCAGCACTTTGGGAGGCCGAGGCGGGCAGCTTATTTGAGGTCAGGAGTTTGAGACCAGCCTGGCCAACGTGATGAAAACCCTGTCTCAAAATACAAAATTAGCTGGGTATGGTGGCAGGTGCCTGTAATCCCAGGTACTCAGGAGGCTGAGGCAGGAAAATTGTTTGAACCCCGAAGGCAGAGGTTGCTGCAAGCCGAGACCACGCCATTGCATTCCAGCCTGCGTGAGAAGAGCAAAACTCTGTCTCAAAAAGAAAAAAAAAGAAAAAAAAAAAAAAGGCTGCTGCAGTTCCAGACATAATATCCTCATACCAATAACCTACGCAGAAAGGAAGGGGCAATGAGGGCTTTCTTCTTTAGATGCTACAGTCCCTGACTTCCTCTAACATCTTGTTGACCAAAACTGGGTCAGGGTCATTTCAACTTGCAAGGGAAAGTGATTATTCAGCAAAGGGGATCTTGATTAATTTCCTGGGGCTGGCATACTGCCACCAGGGACATTCTGGGATTCTGTATGTAGGGAAGAGGGGAAATGGCTGTTGGGTAGACAACTGTGTTGCCACACCTAGTTAACTACAGCACGTTGTTTGGTCCAATAAAAACACATTCCAAGAGGATAGTATTTGCAATCAGTGATAGCGTAACCATATGCAGTCATATCTTTCTCCAGAAAAGGTGTGCATCGTGTATGTGTGTTAAAAGTCAGTTGTTTGAGAAATGACAGAAGTATATTTAATTCATGTGACTAATGACCCTTAAAATGTGTTCCATCTTCATATATAAATGTGCAATTGTGTTTTGTGTCTCATCTTGTATGTATTTAGTTGTTTTCTTTTTTCTGGTTGTTATCTTTTTTTTTTTTTTTCTTTTTTTTGGAGACAAGGTCTCACTCTGTCACCCAGGGCGGAGTAGAGTGGTGGCACGAGCCTAGCTCACTATTACATTGAACTCCTGGGCTCAAGCGATCCTCCTGCCTCAGACTCCTGAGTAGCTGGGACTACAGGTGCATACCACCAAGCCTGGCTAATTTTTTTTAAGGGTGGTAGTTTTCTCTGGATCCTCTGCCTCGGCCGGCCTCCCCAAGTGTTGCCATTACAGGCATGAGCCATCACACTTAGCCATCATCTTGTATTTAATATGTATAGTAGTACCTCTTCCCTTATATATATTGAACTCAAAAAGGTTAGGAAAGAGTAGGGACCCTTCTGGGATGGAAGAATTTGTGCCATGTCCTCTAGTTTTCTGGAAATGTAATTACTTGAAGTGATAAACTAGCTCAAGAATGTTTTCTTAAAATCACACATTACAAAATCCTAGGTTGTATTATCTGAAGCCAGCTAGAACAGCAGGCCTTGGGCTGCATGCCCAGCTAGTATCTAGAATTTTTTTTTTTTTTTTTTTTTTTTTTTTTTTTTTTGAGACGGAGTCTCGCTCTGTCGCCCAGGCTGGAGTGCAGTGGCGGGATCTCGGCTCACTGCAAGCTCCGCCTCCCGGGTTCACGCCATAGAATTTTTTTTTTTTGAGATGGAGTTTCGCTGTGTCGCCCAGGCTAGAGTGCAGTGGCGCCATCTTGGCTCACTGCAACCTCCGCCTCCCTGGTTCAAGCGACTCTCCTGTTTCAGCCTCCCGAGTAGCTGGGACTACAGGCGTCCACCACCACGCCCAGCTAATTTTTTTGTATTTTTAGTAGAGATGAGGTTTCACCGTGTTAGCCAGGATGGTCTCGACCTCCTGACCTCGTGATCCGCCCGCCTTGGCCTTCCAAAGTGCTGGGATTACAGGTGTGAGCCACTGCGCGTGGCCAGTATCTAGAAATTTGACAAGAGACCTTAAAAATTTTCTTTGCTCTGTTTTTGGAGTTTTTCCCCCTGTGATTTTAGAGCCGGAGTTGGGGAATGGAGCAAATAAATAAGACCTCCTTGCTCAAAGCCAAGGCTTGGGGTCCTCTTACTTTGATGGGAAGGAAGTGGAGATGGTAGAGGAACCAGCAGTGAATACAAAAGGGTCACTGAGAACATAGAGGCTGAGTTTGTGGACAGTGTGGAGTTTAAATTCAGTTTTTGCTAATTAAGCAAATTTCGACAACTTGTGGAACTGAGCAGGAATCCTTTCCCCTGAGTCTTCCCTCTTCTCCCAGTGGGCAGCATCCTAAGGAAGGTTTATATTTTTCAAGAGACGATAGTAAAGTCTCTCTGAGTCAGTTATGAAATCCCCAAGTTCCTATGCCAGTGACCCTGTTTTCAGTAGTTCACTCTGTCCATCTCTCTCCTTTCAATTGGCAGAACAGATGGAGCACAGCTTCTCTAGCTTGCATTCCAGGAAAGTTCTTGCAAGGAGCAGAGTTCAAGGTGTACAGATGATCGAAATGGGTGTATTTCTCAGCTCCTGCTAGATGGGCCTGAAGCCCTTTTGAATGTAGCTGAGCATGCCCTGACAGCACAGAGACACCAGGAGCCTGTGCAGTGGCACAGAGACACCAGGAGCCTGTGCAGTGGCACAGAGCTCCCAGGTTTACCAGGTTTAGGAATCCCTTCCCTGGAAAGCCTATAGTGGTCAGCAGACAAGTTGGATGGGTAACAGAGTTCATCACTGTGACTGGAAATGAGTCTCACCTGAAATGCAACAGCAGCTACTTTACACAGGTCTCTTGACCATCCTCAACATTCTTGGTGGCTGCAACCTTAGTAGGCTTTGACCATTAATTAAACTGACATGATTCACGAATTGGATAAAGGCTTTTGACAGTAGGAATAAACATCAGATGGGTAGATTGATTCCCTATCCTTAAGGAAAAGAACCACAGCTGGTTTGAGTATGATGTTTAATGTAAGATCCAGTGGCTTGGCAGAGTTGGTGCAAAACTGTAAAGTACCAGATTAAGTTCTAGTCAGTGAGTTAGCAGCCTAGGCACTTGGGCAAAAAAATTGGCCCTGCTGTCCCAAGTCCTCCAAAGCCCTCTCCGTATCACCAGCTAGGAGCTCCAAGACTGATATGCCACTACTTGGAGGCTTGAGTAGAATCCACGCGTCCTCAGTTTCCAAAGTGACAAGAGACTGGCCCCAGCCATCAAAGCAGTAGAATTTTCAGGACAGGGTTGAGGACAGTGGGGACAGAACTGGACATGGGGGCCTGAGCTGCTGAACATTTGCTACATGCAGTAGTCTAAGAGGCTCACAGCTGGAGAGGTTAGCCTGTCCACCTTCCCACCCATGTGTGGTAGGGAAGAAGGTGACCATCTAGTTAAAGAAAAAAAGATCCTTCCAAAGCTGTATTTGGCATAAGCTAATACCACTGCTAGTGCTGCCACTGGCCAGGCACAGATACAGAAGGCCCTGAGGAGTTGGGAGGAAGGGAGAACAATGTGCAGGCAAAGCAGGAAACAGCCAGCTCAGGTCCCCGCCCCAGGGGCCCAGAAGGATAAAGGCCGTGCAGTAAAGGGAACATACGGTTCTTCTCTTTGGTCAGGCAAAGGCCCGAATATGGGCCTGTTAGGTGAAAGGGCTGAAGGGCACAGGCTCTGCCCTTGGACCCTAGCTTTAGGCTCATCACATTGAGGCGGTGATGGAGCGAGACGAAGGCAGGAAGACAGAGCAGTCAGGCTGGGACTCGCCAGCTCCTAGGAGCTGCCCTTGTCCTTGTTGTCCATCAGGTCATACCTGTGAAAAGAGGGCTCATGTAGAAAGATGACTCTTGTGTCATCATATTTATAAATGAGACACGATCCAAGGGCTTCTCTACTTGATAGAATCAATGGTTCTCTGCTCAGATTGTATCTTTTTTTCCTTTCCTGTGATTGGAATTTCTCCCACTGAAATATCCAGACCATCCCCCACCCACGCAGACACTCACCACCGGGCTACACCCTGGGAAAGGTCTGTCTCAGCTAGGTCCAGCTGCACCTGTGTTGGAAGATGATAGGGGAAAGATGTTATTTCTTTTATTTTTTGAGACAGGATCTCATTCTGATGATGCTGTTTTGAAATCTCCAAAGACCATGTTCCTTCATCACATACTCGTCCCAAACCATTGCAGAGGTGAGTCACCTCTAAAGGATCACGTGGGGTACTTCCTTCCTCACAGGGACTATAACCTTGGTGCCAGCAGCTTCCAGCCCTCACCTCTGCCCTGCCATCCTGCCCTCTTACCTTCCCCAGCAGCTCACGCTCTCTTGACATGAAGGAGGAATTAGACTTGACAGAGACATCCAGCTTTCGTCTCTGGGCCTCATCCAGGGGGAGTTCCCACTCAAACCTGGGGTAGGACTGGATGTTAGGGGCCAGGAGTCCTTTCCAAGCCTGCCATCTCTCCACCTGAATGCCCACTGACTGACCGTTCATTAAATTCAGGACTCAGGGTCCTCTTCTTCTGTGAGGTCCTCCTCTTGGTGCCTCGGTTCTTGTCTGGCAGTAGCAACAGTGACACATAGGGATCAGGAGGATCACGTCCATTCTGTCGAAGGGACCTACAACAGGAGGATGTAGGTGATATGGTAACCTGAGGGAAGGGATGGAGGCGATCTGGAGGACAGGAGGGATGGGGTCTCACCGGCAACCATGAACAATGCTGACCAGCTTTCGTTCTTCACTGTAGTACCACAGAGTCAGTTTCACCTGGCCCAGAGGCCCGGCTGGAGCCTCAAGGGGACTGTGGAGAAATATCAGTAGGTCTGGGGAAAGCTAGAGCCTAGTGAACCTGTAATACTTTTTATTTCTGACTGCGTCCCACCTTCCTGTCCCAGCCCTTTACCTGTCAACATGTGTTAGGCGCTGCCGGAGCTCTGGGGCTGAGGAGGTGATGTGAGGGGGTCCCCCCGAGAGCTCTGGTTCTTCACTCAGCGATGAGGAGCTGTGGCTGTAGCTGTGGCTATGAGCTTCCACTCCCGAGTGCTGGGACACCAGGATCTAGGGGCAAGAAAGCTGTGAGCTGGGCAGAGTTCTCTCAGTTCCCTCACTCTAAGGACACGGCCCTCTGTTCCCACCCTCCTGGGTGTCCCTCACCTGTGAAGGCCCTCCCCTCCTCCCTCTCATCCTGCCCACCATCTCCTGTCACTCACCCCTAGCTGTGCTCTCAGTAGCACCTGCCCCTGACCACTGCTGAGTGTAAACCAGCGGTCCAAGCAGAGCTGGTCAGCCACGAGGAGCTCTGAGAGGGGCAGGGATAATGAGCCCAGCACGCCAGTGCCCTCACCCCGAACCTGTGGGGCAACAGGACCATGATCAAGAGGCGAATGCATCAACAAATGAGTTAATCCTGGTGTTTTAAAGGTCCAAACGCTTGGACTCATAGGTGGTTTGGTGAGATTTCCCTTTGAGAAAGGCAGGGAAGCCATGGTAACAGTTGCTAGTCCCTCCCTCTGTCCTTCCTTCCTTTTTTTTTTTTTTGAGACAGAGTTTCGCTCTTGTTGCCCAGGCTGGAGTGCATGGCGTGATCTGGTCTCACCGCAACCTCCGCCTCCCAGGTTCAAGCGATTCTCCTGCCTCAACCTCCTGAGTAGCTGGGATTACAGGCACCTGCCACCACGCCCAGCCAATTTTGTATTTTTAGTAGAGCTGGGGTTTCTCCATGTTGGTCAGGCTGGTCTCAAACTCCCAACCTCAGGTGATCCACCCACCTCAGCCTCCCAAATTGCTAGGATTACAGGTGTGAGCCACTGTGTCTGGCCTGTCCTTCCTTTCTTAACCAGAGTAGAGTGGACCATCTTTACCTCATAAACTTTCAGAAATTATTATTATTATTTTTGAGACGGAGTCTCGCTCTGTTGCCCAGGCTGGAGTGCAGTGGCGCAATCTCAGCTCACTGCAAGCTCCGCCTCCTGGGTTCACGCCATTCTCCTGCCTCAGCCTCCCAAGTAGCTGGGACTACAGGTGTCCGCCACCACACCCGGCTAATTTTTTGTATTTTTAATAGAGACAGGGTTTCACCGTGTTAGCCAGGATGGTCTCGATCTCCTGACCTTGTGATCTGCCCGCCTTGGCCTCCCAAAGTGCTGGGATTACAGGCGTGAGCCACCGCGCCCAACCTAGCTTTCAGAAATTATACCAGTAATACCTACAGCATACAGAAAACAACAGTAAAAACAGAACTAAAAGTAAATGTTTCTTGCCCATCCTACTCCTATTGCCATATTCCAAATGTAACAACCTTTAAAACCCTCCTGTTTTCTTTGTTCTCACGGAATTCTAATATGCTTGTATCTATTGATTCCCTGCTATAAAAGATGAAGAACTGAGCTCATTTGTACCTCCTTTCTACTCTGCTAGCATTAAGTTACATTATTTTAAATTCTATTAATTTCAGCCGGGCACAGTGGTTCACACCTGTAAGATGGCTCATGGCCATCTTTTGTCTCCTCACTCTCCACGCTGCCTAAGAGATCTCACCCATGACTACACTTATGAGTGGTTGCTTGCTCATGATGTTCCAATAAGAGGGCAAGGGAGGAACACCTCATGGACAATAGATTTGTTTTCTGCATGTCTTCTCTTGGATGTCCTGCAGAGATCTCAAATTCCAAAATTCCCTCTCTGTGCACTCCCTAAGTCAGCAACGGCACCCTTATCCATCTAGCCACCCTGTGCCAAAAACCCCAGAGTTAGTGTCTAGGCTGTTCCTTGCTCCTCCACCTGCTCCATATCACAGCAATCTTCAAATCCCATCAGGCTTTAGTCGTTTCCTGCTTTGACTGCTCTAACAGTCTCCTCACTGATCTCCCTGCCCCCAGTGTTGTCCCTCTCCAGTCCATTCTTTACCCTCTTATCCCTATGATCTTCCCAAAATGCAAATCTGGATATGTGACCTCTCATTAAAGGCTTCCCTGACTGGGTGTGGTGGCTGACGCCTGTAATTCCAGCACTTTGGGAGGCCGAGGCAGTGGATCACTTGAGGTCAGGACTTAGAGACCAGCCTGACCAACATGGTGAAACCCCGTCTCTCTTAAAAATACAAAAATTAGCTGGGCGTGGTGGCGGGCACCTATAATCCCATCTACTCGGGAGGCTGAGGCAGGAGAATCGATTGAACCCAGGAGGGAGGTTGCAGTGAGCTGAGATCGTATCACTGTACTCCAGCCTGGGCAACAGAGCAAGACTCTGTTTCAAAAAAATAATAAATAAAATAAACAAAGGCTTCCCTAAGCCTTAGGATAAAATCCATATTTCTAGCATACTATTCAACAGCTCCTATGATCTTGCTCTGCCTGCCTCTCTGATCTATAATAAATATGCCTTCTCTCTCCTCCATTTTTTTTCTCAGCCTAAAGAGTTTTCCTGCTCTTCTTTTCGTGGTCCGAAAGAACCAGTAAATCTACCCTTAGGCTGGGGCGCGGTTCTCACGCTTGTAATCCCAGCACTTTGGGATGCCGAGGCGGGCAGAATGCTTGAGTCCAGGAGTTCGAGACCAGCCTGGATGACATGGTAAAACCTCATCTCCACAAAAAAATACAAAAATTAGCTAGGTGTGGTAGTGTGCACCTGTTATCCCAGCTGAGGTAGGAGGATTGCTAGAGCCCAAGAGTTGAGGCTGTAGTGAGCCCTGATTGCACCACGGCACTCCAGCCTGGGCGACAGAGTAAGACCCTGTCTAAAAAAAAAAAGGCCGGGTGCAGTGGCTCACACCTATAATCCCAGCACTTTGGGAGGCTGAGGTGGATGGATAACCTGAGGTCAGGAGTTCAAGACCAGCCTGGCCAACATGGCAAAACCCCGTCTCTACTAAAAATTGGTGGGGTATGGTGGCACGCGCATGTAATCCCAGGTACGCGGGAGGCTGAGGCAGGAGAATCGCTTGAACCTGGAAGGCTGAGGTTGCAGTGAGCTGAGATTGCGCCACTGCACTCTAGCCTGGGCAATAAGAGTGAGACTCTAGTCTCAAAAAAAAAAAAAAAAAATCTACCCTCAAGCTCAGGGGTCATCTAAGGATGCCTTTCTATCTCCAGCCTTTCCCCAGCCTGAACCCTTCCTTTCTTCCCCACAGTGCCTTTTACCTCAGTTATCATTCTGAAAGTTTCATCTGGTTATTTTTCTCCCAAAACAGAGTGTGAGCTCCATAAAGATAAGAAGTCAATCTTTTGGCCGGGTGCGGTGGCTCACACCTGTATTTCCAGCACTTTGGGAGGCCGAGGTGGGCGGATCACCTGAGGTCAGGAGTTCGAGACCAGCCTGGCTAACATGGTGAAACTCCATCTCTACTAAAAAAAATGCAAAAATTAGCCAGGTGTGGTGGCGGGCACCTGTAGTCCCAGCTACTTGGGAGGCTGAGGCAGGAGAATGGTGTGAACCCAGGAGGCGGAGCTTGCAGTGAGCCAAGATAGCACCACTGCACTCCAGCCTGGGCGACAGAGCAAGACTCTGTCTCAAAAAAAAAAAAAAAAGTCAACCTTTTATCTCATCTCTGAATGCTCTGTGCCTGGTTTCCTGCCTGGCCATGGCAGAAATCTGCTAAATATTTGAAGAATGAATTTACAGTACCTGCAACTCTAGGCTCTCAGTGTGTGGTTTCCTGATGAGAAAGGAGGCACTCTCATCCCAGACAGGGGCTGAAGTTTGCGAAATAGTCTGGTGGAGATGAGGGCTTATGATCAGTAGCTGATACTCTTATTTCTCTTATCCCTCCCATTTTTACCCTGCAGCATTTCTTCATACCTTGGTTTTATGAGAACTATCTCCCACAGTGAGAGTAGCATAAGGGCTGAGGTGCTTGGTGCCTTTTCGCAGCTAGAAAGACAATACTGTGTTAGTCTTAAATTTGGACCTAGTTAGGCAGATCCCCCTCACAAATTATATCCACAGCCAGCAGCCATGTCTCCATTATTACTTGGCAGCCACTACCCGTGGCCTTGAACAGACAACTTTTCCCACCCCTGCACTACCCTCAGAAAGAGAGGGGCCATTTTTCTTATTCTAAATACTCCAGGACCATCCAAACCGGAGGAAGGTGGAAGAAGGGCCAGGAAGTTATGGGGCATGGGGAGCGGGATCTCACCGGGAGGTCCTCTGCCCGCTCCATATAGATGGATAGCAGGGCCGCAGCCAGCTCCGCACTCTTCTGAGTCTGGATCAAACTATTCACCTGCAGCACCTGTGGAGGGGCACACGGGGCTGGGGAGTGGTAACTGACACCTTGGGTTCTGGCATGTGCCTTGAACGCTAAGAGAAGAGCTCATCCTGCCCCACCTTGGGTCCCTTCCTTCCTCAAGTCTCCTGCCCTACCTCCTCTAACTCAGCAGCAGTGGGACGGGGGGTGAGACGCTCCAGGCGCAAGTGCAGGCGGCCAGATGGGACATCCTCCAGGGTCAGCCACTGTGGAAGTAGGCAGGGTGAAGACTTGGGGATATGCAGACAGGAGAACTTTGAGAATGAAGCTTGGGCAGGATCAGGAGGGGTTGTTGACTCTAATTCAATGCTCACCTCATCAAGGAAGCCACTGTTTAAGACTGTGGTGAGACGCACTTTACACCTGTTGAAGAGAAAGATTAAGACAAAAGCTAGATGGTGAGAACCAAGGAGGCCAGACTCCATGGCCTAAAGAGCCCCAGCCTGTTTTTCACGTAGACTCCTATGCTCTCACCTGCCCAGAAAATCATCCTTGTCCAAGTCCTTGTCAAAGACTTCAACCTCTAGCTCTTGGCCTGGAACTGATGTGACGATCACCTAGTGGGAGAAAATAGTGCAGATGAAAGATTCTCTCCTTTTCCTCTGCAAATGACTGGACCCCCCAGTCAACTGAACCTCAGAGGTTTCTGGACCACTTTTGGGATTGGGGGAAAAATGGGGCAGAACCAGGAGTCACAGCCACTCAATTCTGACCTCAAAAACCTCATTCCAGCGGGGATTGAGATCTTCCCGAACAACATGGCTCCGGAAGCTTCGTCCTGCCAACTTTAGTTTGACATAGGGGTCTGACTTGCCCTTCACCAGTCCCCCCAAGAAACGGTCTTTGGCAATCAGGTCCTGGGCCTCTAATACATGGATCCGAAGCACATGCTGCAAAAGGGACGGGGGGGTGCCAGATGGCAAAGGGAGAGAGACCTGTCAGAATCTGCCCTGAAACAGGCTTTGCATACTTAGCGGGGCAAACAGACCCTAGTCCTTTCCAGATATAGACTCACCTCAGTCCCAAACTGGCTATCAGGAGTCGTGTGACAGGGTCGAGGTGGGGCATCCACACTGCTGCCTCTCTGGGGATTCTCACTGTCCACGTCCCAAGCACCAGGACAACCAGGCACCGTGGGGAAGCATATTTCTGATGAATCCAAGTACAGGATCTAGGAAGGGTAGTATGATGCTGAATCAAAGAAGTGCAGCTCGTCACCAGCAGGCAAAGCATGTGGGGTGGGGTAGAGGAGGGGCTGTGACAGGGGAACTAGGTGCTGCCCTGGCTGGGCTCATCTCTACAGGGTTCCCTCCACACCCCCTCAACTCATAAGCCATTCCTTCCACCAGTCAGATCAATATATGTTTTTGTGCCTGCTTGGCACTTCTACATGTATTAGCTCTTTTAATCTTAGGGGGGTCCCTTTCCTTACTCTTAATACCAAAGAATCAACAGGCCTTTCCCCCACACCTCAGTACCTCCTCTATTTCCATACCCTCATGACTAGTTTCATATAGAGTCTGGAGTTTGGACCAGAGCTGCTGAGCTGGAACCACTGGTCCAGGATGAGTTCTGGGGCAGTCAGCAGGCGGGCCAGAGGCAGCGTCAGTGCTCCTAAAGTCAGGGCCCTGGAATCATCCTTCACCTACAGGCACAGGAGGAAGGACTGTAGTGAAGGGATTAGGGGAAAGGGAGGCATACTGTGAAAATGATAACATGGCTCCAACTTCATTCCTCTCTGTACCAATCACAAACCTCCTGCTCCACTCAGGGCCATCTTTTTTTTTTTTTTTTTTTTGAGACAGAGTCTCACTCTGTCGCCCATGCTGGAGTGCAATGGCGCCATCTTGGCTCACTGCAACTTCGACCTCCTGGGTTCAACCCATTCTCCTACCTCAGCCTCCCAAATAGCTGGGACTACAGGCGCATGCCGTCACGCCCAGCTAAATTTTTGTATTTTTTAGTAGAGACAGGGTTTCATGGTGTTCCCCAGGCTGGTCTCAAACTCCTGAGCTCAGGCAATCCGCCCACCTCGGCCAGAGCCATCTTTTATAGTCCTCTGCCCAATCCATGGCCCCTTCCACCTTTGTTCATTCTGCTCCCACTATTTGGAAAGTCCTCATTCTCTTCCCTCGGCCTATTTAAATCCTACTCATCCTTCAAGACTCAATTAAAATCCAATTTTTTGCTTCACAAAATCTCCCTAGTTACTCCAGCCTATCCCTTTCTCTGACCCTCCTTAGTCCTATACTATGGATATTTTACTCCCACAAATTCATATGTAATTGTTGCTATTCTTCTGTTCCTTTTTTTTTTTTTTTTTTTTTTGGAGACAGAGTCTTGCTCTGTCACCCAGGCTAGAGTGCAGTGCTTGAAATCAGCTCACTACAACTTCTACCTCCCGGGTTCAAATGATTCTTCTGCCTCAGCCTCCCAAGTAGCTGGGATTACTGACACATGCCACCACACCTGGCAAATTTTTGATTTTTTTTTTTTTTTTGAGACGGAGTCTCACTCTGTCACCCAGGCTGGAGTGCAGTGACGCTATCTTGGCTCACTGCAACCTCCGCCTCCCGGACTCAAGCAATTCTACCTCAGCCTCCCAAGTAGCTGGGATTACAGGCACGCACCACCATGCCTGGCTAATTTTTGTATTTTTAGTAGAGATAGGGTTTCACCATGCTGACCAGGCTATTCTCAAACTCCTGACCTCAGGTGATCCACCTGCCTTGGCCTCCCAAAGTGCTAGGATTACAGGTGTGAGCCACCATGCCTGGCCTTAGTTCATATGTACTTGTTCTTGAATGATTTTATATGTGTATGTCTTGTCTATGAAACTGAAACTGGCCAGTGAGTATTGTGAAGGCAGATACTATGTTTTGTGCTTTTTCTATGACCTTTAAAATGCTGAATGTTGGGCCGGGCACGGTGGCTCACGCCTGTAATCCAAGCACTTTGGGAGGCTGAGACGGGCGGATCACCTGAGGTTGGGAGTTCGAGACCAGCCTGACCAACATGGAGAAACCCCGTCTCTACTAAAAATACAAAAAAAATTAGCCAGGCATGGTGGCACATCCCTGTAATCCCAGCTACTCAGGAGGCTGAGGCAGGAGAATCACTTGAACCCAGGAGGTGGAGGTTGCGGTGAGCCGAGACCACGCCATTGCACTCCAGCCTGGGCAACAAAAGCGAAACTGTCTCAAAAAAAAAAAATGCTGAATGTTAGCAATTTTATTGAGGCATAATTTACATACCATAAAATCACTCATTTTAGGTACCGTGCCCAGCCTCAGAATAATTTTTGTATACCTAAAATGAGTGATTCTATGGTATGTAAATTATGCCTCAATAAAATTGTTAACATTCAGCATTTTAAAGGTCATGGAGAAAGCACGAAACATAGCATCTGCTTTCACAATGCTTACTGGCCAGTTTCATAGACAAGACACACATATATAAAATCATTCAAGAACAAGTACCTATGAACTAAGGCCAGGTGCAGTGGCTCATGCCTATAATCCCAGCACTTTGGGAGGCTGAGGCAGGCGGATCATCTGAGGTCAGGAGTTCGAGACCAGCCTGGCCAGCATGGTGAAACCCTGTCTCTACTAAAAATACAAAAATTAGCCGGGCATGGTGGTGCCTGCCTGTAATCCCAGCTACTCGGGAGGCTGAGGCAGGAGAATTGCTTGAACCCAGGTGGTGGAGGTTTCGGTAAGCCGAGATCGCACCACTGCACCCCAGCCTGGGCAACAGAGCGAGACTCCATCTCAAAAAAAAAAAAAAATATTATTCTGGAGCGACAGTTGGGGAACAATGGAGAGATATTCAGGGAGGTGGGGAGTCTAGGTAGATGGATTAAAAATAGGAATCAAGGGAAAAGAAGGAGAGGAGAAATGGTACAGATCTGGGAAGTCAGAATAGGGTATTCGGGAGGGGATGAAGAGGTGATTATCTCACTTGCACATCGAGCTCCTGGCTTTGAGGGTCTTGTAGGAAGAACCGGAACGCTTCCTCCCACACTGGGCAGTTGGTACTGTAGACAGCCTGGAGATGTAGAGGAGGGATTAAGGGTGTATACCACAGCACCATTCCTGTTTCTGCAGAAAACCCCTGCATGTAACAGGCATTCTAAAGGGGAAACCATCCCAAGAATAGGCCTCTCCCTGTCCTACCTGGCCACCCACAATGATGTCCTGGCCCTCACCTTGCTCTCCTGAGTCACATCCTGAATTGACAGTTGTACCATAGGGTTGGGTTCCTTGTTCCCCTTCTTCAGCTGTGGTGGGTACAATTCAGAGGTCACCATCTTGGGGGATTCGGTTTTGGTTTTGGTGAAGGAAGGTGGGATCGCATCAGAATCCTTTCCCTGAGATGGATCTGATCCCCTCCCTGGGACCCTTATGTTACATGCTGATACTTCTGGAGCAAAGCAGGCAGGGACATTTGCATCCTCAGCAAGGCAGGGTTGGGGAATGTTACATCCAGGGCTCCTGTTCACCCAGCCAAACTCACAGGAAGATCCTGGGCCCGATCCAGGTAGACAACTAAGATGGCAGCTGACGGGGGATCTGGTCGAGAGGAGACTCCCCAATTCCACTGTAGAACCTGGGGAGGGGTGGTAGTAGTCAGATCTTGGTCCCCGTTCCAAGTCCCCTACACTTCCAGCTACCTATTTCTCCCCTGCCAGCTTCCTATTTCCCATGTGGCTTACCTGCTCCAGTTTCTCTGCATCTGACAAAAGTGACAGCCATTCTAGCCTCAAGTGAACTTGGCCTTGCCCACCTTGTAGAGGGAACCACTAGAAGAAATTGAGATGTAGTAGAGATCAGATACCTGCTCAACTACTTCCCTACCAATGTAGCAACTACTATCTACCCAAAGGGTGAGATCAGCCCCCACCTTCCTCTTCTCCCAACTTACATCATCCAGAACGCTAGCCTGTAACACCTTCCCTACATCCAGCTTCATTCTGAGGGTTGGCGGGGGAGAGGGTAGTGAAAGGAAGAAAAGGGTAGTGTTGTAATTAGCAGCATGTCAGTGGCCCTCCACTCACCCACCCAGAAATGACTGGCAGATCTCAGACTCCCTTATTCCTCTCAGAAGATATTCACCTGCATGCGTGAGTATGTGCATGGTAGGGGCTGGGGGTGGGGAGGTTAGGAAGGAAAATGATACATGATTCCCAGGCCCAGAAAGTGAGTATAATTACCTCCAGAACCTCGGTAGCATGGGCTTTATTTTTTTTATTTTTATTTTTTTTCTTTAGAGACAGAGTCTCGCTCTGTCGCCCAGGCTGGAGTGCAGTGGCGCGATCTCGGCTCACTGCAAACTCCTCCTCCCGGGTTCACCCACCATTCTCCTGCCTCAGCCTCCCGAGTAGCTGGGAGTACAGGCGCCCGCCACCACACCCGGCTAATTTTTGTATTTTTAGTAGAGATGGGGTTTCACCGTGTTAGCCAGGATGGTCTCAATCTCCTGACCTCGTGATCCGCCCGCCTCAGCCTCCCAAAGTGCTGGGATTACAGGCATGAGCCACCGTGCCTGGCCAGCATGGGCTTTAGAATCCTAACAGGCAGAGTCTCACCTGCCCAGAAAGTCATCTTTATCTGGATCCTTGTCGAACACCTCCACTTCAATCTCCTGCCCTGGGACCTCGTGTACCATCACCTGGGGAACACAGAAGGCTGAGTGTCTCATGGGGCTGCAGCTGTGAGGATCATCCAATCAGCATCTTCTCTCACAACCTCCTGGGGCTTCCCCATTTCACAGAGCTGCTCAACTCTCCCACCTCATAAGTCTCTCCCCACTGTGGGTTGAGTTCTTCATCAATGACACGACTGCAGAATGTCTGGGTACCCAAACGCACAAGTGCATATGGGTCTGACTTGCCCTCAATCAGGCCCTTCACATATTTGTCCTTGGAACTCAGCCCTCGAGCAGCCAGCAGGTGAATTCGAATAATGCCCTGGAGGAAGGAATCAGATGGTGAGAAACTAAGGACCCAGCAAGGGGTTCCTGAGAGAAGGATCTATCTAGTGGGGGAAAGGCCATACCCTGGGCAGAGGGGAACGCAACTGAGCCACATCTTGAAGGTCAGGCACAAGGGGCACCAGTAATCGGTTGGGCAACACGAGGAAGGCAGCAATGGAGTCCATGATCATGGTGTCAGAGAGTGAGCTGAATGGGGGAGTAGAAAGGAGTGGGTATGGCCTCAACTTCCAATTTTCTCCTAACCCCAACTATGTTTCCCACACCCAAGAGAGACCTAAAGCTGTAAGAAAGTCCTTTTGTGAAAATCCTTTGTGCTACTCTTCTACCCTAATTCCCCACCTACTGCTCTCTCCCTTCTTCACTGCCATCCCCATTGCCTTTTGCAGTCTTCAGCCCTCTGCATTCCCTTCCTGCTCCCCCAACCCAAAGAAAAATCACAGTATCAAACTTTGCAGGGGTATTTGTCTTTGCTCCCCAAATGAAGTTGAGGCTCCTAGAGGACACAAGCAGCATCTTTGACTGCTCTGTGTCCCTTAAACCCCCAACCCAGCGCTGGAACACTCAGCAGGTGCTCAGTAAGTCCTTGATACCTAAGTCCTGGGATATCCAGCAGGTTGGTCATCCCTGTCCAGTTGATGTCTAGGGTCTGGAGGGAAAGAGCAGGGGTCAGGACAGATCCTATGGGGTGTGGTCATACCCATCAAACAGTTGCCAGAACCCCTCGGCCTTCTTGTCAGTTCCCTTCTCATTCCCCTTCACTGGCTGCCCTCATCCTCCCAGTCCTCTGTTTCTCCTGCTTCCCCATACCCCTTCATTGTTTTCCCTTACCGGGCGTCGGATGAAGAACATTGACACAGCCCCCACGAAGGGAAGGTCCCCAATGAGTGGCTCCAGTATCACCCGCAAAACGCCATGTAGCTGAGGCAAGAAGAGAAAATCAAAGCCTTTCCCCAGAAAAGTCCCTCTTCTGTCCTCCCAGACTTTCTCAGCCTTGGTCTTTCCAACCTCACACTTCCCCATATCCCATGAAACGCAGGACAAACATTCCCTATTATGTGGCCCCTGACATCTGGCCTACCTGCATGCCCTTGACTCCTGCTTTGCAAAAATATTTCTTCACTTCCACATCAATCTGCACATCACCTACATAGCTGGGGATTGGTGAAGAAGAGAACCAAGAGAGTTAGTCCTTGGCTGAAGTTGCGGGGAGGGGGAGTGAAGTAGCCTGGACTGAACAGGACACATTGAAGGGGAAGCAGTAAGAGTGGTGAGTGGTATTACCTGATGTTCAAGTCCAGCAGGATCTGCTCTTTTCTCTGACCTGGGTGAACCTTGACTCCAATGATGCGCAATGGCTAGGGAGAGAGAAATTCCTGAGAGAGGGCAGGGATAGGGAGAAGTACCTGAGTCTACTCCGGGCCACTCACCCTCCCTAGCCTACCTCCTCACTTTCCCTCCTCCACACATACCTTTTCACCCAGTTCCACTCGTGTAAATGTAAATGTTTGCAGATGGGGGTTAGATCCCCTAACAGCCGGAGCCACAGTTTCAGCCAGAAGCTTCTCCATATACTGGCCCAGGAAGGGCCAGACCTGGGCCACAATCTGGGAGGAAAGAGAGATGGTCAGAGGAGAGTCCAGTCTTCCCTCTCAAGGCAAGTTCCTTCAGAATCCTCCCCACGGAGAGCACTGAGGGTTGAGGATGGGTCTGGCAAGAAGAAACAAATTCCCATTCTCCCCTCATGAAGACTAAAAATCAAATCAATCCTCACCTTATTGAGCCATTCAGCCTTTTCCACGTCTGGGAAGCTGACCTGGAGGTGGGGAAGGCAGAGACAGTGACGTGCAGCACACCCTCGCCTCTGGTTTCCTACTAAGATGCTGGTGGTGTGCCACAGAGGAGAGGGAGTGTGTGTGACTCCTCACACTCAGGGTGGGCGAGGGGCGAGGATGCCCCAAAGGTTCATTCCTCACAGAGTTTGGGGGCTGATGTCTCTCTAATAAGGGGAGCTGACAAGGTAGAGGTCACGCTGTTGCCCTGTGGATAGCTCAGGGACGTGGTGAAATGACAGCTGCTGAGAGAGAGAGGAGCGGGAGGAGGAGAAGGGCGCATTCTTTCTGGAGGGGGAGGTCCAGTCAAATTGGAGTTTGAGGGAATCCTGGGATTTAAAAAGTCCTGGTTCCAGGCTGGCCGCGGTGGCTCGCATCTGTAATCCCAGCACTTTGGGAGGCCGAGGCCGGCGGATCACGAGGTCAGGAGTTCGACACCAGCCTGACCAGCATGGTGAAACCCTGTCTCTACTAAAAATACAAAATTAGCCGGGCGTGGTGGCGCGTGACTGTAATCCCAGCTACCCAGGAGGCTGAGGCAGGAGAATCGCTTGAAGAGGCAGAGGTTGCAGTGTGCCAAGTTCGGGCCACTGCACTCCAGCTTGGCAACAGAGCGAGACTCCGTCTCAAAAAAGAAAAAAAAAAAAGTCCCCTTTTCCAGCCTTCTCAACTCCCCTCAGACGGGGCTTCTAGAGCAGGAAGGTGAAGAGGGAAGCAAGTCCTTCCTTGAGTCAGGGAGGGGCCAGAAGACCTAATTAGGCCTGGCTTTGTGGGTTTTTTGGGGTGTGTGTGTGTGTTTTCCTCTATCTTTCTCTGTGTGACTCCTTTTAAGGGAAAGGACACCTGCGCTTTGTATTGGGGGTAGGAAGATTGGTTTCCATGATGATGAGGAGGAGACAAACACTTGCTGCCTAGGCTACAGGTCCCCTAGAGCCATTTGGCCCTCTTTCTCCTCCCCTTTCCAGTCCAGGGCCTGGGAAGCTTGGCTGTGTCTGTCTAGTGTCAATTTTGATTCCTCTCTGCTGCCATTCTCCCCCTAGACTGGCACCTCTGCTGGGAGGGGCCGGGTAACCGGCTTCGCCTCTGCAAGACTAGAGAGAAGGCATCCGCCTCAGCACAGGAGACGCGGCCGCCGCAGAAATAAGGGTCTCTGCCCCAACGGAACAAGCGCAGCCCACAGTCCGGAAAAGGGTGTGGCCGGCCGAGGAGTGCGGGGGAGTGTGCGCCGCGGGCACTGCAGCAGCCGCACCACCTCCTCCCGTAGCCCTCCCTCCGTCCAGCAGCCGCCTCTGCCGCGCTGCAGTCTGGCGGCTGGAGGCTTGAAGGTGGCTGCCCGAGGGTCGTCCAGGGGCCGGGGCTGGGTCCTAGCGGGTACCCGGGGATAAAAGCGAGAAAAGAGAGAACCGTATGGCTTTAAGTAGGTAAAAAGTCTCGAGGAGGATGGGAAAGACTAGGGAAACCTTTGAGAGGTAACGGGACCAGGATTTCCAGGAGCAGCAAAGCCGCGAGTGGCACCAAAAGCAAGAGGGACGTTCAAGATGGCTTGGCTAGGAGGGAGAGCTTCGGCTGAGACGGGGTCCCCAGATGTTATTACTGCTGTTGCCCAAGTAGAGGAAGAAGTCCTGATTCTGTGGAAGGATCCAGTCTGGGCATGCGAAAGGGTGGGTGGGGAGAGTGAGCAGTCGGTTCCAAGAGTGGCGCGTCCAGCAGGCAGGCGGCTAGCGGGGAGAGAGGGGAAAGTCTGGGGCCCACTGTCCCAAGGCAGGGAGCTGACTCTAGGCATAAGGAGGAAAAGCCCCAGATGGAAGGGGTGGAAGGGGGCTATGCTGCACAGAGGACCGAGGGTGGTCGCTCACCCAGGCAGGTAGCTCTCGATGACTCATATAGAGAGTTTTCGCAGTGAGCTGCTCCTCGTCGTCCAGTAGCTGCCTCGCTGCTCGAAGGCTCCGTTCTTTCTCGTCGCGGACCCGGCGCCAGCCCAGGTAGAGGGCGAGGCCGAAGAGCACGAAACCCACGCTGAGTCCCACTGCCCCGGCCAAATACACAGGTATCAGCACCAGCAACCGCCTCCCGAATGAAGTCAGCACCGCCAGGGCCTCACCCGCCGCGCCAGGGCCAGCAGGTTGGCCCCCAGAACCTGGGTCTGGCTTTGCGTGAGCAGCGGGGGGCTGGTCAGTGGGGTCGGAGGGAGCAGAGGGCTGGTCCATGGGGCTGGGGCTGGGGCCCTCTCCTGGAGATCGCTCCATTGTGCCACCTCTGGGAGGATCCGCCCGACCCAGGGACTGGCTGGAGGTTGCCTAGTCTTGCGATCAGCTCCCCCAGGCAAAACGTGATCCCCGGGATGGAGGAGGGGACTTCAAGCCACGCCCCTCCTTTCTGGCGATTTGGGTTGGTCCGCGCTGCACAGACCAAGGTGGAGTTAAAAGGTTGAAACTCCACCCCTCTTCCGCGGGGAACGGACCGGGTTTCGGATAGGTAGGGCCTCCCTGATTGGGCCCGAAGGCCAAGATGGGAGGTCTGAGATGGCGGGAAAAGGAAGAAAGGGGCTCAGGGGCGGCATTCGATTGGTAATAAAGAGGAGGAGGCGTGGCGCACCATTTCAGGAGAGGCGGGACCAAGAGCTCCCCCACGTGGGATTGGAGTGCCTGTGGTATGACGTCATGCAGAGCTGCACCGCCAATTTCTTGGTTTTGGAGAAAGCCCAAGTTGCGAAGTTGAGGGGTTGTGGAGCTTCAGGATTTCCCTCTACTCATTCGGTTTGGCAGGATTTGGTCTGGGATATATATATATGTTCTTTTGCCGACTTTCTCTAGTTTTCATACTCTAAGCACATTCCTTATCCTTCAACTTTTTCCTGCCTGCCCTTACAAAAGGAAAGGATACGATCGTATTTGGAATGAAAGTGTTTGAAAACTAACCCCGTCTATCCCGTCCCTAATCCCCTACCTTCTTTGTGTGGTGTAACGACTGACCCTGGAGAAAACTGGAGAGTCAGAGAATTACAGAGTTGAGATAATCCAGCCTTCAGGGAAAGGGGGAAAAAAAGCAGAGTGAATAGAAAGTGAGGCTTTATTTCTTTTTGGAAATTTCCAAGAGTTAGTAAGTCATCTCTATCTTAGAGGATGGATGTAAGACTAGTTGGCTCCAAAAGGGAGGGAGGCAGCGCAAATTATTACATTTTCCAATAATTTTCTGACCCTGAAGAACTTCTAGGACACTAAAATGAGGGATCAAGAGTAAGGGAAAGACAATTCCTTTTCACATTTGCCTGAGTTAGAAGGAAGGTTTGCCATACAGTCAGGTGCAGAACTAGTGCAGTCCCACAGTGTACGGTGTAGGTTTAGGAAGGAAAAAGTGCAGGGTACACCGATGACTATTGTTACTAGTTAACTGGCGTTAGAGGTGGAGTGTTGTCCTAGGATCTAGGAACTAGACTAATTGGAAGTTGATGAGGGAAGTGTTGGTCATAAGATGATTACCTTTTAATGCAGTATATATGGGGCATATTATGTAAATCTGTCAGATGCAGCAGAAGAACTGGGGTTGATCACTGGGAAGAAACTAGCCATTTCTTAGAGGAAGTGTCTTACAGGATGAGGCCTGCAGCTGATAAATTTTATCTGGTTCTGCAGGGCATAGATTTCATCAGCCTGTGTTTACCAAAGCTGCTTAAAACCTGTCCCTGCTCAGCCTCTATCACTTAAATTTTTTCACTTCCTTTTCTCTACTTCCCTAGGGCTAGCAGTATCTTGACTGCTTCATTCAGTTTGCAGAACTATTTAAGAAACAATATTCTGTCTCCTATATCCTCCATATTCCCAGAGGTAAGCAGGTAGAAAAGGGAAACAAGGAAATTGGAGGAATTATGAGTGACCTGCTCACCAACTGATAAAGCAGAACTACAGAAGGAACATGGATGAACCTTAGAGAGAAACCTCTCTATAAACTGAAATTTGCCAAGCACTGGAGTAGGCAAGGAGGTTCCTGAGAATGGGGGAATGGAGAGGGTGACCTATGGAGGTTCTTTTCCAAACTTCTCCCTTCCTCACCTCATCCAGATCATCAGAAATTATATAGGGGATAAAACTTCATCCTCAGGAAGTTCTTGTCCCAGCTGGGGCCCAGGAGCCACAGGATCAGCAGCTGCAATGCAGTTACCAACACAAGTAAACAGGGTGGGTCCCCGCCCACTGACAATTCTGCTGCCCAGGTGCCACCTGGTGGTGATAAGCAGTAAGTGGACAACAGGAAGGGATGCCCATTTGTTAGAGGAAGTGTCTTACAGGATGAGGCCTACAGGAGGAGAGAGAGTAAACTTCCTGGACTTGCAATCTGCATTTATATGTAAACCATAATCACCTCCAAGAGGCAGAGGGTGAGATACGGTACTCTGATCTCAGCTCACAAAGATGGGAAGGGCAACAAGATTTGAGGAAACTCCTTCTGTATTCTTTATTCCTCAAAAGTTACTGCCAAGCCAGTCGCGGTGGCTCATGCCTGTAATCCCAGCACTTTGGAAGGCCGAGGCAGTTGGATCACCTGAGGTCAGGAGTTCAAGACCAGCCTGGCCAACATGGCGAAACCCCGTCTCTACTAAAAATACAAAAATTAGCCGAGCATGGTGGCATGTACCTGTAATCCCAGTTACTCTACTTGGGAGGCTGAGGCAGGAGAATCACTTGAACCCGAGAGGCGGAGGCTGCAGTGGGCCGAGATCACGCCACTACACTCCAGCCTGGGCAACAGAGTGATACTCCGTCTCAAAAAAAAAAAAAAAAAATTACTGCCAAGTAGTGATCGCTTTGTTGGATGGCTATATCATTAGAACTTTCTTTTGTCGTCTGGAGTGAGACTGCCTGAATAGATTCCTGGCCCCATTCCTTACTTGCAGAACCCTGGGCAGGTTACTTTTTAAGCCTGCTTTCTCCTCTGTAAAATGGGTACAATAATATTACCCATTGTGTCAATGAGATGTTGCATGTAAAGTGCCTAGCACAGAGCCTTGGCTTATATTAAGCAGTCAACAAATGCTAGCCGGCTGGGTGCGGTGGCTCAACGCCTGTAATCCCAGCACTTTGGGAGGCCGAGGTGGGCGGATCACGAGGTCAGGATATGGAGACCGTCCTGGCTAACACGGTGAAACCCCGTCTCTACTAAAAATACAAAAAGAAAATTAGCTGGGCACCTATAGTCCCAGCTACTCTGGAGGCTGAGGCAGCAGAATGGCGTAAACCCTGGAGGCAGAGTTTGCAGTGAGCAGAGATCGTGCCACTGCACTGAAGCCTGGGCCACACAGCTAGACTCCGTCTCAAAAAAAAAAAAAAAAAAAAAGTTAGCCATTATTCTAGAAATCCCTTTTTACTTCCTGTGTAGCAAACAGGATCTTCCTCCACTGGGCAGCCCTTCAAATATTTGAAGACTTCTATTTGAAGCTTTCTCTTGCCAGCCTTTTTTTTCTAGCAACACACTGGTTTGTCAATGGCCCTCTTTAAAAATTACATTTAGAACAACACACTACTAAGTGGTTACACTTAGGCAGAACATAGAACTGCTGTATTTGTAATCTATTACCAAGGTTCTACTACCCTTATGGAGCTCCTAGAAAGATGCCTAGAACATAGCAGGCTCTTAATAAATATTTATAAATGGACATCTTGAGGGCTAAGATTCTATTTTTTTGCAGCCAACTGGAAGTCCCAGTTTGTTCTCATGTGAATTATTGCTAATATAAATCTCTAACATTGTTCCTCAAACTAGTTCAAGATCTAAGCAATTTTTTAGTGTGAGAGTGCTCCAGTGTTTTAGTCAATTCAAGTTACAGACACTTTGAATATTATTTAGCTCTTCCTGTGTTACTGTTGATAAATGGGTTTTTTACATGTTTACCCGAGTTGGGTTTTTTCTTTTTACAATAAAACATAGCCCTTGGGCTTATCACTAGAGAACAGAGATTTCTCTAACATAAATGCGCTAACCAACACTAAGTACAAGTGTTCAGTTTGATTCTACCAAATGCTACTATTTTTTTCTCATTATTTTTTAACCAGAGCCATTTGCATGGAAAAAATGCTACGATTAACTGACCCGTAATTTTCCTCTTATCTGTGATGACTTAGCAGGTGAGAGAGAGGAAAGTAGCTCCTGTAATCTGGGAACTGGCCTGACACAGCCAGGCTTCAGAGCTGTTAGGGCTGACCTGGTGCTCACAGGTAGCCAATGAGTTCTCTTGGACACAAACAATCTCACAAAACACCAGCATCAGACAAGGTCACTCAGTGACTGCGATGAAGTGAGACAAAAAACAAAATCACTACACAATTTTGTTTAAGCACAAAACAAGGTCAGTGTGCAAACCACAAAACAGCAAACATCCCCTTTCCCAGCTAGTGAGTGACTTCATCATCGACTGTGCTTAGGTTCACTTGTCTGCCCTTCTTCTAGACAAGCTACCCAATTATCCTGGATTCCCTTAACAGCACCCAATCCAAAAGAACACCCACTTTCTTGAATCTTCCCCAAAATCACTTAACCAAAGTCTAAGTTCTCTAAGTCGTTCCTAACACCCTCATGCTGAGACACACCACGTTATCCCCAATGGTGAGCCCTCCCCCTCACTGCAATGAGCATTAAACCCAACTTGCTCAATTACCAGGTGTATTCTTGGTGGTCTTCAGCTGGAGTAAATACATACAAGACATACAATGTCTAAAATTTCCCAAATCTACCTCTTTGGAGATAACCTGGCAAGGAGGAAATAAAGTCAGTCAGGATTTGACTGAGAATTCATGTTGGTATCTATGGTTACATTCTTCTCTAAATGCTCTTAAACCATCTCTTTTAATAGTCTAGAATTGCCGGGCACGGTGGTTCATGCCTGTAATCCCAGCACTTTGGGAGGCTGAGGCGGGCGGATCACGAGAGATAGAGACCATTCTGGCCAACACGATGAAACCCCGTCTCTACTAAAAATAAAAAAATTAGCCGGGCGTGGTGGCGGGCGCCTGTAGTCTCAGCTACTCGGGAGGCTGACGCAAGAGAATCGCTTGAACCCAGGAGGCGCAGGTTACAGTGAACCGAGATTGCGCCACTGCACTCCGGTCTGGTGACTGGGCAAGACTCCATCTCAAAAAAAAAAAAAAAAATTGTGTCCCAAAAAACATTAAGCTTATCAATGTGTTGTTTCTAAAATCCACAATGTTAGCCCACTTTTAGTCTTTAGGCTTTTTTTTTTAATGACTGGCCTTGACCTAGCCCACCATCTCCAATCCCAGATGTGACCTGAGTGATCAACCAGACAAGAAAGCAAGAGGTAGCAGGAGACATGATGAGGGGGAACACAATCCAGGATCACTCTCTACCCCCAAATCTACTGTCCCATTAGACTAGACACCTGAGTTGTTTTCCCTACATCAGCCGTGAGCTGAGGAGGAACTGAGGTTTGACTATTGGGGCCCCTGGCCTTACTGACTTAAGTAGATTTAAAACTTCTGGTCCTATGTGGAGACAGAGGAAAGGGATGGACCCTGAGGCTTGTGTCCCTAGAAGGACTCTCTTTTCCCAGACCTCCCAAGCCTTGAAGGCTTCAGGAACTGGCCACTGAAGGGGTGGGGTAGGAGGGACATTAACTGCCATCAACTGAGCGGCAACTGCCATCAACTCAATGGCCATCAACTCCACCTGTCCTGCTCTGTTTGAATAAGGATCTGTCAACTATGTAACATCCCATCCGCATTTCAGCAAATACACTCTCCTTACTGCCTGCCCTGCTAAATGACCCTAGGAGCCCTGGTTACTGAGGCAACCTGGGAATAGCACATACAGACAGAGACCAGAAACAGATGGGACTATTTTTAAAACTAGACTGGGTGGCTCCAAAGCTTTTACCCCATAAAGTGCCTTCCCCAAAGCCCCATTTGGTCTTGTTCTGGGTCCCTACCCTTCTTCACTGGCTTCTATCCATCTTACCAAAGCTATGTGAGGCTGGGGTCTTTATCCCATTTTGGCATGAGATCTATTTACTGCTCCCATCTTCCACACAGAATAGCTAAGCAAGTTTTCACTGCCTCCATTTGTTAAAAATAATTGTTCTTTTATTTCTTTGGAAAGTAGTGGGCCCTGCCCTATGGATTTTCAGGTCAAACTAGGGTAATGAATGCTCCCCTAGTCTTTGGGCTGGAGCACTATGGTCCCAGCTTTCCCAGGGCCCAGAAGCAATTCCTGTATTGTCCAACCCAAGCAACTAGGACCCAAATTGTCTGAAGGCTCCTATCAGGCCTTCTCTCCTGACCACCCACTTCCCAATCTTTCCTGGCTTTCCCTCTGGGCAGGGTATTTTTTTCTTCTAAAACCAGTGCTGGAACCTGTGCTGTGCAGAAGAGAGGACAAGACGAGGGATGTTCCCAAATTCCCATAAGAGGACACAGCCCCTCAGTCAGTCCTTCCTCTCTGCTGGCTTCAGTCTGCACTCCTCTGCAAGCCCCCACTGTGAGGCTTGAAGATGGACAAGAGGACCCTCATAAAAGGGAGGTGAGAGAAAACACACCATCCCAACCCCTCCTCAGGACATACTCCTTGTAGTCTCTTGTCCTAGTTCTCAAGGGAGCCCTTCAGACAGGGATGGGGAAGGCTAGGTGAGTGGGCAAGGGCCCCCTGACCCCAGCCCTGCGAGGCTATACCAGGGGAGTGTCCATTAGCCCCATCAGTGTGGCATGGCCGTGATGCGCATGCTCTGGGAAGCGATAGGGTAAGTCACCATGGGAGTGGTGGTGTGGCTCATTGTGATTCCTGCCAAGGGTTGGGCCATCGATACAGCCACAGGGGCCACAGGAGCCACAGATACAGCCACAGGAGCCATGGAGACAGGTGGAGGTGCCATTCCCTGGGCAATTGTTTGAGCCAGGGCAGCTGACAGTGGCGTGATCTCTGGGGTCAAGTGTGGGGGTGGGGGTGGTGGAGCAGCAGGAGGTGCAGCATTAGTTGGGGGAGCAGCTGGAGCTCCAGCAGGGGCCACCAGTTCTTGCTGGGACACTGGACGAGGCTGTAGAGCCTGGCTGCTGAGAGTAGTGTGAGTCTGGGCAATGCCATGGTTAAAAGTGGCAACAGTGCCCACAGTGGGGGCCAGAGTCTGCTCAGTCGCTGGTGCAGTGGAGCTCAGGGTTATGACCTTGGCCTGATTGCGGAACTGAGCATTTTGTTCCAGTAGTACCTCATTGGTGGCCAGCAGGTTGCTGACCTGCTTCTTTAACTCCTCTACCCGCTTCCTGAGCATGGCATTCTCCTCCTCTAGCAGTCTGCACTCCACCCCTCGCGGTGGAGCCAAACTATATTCATATGACTCAAAATGAGGGCCATCAGGGGGGCAGCATCCACCTCGCCGGCGTTTTGGGCCTGGCTCATGGTCCTCAAAGCCCCTGTCAGGAAGGTCATAGATATCATAGAGATCATGACGTCGTCCTGGGAGGACTGAGCCTGTTGAGCCCCCACCAGTGCCTCCTCCACCCCGAGCATCAAACTCAAAATCCCGTTGCAGGTGACGGAACTTGCACTTGGCTCCTCTCTGACAGTCACCCTTGAGAAAGTCACGGCAGATAGGGACCTCCTCCTTGCCATTTGGTAGGTCAGCCGGTGAAAGGCCAAGGCCAGCTGCTACTTTCTGCCTCAGCCGTGGGGGAAGCTCTCCTGTCTTCTTATAGCCATCCTCATCCTCCTTGGAGCCATGGATGAAACGGCAATTTGGGCGGCTACACTCCTTGTTCTGGAAGTCATGGCAGAAGATGAACTCGTTTTTGCTCACCCCCAAGTTGGACACCTCGCTCATGTCTGGGTGGCGATATCGGCAACGCTTGCCTCGCTTGCACACATTCCTCAAGAAGTCTCTACAGATGGCATCTGAGCTGGCCCCGCCACTGCCTACCCCTGCCCCACTGGCCTCCTCGCTGCCACCACCTCCAGGGCCTCCACCGCTGCTCCCGGTACCGTTGGCATAGCTGTCCCGGTCAGGCATCCTGGTCCCGCCCAACTCAGGGTTTTCTTTATCTTGCCACTCTTGGTGACCACTACAAAAGAGGAGAACTGTATCAAACAGGAGTCCTCCAGGGAGATCCCACTCTTCCTGACTATAAAGCAGGTGGCCCAGAGGGGCAATGGCTTTAGAGATGGAGAATCTAAGGGATAAGAATTCTGGCTGAAATGTCTGACTCATCAAAAGCCCCTCCCAGGGTTTTGTGCACCTGGTCTGGGTCAGAATGATTCACACTTGCCTGGCTAACGGAGGAGGGATAGGCCCAGGACGGAGCAGGGAAAAAATAGTGTTGGAATTCATCTTTCCTTTTGAGCTGACCTTATTAAAGTTGTGGAAGTGAAATTAAAACTGCAGTCAGTATCTGAATAGTCTGGAAGGAAACTGGGAATAGTGCCCAAGATGGGCTACTGAGCTACTAGGGCTGTAGAAGATGGGACACTGGTAACAAAACTTCCTTAACCCCCTTTCCTTTTCCTCAGGTAAGGGCTCTGTACACATCAAATCTCTAGAAGCCAAGAAATCCTGGGTGAAGAGACTGGTGTCACCAGCTTGAGGGGAGTCTCAAAACCTGTCATATTTTAGTATTCCCTCCCAGCCATCATCACTGTCAACGGCAGAGAGGTAAGCCCCTTCTATTTCAGGATAGGAGTTCTAAGTTAGAGTCTCCACTTCTAGATTTCCTAGGACAAACCATTTGTGATAAGGTCAAGTGGGAAGGAGTTAATTTCACAGGAACAAGTGACCTTTCCCCATTCCCCACCCCCTTCCTACTCCCCTATGTGAAGATCCCACTGACATCCAACCACACCATTCCTCAACCCAGAAAGATCCTCTTTATTTATAGACTCCATAAAAGCTTTTTAAGTCTCCTATTTCCCAAGAGAGCTTTGGAATGTCAGTCCACTGCCCTGGTTCTAGCCCTCCCCTCTCTCCACCCCCAGTAAGACCTGGAGTCCCTGCTACCACGTGTCTGACCTCCCAAGCCTTTCCTATGCGGTGTTCAGGCTCCCCCTGCTGCTGAAATAGGAAAACTTCATATTGTTCCCTTTGAGAATAAGGGAATCTTTCCTAATTCCTTTGGCCTTGACCTACCCCCACCCCACTACTGTGACTTTGCCTTCAGATCTCCCTAAAATGAACTAACCAAACCAGAGGCCAGAGTTACAAGAGAATCTGTAAGAGGGTCCTCCTCCTCTAAAGAGAGGTAGTCCCAGAATAATAGAAGCAATCAAGGAAAGAAGTGGTAAAAGAAGATACAAACTTTTAGTAAAGGGGAATGACCAGGTGAAGTACAAATGCCATCTATCCAAGCCTGGCTCACGTTGCAAGTCGCACCAGCAGCAGATAATTAGTTATGATGCTCCTCCCCACCCCACTCTCCCAGAATTGATACCTGAGGTAGCTCAGGTGAAGTCCGGGGCTCCTGTGGGTCTCCACCTCCACATCACTGCTGGGTTCTGAGCAGGAAAAAAACAGAGACTTGGGTGGAAGAAGGAGTAAGAGTGGAGGACTATGGGGTGGTTGTCACAAGAAATCTGACAAAACGGCAAAGCTTCGAGAACGTGAGGATTTCCTCAGGGTTCAAACTGAACTTCACCTGTCCAAGGGAGAAGTTGCCAGTAAGAAGAGTAAAACTAATTCGGAGGGACTGGGAGGAGGGGTTGGAAAACCAGCCCTGAGTGAACAAAGAGTGCGGGGCGCCCTGCCTCAAGATGAAAGAGGATGTGAGGGTCAGAGCACCGCCAAGGGCTGGAGTTAGTAATGGCTAGTGAGGAACCTCAAAAAGGCAGCGTCTGACAGTGCATTGGGATGGCCGATTAGACTTGAAGGCAGTGATTGTGACGCTTCCCAACACCCTAGAGTTTGCGAAAGAAGTCCTAGGAGTTTTCCCGCAGCAAGTCTTCTAGCTTGGCAGGTTCCGTGCAGTGCCGCCGGCGCTCAGCCGTGGGCTACGTGAATGGGACACTAAGGGCGCGCGAAGTGAAGCGGGGAGCTGGAGCTCCAGGTGTCATCAAGCTGAGGGGATGGGCAGGGTTGTGACGTCACGAAGCTGGCGTTTGCTCGCGATGCGGGGTCACTCAGAAAAGGGGCACTGCCCTGGGGTGTGAGGACGAGCCAGCTCGGTTCTGGGGGGCCTTCTGTGGCCTGGCCGAGCCCAGCCGCTGGGCCGGCCCCGACTCCTCCCCTCCGGGCGCGGCCTCCACCTAAGTCTCCCGCCTCCCTCACCTGCCGCCGCCGCCGTAGTTGCTGCTGCCGCCTGCCGGTCCTCTAGCTTCGACAAAGAGCCGCCTACCCGATCGCTCTTCCGCTTCCTGCGGAAGAAGTGACGCTCTAGCCAGCAGACCCGGAACCATACTCTATGGTGTATGAAGTACGCGTGCGACATGCCGCAGGGCGTTCCCAGCACGCTTTGCGTGTCACTATGGCAACCCAACCCAAAGGCACGACATGGTCTAAGCGGTAGTCGCCAAGGCAGCCCTCCTGGAAAGGGGCGGTACCAGCATTGGCCCCTAATAACCCGCGAAACCTAAAACCTGCCTCCAGAGACGTACCATATCCCATCCAACTCCAGCGAGATGCAAACCACACCACGTAACCCGGGCTGTTGCCTTTATAGCTTTGATACCCTCCATAGCACAGGTAGTGACAGGGCAAACTCTAATGACAGAAAACCCCCACCCGATGGAACCATAAAAAACATAATAGACAAGATGATTTAATTCTTCAGCTAAAACAGCGGAAGAGGTGATTTATTATATGGTTGTTACACTCGGCCACAAATAAACACAGAAATAGTCCAGAATGTCACAGGTCCAGGGCAGAGGACCAACATGGGCATTTTGTTTATGAGCAAGGTGGGTCTCAGAGGTGATCGGCGATCAGAGGGCGATGAAGTTCTAGATCCATTGAGACAAGCTCTAGACAGTAGCATGCAGTCCCACAACTTGTACCAGCATCCCCAGCGTCTGGCATTCCATGTTTCTGCTCCTGTGGCCTCCACGGTGCAACAAGCTAGCGGTTTACTTGGACCTCTGCCTCATCTTTCTTCTTTTGCGCTTCAGCCTGAAAAGCAGACACAGGAATGGAATACACCTCAAACCAGAGTTGCCTTTCCCTCCCACATTAAATCAAACGTCCACATAAAGAATGAGGTGGTAAAATGAACAAGCACTACGGTTCTATCGTTCTCTGTTCTGTTAAATCCTGGCTCCAGGGAGAAAACACTCAAACGTTTTTCTCCTAAAGATCTTTTAAGATTTCCAAACCAAATGTTTCTCCTAAGTTTTGTCCAAGGAACTTCCCTCCTCCTGGGCTGGCAAAGTCTCAACGTACCTGCGCATTCGCTTCTTCCTCCACTAGCAACCGATCACAAGCAGCAGATAATTAAAAAAAAAAAAAAAAAAAAGGGATGAAGCTTATTAGTAGGCTTAGCAAGGATATGAAATGCACTCTTTAGAACCGGACAGATTCTTAACCAAGAAGTATGAAAGATTGGTCGTAACAACTACATCAGTAACTTGGACACCCTCCCAACATAAGATCAGAATTCCACCCTTTTCTAAGCCCACCCTCTCTACCCATAGCACTTAACCGCTAGCTCTCTCACAAACTACCTTCTCTCTCCCACCAGCTCTTGGGCACCCTTGAAACCCAGTAGTTCAGGAGGTATGGCGGACTTGCCTTCGTCTCCTCGCTACTACTCGCCAACTCCTACCTCCCAAGCTTACTACCAGGAACCGCTCACCTTGGCTCTCATGGCGCAGAGGTTTCTACAGGGAAAGAGAGAAAGGCTACAGTTAGTTTGCTGTGATGATGCTAAGTGCCGAGGTCAGATGTCTATGGATTGTACACGGAATCCCAACGCAGGAACCAAAAAACACTCACCCAAAAAAATGGCGCTAAGGCCGAGAGAAAGGCGAAGTTCCGTCTACGGCTATTTAATGGAGCGCCGGGTGTCGTCACTTCCGCTTTCACGCCCTTTGCCCCCCCCAAGGGCGGGGCTACCCAATGGGCGTAACAGTGGTTTTCGGACCCTCTTGTAGAAGGGTAGGTTGAGTTAGTTCTTTCGGAAGACCGAGTATTTGGTTTTCGAGTTACCAGTTCCCCCCCAGATTTAGTATGAGGACGCTGTGTTATTTAAACGTCAGCACCTATTTCCAATATTGGACCTAGAGGTGCAGACGGGGAAAAAATAGTGACCGCCACCTTCCCTCGCATTGCTTCTTGGGAGTTGCAGTTCCCTGGAGAAGTCCTCCATTTTGCTATGGATAGGCGCGGACTGTACAGAAATTCTTGTTTTACTGGTTTGCCTTCTTTTCTTTCTTTCTTTCTTTCTTTCTTTCTTTCTTTCTTTCTTTCTTTCTTTCTTTCTTTCTTTTCTTTCTTTCTTTCTTTTTTTCTTTTTTGAGACAGGATCTCACTGTGTCACCCAGGCTGGAGTGCAGTGACGCGATCTCGGCTCACCGCAATTTCCGCCTCCTGAATACAAGCGATTCTCCCGCCTCAGCTTCCCGAGCAGCTGGGACAACAGGCGCGCGCCACTTGGCTAATTTTTGTATTTTTAGTAGAGACGAGGTTTCGCTGTGTTGCCCAGGCTGGTCTCGAACTCCTGAGCTCAAGCGATCCGCCCGCCTCGGCCTCTCAAAGTGCTGGGATTACAAGCATGAACCACCGCGCCCAGCCGGTTTGCCTTATTTTCTAAAATAAATTGCTGCAGGGTGATTCGATTCCGGAACCATCGAAGGTCCTAAGATTTCAGAACATAGGAAGATATAAAGTGGGGATTCGGGAAAGCTGCCATACTTCAAAAAATATTTTCTCACTGTTTAAGATAGAGCAATTATTTTTCCTAAATTTCAAGAATAAAATAGCTGATTATGGTCTTCCCCCACGATGCCCGAAGCAAAATATCACTAGAGATTCCTGGCTACAATGCATCATTTGTTCAGAAAATACGTCAGCGGGCTGGGCACGGTGGCTCATGCCTGTAATCCCAGCGCTTTGGGAGGCTGAGGTGGGGGAATCTCGAGCCCAGGAAGTCGAGGCTGCAGTGACCTATGCAGTGATTCTCTAGGGGTGAAGAGCGAACCAACGGACATAGGGAGAAAATTACCTAAATCTAGGGAAAGTATGACATTTGGTGTTAAGATAAAGAACTTCCCAGTTTGATTGTATGCTCAGGTGAGAAGCACTGGAAAACAACCAGATCCCCTAAGATTTGGCTACAGGAAACTTTTGAGTTAATGGGGGATGAAAAAGAACCCTTTCCCTATAGAGACTTCATCTTACAGTTTTAAAATACTGTAACATTTTGTATGTGATTGTTACAATCCCTCTTTTTTTGTGGTTTCCCTTTATTATATTCCAGGATAGCATTTCACTTTCAATCCCTGAAAAACGTTTTTAAAATTAGGTTCCTTCTAAGTAGTTGTAGTATTGTCACCACCCAAATATATATGACAATTTTTTTGAAACAAAAAAAATCCTAGCAGAATTATTTTGTATCAGTTCCACCAAGATTTCAACTGATGATTGCCAACTAGTTTATAAGCTCTTTGAGGGAAATTTTGTTTGCTTGTTTTTGATACGGAATGGAATCTCACTCCTGTCACCCAGGCTGGAGTGCAGTGGCGCGATCTTGGCTCACTGCAACCTCCGCCTCCTGGGTTCAAGCGATTCTCCTGCCTCAGCCTCCCAAGTAGCTGGGATTACAGGCGCCCGCCACTAAGCCTGGCTTTTTATATTTTTAGTAGAGATGGGGTTTCACCATGTTGGCCAGGCTGGTCTTGATCTCCTGACCTCAGGTGATCTGCCTGCGTCGGCCTCCCAAAGTGCTGGAATTACAGGTATAAGCCACCGCACTTGGCTGTTTTTTTCTTTTTTTAATAGACTTAATTTTTTAGAACAGTTTTAGGTTCACAGCAAAATTGAGAAAGGTATAGACATTTCCCACACATATAGCCTCCCCCTTTATAAACATCACTCCACCCTGCCAGAGTGGTACATTTGTTAACAATAGAACCTACGTTGATATACCATTATCACCCCAAATCCATAGTTTAGTTTACACTAGGGTTCACTCTTGGCATTGGCATTGTACATTCTTTGCCTTTGGACAAATGCGTAAGCAAGGAGAGAGAGATGAACAGGCAAAACACAGAGGATTTTTAGGGCACTAAAACTACTCTATTTTAATGGTAGATATACATCATTACACATTTGACCTGTGTTCAGTTCTGTTCACTTGTAGTATCTCTAGTTTAGCAATTCCTGACATGTAGTAAGATAAACTAATTACCCATCTGACCTTAGTCTGGCCCTGAAAACTAGTGTACCATTCTTCCTGGCTTCTTGAATTCAAGATAAACACTTGCAGTACTGTTTTTGCAGTAGACATTGTGTCCTAGCCCCAAACAAATCTTAGCAGTGAGGACTGTTTCTACTTAGAAAATTACACCACCCAACTCCAGCAGATTACTATATCATCAAAGATTCTAAGATTTGTGTCTTCTGCAAGTCAAGACATTCCTCGTTTTGGGAAGGTAGAGCATGGCACTGTGGAGGAACAGTTCCAATACCACTTCAACTGACATTCTCCCCACCTCCATCAAACAAGAGCAGCATACAAAGCACATCATTATGAGCAAATCCAAATTTATTTTAATGTCATGTCATTTTCAATGTGTTTAAAAACCTCATAAGTTAGTGGGAGCCCTAGTTTCCTGGGACAGCATGCCAGAGGTACTGAAATTTGTCACCTTTCTCTACAAACCCCCAGCAATCCAATCCAAGTCCATAGCTTCAGAAAGCCAGGAGTTGTGTCTTCAGTCAGTCTACGCCTCTGGTTCTTGGTTTTTCTTTCATGGGAGGGAGATCACAATATTTCAAACAGGGAACAAAACCAGTTGAGCTTCCAGCTCAGGTCTGTGTAAGATGGAGCGAGGAAAGACCCCACTGACTCCAGAGAAAAAGGGTAAGGTTGAGATGGATTATTTCTTTACAGCTTTGTGAAAATGGAAGAAAAAAGATTTACAAATGAGGATCCATTTCATAGATGAGAATCTCTTCATAAATGAAGGCTCCAGCTCCTAAAATGGGAGGGGCCTGACTGGACAGCCTGAATCAGATGAGGAATCGGCCACACTGAATAAAAACAATCTGAAAAATAATCCTCTTAATTTTGAAGCCAGATAAAATATTTGGGGAGAATGGAAAAAAGAGGAAAAAGCCCCAAACAGATGGAAAAAATGCTGACATCAGAGTGGTATAAAAAAATTCGGCTGAGTTTTCAGTGGTGGTGGCTAATTTAGCCCTGTTCTGTAGTGGGGCACAAACCTTGACCAAGCAGAGAGTAGTAGAAAAGGCTAGAAAGAGGGGCTTGAAGACGATGAATTTTGACTCCTGATTTTATTATTCAATTTCTTTTTTTCATTTAAAGTAGTCTTCCGTGGTTGGGAAGCCTCACCTCCCAAGACCAGAGTCAGTTGGAGCTGGTTGTTGTTGGAAGGGAGTGGGTTGGGGAACTGGGGTGGGGGCAGGGAGATCCCCCCGCTCTGCTGGCGGTCCTAGGTGGAGAAGAACTGCACTTCACAGAGTCTGGGGTTTGGTGGGAAGGGGATGAGGCAGGAGCAGCAAGCTGGGGAGATGGGACCCACCTCAGTCCCCAGCTTCATTTTCTTCTAATGTTTCCCCACTGGTGGCATTCTCTGCAGTCTTGGAGGCCTATATGCAAGAAAAGGAGAGGGAGAAGACCTGTCAGTTTCTAACTACTTGGGGATGTCTGGGACCAGAGATAAAAGTATTTTTTTTTCTGAGACAGTCTCACTCTGTTTTCCAGGCTGGAGTGCAGTGGTACCACTTCCCTGGGCTCAGGTGATCCTCTCACCTCAGCCTCCCAGGTAGCTGGGACTATAGGCATATGCCACCATGTACAACTTTTTTGTATTTTTTGTAGAGATGAGGTTTCACCATGTTGCCCGGGCTGATCTTGAACTCCTGGGCTCAAGTGATGCTCCTGCCTAGGCCTCCCAAACTGTTGGGATTATATGTGTGAACCACCACACCCAGCCATAAAGTTATCTCAATCCTCTGGGTCACAGCTGAAATAAAGACATACAGGTCTCTGACTTACAATGGTCAACTTGTGATTTTTCAACTTCACAATGGCGTGAAAGCAATATGGATATTTCGATACATGATAATTTGTTCAATAAATGTTTTGAGCACATTCAAGGTAGGCCAGGCTAAGCTATGAGGTTCATGGTAGGTTAAGGTACATCAAATCCATTTTGAGCCAGGCATGGTGGTGGCTACTCAGCAGGTCAAGGCAGGACAATCACTTGAACCCAGGAGGAGTTTGAGGATACAGTGAGCTATGATCATGCCTCTACACGTCAGCCTGGGTGACACAGTGAGATCATCTCTTTTTTGGAGACAGAGTTTCGCTCTTGTTGCGCAGGCCGGAGCGCAATGGTGCGATCTCGGCCCACTGCAACCTCTGCCTCCCAGATTCAAACAATTCTCCTGCCTTAGCCTCCCGAGTAGCTGGGATTATAAGCGTGTGCCACCACACCCAGCTAATTTTGTATTTTTAGTAGAGACGGGGTTTCTCTCTGTGTTGGTCAGGCTGATCTCAAACTCCTGACCTCAGGTGATCCATCCGCCTTAGCCTCCCAAAGTGCTGGGATTACAGGCATGAGCCACTGTGCCCGGCCAAAGCAAGGCTGGGCATGGCAGCTCATGCCTGTAATCCCAACAGTTTGGGAGGCTGAGGTGGAAGGACTGTTCAAGGCCAGGAGTTTGAGACTCTGTCTCTTAAAATATATATATATATATTTTAAAATCCATTTTGACTTACAGTATTTTCAATTTATGATGGGTTTACTGGGACAAAGTTCTATCATATAAGTTGAGGAGCATCTGTATAAAAATCCGTATTTCACTACAACTTAACACAGTGGGAGAAAGAGGGATCAGGTTCACCCTGCCAGAGAGGAATGATCGTTAATAACACACCTTCTTTTTTTTCTTTTTCTGGGTTTTTCGACTTGCAGAACTCTGGAGGAGGGCCTGGAAAACAGGAAGAAGGGAAAAAAATTTTGAGAAATGTGGAGGAAATTAAAAATAAAGGGTTACTTTCAGTACTGCAGCTCTTTTCAGGACTTTGCTGGCATTTAGCCCTCACTCCCAAGCAGGATACCATGTACATACTCACCACCTTCTATTCCATACTAACCTTTAGCTCTGCATCCTGGACCTCCATCTCAGACTTGTAGAGGTCAGGCTCGAAGGGACCACTGGTTATCCGCATGGGGCCATTGGGCATGAGCAGAACTGTAAATTTAAACTGGGCAACAAATTCACCTATGGCAAAAATGAAGATGTGTTTTGATAAAAAGTTCCTTTGTCATACTTAGCTCTTCTGAACTTACAGGAAGGATATCTTATAATCAGGGAATCCAAAGTGAAGCTCTTTTTGGAACTCACCCTCCTTCTCATAGAGAACATTAAATGGTTGCAGCAGTTCATGTTTGGCGCACTCCACCACACCCATCCGAGCCTTCTTCTCATCTTCAAATGCTCTGGCAGGGAAGATGATATTCAGAGGTATCTTTAACTCCCCATCAAGTCTTACCATTTTGCTCATATTTTAAAATAGCTCCTACCCTCAGGCAGAAATCATGCTTAGGATTGCTCTTTTACATTACCTTCAATGAGAAGGAGATGGGGAGAGAGAGGGAGGGAGTGAGCACATGCACGCTACAAGTCTAGGCAGGAAGGGAGAGGAAAAAGTGTTCCTGGGTGTATGGTCTGTGAGTCAGACTGGTTCCAAGTACTATCATTGCTTAGTACCTTAAAGTAAACGGCATGGCATCAAAACGCCTTTCCACCTCACTGAAGAAGGCACGTGAAGTTTTCATTTTCAGTCCATACTGTTTAGAGGGGTCTCGTTTGTAAATAGTGGTTCTCTGTCCTGCATCCTTGGCCTGAAAGAGTAATTTAAGTAACATTTGGTCTGGTGAACACTCTCAGTCACCCCTCTTTGCCAACTCTGGTACTCTCCTCACCTTGCCCTCTCCTGAGCTGACGAGAACATCCACAGCATATACTTCATGTACCTCAAATTCAGCTTTTTCATGGTCCTTCCTAAAAGGAATAGAGAGAAAGGAATTTTTTTTTTTTTTTGACACAGAGTCTCATTCTGTCACCCAGGCTGGAGTGCAGTGGCACAATCTCAGCTCACTGCAACCTCCACCTCCCGGGTCCAAGCAACTCTCCTGCCTCAGCCTCCCAAGTAGCTGGGACTATAGGCACAAACCACCAGGCCTGGCTCATTTTTGTAGTTTTTAGTAGAGACAGGGTTTCGCCATGTTGGTTAGGCTGGTTCTGAACTCGTGACCTCAGGTGATCCACCCGCCTCAGCCTCCCAAAGTGCTGGGATTACAGGCGTGAGCCACCGCGCCCGGCCTAGAGAAAGGGAATATTAAGAGCAACAGGTCACTCCTGAAAACATGGAGTAGAGGGCGGACAAGATTCAGTTGGGAGTATAGAAAAAAACCTGATGACTAGTCTTGTGTGGTAGAAGGTAATAAGTAGGGTTGGCACCTACTTCTGCTGGTCTGTGGGATTCTGGATAATGGTTTTTTCTCCATCGATGACATGCTGCTTCAACTGGTGTGACAGCATACCTGTAGATAGTACACAACCTATGGAACAAGCTATCCAGTATCCCAAAAGGTTTCCAAATCCACCCACTTCAGTAGTTTGAAGTGGTAGGCAGTGAGACAACTACCTGGTTATGGAAACACAGGGCTCTGAGATTTCTGGCTTAGACTGGGTTATAGCCAGGATAGATCTTCAAGGGAGCAAAAGCCTCAATTCTGCAAAGCCACTCATTCTTTTTTTTTTTTTTTTTGAGATGGAGGAGATGGAGTTTCGCTCTTATTGCCCAGACTGGAGTGCAGTGGCGCAATCTTGGCTCACTGCAACCTCCTCCTCCCGGGTTCAAGCGATTATCTCGCCTTAGCCTCCCAAGTAGCTGGGATTACAGGCACCCACCACCACGCCCAGCTAATTTTTATATTTTTAGTAGAGACGGGGTTTCACCATGTTGGCCAGGCTAGTCTCAAACTCCTGACCTCAGGTGATCCGCCCACCTCAGCCTCCCAAAGTTCTGGGATTACAGGCGTGAGCCACCGCACCTGGCAAAGCCACTCATTCTTAGACCCTCAACCCTGTTATCTGTTCTCACCTTCTATTGGCGTGCAGTTAAATGAGTGGGCAACTTTGTTCCAGGCTTCTGTCACTTGTGTGTTCTAGAAGTACAACATCAAATGAAAGGTGAGATATCAGGAGCTAATAAGTTCTCTACAATGAGAATAAGAAGCATAAAAGAACTGAGCGTTTTTTTTTTTTTTTTTGAGATGGAGTCTGGCTTTGTCACCAGGCTGGAGTGCAGTGGCGTGATCTTGGCTCACTGCAATCTCTGCCTCCCGGGTTCAAGCTATTCTCCTGCCTCAGCCTCCTGAGTAGCTGGGATTACAGGCACGCAACACCACGCCCAGCTAATTTTTGTATTTTTAGAAGAGACGGGGTTTCACCATGTTGGCCAGGATGGTCTCGATCTCCTGACCTCGTGATCTGCCCACCTCAGCCTCCCAAAGTGCTGGGATTACAGGCATGAGCCATTGCACCTGGCAGAACTGAGCGTTCTAATATCCTCCATCAAGCCCCAATGATTGTCATTCACTGGTTTTTCATTTCATAGCTTGATTATCCCTACAATCTAAAAATACTTTATACAGATGCTCCCCAACTTGCAATGGGGTTACATCTCCAAAAAACTCATAAGTTGAAAATATCACTAAGTCAAAAATGCATTTAATACCCCTAACCTACCTAACATCACAGCCTAGCCTATGTTAAATGTGCTCAGAGCACTTAAAAAACATTATCCTACAGTTGGGCAGAATTATCTAACACATGCCTATTTTATATTAGTGTTGAATATCTCATGTAATTTACTAAATACTATATGGAAAATGAAAAACAGAATGGTTGTATGGGTACTCAAAGTATAGCTTCTACTGAATGTAGCATCAAGCTGAGGACCAGCTGTAACTGCATATCATTTTACCCAGTGCTTTCACAAAGATGGTCTAACTCAATAAATTTTGCATGTGAACAGGGCAGATGTATATCCCAATCTAGAAGACAAGGAAACTGAGTCTCAGGTTAAATGATTTGCCCCAGGTTAAATGAGTGTTAAGTGAAAGAACTTGGTCATAAACCTGGGTTTTCTTTTTTCTTTTTGTAGACGGGTCTCGCTATGTTTCCCAAGCTGGTCTCAAATGCCTGGGTTCAAGCAATCCTCCCACCTTGGCCTCCCAAAGTGCTGGGATTACAGGCATGTGCCACCACATGCCTATAATATTAAGTCCAGTGTTTATCCTTTTTTACCTGGCATTCTAATCTGTTTTGTGGGGACAGCAAATGCTTATTTTTCCTTTTTCTTTTGTGAGACAGGGTTTCATTGTTGCCCAGGCTGGAGTGCAGTGGCATGATCATAGCTCAGCACAGCCTCAATCTCCCAGGCTCAGGTGATTCTCCCACCTCAGCCTCCCTGGAAGCTGGGAATACAGGCACATGTTACCACGCCCAGCTAATTTTTGTATTTTTTGTAGAAATGGGGTTTCACCATGTTTCCCAGGCTGGTCTTGAACTCCCAGCCTCAAGCTATCCTCCTACCTTGGCCCCCCAAAGTGATGGGATTACAGATGTGAGTCACTGTGCCCAGCTAAATATAGCTAATTTTAAAAAGCTGTTTTATAAGGGGTCTGTAGGGGAGGTTGGTAGTTTCATATAGAGTAGCTATAGGTGCCTAATGCATCTTTGGTTCAAACGAGCTTTGGAATTGGATAAAATAGCTTACCTGATTTCCAGGTTTGACCAGGCGTAGGGCAGCTTCAGCACAAAGGTGAGCTGCCTTAATAACATCTGCTTTCCTCCCTGTTACTTGGGTCCCCTGTAGATAAGGACATGCAATCAGTATCTTCCTGGAAAGTCTGTTAACTCAGCTGGCTATCTGGTTAATATCTGTGAGCCCATATGCGAAGACCAGCCAATGAACAGGAGGGTAAAAACAACAACAACAACAAAAACCTTTCTCCTTTTGCTTCTCTAGAGACTCTCTCAACTTACGTGGTGATTGGGGGTGGGGATAAGAAGCAAATGGCAGTGCATTCCCTCTACCCCAAGGCTAAACAGAGATCAAAAGCAGGCCACCTACCTGAGCTACATCAACCACAAAAGTGTGAGCTACATTAGCGATGAAGCCATCCACATGGACCCCAAGGTCACTGAAAGGCAAGATCAGAGTACTGCATTAGGAACTGGCATTTTGTAAATGCTTTAAAAAAAGAAAAATGCTTTAAAACGGTTTAACCTTACATTTTTACCAAGTCACCTTCCTTGAGAATATAATCCTGGTCGCTCTTCAAAGGGGAGAAGTGACATACACAGTTATTTACCGAAATGCTGGTGGGAAAAGCAATACCTGTAAAGAAAGAATCATCAGCCTACTGCCTTGCTGTCTCCCGGGAGCCCTAGTGCCCTTCAGAAATGTAGAAGGATTTTTTCAGGGTCTTGCTTAAGTTTCATCAGTTTGGATTAGGTAGGAAACTGCTTGTATCCCACTTGCCATTCCAAATTTCCAAATACCTCAGCCAGAGCTGGGGTGGGGACTGCGTCATTACAGTGAAAAAAATAAAAACATATAGGACCAAATAAGGGTCAAACGGAAAATTAGTGAGGGATTTTTTTTTTTTACCTTTCTTCATTTCCTTTTCTTTCTTGAAGATTTTCCCTGTTTCTTCCATAATCATGGCATCACCTTTCTCACACAGGCTCAGTACCGACACACCTGAGCTAGATGCTTCCACCAAGGACCGAAGTACCCCTGAGGACAGAATCCCATCATGTCAGCCTTGTATGTATTCATTGTCTAGTTACCACCCAAGGAATACCTGGAAGTTGAATTTAAGAGTTTCCATAATACTCCCTGGTGCCATTGCCCTGAGGCTGAAAGGTCAACATTCCCTTCTCTTCCTTACATTATGTGACAACTGGGTATATACAATCCATCTCCCTAGGCAAGGCCTCAGACTTTCCAAAGATGCTACCTTTGGTGTGACAGGACAGAGTTATGAACTTCAGAGGGTTCTTGCCATGGTATCCCCACATACACGCAAAGACTAGATGAAATTTATAGGCATCAGGGACAAGAAGGTAGACAGAATTGCTGACTCGAAGCCGATGCACTGTTAAATGTTACCGCATTCCTTTCTCAGACACTCTAATTAGGTGTTAGGAATCTCAATCTATATAGACTTATTTCCTCATAAACAAGTGCATAAGCCAAGGAAACTTAATCTAAGGTCCCTGGGTTTCATTTCGGGGGATCATGGCTTATCTAAAAGAAATATGAGGCCAAAGTTATAAACTGTAAGAGATTTTCTGATTCAAACCACTAGTATCTCAAATACTAAAAGGCACCAAAAACCAGGGTACGATACTAAATGTCCACTGTGATATAAAGCACAGGTTTGACTTTTGGTATCTCAGTTTTGGTGATTCTTTGAAAGCTGGTAAAACTCAGATTTTCACCCACAGGACGGGAGGCATCCTAAATACCTGTTCCCCACCATCTTTGCTGTTAAAACCATTTAAAAGCACAATGACAAGCAGTTTGTATCTCCCTAACTGGAATAAAATGGAAAGGCTAACTGGAAAGAGAGAAAAGAGAAAGTGGCATCTGCCTAGAGTGACAGGCAACTGCTGAGATCGTCAGAGCACACCTGGAGTAAGGATGACTTGTGAAAATCCTAAAATCAGTCCTCCCTTTTCCAGTAATGTTCACAAGCTTGCCTAGTTGGGATAAGACGGAGACCCCAAAACATTTGAGTTGTCAAGTCACTGAGAACAACAAATGTGAATGCTAACTAAGACTATCTGCACAGATTGGAAAGGTGGTAGTAATGAGTAACTTCAAGAAAAGCCATATATATCTCCAAGACTTGCATTAGAAGCTCCAGGAGTGCTCTCCAACGGTCTCCTTAGCTGGCCCAAGGTAGAAGGGGGCCCCCACCAGGGTAAGAGCTGAAGTAAAGAAGGAAAGGCTCCAGCAAAGCACGTGGTGGGGAAGCTGGTGGTGGGGAAGCTGGTGTCAGGGACACTAGCGGAGTAAGAAGGGGGCCAGCCATCCGCAATGGGACCCAGCAACACGTGCCGGCTTGGCTCCTGACGCCCCGGAGACGCTACAAAAACAGAGGGGCACTTCTGTCGCCAATAGCTGGGCGCTTCCTTTTCGAGGTGGCCTCGCCGCTGCCAGAATCAGAGGAAGCAATAATCGGGAATGAAGGATAGGAACAAGAGAAAACACGTCTTGCCTCCTAACAAACGGCCTCGGGTCGGAGCCTGCCAGGGTCCCCTCTCTGCGCTCATCCTGGTCGCCGACCCGCACCTCCATAGACTTCAGCCTGGGCCTGCCCGCTCAGGTCCCAGGCGCGACACCGGGTCTTCCCACCACGCCGTGCCCAGCGGACCGGTGCGGGCCCCTCAGTAGCTCAGTCCGCATGACCCCTCCGCTCCAGCCCCTTCCGGGCCAGCCTGTTACCTTTCCCTATCAGCCTTGATTCCCCGACCCCCGAGGCCGCACTCACTGTTGGCGATGTCGCCCCCCATCTTATACTTGGTCACGACCAGGTCCTCAGCGATAGTTTGCTCCTGTTGCTCGTCCTCGCCCGACATCTTCCTACTACCACCACTGCAGCCTCGTTTCCCCTGAGCCGCCGCCGCCTCTGTCTCCCTTCCCAGCCACAGGCTGTGGTCAGAGTCCCCTCGATCCTCGAGGAGAGGGCGAGCGAAAGCGCGAGCAAGCAAGGGAGCGGGCAGGCAGGCGAGAGCGAGAAGCTGCGAGCGCGCGGGCTGAGGCGCAGGGCACGCTGGGACAACTAGTCCTCTCGGCCGCCAGACTCTAGCCGCTCTCGAGGGCCTTCGAACTACAATTCCCAGCCTGCCTCTCGCGCTCCTAAGCCAGGCCCTGGGGCCTTGCCCTCCAAGGGCCTCGCACGCCGGAATCGCCGGGCACTCTGGGAAGGGTCAGGCTCCGGCGGGAAGGCGGAGCCGTTGGGGAGCTTGAGGGGAAGCGTGGTCTCTCCCGGAAAAACCACTTCCACCGAGAACGCTGAGCGAGAGCCAGTAACAGAGAGGGGCGGGCTGAGGGGAGAGGGGCGGAGCTACGGCGGGGAAATAGGTTTAAAGTCGAGCGGGCAGGGGTGGAGTAGAGTGGAGCCGCAGCGGGTGGGCAGTGTCTACACCTAGGTCGGGGAGGCTGGGTGCGCCCTTCTTCGGATCCCTGGGTCGGCTGGCGAAACCCGCCCAGCCGGTCCAGTCGTCCTCCGAAGCTGGGAGAACAGGGAGGGGCAGACAGGTGGAAGAAGACCAAGGGTGCTGGTAACGGGGGCTAACTGGGCAGCCAGACACCGGAGGGATCATCCATTTAAAGGCCTCGCAATCTAGAGGCCGGACTCCTAATGAAGTAACATGACTTTATTGTTCCAATAACAGGCACCTGGATGGAGCACCTAAGGGAAGTGTTCAGAAAGACATGTTTGTTGAGAGTTCTTACCGTGAAAAAATAAAAAGATTTGATGACTTTTCTAAGATAATGAATTCAGAAGCATCTGGAGGTTTCAGTGTTTGGCCTCTGAAGGAGGGCTTATAGGGCTTTTTATAAGTCCTAAAGCACGTAGGTTCTTTTTGTTATTCCCAATTGGTTGCCTTGTAGATTCCTACTAAAACCCTTAATGAAAAGGACTATGCGCTATGGTTGTTCTAAAGAAATAGAAGTAATAGTAGGACTAGAGAAAGCTGCATGGGACAGAGTAGCACTGTCAGAACACAGAAAGGTGAGTATCCACTGCTGAGGAGCAGATCTCTTATCTAACATACGAAATGTCTTCATTTGACAGACAGGAAGCTGAAAAAAAACTTTGGCATTTTTATTCAGACACGTATAAAAACAAAACAAAAAACTTCAGTGATACAACAGACGTTTTCCCTTAGTTCCCCATCCAAGGGGACAGAGGTGTGCAGCTGAAGCTGGATCTTTTTTCTGTCCTACCTGGAAGCTTCTCACTGCTGGATGAGAATGGCTTCTAAAAGTGGATCTTGGGGATCCTTGTGAATTTGCCCTCGGATAAGGAGTGAAGATCATTTACGGCACATGTGGATTATGGTTTACACAAAGATGTCCAGTTATTTTTCCTTCTGACTACCCCCACCACCACTTCCTGAGATGAGATGTCTAGGTATAGGAGGATGTGGCTGTTGGGGTTAGACTTGATTCAGTGCAAAAACAAGAAACAGTGCCCCTTAAACAAGGGCTGTAACTTAAATCAGTTTTTCTTGGCACCTTACAATAAGAGCACATGCACAGGAATTGGGAGGATTTTGCATCCTGGATCTACTGCTTAATTTATTTCATCTCTTTAAGGCTCAGTTTCTTTTTTTTTTTTCCCCTGTAGAGACAGTGTCTTGCTATGTTTCCATAGGCTTATCTCTAATTCTGGGCTCAAGTGATCTTCCCATCTCAGCCTCCCAAAGTGCTGGCTGGGATTACAGGCATGAGCCACTGCACCCAGTTCTAAAGTTTTTTTTTTTTTTTTTTTTTTTTTTTTAAAGAGATGGGGGTCTTACTATGTTGGCTAAGCTGGTCTCAAACTCCTTGCCTCAGGTAATCCTTCTGCCTCAGCCTCCCAAAGTGCTGAGATTACAGGCATGAGCCACCATGCCCGACTTCCCTTTGTGTAAAATGAGATAATATGTATGTCACAGAATTGTTTTAAGGATGATAAAGGACTAAGTGAGATAATGTAGGTGAAGTTTAGTATGATGCCTGGCTCATAGTTAAGTGCTGAATTATGATAGTAATCAATATCTACTCCTAACCTCTTTCTTCACAGATTTTAAGCTTCTGTCTTTCTAGGGGGTTAAGAGTCATAAACCAAAATTACACTTTCCTCTGCTAGGTTTCCTCCCTTTCCTCTTCTTGACAGTCTGATGGGAAACAAAGGCACACATAAGAGCCTAGTTCCAAGTAGTCAAGAGCCTGAGAGGAAGGGATATGGAGAGTAATCCTTCATATCTCCAGGAGTGCCTGTGAAGAAGCTGAGGAATGGGACTGGGAAAGCACACAAAATAAGGAAAACCTTTCCTGGGGTTGGGAAAGAGAAGAAAGTGCACAGCTGGCTACATACCATAAGAATTTTGTGTCAAAATGTTTAAAAGCCTCCAAAGATTGAATGGAATTGTCTGGGACTGGGGAAAAGGGGCTGGGACCTGGGAGAGAGAGGGAATAGGGAGAAGACGGTACCCTCTAAAGGCACTAGCTGCCATTAAATGCTCCCTGAGTGCCACAGGGAGCAGGAGTTACGTTCTCTGGGCATTAGCCTTGGGGAAAAGCCTGCTATGCCAGTAATCAGGGTTATCAAAGGCAGAGTCTGTAGCCTCTAAGCTACGTAGAGTTTTTAGGCGGGCATAATGGACATGGGGGGCCTGATGTCCAGGCCCCTGAAAAGCTCTCATCTCTTCATACCCTTGCTCAGATGCTGGGCAGGCCCCCATGGCTGCATAATCACCCCCAGGACCACCTCCATCTCGTTGCCGATTCATATATTCATAGTCTTCATCTGGAGTTGTGCCTGCAGTGGGCATGATGGGTACAGGGTGGAGTGGGCAACTCTGTGTGCTGCCCAGAGAGGCACTGAGGTCTGACCCCACATCCATGTACTCATAACCCAGCTCCTCAAGGGAACTTGGCCTAGGGGGATGAGGTGGACTGTGCCTTCTCCTCCGGTTCATGTATTCATACTCCTCATCTTCATCTTCTTCTTCAGTACCCAGGACAGAACTGAGACCCACTGAAGAAAGGGTGCCTTCCCGGGAGGAGGGAGTACCTGGGGGTTGAGAAGAAAGGCTAGGTATGTGAAGAACTTCATGAGGGTAGGGGAAAGTTTGAAAAAATTAATAGGACAGAGAGGCATATGATCAGAGAAGAAAAAAGAGGAGCCCGGGGAAAGAATTCGAGGAAAAATTGAGGAAAGCCCTAGGAAGAGTCAGGCACCTTTGAGGTGTGTATCTGGCATGACATAACCGTTGACATCCTCTTCCTCTAACCCGGGTGGGGAGAGTGGGGTAACAGGAGTCAGCAGACTGTGGCGCTGGGAATGGTAGGCGCTATCTCCGCGTGGCCGTGGGCTCCGGCTCCTGCTCCGGCTCCTACACATTGACACTTTCTCCTGGAGCTCAGCCTCAGAGCCTGTTACATGCCCCTCTGATGACTCTGATGCCAGGCATCCCCGTGGCATTGGGTGTAGAGAGACTGGACGGGGGCACCGTTCACTGCTCCCAGAAACTGCAGACTCCTAAGGAAGAAAATAAACAGAAAATAATGCAAGGAAATTTACATGATGAGGAAAGAAGAGAGATTTGTTTAGAAGGATATTGGGTTGTTCACTGCCTTTTTTTTTTTTTTTTTTTTTTTTTGAGGTGGAGTCTTGTTCTTGTCGCCCAGGCTGGAGTGCAGTGGCATTATCTTGGCTCACTGCAGCCTCTGCTTCCCTGTTCAAGTGATTCTCCTGCCTCAGCCTCCCGAGTAGCTGGGATTACAGGCACCTGCCATCATGTGCAGCTAGTTTTTGTATTTTTAGTACAGACAGGGTTTTGCCATGTTGGTCAGGCTGGTCTCGAACTCCTGACCTCATGATCCGCCCACCTCGGCCTCCCAAAGTGCTAGGATTACAGGCGTGAGCCACCGCACCTGGCCTTTTTTTTTTTTTTTTAAGAGACAGGGTCTTGCTCTGTCACCCAGGCTGGAGTGCAGTGGTACAATCTCAGCTCACTGCAACCTCTGCCTCCCGGGTTCAAGCGATTCTCCTGTCTCAGCCTCCTGAGTAGCTGTGATTACAGGTGTGCACCACCACACCCAGCTAATTTTTGTATTTTGGGTAGAGACGGGGTTTCACCATGTTGGCCAGGCTGGTCTCAAACTCCTAACCTCAGGTGATCCACTCTCTCTGGCCTCCCAAAGTGCTGGGATTACAGGTGTGAGCCAACTCGCCCGGCCCTCACTGCCTTCTTTTTTGCAGGACACTGATTAAACCTCAGAGGTTTCTAATGTCTTCCATACTACTCGTATCAATCTGATCCTAAAACCCAGCCTCTCAGCAACAGAACTTACCTGGCAAGACTCCCCAAGATTACCCTGGTTCATGGGCATGTATCCAGATGATGGACTTAAAAGGCTCTGGCTCTAGGATGAAAAAATAAGGAAAAGGTTAAGATGAAGGGAGAAATCTACATTCACCATGGGGGCCTTTGAGTAGTTAATCTGGGTATCTGTAGGGTTTGTGAGGGCTCAGGGTGCAAAGTGTTGGGTAATTAGAAGTTGTCTTACCCCACGTGGCCGATTAAGTGTTCCAACTGGTAGGCTGAGGGCGGAGCCCAGTGTGGTGGTTGCCAGGTTGTCCTCCTCTGCTTCCAAGTCTAGGTCTAGGTCTAGTTCTGGCTCCAGCTCTACTTCCTCTAGCTTCTTGTTTGTCAGACCATGGGGCTCTGGCCCAGGGGCTATTCCAGGCCCACTCTCTCTCTATATCGATAGGTGATTGTTAGGGGGAATCCTGGTTCCAGCCAACTCCTCCTTTTTCTAAATTTCCTTAGCACCTCCTACTCCCTACTCACCTTTATGACCAGATACCGTGGTGGGTCTCGGGCCATCCTGGTGAACTCATTGGCTAGTTCTTTAAAGGTTGGGCGAATGTTCTCATCAATCATCCAACCTGGAGATAAGATGTAGGAGGTAGAGACATAAAAGAGAATACATTCCATGGCCGGGCGCGGTGGCTCACACCTATAATCCCAGCACTTTGGGAGGCCAAGGCGGGTGGATCACCTGAGGTCGGGACTTTGAGACCAGCCTGGCCAACATAGTGAAACCCCATCTCTACTAAAAAGACAAAAAAAAATTAGCTGGGCGTGGTGGTGCACGCCTAAAGTCCCAGCTATCTGGGAGGCTGAGACAGAAGAACTTAAACCTGGAACGTGGAGGTCACGGTGAGCCAAGGTCACGCTACTGCACTCCAGTATGGGCAACAGAGCGAGACTCCATAAAAAAAAAAGGAATAGAGCCATAAGAGGAGTACAGAGGGAAGTCAGAAAATGGCTGCAGTCAGGCCGAGCATGATGGCTCACACCTGTAATCCCAGCACTTTGGGAAGCTGAGGCAGGCGGATCACCTGAGGTCAGGAGTTTGAGACCAGCCTGGCCAACATGGTGAAACCCCATCTCTACTAAAAGTGTAACAGTTATCCAGGTGTGGCGGGCGCCTGTAATCCCAGCTACTCCGGAGGCTGAAGCAGGAGAATCTCTTGAACCCGAGAGGCGGAGGTTGTAGTGAGCCAAGATTGATTGCACCATTGCACTCCAGCCTGGGTGACAATTGTGAGACTCTGTCTCAAAAAAAAAAAAAAAAGAAAAAAAAAGAAAAAAAGAGAAAATGGTTGGGCTCAGCAGGTAACTCACACTTGACCATCACCATGTAGACATCAATTGTGCAGATCTGGGGCTGTGCCAACCGCTCCCCCTTCTCTAGCAGGTCTGGTACTTCAGCCAATCGTAGCCCTGCATAGGGCTCTGCCCCGAAGGTCATCAACTCCCAAACTGTCACACCTGTTGCAGGAAGACATGGACTAGTCACTGGCAAAATAGTAGACATGGGCATGAAGTGAAGGGAAGGCAGAACCTGATCTAACACAAAAATCTGAAGTGCTTAGAGATTCTAAGAGGGGGTCTCAAAAGGTAAATTTGAAACTGGGGCCAGTGATGGTAGAGAGGGCATCCAGATGCACTGACCATAGCTCCAGACATCACTCTGGTGTGTGTATTTCCCAAAGTGGATACTCTCAAGGGCCATCCACTTAATTGGAGTCTGCGGATTAAAGATAGAGGTATCACAAGTTTATTTCCACAAATTTTCTTAGGATTTCCAAGTCCCAAATTCTTTTTTTTTTTTTTTTGAGACGGAGTCTCGCTCTGTCGCCCAGACTGGAGTGCAGTGGTGCGATCTCGGCCCACTGCAAGCTCCGCCTCCTGGGTTCACGCCATTCTCCTGCCTCAGCCTCCCGAGTAGCTGGGAGTACAGATGCATGCCGCCACGCCTGGCTAATTTTTTTTTTTTTTGTATATTTAGTAGAGACGGGGTTTCACCGTGCTAGCCAGGATGGTCTTGATCTCCTGACCTTGTGATCCACCCGCCTTGGCCTCCCGAAGTGTTGGGATTACAGGCGTGAGCCACCGCGCCCGGCCAGTCCCAAGTTCTTGATCATTATTTTATTTGTTGCCCTCTGAACTAAAATATCTGGCATCTGCAGCCTTCTCTCCTTGAACTTACCATGAAGCATCTGCTTGCCTCTGGAAGAGACCACTGGCTGCTCCCTATCCCCATGCTTCACTCCACCCCCGCCTCCTTACCCTTTGTGTCTCCTCACCTTGGCCTCACTGTATAGCAGCTGCTTATCATCAGGAGGCAGCAGGTCAGCCACACCAAAATCTGCCACCTGAACCTGACTGGGTGACTTGAGTAGCACGTTTCGGGCAGCCAGGTTTCTATGCACCATACCATGTTCCTCAAGGTAGTACATTCCCTGTAGGTATAGGGGAAGAAAGTATTCTTAAGGTTGGGGGAATCAGTCACTGAGATCTGGAATTCCCCCAAATCTTGAAGGTACCTCTCAGCAGTGGTCCCCAACCTTTTTTGGCACCAGGGACTGGTTTTGTGGAAGACAGTTTTTCCAGGGGAAGGGGAGGGTTGGTTTTGGGATGAAATTTTTCCACCTCAGATCATCAGGCATTAGTTAGATTCTCATAAGGAGTGCACAACCTAGATCCTTCACATGCACAGTTCACAATAGAAGTCAAGCTCCTAAGAGAATCTAATGCTGCCCCTGATCTGACAGGAGGCGGAACTCGGGCGGTAATGCAAGTGATGGGGACTGACTGTAAATACAGATGAAGCTTCACTCGCTTGCCTGCCGCTCACATGCTCTGTGGCCTGGTTCCTAACAGGCCATGGACTGGTACCAGTCTGCAGCCCGGGGGTTGGGGACCTCACCTCTCAGAACTTCAACCTTCTCACTTTTTCCTGGCTGGCCCCCAGACAAGCAGTTCTTATCACAGAATTCCTCCAGGCTTCTCTCACCTTGGCAATTTGTACTCCCCAGTTGAGCAGCAGCTGTGGCCCCAGTGCCCCCCGGTGTTGTCTCACATGATCCAGCAGAGAACCCAGAGGCAAATATTGAGTGACAAGCTGCAGAGATGACCCTGGGCATAGTCCCAGCAGCCTTACAATGTGGGCATGGTCCAGGCTGCCAATGGCCAGCATATGCTAAGAGACACAAAAGGTATTATCTAGGAAACCAACAGGTTCACATACACTCAGCATGTGCACAGCCAGCCCAGGCCCCCCCACCCCCAACATTCTGGCTAACATAGTAGCTGCTGAGAAGCACAGGACCCTGCTTCTACATGATTGTATCTAATATTGTCCTCTCTCCTAGCGGCATACAGAATTTCCTTCACTTACATCTGTCACAGCTTGAAAACTCTGCCGTCCACTCTTGTCCTCAATGACTTTAATGCAGACTGGAATCTTGATTGATTCACCCTCAGGGATCCACACTCCCTGGGAAGTTTGGGGCAGGAGTTGGCATAAGGTCATTCTCCCTAGGTCAATCCTATGCAAAAATCTTTCACCCCTTTGCCCTAGATGCCTTCCCCACCTCTCCAGAATTCCTATGGGTCACTCACTTTGTGCACAGTTCCAAAGACACCCGAGCCAAGCACTTTAAGCTTCCTTAGCTCTGTCTCTTTGAAGATTCTGGCCAAGACTTTGTTAGCCTTCTCACTGGGGTCCAGAGGCTCTATGCTCTGAGGAGCAAATGGGAAGGAGTTACTCAGGAAAGGCCATTCCCATGTCCCACTCCAACCCGCTCCTCATAGGTGAATGCCAAAAGCAGCACAGCTGAAAGGGCAGGAAGAGGAAGCACCGTTAGTCCTGGAATGGATTATAGGCATATTGAGGTACAGACCCTGAGAACTGAGGAAGTTATTTGTGCTCATGAGATCAGGAATCAAAGGGGTTGGGTTTTCCCTTTGATGGAGGAGCACAAAGTGGGGAAGGGGACAGCTAGGGAGAGTTGGTAGTACTATTACCACCTTGAGTACCTTTTATACAGTGCTCTGTGCTTTCCAAAGCACTTTCACATACATCATCCCCCTTTACCCTTACAGCCATCCTGGAAGGACAAATGTTATTTCCTCTGTATAGATGCATAAACCGAGGCACAGAGAAGATAAGTAACTTCTTCAAAGTCATGTGGCAAATTAATGGCAAAATCAGGACTAGAATGCATGCCTCCCATTTCTCTGACCAGTGTTCTTCTAGGGGACCACACTACTTCCTTGAAGAAAGGGATCAAATCTCTGGGGAAAGAGGAGGGGAGTGACATTTATCCCATCACTGACCCCTGGGTGCACAGGGTACCACTCAAAATTAAGCTATAAAGAGACTTCCAGGACATGCAAAAAAAGAAAAGAAAAAACAAAAGTAAGCTAAGTACTCACCTCACCCCGTTCCAAGTATCGCCTCATAGCCCTTTTATTCTGAATCCGGCGCCCACGCCAGTAGAGAAAAGTGCCGCCCAGCATCATGAAAATCACTACCAATCCTGCTATCACTGTCAAAGCCATTGTCAGATGGGTTTTGCTATGGGATATATAGAAACCCAACATTATCCTGGGTTTGCATCTTCCTTACAAATGTCAACTATACTTGTGTTGAAGGTATGATGCTGACCTGGGGCAAGAAATTAACATTCACATATATATCCTTAAGCACTGAAGGGACCAACCTAAATCTGGACCAGTCTTAGACTACTGAAAGTTAATTTTAGGAAGGGAAGTCCAGAAGCCTGCATTCTTGAGTCCCAAGTGTCCAGTGATAGTGGACTGCATACATAAAAGGCCAGAATGAAGACAGCCTCCCTCTTCTCTCCAGGTAACCACCTCTCTCCCAACTCCCAAATATCCCCAGTTTCCAGAATCTCCAACCCCATCATACCCGATCAGCACCAGTGTTTGTCCTAAACAGTCTTGAAGCTCTGGTCCTTTACACCTAGGGAAGAAAGTCACCACCTTAAATGAGAGCTTGGACAGCAGAGGCTCAATTTCAACAGCCTAACATATAAAAGCTTGTTTCAGAACTTACCGTGGCATCCCATCCTGGAGCCCAGAGCTGATCCCAAGACATGGCCTCCACCTCCAGCTCACTAGCTCTCCCCAAGCCCCTCTTCTGTGAAACTCCCTTGAACTGAGGTTATTCCAGGTTCCCAAAACTGTGGTGTAATTTTGTGCTGTTACTGATTTTCCCTTTCTCCAATCCTTCGCTACACAGCTGGGAGTGATTCTTTTTTTTTTTTTGAGACAGAGTTTCACTCTTGTTGCCCAGGCTGGAGTACAATGATGCAATCTCAGCTCACCGCAACCTCTGCCTCCTGGGTTCAAGAAATTCTCCTGCCTCAGCCTCCCGCGTAGCTGGGATTACAGGCATGCGCCACCACGCCGGGCTAATTTTAAATTTTTGGTAGAGACAGGGTTTCTCCATATTGGTCAGGCTGGTCTCGAACTCCCGACCTCAGGTGATCCACCCACCTCGGCCTCCCACAGTGCTGGGATTACAGGTGTGAGCCACTGCGCCCGGCCAGCTGGGAGTGATTCTTGAATCACAGCCTCTCTCTTCTTTCTGCTTCCCTCACTCTAGTTCTGTGCTCCTACCCTTCCACCTGACCCCCTCTCCTTATTATCCCATCACTGACCCCTGGGTGCAGTTCTCATGGCAGGGCCGACATTCATTCTGAACATCTGGGTACTTGTAGATTGGGCCCTTGGCACCTAGGACTCCATGGGGGCAGCTGCTCACACAGTGGGGCCCATCTCGAAAATGGGCACATTGAGCACAAGTATCAGAGCCCTGAGTGGAAGAGAGAAGGTCAGGAAGAATCAGATCCCAAGGTCAATTCCATACCTCCCAGCAAAGACCAACCCAGACATTCAGGATCTTCTATCTGCAGGCCCTAGCATTATCTGGCCTCTCTGTGCTATCCTTAGCCATATCATTCCCCAGATGCTCCAAGTATTGCCCCTTCTCTGTCTCCCTTGGAGATCCTGGTGCTACTAGTATACCGAGCCATTGCATGTGGCAGTGCCCTCCATGGGTTGGCATTCCGGGTGGCAGGAGAAGCATTCGGCCTCATGGGCAAATTCTCGAGGCTCCCTGTAGTGGGGAATAAAGGGAGGGGGGGGTCACTTCCAAGTCCTGACCTTCATGCTCCGATCTCACAACCACAGGTCTCCTACCTCAATCCCACCAAGGCACATGCAGAAAGCTGTCTAAAGACTTTTATTGTATGCCACCTGAACAGTTCCATTGCAGGGCCCCACCCCCACCCATCCTTGACTGGCTCCCCTTACTGTACCCATTCAGAAAGTTGCAGTGGGTCACACAGACACCTCCTCGGCTATAATTTCGACAGGACAAGCACTGACCAGGGCCTGGGCCCCAGCATCCCCCAGAGGAGCACAGTGGGTCACACACTTTGCCCTCTGCCACTGGAAAGGAAGGGGTGGGTTAGGAGAGGAGTCTGAGGACTCCCAGCAAGCCCTCTCTTCATTATTCTTCCTCGTTACTGCTTCCAGCCTAACAGCCCCCTTCTCCTTGGTTCCATCCCTCAACCCTACTCCCACGTCTAGGGCAGAATAGTCCTTTCAGCCCTCTCCTCCCTGACTCCCTATTCTCACCACCTAGCAGACCCTTTCCCTCACCGCAGTCTCTGCGCGGCCGATTATGCTTGATGTCTAGTCGCTCTTCCGTAGGCCCCCGAAGCACCTTGGTCCAGTTCAAAGAGTGGTGGTAGCAGAGCTGCCTATTGGCACTTATATAGATACGCCCAGCACTAATTTCCTTCAGGGATCGGAAGCCCAGAGATGTGACATTCAAGTTCTTCATGATCAACAATGAGAAGCCCCGGCTGAGAATAAGGAGACAGGATGAGAGGAGAGACTACTAAGGGAACATTAACTATTCAAAGGATTCATGTTAGTCAAGAAATTTGCTCAGTGCTAGTCAGATCCACTGAGAGGGAATCCCCCTCCTTTTGCCTTTTCCTCGTGAAACTCTGAAACCCTTTGGTTTTGAGGCACTGCTGTATGAGACAGTGCCTTGTATTTTACTAAAGAATGCCTATGACACAGGCTTCATTGCCTGAAGATGCCATTTCCTCCATACCCTTTACTCACTTGTAGAGGCTTCTGCCTCCAATGGTTGTCAAATTGGAAAAAACACTGAAGTTGTGCATGTGGGGCGGCCAGGACTGGATGTTCAGGTAACCTGAGGGGTTGGAGAGAGGCATATGGGCAGGGAGCCTTCTTCTTTCTTGGGTTCTCCTGGCTCCTCCCCTATAACTTGGGACGTGATTTTCTCAAGTAGTTATACCGCAATTTATGCCAGTGGTTCACCTATTCTTCTAGAAAGGGCAAACTCTCTGCCACTCACCTGTGATCTCCCGTACTGTCCGGAAGACATTGAGCTTCTCTGGGTCCAGGGCAGGGATCTTGTGCCAGGGGTCTCTGAATAGAACAGTAGAAACCAGTCAATAAGGTAAAGGTATAACTCAATGGCAATGAGCACACCCAGCCTCAGCATTTGGTTTCTAAATATCATTCTCCACTAAAAGGAAACATTCCTTGGAGAAATGGCTGGGATGGGGGAAATATAATATAAGCCCAGAGCATCTTGTGCAAACAAGACAAGACTCAAAGAATTAAGGGTACAGCCCAAAGAACACAGGAGCCAACTTGGAGGGGCTGGCTAAAATAAATAATGATTGTAAAGGATTATAACCATTGACTAGAATAAAATAAGTATCCATAAGAGTAAATAGGAAAGGAAGACCTTTTTTTTTTTTTTTTTTTTTTTTTTTTTTTGAGACAGAGTCTTGCTCTATCGCCCAGGCTGGAGTACAGTGGCAGCAATCTCAGCTCACTGCAACCTCCACCTCCTGGGTTCAAGTGATTCTCCTGCCTCAGCTTCCTAAGTAGCTGGGAATACAGGAGCACACCACCATGCCTGGCTAATTTTTTGTATTTTTAGTAGAGACAGGGTTTCACCATGCTGGCCAGGCTGGTCTTGAACTCCTGACCTTGTGATCCGCCCGCCTCGGCCTCCCAAAGTGCTGGAATTACAGGCATGAGCCACTGCACCTGGCCTTTTTTTTTTTTTTTTTTTAAGAGACAGGGTCTCACTCTGTTGTGCAGAGTGAGTGCACTGGCTGGAGAGCAGTAGTGCCATCATAGCTCACTGTAACCTTGAACTCCTGGGCCCAAGCAATTTTCCCACTGGCTCCCAAAGGGCTGAGATTACAGGCATAAGCCACTGTGCTCAGCTGGAAAGACTCTTCCTAACAGTAGAATGCCAACAAACAAATGCAGAAGGAATAATGGAATTAGAAAATTATCATTTGGCAACTATCATAACAATAATTGATTCAGGCAATTATCCCAAGACATTCATTAATTGTGAATGGAAAAATAGTAACTTTACAGTAGAAAAACCTGACAGATATCACCTTAACTAAGTGACCAGAGACATCATTGTGAGTGCTGGGACAAATCAACATCACGTACATCCTCAATAGGATGCCCTGAGCTCACAGCCTCTGTGGTGTTCTTATCAAACTCCAGCCTGGCAGCGGCGCATGCCTATAATCCCAGCACTTTGGGAGGCTGAGACAGGAGGATCACTTGAGCTCATGAGTTCGAGACCATCCTGGACAACATGGTGCAACCCTGTCTCTATAGAGAATGGCTTGAACCTGAGAGGTGGAGGTTGCGTGAGCTGAGATCACGCCACTGCACTCCAGCCTGGGCAACAAGAGCGAGACTCCGTCTCAAAAAAAAAAAAAAATATATATATATATACACACACATATATAAATATATAAATAGTATATAATATTTATGTTTATATATATTTATATATATTATTTATATATATATATTTATATTTATATATATTATTTATATATATATATATATATATATATATATAAAATTAGCCAAGCATGGTGGCATGCACCTGTAATCCCAGCTACTCAGGGGGCTGAGGTGCTCGCTTGAGCACGGGAGGCAGAGGTTGCAGTGAGCTGAGATCATGCCACTGTATTCCAGCCTGGGCAATAGAGCCAGACCTTGTCTCAAAAAAAAACTACAAAAACTTGAATCTAATCATGAGGACACATCAAACTAATCCAAACTGAAGAACATGCTGCCCATTACCTAATCTATACTCATCAAGAATATCATGAAAGATAAACAAAACCTGAGGAGCTGTTATAAAGGAGATTGAAGTGCCACGATAACTGAATGTAATGTATGATCCCAAACCTTAGGAGGACAATTAGTGAAATCTGAATAAGGTCTGTAGCTTAGATAATATTTTGTGTTAATGTTAATTTTCCGATTCAAACAACTATGCTGTGGTTATGTAAGAAAATATTATTTTTAAGGAATATACGCTGAAATATAACAGGGGTAAGAAAGAACCATGTGTGAAAATTTACCCTCACGTGGTCCAGAAAAACAATAGCATGTGTTTTGTGTGTGTGTGTGTGTGTGTAGAGAGAGACAGAGAGAGAGAGAAGTGATAAAGCGTATGTGGTATTTTTTTTGGCGGGGGACAGAGTCTCGCTCTTTCACCAGGCTGGAGTGCAGTGCCGCGATCTCGGCTCACTGCAACCTCTGCCTGCCAGGTTCAAGCTATTCTCCTGCCTCAGCCTCCTGAGTAACTGGGACTACAGGCGCACACCACCACGCCCAGCTAATTTTTGTATTTTTAGTAGAGATGAGGTTTCACCATGTTGGCCAGGATGGTCTCAATCTCTTGACCTCGTGATCCACACCTAGTGATCCACCTGCCTCAGCCTCCCAAAGTGCTGGGATTATAGGCATGAGCCACTGTGCCCGGCCATATGTGGTATGTTAACATTTGGAGGATCTGGGTAAAAGAGTGTATGGGGGGCCAGACGCGGTGGCTCACACTTGTAATCCCAACACTTTGGGAAGCTGGGGCGGGTGGATCACTTGAGGTCAGGAGTTCGAGACCAGCCTGGCCTACATGGTGAAACCCTGTCTCTACTAAAAATACAAAAATTAGCCGGGCATGATGGCACACACCTATAATTCCAGCTACTCAGGAGACTGAGGCAGGAGAATTGCTTGAACCCGGGAGGCAGAGGAGGCGGAGGTTGCAGTGAGCCAAGATTGCACCACTGCACTCTAGCCTGGGGAACAGAGTGAGACTTTGTCTTAAAAAAAAAAAAAAAGTATATGGGGAATTTTATACCATTCTTGCAACTTTAGTGTAGATCTAAAATTATGTCAAAATAAAAAATTAAAGGAAAAAAAAAAACAGGTGGTCATAGTGGGTTTTTTTTACACACACACACACATTTTAAATGCTGTCCTATAGACTAGAAAGTCCCTTTGTTCTTTTTGCTCCAAGGAGCAGAATGAGTGAAAACAGCTAAAAGTCATGGGGAGACAGAATTTTCTTTTCTTTTCTTTTTTTTTTTTGAGAAAGAGTCTCGCTCTGTCGCCAGGCTGGAGTGCGGTGGTGTAATCTCGGTTCACTGCAATTTCCGCCTCCTGGGTTCAAGTGATTCTCGTGCCTCAGCCTCCTGAGTAGCTGGGATTACAGGCATGTGCACCACCACACCCAGCTAATTTTTGTGTTTTTAGTAGAGATGGCATTTCACCATGTTAGCCAGGATGGTCTCGATCTGACCTCGTAATCCGCCCACCTCGGCCTCCCAAAGTGCTGGGATTATAGGCATGAGCCACCGGGCCCAGCCTGGAGACAGATTTTTATCCAAATCTAAGGAAGAACTTTTACAAAACTTTAAGAAGGAGGTTGGGTGCTGTGATCCCTAGCACTTTGGGAGGCCAAGATGGGAGGATTGCTTGAGCACAGGAGTTCGAGATCAGCCTGGGCAACATAGCAAGACCCTGTCTCTACAAAAAAATACAAAAAAATTAGTCAAGTATGATGGTGTGTGCCTATAGTCCCAGCTACTTGGGATCACTTGAGCCCAGGAGGTCGAGGCTACAGTGAGTCGAGATCACGCCACTGCACTCCAGCCTAGGTGACAGAGCAAGACCCTATCTCAAAAAAGAAAAAAGAATAAAAAAGAAAACTTTAAGAAGGAGGATATGTTGTTCCTGTCCCTTGTTCCTTGGCAGGGCGATATTGAATTGCTCAAAGATGTTCCTGAGGGGACCGAAGGCCTGGATGGAGGATGTGTTAAGCATTCTTTCAGGTCCTTTGTAACAGGCTAGAATTTTATGACTTTGATTCCTAGTCAGCTCCACATAGGAAAGTTTTGGCCAATGAAATGAACTGTGAGGGGTGCGTGGGCTGGGGTCTAAGGAGGGAAGGCAGGATCTCTAACCCATTGAGGCCGGTGATCAGAAAGTCCAGGTTGCCCAGGATCTTGGTGCAGTTCACAAATCCATCAATGTTGCTCGAGTCCACAGTCTGGAAGCGGCTCCCAGAGCCTGTTCCCTCACAGGCTGCAAATGTAAGAGAGGTTCAGTGGGGGTGGTCTGCGCAGGCTCAGAGGAAAGGCTGTCTCTTTACAACTTCTTACCATCTCCTACCCACCTTTGGGACATAGTCCCCCACAAGGCTCACACATCTTGAGCCCATTTTTATCTACTTCCATCTTGTCAGGAGGACAGGCCCTGACACAGGATGTTTGATCCACCACAAAGTTATCTAGGGAAGAGGAGGAGGACACCATTAGAGATGAGGGAGGAACATCACCAGCTACCAATGGAACCCTTGCTCTGGGCCTAGGCTCCCTCCAGCTCTGCACTGGATTTGTCCCCATCTGCCACCCTAGATCCCTTAAGTGCTGCCCTATAGATTCAAAAGTCTCTTCACTATTTGTTGCTACAAGGAGCAGAAGTAAGGGTGATAGCTGAAGTCATGGGAGGACTGGACGTAAGGGTCACTCACTGGAGTGGTTAGATGATCATAACCATTCACCAATCTCCCTATTTATCACCAACTGGATTCTTTTTCCCTTCCACAATTTTGTCTAAAATCTTGGATCTACTATTGTTGATCATTGTTCCTTCCCCTCAGACACTTACGGGGACAGCTGGCTACACAAACTCCTCCATACTGATACTTGGTGTGGGGATTGGGTTCCAGCTGGAAAGTTAGCTTGTTGTAGACAAGAGGCTGTGGACAGCGAGGTACACAGGCTCCACTGTCATTGAAGTGCCGGCAGGCCTGGGAAAAAAGGAGGCTCATCAGATTTATGTTACGTGTGTACCCCTACCTCCTCCTCAAAGGCCACATCCCAATTTCAGAACCCAGGCAATGGAAAGGGTACATACAAAGCAGTCTGTGTCCTGAGGGCCTGAGCAGCCCCCGGCACACTCATCATGGCAGCACTGGTTGGGGTTGGGCCCAAAGCAGTGACCATTACACTGAGGAGCACAGATGGTCTTGGTCACTATGGAAGGAGAGAAAGCATGGCTGTTAGGGCTCCTAGGACTGAATTCTGAGGCCACTGCTCATGCCTCCCCCACAGTGTTGACCCAGGCTTGGGGAGGAAGGGATATGAAAGCGTATGAGTGAAGTTTTTGGAGGGAATTTCAAACCCACATGTCTGGCAGTCTTCTGATCCAGGACCCCAGCATCGCCCCTTGCAAACCTCATGACAGGGGGGACCTGGTTGGGAAGGAAGGCAACACAAGGGGCCATCAGGGCTAAGAAAGGCTTGTTTTAATCAACGGGGTATGATGTCAGTACACAGGCACCTCAATCCCGGGAAGCAAAAAGCCAGGGCTGTGTCCCTCCCTGCCCTTGGAGAGCAGGGCTGGGCTCAAGTGGACCTGTCAACAAGGGGCGCGGCCACGCCTCCACACCACCCACTGGGCAGCTGAAGGGGAGGGACTGGGGCAAATGCCAACCTTAGTCCTAGTCCCAACCCAGGAACTTAGTTCCTCCTGGGCAAACTGAATATATGCAGGAATATATGCATGTGAATGGTCAGGGGAAGGTGGGCTCCAAGGAAATGGGAGTATATTCTAGTGGAACGAGTAACAGATGTGGAGTCTAAAGATCTGGCTTCCCTGCTTAGTACTCAGGGATTTTTTTTTTTTTTTTTTGAGACAGGGTCTCACTCTGTTGCCCAGGCTAGAGTACAATGGCACAATCACAGCTCACTGCAGCTGCAGCCTCCTGGGCTCAAGCAATCCTCTGCCTCAGCCTCCTGAGTAGCCGGGATTACAGGTGCGAGCCACTACGCCTGTCTGATTTTTTTAATTTTTTGTAGATTTTTTGCTATGTTACTCAGGCTGGTCTTGGACTCCTGGGCTCAAGCGATCCTCCCACCTTGGCTTCCCAAAGTGCCAGGATTATAGGCATGAGCCACCATGCTCGGCCTGCTCCTTTTCTTGAAACACCTCCTCTGTGGTTTAGATTCCAGGAGACTGGAATGGTCTGCCCTGGTGGGCTGCTGAGTCAGGGACCTGAGGTGTTTGTTCACTGGGGAGGCGGGTTCAGATCAGGAATGTAAGGATGATGGAAAGAAGGGAGTCACTCTGGTTTGGTGGGACTGGGGAGCAATCTTGATCACGGCCACTTACAGCTTCTGCCATTGTCCTTCACCACTATCTCAGCATCTCGGTCCCTCACGATGTCCCTCCAGTCAATTGTGTCCATGTGACAAAGCTTATCGTTCTTCTCAATATAAACACCCCCTGACAGAATCTCTGAGGTAGGGAAAGAAGTGACAGGGTTAAGGGCCGCAGCGGAACGCCTCTTCCTTACCTCTCCACCCATCCAAAAGGACACCTGAGACTCAGGAGTGGGAGAATGAGGCAGACAGATAGGTCCAATTAAATCTAAGCTGCAGAGAAGACTCCCTTTATAAGATGAGGAGTCAGGCCAAAAGAAACTCCTGCCTCCTCAGTCACCTGTCCAGATCCGGTTTAGCTAGTGGGGGAGGGGAAGGGAGAGAGGGAGAGATTTCTGACTCAACATTCCCTCCCCCAAGCCCTGCCCATATGTTTTCCAACTGACTGGGACATGGAGAAGCAGAAGATGGACAGGTGGTTTTTAACCCCTATATTCCTCCAGCTCATAGGGGTTTGGTTTAGGAGAGTAAAGGTAGAATTCCTAGGGAAGGAGGGACATCCAGGTATACTGTACTTTGGTTTTTTTTTTTTTTTTTTTTTTTGGAGTCTCGCTCTGTCGCCCAGGCTGGAGTGCAGTGGTGCAATCTTGGCTCACTGCAAGCTCCGCCTCCCGGGTTCACGCCATTCTCCTGCCTCAGCCTCCCGAGTAGCTCGGACTACAGGCGCCCGCCACCACACCTGGCTAATTTTTTGTATTTTTAGTAGAGACGGGGTTTCACCGTGTTAGCCAGGATGGTCTCGATCTCCTGACCTTGTGATCCACCTGCCTTGGCCTCCCAAAGTGCTGGGATTACAGGCGTGAGCCACCGCGCCCAGGCTTTTTTTTTTTTTTTTTTTTTTTTTTGAGACGGAGTCTCACTGTCACTTACGCTAGAGTGCAGTGGTGCAATCTCAGCTCACTGCAACCTCCACCTCCCAGGTTCAAGCGAGTCTCCTGCCTCAGCCTCATGAACAGCTGGGATTACAGGTGCGCACCACTATAGCCAGCTAATTTTTTATTTTATTTTATTTTTTTGTATTTTTAGTAGAGACAGGGTTTCGCCATGTTGGCCAGGCTGGTCTCAAACTCCTGATCTCAAGTGATCTGCCCTCCTTGGCCTCCCAAAATGCTGGGATTACAGGTGTAAGCCATCAGGCCTGGCCTCCGGTACACTGTACTTTGAAATTAGAAAAACGGTTAACAGATCCAGCTCTGACTCCAGCCCCACAAGGACACAGGGTTCCTTTCCCTGGAGCAGATGCCCCTAGCTCCCCCTACTGGGGGCCCTCTATTGCTTAGGGAGCAATGGACCTTTAGACAGCGGCCAAGGTGACAGGCACCTTGGAAGAGGCACTTAGAGTGAGCAGTCTTGGGTCATCATCAAGGAGGTACCAGTCTTGGGCTGGCTGAGGGGTGAGGCCAGAAGGAACCATCGGGAACTGACCGGTGAGCTGAGTCAAGCGGAGCTGGCGCAGAGCGTGGCTGGAGTTGGTGTTATAGTTCAACATGACGAAGATGGCAAACTTCCCATCGTAGACCTGGGTCCCTCGCACCACGCGGAGGTTGGGCAATGGTAGAGTAGAGAATTCATTCATGGCCACGAGGACATAGCCTGTCACTTCTCGAATCCACTGTGACAGAGCAGATTATGTAAATGAGAGAGACAACAGGGCAAAATAATCTCAATCTCCTCTCCTCCTTCAGGCATTAAAGACTCTTTAACTGTTTTAATTCTTCCTTCTTTCTTTCCTTTCTTTTTTTCTTTTTTTTAAAATTTGAGACGGAGTTACGCTCTTGTTGCCCAGGCTGGAGTACAATAGTGCGATCTTGGCTCACCACAACCTCCACCTCCCGGGTTCAAGCAATTCTCCTGCCGCAGCCTCCCAAGTAGCTGGGATTACAGGCATGTGCCACTACACCTGGCTAATTTTGTATTTTTAGTAGAGATGTGGTTTTTCCATGTTGGTCAGGCTGGTCTCGAACTCCTGACCTCAGGTGATCCGAGCTTGGCCTTTTTTTTTTTTTTTGGTGAGACAGGGTCTCGCTCTGTTACGAGTGGCACAATCTCGCTCACTGCAGCGTCAAACTCCTGGGCTCAAGCAATCCTCCCACCTCAGCCCTCCAAGTAGCTGGGACTACAGGTGCATGCCACCATACCCAGCTAATTTTTGTATTTTTGTAGAGACAGCGTTTCACCACATTGCCCAGGCTGGTCTTGAACTCCTGACCTCAAGTGATCTGCCTTCCTTGGCCTCCCAAAGTGCTGGGATTACAGGCATGAGCCACTGCACCTGGCCTTAACTCTTGCTAATTCCTATTTGGGAGTAGGGAGTAGACTGTGTCACACTGCTGTGTCACTTCTGGGAGTGAAGACAGGCAGCTTTCTCCTCAAAGTGCCTCATACCAGTAGGGCCCCTTCCTCATCTCCCCAGGTAACCTCTTGGTCCTCAGGTTTCTCTCTGCACTAGTCCCTGCTGACCTTGCACTATCCACAGAACACCACCTGCCCCTGACCCTGCCCCCTATATATCCCTGGCTACAACAGTGAGACCATAGGTCCCAGATGACAGCCACTGTCCCCATAAATACACGGTTTTGAATCTTAGGAACTCCTGAGTCTTAGGAAGGGTGAACTCCAGCAGAAGGTAGCCCTGAAGAAGGAAGGAGGGTTCTAGGGGAGAATAAAGAGGAGCAGGTTGAGGAAGGAGGGTGGGCTCACTAACCTGCAGGAAGGAGAGGTCGGCATTGTGTCCCGTGAGCACAATCTCAAGGTTCCCCATCACCACCTCACACCTCTCGTAGAGCTTGTACAGTGTCTGGTATTGGTTCTCAGCATCGCCGGTCACACTCAGGCCATTCAGAGTCCCAGGACACACTGTTCAAAGCAGAGGGAAGAGTGGCTGAGGGCTGGACACAAATTCTCAGCCCATCTGCCATCCCCAAAGATCACCCCCTTGGTTGCCCTCTTCCAGTTACATTAGACAGGATCAGATGGCATTTGCCTCCAACCCTCCCACAAGCGATAGGCAGAAGCTGTAGTGGCCTGAGAGCTTTCTCTCTTCTCAGAATCCCCTTACCATTCCATGAATGGGAAGGTGAAAAGATTTCCTTTTTCAACCTGGGACCCCTCTGTGCTTCTTTTGGGTACTAAGGGGTTAACTGAGAAGGAAGACAGGGAATTTGTTTCTCTCCCTAGAAAAGAGAAGTTAGGAAAAGGCCGCAACTTTGATTACCCTCCTCTCCCCCTCCAACTAGGGCACTCACTTCTCTACCCTCATCCTGCCTCTCTCTAGGTCCTGGAATAAATATCTCTTTGGGACTAGTACACAGCCCCTATTGTGTCTACTGAGGGTGGGATGGGGGCAGAGGGTGGGGGCAGTGCCTGGGGCCACAGTCCAGCCCACAATGAGGCGATTCTATCCAGGAGGGGGGCTGCCCCACCCTGTCCCTAGACACCCCGTCCTCAGCAGCACTCCCCTCCACCCTCAAGCCTTGGGCTCAGACAAGTGACCTCAGTAGAGGGGGGAGCTCTGGCAGTGCTGGGGTGAGGGGGGGTCAATGGGAGCTTTGTCTTTAAAGCTGAAAGATAAGGAGCTAGTTGCCTCCCCGCCTTCCTAAACTCAGGGTTTCCTTCTCACTCTCTCCCCCATCCCAACACACTCTAGCAACCTCAGCATCACTTTCCAGCCCTAGAGTATTTTTCAGCAAATACAGAGGAACCTGGAGAGAGATAGTAGCAGATGCCCCATATTGAGCCTCCACACAATTTCATTGTTAGAAGAGGTTCATGAAAAAGCCTTTCACCATGGCAATCCTCACCCACACTAGGGGAGAGCCTAGACTAGAGGTACATGGCATGTCAGCCTTGGGAGTTCACTCTTCTTTGCAAATGTGGTGGACAACGGGCTATGGGAAGTCCTGGACTCTGAAGCCCTACCCCAGTCTCTTTCCTCTGGTTCAGGGAAAGACCATGTGTGGGGTGGGGAGTAGGGGGTAGATACCACCTGTTCCAGCCACCCTTCCCTGAGGCGGTGGTAGCTCAGTGGGAGGCAACAGTGGGAATGGAGGGAGGGAGACTGGTGAGGCCCCAATCCCTCCTATAACATACACCCCTAGTCTGACTTCTTGACCTTGGAGGGCTCCTTATCACTCCCCATGAAGGTTGGCTAGTCCCAGCAAAGAGAGCTAGTTCCAGAGGAGCTGGGAACTCCAGGGTCCTTGGGTTGAAATGAAAGAGACTAGGAAGGTTAGTCATTTCTGGAACAGCCCCACCCCAATCCCCTTCCTGGCAGGATACCCCCTTTCCCAAGTTATAGTGCCAACACTTCTCCCCAGATAAGGGAGGAGCCAAGCTTTCTGCACAGGGAAGTAGTAGTGTGGGCACACACATACACACACAATGTACACACGAACACGTACACATTGGTCCTGCTGGCTCAGGAATCTATAGTTGGGTTTCCTTGCAGGAAGTATTTCAGGTGGCCCCATCTATCCCACGTGCCCATAAGTGTTTGTGCAGACTTTGTGTCTGTGCTTGGAAGGCTACAGTGTTAGAGGTAGCCCAGTTCCCTGCTACCCTGAGGGTAAAGTCCATATTACACAAACAGGGGGCAAAGGGCCTGGGCAGGAAGGGAGCACAAACAACACCTCTGGGGAGGAGCTAGGCAGCTTGGGGAGCAGGGCAGGGGAAGGGAATCATAAAAATCCCTGCTGTACCCAGGAACCGGGAGCATAGGGAGGGGCAGTGTCACAGGCCCTCCTTTGGTAGAGAGCACTAGGGGTGGGATAGAGCCAGAATCTCCAGCCCCTCCTCAACCAGAGGCCTCCCCTCCAACATCCCCCACCCCCATCACAGCCAGGACAAAGGGGCTATAGAAGGACTGAGACAGGGCCGGATGCCCAGAGGCTGCAGGACCCAGATAAAGGGTAAAGAGACCCAACCATGCCTGCCTCCTGCCTCCCCAGGGAGGGTGGCCAGACTCTGGTACTCCTGGGTTTCTGGGTGAAGATTGCAGGAGTCTGGATGGGACAGTTATACAGTCACTCCACTGCTCCCTCCCACGCCAGTCCCCAGACCACCCCCCTCCACCAGCTGGGAGTGTTCACATCTAAAAATCCCAGGATCTAAATTTAGGCCCAGCAACTGTGAGGGAAGCACAGGTGGTTTCTTCCACTCCCACACTGGGGAAGGGGCCCTGGCTGTGCCAAACCCCAAGCTGAGATCTGAGGGGAGGGGAGGAGATCCACAGAACTTCAGTCCTCAGGTGTCCACGGTCCCAGAGACACCCCAAAGGGGTGGGCTCAGATAGCATGGGAGTCGGGGGAGGACTGGAGAAGAGCAATCCGGGGCTCTGTCTAGGGTCCTAGAGACAGTGTCAGACAATAAGCAAAATGGGGGCGGGAGGCACAAGCTGAGCCCAGGAAGGACTCCCCAAGGCAGGAGGCTTAGAAAGTAGCAGAGGTGCCCTCTTGATCCTCAGGTTGGGGAGAGAAAAGACCAGAGGCTGGACATCCTTGCCCTTACAGCTCCTGGCCCAGGGCCTTGTGTATAGTAGATGCTCAATAAATATGAGTTGTGTTGACCTGGGTCTTGACAAAGAGATGTTGCTTAAGCTCTGCTATACTGAGGAAAGGGGGCGCCAGCCTCTGTTGGGCCTCCTGCCTGATGTCACCTGAACTTGGCCCTCTGGTTAATCTCAGACCTCCCCAGGGCAGGCTCACTCACGGAAGAGGAGGTGCCGCTCCTGTTTTTCCAACACCAGAGAACAACAACCCCCTCCAACCTTCTGTAGCTCCGCCCTGTCGGCAAAACAACGAAACTAGGGGTAGCTGAAATCGGCGCGGGTGGGGGGCAGGGGGTTGGCGAGCAAACCGAGACCCTTCCCGCCAAGGCCCCCACCTCCAAGCACCTCCTGTTTACAGAATGAAGTTCCCTGCTCCCCTCCCTGCAGGGCCCCTCAGAAGTGTGAACTACTGTTTCGGCCTCAGCCTCTTCTGGGGAGACCAATTAGAGGGTCGGCGACGCTCTGGAGAAGGGTGGCGTGAGGGTCCCGGAATGCCGCCCTCGGCCGGACCACGCCGATAACCCGAGCCTGACCGCCCCTCTCCCAGGTGGTCCTGGCAAACCGGGGGCAGCACCCACAACCCCGCGCCGCCTGAGACCGTGCCCATACCCTCCGAGGCTGCGCGCACTGGGTTCCGGCTCCCAGGTGCCGAGCCCGCCGGTGCTCTCGCGCCACTTACCTGCCTGAGAGTTGCCCACCTCGGAGCCCCGGGCCAGGCTGAAAAGCAAGCCCAGCACCTGCAGAGCGTCGTTCGCCCTCATGACTCCGCAGAGGGTGAAGGGAGCCCAGCCAAGTCCGGCCCGGGGGCCCCTAGGCTAGGACATCGAGGCAAGAGCCACCTGAACCGCTGGCGAATTGGTGGCTGCTGCGGCGACGGCAGCGGAGGTTGCAAATTGCAATCGGAGCCGGAGCCGGAGTCCGGGGAGGGATGGCAGGGGAGGGGTGTGTGTGTGTGAGAGAGAGAGAGAGAGGGAGGGAGGAACGCAGAGGGAAGGGGGTGAGTCACGGCCGCGCCCCCTCCCGCGCGAGGCTGGAGTAGGGATTGCGGAGCCTCGGACCGCCTGCCCCGAGCGTGCCACGCCCCGCGGTCCCGCAACTTGGCGGAGCAGATCGAGGATGGGGCTCACCCTAATTTTTCTGCAGGAGATAGGCCAAGGGGAGGTCGAGATTCCGAAAGCCCCCAGATCCAGGGAAGGGTAATGAATGAGGGAGTGGAAAGCTCTCCAAAGCCCTGCCCCCTGAAAGTTGGCCTCGCCCATTAACCAAATCACTCAACTCCCCTAGCCGGTTGGTTCACTTGGTGGATTTTCTCTCAGAATGTGAATATTTCTCTCTGTGTGTTTTTGAGGGGGAGGGTGTTTTTTGCCTCACGTCCAGGCCACCTCAGTTTCTCCCAGACTCGAAACCCCATAATTCATCCACCCAGCCCAGGAACCCGAGCCACAGAGACCGCGTGAAATTGCACTGTCTCTGGCCGCTTCCTCCTCCAGACCCGGCGCCGGCCGGGCCTCTCCCGGGGATTTGGATGGGGGGCGGGGGTGGTTTCCAGCCTGGGAACAGACCCCGGAGCCCGCCTTTCCACTTCTACCCCGGGAGGGGCTCCCGCACCTGTCGCCGTCCCCTCTGCTGCCCCCCACGGCCGCCTGGGAGAACAGCTGCCTCCCCTTCCACACTGGAGTCTGGCCGCACCGTCCGGGCGGCCGCAGTTCCCGCCGCTCTTCTGGGGACCCAGATGGGCACACACCAAGGCGCTTACACCCTCCCAGGTGCCTTCCAAGTCCAGGCTCTCGCAGGAAAGGGGATGGGGCAGTGAAGTGGGACGCGGAGAGGACACTAGAGACTGCGTCCACGAATGGCGTGGACCTCTGGAACCTCCCCCACCAGCTGCCCGGACCTGGCCAGAGGCGGTCGGGCTCCCTGCGGGTTGCTGCCCAAAGCCCTGCTAGTCCCGGGACGGATCCGACCGGCGCCGCCTGGTGCCCATCCGTGGCAGTGGAGTCCCAGACGGCCTTGCATTTCAAATCCCTTAAACTGGTATTCGGGATCTCGCCCGGAGAGCCTAGTTGTTTTCTCCAGAACTTCAAGCCTGAAGACTTCGAAAACAGTTGAGCCTTGATAAAGAAAAATTTCACCCCTCACACCTAGCAAAGACTACCGGCTAACATTCCTTAAACATGCTCCCTATTGATATGCAACCTAGAGGGCCTGTTCTCTACTGGAGAATCTCCGCTTTGGGGAGGTTGGCTTTCTCCAGACCATGTGTATAGTAGTCATAATAATAATAGCAACAACAAAACCATTAACATATACAAACATTTCCATATATCATTTCATTTACAAAGTATGTCCTCAAACTTAGTGCCTTAGAGAATGTGTCACTTAACATAAAAATTATATGATTTAGGCAATATAACTCCCCATTTTACAGAACTAGAAGTGTGTGACCTCTCCAAGGTCATCCACCTGGTGACAGTGGTTGAGGTGATCAGGTGATTGGGAGGTGGGGCTCAGACTTTTACCTAGGGTTTCTTTCTCTCTTTTTTTTTCTTTTCTTTTTTTTTTTTTTTGAGACAGAGTTTCGCTCTTGTTGCCCAAGCTGGAATGATCCACCTGCTTCAGCCTGCCAAAGTGCTGGGATATCTTCCATCTTAAAAAACAAAACATTCGGCTGGGCGCGGTGGCTCATGCCTGTAATCCCAGCACTTTGGGAGGCCGAGGCGGGCAGATCACTTGAGGTCAGGAGTTCGAGACCAGCCTAGTCAACATAGTGAAACACCGTCTCTACTAAAAATACAAAAATTAGCTGGGCATGATGGTGGGCACCTGTAATCCCAGCTACTTAGGAGACTGAGGCAGGAGAATCGCTTGAACCCGGGAGGTGGAGGTTGCAGTGAGCTGAGATTGCATCACTGCACTCCAGCTTGGGCGACAGAGTGAGACGCCATCTCAAAACAAAAACAAAACATTGTTTTGTTTGACCTCATGGCCTTCTGGTCTGTTGCTTTTTTTTTTTTGACACGGAATCTTGTTCTGTTTCTGTCACCCAGGCTGGAGTGCAGTGGCCTGATCTCAGCTCACTACTGAGTTCAAGTGATTCTCCTGCCTCAGGCTTCCAAGTAGCTGGGGCTACAAGGCGTGCGCCACCAAGCCCGGCTAATTTTTTGTATTTTTAGTAGAGATGGGGTTTCACTGTGATGGCCAGACTAGTCTCTAATTCCTGACCTCAGGTGATCCACCCACCTCAGCCTCCCAAAGTGCTGGGATTACAGGTGTGAGCCACCACACCTGGCTTTTTTTCCTTTTTTTGAGACAGGATCTCCCTCTGTCACCCAGGCTGGAGTGCAGTGGTGCAATCATGGCTCACAGCAGCCTCAACTTCCCAGGCTCAGGTGATTCTCCCACTTCAGCCTCCCTAGTAACTGAGTCTACAGGTGGGCACCAAAATGTCTGGCTACTTTGTTTATTTGTTTGTTTGTTTTTGAGATGGAGTCTCGCTCTGTCACCCAGGCTGGAGTGCAATGGCGTGATCTCAGCTCACTGCAACCTCTGCCTCCTGGGTTCAAGGCATTCTCCTGAGTTTCGCTTTTGGTGCCCAGGCTGGAGTGCAATGGCTCGATCTTGGCTCACTGCAACCTCTGCCTCTTGGGTTCAAGCTATTCTCCTGCCTCAGCCTCCTGAGTAGTTGAGATTACAGGTGCCTGCCACAACACCTAGCTAATTTTTGTATTTTTAGTAGAGACGGGGTTTCACTGTGTTGACCAAGCTGGTCTTGAACTCCTGACCTTGGGCAATCCACCCACCTCGGCCTCCCAAAGTGCTGGGATTACAGGCATGAGCCACCACACCTGGCCTTACCATCTGGCCTTACCTAGGATTTCTTTATTATTTTTGTATGATATGGAGATGCGGGGGTGGGGGTGGGGGTCTGGCTATGTTGCCCAAGCTGGTCTTGAACTCCTGGCCTCTGCAATCCTTCCACCTCAGTTTACCCAAATTGTTAGGATTTCAGATGTGAACCATGCCTGGCCTTACTTAGGATTTCTTACTGTTCTACTGAGACTGGAGCTTCATGTGTTCAGATTCACACTCCCATCAGACAACAGTGCTGATACTACTTAAGGGTCTCCACTCCTACCTACCCTCCCCCACATTAAAGGGCCTTTCATTTTATTACTCACTCAGCTCCAGCTCAACCTGGTATTCAGGGTCCGAGTTCTGAAGGAGAAAAATCTTCCTTGGTTTCCTTGTTTATACACTGTTGTATCTACTTATAAGACTGTTGATTGGTCCCTCCCCCTCCCCCTCCCCCTCCCCCTCTCCCTCTCCCCACGGTCTCCCTCTCTTTCCACGGTCTCCCTCTCATGCGGAGCCGAAGCTGGACTGTACTGCTGCCATCTCGGCTCACTGCAACCTCCCTGCCTGATTCTCCTGCCTCAGCCTGCCGAGTGCCTGCGATTGCAGGCACGCGCCGCCACGCCTGACTGGTTTTGGTGGAGACGGGGTTTCGCTGTGTTGGCCGGGCCGGTCTCCAGCCCCTAACCGCGAGTGATCCGCCAGCCTCGGCCTCCCGAGGTGCCGGGATTGCAGACGGAGTCTCGTTCACTCAGTGCTCAATGGTGCCCAGGCTGGAGTGCAGTGGCGTGATCTCGGCTCACTACAACCTACACCTCCCAGCCGCCTGCCTTGGCCTCCCAAAGTGCTGAGATTGCAGCCTCTGCCCGGCCGCCACCCCGTCTGGGAAGTGAGGAGTGTCTCTGCCTGGCCGCCCATCGTCTGGGATGTGAGGAGCCCCTCTGCCTGGCTGCCCAGTCTGGAAAGTGAGGAGCGTCTCCGCCCTGCCGCCATCCCATCTAGGAAGTGAGGAGCGCCTCTTCCCGGCCGCCATCACATCTAGGAAGTGAGGAGCGTCTCTGCCCGGCCGCCCATTGTCTGAGATGTGGGGAGCGCCTCTGCCCCGCCGCCCCATCTGGGATATGAGGAGCGCCTCTGCCCGGCAGCGACCCCGTCTGGGAGGTGAAGAGCGTCTCTGCTCGGCCGCCCCGTCTGAGAAGTGAGGAGACCCTCTGCCTGGCAACCACCCCGTCTGAGAAGTGAGGAGCCCCTCCGTCCGGCAGCTGCCCCGTCTGAGAAGTGAGGAGCCTCTCCGCCCGGCAGCCACCCCATCTGGGAAGTGAGGAGAGTCTCCGCCCGGCAGCCACCCCATCCGGGAGGGAGATGGGGGGGTCAGCCCCTCGCCCGATCAGCCGCCCCGTCCAGGAGGGAGGTGGGGGGGTCAGCCCCCCGCCCGGCCAGCCGCCCCGTCGGGGAGGGAGGTTGGGGGGTCAGCCCCCCGCCCGGCCAGCCGCCCCGTCCGGGAGGGAGGTGGGGGGGTCAGCCCCCCGCCCGGCCAGCCGCCCCGTCTGGGAGGTGAGGGGCACCTCTGCCCGGCCACCACCCCGTCTGGGAGGTGTACCCAACAGCTCATTGAGAACGGGCCAGGATGACAATGGCGGCTTTGTGGAATAGAAAGGCGGGAAAGGTGGGGAAAAGATTGAGAAATCGGATGGTTGCCGTGTCTGTGTAGAAAGAAGTAGACATGGGAGACTTTTCATTTTGTTCTGCACTAAGAAAAATTCTTCTGCCTTGGGATCCTGTTGATCTGTGACCTTACCCCCAACCCTGTGCTCTCTGAAACATGTGCTGTGTCCACTCAGGGTTAAATGGATTAAGGGCGGTGCAAGATGTGCTTTGTTAAACAGATGCTTGAAGGCAGCATGCTCATTAAGAGTCATCACCACTCCCCAATCTCAAGTAATCAGGGACACAAACACTGCGGAAGGCCGCAGGGTCCTCTGCCTAGGAAAACCAGAGACCTTTGTTCACTTGTTTATCTGCTGACCTTCCCTCCACTATTGTCCCATGACCCTGCCAAATCCCCCTCTGTGAGAAACACCCAAGAATTATCAATAAAAAAATAAATTAAAAAAAAAAAAACCTTAAAAAAAAAAAGACTGTTGATTGGATTTTTTTTTTTCTGAGACGGAGTTTCGCTCTTGTTGCCCAGACTGGAGTGCAATGGGGTGATCTTGGCTCACTGCAACCTCCACCTCTTGGGTTCAAGTGATTCTCCTGCCTCAGCCTCCCGAGTAGCTGGGATTACTGGCGCCTGCCACCACGCCTGGCTAATTTTTGTATTTTTAGTAGAGATGGGGTTTCACCATTTTGGCCAGATTGGTCTTGAACCCCTGACCTCAGGTGATCCACTCGCCTCAGCCTCCCAAAGTGCTGGGATTACAGGCGTGAGCCACTGCATCTGGCTGACTGTTGTTTGGATTCAATGAGAAAAGTCAGGTGGAGCTCTGAATTACTGTGCTCAACCTTTAAGAAGCATTCAATGAACGCTAGCTGTATCTATTGCTATTTTCCCAACCCCAACCCTTCCCTCTCAGCTAGATCCCAAGATGCGATGGATTCTTCAACACTTAGGGACACGTCATGCTAAGCATCCCGGATATACACAGTAGATAAAGCTGCCAAGTAACTGGCCACCTCTGTTGGGTGCTGTCCTGACTGAATAAATGAAAGAAGGGAGGCTTTATTTATGAACAATCTCTGCAGTTTTCCAGCATCCCTTTATCTTTCCTTACTCTTAGCTGATGACTTTGGCTATTATTTTACTGTGAAAATAAAAGTAAAAGAAATCATCCTGGGCCAGGTGCAGTGGCTCATGCCTGTAATCCCAGCACTTTGGGAGGCCAAGGTGGGCAGATCACTAGTCTCAGTAGAACAGTAAGAAATCCTAGGTAAGGCCAGGCATGGTGGTTCATGCCTGAAATCCAAACAATTTGGGCAAACTGAGGTGGGAGGATTGCAGAGGCCAGGAGTTCAAGACCAGCTTAGCCAACATAGCCAGACTCCCCATCTCTACATCATACAAAAATAATAAAGAAATCCTAGGTAAGGCCAGGCCTGGTGGCTCACGCCTGTAATCCCAGCACTTTGGGAGGCCGAGGCGGGCAGATCATTCGAGGTCAGGAGTTTGCAACCAGCCTGACTAATGCGGTGAAACCCTGTCTCTACCAAAAATACAAAAACATTAACCAGACATTGTGGTGCATGCCTGTAGTCCCAGCTACTCATGAGGCTGAGGCAGGAGAATAGCTTGAACCTGGGAGGCGGAGGTTGCAGTGAGCTGAGATCGCATCACTGTACTCCAGCTTGGGCGACAGAGTGAGACTCTGTCTCAAAAAACAAACAAACAAACAAATATAAAGCCTATGGCACGTGCCTGACACATCAAAGGTACTCAATAAAGTTAACTATTACTATTTGTATATTGTGTTTCTTTTTTCTTGTTTACAAGAAGATTTAGAAGAGGTATTTGTATATTCTGAATCTATATTGGCAAGTACATTTGCAGTGGTTATATTTTCTTGCTTTCTTGTTTATTCTACCATTATGTAACACTTTCTCTTTTGTCCCGAACTTTTTCCCTTGAATTTTGTCACATATTAAAATCTCATCTTAGGCTGGGCGCGGTGGCTCATGCCTCTAATCACAGGACTTTGGGAGGCTGAGGCAGGCGGATCGCAAGGTCAGGAGTTCAAGACCAGCATGGCCAACATAATGAAGCCCTGTCCTTACTAAAAATACAAAAAACCAGCCAGGCATTGTGGCAGGTGCCTGTAATCCCAGCTACTTGGGAGGCTGAGGCAGGAGAATCACTTGAACTTGGGAGGCGGAGGTTACAGTAAGTGGAGATCGTGCCACTGCACTCCAGCCTGGGCGACTGTGCGAGATTCCGTCTAAAAAAAAACAAAAACAAACAAACAAACAAACAAAAAACTCACCTCACTTTTGAGTTATTTTTGCCTGGTAAAACAAAGCTTTGCCACACTCTAGTTTCCATGGAAGCCAATTCTAAGGTGGAAACTAGAGTGTGGGAAGCTTGTGAGTGAGTGCACTTGGGATCAATACTTGCAGGAAAAGAAAGGAAGAAGCAGGACTGGACAGAAGGAGAAGTTGGGCTGCAGAGTAGACACCCCACCAGCAGCCAGGCATGGTGGTGGGGACCTGTGGTCCCAGCTACTCAAGAGGCTAAGTGGGAGGATAGCTTGATCCCAGAAGGTTGAGGCTGCAGTGAGCTGTGATCGCACCATGCACTCCAGCCTGGGTGACAAAGTGAGAACCCGTATCAAAAAAAAAAAAAAAAGAGAAGGCCAGGTGCGGTGACTCAGTCCTGTGATCCCAGGACTTTGGGAGGCTGAGGAGAGTGAATCACTTGAGGTCAGGAGTTTGAGACCAGCCTGGCCAACATGGTGGAACCCTGTCTCTACCAAAAATACAAAAATTAGCCGGGCGTGATGGCACACACCTGTAATCTCAGTTACTTGGGAGGCTGAGGCAGGAGAATCACTTGAACCCGGGAGGTGGAGGTTGCAGTGCGCCGAAATTGCACCACTGCACTCCAGCCTGGGTGACAGAGTGAGACTCAGTCTCCGCCCGCCCCACCACCCCAAAAACACTTCAGTTAATCCTGAAAAGAACTCTGGATTAAAGTTAGTTAATATCCCACCTTCTGGAGGATAAGTGTCTTACTAAGGCATCTGACATACTTGCCATTTCCTGCTCAACCAGTCCAATTTGCATGATGTTATCAATGTAACAGATCAATACAGTGATGTTTTGAGAGACCTTTAGCTGGTCAGATCTGTTCATATTGTTTTATGATAGAGGGCAAGAGAGTTAACATAGGCCTGTGGTGCCACCACGCCCAGCTAATTTTTGTATTTTTAGTAGAGATAGGTTTTCGCCATATTGGCCGGGCTAGTGTCAAACTCCTGACCTCAGGTGATCTGCTCGCCTCAGCCTCTCAAAGTGCTGGGATTACAGGCATGAGCCACTGCACAGCCCCAAACATTTTTGTCATCCCAAAATAAAACCCTATATCCATTAGACAGTTCCTCCCTATCTCCCCCTATTTCTAGCCTCTGACAAACACCAGTCTTTCTATTTCTATGGATTTACCTATTCTGGATAATTTACATAAATGGAATGATACAATATGTAATCTTTTATGTCTGACTTCTTTCAACTTAGCATGTTTTCAAGGTTTATCTATGTTGTAGCATGAGTAATACTTCATTCCTTTTTATGACTGAATAACATTCCACTGGGTTCCACAAAATTTTTTTTTTTTTTAATAAAGATGGGATCTTGCTCTGTCACCCAGGATGGAATGCAGTGGTGCAATCATAGCTCACTGCAGCCTTGAACTCCTGGGCTCAAGCGATCCTCCCGCCTTAGCCTCTCAAGTATCTGGCACTACAGGCACGTGCCAGCATGCCCAGCTAATTTTTTTCTTTCTTTGAGACAAAGCCTTGCTCTGTCACCAGGCTGGAGTGCAGTGGTGCAACTTCGGCTCACTGCAACCTCCACCTCCCGGATTCAAGCAATTCTCCTGCCTCAGTCTCCCGAGTAGCTGGGACTACAGGTGCGTGCCACTACGCCCAGCTAATTTTTGTATTTTTAGTAGAAATGGGTTTCACCATGTTGGCCAGGATAGTCTCGGTCTCTTGACCTGGTGATCCGCCCGCCTCAGCCTCCCACAGTGCTGGGATTACAGCCGTGAGCCACTGCGCCCGGCCCTTTTTTTTTTTTTTTTTTGGTAGAGATGTGGTCTTGCTTTGCTGCCTAGGCTGGTCTTGAACTCCTGGCTTCAAGCAATCCCACTGCCTTGGCCTCACAAAGTGCTGGGATTATAGCCATGAGCACCTGGCTACCGCAAATTGTTTATCCATTTGTCTGTAGAGGGACATTTGTGATGTTTCCACCTTTTGGCTATTGTGAATGGTGCTACAGTGAACATTTTGCACAAGTATTTATACTTGCTTGAATACCTGTTTTCTTTTTTTCTTTTGAGACAGGGTCTTTGTTGCCCAGGCTGGAGTGCAGTGGCCTGATCACAGTTCACTGTAACCTCAAACTCCTGTGCCCAAGTGATCATCCCATCTCAGCCTCCTGAATAGCTGGGACTACAGACACCCACCACCATGCCTGGCTAATTTTTTTTTAAATTTGTATTTATTATTACTATTATTATTTTATTTTTTTAGAGATGGTATCTCACTGTGTTGCCCAGGCTGGTTTCAAACTCGGCTCAAGTAAGCCTCCTGCCTCAGCCTCCTAAAGTGCTGGAATTACAGGCATGAGCCACTGCTCCTGGCCTTTTTAATTTATAAAGAAATTTTGTTTTTGTCCAGGCTGGCCTGAACTTAATGGGCTCAAGTGATGTTCCTGTCTCAGACTCTTGAGTAGCTGAGACTACAGGTACATGCCATCATGTCTGGCTAAGTTTTTAATTTTGATGAAATCTGATTTATCTATTTTTTTCTTTTGCTGCTTATACTTTTGGTGTCATATTTAAGAATGAAGCCGGGCACGGTGGCTCATGCCTGTAATCCCAGCACTTTGGGAGGCCGAGGCAGGCAGATCACCTGAAGTCAGGAGTTCAAGATCAGCCTTGCCAACATGGTGAAACCCCGTCTCTACCAAATATGTACAAAATTAGCCAGGTGTGGTGGCATGCGCCTGTAGTTCCAGCTACTCAGGAGGTTGAGGCACGAGAATCGCTTGAACCCAGGAGGTGGAGGTTGCGGTGAGCTGAAATTGCGCCACTGTACTCCAGCTCAGGCAACAGAGCGAGACTCTGTCTCAAAGAAAAAACAAAGAATGAATCAACTGCCAATTGAAAGAAAGCTGGAGTGACAAAAAAAAAAGGGAAAGAAAAGAAAAAATTAACTGCCAAATTCAAAGTCATGAAGATTTACCCCTATGTTTTCTCCTAAGTTTTATGATTTAACTCTTTGGTCCATTTTGAGTTAATTTTATATATGGTGTGAATGGGGGCCCAGCTTCCTTCCCTTGCATGTGGATGTCCAGTTGTTGCAGCATCACTTGTTGAAGAGACTATCCTTTCCCCATTGAGTGGTCCTGGCACCCTTGTTGAAAATTAATTGGCCATAGACATATGGGTTTATTTCTGGACTCTCAATTCTATTTTGTTGGTCTATATGTCTATTTATATGCCAGTTACACATTATTTTGATTACTGTAGCTTTGTAGTAAGTTTTGAAATTGGGAAGTGTGAGTTACCCAACTTTGTTCTTTTTCAAGGTTGTTTTGGCTTTTCTGGATCCCTGGTTAATTCCATATGAATTTGAAGGTGTTTAACTTTCTTTGGGTTATATTTGTACAAATATGTTATTAATATATATGTTTCAAAATCGTCTGAAATTCCTAAAATTTTGATATGTCTTAATAAATGTTATCAATAATAATTACGGTTATTATGTTAAATTGTTATATGCTACAGAAATATTATTTCTCAATTGTGTCATTAACCATGGCTAGAATAGTCAAACCAAAAGTCTTTTGTCATCCACAGACAATTATTGTTTTACTTTGATTCTTCTCAAAAAGTGGTTTATGGTTGGGGCATGGTGGCTCACACCTGTAATCCCAGAACTTTGGGAGGCTGAGGTGGGAGGATTGCTTGAACTTAGCAGTTTGAAACCAGTCTGGGCAACAGAGCAAGACTCTGTCTCAAAAAAAAAAAAAAAGAGAGAGAGAGAAATGATAAAAGAAAATAACTTTTATCTGAGGAATGCCAGTACTTTTAATTATGAGGCCCTGAGATACATTAAAATGAGACAATAGACCGGGTGCGGTGGCTGACACCTGTAATCCCAGCACTTTGGGAGGCCAAGGTGGGTGGATCATGAGTTCAGGAGTTCAAGACCAGCCTGGCCAAGATGGTGAAACCCCATCTCTACTAAAAATACAAAAAATTGGCCGGGCGCGGTGTCAGGTGCCTGTAGTCCCAGCTACTCAGGAGGCTGAGGAAGGAGAATCGTTTGAACCCGGAGGGTGGAGGTTGCAGTGAGCCGACATCGCGCCACTGCACTCCAGCCTGGGCGACAGAGTGAAACTCCGTCTCAAAAAAAAAAAAAAAAAAAAAAAAAAGAGACAATAGACTGGGCGTAATCCTAGCACTTTGGGAGGCCGAGGTGGGCAGATGACCTGAGGTCAGGAGTCTAAGACCAGCCTGGCCAACATGATCAAATCCCGTCTCTACTAAAAAATACAAAAAAACTAGCCAGGCGTGGTGGCGGGCACCTGTGATCCCAGCTACTCAGGAGACTGAGGCAGGGTGAATTGCTTGAACCCGGGAGGCGGAGCTCGCAGTGAGCCGAGATAGCACCACTGTACTCCAGCCTGGGCTACAGAGCGAGACTCCATCTCAAAAAAAAAAAAAAAAAAAAAAAAAAAGACAACAATCATGTTCTACTCCCCCCGTTTGAGCTATGCATTCATCTCTTGAAACTGCTTGCTTGCTGGGCAGGGTGGCTCATGACTGTAATCCTAGCACTTTGTGAGGCCAATGCAGGAGGATCACTTGAAGCTAGGCATTCAAAACCAGCCTGGGCAACATAGTGAGATACTCTCTTTTTTTTTTTTTTTTTTTTTTTTTTTTGAGATGGCGTCTCGCTCTGTCGCCCAGGCTGGAGTTCAGTGGCACGATCTCGGCTCACTGCAAGCTCCGCCTCCCGGGTTCACGCCATTCTCCTGCCTCAGCCTCCCGAGTAGCTGGGACTACAGGCGCCCGCCACCACGCCCGCCTAATTTTTTTTTTGTATTTTTAGTAGAGACGGCGTTTCACTGTGTTAGCCAGGATGGTCTTGATCTCCTGACCTCGTGATCCGCCCGCCTCGGCCTCCCAGAGTGCTGGGATTACAGGCGTGAGCCACCGCGCCCGGCCAGTGAGATACTCTCTCTAAAAAATTTTTTGAAAAGAAAAAAATCCACTTGTAACTGCTGCTAATCAGCGAGTATATTCAGGACAACTTGAATCTGTGCTCCTAGGTTGTAATCCTCAAGATTGGCCCAAACAAACTCTCTACTTAAACATTAATTTTGGCTGGGTGCGGTGGTCACGCCTGTAATCCCAGCACTTTGGGAGGCCAAGGTGGGCGGATCACCAGAGGTTGGGAGTTAGAGACAAGCCCGACCAACATGGAGAAACCCCGTCTCTACTAAAAATACAAAAAAATTAGCCGGGCATGGTGGCCCACGCTTGTAATCCCAGCTACTCAGGAGGCTGAGGCAGGAGAATCGCTTGAACCCAGGAGGCAGATGTTGCGGTGAGCCGCGATCAAGCCATTGCACTCCAGCCTGGGCAACAAAAGCCTAACTCTGTCTCAAAAACAAAACAACAACAACAAAAAAAACCATTAATTTTGCCTTGGCTTCTTCCTTTTAGGTTGATGTATCTTCATGTGGTGATCTCATAACAGCAACTTTGCTGAATTCATTTAACTTTAATAGCTTTCTTATAAATTCTTTGGAATTTCCTATATATAGTATTTTAGTCTACTCGGGTTGCTGTAACAAAATATCACAGACTGGGTGGCTTAAACAAAAGAAGTTTATTTTCTCACAGTTCTAGAGGCTGGAAGTTCAAAATTTAGGTGCTGATAGGATTGGGTTTTGGTGAGACCTCTCTCCTCAGCTTGCAGATGGCAGCTTCTCTGTATGTCCTTACATGGACTTTTCTCTGCGCACACATGGAGAGAGCTCTGGAGTCCCTTCCTCTTCTTATAGACAACAGTCCTCTTGGATTAGGGTCCCACGCTCATGACCCATTTAACCTTAATTAATCACTTAAAGGCCGTATCTCCAAAGATAGTCACACTAGGAGTTAGGACTTCAACATATGAATTTTGGGGAACACAATTTACTCCATATCATCTTTCTCTCTGCCCCCTCCAAATTCATGTACCTCTGACATGCAAAATACATTCAGTCTATCACCCCCCAACACTCTCTAAAGGCTAAAACCATTTCAGAATCAGTTCCAAGTCCAAAGTCTCATCTAAATATCTAAATCAGATCAGGTATGGGTAAGACTCTAGAAATGATTCATACTGAGGTAAAATTTCCCTCTAGCTGTGAATTTATGAAACCAGACAGACTATGTGCTTCCAAAATACACTGGTGAAACAGCCATGAGTTAGATATTCCCATTCCAAAAGGTAGAAATCAAAGAAGAAGGTGATGAGTTCCATGCAAGTAAAAAAACTGAGCAAGGCAGGCCGAGCACGGTGGCTCATGCCTGTAATCCCAGCACTTTGGGAAGCCGAGGCGGGTGGGTCACGAGGTCAGGAGTTCAAGACCAGCCTGGCCAAGATGGTGAAACTCCATCTCTACTAAAAATACAAAAAATTAGTCATGTGTGGTGGTGGGTGCCTGTAATCCCAGCTACTCGGGAGGCTGAGGCAGGAGAATCGCTTGAACCCAGGAGGCGGAGGTTGCAGTGAGCTGAGATCATGCGACTGCACTCCAGCCTGGGTGACAGAGTGAGACTCTGTCTCAAACAAACAAACAAACAAACAAAAAAATTGAGCAAGGCAAACTCCATTAGATCGAAAGCTTTAAGAATAATCCTCTTGCCTGGGCGCGGTGGCTCACGCCTGTAATCCCAGCACTTTGGGAAGCCGAGATGGGTGGATCACGAGGTCAGGAGATTGAGACCATCCTGGCTAACACGGTGAAACCCTGTCTCTACTAAAAAAAATATACAAAAAAATCAGCCAGGCATGGTGGCGGGCACCTTTAGTCCCAGCTACTCGGGAGGCTGAGGCAGGAGAATGGCATGAACCCGGGAGGCGGAGCTTGCAATGAGCCGAGATCGTGCCACTGCACTCCAGGCTGGGCGACAGAGTGAGACTCTGTCTCAAAAAAAATAAAAAGAAAAGAAAGAAAAAGAAAATAATCCTTTTTGGCTTGATGCTTCACCTTCCAGAGTCACTGGGGTGGCAGCATCACCCCCATGGCACTAGGTGAGGGCATACTGGAGTGTTGAAACCAGGGTTTCGTTTGAATACTCATAGTATTTTCCTATAGTCCCTTCTATTTCTGTATGGTTGGTAGTAATGTCTTCATTTTTATTTATTTATTTTTATTATTTTTTATTTTATTTTATTTTTGAGATGGATTTTCGCTGTTGTTGCCCAGGCTGGAGTGCAATGGTGTGATCATGGCTCACCGAAACCTCTGCCTCCCAGGTTCTAGCGATTCTCCTGCCTCAGCCTCCCCAGTAGCTGGAATCCGCCCGCCCTGGCCTCCCAAAGTGCTGGGATTACAGGCATGAGCCACCGCGCCTGGTCTATTTTTTATTTTTATAGTATAGAGACAAGGTCTCACTATGTTGTGCACGCTGAACTCCAACTCCTGAGCTCAAATGATCCTCCTGCCTTCACCTCTCATATTGTTAGGATTACAGGCGTGAGCCACCATGCCCAGGCTTCATTTTTATTTCTTTTTCTTTTTTTTTTTTTTTTGAGACGGAGTCGCACTCTGTTGCCAGGCTGGAGTGCAGTGGTGTAATCCGGGCCCACCGCAACCTCCACCTCCCAGGTTCAAGCGATTTTCCTGCCTCAGCCTCCTGAGTAGCTGAGATTACAGGCACGTGCCACCACACCCAGCTAATTTTCGTATTTTTAGTAGAGACGGGGTTTCACCATGTTGGCCAGGATGGTCTCAATCTCTTGACCTTGTGATCCACCCGCCTTGGCCTCCCAAAGTGCTGGGATTACAGGTGTGAGCCACCATGCCCAGCCTCATTTTTATTTCTGATTTTAATTATTTGTGTTCTTTTTTCTTAGCTAAGTGTTTGCTAATTTTATTGATTTTTTTTCAAATAACCAAACTTTTGGTTTTCTGTTTTCAATCTGTTGAAAGCCAGTGGGTCAAAGAAGAAATCACAAAGAATATTAGAAAATACTTTGAGATGAATGCAAATGAAATCACAACATATCAAAACTTACTGGATGCAGTAAAAGCAGTGCTCAGAGGAAAATTTGTAGCTGTAAATGCCAACTTTCCAAAAGAAGAAATAGGCCAGGTGCGGTGGCTTACGCCTGTAATCCCAGCACTTTGGGAGACCGAGGCGGGCGGATCACCTGAGGTCGGGAGTTCGAGACCAGCTTGACCAAAACGGAGAAACCCCATCTCTACTAAAAATACAAAATTAGCCAGGCCTGGTGGCACATGTCTGTAATCCCAGCTGCTTGGGAGGCTGAGACAGGAGAATCGCTTGAACCCGGGAGGCAGAGGTTGTGGTGAGCCGAGATCACGCCATTGCACACCAGACTTGGTAACAAGAGGGAAACTCTGTCTCAAAAAACAAACAACAACAACAAAAAGTTAGCCAGGCTTGGTGGCACATGTCTGTAATCCCAGCTACTCGGGAGGTTGAGGCAGGAGAATAGCTTCAACCTGGGAGGCGGAGCTTGTGGTGAGCTGAGATCATGCCATTGCACTCCAGCCTGGGCAACAAGAGCGAAACTCCGTCTCAATAATAATAATAATAATAATAATAATAATAATAATAATAAATAAAACAAATGAAATATCTCAAATCAGTAATCCAACTTTATATCTCAAACTAGAAAAAGACGAGCAAACTAAACTCAAAAGTGGTAGAAGGAAGGAAATAATAAAGACCAAAGCAGAGATAAAAGAAATAGAAGAAAAACAAAAGAGAGTAATGAGAGAATACCACCATCCGCCTGTTTCCTCAGCATACTTCTTGTGCCATTTTTTTTTTTTTTTGGCGTGATGTCGGCTCACCGCAACCTCCACCTCCCAGGTTCAAGAGATTCTCCTGCCTCGGCCTCCTGAGCAGCTGGGATTACAGGCGCGCGCCATCACACCCTAATTTTTGTGTTTTTAGTAGAGACGGGGTTTCTCCAAGTTAGGCAGATCTCAAACTTCCGACCTCAGGTGATCCGCCCGCCTCGGCCTCCCAAAGTGCTGGGATTACAGGCGTGAGCCACCGTGCCCGGCCTATATTTTTTAATTTTTGTAAAATCACAGCTTGCTGCAGCCTAGACCTCCCGGACTGAAGTGATCCTCCCATCTCAGCCTTCCAAGTAGCTGCGACAAACAGGCTGAATTTTTTATTTTTTGTAAAGATGGGGGTCTCACTTTTTTTCCCAGGCTGGTCTTGAACTCCTGGCCTCAGGTGATCCATCCGTCTGGGCCTCCCAAAGTGCTGGGATTACAGGTGTGAGCCACCCCAACCAGCCAACCATTTGTCCACTTCTGATGAGTTTATAGATTTAGGCTTTGAGCATCCGGAGTTGTGACCATCACAAAAAGAGATACCGGATATTATGTGTCTCCTGATGGAAGAACTCACTGGCTGGGCGCAGTGATTCACGTTCGTAATCCCAGCCCTTTGGGAGGCCGAGGTGGGCGGATCACGAGGTCAGGAGTTCGAGACCAGCCTGGCCAACATGGTGAAACCTCATCTCTACTAAAAATACAAAAAATAGCCAGGCATGGTGGCGGGCGCCTGTAATCCCAGCTACTCAGGAGGCTGAGGCAGGAGAATGACTTGAGCCCAGGAGGTGGATATCGCAGTGAGCCGAGATCGTGCCATTGCACTCTAGCCTGGGTGACAGAGCAAGACTCCATCTCAAAAAACAAAACAAAACAAACAAACAAAAAAACTCGCCACTGTCTATGAAGTAGTCTTACCAAAATAATCAAATCTGAATTTGATCAAACCTTTCAATCCAATACCAATTTACAAAAAATCCATAGGACAGAGGAAAGATGCCACATGATCAGCAAAATCCAGAATGCAGGAAATTCTATAGGACAACAATCCATTTTTTTTTTCTTTTTTTCTTCTTTTTCACCTGGAACAGGGAAGGAGGTACAATCCAGTTTTTTCAACAAATAATTTGCAAGAGAGAAAAAAATATACCTCAGATGATTTCTTGTCTATTTCCCCTGAATAGCTCCAGGACAGGAAATGCCTGAGACAGTCATTGCAAGACTGCTGCTACAAGAATAAGAAATATTTTCATTATCTAAAAGCATATTAAATTCTTTTTAAAGAATAAAAAAATGTTTATATATGCTTAAAATGTATCTTGAAGGATACACAAGAAACTGGCTCTAGGAAGAGGAACTGAATGCAAGACTTTACTATACATTCTTTTGTACTTTTTATATTTTTTTCATGTTTTATGTGATCAAAAATAAAATAATTGGAAAGGAAAGAAGGAAGAAGGAAGAAAAATTTTAGACCAGTTGTGTTTCTCTATAACTTCTACCAAGCAAGTCTAATTCTAACCTCTGGTTAATCCCTCTTGTATATAACAATCCTTCAGATCTTTGAAAATGTCTCTCTTTTCCCCTTTAGTTTTCTTTTTAATTTAATTTAATTTTGTTTTATTTTATTTTATTTTGAGACAAGGTCTTGCTCTGTCACCTAGGCTGGGGTACAGTGGCACAATCATAGCTCACTGCAGCCTCAACCTCCTAGGCCCAAGTGATCCTCCCACTTCAGCTTCTCGAGTAGGTGGGACTACGGGTGTGCACCACCATGCTTGGCTAATTTTTAGGTGTTTTGTAGAGATGGGGTTTCTCTATGTTGCCAAGGCTGTTCTCAGACTCTTGGGCTCAAGAGGATCTGCCTGCCTTGGCCTCCCAAAGTAGTGGTATTACAGGTGTAAGCCACTGTGCCCAGCCTTTAAAATATTTTTATTTTTAATTTTTAGAGACGGGGTCTTGCTATGTTGCCCAAGCTGACCTCGAACTCCTGGACTCAAGGGATCCCCCTCCCTCTGCTTCAGCCTCCTGGGTAGCTGGGACTACAGGTGCATGACACCATGTGTGGCTCCCCTTACATTTCTTTTCTCCAACTAAACATCTCTGTGTCCTCTCATTGTTCTTCGAGTGACTCAGTTAATAATCCCCTCCTTGCCGGGCACAGTGGCTCACGCCTGTAGTCCCAGCTACTTGGGAGGCCGATGTGGGAAGATCACCTGAGCTTGGGAATTCAAGGCTGCAGTGAGTCAAGATCACACCACTGCACTCCAGCCTGGGCAGCTAAGCGAGACTCCATCTAAAGAAAACAAAACAAAACAAAACAACTTAGTAGGACATGGGCTGGATGCAGTGGCTCACACCTATAATCCTAGTACATTGGGAGGCCAAGGAGGGCAGATCACTTGAGGTCAGGAGTTTGAAACCAGCCTGGCCAATATGGCGAAATTCCATCTCTCAAAAAATACAAAAATTAGCCAGGCGTGATGTTGCACACCTGTAATCCCAGCTACTCAAGAGGCTGAGGCAGGAGAATTGCTTCAACCTGGGAGGCGAAAGCTGCAGTGAGCCTGGGAGACAGAATGAGACACTGTCTTAAAAAAAAAAACAAAAATCCCAAAAACTTAGTAGGACATGGACAATAAAGACAAAGAAAGAGGAGGTTTGGACAAAAGTGGGGTAGAGGTAGAGAGCCTCAGAGAGCAAGACATCATGTTTTTGAACACTACCAGAAAACGACAGACAGAAGAAGGAGCTCAGTCTACATAGGAAAGCCATCTGAAGAAATCTTTCAGAAAAATTAAATTTACATAAATGTGAGCAACAGAAGAGTATCGTGTTAAATTCCACACAAAGTTACTATAAGGAAAAAGAGAATTGAGGCCGGGCGCAGTGGCTCACGCCTGTAATCCCAGCACTTTGGGAAGCTGAAGTGGGCGGATCACCTGAGGTCGTCAGGAGTTCGAGACCAACCTGGCCAATATGGTGAAACCTCGTCTTTACTAAAAATACAAAAATTAGCCAGGCATGGTGGCAGGCGCCTGTAATCCCAGCTACTCGGGAGGCTGAGGCAGGAGAATGGCTTGAACCTGGGAGACGGAGGTTGCAGTGAGCTGAGATCGTGCTATTACACTCCAGCCTGGGGACAAGAGTGAGACTTAGTCTCAAAAAAAAGTTAAAAAAAAAGAAAAGAGAATTGAGAATAGGTAGGTTAAAAAAAAAAAAGAAAAAGAAAACAGATAATGAGGACAGAAAAAGATTCATGCCAGAGAGATGCTCCCAAAACAGACGAAAATCATAACATTTTATTTTAAAATGAGCTAAAAGACATTAAGAAGGTGATATAAAGTCGGGTGCTATGGCTCATGCCTGTAATCCCAGCACTTTGGGAGTCTGAGGCAGGCGAATTACAGCAGTTTGAGACCAGCCTGGCCAACATGGCAAAACCCCATCTCTACTAAAAATACAAAAATTAGCCAGGCATGGCGGCGTGCACCTGTAGTCCCAGCTACTCGGGAGGCTGAGGCAGGAGAATCACTTGAACCTGGGAGGTGGAGGTTGCAGTGAGTTGAGACGATGCCACTGCACTCCAGCATTTCAGAGCGAGACTCCATCTCAAAAAAAAAAAAAAGAGAGAGACATGAAAGAAGCTAGGCACTGTGGCTTGCACCTGTACTCCAGCCAGGGCAATAGAGTGAGACCTCATCTCTAAAATAAATAAATAAATGAAGAAATAAATAATTTTTTTTGAGACAGTCTCTGTTGCCCAGGCTGAAGTGCTGTGGTGCAATCTTGGCTCACTGCAACCTCCACCTCCCAGATTCAAGCGATTCTCATGCCTCAGCCTCCCGAGTAGCTGGGATTACAGGCATGCACCACCACACCTGGCTAATTTATGCATTATTGGTAGAGATGGGGTTTCGCCATGTTGGCCAGGCTGATCTTGAACTCCTGACCTCAAGTGATCCAAAGTGATTAAGTGATCTCATTAGTCCAAAATGACAAATATTGTAATTTGAAAAAGATTGCAGGCAACTGCCACCATACCTGGCTAGTATTTGTGGGTTTTTGTGTTTTTTTTTTTTGGTAGAGATGGGGTTTCACCACATTGGCCAGGCTGGTCTCAAACTCCTGATGTCAAAGTGATTCGCCTGCCTTGGCCTCCCAAAGTGCTGGGATTATAGGCATGCGCCACCGCACCTAGCTGACATATTTTAAATATTTAAGGAATAACAAGCCAGGCGTGGTGACTCAACGCCTTGTAATCCCAGCATTTTGGGAGGCTGAGGTGGGCGGATCGCCTGAGGTCAGGAGTTGGAGACCAGCTTGGCCAACATGGTGAAATCCCATCTCTACTAAAAATATATATATATATGAAATAGCCAGGCATGGTGGCGTGTGCCTGTAATCCCAGCTACTTGGGTGGCTGAGGCAGGAGAATCGCTTGAACCCGGGAAGCGGAGCTTGCAGTGAGCCAAGATTGCACCACTGCACTCCAGCCTGGGCGACAGAGCGGGACTCCATCTCAAAACATAATAATAATAAATAAATAAATAAAAAGGAAGAACAGGTGAGCCAAAGCAAAGCTAATCTTCAACGATAATGGGCACAGACAAATTGTTATCAATATGTAGGGACTCAGGGATTATTTTTCCCACGACCCCTTCCTGAGAAATCCACTAGAGAGTGCACTTCAGACAACTAGAGAGATGTCAACAGAAGGGCTGAGAGTCAGTACTGTATATTAGTTACTCATGGAAATGAGACTAATGAAGGTAAAAGAGAGAGTATAGTATGTAATGGCCATATGATCTGATAATGTAGACATTATAACCATAAAAAATAAGGAGAAAGGAAATAGCATTTACAAAAAAAGTTTAAATATGTTTTTAGTAATCATAATGACGAAGGTAGTACTACTAGTTATTCTGAGACTGTTTAATGTATTGTGTAGGATAAAACAAATAAGGAATTATGGAATGTTCTAATTCTCCCATTTCTGTGTCCGTAAGAACCATGACTCTTGATGGAAGAAAGAAAACACAGACTTTTTGTAGTTTTGTAGTCCCAAATTTGACAAACCCAATAGTAATGAGCATCTTCAATAGTAATGAGCATCCTGGTGCAGAGATGGTAGTCTCTAATGACCTTTTTTTTTCTTTTACAGTTGAGTCTCACTCTGTTGTTCAGGCAGGAGTGCAGTGACCCAATCATAGCTTACTGCAGCAATCCTCCTGCCTCATCCTCCCAAGTAGCTGGAACTATGGGTACATGCCACAGCACCCTACCAAGTTTTTTTTCACTTTTTATTTTTTTGAGATAGAGTTTCACTATTGTCCCCCAGGCTGGAGAGCAACAGCATCATCTCAGCTCACCGTAACCTCTGCCTCCCAGGTTCAAGTGATTCTCCTGCCTCGGCCTCCCGAGTAGCTGGGATTACAGGCACCCGTCACCATGCCCAGATAATTTTTGTATTTTTAGTAGAGATGGGGTTTCACCATGTTGGCTAGGTTGATCTCGAACTCCTGACCTCAGGTGATCCACCCTCCTCAGCCTCCCAAATTGCTGGGATTACAGGTGTGAGCCACCACACCCAGCCCCCCAGCCAAGTTTTTTATTTTTGTGGAGACCATTGGGCACTATTTTTCCCCAGTCTGGTCTCAAACTCCTGGACTCAAGTGATCATCTTGCCTCAGTCTTCCAAGTCACAGGGATTACAGGTGTGAGCCACTATGCCCAACTCTAATTATCATTTCTCATTAAAGAAACCAAGATTCTTGAAGAAATATGTGGAGACTGCTGGATGCTGGGGAAATGGTAAGATCAATGGATTGCAGTGAACGTGAAGGACACAAATTGTTGAGGTGGCATGGTTGAGTAAGTGAGCTAAAAGGAGATTATTGGAGATTTGGGGTTGAAATTTCTAAGATGGTACAGTTTTTGGTGATGCTAAGGTCTAAGTTGAGGCCAAGGCAGGCGGATCATCTAAGGTCAGGAGTTCAAGACCAGCCTGGCCAAGATGGTGAACCCTGTCTCTACTAAAAATATAAAAATTAGTTGGGCGTGGTGGCAGGTGCCTGTAAGCTACTCAGGATGCTGAGGCAAGAGAATCGCTTGAACCTGGAAGACGGAGGTTGCAGTGAACTGAGAGTGTGCCACTGCACTCCAGCCTGGGCAAGAGAGTGAGACTCTGTCTCAAAAAAGAAAGAAAACAAAAGGAAAATTAAAGAAAAGGAAAAGAAAAGAGAGAGAGGGAAGGAAGAAAGAAAGAGAGTGGAAAGCAAGAAAGCAAGAGGCCAGGTGCTGTGGCTCACGCCTGTAATCCCAGCACTTTGGGAGGCCGAGGTGGGTGGATCACGAGGCCAGGAGATCGAGACCATCCTGGCTAACATGGCGAAACCCCGTCTCTACTAAAAATACAAAAAATTAGCCAGGCGTGGCAGAGGGCACCTGTAGTCCCAGCTACTTGGGAGGCTGAAGCAGGAGAATGGCATGAACCTGGGAGGCGGAGCTTGCAGTGAGCCGAGGTGGCGCCACTACACTCCAGCCTGGGTGACAGAGCCAGACTCCGTCTCAAAAAAAAAAAAAAAAAAAAAAAAAGAAAGAGAGAAAGAAAGAGGGTCTTGCTATGTTGCCCAGGCTGATCTCAAACTCCTGTCCTCAAGTAATCCTCTGCCTCGGCCTCCCAAAGTGTTGGGATTACAGGCATGAGCCACCTGGCCTGCATCTGATTTATCTTTGAAACATCCAGGGACTAGTAAAATTGGTGCACCCAGACCAATTTTTTTTTTTTTTTTGAGACAGAATTTTGCACTTGTTGCCCAGGCTGGAGTGCAATGGCGCGATCTTGGCTCACTGCAACCTCAGCCAAGGAATTCGGGCAGCCTCTAGAAGCTGAAAAGGGAAGGAAATAGATTCTCCCCTAGGGCGTCCAGAAGGAACCCATCTTCACCAACACCTTGTAGTCCTGTAAGGCCCGTTTCAGATTCTGACCTCTAGAACTATAAGATAATAAAACTGGCCGGGCACGGTGGCTTACGCCTGTAATCCCAGCACTTTGGGAGGCCGAGGCGGGTGGATCACGAGGTCAAGAGATCGAGGCCATCCTGGACAACATGGTGAAACCCGTCTGTACTTAAAAAATACAAAAAATTAGCCGGGTGTGGTGGTGTGCACCTGTAATCCCAGCTACTTGGGAGGCTGAGGCAGGAGAATCACTTGAACCCGGGAGGCGGAGGTTGCAGTGAGCTGAGATCACGCCATTGCACTCCAGCCTGGGCAAAAAGAGCAAAACTCTGTCTCAAAAAAATAAAACTAAAATAAATAATAATAATAATAAAACTGAGTTTGTGGTAATTTGTTACAGCACCGAGAGGAAACAAATACAACTGCCTGCCACCTGCATCCTTCTCATGCGCCCCCATACATGCATGCATGCATGCATTCATTCATTCAGTGTTATGTGTTGCTCCAAACACTGAGGACACAGGAGAACAAGAGACAGGTTTCTGCCTTCAAGGGGCTTACATTCTAGAGAGTGCAGACAGCCAATGAACAACTCAGGAAATAACTTCAGTAGTAAGTGGCATGAAGAAAACGAAACAAGATACTGGGAAAGTGACCACTGCTGCTCACCTGGAGGAGTTAATTTAGACAGAGTGGTCAAGAAGGGGGGTCTCTGAGGCAGTGTCATTTGCACTAAGCTTTAAATAAGAAGGAGCCAGTTTTGTGTTGACCTGAAAGAAGAGCATTGCTGGCAGAGCAACTAGTGAGGGGATAAGGTCTGAAGGAAGAATGAGCTTGGAGGGTCTGAGGAACAGAAAGGAGGCCAGTGTGGTGGAACAGAAAGAATCATGGGGAGGCCATGGCAGAGGAGGTGGTTAGAGAGGAAGGGAGGGGCCAGACCATGCAGGGGCATATATACCACAGTAAGGAGTGTACATTTTAATTACAGAGAGAAGCTTAAGAATTTCAGTGGGGGAGTGATGAGATTGTATTTTTTTTTTTTTTTTGAGACAGAGTCTTGCTCTGTCGCCCAGGCTGGAGTACAGTGGCTTGATCTTGGCTCACTGCAATCTCCGCCTCCTGGGTTCAAGCAATTCTCTTGTCTCAGCATCCTAAGTAGCTGGGATTACAGACAAGTGCCACCACACCTGGCTAATTTTTGTATTTTTAGTAGAGACGGGGTTTCACCATGTTGTCCAGGATGGTCTCGATCTCTTGACCTCATAATCCACCGCACTAGTCTTGGCCTCCCAAAGTGTTTGGATTACAGGCATAAGCCACTGCACCTGGCCGTTTTTTTTTTTTTGTTTTTTTTTTTGTTGTTGTTTTGTTTTTTTTTTGAGATGGAGTCTAGCTCTGTTGCCCAGGCTGGAGGGCGGTGGTGTGATCTCGGCTCACCACAACCTCCGCCTCCCAGGTTCAAGCGATTTTCCTGCCTCAGCCTCCTGAGTAGCTGGGACTACAGGCATGTGCCACCACACCTGACTAATTTTGTATTTTTAGTAGAGATGGGGTTTCACTATGTTGGCCAGGCTGGTCTCAAACTCCTGACCTCATGATCTACTGCCTTGGCCTCCCAAAGTTCTGGGATTACAGGCGTGAGGCCCCACTCCCAGCCCTTTTTTTTTTTCTTTTTTAAGAGTCAGGATCTTGCTCTGTTGCCCAGACTGGAGTGCAGTGGCACTATCTTGGCTCACTGCAGCCTCGACCTCCCAGGCTCAAGGGATCCTCCCACCTCAGCCTCCCCAATAGCTGAGACTACAGTCATACACCACCACACCTGGCTAATTTAAAAAATTTTTTTTGTAGAGACGAGGTTTCACCATGTTGATCAGACTGGTCTGGGACTCCTGGGCTTAAGGGATCCTCCTGCAGCACTGGCATTACAGGTGTGAGCCACTGCACCTGGCAGTGGTTTGCTTTTTAAAATAATCAGCCTTCGCTGGGTGTGGTGGCTCATGCCTGTAATCCCAGCACTTTGGGAGGCAGAGGCGGATGGATCACTTGAGGTCAGGAGTTCAAGACCAGCCTGGCCAACATGGTGAGACACCCATCTCTGCTAAAAAAAAAAAAAAAAAAAAAAAAAAAAAAAATCAGCTGGGTGTGGTGGCACATGCCTATAATCCCAGCTACTTGGAGACTAAGGCAGGGGAATCGCTGAACCTGGGAGGTGGAGGTTGCTGTGAGCCAAGATTGCACCACTGCATTCCAGCCTGGGTGATAGAGTGAGACTCTGTCTCAGAAACTAAACTAAACTAAAACAATCAGTCTTGTTGCTGTGTGGTAAAAGAACTGTGGTGGACAAGAATAGAGGCAAGAAGGCCAGGTAGGAGGCCCCAATATAATCTAGGTGAGAGATAATGGTGGCCTGAACAAGTACCACAGCACTGAAAAAGAAATCTCTCTTCCATTTGCCCTCCAGTCACCCATTTCTTTTCCCTGGAGGCAACAACTGTTAATAGTTTCTTGAGAATCATTCTGGAAATATTCCATGCACAAACATAGCAAATGCATGTGTAATTTTTTTTTTTTTTTTTAGACGGAGTCTCGCTCTGTCGCCCAGGCTGGAATGCAGTGGCATGATCTTGGCTCATTGCAACCTCCGCCTCCAGGTTCAAGCGATTCTCCTGCCTCAGCCTCCTGAGTAGCTGGGACTACAGGCGTATGCCACCATGTCCGGCTAATTGTTTGTATGTTTAGTAGAGACGGTTTCACCATGTTAGCCAGGATGGTCTCAACCTCCTGACCTCCTGATCCGCTTGCCTCGGCCTCCCAAAGTGCTGGGATTACATGCTGTAATTGTTTTTTAAGAGGAGAATTTAGAAAGATTACTAGAAAACGGTCGGGCATGGTGGCTGACGCCTGTAATCCTAGCACTTTGGGAGGCTGAGGCGGGCGGATCACAAGGTCAGGAGATCGAGACCATCCTGGCCAACATGGTGAAACCCTGTCTCTATTAAAAATATAAAAATTAGGCCAGGCACGGTGTTTCACGCCTGTAATCTCAGCACTTTGGGAGGCCGAGGCAGGTGGATCACAAGGTCAGGAGTTCAAGACCAGCCTGGCCAACATGGTGAAACCCCTTCTCTACTAAAAATACAAAAATTAGTCGAGTGTGGTGGCGGATGCCTGTAATCCCAGCTACTTGAGAGGCTGAGGCAGAGGATTGCTTGAACCCGGGAGGCGGAGGTTGCAGTGAGCCGAGATCACGCAACTGCATTCCAACCTGGGCGACAGAGTGAGACTCTGTCTCCAAAAAAAAAAAAAAAAAAAAAAAAAATTAGCTGGGCGTGGTGGTGGGTGCCTGTAATCCCAGCTACTCAGGAGGCTGAGGCAGGAGAATGGCGTGAACCCGGGAGGCGGAGGTTGCAGTGAGCCAAGATCGCGCCACTGCACTCAGGCCTGGTGACAGAGCAAGACTCTGTCTCAAAAAAAAAAAAAAAAGAAAAGAAAGATTACTAGAAAATTAGCTGGGCATGGTGGCACATGCCTGCAATCCCAACTACTCGGGAGGCTAAGGCAAGAAGAATCGCTTGAACCCAGGAGGCAGAGGTTGCAGTGAGCTGAGATGGTGCCACTGCTCTTCAATCTGGCAAGAGTGAGACTCCATCTCAATAAAAAACCCCCAAGAAACAAAAACAAAAAAGAATGATTACTAGAAGTGTATCTTGTTTATAGAGTCATAGAGAGCTTGTTGTGTTTATACAGAAATGATTATCTTTCCTAGATAAAACTGTCCCTAGAGTAGAGGAGCAATTTACTACTCCAGCCCTAATCCTGTGCTGATGAAACAAGCCTTAGTTTTATAGTTTGGTCTCCTGAGTTAACTTCCCGGATAGGAGGGACTATCCCAAGAAAGTGACTGATGTTAGTTGTTTATTTTTTTTGAAATGGAGTCTCGATCTGTCGCCCAGGCTGGAGTGCAGTGGTGAGATCTCGGCTGACTGCAACCTCTGCCTCCTGGATTCAAGCAGTTTTCTACCTCAGCCTCCCGAGTAGCTGGGATTACAGGTGCCTGCCACCATGCCCGGCTAATTTTTCGTATTTTTAGTAGAGACGGGGTTTCACTTCTTGGCTAGGCTGGTCTTGAACTCCTGACCTCGTGATCCACCTGCCTCAGCTTCCCAAAGTACTGGGATTACAGGTGTGAGCCACCACGCCCAGCCTGGTTTACCTATTTATTTTGATCGTTATTTTAGAGTGTACTCTTTCTGCTTAAAAGAAACAAGTTGGTCAGGCACAGTGACTCATACCTGTAACCCCAGCACCTTAGGAGGCCGAGGTGGGTGGATCACCTGAGGTCAGGAGTTCAAGACCAGCCTGGCCAACATGGTGAAATCCCCATCTCTACTAAAAATACAAAAAATTAGCCGGGCATGGTGGCGCACACCTGTAGTCCCAGCTACTTGGAAGGCCAAGGCAGGAGAATCGCTTGAAGCCAGGAGACAGAGGTTGCAGCGAGTTGAGATTGTGCCATTGCACTCCAGCCTGGACAACAAGAACAAAACTCCGTCTCAAAAAAAAAAAAAAAGAAAAAAAAAAAAGAAACCAGTTAACTGTGAAACAGCCTCCGGCAGGTCTTTAGGAGGTATTCCAGAAAAAGGCATGTTATCACAAAAGGTGAGTGTTATTGCCCCTGAAGATCTTCCAGTGGGACAAGATGTGGAGGTGGGAGGCCCAGGCGGGTGGATTGATGATCCCGTCCCTGGGTAGGCCTAGGCTAATGTATGTGTTCATGTCTTAGTTGTCTTTTCCTTTTTTTTTGAGATGGAGTCTCGCTCTGTCACCCAGGCGAGAGTGCAGTGGCACAATCTCGGCTCACTGCAAGCTCTGCCTCCCGGGTTCATGCCATTCTCCTGCCTCAGCCTCCCGAGTAGCTGGGACTACAGGCGCCTGCCACCACGCCTGGCTAATTTTTTTGTATTTTTAGTAGAGACGGGGGTTTCACTGTGTTAGCCAGGATGGTCTCGATCTCCTGACCTCGTGATCTGCCCACCTCGGCCTCCCAAAGTGCTGGGATTACAGGCGTGAGCCACCGTGCCTGGCCTCTTTTCTTTTCTTTTGAGAAAAGGTCTTCCTCTGTTGCCCAAGCTGGAGTGCACTGGTGTGATCTCAGCTCACTGTAATGTCTGCCTCTGGGCTCAAGCGATCCTGTCACCTTACCCTTCCGAGTAGCTGGGACGAGAGAGGCACACGCTACCATACCTGGCTATTTTTTTTTTTTTTTTTTTTTTTTGTAGAGACAGGGGTTTCACCATGTTGCCCAGGCTGGTCTTGAACTCCTGGACTCAAGCAGTCCTCCCATCCTGGCCTTCCCAAAGTGCTGGGATTATAGGCATGAGCTACCGTGCCCGGACATGTCTTAGTTTTTATTTTTATTTTTTATTTTTTGAGACAGAGTTTTGCTTTGTCACCCAGGCTGGAGTGCAGTTGCGCCATTTCGGCTCACTGGAACCTCTGCCTCCTGGGTTCAAGCGATTATTGTGCTTCAGCCTCCCGAGTAGCTGAGATGACAGGTGCGTGCCACCATGCCTGGCTATTTTTTTGTACTTTAGTAGACACAGGGTTTCACCATGTTGCCCAGGCTGCTCTCGAATTCCTGGCCTCAAGCAATCCACCCACCTTGGTCTCCCAAAGTGCTGGGATTACAGGTGTGAGGCACTGCGCCCGGCCCATGTCTTAGTCTTTAATAATTTTTTTTTTTTTTGAGACAGAGTCTTGCTCTGTTGCCAGGCTGGAGTGCAGTGGCAGGATCTCGGCTCACTGCAACCTCTGCCTCCCAGGTTCAAGTGATTCTTCTACCTCAGCCTCCCGAGTAGCTGGGACTATAGACGCACACCACCACGCCCAGCTAATTTTTGTATTTTTAGTAGAGATGGGGTTTCACCATGTTGGCCAGGATGGTCTCAATCTCTTGACCTTGTGATCTGCCTGCCTCGGCCTCCCAAAGTGCTGGAATTACAGGCGTGAGCCACTGCACCCGGCCAAAAAAAATTTTAAGTAAAAAGATCAAGAATTTTTAAAATAGAAAAAAGCTTATAGAATAAAGATATAAAGAAAGAAATATTTTTGTACAGCTGTACAAAGTGTTTGTGTTTTAAACTGTTATTACAAAAGAGTTAAAAAGGTAAAACAGTTGATAAGTCTATAAAGTAAAATAATTATAGTAACCTGGTGCCAGAGGCAGTGGCTCGTGCCTGTAATCCCAGCACTTTCAGAGGCCAAGGTGGGAGGATTGCTTGAGCTCAGAAGTTCAAGACAAGCCTCCCCTGCTAGTTGAGTGAGATCTCGTGTCTACAAAAACAAACAAACAAACAAAAAACAACAACAACAAACAAACAAGAAAAGAAAAGGAAAATTAGCCAAGCATGATGGAGCATGCCTGTAGTCCCAGTACTCAGGAGGCTAAGGCAGGAAGATCCATTAAGCCTGGGAGGTAGAGGCTGTAATGACCCATGATTGTGCCACAGCACTCAAGTGTGGGTGACAAGAGTAAGACCCTGTCTCCAAAAAAAAAAAAAAGAAAGAAAAAAAAAGTTACAGTAAGCTAAGGTTAATTTATTATTGAAGAAAAAATATTTAAAACAAATTTGCTGAGCACGGTGGCTCACGCCTGTAATCCCAGCACTTTGGGAAGCCGAGGCAGGCGGATCACGAGGTCAGGAGTTTGAGAGCAGCCTGACAAACATGGTGAAACCCCGTCTCTACTAAAAATACAAAAATTAGCTGGGCATGGTGGCACACTCCTGTAATTCCAGCTACTCCAGGAGACTGATGCAGGAGAATCGCTTGAACCCAGGAGATGGAGGTTGCAGTGAGCCGAGATCGCGCCACTGCACTCCAGCCTGGGCGACAGAGCGAGACTGCATCTCAAAAATAAAAAATAAAATAAATAAATAAATAAATAAATAAATTTAATGTAGCCTAAGTGTACAGTCTTTATAAAGTCAATGGTAGTATACAGTTATATCCTAGGCCTTCACATTCACTCACTACTCACTGACTCACCCAGAGCAGCATCTAGTCTGGCAAACTCCATTTATGGTAAGCACCCCATGCAGGTGTACCATTTTTAATCTTTTTTTTTTTTTTTTTGAGACACAGTCTCACTCTGTCACCCGGGCTGGAGTGCAGTGGTGTAATCTTGGCTCACTGCAACCTCCGCCTCCTGGGTTCAAGCGATTCTCCTGCCTCAGCCTCCGGAGTAGCTGGGGTTACAGCCGCCTGCCACTATGCCTAGCTAATTTTTTGTATTTTTAGTAGAGATGGGGTTTCACCATGTTGGTCAGGCTGGTCTCAAACTCCTGACCTCGTGATTCACCTGTCTCAGCCTCCCAAAGTGCTGGGATTACAGGCGTAAGCCACTGCGCCCTGCCCATTTATTTATTTATTTATTTATTTATTTATTTATTTATTTATTGAGACAGAGTCTCACTCTGTCGCCCAGGCTGGAGTGCAATAGTGCGATTTCGGCTGACTGCAAACTCTGCCTCCCGGGTTCAAGTGATTCTCCTGCCTCAGCCTCCCGAGTAGCTGGGATTACAGGTGCCCACCACCACACCCAGCTAATTTTTGTATTTTTTGTAGAGACAGGGTTTCGCCAGCTTGGCCAGGCTGGTGTTGAACTCCTGACCTCAGGTGATCCACCCGCCTCAGCCTCCCAAAGTGCTGGGATTACAGGCATGAGCCATCGTGCCCGGCCCATTTATTTGTATTTTTTGAGATAGAGTCTCGCTCTGTTGCCCAGGCTGGAGTGCTGTAGCGTGATCTCGGCTCAGTGCAACCTCTGCCTCCCGGGTTCAAGCAATTCTCTGCCTCAGCCTCCCAAGTAGCTGGGATTACAGGCGCTAACCACCACAACCAGCTAATTTTTTGTATTTTTAGTAGAGATGGGATTTCACCATGTTGGCCAGGCTGGTCTTGAACTCCTGACCTCGTGATCCACCCGCCTCGGCCTCCCAAAGTGCTAGGATTACTGGCGTGAGCCACTGAGCCCGGCCCATTTTTAATCTTTTATGCCATAGTTTTACTGTTCGTTTCCTTCCTTCCTTCCTTCCTTCTTTCCTCCCTCCCTCCCTCCCTCCCTCTTTCTTTCTTTTTTTTCTCAAGATGGAGTCTTGCTTTGTTGCCTAGGCTGGAGTGCAATGGCGCGATCTTGGCTCACTGTAACCTTCGCCTCCAGGGTTAAAGCAATTCTCCTGCCTCAGCCGCACAAGTAGCTGGGACTACAGATACCTGCCACCACGCCTGGCTAATTTCTGTATTTTTAGTAGAGACGGGGTTTCACCATGTTGGTCAGGCTGGTCTTAAACTCCTGGTCTCAAGAAATCAGCCCGCCTCAGCCTCCCAAAGTGTTGGGATTACCAGCATGAGCCACAGTGCCTGGCCTACTGTATCTTTTCTATGTTTAGATACACAAATATCATTATGTTACAATTGCCTACAGCGTTGAGTACAGTAGCATGCTGCATAGGTTGGTAGCCTGGGAGTAATAGACTCTACCATATGGCCTTGGTGTGTAGTAGACTATACCATCTAGGTTTGTGTAAGTACACTCTAAGATGTTCATATGACAAAACTGCCTAAGGATGAATTTCTCAGAACATATCCCTGTTCTTGAGGACACATGACTCTATTTACATATGAGAAAAGAAAGCATATGTCCACACAGACTTTGTACACAAATGTTTGTAGCAAGTTTTTTTTCTTTTTCTTTTTTTTTTTTTTTTGAGTCTCACTCTGTCACGCAGGCTGGAGTGCAGTGGCACGATCTGGGCTCACTGCAACCTCCACCTCCCGGGTTCCGGCAGTTCTCCTGCCTCAGCCTCCCAAGTAGCTGGGATTATGGGCGCCTGCCACCATGCCTGGCTAATTTATATGTTTTTAGTATACACACATATATACTGTGGGATTCCATTTATGTACGATTCTACAATTCTAGAAATGCAAACTAATCTATAGTTGCAGAAAGCAGGTCAGTGGTTGCCTGGGGACAGTGCTGGGAGTGGCAGGATGGTGAGATTACAAAGGAGCAAGAGGCAACTTCTGGGGTGATCTATATGTTAATTATCTTGAGTATGGTGATGGTTTCATGGGTATACACTTGGGTATATGTCAAAACTTCGGCCAGTCGCAGTGGCTCATGCCTGTAATCCCAGCACTTTGGGAGGCGGAGGCAGGCTGATCATGGGGTCAGGAGTTCAAGACCAGCCTGGACAACATGGTGAAGCCCCGTCTCTACTAAAAATACAAAAATTAGTGGGCCTCGTGGCACATGACTGTAATCCCAGCTACTCGGGAGGCTGAGGCAGTATAATTGTTTGAACTTGGGAAGCGGAGGTTGTAGTGAGCCGAGATGGCGCCATTGCACTCCAGCCTGGGTGACAGAGTGAGAGTCTGTCTCAAAAAAACAAACACAAAACTTTTCAAATTGTACACGTTAAATACCTACAATGTATTATACTTCAATTATCCTCAATAAATCTGCAAAAAAACACTGATTTTTTTTTTAAGACTTACAGAGTAAGACTGGGCCAAAAATAGTAACCACTGCCATTTGTAATGTTGCATTATCTGGCAGGTTCTTTTTTTTCTTTTTTTTTTGAGACGGAGTCTCGCTCTGTCGCCCAGGCTGGAGTGCAGTGGCGTGATCTCGGCTTACTGCAAGCCCCGCCTCCCGGGTTCACACCATTCTCCTGCCTCAGCCTCCCGAGAAGCTGGGACTACAGGCACCCGCCACCACGCCCGGCTAATTTTTTTTTTGTATTTTTTAGTAGAGATGGGGTTTCGCCATGTTAGCCAGGATGGTCTCGATCTCCTGACCTCGTGATCCACCCGCCTCGGACTCCCAAAGTGCTGGGATTACAGGCGTGAGCCACCGCGCCCGGCCTATCTGGCAGGTTCTTTGCAAAGTCCTTTGCAAAGATTATTTCATTTAGTTCTCAAAATGTTCTTGTGAAGTGTTTTTAAATTAATTTTTGGAGGTTTAGATAGAGTAACTTGCCCAAAGCTACACACAAAGCTACCAAAGAGCGAAGGAAGGACTCAAACTTAGGTCTGTCAGACTCCGAAGCTGGGCTCTTAACTCCTGCACGACACTGCCCTCTATGGTCATCCCGAGGTACTAACATCAATGAGGCCTGGTTAACTACTCATGACATCATCTTTAACTGTAGCCTGAGAAAGTCACCCAATTTTCTTTTTCTTTTTTTTTTTTTCCAGAAAGAATTTCGCACTTTCGCCAGGCTGGAGTGCAGTGGCATGATCTTGGCTCACTGCAACCTCCACTTCCAGGTTCAAACTATTCTCCTGCCTCAGCTTCCCAAGTAGCTGGGATTATAGGCGCGTGCCATCACGCCCGGCTAATTTTGTATTTTTTAGTAGAGATGGGGTTTCCCCGTGTTGGTTAGGTTGGTCTCAAACTCCTGACCTTAGGTGACCCACCCGCCTCAGCCTCCCAAAGTGTTGGGATTACAGCCGTGAGCCAGGGCGCCTGATCCGGAAGTCACCTTTCATTCAGAGTGCCTGAATCAGGGTAAATAGTGCATTATACTAGAAAAAAGGATGTGTCTTCAGGACTTCTTTCTGGGGTCCAGGGATGTGGGAGGGAGACTGTATTCCTCTTCCCCACCCCAATCGATCTCCTCCTCTCCTAGTGCTCCCCACACCCCTCCCAATGTTTCTGGGCCTATCTCACCTTGCTGCCTTCCCACACATTCTCATATTTCAGAAATGATGAGTCCAACACTGATCTAAGAGAGTAGAGAGAAAAGGTTAGGAAAATAGCCTTGGGAGGCAGCTGTGAAGTCAGGGTCCCTGGGCCTGTAGATAGTGAGTTGGGACTCCAAGTCACACTGCACACTTGGCTTGTGAGCATGATGTTCACCATGGCTCAGTTGCACCTATTCGTGCAGTCACCACCAGAAGCCCAAGCCTCCAGCTCATTCCACGTCTCTCAGATTCTGGTTCTCATGCAGTCCTTTCTGACCCCATTTGCACTCTTCCCCATCTCCTGAAACCCTTTCACAGCTTTCTGGAACCCAGGATTCATCATCAATAAAATCCTCCAAATGCAACATTCCCTTCACCATCTGCTCTGCAGTATAGTCCACAGACCAGTTGCATCACAATCACTTGGGACACTATTAAAATGCAGATTCCTGGCCAGGCGCGGTGGCTCACGCCTATAATCCCAGCACTTTGGGAGGCTGAGGTGGGCTGATCCCTTGAGATCAGGAGTTCAAGACCAGCCTGGCCAACATGGTGAAACCCTATCTCTACTAAAAATACAAAAATTAGCCGGGCATGGTGGCGGGCACCTGTAATCCCAGCTACTGGTAGGCTGAGGCAGGATAATCACTTGAACCCGGGAGGCGGAGGTTGCAGTGAGCCGAGATCGGGCTACCGCACTCCAGCCTGGGTAAGAGAGAGAGACTCCATCTCAAAAACAACAAAGTTTGGGATTATTAAGACGAAAAACTAAGTCAATTCTTACCAGCTAGGTTCTTGAAAGTAGAATCTATGGAGACAATCAAACAACATACTCTGCGCTTAGAATGCAGAGTATGTTGTGAGTTTGTAAACCCACAGAAGAGGTAGTAGTTAGGACCCACGTGACAGGCTGTGACTCTAGACACTTCAAGAGGAATCTTGGATCAGCTCTGTAAGTACACCCACAATCACGATTTACTATTTGAATCTGGTTCTGTTGAGCAAGCTGGACTTTGGGATCACTCAGATTCAGTACCCATTTTTGCCTTGGACCTCTTAATTTTCTTCTATCACTTCCTGTTTACCCTTGGTGTGATCAGGTTGCAAGGGGCACTGATGTCTTGAGACTCCCTGAAGGATATAGATTATCGCCTACATTCAGTGCTCTTACACACTCCGGGTTTGCCACAGATATTCCAGTACAAACACTGGTGTACTGACAGTCAAGTCAGGTCAGCAGTTCTTGTCTCAGATTTCTGTTGGGGAGTGCATTCCAATTAACAGAACCTCCACATTCTAAAATCTCTACCCGTTCCTTAGGCTGGGTGCAGTGGCTCACACCTATAATCCCAGCACTTTGGGAGGCCGAGGCAGGTGGATCATTTGAGGTCAGGAGTTTGAGACCAGCCTGGCCAACATGGTGAAACCCCATCTCTACCAAAAAAATAAACTAGCTGGTGCATGCTTGTAATCCCAGCTATTTGGGAGGTTGAGGCAGAACTGCTTGAAAGGGGGCAGGGGTGCAGGTGACTCCCAAGTGTCTAAAATCTCCAAGCTATACAGGTGTTACCTTTCACTGGCGAAGTCAGTAACAATTTACTCCCAAATAGATTTTTTTTTTCCTGAATTCTAGGACAAATTAAACTATTGTCATACAGACAAAAATAAGGTAGAGCCTTTCTCTACCTTATATTTCCGGGATGTCTCGTTTCTAGAAATGCCTTTAGTGTCTTTTCCAAGGTAGGAAGATGAGCATCTGAACATTAATCCTTTTATGCTCTGAAGCTATCCAAGTCATACATCCACTATTCAAGTTCCCCCTCCAGGGGTATAAACACCTCAGTTTAGGTCACTTCCCAATGTGCTCCTCACTCAACTAATAGCTTTTCCTCATTCTCCTAATGTTTACCCATTTTTAGGATGCCAACTTAAACTTGATGTGGTTAAATCCAAAATTCAGATGCCTAATCTCCATTTCACACAGCTATGCGAATTGTGAGGCCAACCATACGACCACAATTAAAGTTTAATTTACATAAATAGCTAGGCGAGGTGGCTCAAGCCTGTAATCCCAGCACTTTGGGAGGCCAAGGCTGGTGGATTAACTGAGGTCAGAAGTTCAAGACCAGCCTGGACAACATAGTGAAACCCCATCTCTACCAAAAATACAAAAATTAACCAGGCATGGTGGCAGACACCTGTAATCCCAGCTACTCAAGAAGCTGAGGCAGGAGAATCACTTGAACCCGGGAGACGGAGGTTGCAGTGAGCTGAGATCACGCCACTGCAATTCAGCTTGGGCGACAAAGACTCCGTCTCAAAAAAAAAAAAAAAAAAAAGAAAAAAATTAAATTACATGAATAAGCTTTCTTCCCCATGAAAATAATGTGTGTCACTTCACACTTGGTCTAACACACAAAATCCCCACCTTATCTGGCACAGATACACTTAACATGCAATATTAAGTACAATTTCCATTTTATTTTTCTCCAGAGAATAGCCTGTCTTCAGTCTTTAAGAACTCAGCTCCTTACATGGGCTTTGGTGGGGGACGTGGGGCAGCACCCTGAAAGACAAAGAAACAAAAGAGTAAATTAAAACCCATGGATCCAAGACTCCCTTCCCCCAAAGAACTTGACCACCATCCTCTCACAAACTGATGTATTCAGGCTACAAATGCATGGGAAGCTGATAGAGGTGGAGGGAGAACACTACTCTGCATCCTAAAAACCAATTCTGATTCTAACACTGCTTTGCAGTGTCTCTAAGCATGTTCAGGTGTGGGTCTCACCTGCCTTACAGCTTAACCTGAGGCACAGACCTTAATTTGATACCCCCTGCACCACAGGAGGAAGCAACTTTTTTTTTTTTTTAAGAGACAAGGTCTCACTTTTGCCCTGGCTGGAGCGCAAGTGGTATAATCATAGCTCACTGCAACCTCAAACTCCTGGGCTCAAGTGATCCTCCTGCCTCAGCCTCTCGAGCAGCCAGACTATAGGTTCACACTATCATGCTTGGCTTCCTTCTCAATATTTTTTGAAGAGATGGGGTCTTGAACTGCTGGTTTCTAGCAATCTTCTTGTCCCAGCCTCCCAAAGTGTTGAGGTTACAGGTATAGGACACCCTGACCCTCCAGGATGAAATTTTAACCATCACTCCCCTGGCTTCCATTCTCCTTTTAAAATACTCACCGCAGGTCTAAATCGGGGTGGGGGTGTTCGGTCCTTGCGGGCTTCACGAGATCGATTCCTGACTACTTTGCTGTGAATTGCACAACTCACACAGTAATGTAGCTTCACATACAGCTTGGGAAGCACATAGGCTAAGGAATAGAAAATAGAGTTATACTGGTATTATATACCTACCTTGCTTTTTTGTTACATGAATGAAGAGCACCTTACATGTTTACGTCAATTAAAACTAAACCTATTTAAATGCCTGTCGGGCACATAAAAGCACCCCCAAAGCACCTGTTCAGCCCAATACCTGAGCACATATGTATAACCCTCAGTTTTACAAGTGAATTAACATCCCACGTGAGTTCATCTTGACACCGCAAGGACCAGACTGACATTCTAAATGCAATAAACCAATAATCCAGTTCCTTCTACACCTACACCCGCCCTAATGCCTACCCTGAACCTTGCTCTTTCTATAAAAGGAAAAAAACAAAGCGACGTTCTTATTGCTCCAAACATCATCCTTGCACACCAAACTAGACGGCCTCCATTCTCGAAACGTTGAAGACATTCTTCCTCACCTGTATATTTTCACAAATATTCAAATAATCAATAGCACAAGAATTGTCAAATTTACCAAGTTTCTAGTTTTTGCAATCTCATAACCGAAACAGGCAAACCTTTACCTCAGAGTAAAGGCTGTGCACTCTATCACAAAGTCACCCTCTGCCCAGAAAAGAATCAAAACGGCAAACAAGAGAATTCTCTTCTACCAGTAACAACCTTAAATACGTGGAAATTGCCTGAGAGGCTCCAAAGAACAGAGCCTCCAAAAGGGCGAAGTTGGGCGAAGGCTTTAAGATACTGGGATCCTCACACAGTTCGCGCCGGTGACCCACTTACCATCGAAGACGCTCGCTTCAGAAATGTCCCTGACTGCTGCGGCCTCCACTATGTTTCGAATGACGAATTTCTTAATGGCCTTGTCCTTGGGCACGCATCGGGCACAGTTAGTGCAGCGAATAGGCTGCACGTGGCCGCGGCCCTTTTTGGCACGACCATTGTTCCTTCTTTTCTTTGTCTGCGACAGGATGGGAAAACTGTTAGGAAAACGGCGCAACTCACCCAGCCTCAGTCCCTTTCCGGCCACAAGCCGCACCGGCAGCCTCCAGGAAGGCGCCGCTCGGATCTCCTGTTTCTCCGCAAATCCCGCCGACCCCCAGAGCAAATGAAATGTACACTCGGTCCACCCCTCAGCCGTGCTCCAGGCTCTCACTTCCCCACAATCCCAGAGTCTGCACCCGAACCCCCACCCTCACCACGCAAGAAGACTCACCATCTTGGAGGCACGGACCGGAGAGAGGAGACGGTGCCTGGCAGGGCCCTCCTATATAGCATGAGATCCCTACGCGGACACCGGGAGAATCCTTAGGAGACGGGCTTCAAGAACGGCAACTCACTTTACTCAAATATTCCTTTACATTCAGCATTTCTGCTGAAATCTAGGGTGGAAATGCGTTCCTAGTGTTTATTTATCCATGGAACAAAGTGCACATGGGACTATTTAGCCGGATGGCGGAAGAAAATCGAGGTTATGTGTCTCCCAGCAAGCCTTGCGCCGCGCCGACTCGGAAGCAATTCTGGACGATGCAGTTTTCCGGTATACGCGACGCTAGGCGTGAAAGTTGCCAGACGCTGGACCACAAGGCGCACTCGTTATTAGAGGCCAGAGAGGGACAGATGCTTGGTGGGAATTGTAGTGCGAAGCCAAGAGGCTCCCCCCTCCCCCCCTTCCCCCCTGCCCCAAGTGCTTAGACCGAAGGCGGCGCTGCGCCACCGGGGGACGCCCTGGGCTCATTTCTCTGACAGTCCTTCTACTAGGTAGGTGTAGGATTACGAAGAGGAAGGCCTGAGAGGAAACAAGCATTTTGTGAATCCCTCCTTCCAATATGGAGAAAATCCCACAATGAAGTGCATTGAGGCTGGGGCTATTTCTCATTCATCTTTTTATCTCTGGCACAGTGCCTGGCCCTGTGGTAAGCGTCTTTATAAATATTAACTCATTTAACTTTGAGCAAGCCTATAGGTAGCTACTATTATTATCCTCACTTTAAAGATTGAAGAATTTAGCCCGGCCTGGTGGTGGGCGCCTGTAATCCCAGGTACTCAGGAGGCTAAGACAGGAGAATCTTGAACCTGGGAGGCGGAGTTTCCAGTGAGCCGAGATCGCGCCACTGCACTCTAGCCTGGGTAAAAAGATCGAAACTCTGTCTCAAAAATAAATAAATCAATTAAAAAAAAAGATTGAAGAACTGACGTGCAGTAGGTATTCTGGCTCCGCTGTACTATGCTGTATGTCACCTAACAAATGGATGGAGGAATAGCCTGGACTAATGACTTAAACGTTTTTCACCCAGATTCATAGCACGAATACATTTTACATTGGTACCCAGTACACACACAAACACGATTACATGCACATGCAAAACTGAAACACAAGCTTTATGAAACGATACTTACCCTTGTCATAGGTGTGCTGGTATGTTCTATTCTTTATTTTTACTTAATCTTTCTGTTCTCTATTTTAATAAATGCTGATCAAAAACCACGAAAATTATTTCACCACTCATTAGTGAATCTGACCCCTAATTGAAAGATTATGTGTAAGCTCCATTTACCTCTGAAGAGCCATCGGAAAGACTTAAGCCTTAGGCTGGGTGCAGTGGCTCACGCCTGTAATCCCAACACTTTGGGAGGCCAAGGCAGGCGGATCACCTGAGGTCAGGAGTTCAAGACCAGCCTAGTCAACATAGTGACACCCCACCTCTACTAAAAATATAAAAATTAGGCCTGGTGGCGCACACCTGTAATCCCAGCTACTCGGGAGACTGAGACAGGAGAATTGCTTGCACCCGGGAGGCAGAAGTTGCAGTGAGCTGAGATTGGGCTACTGTGCTACAGTCTGGGCAATAGAGCGAAACTCTGTCTCAAAAAAAAAAAAAAAAAAAGCAAGCAAGCTTCAGCCTGGCAGGAATGGCTGTCCACAGCCAACCACCCAGTTGTCTCCAAAGTTGAAGACACTAGGGTGGCAAGGGGACCTCCTAGCATTCAGACCCAGGATGGTACAGATGGAAACCATTGTTCATTTATGACTCACTCTAGAGTTTGAACACACCAGATTCACCTTCCCTCCAGCAACCCATCATGGTTTCTTTTAACCTTTAACCCACTTCTTGGGGCTAAAATCTGTTTTCTTACTTTCTTTTTTCTTTTCCTTTCTTTTTTTATTTTTATTTTTGAGACAGACTCTTGCTCTGTCACCCAGGCTGGAGTGCAGTGGTGCCATCTCAGCTCACAGCAACCTCTGCCTCCCGGGTTCAAGCGATTCTTCTGCCTCAGCCTCCCGAGTAGGTGGGACTACAGGTGGGCGCCACCATGCCCAGCTAATTTTTGTATTTTTAGTAGAGACAGGGTTTCACCATGTTGGCTGGGACAGTCCCGATCTCTTGACCTCGTGATCCATCCACCTCAGCCTCCCAAAGTGCTGGGATTATAGGTGTGAGCCACTGCACCCGGCCCCAGCTAATTTTTGTATTTTTAGTAGAGATAGGGTTTCGCCATGTTGCCCAGGCTGGTCTCGAACTCCTGAGCTCAGGATATCCACCCGACTCGGCCTCCCAAAGTGCTAGGATTACAGGCGTGAGCCACTGTGCCCAGACTTTTTTTTTTTTTTTTCAGATGGAGTCTTGCTCTGTTGCCTAGGCTGGAGTGCAGTGGTGCGATCTTGGCTCACTGCAACCTCCGCCTCCTGGGTTCAAGCGATTCTTCTGCCTCAGCCTCCCAAGTAGCTGGCACTACAGGCACGTACCACCATGCCCGGCTAATTTTTTGTATTTTAGTAGAGACGGAGTTTCACCATGTTGGCCACATGGTCTTGATCTCCTGACCTCGTGATCCGCCTGCCTCAGCCTCCCAGAGTGCCAGGATTACAGGCATGAGCCACTGTGCCCAGCGCTTTTTTTTCTTTTTTAAGATGGGTCTGGAGGCTGCAGTGGCATGATCACAGTTCAGTGCAGGCTTGACCTCCTGGGCTCAAGTGATCCTGCCGTCTCAGCTTTCCGAGTAGCTGGGACTACAGGCATGCACCACCATGCCTAGCTAATTTTAAAATTTCTTGTAGAGATGGTGTTGCCCTGTGTTGCTGAGGCTGTTCTCAAACTCCTAGGCTCAAGTGATCCTCCCAAGTAGCTGGGAGGACAGGTGTCCTCCACCACTTCCAGCTTTCCTGTCTGTTTTGACTTTGAATTTGCCAGTTTCAGTGGGACATGGAAAATAATAGACTCTAGATAGGAGTGTCTCTAATTTTCACTTCACTGTAATCTTGTGGAAAACAGAAGGCAGACATTACTATATGGAATAGCAATGAGGTAGATGGAAGAGAACATAAAAAAGTTCAGAGTGAAGAGAACAGAAAATAGTTACTATTTAAGACAGAAACAAATTTATGTTCCTACTTTGGATTTTTCTAGCTTAGGGGTTTCACTGGCTGCATTCCCTGGCATAAAGCGATGAGCACATGCTTTGGATCACACACCCCTGGGTTCAAATTCTGGTTCTGTCACTTACTGGCTGATGAGCCTTGGATAAGGTATTTATTCTCTCTTGGGCTTTTATTTTTTTACCAATAATTGTGATCATCCTTTTGTAGGTGTTTCTACAATTCAATGAGTACTTAGCATTTATGAGATGCTCAAGCAGTGGTAGACCCTATGATTGTCATCATTCGCATTATTTCACCCTGGGCATAGAATGTGTTTTGTGCACAGTAGGTACTCAACAAATGTTTGATTAATTTCTACTTTGGGTAGACAGGCAAGTCAGACTTTCTCTCCTATCCTGAAGGCACTCCTTCCTGGTAGGAAAATCTCCTCCATTTCCCAGTCTAGGCTGAAAATTCTTCGTTTTTGTTTACCTCCTAAACTGTTCAGTAGTTGGTATAACATACTGCAAGGAGGACCCCTCCCTCTTAGTAGAAAAGCAAGGCAAAGGAAGTCTGCAAAAACAACCAGAGGTGTTAAATTACTCATGTTTATTTATAACAGACTTTCAGCCAGTACAGTACAAAACTTACAGTAGTATATCTCCGTTACACAAATATTTACTTACAATATATTACATATACAAAATGCTTTGCAATAAGTCTCAAAAGCTAGTTTAACTCCCCTTGAGAAAGGAGAAAAACTCTTTAAAAAAGGGGGGGAGGGGAATCAGAAGAAGAGAGGAGGAGGTGAAGGGGTAAAGGTCAAAAGAGACACCAAACATAGGCTACAAAGGAAACCCTAGGAGAGAGGGAGAAGAGAGGTGGTATTGCACTTGCTTCTGTGTTTATTTTTTCTTTTTGTTCTTCATAACTTCTGATTAAAAATATATATATATATGTATATATATATATTATGTACACAAGGAAAGAAGCTGCCAGAAGTATTACAAAATCCTATCTGCAGCTTGGACACTGACACAAAAAAACAAAGGTCTGGAAAAGTGTCTACTTAGAAATATTTTGTTGGTGGTATTGATTTTGAATAGCAATATAAAAGGAAACACCTCTTTTCTCCATGTGGGTTTCAGTGTGTGTGTATTTTTTTTTCTTTTTCTTTACTTTTTTTTTTATGCAAAAGGAGCTGGGAGAGAGCATGAGGATGTTTGAGGTTCCAGAGCTGGAAGGCTCTGAAAAGTAGGATTTTGTACCTAAGACCCTGGTTAAAGTGCAGTGATGGTCTGGAGAGAGACAGGATGCCCCCTCTCCCCTCCTTAGCACCTGGTCTTGCCCTTCCAGTCTCTGCTCTCATGGGCACAGAGTATAGCCTCAGAGCATAGTCCTTCATGTTCCGGGAGGTTACAGGTGCCACAGTTGACTGGGGAAGGGGATGGGGGCACCCTAAGGCTCTGATACCCCAGAAGGGACTAGTCCTTATGAAGTGTCACCAAATACACAGCAGACACAGAAGAGGTGGGAGGCGGTAGGTCTAACAGGAAGGGCTCAATAACCAGAATAGTTCAGGAAAAGCCCAGATATTAATCTCAGCTCTGCTGACATTCTAAAAAGGAGCTAGCACCCCAGGGTGCCGTTGAGGATTCTTCCTTTCTCTAGAGACTACTCTGCTCTGAGCTAACCTCCCCATTTTCTGCCCTTGGCAGCATCTATTTATTGCTACATTGTCAAGGAGGAACAATTGCCCCACAATGCTTCTCCCTGCCAATCTGGTTCTCTTGGGGAAACCTCAGAGTGGGGGAGAAAAAGGAGGACAAAGAGGAGAAAGTTTTTTAGGGTCTCCCTTCCCATAAGAAGGCAAGGTAGACTCCTCTCAGAGCCCTTAAGGCCCTAATCCCAGGGTCTGTTCCTTAGCCCACCCTTTACCATCCCCCCCCAAAATATCCCTGATAGGGAGTGAGAAAAGTAGGAGGTAAAAGAGCCAATAAGGAAAGGACATGTGGAAAGAAAGATGGAAGGGGAAGGAAGGGAAGAGAAAAGGAGAGAGAGAAGGACCAAGAGTTACAACTTGTGAGGTGTTGTGTTTGGTTTTTACTTTTTTTTTTCTTTAAACATAGAAAAACAGCCTTTGGTTTGAATCTCAAGGAAGCAGAGAGTGGGATGGCTGTGGCCTTGGGCAGAAAACTCTTGTAGAAAGAAACCTCCACTTGCAGTGGAGTTGTATCTCCTTCTGCCCCTTCTCACTAATCCTAGGTTACTCAAATAGCCAAGGGTCTCTGCAGTAGCCAGCAGTCCCCCCTCCTACCCTGTGTCTGGGAGCTGAGTGTAGAAGGGGGTAGTAAAGGAAGACCCCAGTTCAGTTGTACCCATCCCAGTCTTGCTGGAACAAGGGTGGAATGGGGTGAAGGGCACGTGCCCGTGCTCATGCTGGGATAATTTTTGGTTATACTGAAAATTAGAAGAGAGAAAAGAGATACCCGTTTCTCCCTGCCACTGATCCTAAGAACAGGGCCCAGGAGCCCGGGAATGAGAGGGTGAATCCTGCTGGGAGGGAGCAGCAGAAGGCAGCATGACTGAGGGGCTGAAACAACCCCTTGTCATCAGGCAGCAACCCACTAGTTTCTCATAGGATGGGGACTGAAGGAGCCCCTGAGAGCCTAGGAAGGTCACTATAGTGAAGAAGTTTGAGAGGTGGAGGAGAAAGAGAAGAATTTTGACCCACTCCTTTCCCATGCCCTGGTTCCCAATTAGGCACCTGTGGCTCCCAATCTGTCAGAGACAGAGGGTTGCAGACCTAGCCTTGGCCCCTGAGAATATAAAATTGGGGCACTCCAAGGAGAGAAAAGCCACCACTTAATAGACCGGTAGGTTGAAGGGACTAGAGCGTGTGGAGGGGTAGTTCAAGGAGAGGGACCAGATCTATCACATCCTAGAGGGAGATCCTGAATGTAGGCTTTGAGAACTCATATTACTAGGGGAATATGACCTATTACTAGGGGAATAGGACTCTCAGTCCCACAGTGCCTGGGGAGAATTTCTTCAGTCCCTCCTACTTCCAAATGAGGAAATAATTCTTCATTCATTCAAGAATAGTGCAAGCTGCCTAAAGTGAGAGGGCACAAGAGGTATGGAGTACCAGGTTGAAGAGTCCCAGAGAGGAGATATAATGCCACAGAGCTAAGGTAGGGCCGGGGGCAGGTATCAGCATCAAAACTGAAGAATTAGATAATGTAAAGGGTGAGGACTTAAAGCAAGAAGCTTGAAGTCTCTTAGTACTAAGAGGAGCTTCCTACCCCTGGGGCTGCTGGAAGATCTAAGAGAGAAAAATTGGCCTAAAGTGGAAAGGAGTTGTGGACAGGAGGGTGGGGGAGTGGCAAGTGACTGATATAAGTTAAAATTTAAAAAGGCAAAAATAAATCAACTAATTAATAAATAACTCAGTATGCTGGGATGAGAGAAGATAAAAAGGAAAAACATAAGCAAAAGATCTGTTTCATCACAATGCTTACATCGGTCAGGATAGAGGAAGAGAATAGGTGAGGAGGGGTCAGGGTCAGGTGTGAGGTCAGGTGGCCAGTAGTGAGGGCTACAAAGCAAAACTCCTTGGGAAATGGTGGGGACAGGGATCAATGCCTGTAGTCAGGGCAGTGGAGTGGTGGACTGAGGAGAGAGGGAGAGGTTGCTAGCCCACCTTATGCTCCCCCCGGACAATGTGGGAAGAGAATTCGTACCGGTCCTGGCTGTGATAACCACAGATGTTGCACTCAAAAGGGTCTCTGAAGCCATGGCAGCCCATGTGGATAGTGAACATGACGTGGTCCAGGAAGAGGATACGGCAGTGCTCACACTTGAAGGCCTTCACAGGCTCACCACTCTCGCCCACCACCCGAAGCACTTCCTTGGAGGGGCCTGGGGTGCCCCGCAATAACCCCTCCTGTGGCTTGGGGTCCTCTTTGGCGTAGGCAGGACTGTGCCGGCCCACCACAATGGTGGGAGGTGGCTGGGGTGGGGGACCCTGAGGGAGGGATACCACCCCCGCAACCCGATCTTCGTGGTTGCTTTCTGTGTCTGTGGAGTCCTGGCAGCCATTGCTGGGGGATGCCCCAGGGTCAGTCAGGGGGCCTCGGGGCCGGTAGAGGAGGGGACCTCCATCAGCCAGGTCCTCAGGTCCCTCACCTGCTTCTCGGGATCCTGGAAGCTCCAGTCGACCAGGGAGGGGCTGCATCTGGGTGTAGACAGAGCTGATGACAGGCGTGAGTTCTGAGATGCAATTGGTGGGTGGAAGGCGGAGGGGACGCAGATGCTCTGCACCCACAAAGGCCAGGGAACTTCCAAAGCCAGGCTCTAGGCTGTGGTGTGCCACCAACTCCACATCCTTTTCATAGCCACCCGAGTTCACATCATAGGGGAGGTCTGAGAGGCTGAAGCGCATCTGCTTTTCGCCTGTGGAGAACAGGAACTCAGCAGGGCTGGGTTTGGAGAATTCCTACACTCTCCTCAGGATTACTTCTTTGTTTTTTTACCTGTGGGGCTGGGTGTAACATTATTTACTACGTGGCATTTACTTTCGCAGGGTCAGGTCCTTTGTGGGACTGCTCCCTGACTCTAGGCTATAATCTTAGAGAAGGACTCAATCCCAGCCCATTGATTTTTAATACTTCATTTTATTACTCTCCATAAAGCTCCAGGTCCTTAGAGAGCTCATGACTAGTGCTGGGGATAGGGGGAACCACATACTTATTTCCTCTCTCTGACTCTCTAAGGGCCCACACAGACTGAAGTTCTTGTTATTCTTAAAAACTGAGATAGCCCGGGCCGGGCGCGGTGGCTCACGCCTGTAATCCCAGCACTTTGGGAGGCTGAGGCGGGCAGATCATGAGGTCAGGAGATTAAGACCATCCTGGCTAACACGGTGAAACCCCGTCTCTACTAAAAATACAAAAAAAATTAGCCGGGCATGGTGGCAGGCGTCTGTAGTCCCAGCTACTCGGGAGGCTGAGGCAGGAGAATGGCGTGAACCTGGGAGACAGAGGTTGCAGTGAGCCGAGATCGTGCCACTGCATTCTAGCCTGGGCGACAGAGCAAGACTCCGTCTCAAAAACAAACAAACAAACAAAAAACTGAGACAGCCCGATGCCTCGACCCTGTCCCTTACAACCACCACGAGAGTCTTCAGTGCCAACCCTTCTCCACTCTCTTTGAGTACATCCTCCCTCTTTACTTTCCTCCTGTCCTGAGGATAGATTTTCAGTATCAGAGGCCACCAGCCTGCTTTCTTTCTTTCCTTTTTTCTTTTTTCTTTTGAGACGGAGTCTTGCTCTGTTGCCCAGGATGGATGGAGTGCAGTGGCGCGATCTCCGCTCACTGCAAGCTCCGCCTCCCAGGTTCACACCATTCTCCTGCTTCAGCCTCCCGAGTAGCTGGGACTACAGGTGCCCGCCACCACGCCCGGCTAATTTTTTGTATTTTTAGTAGAGAGGGGGTTTCACTGTGTTAACCGGGATGGTCTTGATCTTCTGACCTCTTGATCTGCCCACCTTGGCCTCCCAAAGTGCTGGGATTACAGACGTGAGCCACTGCACCCAGCCCACCAGACTGCTTTCTTTCCCCAAACCGAATCTCCAGACCACACAGCTCAGATTTATTTGAGCTGTGGCTTAAAGCTGATACGTCTTTCCAACTGGATTCTTACCTACAAACTTCTGGGGTGTGGAACGCTTGCGTTTGGTGAGGCTATTGGCCAGACGATCGATGAAAGTTGGCCGCTCAGAGGATGAGTGCAGCATGGAGTCTGGCACCATCTCCAGGTCACGTATTTCGTCACCTAGTGGGAAGAAGGTGGAGACAGTAGTAGCAGTTGAGTAGGGGTAGCATTGGCCCCACAGCCTTTGCCTGGAGAAAACCAGCAGGTCAGTAGCCAAGGAAGGACATACCAGTTGCCTGGGAAACTGGGCTCTGTTTACCCTACCTAAAGCTCACTCCAATAAAATTTCAGATCATTTGGGGACAATCATACACATCTGGCCCTTGGTTTTATACTTCTTGTGTTCTCTCTCTCCCATTAGGCCAAGGATATAGACCCAAACTTCCCCTACCTGTCGATCTCCCTAAAGCACCCACCACAGACAAGGCTCTCCACCAACTGGGTTACCTAGAATGGGGTGTTTGGCAGATTTACTGGGGTAATCATCCCCTGTTCCACAGACTTCATCCCTCAGTGTGGGAGATACTGGAGTCACCCTTGTCTAGCACTCCCTCTCACCATCCCCTTTTAACTCCCCAGTAGTACATCAATAGCCCTACCTGGTTGGCCAGCCAAAGCTTGGGCTTCAGTGCTGAGACTCTGTAGGTAGTTATGGCACCGCTCCTTGTGCTCCTCCAGGGTACTCTGCTGTTTGTAGCTCCGGCCACAGTAGTTACACTTGTAGGGCTTGCCCACTGTGGGAGAGGAGACTGTGGAGGAGAGTGGAAAGATGGCATCAGAGCTATTTCTCGCTGTGCCCTGGCTCTGCAGATTCAGCCAAGAGCAAGTATACACTGGCATGGGAAGGAAAGGATGTTGCTAAATTGAGTTCTTCTACTTGTCTTTCATTTCCCAACTTCAACTGCAACCGCGGACAGATGAACAATATTTGATGATGAAGGATAATGTGCAGTTATGGGGGCAAGGGAATCCTAGGGCATGTGGCTTCAGACTGGTGGTGGGTTTGTTCAAGATGGCCAAATTGTTGCTTAAAGGAAGTGAGGACCCAGGGACTTTGTAGAGGATCATCCCTAGCAGACAGGCAGGCCCCACTGCAGGATCTCAGAGTCTGGGGCCCAGACTGTGGTTTAACCTTTCCATTTGGCAGGCGGATGTAAGTGCTGTTTATCAGACAAGGGGATTTTTTGCTTTTTATGAACTATCTGCTTTGGTTTGGGGGAAACTGGTGGGCTGGCATGACAGAAATGAGAGCCCTTAGATCTGCCAATGTGGGGAGGGGGCAGTTTTCATTGACCTTTACTTGTATTTTGACCTCCAGCCCTAGCCTGGTTTACTGATTATTTTGTCTCTCTGTCTCTCTACGCTGAGATACCAAGAGAGGTCTAGAAAGCCCATCACTGATAGAGTAATTCTGAAAAGAGAAAAAGAATAAAAGAACAGAGAAGAAAATAAAGAAGAGTAAAAAAAAGAGAACACCAAATTTGGGTTTGTTTGTTTATGTGCTTGTAATAAGGAACAGGTTATAAAGGTCTTGTTTCTACCGAAGAAAGAAAATTGGAAAACAGAGTGGTACTTCATTTAAAGATAACTCTTAAGAGATATTTGTGAGAGGAGAGAAAAAAGTGGAGAGAAACAACGTATTGTATATTTGATGTATCTTGCTGCTATTGAGCAGGGAGACAGGAGAAGGTATCTCTAGGAAGCTGGTAATTACTATTCACCCCTAACCTTGCCATGCCAAAGCTGGGCCTTGACTAAATCAATCTACTGGATTTTACTCAGGCTCTGTAAACTCTTGTATTTTAGGGATGAAATGAACACCATGGTCCCTATCCACCCAAAGACCCTTGGGGAAACAGTTTAACATCTGGGAGAGGAATGATCCTCCAACCGCTTTCTTTTTTTTCAAATTTTAATTGATAATTGATACATAATAATTATACATGTTTATGAGATACATATGATATTTTCATACATGTATACGACATGTAATGATCAAGTTGGGGTAACTGGCATATCTGTCACCTCAAACATTTATCTTTTTTTCTTCTTTTTTTTGGAGACAGAGTCTTACTCTGTTGCCTAGGCTGGAGTGCAGTGGCACGATCTCGGCTCACTGCAACCTCTACCTCCTGGGTTCAAGCGATTCTCCTGCCTCAGCCTCCCAGTAGCTGGGACTACAGGCGCCCACCACCATGCCCAGCTAATTTTTTGTATTTTTAGTAGAGACGGGTTTCACCATGTTAGCCAGGATGGTCTCAATCTCCTGACCTCATGATCTGTCTGCCTCAGCCTCCCAAAGGCTAGGATGACAGGCGTGAGCCACCATGCCCAGCAAACATTTATCATTTCTTTGTATTGGGAACATTCAAAATAATCTCTTCTAGCGATTTTGAAATATACAATAAATTATTGTTAACTACAGTCATTCTACTATGCTGTGGAACACTACAACTTATGCCTCCCATCTAACTGTAATCTTGTACCCATTAACCAGCCTCTCGCTATCCACCTACTCCCAACCCTTCTCAGTCAGCCTCTGGTAACCACTGTTCTACTCTCTACTTTTTTTTTTTTTTTGAGACGGAGTTTCACCCTTGTTGCCCAGGCTGGAGTGCAATGGCGCGATCTTGGCTTACTGCAACCTCTGCCTCCTGGGCTCAAGGAATTCTCCTGTCTCAGCCTCCCGAGTAGCAGGGATTACAGGCATGCGCCACCACGCCTGGCTAATTTTGTATTTTTAGTAGAAACAGGGTTTCTCCATGTTGGTCAGGCTGGTCTTGAACTCCTGACCTCAGGTGATCTGCCCGCCTTGGCCTCCCAAAGTGCTGGGATTACAGGCGTGAGCCACCGTGCCTGGCTTTTTTTTTTTTTTCCCCAAGATGGGGTCTCACTCTGTCACCCAGACTGGAGTGCAATGACATGATCACAGGACACTGAAGTCTTGACCTCCCAGGTTCAAGTGATCCTCCCTGTCTCAGCCTCCTGAGTAGCTGGGACTACAGGTGTGTGCCACCACACCTAGTTTTTGTTTTTGTTTTTGTTTTTGTTTTTGTAGTAGAGACGAAGTCTCACTATGTTGCTCTGGCTGGTCTCAAACTCCTGGGCTCAAGCGATCCACCCGCCTTGGCTTCCCAAACTGCTGGGATGATAGACGTGAGCCACTGCACCCAACCTACTCCGTGCTTCTATGAGATCAACTTTTTTAGCTCCCACATGAGTGAGAACATGCATCCAGTCTCTTTTTTCTTATAATAGGGGTTGCAACAGAAAGCACTTCACAGAGATGGGACCTGACAGTATATCTGTGTCTGCTTCTGTTGTTAATAATCTACAGATCAACATCCAAAATCTACCCAGTTCACCTCACTGTGTAGTTGGTAAGAATTCTAGGGGCCAAGCCATCCTTGTTCCAAACCAGCAGGGGGAGCAGCCCCTTTTCTGAGGAAAAGGAGTATGTATTTCTGGCACTGGACCTTGATGGGGTTCCAGCTAGGCTGAAGAATAGCTATGTGACCCGCAACTCATTTTTCCCCCCAACAGCTTCATTTTCCTTGTCAACAAAATGGGGATAATCACATCTACCTTGGAATTGTTATGAGGATCACATGGAGAAACACAAGTGAAATGCTCTGTAGATATAAAGCATGTATCAACGATGATCTTTCTCCCTGTTTCTCCACATACATAGAGATAAAGAGGTCCCAATTACAAGGTGGGAGAACCTGGAACAAGGTAAGTGGATGGAGAAAGTAGAGGGTGATGAAATGATTGCTCTGTCCCTTTAAATCCTGGCTCAGGAGAGTTTAAGAAGAGAAAAATAGCCAGGAAAGTTTCCAAGGACAGACCCTACTAATTCTTTCCCCCTTCCTTTCTTCCTGCCTTTTCCCAATCTTGAGCTCCCTCCTTCCTGCCAGCTCAGCTCCTGGCCTCTTCCCAAGTCCAAGCCAAAAGCCTAAAGCTTAGTAAAATGCCTAAAAAGTGCTATCTGTCCAGCTGATTCAGACAGATACTGATTCAAACAGTCTTGACTGGGCTAGAAAACCTTGTTAATCCAGTTTCCCAGCACTGTTCCAAACATTGATCTCTAGGTACCCTCTGGACTTTCTCTTGCCTCTGGGAAGGTGACAACCTCTTGGGATAGGGAACAGAAATAGGATACTCTTTTCCTATTTGGAAGTCCTAGGCTCCCTTTTTTGCAATTTGAGAGGGCTATGGATATTTCCAGGAGCCAGAAGGAAGTAAAGGAGAGGACAGACTGGTTGCTCAAGACCTCTGGTGGTGTGGGAGGAAGGAGGGTGAAGATGATGACAGGTGTGGGGCCTGAGGCAGATGGGAGTGAGAGGAGGGATTTCCCAGGGGCTTAGATGTTGGGGGTAATAGGGCATGGATTGTGGCATCAACAATCTAAAATATAAAAGTCAGGAAAGCCCAGGCACAGTGGCTGACACCACGCCTGTAATCCCAGTACTTCAGGAGGCTGAGGTGGGCCGATTGCTTGAGATCAAGAGTTCAAGACAAGCCTGGGCAGCATAGGGAGATCCTGTCTCTACAAAAAAATAGAAAAATTAGCTGGGTGTGGCAGTATCCTTCCAGCTACTCAGGAAGCTGAGGTGGGAGGATGGCTTGAGCTCAGGAGATCAAGACTGCAGGGAGCCAAAATTGCACCACTACACTCCAGCCTGGGCAACAGTGTGAGACACCGTCTTGAAAAAACAAAAAACAAACAAAAGTCAGGGAAGGGTGACTTTTTTTTTTTTTTTTTTTTTTTTTTTTTGAGACTGAGTGTCGCTCAGTCGCCCAGGCTAGAGTGCAATGGCGCGATCTCAGCTCACTGCAAGCTCCGCCTCCCGGGTTCACGCCATTCTCCAGCCTCAGCCTCCCAAGTAGCTGGGACTACAGGTGCCTGCCACCATGCCCGGCTAATTTTTTTTTTTTTTGTATTTTTAGTAGAGACAGGGTTTCACCATTTTGGCCAGGATGGTCTCGATCTCCTGACCTCGTGATCCGCCCATCTTGGCCTCCCAAAGTGCTGGGATTACAGGCGTGAGCCACCGCGCCAGGCCAAGGGTGACCGTTAACAGCCAAGAACATTGCTCCTATTCCTTTTGCTCCAAGTAGATGGATTTTACATCCATATGGTGGATGTAAAATACCCCATCAAGGTGTCTCCCAAATTTCCCATGAAGCCTTGCTGCCCAGAGGATGGGTGAGAGAGGCAGGGGGCCCTATCTGCTCTGTAAATGCTCCCCCCTCCTCAATGACAGACACTGGAACTCCCCAAATACAAGAGAAGTCACTGAGCTCTACATACTGGGTGTGTTGGAGCCTCATTCCCTCCTCCCACTGGACAGACACTGACCTGAGTGTGTGCGGAGGTGACCAGTGAGTGCATCACGCCGGCGGCAGGCATAGTTGCAGAAGGGACATTTAAAGGGCTTCTCCCCAGAGTGCAGCTTGATGTGGCGCAGCAGGTTCCCCTTCTGGGTGAAGGAGGCACCACACTGGTTGCAATGGAAGGGCCTTTCACCTGCAAGTGAAAGAACAAATCCCAGAGGACTGCATGTGAGGAACTTTGAAGGTTGAACCTATCACCCACCCTCTGCCCTACCTTGCCCAAGGGAAGGTGCTCTGAACACATTGCTGACGGGCAGAAGTGCAATGCACACAAACCCTGATTTATGAAGATCCCTTGGGGATCCCTGGGGTCTTACCCTGGGGAAGGTGTGGATTAGAGGTGTGTGGCAGGGAGAGGGGCCTGGAACACGAGGCCAAAAGACTGTTACCAAAAACTGAGCCCCACAGGGCCCACTCTGCCCTAGGAGCCCAAGGCCCAAGGAAGCTGAGAAGAGAAGGCTTTTGTTTTCTGTTTTGTTGTTGTTGTTGTTGTTGTTGTTTTTTAATTATTAGATGGGAGGGCCCAAAGAATACCCAGGAGTCTTACCCCTATTGGACCATTGGCTCATTCTTGAGTCTACACTTTCCCCTCCCTCATATACTGAGAAAAATATCACCTTTTCTTTATAACAGCGGTTGAGGAGAGTGCCAGGAAACTAAAGGTATTGAGGGGAATTCAAATTCTGTACCCACCCCCACCCTGCCTCGTTTTGTCAGCTGGAAAATGTGCTGGGTGAGACCCTTCCCTTTCTGAGGCTACCCACTCCCTGCATGACCTCCTCCAGCCCCATACCTGCTGTTGTCCCAGCACTGCCCCTGCCTCTCAACCCCACCCTGGGAGCTCCTCCCAGAGCCCCTCTGGCTTACTTACCAGTGTGACTGCGCTTGTGCACCATGAGCACGTTGGGTCCAATACAGACCATGCCGCAGACGTCACACTTGAGCTTGCCATTGGGCAGCCGGATGCCCCCAGGGGAGTGAGGCTCTGGCCCACTCCCATCACAGTAGCCCAGGGGCTCAGACAATGAATCTTCCACAATCACGCTGTCGTCCTTTTCCAGGAGCCGCTCATCTGGCCCCAGCAGTCTGCTTGACTCCTCATCGCTGTACATCTCCACCTTGATGGAGTTGGCTGAGGGGTGGGATGGTGTTTAGAATAGAGAGAGGCAAAGGGGGAAGCTGCTCCCAGGCCAGAATGGCACTCTTTTTTTTTTTTTTTTTTTGAGATGGAATTTCGCTCTTGTTGCCCAGGCTGGAGTGCAGTGGCACGAATTTGGCTCGACGCAACCTCCACCTCCCAGATTCAAGTGATTCTCCTGCCTCAGCCTCCTGAGTAGCTGGGATTACAGGCATGTACCATCACACCCAGCTAATTTGGTATTTTTAGAACAGACAGGGTTTCTCCATGTTGGTCAGGATGGTCTCGAACTTCCAACCTCAGGTGATCTGCCTGCCTTGGCCTCCCAAAGTGCTGGGATTACAGGTGTGAGCCACTGCGCCTGGCCCAGAATGGCACTCTTAAAGTTTAAGAGGGTGTCTTTAGGCCCTGAGACATTCAAGCCTTAAATGGAACTAACACCCTAGTATCCCTGCTGCTGATATCAGAATCCTACTGGAACCTGAGACAACCTTTTCTCCCACCCACCAGGCAAATAGGCTTCAAGAGAAAAAAGTTGGGCCGGGTGTGGTGGCTCACGCCTGTAATCCCAGCAATTTGGGAGGCCAAGGCGGGTGGATTCTTTTGAGGTCAGGAGTTTGAGACCAGCCTGGCCAACATGGTGAAACCCTGTCTTTACTAAAAATACAAAAATTAGCTGGGCATGGTGGTGTACGCCTGTAATCCCAGCTACTTCGGAGGCTGAGGCAGGAGAATCGCTTGAACTTGGGAGGCGGAGGTTGCAGTGAGCTGAGATCACGCCACTGCAGTCCAGCCTGGGCGACAGAGCAAGACTCCATCTCAAAAAGAAAAAAGTTGGGGGTACATAGGATGTCTTCTGTCGCTGAGGAGAGGAGGCGACTAAGGGGAGCTTTTTTCTCTACTCTCTTGTCATGAAGAAAGATGTCTGGCTTGGCCCTGGGCAGGAAGCCAGCAAGTTAACAGTGGCGGGAAAACAGATCTAGGAAGACTGAAGGGGGACAACAGGCCAAAGAGAGCAAACCTGGAAGACAGACATGCTTACAGTTCCCTCCCACCTCATTAGATTGAATCCCTCTACCCCCTCCACCTCCATAAAACTCTGAGGCAGGGCAGGAGGGGTAAAGGAAGGAGGAACCATTGAGGAGAAGGCTTTGGCTCTAGCTCCGACCTACATTCCTGGCTACTCCAACCATTTAGAGAATGTCACAGATCTAGGGCCAGCTGGGGAGAGGCAGTCATGGGGACCCTGTCTGGGTAGGAGAATGAGCTGTGGGGAGATGGGGAGGTCCTTCTACTCTCTATTTCCTATCTAACTCCATCTGATGACCATTTCTATCTACCTGCTTCTCTAATTCCATAATTTCTCTTTGAAACTTTTACCTTAATCCCACCCATACCTCTTTTAATTCCACCCTAGTCTGCCAGTGACTGACTATTCACTCTCCTTTCAGAAGCCAGAAAAACCCTAGACACTGGGCTCCTCATTGCTCTTAGAGACTAAGCAGGAGACCAGCAGGAGGTGACGATGGGGAAATGGTTGCCAGTGGAAGGTGAATTGAAGGCCAAATGCAACAGGGGGTGCCTACTGCCAGGAGGTGGTAGGAGGTTACACTTACCACTGAGTGAGCGGCTAGGAGAAGAGTGCTGGCTGTTGGGGGTGCTCACCGAGGGCCCCACTGGGGCCCCGAGGAACTCCTTCTCCAGAGATGAGTCCCCGCTACCTTGGAGGAGAGAACAAGAGGGCAGGTAAAGCTGGAGCTGGAGATATCTACTGTCCATTGCCTAATCTTTTAAAAAAATTCAGTTAAATTTCACAAACATTTCCTTCATAGCCATGTACAAAGCAGTGTTGTATGCTGGGCACCATACCTTGTGCCCCCGCCAGTCTGGATGCCTGGTGCTGCCTTCTGTGAGCTCAGTGGCTGGGCCTTGCCTACCCTACCTTTATCTAGGCCTGAGGGCAAGAGCATCACTGCCTGACGTCCACAGGAAGCAGGGCTGAGGCTGGGTGCGCCAGGGCGGAGAGGAAAATGGGGGCTGCAGAAGGGACAGATGTTCAGGACAGACATTCTTCCCTACTGTTCCTCTCTGGAGCCCCCAGCCGGTTCAGGATCTGCAGGAAAGGTAACTGGAATTGTCCTTGAATCTAATGATAATATTAGTAATCATCATAGCAGCTAATAATATTAATTGAGTACTTACTATGTGCCAGGCTTTATTCTGTGCACTTGAAATGAATAATTTCATTTAATCCTCACAACAACTATATGAAGTAGGTGCTAATATCATGATTTTTTCAGATGAGGCAACTGAGGTACAAAAGAGGTTATGTTAGTTGTCTAAGGTTACATAGCTGCTAGTGTGGAACTGGGATCATAGACAGTAAGCGTCCATGTCCTTAACCAGCACCTACACAGCCAATTGGTGGTCACAATCTTAGTAGGGAAGAATTGGGCCTCTTAGACTTTCTAAATTCAGCAAAAATTTGATTACTCTAGAAAGTCTCCTACTGATCTGATTCCAATCACGTGTTTACTATTTGATATTCATTGACAGTTAAGTGATCAACTTATTCTCAGTATATTTGTTTTAATTTTCTGATAAATTGCTTTGTAAAAATGCTTTTTGAGGCTTTCATAATGTTTTTCAAAATCAGATAACATACCTAAAGGAAGATATGAATGTCTTTTTTAAAAAAATCCCTCCTCCCCACAATCTTCTACACAAATATATAGGTGAAATAAAAATACATGTAGATAAACACACACAGAGACACAACACATATGTAGATACATATAAAGAGAACATACCTATTGGGATAAACATACTGGTAGCCTTCTACATTATCTGCTAACATGAACATGCATGGATGTGTGCACACAGGCCTAAATATGGAAGAGAGAAAGAGAAAGCAAGGGAGAGTGCAAGAAAGAGAGAGGAAGCCTAAAATTCATCCCTGAAGTCCACCTATTAGTACTTTACCCAATTGCCCAGCTATGCACATACTTACTTTCACAAAATAAAGATTCCATTATAAAATGGTTGGAGTCTTGGGCCTGAGGCAAGAAATCCGGAACACACCCTCCTGAGGGATCCCTCTCCAGCTTTGGTCAGTGGGAAGAAAACAACCACTCAGGACTTTGGGACCATTTCCCATTCATATCCTCTCCTAAAGTCCCATTTTCCCCATTCTATCCCGTCAAAGCCTGAGGAAAAATGTTCACTATCTATAGAAAAAGCCTTATGGCTTGAATCTGAGTTTTCCCAGCTGGGGCTTTTTAGGTGAGCCATGGTTACCTAAAAATGTTGCCCGAAATCAGAACCACACACATATCATGAAGTGAGCATCTCAGGATTGTGGGTTGAGACTTGTAGACTCAGAGCCAGTTTTAAATATATCCTTTCAACTAAGTGTAGGGTTTACTAGGGTTAAAAGGGCTGAAAATGTTATCTTCTTATTCCCTTTATTAGTGCTGAATTGCCCTAAATCACTTGATGTTACTATCAGGGAAGAACAGGGCACTTGGCTTTGAGGCCTTGACCCTAAAAGGATGAGTGAACTTGTTGGAAATCCATCACTGGTCCCAGCTTATTCGGCTGAGGCTGCCTCTTGAGGCCAGCGACTTGCTATGTGGAGGAAAATATATTTAAAAGTACACTTAGAAACACTGAGGGCGGCCGGGCGCGGTGGCTCACGCCTGTAATCCCAGCACTTTGGGAGGCCGAGGCGGGCGGATCACGAGGTCAGGAGATCGAGACCATCCTGGCTAACACGGTGAAACCCCGTCTCTACTAAAAATACAAAAAATTATCCGGGCATGGTAGCGGGCGCCTGTAGTCCCAGCTACTCGGGAGGCTGAGGCAGGAGAATGGCGTGAACCTGGGAGGCGGAGCTTGCAGTGAGCCGAGATCGCGCCACTGCACTCCAGCCTGGGCGACAGAGCGAGACTCCGTCTCAAAAAAAAAAAAAAAAAAAAGAAACACTGAGGGAAAAGCATCCTTTGTGGCTTTCCCAATTAAGGCCCAGAAACAGGAAGAGAAGCAGGAGTCACACCAGTAATTCAAGAGGCTCTTTGATGCTGTTGCCCTCCCTAAGATTAAGGTAAGGGGAAAAACAGGATCAAGTCTACTTTCATGGGGCTAAAATATATGTATAATGAATCTGTTTCAGGAGTCAGAAAGGCTTTCTTGGGCACCAAGGATTTTGAATTCTAGCTCAGGGGTGAGGGGACTAGAGTAAGATTTAGGAAGTTTAACAGTTCCTCTCTCAGCCCCAGAAACCCCAGTGAGGGAATCTCAAAAGTCTGGGACTCCCAAGAAATCCCAGACTGTCAAAGCCAAGAATTAAGGCTGCTCTTAGGTCTCTGAGAAATTTTCTTGCTCAAAGTCATCATAGATTGGCTGAACCCCCAGAGGGCAAAGCCAAATCATGAGGTTCACATTAGAGGAACTGGGAGGTAGGTAAAGGCTGAAAAGCAGGAGGGAGAGAAAGGAACTGGGAAACAGGCCACAAGCTAAAGGTGTTTCATATGTTAAAGGAGGCTAGCCTCCACTCCTGCTGCCTTTCCTTGAGACCTTTAAATAGTGGCTACATCTAGGGAATAGCCATGAGCTTGGAGAACATGGAGAACCTCCACACTTCTCTGCAAGGCACCTCATCATAACTGCTTTCCCTTTCTTGACCACGGGCTCCAGGGTGGCAGGATCCTAGCCTGCTAGCAGGGAATAGTGGGTACAAGAGCAAAGAAAGACGCCCATCCTCAGCTCTTTTGTGGGGAGGAAGCTGAGGCCCCTCAGATCTCTGTTCCAGGCTGAGGCATCTGCTTGCCAAGGCTCCTCTTCCTTACCTTGATTTTCTCCACTACCCCTTCCCACCCAGGCCTGTCTCGGCATTTCACCCCAGGCAGCTCTACCTCTATCCCCAAGGCCTAATCAAGATGTCACCATAGGCTCCCACTGTCCAAGTCGCCGTCTTTGCTTAGCAACACCAAACACCCTTTCCCATCCTCCGCAAGTATAAGGAGGAACGCCCCCTCCCCCGCTACACACACACACACACACACACACACACACACACACACACACAGCCCCCATCCTCTCCATCTCCTCAGGCTTGGGAGTAGTTACTGAATTGGCTCCCTAGCCCCAGCACCCCCCTTCCTCCCTCCACTAGCCGCCTTCTGCCTGAACTTACATTATCCTTCCCTTGCCGGTGAGACCCTGGGGTGCGAACGCGGCCGCCGCCTTGGAAACGGCGAGGGAGTGCGGGTGGTGTATGCATGTCTGCGTCTCAGTGGCAGGCAGGGGTGAGCCCAGCCACTCACCTTCCAGGAAGCGTGGATTCCTGGAAGTGAGGGGAACCGCCGTCATTTCGCAGGCAGCAGCAGCGGCACGGTGAGCAGAGGCCCACGGCTGCAGCCAGCAAGAGCAGCTCAGCCCAGGGTGTATGTGTGTTGAGTGTGTGTGTGTGTGTGTGTGTGAGAGAGAGAGAGAGAGAGAGGGAGAGAAGGAGAGGGGAGAGCACGCTTGGATGTGCTTGGGGAGGGGGCTGGAGAGAATGTATATGTGTATATAGTGGGGGAGATGCTAGGCTACAGCATCCCTTTTCCAAGACAGTGAAGGGGGTGGGTGGTGGGTGTGTGCACAGGGAGGGAAAGGCAGATGCTGTTGCCCCTCGTGCCCAGCAGACAAAGAGGAACTGCACAACAAATGCCTGAGAGAGGCAAGAGTGTGTGCAAGAGAGAGAGAGAGAGATGGATGGGCCTGCGGGTGGGAGGGAGAAAGGGGGGGCCCTAGGGAAGGCCCAATCCTCTGCCAGCTGGGGAAGCCAAGGCCCCAGAGGTCATGGGGCCCAGGACACGGACAGCTTCAAGGCTCTCAGAGAGGCAGAAAGCCCCTCCCCCACCGAACTCTTTCCCTCCTCCTCCAGGAGGAAGGTTGCTCTCTAGATGTGGGGACTGACAGCCTCCTCCTTTCCAGCAGTGAGAGGGCCCAGCAGAGTCTGGTGTCAGGCTAGTGTTGCTCCGTGGCCCTGAGACCTTTCAGATCCCGGGCAAAAAGGCTGGTACGGTCTCCCCATTTCCCCCCCTTCCTGTGCCCCTGGGGCCCCAGCAGCCGAAAGCCCTGGATGAATCCGCCCTCTATCAGGACAAGGCCTCTGCTCCCTTCCCTTTCAGAGGAGCTGCTCACTGACAAACTGACCTACTTTGGAAGACTACATTTTCTGATTCCAAGAATTTGGGGGTGGGAGGGGCTGTGAAACTTCGGGCTGCCTACCCCTGAATCCCTTTCTACTAAAGTTCTCTAAAACATTTCACAGTCTCAGAAAACTTGGGGCAAGCCCTGCTCAGTCAATTAATGGCAGGAGCTGGGTTTCAGCAACTCTGTTTCCCTTGAAAGATAGGAAAATGGAGGGGGTGGTTATCTGTGCCATAAATTAATAGACTCCTGCTTATCTCCCCCTTTTCCCTGCCCCAGAAGGGAATGATCTGTACCTTTAAAAAGAGAAAAGGGGAGAAAAGATGGATTTTCTGAATCACATTCTGTGAGGAATTCAAATCTCTTGGAAGAACAGGAGAGATACCCTTTTCATCAAGTGGCCTGATGAGGGAAGGTCACCTGGCGTGGAGCAGAAGAACTATGATGGCCTGTGGAGGCCCGCAGTGTGCTTCGGGAGGGCTGCATGCTGCAGCCTTTCCCTCTGCTTCCATATGACTCTTCCAGGAGAGATGGGTCAGTGATGAGCGCAGCTATGCCCAGTCCTAAGAGGGGTACTTTTCAGGGCTAATGGTAGCCTTACTTTGACTTTCTCTTTTCCCTTTCTAAGGTAGCTGCTGACATCTAAAATTCTCAAAGTACAGAGGAGGAGTTCCTGGCCTCCACTTCCATTCAAAAACCATCCTGTGCAGAGGCCACTTCTTATCTAGGACATGCCAATCTGCTGAAAGCAGGGAAAACTTGGTTTCATAGCACGGTGAAGCAAATCACCTCCATGAGTATCCAATATTCTCCATAAACAGGTTTGAAAAGAGCTCCACAGGATTTGTAGTTTCTCATTTGCCTGCTTTATGGTAGGGACTGGATTTTATCCATCTGAGTGTTCCCCAGCACTAAAGCAGGGTCCCAAGTGTACTTGTTGCTCAGTAGTGGTTTTCTGAATAGGCTTAACTGAGCAGGAGGTAGGAGGACTGGCTCGCTCCTCACAAGGCCATGACTTTTGTTCTAATAAAGTCTCTTCCAATTAAATGAGTCTACCTGATCCCTGTCATTCTGTCAAGCATGTGGCAGATATTGAATGCCTTTACCCATTCCAACTCCTTCCCTCCTTAAACAAGAAAGGGGTCAGAGTCAACATCTTACCTTACATTACCCGGGTGTTGCCAATGACTCTCATATGTGTGTCTGACCCATCTTGCTATCTCCTTTAGTGCATGCCAATAATTCCTTCATTGGTCCTACTTTAGAGTAAAAAATAAGCTATAGGTCATTTCCAAAATGGTGCTTGGGTTTCTGATAGGGATACTCATCACATCAAAACCCAGTTTTGGTTTCTATTATTTCTTTTTTTTTGAGACGGAGTCTCACTCTGTCGCCAGGCTGGAGTGCAGTGGCGTGATCTCAGCTCACTGCAACCTCCGCCTCCTGGGTTCTCCTGCCTCAGCCTCCTGAGAAGTTGGGACTACAGGCGTGAGCCACCACGCCCAGATAATTTTTGTATTTTTAGTAGATATGAGGCTTCACCATGTTGGCCAGGATGGTCCTGATCTCTTGACTTCGTGATCTGCCCACCTCGGCCTCCCAAAGTGCTGGGATTACAGGCGTGAGCCACGTGCCTGGCCTAATTTTTGTATTTTTAGTAGAGAGGGGGTTTCACCATGTTGCCCAGGCTGGTCTCGAACTCCTGACCTCAGGTGATCTGCCTGTCTCCCAAAGTGCTGGGATTACAGGCGTGAGCCACCATGCCCAGCCTTGAGTCATTATTTTAAAATGGAGACATTTCATATAAAAATTTGGATTTCTGGTATCTCTTAAAAATTTAGAAGTTTTGGCCACACTAGATACACATTCCTGCATGACAAGTTCTAGTGGACACTGAAAGCTGCTGTCCCTTTAAGTGGGACATATGTTCTCCACTTCATGACAGCCCCCACCATTCTTTTCTGCTTATTATCCTAACCTTACTTCACTCATTCACATGACTACCTGGCCCTTGCAGGCCTTTGAGCTTTGAAACCTTGTGCCGCTCTATCTGGATAGAACAGGATTTCATGTTTGGCTGGTGACTTCAGAGCAAAGGAGAAGGAACCACATCTTGTTTCCATCTATTTGCTTCAAATTATTCTTCTAATGATGTCTGCTCATATTCCCCTCCTATTCCCTTCCTCTATACCCCAAGAAGTCTGGAAAAGAAAATTACTATTTAGGGAATGTAAGATCACCAAAATAATTGCACACTACCAAGGGCCACCAAGCATGAGTGTTAGCTGTGTGACTAGGACATTTAGAGGCTGTGTGCCTAGGCTGAAGGCTCTCTGCTCTGCTCTACAGGAGAGTGTCTGCTTCCAGCCCCTAACAAATAGAACACACAGAAGGCATACCAGACACATAGGAGCGGCCATTGCAGTCTTCTATGTCCATTTTAAAGAGATTCTGCTGAAAAAGAAAATAGCTGCTATTAGAAGATAGCTCTGGGAAGGGAGGAGGCTTTTCTTTAATATTCTTGAGTTAGCAAGAAACCTAAAGGAGCACTTAAGCATGGTCTGATACTATCCTAAAGAAGAAAAACCTTAGCCAGGCACTGTGGCTCAACACCTGTAATCCTAGTGCTTTGGAAAGAAGGTGGGAGGATCACTCGAGCCCAGGAGTTTGAGACCAGCCTGGGCAATATAGGGAGATCCCATCTCTACAAAATATAAAAATAAATTAGGCATCGTGGCATGTGCCTGTAGTCCCAGCTATTCAGGAGGCTGAGGTGGGAGGATCACTTGAGCCTGGAGGTCGAGGCTGCAGTGAGCTGTGATCTTACCACTGCACTCCAGCCTGGGTAACCGAGCGAGACCCTGTCTCCAAGAAAAACCTTACACTTTGTCCTGGTGAAAGACAACATACCCTGATTTACAAACCCCAATATTTCCTCCAATTTACAACTTCTGCAGGCCTCCCCAGCCTCTGAGGTGGAAACACTATCTTAATCCAGAGTGGTCCTTGATTTTGAGATTAGACCGTGTATGTAGGTGGAGATTACACCTCAGCCCTGAGGAGGCAAAGAAACAGCCCCTTAGAGGCTCTATACCTCAGTTAAAGATGGGGGTAGTATTAAGAAGCTGGGTTCAGTCATTCAAGGGATTCTGTCTTGGAGTATGTGGTGTGAGGGAGGGTGACAGGAAAAGGAGAAGATGGAGGAGAGCAGCCCACTCAGGGTTCAGTGATAAGTCCTCTACTGAAGGTGTAATAAACAAGTTAAACCTGTAAATGGTTATCCCCACCCTCTCATCAATTACTCTACCACGCTTATTTTAAAAAAGAAAAAAGGACGGGGGGGGCGGGGGGGGAGTCTGAATTTAAAATGAAGGTTAATGTCTATTTGAGGGAAGGCAAGCAGTAATTGGCAGTAGAGTATTAAACAATCGGGAACTGAGAACACTTAAAAGTGATAATTTGTTGCAATGAATTATCTCTTTAGGAGCCTGTGGGAGGAGAGAAAAAAAAAATCTATCTGGTGGAAATTTACATACCTCCAAAATTGCGGCTGGCATGGTGGCTCACACCTGTAATTCCAGCACTTTGGGAGGCTGAGGTGGGTGGATCATTTGAAATCAGGAGTTCAAGACCAGCCTGGCCAACATGGTGAAACCCCGTCTCCACTAAAAATACAAAATTATGACTGGGCACACTGGTTCACACCTGTAATCCCAGTACTCTGGGAGGCCGAGGCGGGCGGATCACCTCAGGTCAGGAGTTCAGCCTGACCAACATGGAGAAACCCCATCTCTACTAAAAATACAAAAAAAATTAGCCAGGCATGGTGGCGCATGCCTGTAATCCCAGCTACTAGGGAGGCTGAGGCAGGAGAATCACCTGAACCCAGGAGGCGGAGGTTGCGGTGACCCAAGATCACGCCGTTGCACTCCAGCCTGGGCAACAAGAGCGAAACTCCGTCTCTTAAAAAAACAAAACAAAACAAAATTAGCTGGGCGGTAGTGGCATGAGCCTGTAATCCCAGGTACTTGGGAGGCTGAGGCAGGAGAATCGCTTGAGCCTGGGAGGTGGAGGTTGCGGTGCACCGAGATCCTGCCACTGCACTCCAGCCTGGGCGACAGAGTGAGACCCGGTCACAAAAAAAAAAAAAAAGAAAAGAAAAAAAAAGAAAATTGCATTCCCCACTCATCTGATGAAAACTAAACGCCCTGAGGCAGAGGCAGAAGCAAGAATGGGGCAAGGGAACAGTCTGAGCTGCTGTGGGGATTCTTGGTCTTTTTGAAGGATCTCACTGAGGCAGATGGATAAAGATTTGGTTTGCTTGTAATGGTATATTGAGAGAGGTAGGGGTGGGGGTGAGGGGGTGCAGGAAGGCACACAGAGTAAAGTATCTGTTTTCCTGCCCCCCCACCCCCACCCAATTCTTGTCTGGAGTTGAGACTCCTTTTGAAGGCTCATGAGAAAACCTGAAACATGCGCTTACCTTCACTTCACAAAGCAATTCTCTCTTACATTTTGTCAGAGAGATTCCTAGTATCAACCCTATTTCCCTAGGAAGCCAGGGCATGGAGAAAAAAATTCTCTAAGTTTATTAACCCTCTTTTCTTGACATCCTTCCTGGGATGGACTGAACTTTGGGACTGGACCACTAGAACAAGCCACACAATAAGTGGTTCCTTGAAGGGTCCCTTAGGAACAATCATTAGAAGAGCCCAAGTCCACAGTTGTTAGAGAACTCAGACTCTCTGGAACTAGCCACAAAACTTGAGATAGAGATCAAAAGATAAAGGAGGGCAGTCTGGTATTGAGGGGCCCTTTCATTTCCAAATCATTAGATTCACAATTGCCCTTTGGTGTTTTTCAAAATGAATGGAAAGCTCAGGCTGGGTTTGGTGGCTCAGGCCTGTAATCTCAGCTCTTTGAGAGGGCGAGGTGGGTGGATCACCTGAGGTCAGGAGTTCGAGACCAGCCTAGCCAACGTGGTGAAACCCCATCTCTACTAAAAATACAAAAAAATTAGCTGGGTGTGGTGGTACACACCTATAATCCCATCTACTCGGGAGGCTGAGGCAGAATTGCTTGAACCGGGGAGGTGTAGGTTGCAGTGAGCGGAGATCACGCCACTGCACTCCAGCCAGGTCAACAAAGGGAAACTCCATTTCAAAGAAAAAAAAAGAATGCAAAGTTCAAAGTGCCACTTGAAGCCGGGCGTGGTAGCTCACGCCTGTAATTCCAGCACTTTGGGAGGCGGAGGCGGGCGGATCACGAGGTCAGGAGTTTGAGACCAGCCTGGCCAACATGGCAAAACCCCATCTCTACTAAAAATACAAAAATTAGCCGGGCGTGGTGGGGTGCGCCCGTAATCCCAGCTACTCAGGAGGCTGAGGCAGGATAATTGCTTGAACCCGGGAGACAGAGGTTGCAGTGAGCCGAGATCGTGCCATTGCACTCCAGCCTGGGCGACAAGAGCAAGACTCTGTCTCAAACAAAACAAAACAAGCCCACAAAGTGCCACTTGAAACTTCCCTCACACACCTCCCCATGCAGGAGAGGCAAGAGTGAGCAGGATTTTCCTGTTTTCTGCTTGGAGAAACTGAGAGAAACTGAGGCTGAGAGCAGTGAAGTTACTTGTCCCAAGGTTCATGGTGAGAATAGAACAAGAACAAGAACACAAGTTGCCTGCCTCTCTGAGGTGTCCTCTTTCTATTAAACCTTTCAAAAGCCAGGCTACTCAAGGCCTTCATGGGTTTTCTTGCTTTTCCCTGTTTTTTTTGTTTTTGTTTTTGTTTTTTTTTTTGAGACGGAGTCTCGCTGTGTTGCCCAGGCTGGAGTGCAGTGGCATGAGTTTGGCTCCCGGGTTCAAGCAGTTCTCCTGGCTCAGCCTTCTGAGTAGCCAGGACTACTGGCATGGACCACCACACTCGGCTTTTTCCCTGGTTCTAACATCAGGTAAGTCATCTTTTCCTTTGGTGTGATCCCTGTGGGAGTGGGGTCTGTTACTTAAAAAGGAAGAACAAGTCGAGCTGGCTCTACAGGAAGAAATATGCTCATATTATTTTGTGTGTGTGTGTGTGTTTGTGTGCATGCAGCATGCCTAATGCCTGTGTGAATGAAGGGCTAGACAAGCACTAGGTGGGTAGAACAGGTGAAGCATACCATTCAGCTAGCACTGGCTCAGGAAGTGTATCTCATTCTTGGACTTTTGCCCAGATGGCCCCAAAACAATTTCCAGAAAGGTCTGAAGGAGTTGTTTTCTGAGCTGGACTTTCTTTCTAACAGTAAACTGAGCTTTCCTGCTTAATTGCTCTTAACGTGCTCTGTGACACATCTTGGGCAAAATCAGTACTTAGCTGTACTTAGCTGCCTCCAGCTGGGGGTTTTTGTTTGTTTGTTTCTTTTCTTTTCTTTTTTTTTTTTTTTTGAGACGGAGTCTCGATCTGTCACTCAGGCTGGAGTGCAGTGGCACGATCTCATCTCAGCTCACTGCAACCTCTGCATCCCGGGTTCAAGTGATTCTCCTGCCTAAGCCTCCTGAATAGCTAGGATTACAGGCGTGCGCCACCACACCCAGCTAATTTTTGTATTTTTAGTAGAGACAGGGTTTTGCCATGTTGGCCAGGCTGTTCTCGAACTCCTGACCTCAGGTAATCTGCCCGCCTCGGCCTCCCAAAGTGTTGGGATTACAGGCGTGAGCCACTGCTCCCGGCTCTCCAGCTGGTTTTAATACCAAGTTGGTAACCCTGGAAGTGAGAGGGCATTGGATTGAAACTGCTGTTCTCAGTCCTGGTTTTCTGTGCAAACCAGGAGCAAATCAGCAGATGTACTTTACTCTTTGCTCAAGTCTCCCTGCAGCACATCCCGCCCAGCCTTCCCACTCTCTACCCCTTAAAGCACCTCCTCCCCTGCCTAACCAGCCAGGCAGATCTTAGCGTCTCCTTAGAGGAACTGGGTCAAATTAGGCACTGCCAATTGGAGACACATTGCAGGAGGAGGAGGTATAAGGAGAGGGAAGTTAGTTACATGAGACAGTTTTGTATCAAAGATCTTGGAAGGAGATTAGCTTTAAAGCAACATAACTGTCGGCTGGGGGCGGTGGCTCACACCTGTAATCCCAGCACTCTGGGAGGCTGAGGCAAGCAGATCACTTGAAGTCAGGAGTTCAAGATCAGCTTGGCCAACGTGGCGAAACCCCATCTCTACTAAAAATACAAAAATTAGCTGGGCTTGGTGGTACATGCCTGTAGTCCTAGCTGCTTGGGAGGCTGAGGCATAAGAATCGTTTGAACCCCGGAGGCAGAGGTTGGAGTGAGCCGAGATCACGCCATTGCACTCCAGCCTGGGTGACAGAGTGAGACTCTGTCACTAAATAAATAAATAAAGCAACATAACCGTCACTCAGTGATGGCGGGTAGGCACATATGTACTGTAAATTCAGCTGTGAGCTGAATACAAAGCAACTAGAAACAATCAGTGTTCCAATTCAAAAGGAATATCTCTGTGAGGAGGGAGGAAACGCTGGTCATTGTAATCTCTGGAGACACAAATTTTCTTCCCTGTTCTTATTTATTTATTATATTTACTAGAGATGAGATCTCACTATGTTGTCTGGGCTGGAGTGCAGTGGCTGTTCATGGGCACAATCACAGCACACTACAGCCTCAAACTCTTGGCCTCAAGCAATCCTCCTTCCTCAGCCTAATGAGTAGTTGGGACTACAGGTGCATGTGCCACTGTGCCTAGCTCTTCCCCATTTGTTTGAATCCACTTGGCATAAACAAGAGTCCTCCATGGCCCTGGCTTTCTCCTATCAACATTACAACACATTTGAACAGGAATGGGCATCCTTTCTAGACAGAAGATTTCCCACCAGGCTCCCTGACAGGCAGCAGTGAGGGCCAATCCCAGCAGTTTGGGAGGCCAAGGCAAGAGGACTGCTTGAGGCCAGGAGTTCTAGGCCAGCCTGGGCAACACACTGAGACACTAAAAAAAAAAAAAAGTAATTTAGGCCAGGTGTGGTGGCTCACGCCTGTAATCCCAGCACTTTGGGAGGCCAAGGTGGGTGGATCACCTGAGGTCAGGAGTTCGAGACCAGCCTGACCAAATGGAGAAACCCCATCTCTACGAAGAATACAAAATTAGCCAGGGGTGGTGGTTCATGCCTGTAATCCCAGCTACTCAGGAGGCTGAGGCAGGAGAATCGCTTGAACCCAGGAGGCGGAGGTTGCAGTGAGCCGAGATCGGGCCATTGCACTCCAGACTGGGCAACAAGAACAAAACTCCGTCTCAAAAAAAAAAAAAAAAAAAGTCATTTAACACATGCTTAATGTGGCCTAGGGGGTAAAAGGTCATGAGAAGAATATTGTTGGGAAAGATGGTGAAGGTAGAGAGAATGGCAAGGATCCATACCATGTTTTTGTTATTATTCCCAAACTATAACAGGCAGAAGTAGAAAAATTTTCTCCACTTTCCCTTAGTACCTGGGTTCTGCGGTGGAGAGCAGTAGTTATTAACAAGACAGAACTTCCCATGTGCCTTGGGTATGAGCCATTCAGGTGCTACAAGTAGAGCAAACCCACAGCATCATCCTCTACTGTCTATGCCTTCCTGAACTGAGTGAAATCTGAGCAAAAATATGTTGAAATCACATAGCTGGCTCTGCTCTCTATCAAAGCTTTGCATAATTGAGGAGGGAGAAGACGCAAAGGGGCCAGGGAAAGGTATGGAATTAGCCACTGTCTGCAAGCCCCTTTCCAGGAAAAAGACCTAGACATCAAGCAATTTGCAGCTCTGAAATTATCTTTAGGGTCAACCTAGTGCTCTCTGAAGGAAACCCACCAACCTTAGCTCAGCTCATGTGTTTGTCTTTACAGTGGAAAGGTCTGACTCATTTTTCACCAGGCTGTAGATGGTGACCTTCTGTCTACATATAATACAGTTGAAGACAGCTCAGCTTCATTATCCAAGTGCTTGGGGAGCAGTGCAGAGGGGATAAATTCCCAGGTCATCCTAGGAATGGCCAGTCTCTAAAATAAAAAGGGGTAAGAGCTGAAAACACAACACCTGGGCAGGGGGAAAATATCACCTCATTGTCTCCTTTTAGATCTCAGATGGATGCATCTTTTCTCTTGTTCTTTGCGCTTCTCTGTCCTCCCCATGTAGACTGCAGAAGAGAGAGAAGGCTAAGGTTTATGAGTGGGAGAAGAAACGATCCTATCCCTCCCATGTCTCATTTCAGGACATAAGGAACTAAGGAAAAGGGCCAAACTAAACACTTTAAATCACTAGATATGATACATAGGAGATGATACTTTTTGGGGTTTTTGGGTGTACCCCCAAGTATAGCTCTCTGTTTATAGAAAGGCCTCACAAAATCACTGCTGTTCAGTGGTATGTTTGGCAGGGGTGGAGAAAGTAGAGCAGGGAAATTCAATTTGAGTTTTATAATAATCAGTTTTAAAGCCAAAGATGCCCAAAACAGGGTTAGCACTCTCAAGTGAAGTTTGAAATTACAGGGAAGTCTCAGTGAACTATTCTGACTAGGGTACAGTAGCAAAAAAAATGTAGAAGAGACAGGAACAATTGCCTTTGATTGCAATTGTGCCCAAAAGTCCCTAATACATGCTGATCAAAAAAGTTCACTGTTGTTTGGGCCAGAAAGATGTTTTCAGGCTTCTCTGCTAATAGTCTTGCTCTGATAATCCAATTTGGTAAGACTCTCTTCTTCATGTGGAGGGTCTAGGGCAGGGGTACTCCAGGAACTGAGAAATCCTGGAGCTGAAATGGAGTTGAGAGATTATCTACAATTTCCTAGTTTTTAACAGAAGAAACTAAGCCCAGAGTCATCAATCTCATTAACAACAGAATTAGGACATGTAGAGTCCAAGTTACCATTAGAAGATTCTTTCCACTGGAACACTATATTAAATCTTGCCCCAGTTGGAAGATTTGGGCCACCCTGCTTGCCTTCTTTCTTGGGTTATTAAATGAATGGTTTTTGGGTCTGCGTCTTGCTGACCTAAATCCTTGAACTGGAAACACAGGCTTATGGATGGGAGGATAAATAATCCTCTTCCTCCTATGTCTCTTTTCAGAGATAATGGACCTGAGGAAAACACCAAACTAGATGGTCATTAAGTCTCTAAAGTAGAAACGGCCTCTTAGCTTGAGGACTACCCCAGCATAGGTATTGCATCAGAGCCTACAATGTGGATCCTCCCCGCAGCTGGACCAGGTCATTCATATCAGCACTACCCTTTCTTAGATGCCTTTGTCTGATAAACTTTGAACCTATCTCTCTGTTTCCAGAACAGAGTCCATAACTCTTCTAAGAAGAGGAAGCAAATCAAAGCCTGGAATTCAAAGCTTTCTTCAGCAGAGTCAACAGACCAATAAAGAAAGGGAGTCCCTCTGCCTGTGGCATTGTCCACACTCACAGGGTCCCACACTCTTATTTGTTCCTACAGAGTAAAACGAGGCTAGAAATACCTATCTTTCTTTTTCTTTGGTGTGTGTGTGTGTGGCGAGAGAGAGAGAGAGACAGAGAGAGAGATGGCCAGTTGGGGAAAAAAAATAATTCCTTTGTGGATACTACTGTGTGTGGGGGGGCAGGGGGTACGGTGAAAGGTGGGATAAGTTTCTCCCATGCTGGGAAGTTCAAGCTGCAGATTTCAAACTAAGAGGACATAAAGAGACTTTCAGTTGCATTTTCACTGGAAAAAAGTCAGGACTTATTTCTGAGCCAAGTCCTGAAATATGCCTTACCCTTAACCTACTCAGAGGAAGGGGATTGCCCAGAAGCTACAATTCAACTAACTAACTGCACTCAGTGGGCAACAAAGACATTATATTTTGTGTTTGAGACATCAACTTCTATTGACTAGGGCAAGGTATAATTCTGAAGCTGCCAAAATGAGGGCAGCTCTCACCATTCTGAAGCCCACCCCAGAAGCTCCAGTGAAACTTCTCTTGCTTCCCAATGGTAAAGCTATTTTCTTCTTTTAAGATTTTATTTTTATCTCAGGAGCTACTCATCTGACTGTTCTCATGACCCAAGGGTCTGTCTGGATTCTCTGGCTTTAGGCTGTTAGTAGGGAAAGCTGAAGTCCTCCTGCAAACCATAAAGCAAGATTCACGGACCTACTGGCAGGTCCATGGGGAGGTGAGGGATTACCATACACCCCAACCAAACGAAACACTATGCTTTCAAAGATTGTCTGATTTGGCCTTTTATCTGGCCTTGTCCTCAGAATCTGAGTTATCGTTAAGTGGAAATATTCTAGGTAGTCAGATAACATTTTCATGCTTCCTTAAGGATATGAACATGTATCTTCACCCAGGCAAAGTGAGCAAGTATCAGTAAGGGGAGACAGGCTTCAATGGTCATCTGGTTGACCATGACGTTGGAACATCTAAAGCTGACATGTGAGCATGTCAGGAACATACCATGCCCACCATTGATGCTTCGAGGGCACAGGCTGGGGAGACAGGCACAGTAGGAACTATTAGACATATAAGCGAGGGTTGACAAGAGTAACAACAATAGACAGTTTTGTTCATGAGAGAAGGGAATGGGGCGAAATAAGGTATGCAAAAAATTTTCTGGCCAGGCACGGTGGCTCATGCCTGTAATCCCAGCACTTTGGGAGGCTGAGGCGGGTGGATCACCTGAGGTCAGGAGTTCAAGACCAGCCTGGCCAACATGGTGAGACCCCCATCTCTACTAAAAATACAAAAAATTAGCCAGGGGTGGTGGCGGGTGCCTGTAATCCCAGCTACTTGGGAGGCTGAGGCAGGAGAATCTCTTGAACCTGGGAGATGGAGGTTGCAGTGAGCTGAGGTCGCGCCATTGCACCCCAGCCTGGGCAACAAGAGTGAAACTCCGTCTCAAAAAAAAAAAAAAAAAAAATTTCCTGGAAGCAGAGTTCGTAACTTCTTGACCTTGGATGGGGATTGGGGTACAATATTTCATAAGCATATCGAAAGGTCCACGTTCCATTAAACACTCCACTGTTCCCAGAAAGGACTAGTCATAATTTTTTTTAAAGGCACAGAAATAATATAGAAAATTTAAAAAGTGAGAACCTACAACTCTAGCAGCCATGAGGTAAGAAAATAACGGGATGGGGTTTGTGTGAGGAGGTACAGGGAGGGCTGTTTTGGTACACAGGAGCAGGCAGCCTGCTTCCCAAGTTTGCAGCTCCCGTCTGGATGTCTGCCCTGGGGATTCCTCTGTTGCATTTCTTTCTTAGGGCTCTCAAGCAGTGAATCTCTTCTTTCCCAGCCTTGCTTCCCAAGTTCCCTACACCTCTCACCCTACACTGTGCACTTCTCACTCCATCCTAAGTTTCTTCTCTACATGTTTCTCCCAATATGCTCATTGCCTCCCAGATCTCACCTAGGCCTACGTCTTTATCCCCAGATTCCTGTCTTCAGCATTCCTCGACCCAACACCCGGGTCCCTCGCTTTTTTTGTTCAGATACCCTCTTTGCTGCTCCTTTCTCCTCGCTGTCCTTCTGCTGTATACCCAAGCCACATCCCCACGGAGGAGCCCCGCGCCTGGCAGCTCCTGCCTGTCCTCGGCCCCTTGCCTTGATCTGTCTCCCGCCTTTTTAGGACCCCCGAGTCCCTGCTACCTCGCTCTTAATACTGGGGCCTCGGGCCAAACTCCCCCGGCCATCTTCCAACCCTCCGGCCCCAGCCCAACCCGCGACCCTCTCTCAGCCTGGCCCCTTCCCCCGCCCACGTCTCCCCCCTCCTTCACGCCAGAGCCCCTCAGGCCCCGCCCCCGGCTACCGAGGCCCCGCCCCCGCTTTACCCCCACCAAGCCCCGCCCCTCACTCACCTGAGGTGTCTCCGCGCGCGCGCAGGCTGTGAGGGGTTGGGGAGAGGGGACAGTGTTGGGGGAGAGGGAGGCGAGGGGGCGGGGGTCCCCCACTCTGGCCCGGGCGGCCCAGTGCGGGGGGAGTGGGGTCACTGAGGCGGCGGCAGTCGCCGGGCCGGAGCCAGGACCCGGGCGCTCAGAGGCGGCGGTGGCGGCGGCTCCATCTCCATCAGCAGCTTCACCTGAGAAGGGACTTGCCCCCCCAAATATCCCCCCCCATCACAGCCGTCCCCCTCCCCCTAACAACTTCCGGTCCCACTACCAGGCGACAGGCGGCGTGGCCGAACACCGAGCGTCCCCAAGCCCGGGAGACTGCTGGGGGAAAATGGGAGAGGAGCTAGGGGAGAGTAGCCGAGCGCCGAAAGATTCAAATCCGAAAGGCACCATCGTCTGCCGAAGGTAACCCAAAAACTAGCCTTTAATCTGCACCCAGTTTGCAATCTAAGCACACGCTGGACGCCCGATGTGGCCTGGCACGTCAGGCCCTAGAGCCAAGTTTTCCCTCTGTACCTTGTGAATCCCAAAAATCTGAGACAGGTCTCAGTTTAGGAAGTTTTTGGCAAAACTTAATTTTGCCAAAGTTAGGGACGCACGCCCGTAACGCAGCCTCAGGAGGTCCTGACGACATGTGCCCTAGGTGACTGGAGCACAGCTTGGTGTTATACATTTTAGGGAGACAAGAGACATCAATCAATATATGTAAAGGCGGGACAACTCAAGCTGGGAGGAGGCTTCCAGGTCATAGGTAGATAAGAGGTAAATGGAGCGGGGCGCAGTGGCTCACGCCTGTAATCCCAGCACTTTGGGAGGCCGAGGCGGGCGGATCACCTGAGGTCAGGAGTTCAAGACCAGCCTGGCCAACATGGTGAAACCCCATCTCTACTAAAAATAAAAAATTAGCCGGGTGTGGTGGCCCGCGCCTGTAGTCCCAGCTACTTGGGAGGCTGAGGCAGGAGAATCGCTTGAACCCGGGAGGCGGAGGTTGCAGTGAGCCGAGATCGCACCACTGCACTCCAGCCTGAGCAATAGAGTGAGACTTCATCTCAAAAAAAAAAAAAAAAAAAAAAAAAAGCCGGGCTTGGTGGCTCACGCCTGTAATCCTAGCACTTTGGGAGGCCGAGGCAGACGTACTGCCTGAGCTCAGGAGTTCGAGACCAGCCTGGGCAACATGGTGAAACCCATCTCTACTAAAATACAAAAGAAATTAGCCGGGCGTGGCGGTGTGCGCCTGTCGTCCCAGCTACCTGGGAGGCTGAGACAGAATTGCTTGAACTCCGGAGACGGAGGTTGCAGTGAGCGGAGATCGTGCCACCGCACTCCTGCACTCCAGTCTGGGTGACAGAGCAAGACTCTGTCTCTACAAAAAAAAAAAAAAAAAAAGAGGCAAATGGTTGTATTCCACTCAAAGAAGGCAATCAGGTATGCATTTATCTCAGTGAGCAGAGGGATGACTTTGAATGGGAGGCAGGTTTACCCTAATCAGTTCCCAGCTTGACTTTTCCCTTTAGCTTAGTGATTCTGGGGCCTCAAGATTTATTTTGCTTTCACGACCTCCTAAGACAATATTGATTTTAAACTCCTAGCACCCTTTGCCTTTCCTGCCAAGTGCATTGGAACTGTTGGGGAAAGGAGTTGGAGGGTACATGTTTTTGTCACCTCTCCTCTCTTCATGGTATCCTGAGGTCAATCACCTAGGTGTCCCTGCAGATACTGCCAAACCTCAGAGAAGGAAGCCCCCCTTTTTTTGAGACAGAATCTCGCTTTGTCGCACAGGCTGGGGTGTAGTGGGTGTGATCTCGGCTCACTGCAACCTCTGCCTCCTTGGTTCAAGCGATTCTCCTGCCTCAGCCTCCCAAGTAGCTGGGATTACAGGCACCCACCACCACACCCAGCTAATTTTTGTATTTTTGGTAGAGACTGGGTTTTGCCATGTTGGCCAGGCTGGTCTCGAACTCCTGACCTCAAGTGATCCACCTGCCTTGGCCTCCCAAGTGCTGGGATTACAGGCGTGAGCCACTGTGCTCAGCCGGAAGCCCTACTTCTTAACCTACAAGCCTACTTCCTCTCTGTCTTCCTCCCCAGTTTTGTTTGTTTTGGTCTAATCTCATTATACATCCCAGTACAAATGCATCCTTCCTCCTGCAATAGGCTCACTCCCCAGGCCCAAGAGTTATGATCTTAAACAGACTATTTATTAGAAAAGTAGAACTATAAAGGGAGACGGTTGTGCCCCTTGCTCTCCTCGCAACTCTCTGGCAACCTGGAGAGGTAGTATAAGATAGTATATACACTTTTCTTACACATGCCACACACATTTCTCTGAACAATCCAAAAAGAAAAGCAAAACAAGGCCTTGATGGCAGTAGGCATTAGAAATGGAGGTGGGGTAGGAAGAGAAAATAGTGCTTGTCTCCAGAATTACTTTTTTCACTTCTAGCCCCTTGCTGTAACAGCTCACACTTCCTGGCACAGGTTCAAAGGCCAAGAGGGGTATGTAACATAGTGTCCAAAGAGGGAAGGTCCTTGGGTGAAATGTGCTATATGTGTACTTGGGTATGGCTTAGGAAGGCCAGAGTTGTGATCCAAGAAGTTGAAAGGTGGGAAAGATTTTTCTGAAGCAGTGAGGCTAATGGGTGGGGAAAGGGGTGGAGGTGGCTCCTTTCCATGCTCATGGGGAGACATAGACATGGACACGATGCCAGGCATTGCTGAGAACACCTCGCAGGTTCCAGATTGGGGCCACGGTGTCTGGCTGCACATTGTAACCATCATCCACAGCCTTACAAACAATGTTCAGTTCCTTTTGTCCAGCTGGCACAGGGGCTTTCAACTGCCACAGACGCCATGCCCAGGCCTTCCTGGGGCGCTGTTCCTCTCCATCCAGCTTAGCCACCTGCCAGGTTAGGCCCCCATCCAGAGACACATCCACCCGGATCACAGCCCTGCCACCACCACTCCATGCATAGCCCTTGATGGTCACCTCCCCTGATTCTACAGTCTCTCCATCCCGGGGCTCTGTGATGGCCGACTGGACAGGAAGTTCCTGAATGGATGGAGCAGAGTCAAAATCTACAGTCTCCCAGTCCACAGATGGAGAGAAGCCTTTGTAATCCCGCCGTTGCCAGTGGCTGTAACTTTCCTCTGGCTGCACACTCACTCTGCCCAGCCATTTGACATGGCGGGCACCCACCACTCCAGGAACCACCACACGCACAGGGAAGCCGTGGTCACGTGGCAGAGGCTGCCCATTCATCTCATATGCCAGCAGGACCTCAGCTTCAGGGTCCATGGCCCGAGCCAGAGGGATGGATGCTCCATAGGCAGTCCCAGTAGGGTCTGAGTCCAGTCCCTCAAAGCAGACGTGGGCCTCAGTTTCACAGAGTTGGTGGCCAGCCTGGGCTAACACATCACAGAGCCGTGCCCCAGCCCAGCGTGCAGTGCTGATGGCTCCTGTTCTCCACTCCAGACCTTTTACTTCTTTGACCTGAGTCATCTCAGAGCGTCGGTTGCCGGCACACTGCAGAGTGACTGTGATCTCGTACCTGGGAAAGTTGTGCAAGTCATCCAGGGAAAGAGACAGTGACTGACCCCCAGGTGCTCCTACTACGTGTAAGCGATAGGTGTCTGGATCCAGGTTAGGTACAGGCAGATGGTTCCGGGTGAAGAAGATAGGGTTGGGTGTGATGTAGTTTTCTGTCAGCAGCTCAGGGGGAGGCTCTGCATTAAAGGGCCGCTGGCTGTTGACCTTCAGGGCTGGGTGACGTACAGGATCATCAGCATAAGGGTCAGAGGTCTCCACGGTGGGGGCTACCTTGTCTTCAGGATTCAGCTCCCCAATCTTGTACTGAGCCAGTAACTCACGCACATGGGACTGGTTGTGAACAGCATAGAGGGCCCAGAAGGGCTCTAGGGGACCCCCAGCTGCTAGCATCAGCTTTGAAGGCCCCCCTGGATGTAGGTCCACAAATTCTGTGACATCAAAGACCTCAGAGCCCAGAGTCACCCAGATCCCAGTCTCAGGGCTGGTGTGGGAACTCACTTCCTCCTTAGTGTATATGTGTGTTGACTCCTGAGCAGCCTATTGGCAGGGAAGGAGTAAGATAAAAGGGAAGAGACTATTAAGAAGAAATCACTTGGTCGGGCGTGGTGACTCACAACTGTAATCCCAGCACTTTGGGAGGCCGAGGTGGGCGGATCACATAAGGTCGGGAGTTCAAGACCAGCTTGACCAACATGGAGAAGCCCTGTCTCTACTAAAAATACAAAATTAGCTGGGCATGGTGGTGCATGCCTGTAATCCCAGCTACTTGGGAGGCTGAGGCAGGAGAATCACTTGAACCCGGGAGGTGGAGGTTGTGGTGAGCTGAGATCATGCCATTGCACTCCAGCCTGGGCAACAAGAGTGAAACTCCATCTCAAAAAAAAAAAAAAGAAAAAATGAAGAAGAATAAGAAGAAATCACTTGAGCTCACCCTGACCCAACCCACGGTGTTGGCCACTGGGAAGCGAAGGTAGCAGATTAGCAGATTTCATCTCCACTGTGCATGAAGACTGCGTCACTGTGAACTCTGTGGTAACTACAAGAACATGGGTCACAGCCTGGGTTGCCTGTGGAGTTTACTAGGACTGATTCCTTTATTCTGACAATTTTTTTTTTTTTTTTGAGATGGAGTCTCACTCTGTCACCCAGGCTGGAGAGCAGTGGCCTGATCTTGATCTTGGCTCACTGCAGACTTAGCCTCCTGGGTTTAAGTGATTCTTGTGTCTCAGCCTCTCAAGTAGCTGAGATTACAGGTATGTACCACCACACCTGGCTAATTTTTACTAGAGATGGGGTTTTGCCATGTTGCCCAGGCTGGTCTCAAACTCCTAACCTCAAGTGACCCACCCACCTTGGCCTCCTATAGTGCTGGGATAACAGGCGTGAGCCACTGCACCCAGTCTGTTCTGACAATGAAGCACTTTCCCTACTTACCCTACACCGATGGTCCTGATAGGCCAACACTGCACCGAGACCTAATAGGGTCCCCATGACTCTCCATCCCTGGGTGCTGGAGTTATCACCAGAGAAGGTGAGGCTGGGGCGCTGGGGCTGAAATGAATCATTTGTGGAGCAGGCCTGAATGCAGATCCTTGAGGGGATTGACTTGAGTCTGGAAGAGAGGTCGGTCTTAGTAGCACGTATGGTCATGTGAAAGGGCTAGTGAAGGCTTGGGGTCTACTTCTTTCTCCCTGGTTGGCCATTGGTTCCTTAAGTTGGAACTTAGTTTCTCCAGGGATAGGTGGGAAAAGTGGGATCTGGCTTTCTCTGTCCTCCCTGGACACACTCTCTCAACTGTCTTATTTGCAAGGTATGACATTGTAAAAGACACTAAGGGTGGCAGATAGGGGCTAGGAGGCAAGTCCTGGGATGGGCTGGCCTACCTGCAGGCCTGTTGGAGCCTGAGGACCACAGCTCTGTGCAGCAGCAGCATTGTAGCAGACCTGTAGAAGGAAGATTCTGGGATCAAGATAGGGAGACCCTGGGAGGGGATATTAGGGAGGCCTAAGGGAATGGGTGAGAGGAAGACACAGAGAAGGTCAGCAAGGAGCTTTCTGGGCAAGTGAGGAGTCTTGAGAGTGGGAGTCCAAATGGGCCCTTAGAGAAAACTTGGAGCACTTCAGAGACAGACTGTGCTGACAGGATGGCAGGTAATGCGGGTGGGGAATGGGGTAGGAGGGATGGGTGCTTCTAGAATCAGAATCACCTTTCTCCCATCTTCCATTCTGAACTTTGTCCACCATAGAGAACGATGCCTGGGGCGAAGGGCCTAAAGGACCGAAACCAAATGTCTACTGGCCAGATTATTATTTCTGAAGTCAGCAGAGGACAACTGTGGGTCAGACTGACTTAAACAGGGATAAAAAAGTGAAAAAAAAGTAGTGACAGCCTAAATGGGTGAAGAAGCCCAGATTCTGGGGGCAAAATGCCTTGGGTTTGTGAAACTGGATCTCTTGTTATTCATTAACCAGCCCGATTTCCTGAGCAAGATTCCAAGCCGTTCTGAACTTGCTTCCTCATCTCTGAAATGACATCTGCCTAGCAGAGCTAACATGAAGAGCCAACAAGTACAGTAGTACCCCCTTATCCACTGGGGATATGTTCTACGACCCCCAGTAGATGTTTGAAACCACAGATTGCACCAAACCCTATATTACTGTTTTTTCCCCCATACATACATACCTCTTATAGTTTAATTACTAAATTACCCACAGTAAGAGATTAACAACAATGCCCGGCGCAGTGGCTCACGTCTGTAATCCCAGCACTTTGGGAGGCTGAGGCGGGCAAATCACCTGAGGTCAGGAGTTTGAGACCAGCCTGGCCAAAATGGGGAAAACCTGTCTCTACAAAAATTCAAAAATAAGCCAGGCATGGTGACACGTGCCTGTAACCCCAGCTACTCGGGAGGCTGAGGCAGGAGAATCACCTGAACCTGGGAGGTGGAGGTTGCAGTGAGCTGAGATCACGCCACTGCTCTCCAGTCTGGGCAACAGAGAGAGACTCCATCTCAAAAAAAAAAAAAAAAAAAAAAAAGAGAGATTAACAACAATAACAAAATAGAAAAATTAGCCCGGCGCAGTGGCTTACGCCTGTAATCCCAGCACTTTGGGAGGCTGAGACGGGCAGATCACGATGTCAGGAGATCGAAACCATCCTGGCTAACGCGGCGAAACCTCATCTCTACTAAAAATAGAAAAAAAAAAATTAGCCGGGCTTGGCGGCGGGCGCCTGTAGTCCCTGCTACTCCGGAGACAGGAGAATGGCGTGAACCCAGGAGGCGGAGGTTGCAGTGAGCCGAGATCGCGCCACTGCACTCCAGCCTGGGCGACAGAGTGAGACTCCGTCTCAAACGTCTCAAAAAAAAAACAAAGAAAAAGAAAAAAATTATAACATTATACTGTAATAAAAGAGCTGGGTGTGGTGGCTCACCCTTATAATCCTAGTGAGAAGTGACATTGTGCTGGCAGTCCTCACAGCCCTTGCTCACTCTCGGTGCCTCCTCTGCCTGGGCTCCCACTTTGGCGGCACTTGAGGAGCCCTTCAGCTCGCCGCTGCACTGTGGGAGCCCCTTTCTGGGCTGGCCAAGGCCAGAGTCGGCTCCCTCAGCTTGCAGGGAGGTGTGGAGGGAGAGGTGCGAGCGGGAACCGGGGCTGAGCGCGGAGCTTGCGGGCCAGCTGGAGTTCCGGGTGGGCGTGGGCTTGGCAGGCCCCGCACACGGAGCAGCCGGCTGGCCCTGCCGGCCCCGGGCAATGAGGGGCTTACCACCTGGGCCAGCAGCTGCGGAGGGTGTACTGGGTCCCCCAGCAGTGCCGGCCCACCAGCGCTGCGCTCGATTTCTCGCCGGGCCTTAGCTGCCTCCCCGCGGGGCAGGGCTCGGGACCTGCAGCCCGCCATGCCTGAGCCCCCCTTCGCCGTGGGCTCCTGTGGGGCCTAAGCCTCCCCGAGGAGCACCGACCCCTGCTCCACGGCACCCAGTCCCATCAACCACCCAAGGGCTGAGGAGTGCGGGCGCATGGCACCGAGACTGGCAGGCAGCTCCACCTGCAGCACCAGTGCGGGATCCACTGGGTGAAGCCAGCTGGGCTCCTGAGTCTGGTGGGGAGGTGGAGAACCTTCATGTCTAGCTCAGGGATTGTAAATACACCTATCAGCACCCTGTGTCTAGCTCAGGGTTTGTGAATGCACCAATCAACACTCTGTATCTAGCTACTCTGGTGGGGCCTTGGAGAACCTTTATGTCTAGCTCAGGGATTGTGAATACACCAATCAACACTCTGTATCTAGCTAATCTGGTGGGGATGTGGAGAACCTTTGTGTCTAGCTCAGGGATTGTAAACGCACCAATCAGCACCCTGTCAAAACAGACCACTCGGCTCTACCAATCAGCAGGATGTGGGTGGCACCAGATAAGAGAACAAAAGCAGGCTGCCCAAGCCAGCAGTGGCAACCCGCTTGGGTCCCTTTCCACACGGTGGAAGCTTTGTTCTTTCCCTCTTTACAATGAATCTTGCTGCTGCTCACTCTTCGGGTCCACACTGCCTTTATGAGCTGTAACATTCACTGTGAAGGTCTGCAGCTTCACTCCTGAGCCAGCAAGAGCACGAACCCACCAGAAGGAAGAAACTCCAAACACATCTGAACATCAGAAGGAACAAACTCCGGACACGCTGCCTTTAAGAACTGTAACACTCACTGCGAGGGTCCGCGGCTTCATTCTTGAAGTCAGTGAGACCAAGAACCCACCAATTCCGGACACACTAGCACTTTGGGAGACCTACACAGGAGGACTGCTAGAGGCCAGGAGTTGGAGACTCCGTCCCTACAAAATAAAAAGTTAGTTGGGCATGGTGGAGCGCACCTGTGGTCCCATCTACTCTGGAGGCTGAGAAGATCTAAGCCCAGGAGTTTGAGGTTACAGAGTGAGCTGACTGTGCCACTGCACTTCAGCTTGGGCAACAGAGAGCGAGACCCTGTCTCAAAACAAAAACAAAAAAAAGTTATATGAATGTGGTCTCTCTCTCAAAATATACTTTTTTTTGGCCAGTCATGGTGGCTCATGCCTATAATCCCAAAATTTTGGGAGGCCAAGGAAGGAGGATCACTTGACTCCAGGAGTTCAAGACCAGCTTGGGCAACATAGTGAGACTGTGTCTCTAGAAAAAAAAAAACAAATTAACTGGGCATGGTGGTGCCTGTCTGTAGTCTCAGCTACCGGGGTGGTGGGGAGAGGAGTGCTGAGATGAGAGGATGGCTTGAGTCCAGGAGGTCGAGACTGCAATGAATTATGATGGCGCCACCGTACTCCAGCCTGGGCAACAGGGCAAGACCTTGTCTCAAAAAAAAAAAAAGCCTGGGCGATGGAGCAAGTGTCGATCATGGCTCACTGAAGCTTCAACCTCTTGGGCTCAAGCCATCCTCCTGCCTTAGCCTCCCCAGCAGCTGGGACTACAAGTGTGTGTCACCAAGCCTGGCTAATTTTTCTGTAGACATGGGAGTCTATGTTGTCAGGGCTGGTCTTGAACTCCTGGCCTCTTGCTGCCTTAGCCCCCAAAGTGCTGGGATTACAGGCATGAGCCACTGTCCGGCTTCCCCTCCCCTCCCCCTGCCCCTGACAGGGTCTTGCTCTGCCCAGGCTGGAGTGCAGTGGCGTGATCTCAGCTCACTATAGCATCAAACTTCTGGGCTCAAGCCATCCTCCTGCCTCAACCTCCTGAGTAGCGGGGACCACAGGCGTGTGCCACCATGCATGGTCTTTTTTTTTTTTTTTTTGTAGAGATGAGGTCTTACTATGTTGCCCAGGCTGGTCTCAAACTCCTGGGTTCAAGTGATCCTTCAAACTTGGTCTCACAAAGTCCTGGGATTATTACAGGCATGAGCCACCACTCCCAGCCTCAAAATATCTTATTGTACTGTGTTCAACTATTTTCCAAGCGGTTGACCATAGCTAACTGAAACTCAGGAAAAGGAAACTTTGGATAAGGGGAGACTGCTGTAATAACATTGTCTTTGAAGGCTTTTCAGTCCCCAACTCTCCCTCCATTCACCCTAAAAAAAATTGAACCCAGCTGGGAACTGGACCCCAACCTAGGGTCCCGGACCACCTCAATCTTCTCTGTGCCACTGTAGTGAGCTCAGCAAATTGAGGAGTTAATGGCCAGAGTGTCAGGGGCAGGCTGGAGAAGGAAGGTAATTTTTCTGCTCTCTGCCCTGCAAGTTTCTTCCTCAAATTGCTGAACAGAGAGCACTGACCCAGCAGGGCCAAAGTGAGGAGGGGTGACAAATGTCTAAACTGCTGATGAGATGCTGGAGACCAATGTGCTGGGGTGGGTGGGTCGTGGGTAGGGAGGAAAGGAAACCTAGAGATGGGAATAGGAGCAGTCTTCACCTTGCCCCTGGGCCATGGGACCATTACTCTCTCTGCCACCTACCTCAATGCCAGCAGCCTGTTTGTACTAGACCAGAGCAGTGCAGGTAGGGCTGACTCGCAGGTGAACTCAGTGAGCCCAGAATCCCAGGTTTGGGAGGGACAGCCTTTTGCTGTAATACAGAAATGCCACCCGTTGGTGCAGGTGATGACCCCTCACTCCCCATGGGCACGTTAGGTAGGAACATACGTCCGGCATCCAGGCACAAAAGGGTCTTGCGGCAACACCCCGCGATCTCAAGAGCACCCAGACAGAAGGAGTGGAGGCAGGTACTGATAGTTTTGTTGCCCTTGAGGTTCGGAGCACAGCTGGACACCAAGGCCCCCTCCGCTGCCCAGCTCAGCAGCCCTTCCTCCCCAGCTTCTTTACCACCCCCAGTCTCCTTACCGGGTCCAGTGTCTTCAGCACTGCAATTTTACCAGCCCAGCTCTGCGAGTTCTCGAGAAGGGGCGGGGCCAGCGCCGTTATGTCCGGCTGCAGTAAGTGACCTCTCACTCCCCTCAGCTTATCCCTCAGCCATTGGCTGGAAGCGGGTGGCTCAACCATTGGCTGGAACCCGCCTCCTGGAGCCGAGACAGGCAGGTTGCTAAGAAGCCTGGGAGAAGAGGCTGGCTCTTTTTGCTGTCACTCTCGCCAACAGTCCGGAGTCCATTATACCCCTGGTGTGCAAAGAATGGGACCCTTGTGCACCAGGGCTGTATGTCCGGAGCTCGGGCAGTGTGGAAGGTGACAAGGAATCCAAAAGTTGGGCTGACAGGTGGGAGATTTTGAGACACCCCTGCCGCCCCTCCCTGGAGGAGGCCTCGGGATCCAGTCCGGTTTTCCCCGGCTGTGATCTCCACTTTAAACCCAGGGTAGACCTACCTCTATCTACTCTGTTGCAACTACAACTACCCTGTTTATCTTTTAGGGAAAGCAAAGTCAATCGCTTAGTTCTCGTATTCCAGGAATGATAACAGAAATGCCTAAAATAGTGGTTCCAAGAATTTGAGATTCCTTGGGCTAGTCGAATTTCTCCCCAAACAAAAATGAAACAACAACACTGAATAGCCGTCTTTTATTTTGCGTAGAAAAAAAAAATAATAATCGCCCCTTGGTGGCACACGCCTGTAGTCCCAGTACTCGGGAGGCTGAGGCGGGAGGATCGCTTAAGCCCAGGAGTTCGAGGTTGCACTGAGCCAAGATCGCGGCACTGCACTCCAGCCTGGACAACAGAGCAAGACCCCATCTCTTAAAAAACAAACTGCCCCTTAACAAGAGCAATGGCAGCTTAACACCCCGAAGTATGAAGGTTGTAGTCTCTTATCTCAAAGTAAGGGGCATAAATATAATACATTTCCTATTACCCTTTTGTCATTTGATGCAGGACAAAATTTATCAAACCTAGTCCCCCAATCTGGACAAATGTATCCATACACTGCCCTCTAGAGGCCGGACGGTGGAGCTGCAATTTTAATCAGTTTAAGTGAAGGTGTTCACCTTTAATTTTGAAAGATCATTTCCTTTCCTTTCGGCTCTCCAACTAGAGCTTTTACCAGGAATCAGGGAACGGGGGTGGGGGGTATTACCAAGAGATATAAGGTAAGGGAACCGACAGTGAAAAGTTGGCAAGTTGGCTTTGGCTCTTAAGTGTTTGGAAATGGAAAGGATTTCAATCTGTATACAATCAAATCACTGAAGAAGGCTAATGCCCAACCTATCCTACCAGTTGTTAAAAAAAAAATATATATATATATATATATGTATATATATATGGAGAGAGAGAGAGTGAGAGAGAGAGAGAGAGGGAGAAAGAGGGAGAGAGAGAGAAAGCGAGCTTCAACCTAAAAAAAAAAAAGTCTCAGCCAAAGGAAGATACAGAGAAGTCAGTTAGGGACTATCTAAAAGCCTCCTTCCTAATAGTGTCATCTACTTTTGTGTGACACACATACTTTACATAATTGACCTTAATCTTCAGCTTTTACTTTACAGATGAAGAAACGAGGCGGAAGGCACTAACTAACTTGATCAAGGCCACAGCTGGTTAAGTTGACAGAGACAGGCCTAGAATGTCAGATTTGTCTGGCACCAGTCCTCTTTCCTATCCACCTTCAGATTCTTTGGAATTTAAAGCCTACTGCAACCACACATAATCCTATTTCATTTCCCTTCCCTCGACCTTTAGACTGTGGTGGACTGAAGGGTTTGAAGTACACTAGGAGTCAAGAGCAGATCCAGAGGAAATTTTCCCGTTGAGGTGGAAGCTACAAGAAAACTAACTCAGTGATGTTTTTCAACCTTTGGGTCATGGACCCCTTTGAGAAACATATAGAAATGGATCCTAGAAATATGCACATACGGCCGGGCGCAGTGGCTCACGCCCGTAATCCCAGCACTTTGGGAGGCCAAGGTGGGTGGATCACGAGGTCAGGAGTTCAAGACCAGCCTGACCAACATGGTGAAACCCCGTCTCTACTAAAAATACAAAAATTAGCTGGGTGTGTTGGTGCGTGCCTGTAATCCTAGCTACTCAGGAGGCTGAGGCAGGAGAATCACTTGAACTCAGGAGGCGGAGATTGCTGTGAGCCAAGATCGTGCCACTGTACTCCAGGCTAGCGACAGAGACTCCGTCTCAATTAAAAAAAAAAAAAGAAATATGCACATACATTTTTGTATACTACTTCAAATAGCACCCCTCTCTCTAATCTGATCAGTGGGCCCAAAGATCCACAGACCATACCCTACACATATACATTCTGTTAAGAGGGCCTAAAAAGATATAATAGGGTTTGATTTGATGAACAATCTAGTGGCCTTAGAAGAGGGGTGATTAAATAGCAATAGAAGGGCTATTTTCTAAACTAGATGTTTAAGAAAAGATTAAAGGGAATAAAGATGTATCAAGATGCAGGGAAAGGTGTGTTTCTGATTCAGTAGAACATTACTGGGTATCCTTTCTTCCAAATTCCTAGTACCTGACAAATAGCAAAAATAATAATAATAATAACAATAAAATAAAAAAAAGCAACACTCCAATGCCCTTTTCTTTTTTTCCTTTTTTTACTTACATTAAATACATCGGTAAATCAGCAGTCGCATTCTGTTACCACGATTGTTATGTTGGGAGAGGAAGAAAGGCAAATGCTTTCTCAGAAGCAAAACAAAAACAAAAAACCACAACACCCCCCCTTAAAAAAACTGACCAGAAGAAAAAAATGAGCTGGGAAATAAACAAAAGAAAACTAAGATCCCCAAGCCCAACAGAGCTCAAAGGAAGGCAGAAGAGGTGGTAGGAAGTAGAGGGAAGGCAGCCGATAGGCCCAGAAGCTAAGGCCAAATCCTGTTCCTATGGGGGTGGGGGGAGGGAGAAGCCTGGGGAAGTGGTTTCCCAGGCCCAAGATAATGAAACATCTTCACTCCTGCTCCAAGGGGGAAAGCTGCACAGAGAAAGAACTTCATTTCTAGAAGACTTTGGAAAGCCATCCTAGTTCTTCCACTTGTAAAAAGGATGCACTGGGTGCTATGGGGGGCCAGTGGCTTCTGGGAAAGGAAGGGGGAAATGTGTGTGTTTCAGGGCCATGGGAACTAAGGCTGCCCCTGGAAAAGGAAGGGAATTGAGGCCTAAGTGGAAGAACCTAAGCTGGGTCCTTCAGAATCTCAGCTTCATAGATTTCTCAGCTGTTCTGGGATAGAAGGCAGTCTGCAAGCCAAAAGGGCAGGAAGGTTCCAATCCTAGGTCACTGTGACCTTTCCTTTCTTTCTTTCCCAAAACTCCGGGCTGGAACAAGGAACTTAAAGTTCTCTTTTGCCTTGATGGCTTCTCAGAGACATCTTAAAACACCTGATGAAGGATATGAAGAGAGACTAGAGATTTAGAAAGGACCAAGGTCCTCTGATAATATGAGCCAGTTGTAAGGTACCTTCAGTGCCGGTCATTCCCTCTCCACAGGAACAGGTGGTATGATACGAGGGCACCACAGGAGGCCTCTGTGGTACTAGCCCCTATTGGTACATGGATTAAACCACTGGTTGCATGATGGGGAGGGATGGGGGGATTAAGGATGGAGGGACTAAATTCAAGATATTAACAAAGGAACAAAGAAACAGGGCCTGATGGGAGGCAGAGGATAGAACAGACTGTACAGTGGGAATAAAGATCATACCTATTTACAAGGAAGTAGAAAAGACATGGTAATGGATATCAAATTGAGTGTGAAACCTGGGAAAGGACAGAAAACTCCTCCCTTTTGCCTGACCTCCTTTTTACTCCCCTACCTTGGCCTGTGCTATCCTGAGACACTCCTCAATTGCTCAATTAATTCTCCAGGAAAGGCAAACCTATAGTCAATAGTTAGCTTGGCAAGAATATAGGTTAATAATTAGAGTTGGAGGAAGCTAACAGTGGAGATAGGACTTGAGTAGCTGCCACTGGTAGTTTTATCTATAACCTCTCCTCGAACCTCGCATTAACCTCAGATTTCATTGAATTAAAAAGAAGGTGGGAGGGCAAGTAAATCAATCAAAACTTCCATAAAACAAGTACCCCAACTGAACTACCATCAATTAAAGTGCAAACTGCAGGGGTATATGGTGGCTGGGGCTGAGGCCATCTAAAGGCCAGAGGGGAAAAAATGCATATGTATAAATCAGAGGATGGGTACCAGAAACTGTCCCTCCTCCAATCAGATCACAGCAGAGCCAAAGATGCAGGCAACCAGTGAAAATTCTTTGGAAGACTCTGGGGTCCAACCCCCACGATTAGGGGAAACGCTACCTAAGAGGCTGCGTGAGGGGAAACTGGGCCTTTGAAGAGTTACAGAGCCACAGTTGACACTGCACCTCCACCTCCGCCCAGTTAGCTTACAAGGCACCTCCTGCCTGGTGCCTGAGATCTTGCCTCCCCATTCTCACCTCTACCTAGGAACACCCTCCACAAGGCCAAATCATGGATACCGCAATGTTTTCAAATATGAGAAACTCCAACCAAATAAAAACAAAAAGGAAATGTTTCCTTACTCCCTCCTGCTCTGAGCTTTATTCTCCCCCAGGGCCCTTAATGTAAATGAACTGGAAACCTCCTTCCTCAGTTCCTGGGTTCACCACTTTCTGCATCCTGGGGAGAGGAGAAAAGAGGCTCAAGAACAGGGACTGACCAAAAGCAGAAGGGGAAGGGACAGGAGTCAGAAGTGTTTTCTGAAAAAATGGGGAGGAACACTAGGGAGGAGGAGAAAAGATACGTAAGTCGCTGTCTTGTACCTATAATACAAAGTGAAGAAAGTTTGTTTTGGAAGGTAAGTCCTGGGGGGAGTTGACCCCCAAGCCCCAGAGTAGGGGGTAGGAGGCCAGTGGCAACAGCTGCCTGGTGTTTGTTGCTGAAGCGTTAAAAAGTGCCATGACGGAGCTGTCAGGAGGCAGCCCTTGGGAGCCAGGGCTCAGTGTGCTGTTACCGTAGGGGTTGTGTGCTGAGGGGTAGGGATGGAGGTTATTTCTTAGCTCTTGTGCTAGCTCCATACTTGTTTGCTGCTAGCCACCCCCTCAGTTGCTACAACACTGGCTCTTGTTCTGCTGGGACTGTTCATGGAGATCCACACCCCGGCTTCGGCCTGCTGCACCTCCCAGATTCTGGGGTTCACTCTTTGGCAACTTCTTAGCTAGAGATAAAAAGAGAAGAGAACAAAGTATGGTAGACTTTACTTCCCTACCCCTCTGCCTCCACCCGCCAAAAACGGCTACTGAATTGGGGAAAAGGGAGAATTTGAGAGATTAAAAGAATGTTCTGAAGATGGGAGGGTTCACTATTTGCAAACTTTTTTTTTTTTTTTGAGATGGAGTCTCGCTCTGTTGCCAGGATGGAGTGCAGTGGCACAATCTCGGCTCACTGCAACCTCCACCTCCCGGGTTCAAGTGATTATCCTGGCTCAGCCTCCCAAGTAGCTGGGACTACAGGTGTGCGCCACCACGCCCAGCTAATTTTTGTATTTTTAGTAGAGACGGGGTTTCACCACATTGGCCAGGATGGTCTTGATCTCTTGACCTCGTGATCCGCCCGCCTCGGCCTCCCAAAATGCTGGGATTACAGGTGTTAGCCACCACACCTGGCCGGCAAACTTACACATTGAAGACAAGGGAGCTAAAGCTGCAGCCAAGGATGGAGGTCATAACAGAAAGTTAAGGTATTTCCATACCTAAAGTTTTTGCAAAAGGAGATACTCGCACCTATCCTTGATTTGGGTTAGCTATAATTTTGCCTATAAACGAGGGAAAAAGGAGGACCTCAGGATGTTCTGACCTTACCTATTGCCAGGAAGAGATCATTCACGTTCATAGCTGTCTTGGCTGAAGTCTCCATGAACAATAAGCTGTTGTCATCTGCATATGCCTGGGCCTCCTGCAAGGAGTGGGATGTATTAGTGCTCAGAATGTAGGGTGGGAACGAGTATTGCCTTTCCACTCCCATGCAGCACAACAGCTAGGCAAAATCCTAGGTTCCCTCCCCTTAATTAATACCCCTTTGAGCCAGCTAGCCTAGATGCATAATTTAATGACAACTCCCTCAAGATGACCCCATGTCCACTCAGTCCAACACACAAATGTCAGAAAGCTTAATTATAGGGGAGAGGGTAAGTTAGTTGGGGGCTTTTGGGTTGTGACACTTGAATAGTCCCTTACCACAAATTTAATTGCTCCCTCCTTCCTGTTTTCACACTGGTACCCCCACAGCTGGTACCTCCCTAACCCTCTGCTCTGGAGTTTTCTCCTGACTCCTTTGAAAATCTCCTGGCTGTCATTAGGGTCACAGTGTTGCTGTATTTAACTTGGTGTAGAACTGGGGAATGAGACAATGAATGTCCTCTGTTGACGTTTTCAGAGAGGGCTGGTTTGGAAAAAAAGAGGTCCCAGGAACAGAGGAAGTGTTAGAGAGGAACTCCACGGGCCACCTTACTTCATACTCCACCATACGTTTGTTGGCCAGGTCAGCTTTGTTCCCTGCCAGGGCAATAACGATGCTAGGACTGGCCTGTCGCTGTAGTTCCTTCACCCATGTCTTTGCTCGGGCAAAGGTTTCCTAGGAAAACATGAAGAGAATGAGTAGGCTGGAATGACTGCCAATCCATATCCATCACCTTTTAAAATGAGTCTCAAAATTCACCTCTTCTAGGTGGTCTTCCCTCAGTGAAACCACAGGTCTCTGATAATTCATTATCTGTCTTCTTAGCACTTGGAAGCATAATTTGTACTCTTATTTGCTATTTCAAGAACCCGTTTTCTGCCCCCTTACCCCCTGCCCCAAACTAACTCCTCTAAATATAAGCAAGGACAGTCTTTTTTCTTTTTTTTTTGAGGCGGAGTTTTGCTCTGTCGCCGAGGCTAGAGTGCAGTGGCTCGATCTCGGCTCACTGCAACCTCCGCCTCCTGGGTTCAAGCGATTCTCCTGCCTCAGCCTCCCGAGTAGCTGGGACTACAGGCGCGCACCACCACGCCCAACTAATTTTTGTAATTTTAGTAGAGACGGGGTTTCACCATGTTGGCCAGGATGGTCTCAATCTCTTGACCTCATGATCCTCCCGCCTTGGCATCCTAAAGTGTTGGGATTATAGGCGTAAGCCACCATGTCCAGCCAACAAGGACAGTCTTCTTAGCTCACTTACCTGATTAGTAATGTCGTAAACCACGATTGCAGCTTGGGCACCCCTGTAGTACATGGGGGCTAAGCTGTGATATCGCTCCTGCCCAGCTGTGTCCCAGATCTCAAACTTCACTGTTGTGTCATCTAGACAAACGGACTGGGTGAGGAAGGCCGCTATGGATGAGAGAATGGAGGGGAAGATGCTGTAAGTGGGAGGATGAATGGGAACATCCCTCCCCCCCTTCAAAATGTAACTGCCCTACACTAAGACCAGTCACCACCCAGGATAGTCAGCTACAGGAAAAGGTTTTGAGTTCTCCTTACATGTAAGTCTTGAAACCAGGATTAAGACTGCCCTTGGCTAAGTCCTTCCTGCCAGAAATGTCACTAGCTAAGGAATGGGGGTACATCATAAACTAAGAGGGACAGAAGAACTGGCACTTATACGAGTCATCCTTCTTCTAACCAAAATAGGAGAATAACAAATGACAGAGAAAATAGCTTCAGATAAAAGTCACATCAAGAATTAATTAGAAGATTGGGCTGGGCACGGTAGCTCACGCCTGTAATCCCAGCACTTTGGGAGGTGGGGGCTGAGGCAGGTGGATCACCTGAGGTCAGGAGTTCGAGACCAGTCTGGCCAACACGGCAAAACCCGTCTCTACTAAAAATACAAAAATTAGCCAGGCGTGGTGGTGGACACCTGTAATCACAGCTACTCGGGAGGCTGAGGCTGGAGAATCCCTTGAACTTGGGAGGTGGAGGTTGCAGTGAGCCAAGATGGCGCCACTGCACTTCAGCCTGGGCAACAAGAGCGGAACTCCGTCTCAAAAAACAAACAAACAAACGCAAACAAACAAAAGAATTAATTAGAGGATTGGCTGGGCGCAGTGGCTCATGCCTGTAATCCCAGCACTTTGGGAGGCCAAGGCAGGTGGATGGCTTGAGGTCAGGAGTTCGAGACCAGCCTGGCCAACATAGTGAAACCCCGCCTCTACTAAAAACACAAAAGTTAACCAGGCATGGTGATGGACGCCTGTAATTCCAGCTACTTGGGAGGCTGAGGCAGCAGAAGTGCTTGAACTGGGGAAGCGGAAGTTGCAATGGGCAACCACTGCACCACTGCACTCCAGCCTGGGCAACAGGGTGAGACTCAGTATCCAAAAAAAAAAAAAAAAAAAAAAAGAATTAATTAGAAGATTTTAAAGCTTGATGGCAAGTCCCATCATTATCAATATTATTTGGCTGTTACTTTTTCATATAATCTGCTGCAGGTCCAGGAATACATTTCCAAGATGACTAATAAAAAGGGGAAAGAGGCCAGGCACGGTGGCTCATGCTTGTAATCCCAGCACTTTGGGAGGCCGAGGCGGGTGGATCACTTGAAGTCAGGAGTTTGAGACCAGCCTGGCCAACACGGTGAAACCCTGTCTCTATACAAATACAAAAATTAGCCGGGCATGGTGGTATGTGCCTGTAATCTCCGCTGCTCAGGAGGCTGAGGCACGAGAATCACTTGAACCTGGGAGGCAGAAGTTGCAATGAGCCAAGATTGCACCACTGCACTCCAGTCTGGGCGACAGAGACTCCGTCTCAAAAATAAATAAATAAATAAATAAAAATAACAAGGGGAAGGAATAATTTGGAAGTTCTCATAAAAGATCCTTTATTGAATTAGCACCCTATTTTGGGGTAGTAGTGGGGAAAAGGTAGCAAAGATGAGAAAGACAGACACCCTTTGTATTTTGCATTAGTTCCAGCCTCTATTTTACCAGATTTTTTTTTGTTTTTGAAACAGTCTCGCTCCTTCGCCTAGGATAAAATGCACTGGCGTGATTTTGGCTCACTGCAACCTCCGCCTCATGAGTTCAAGCGAGTCTCCTGCCTCAGCTTCCCAAGTAGCTGGGATTACAGGCATGTGCCACCATGCCCGGCTAATCTTTGTTGTTGTTGTTGTTGTTTTGTTTTTTTGAGACGGATTTTCACTCTAGTCACCCAGGCTGGAGTGCAATGGCGCAATCTTGGCTCACTGCAACCTCCATCTCCTGGGTTCAAGTAGTTCTCCTACCTCAGCCTCCTGAGTAGCTGGAATTATAGGCATGTGCCACCACGCCCAGCTAATTTTTTGTATTTTTAGTAGAGACGGGGATTTCACCTTGTTGGCCAGGCTGGTCTTGAACTCCTGGCCTCAAGTGATCCGCCTGCCTTGGCCTCCCAAATGCTGGGATTACAGGTGTGACCCACCATGCCCAGCCTATTTTACCAGATTTTGATTTTTTTTTTTTTTTGGAGATGGAGTTTTGCTCTTGTCGCCCAGGGTGGAGTGCAGTGGCGCAATCTCGGCTCACTACAACCTCTGCCCCCTGGGTTCAAGTGATTCTCCTGCCTTAGCCTCCCGAGTAGCTGGGATTACAGGCGCCTGCCACCACGCCTGGCTAATTTTTTGTATTTTTAGTAGAGACAGGATTTCGCCATGTTGGGCAGGCTGGTCTCGAACTCCTGACCTCAGGTGATCCGCCCATCTTGGCCTCCCAAAGTGGTGGGCCACTGGGACCGGCCTCTGTTTTTATAAAGGGTTTCCATTTCTGGGGAAAAGAATGGGACTAAGAGGGCCAGCTCCATAATCAGGTCTTATATCTCTTTTCAAAAGCCTTACCGGCCCGGCGTGGTGACTCACGCCTGTAATCCCAGCACTTTGGGAGGCCGAGGCAGGCAGATCACCTGAGGTCAGGAGTTTGAGACCAACCTGGCCAACATGATGGTGAAACCCCCTCTCCACTAAAAATACAAAAATTAGACAGGTGCCACGGTGTGCACCTGTAATCCCAGTTACTCGGGAGGCTGAGGCATGAGAATCGCTCGAACCTGGGAGACAGAGGTTGCAGTAAGCCAAGATTGCGCCACTGCACTCCAGCCTGGGTAACAGAGCAAGACTCCATCTAAAAAAAAAAAAACCCTTACCAAACATTCAATCTCCTATTACCCCAAGGCACTCACCTCCAATGGTGCTCTCCTGGTACTCATGGAACTGCCCTTTGACAAAACGTAATACCAGGCTTGACTTTCCCACTGCAGATTCTCCCAGCAGGACCAATTTGAACTGGCAAATTTTGCTGGCCTGGGGTTGCCCATTGGGCCTAGCTGTGCTTCTGCTAGTCATGGCCAGATTATCAGAATGGGAAAGGGTGGAGGGAGGGGGATACTGTAAAGGGGGGAGGGGGAAGGGGAGGGGATTTCCAGGCTTCAACACTCCTGCAAGAAAAAAAAGTGAATAAAATTAAACATACGTCCATTGAAGCTGCAATCGCTTTTCAGAGAAGGATAGAACCTCTTCATCTCCTTGCTTCTATGAGGACTTAGCTCTGAGAAGGTCCCAGGCAGCTGATCCTCAGTGGTAAGAGTTGGGAAGAGCAAAATAAGAACTGCTTCTGGAGTCTGCCCTACCACATAATCTCTAACTGCCAAGGGAGCCGAAATAGAGAGACTGAAAACTGAGAGTTTTTAATTCCCCAGTAATTCCCCACCAGGTCTTCAAAGTTTTTTGTTTGAGTCACACAAAGTGATCAACCTTTAGCTGGCCTGAAGAATATCCAGATCCACCCACCGGTACCCTAGATCCCCAGTATCTCCTTGGCATCCTGGTGCTGTGCTCTTCTTTTCCTTTTCTTCTTTTTTTTTGAGACGTCACTCTTGTTGCCCAGGCTGGAGTGCAATGGCACAATCTTGGCTCACCACAACCTCTGCCTCCCGGGTTCAAGCAATTCTCCCACCTCAGTCTCCCGAGTAGCTGGGATTACAGGCATGCACCACCACGCCTGGCTAATTTTGTATTTTTAGTAGAGACGGAGTTTCTCCATGTTGGTCAGACTAGTCTAAGAAGTCCTGACCTCAGGTGATCTGCCCGCCTTGGCCTTCCAAAGTGCTGATATTACAGGCATGAGCCACCGTGCCTGGCCTTCTTTTCATTTTTCCTTAGCTCTTTGTCAAAATGAGAGATTCACTCTAGGGGTGTGGGATAAGAGTCACCACTCCTAAGGGCAGAAGGGTAGTTGCTGCTGTATCCTTTATATATGACCGGTCTCCCTGATAAGACATTTCTAAAGATCTAACCAGGGTCCCATTGCCACAAAATCTATCCTTTCTCATTTTTGGTTGAAGGTAAAGAGAGAAATACAACCAACAGATCACATTCATTATCAACTCTTTGTTTCATTAACAACTCTTTTTTCACTTTGTTTCTGCCATCTTTCCAAATCTGAAAGTCTATCAAGAATCAGTAAGCTTGACCTACTCTCAACTTGCAGCTGTCTTGCTGGTGCCTAGGGATTAGATTACCCTCCACACCAAAGGGGCCTAACAGCTGTAGCCCTCCAAATTAGAGGCAGAGAAAGGTATACCTTCTAAAGACATGCAGAAGTCTCCAGAGGATGGTATAGGGCGTTAAGTCTGCAAGCAATCAGTATTTGATGAAAGAATACACTGAATCAGCTCCTCTATCTTCTAAGAGGGCTAAGAAAGCTGCTGGTGGGGCAGGGAACAGAGAGAAGAGTTGGGACTTTGAGATTCTAATCGTCTAAATCTGAATACATTTCATCATCCTGACTCTGAGCGGAAAGGAACTATGAAATTCAAAGGGAAGTTAGCATAGGCAGAGCATGCAAAAACCTCTCTCCCAAACCTAAGCATTGCTTGAGAGTTGTACTTTGCTTGTTCAAATTACTCTTTCGCTTTTCCAAAGCAGATCCTAGTGACTTCACAGACATCATACTCTATGGCATATGTGGGGAAACATCATTATTTTGTCACCACAATTAGTGGGACTGGAGTTAAACTGGGGTTAAAAATTTTCAGTAACCCCACTTACTAGATCGTAAAGACAGAAAATCATACAGGAGGCAATTCAGAGGAATAAAGGCTCTGGAGTCCAATTCTCCACGTTTGTTTTTCAGCTCTACTTACTAGCTATGAACCTTGAGCAAGTCACTAAATATATGTGTGCATTCATTTCCTCATCTGTAAAATGAGATAATAGCCTTATAAGCACCTACTTCATAAGGGTGTTGTAAGGATTAAATGAGATAATGCATATAAATAACTAAAGTATTTTAAGTATTTGATAGATACTAAGTGCTAAATAAATATTAAGCTACTAATCATTACTAATATGATATAAAGAGAATTTCTCTACCTCTCTAAGCCTTACCTTCTACCTTTGTAAAATGGAAAAAATACCATCCTCATAGCTACAAATAATAAGTGAAAGATGTGTTTAGCATAGTGCTAATAGCTATTAAAATATATCTCAATATTAGTTGTTATCAATATATTCCTAAAAAGCAGCCACAGCCTGGGTGCAGTAGCTCATACCTATAATCCCAGCACTTTGGGAGGCTGAGGTGGATCACCTGAGGTCAGAAGTTCGAGCCCTGCCTGGCCAACATGGTGAAACCCCGTCTCCACTAAAAATACAAAAAAAATTAGCTGGGTGTGGTGGTGCATACCTGTAATCCCAGCTACTCCAGAGGCTGAGGCAGGAGAATCGCTTAAACCCAGAAGGTAGAGGGTGCACTGAGCTGATGCGCCACTGTGCTCCAGCCTGGGTGACAGAGCGAGACTCCGTCTCAAAAAATAAAAGGCGGGCACAGTGGCTCACGCCTGTAATCCCAGCACTTTGGGAGGCAAAGGCAGGCAGATCAGGAGGTCAGGAGTTTGAGACAAGCCTGGCAAACATGGTGAAACCCCGTCTCTACTAAAAATACAAAAATTAGCTGGGCGTGGTGGCGCGTGCCTGTAGTCCCAGCTACTTGGGAGGTTGAGGCAGGTGAACTGCTTGAACTTGTGAGGTGGAGGTTGCAGTGAGCTGAGATTGCACCACTGTACTCCAGCCTGGCGACAGAGCAACAGCGAGACTCAGTCTAAAAAAAAAAAAAAAAAATTAGCCGGGTGTGGTTGGTGGCCGGCATTTGTAATCCTACTCGGGAGGCTGAGGCAGAACTGCTTAAACCCGGGAGGCGGAGGTTGCAGTGAGCCGAGATCGTGCCACCACACTCCAGCCTGGGTAACAGAGCAAGACTCCACCTGGGGTGGGTAGGGGGGAGATCGGGGGCAGGGAAGAAGCCACAATATGAAAGTGGTACAGAGAAAGAAAAAGAGAAAAAACAGGCCTGGCAGAGCGGCCCATGCCTGTAATCCCAGGGGTTTGGGAGATAAAAGGGGAAGCCTTGCTTGAGGTGAGGAGTTTGAGACCAGCCTAGGCAACATAGCGAGACTGAGTCTCTAGAAAACATTTAAAAAAATTAGCTGGGCATGGTGGTATGTGCCTGTAATCCCAGCTACTCCAGAGGCTGTGGTGGGAGAATCACTGGAGCCCAGGAGTTGAAGGTTGTAGTGAGCTGATTACACCACTGCACTCCAGCCTGGGCGACAGAACAAGACGCTATCTCTGGAAAAAAAAAAAAAAAAAAAAGGAGACATAACTAAAGGGTAAAGAGGAAGTTAGCAAAAGAATGAGAGGTGAGAACTCAAGGTCCCAAAGTAGACTAGATTAATACAGAGGAACATGACAATTACTTTGATTCTACTGGGTATTCTGTAGTCCCCTTGGTCAGTCAGTCTTAAAAATTCAGATATACATGTACCATTTTATGATTAAGTTTTCAATGGCCTATGACGAAAGGATCAAAATAAAGATGATACAGCAAATTTTTCATAAAGCTAAATTTATTCAATTTAAATGAGTATCTTTAATTATAACATTTTAAAATTTATTTTCCATTTTTAGAGAGAGTCTCACTCTGGTGTTTGAGAGGTCAGGAGTTTGAGACCAGCCTGGCCAACATATAGTGAAACCCCGTCTCTACTAAAAAATACAAAAATTAGCTGGGTGTAGCGCCACATGCCTGTAGTCCCAGCTACTTGGGAAGCTGAGGCAGGAGAATCGCTTGAACCCAGAGGGCGGAGGTTGCAGTGAGCTGAGATTATGCCACTGTACTCCAGCCTGGGCAACAGAGCAAGACTCCGTCTCTCAAAATAAAAAATAAATAAAAGAGAAGACAGGTGACACCATAATAAAAAAAAAAGGACAGATGATAAGCTGATCAAGTTTCCTTCAGGTGACATATATATGCTATACTCTCAAGAAACAATAGAAAAAGTTACTGGTTTTTTCAACTTACTCCCTTACATTTTTATGTATTTCAAAGCATGTGATCCAAGGGGTAGAATATTAAGCCTCAATGTTACTACTCTACAATAAAGGAAAATGTGGGAGTTAGAATGGACTGAATTCTCATGGCTAAACATATCACTTGAGCTCTGGGGGAGTGTAAAGACAGGAAACAATTGCAGACACGCTTGAGTTGCAAAGTCTCTGTCACTAACTCTCAGAGATGGGAAGTCAAGCCAGAGCCCAGATGTGGTCAGCAAGCTTTCTTGCTACTAAGCAACCTTGGATTCTCAGAGATCAGTAACTACTGACTTAGAAAAGACTACCTCGTACCCTAATATGTAGCCTTAAGAGTATGTTCTGGCTGCACATCATGGTTCACGCCTGTAATACCAGCATTTTGGGAGGCCAAGGCAGGAGGATCACTTGAGCCCAGGAGTTTGAGACCAGCCTGGGCAACATAGTGAGATCCCACCTCTGAAAAAGAAAGAATATGTCCTGCCTTCCTCCCTGTTCACAGCAATTGTTGAGCCACCTCTAAGCTTTGATCTTTAATCTTATCATGTTTATAAGGGTATCATTTAAAAAATATAATAGCTAGACTCTCAAAAATTCTGTGGTACAGAAATGAAATAATACATATAAGATTCAATTATTTATTTTCTATTCTCATTTTTTCCCACAAAAATACTAATTTTTTTTTTTTTTTTTGGTAAACCAGTCAAGTGGTATGATGATTATTACCTTCAAACCCGAGACAAAAAAAAGGGAGATGGGGCAGGTTTCTCTTCCTTTCAACCTTTTTAGCTCAGAAGAGAAGAAATCAGATTTAACTTCCCTTAGAAGTGCAGCTCTGCCGGGTGCAGTGACTCATGCCTGAAATCCCAGCACTTTGGGAGGCTGAGGTGGGCGGATCACCTAAGGTCAGGAATTCAACACCAGTCTGGCGAACATGGTGAAACCCCGTCTCTATTAAAAACACAAAAATTAGCCAGGTGTGGTGGCTGACACCTGTAATCTCAGCTACTTGGGAGGCTGAAGCAGGAGAATTGCTTGAACCTGGGAGGCAGAGGCTGCAGTGGGTCGAGACTTTGCCACTGCACTCCAGCCTGGGTGACAGAGCAAGACTCCATCAAAAAAAAAAAAAAAGAAGTACGGCTCTACAAGAATGACTTATAAAATGACCCATTAACTAGGGAGGATTGAGGCCTGACCATGGGTTAGCCCACTAGATGCAGGAGACCCATGGAGGATGTTCTTTAATGTGGGCAACTCTCCCAAGCAGTGCAGCAAAGTAGGCATAACAGTAAAAGTGTCTTAGCAGTCCCAGCTAGAGTAAGACTCCATTCCTCAAGCCCCCTTCCACTTGTTAGCTTTGAGTCCCTAAACCAAATACATATGAAGTCTCCAGAAGTCTATCACCTATCAACAGAGACAGAGTTCTCGGTATATATAGCCACTGGAGTCCAACCCAGTACCAGTTGTCAGCCTTAAGGTCAGTCAGGCAGATCAGAGCCAGTCTAGAGGTCATTTAGTCCAGTCTCTATATTTTATAGGTGAGGAAACCGAGACACATACAATTAGTCAATTTGGGCTAGGCGTGGTGGCTTACACCTGTAATCCTAGCACTTTGGGAGGGCGAGATGGGCAGATCACCTGAGGTCAGGAGTTTGAGACCAGCCTGGCCAACGTGGTGAAAACCTGTCTCTACTAAAAATACAAAAATTAGCTGGGTGTGGTGGTGCGTGCCTGTAATCCCAGCTACTCAGGAGGCTGAGGCACGAGAATTGCTTGAACCTGGGAGGCAGAGGTAGCAGTGAGCCGAGATCACACGACTGCACTCCAGCCTGGACAACAGAGCGATTCCGTCTCAAAAATAAATAAATAGCCCCATCCCTTCCCCGGCTCCCCCGGTGTCCGCCATGGCCAAAGCCTACGACCACCTCTTCAAGTTGCTGCTGATCGGGGACTCGGGGGTGGGCAAGACTTGTCTGATCATTCGCTTTGCAGAGGACAACTTCAACAACACTTACATCTCCACCATCGGAATTGATTTCAAGATCCGCACTGTGGATATAGAGGGGAAGAAGATCAAACTACAAGTCTGGGACACAGCTGGCCAAGAGCGGTTCAAGACAATAACTACTGCCTACTACCGTGGAGCCATGGGCATTATCCTAGCATACGACATCACGGATGAGAAATCTTTCGAGAATATTCAGAACTGGATGAAAAGCATCATGGAGAATGCCTCAGCTGGGGTGGAGCACCTCTTGCTAGGGAACAAATGTGACATGGAGGCCAAGAGGAAGGTGCAGAAGGAGCAGGCCGATAAGTTGGCTCGAGAGCATGGAATCCGATTTTTCGAAACTAGTGCTAAATCCAGTATGAATGTGGATGAGGCTTTTAGTTCCCTGGCCCGGGACATCTTGCTCAAGTCAGGAGGCCGGAGATCAGGAAACGGCAACAAGCCTCCCAGTACTGACCTGAAAACTTGTGACATAAAGAACACCAACAAGTGCTCCCTGAGCTGAGGACCCTTTCTTGCCTCCCCACCCCGGAAGCTGAACCTGAGGGAGACAACAGCAGAGGGAGTGAGCAGGGGAGAAATAGCAGAGGGGCTTGGAGGGACACATAGGTAGATGGTAAAGAGAATGAGGAGAAAAAGGAGAAAAGGGAAAAGCAGAAAGGAAAAGAAGGAAAAGAGAGGAAGGGAGAAGGGAGAGGAATGAATTGAGGAAGTGAACGAAGGCAAGGAGGTAGGAAGAGAGGGAGGAGGAAAGGAAGGAGAGATGCCTCAGGCTTCAGACCTTACCTGGGTTTTCAGGGCAAACATAAATGTAAATACACTGATTTATTCTGTTACTAGATCAGGTTTTAGGGTCCTGCAAAGGGCTAGCTCGGCACTACACTAGGGAATTTGCTCCTGTTCTGTCACTTGTCATGGTCTTTCTTGGTATTAAAGGCCACCATTTGCACAAAAAATAAATAAATAAATAAAAAATAAAATAAAATTAGTCAACTTGTCAAGTGTTACCATACAGCCAACTGCTAAGCAGTAAATGTAGGACTCCTAGTCAGGTACTCCTGCCTCTTATACCACTATACTTCTTAAGGAAGCAGGAAATGCTGAACTCTAAAGAGAACACCAGGACAGGATCGAGAGCTTAGACTGGATAGAGTTCCTGCCTCTATTCAGTTTAGGTAAGTACTTGCTTTGGGACTAAAAACAAATTAAGAAGACCCAGGCCTTCCTTGGCAACTGGGATGCAGTCCCATATCTTTCTGACAGAAGAATTAATTCATCACTACTCTTTTCTAGAAGGTCTATGACCAAACCCTGCCAGGACAGTTGAAATAGAAGCAATTCAATGAGAGGCAATAGGAAAACAAGCGGTAACTTTTGCAGAATTTGGTGGGCCCTGCGATTAATGTGAGAGTTTTACTAAGTAGGGAAGATAGAGCAGAAACCAGTAAATACCTTCATCTCCCTCTCCAACTCTGTTTAAACCCAAGTCACCAAAATCTTGAAATGAGAGTTCTACCACTTGGCTCAGCTCTTCATTTTGTTGATCCAGTGTTACCTAATGAGTCATTGGATTAAATGAGATTCCTTCCACATCTCGCACCCTTTCCCTTATATTTCTCCAAGAGGCAAAAAGCATACTTACCTCTTATCAGTATGGTAGTACAAACTCCCTATTATTGACCTAGGTAAGATTGGAATGCCCGTCCCTACTTGTCTGCCTAGCAAAATTCTATATATCTCATAAGACCAAGCTCAAATGTTACTTCAGTGAAATTACATAATCACCCTCTCCCCCACAGAATTAATCATTCTCTAGAGGCCCGTAGGGTCCCACAGTATTAAGACTGTATTTCTGGCCAGGTGTGGTGGCGCACACCTGTAATCCCAGCACTTTGAGAGGCCAAGGCAGATGGATCACTGGAGGTTAGGAGTTCGAGACCAGCCTGGCCAATATGGTGAAACCCCGTCTCTACTAAAAATACAAAAATTAGCTGGGCATGTTGGCACAGGCTTGTAATCCCAGTTACCCAGGAGGCTGAGACATGAGAATTGCTTGAGCCCGGGAGGCGGAGGTTGCAGTGAGCACAGATTGCACCACTGTACTCCAGCCTGGACAGCAAAGCAAGAATCCGTCTCAAAAAAAAAAAAAAAAGACTGTATTTCTATAATAGTATGTATCACATTATCACAGTATATAAATTGTGTCTGTCTGCTCTGCTAAACTATGAACTTCTTTAAAAGTGGGAGTTTATCTTAAAATCTTCAGAGCACAGCATGCTGCCTGATCCCTAGTAGGTGCTCATTAAATGCTCCCTAAATTAAGGCTAAGTAATTCTACTTCTCTCCCCCAATCAACTCCTCCCTTTCTGTACCATCTGGACAGATCTTACTCAATTCCATTTGGGTTCTTTTTTTTTTTTCCTGAGACGGAGTCTTGCTCAGTCGCCCAGGCTGGAGTGCAGTGACGCGATCTCGGCTCACTGCAAGCTCTGCCTCCCAGGTTCACGCCATTCTCCTGCTTCAGCCTCCCGAGAAGCTGGGGGACTACAGGCGCCCACCACCACGCCCAGCTAATTTTTTGTATTTTGTTTAGTAGAGACGGGGTTTCACCGTGTTAGCCAGGATGGTCTCAATCTCCTGACCTCGTGATCCACCCGCCTCAGCCTCCCAAAGTGCTGGGATTACAGGCGCATGCCACCGCACACGGCCCCATTTGGGAATATTTTTAATAGGCCTCAGAATCAATTCTCTCCCTGGCTCCTCTGTGATCTCCCTTGGATGGAGGGCCCCCTTGGGATCTTGCCCACAAGGTACTATTGCAACTCGCATGGGCTAACTGCTTTTCCTGTCACCCGTTACTATGCCTCAGATGGCCTAATCACACCCAATATGTGGCCCTCCCACCCAAACACTGAGGCAACTATAGCTAAAAACAAAGTTCGCTGAATTTTCAGTTGATGTTGAACGGTCAAAAGCTTTGGGCCACTATCTATTAATTCCTGACTTGAGAAACACAAGTTTAAAAAAAGGAGCCATAACACCACAGAACCAGGAGACACTCTGAAAAGGTACCCACTGTCCCTGAACAGAAGCTACAACCTTGCCCAGAAATGTACACATACTTTGTTCACCTGGGTAGCTCCTTATTCAGTTCAGTTACTGTTGAGTCAATGGCTAAATCTTTCCCAAAACGGAAGTGGGAGTATACCATGTAGGGTTTTATGGTATCCTTCCTCCAAGAGGGCTGCTGCATTTCCTTATTATAAGTTCATTGTCTCACACTTTGGTTACCTTCCAATCTGAAATGCTTTAGGATTAGGGAGCAAACTATACGCTTGCTTCTTCTACCCTATGCCTCCTTCTCAGAAGTAAAATTCATACCAATAAGCAATATTTGCTCCCAGGTAAAGTAAGAGTTAGAAGATATGAGGTATGTTATGCAGTAGGGATTGTCCAGGAAAAAAATTTTAAAAGATATGAGGTATGACTTGAAGGGCAATGGGAAAGCTCTCTTCTCCAAATATATTTTTGCAACTCCAGGTCTATGTATGAAATTCCTTATTGATAATTCTACTCCTAAACTCTCTTAGGATGCAAAAAACTGTTGGAAAAATTAGATAGGATTAAAACACACACACACACACGCACACACGGCCAGGCGCGGTGGCTCACTCCTGTAATCCCAGTGCTTTGGGAGGCTGAGGCACGTGGATCACCTGAGGTCAGGAGTTAGAGTCCAGCCTGGCCAACATGGTCAAATCCCGTCTCTACTAATAATACAAAAATTAGCTGGTCGTGGTGGTGCACGCCTGTAATCCCAGCTACTCTGGAGGCTGAGGCAGGAGAATCGCGTGAACCTAGGAGGCAGACGTTGCAGTGAGCCGAGATCATGCCACTGCACTCCAGCCTGGGTGACAAAAGTGAAACTCCGTCTAAAAACACACACACATACTCCTACACAACTGTCTCTAGGACTGGCTTGCAGGTGAGAAAAGTTCCTTGGGGGAAAAAACCGAGGTTTCCAATGGGCGCTGTACAAAGGCTGGGTACAACAGAGGGCTTTTAAAGCTAGTAAGGACAAATTCAATTAATAAGGTGGTAGTATGAAATGCCCCAGCTGTACTCTGACTCTGAGATTTAGAGGAAAACCGATTTCAAATCCAGATAAGCTTGGAGCTTCTCAGATCCCTACAGAAAGACACACACTGTACTCCAGCCTAAGTGACAAAGCAAGACCCTGTCTCTAAAAATAGAAGAAAAGAAAAGAAAGACAAATACAGGGGCCTCTTAGGAGAACCATCATCATCATGGATAAGAAAGGGATAGTCAAGTAATGTGAACATGCAGAGACCATGAACATCCAGAGACCATGAATTTGAGATAAGGGTCTGAAATTCCTTTCTTTAGCAGAGATGCCAACAATTATCCCAACCAAAATGATCCTTTCTCCCCATAAAGTTTTGTTCCATCTCTTTGGGCACTTCCTAGGACACCCAGCACACAACTTGGGGTGTGTGTGTTTGTGTGTACTCAAGGTGAATAACACACAGTACAGCCCTCTGCTTGTCGGACTTGGTAGAAGACAAAATGAACTGTGAAAGGAACACAATAAATAACAGAGTATCATCCCAGAAGGGAAAACTGTAGAAAGAATAAGACTAGAGTTTGATGAGAACATGAAAACACAATTGCCTTTTGTGACACATCCCCCAAAGCAAAGCAAGATTAGTCTGATTTGCTGTCTCTGATCCTTGACCTTCCTAAATGAAATATGAATAAGGTATGTGTGGGAGGATTTATACTTCTTAAACTGCTGTACACCTTCCATATTTTAAAATATGTACATATTAACTTTTGTAATTAAGAAATGTAGTGATGGCCGGGTGTGGTGGCTCACGCCTGTAATCCCAGCACTTTGGGAGGCCGAGGTGGGCGGATCATGAGGTCAAGAGATTGAGACCATCCTGGCCAACATGGTAAAACCCTGTCTCTACTAAAAATACAAAAATTAGCTGGGCGTGGTGGCGCACGCCTGTAGTCCCAGCTACTTGGGAGGCTGAGGCAGGAGAATCTCTTGAACCTGGGAGGTGGAGGTTGCAGTGAGACTCCGTCTCAAAAAAAAAAAAAAAAAAAAAAGAAATGTAGTGATAAAATATATTGGTAGAGACGCAGAAAAGGAGGAAGTACAGTAAGGGAAAATCCAATAGGCTCCAATCTATGAGGGACTAAGAAGGCTAGCAGACCATTAAAAATATGTGGGGAGGAGGGTACTCCACTCCTCTGCTTTGGCAATCTTTGTCTTTTTTTTTTTTGGAGACAGGGTCTCATTCTGTTGCCCAGGCTGGAGTGCAGTGGGAAGATCATGGCTCACTGCACCCTCGAACTCCCGGGCTCAAGTGATCCTCCTGTCTCAGCCTCCCAAAGTGCTGGGATTACAGGCGTGGGCTACTGCACCTCTGTATCTTTTTCTCTACTCACCATCTTCCCCAGATACTTCATAGTTTGACCCAACTTTCTAACAGCACAGAAATCTGGGCTTTTGAAGTAGACAAAGAACAAGGGGTGATGCCAAGCTTTTGAAATGGAATTTCTCACTCTTCCCCAAATCTCTTCCTCAGTGATATCACCGCATAGTTTCGGACCTGTTAACTCCATTACCTGCCTGGGAAATACCCAAGTCAAGTCTAAGTCCCACAAAAGTTTCACCAACTATGATCAGAAGATCTCCTGATGGCTGAGGATCTCTAAGCCCCTTTCCCATGTAGATAATGAAATAGATATGAAATAGATTCTCAGTTCTAGGAGACATGGTATTTGCTATAGACCACATTATTAAGTGGGAAAGAAGTGGACAAAACATGCCCCCAATCCAACTTCTTAGCTCTTTCATAGGACATGAAACAGTAAGTTAAGAAACAGACTGCAGTATAGACCAGCTATGAGGCCAACAGAAAGTGTAGGGGCTGAGTTTGGAGCAGCCAACAGTCATGGAAAAAAAAAAATTACTTTGATCTTCATCCCTACCCTGGGAGTTTTAAAAAGCTTCAAATTACCACATCTAAACACTAAAGGGAACAAAAGAGTGTGTACTCCCAAGACCCAGAGCCCCCAGCCCACCCTTCAGCATTCCCAGAAGTTCCCATAACTGATACCAGGCCCTGCTTCCATTACTTCAACTACCTTAGTCTTCTAGATTAATACAGCCTTCTTCATTTTCCCCAGTTCTCCCTCACTGAACCCAAATCTCTCTCAGCTCAACACCATAGCACCCTCAGTTCTTTTTACAATAGGCACTTTCCCTGAAAAGAACGCTTCTTACCCAACTAAGAACCCTTCTCAGGCCCTTCCAATGAACCTCTCTGCAGGGACCCAGCCCCAGTCACCCCCGGGGCTCGGGCGACAGGTCTGACCCTCCTCACCTCCCGGCAAATGGGCTTACCTCACCCGCTGCCCTGTTCCTTTCCCCAGCTCCTCCCTCTTCAGCGCTGCTTAATGAGGCCTGCCCCTGCCCTCACTCAAGCTCCAGGCCTCCAGCCCCCGGCCCTCGGCCTGGCCGCCGCCACAGCCCAGCCGCCTTCCCGACTCACCAACTTCGGGGTCCCAGGCCGCCCAGTCCCCTCCTCAGCGACCCCCATTAGGCCTGCCGGGGCCCGGCCCCCTTCTCCCCTCTCCGGTGGGCCACTCTAACCCCTCGCTTAGGACCAGACCCGCCTCCGCTCTCAGGCCAGGCTGCTCTCATCTCCCGGGCGCTTCCGCCCCTGCCCTTTGGGCTCCATCAGCTCGGTACCTGGGGCTCCGTCTCCCCCGTCGGCCCCAAGCCTGTGTCGAACAGACAAACAGCTGCAGCTCAACCAAACCCTCCTGCCCCTCCTTCTCCTCCTCGCCCTGGGGCGGGGCTCCAGCCAATAGCTCGATTACCCGCCTACCTTCGAGGGTGGGCTATATGTGCACTCATCCACCAATCCTCTGGAGAAAGGCGAGTCTCTTTGGGCGCTGTCACCAACAAGTACGAGCAAGGGACGCGACAGGCGGGGCCACAAGCCAATAGCGAGGGAGAAACCTCGAAGATGGACGAGGTAAGGAGCCATTAAAGAGCAAGCTCCTGAAGACAGGGGGCGGTACACTGCCGACAGGCGTATGTATCCACCAATAAAATCTCGACACCCCATGACCCCGCCTTTTGACTCATAAACATCTAATCAGGTGAGTGATGGAGGCGGGTCAAAGTGAAACTTTAACCAGTACTGCGAAAATACGGTACTTGACTGGCAGGCAAGGAGGGGTTGAAGGAAGCCTTAGGAAGGCCGCTACTGACCTTCGCCCCTCCCCCTGGACTTGGCTGGGGCTGGCTCTAGTGCCCTGCCTTCTATGACAAATTCGCGGGCGTAAAGGGAAATACCTCTTCTAGGGATCCGGAGCCTGGGAATTTAAGTAACCCTGACATCAGCGCTTCCTCCTTTTAGTGAGGCTTCAGTGGACAGGCGTATTTGGGGTGGCCGCGGGCGGTCTGAGATGTTTTTTGGTGGAATGAGACAATGGCAACTACAAGAAGTGGTAGCTTGGAGACGCTTTTTCAGAATCGTATGTAAATGTAAATAAAAGAATCTTTGGAAAACTTTTCTGTCTGTGATATGAAACAGAAAGGAAAAACGGCGGGCTTACTGGGAAATGCAGTGTCGAAAGGCAAATTCCCCGGGAGCCCTCTTCCTGCCGCTATGTATGTGCATGGGTGTGTGTATGTATGGGGTGTGTGTGCATATATGGTGTGTATGTGGTGTGTGTGTATTTGGTATATGTATACGTGGTGTGTGTGGTATATGTGTGTATATGATGTGTGTGTGGTGTGTGTATGTGATGTGTGTGTGGTGTGGTGTGTGTGTGGTATGTTGGCTGGGGGAAAGGAGGTTTGCTGGTGTGTGGAGAAAGTGAAGTAGGAAGTATATAGGCTTCAGTTTCCCCAGCCATAAATAGGGATGATAATAACCACTTTGTTCACCGTCAGCACTAGCCAAAATGGGGTGGGGTGGGCAGCCATGCACAGAGAGATTAGGAAAAGGGGTCTGAAATCAATGATCACATACACACATTCATATTCTGTCTCCCACCATTCTTTCAGTAAATAAGAGGAGGAAAGAGATGAACTATAAAACTAGGCACATTTTTTTAATGAGCTACAAACTAAATTACAAATAACGTTAATAGCAAGAGCACTCAAGGACAAGGGTGACAGAGACAAATCATAAAAAAAAAATGCTTTTTTTTTTTAGCACTGTCATTACAAAACCCCAAGGTGCACATGGCAACAAATCCACCCACTATGACCAAAAAAAAAAAAAAAAAGCCAACTCTACTATTGGATATAACCTGAAATATAAATATAATTGTTCATCCTTCTTTTAAAGAAATATTTTTACCCATGCCCTCACTCAATCACAGCCCTGAAAAAGTGTCAGCATTCTCAAAATGATGCCTAAACCCTAACTTCTAACTCCTATGGGGTAGGAGGTGGACGTCAGAGGAAAATGGGATCAGGGATCCTTGGCAACTGAACAACTAAGAATACTAAAAGGAAGAGAAAAATTCAAACATCTCTCACCTGCCTCATAAGGCCATGGTGAAGCAATAGATTGGAATGAAGCACAATCCCTGTCTCAGGGCCTCCCAGATTCCTCATGCCTGTAGAAGGGACAAACAAGGGGACTGGGGCCAATCATTTTTCTGCAGCCCCACCCGGGCTGAGTCTTCAGTCTCCCAGCCTATTAGGTGAGGCAAAACACTAACTAGGGTATAAACTGATTGGATCTATTTTTTCAACCGAATTCTTTAAAATAGACTCCTCCCAGTGGTTTTGTTTTACTTGGTTCTCAAAAGCACCAACTTAGCCCCCGCTATCATTTGGCCTTTATAAACATTGTGGCAGCAGGAGGCTTGGGATCCTGGTCATCCCAAACACTGGAAATAATAATTATGGGGCATTCAGAGATTGGTACGGCAAATCTAACGTGTAGGAAGGCTTTTTTAAAATTATTTTTATACCAACCCTCTTCAGCAATAACTAAGAGAAGGGGGAAAGGGTGGTGGAGGCTAACTTAAGTGCATCTAATACTGAAACTTCCTTTCATTTTCACTGGTTCCCCCCTTTCACCCCTGTATTCCCAGAGTTGGCTGGCCAAGACTAGAAGGTGAGTGTTTAAGGCAAGTTCAGAGGGCCCACCTGAGTCCAAATAGCCCAAGGCCAAGCCTGGTCAAGCCCACACTGGAGGAGAGGGTGAGATTAGGGCTGGGGGCTTCAAGAAGGCTATCAGAGTCGAAGATGGGGTACTGGCTTGGTCACATCCTGGAAGAAAGGGTGAGCCAGGGCTGCCTTGGCCGAAATCCGCTTGTTAGGGTCGTAGTGCAGCATTTGCTAGAGGGAGAGATGCATGTTGACTTCAATGATGTGATAGTGGACTAAATGGGCAGCAGGTGTTCCCAGAAATCAGGAAACCAGAACTCCTTCTACCCAAGGCAGAATTCTCACTTCCATCCTCCCATAGCTGAATCAGTGTGCCAACAGGGAGAGCAGGAACCAGGGAAATGAAACACTGAGGCCCAGATTTCAGGGTCTCATCCTTCCTTCATCCTGGAAAAGCCCTTCCCTGGGAGAAATGAATGAGGGAAAACAGGTGCCCACTCTCACCGATAACAAGCTCCGTCCATCTTCATCCAGGGGAGGTACAACTTTACTAAAATCTTGCCGGGCCCACTTGGGGAAACTTGGCTTGTAATCAGGCATAGAAGTAACTCCTGGCCACACCACCTCATCTGGGGTCCCCAGAGTCCGAAAGATCCGGAAGAGCTGGTCAATCTCAGAATCTCCAGGGAATAGGGCCCGGCGAGTCACCTGAAAATGGGGAAAGAGGAAATACCAAGACCCACGTTGACGTCAGTCAAAACTCTCCTCTATACAAAGGAGTTCCCACAGACAGTAAAAGGTCAGCAGGGCCCCATGACTCCCTCCCCAGGGCCTTTCATGGGGTCAGTCACACAGAACCTGAGACAATGAAGTTCCTTCATCTGTCTCCTCGCCCCCTCCTTCCTTCCCCCAACCATGGCTTTGCAGATCCCCAAGGCTGGGTGGGTCTGGGAGGGGGTGAATGTCTGGGGTGCCACTGACATGTAGCAAAGGTATCCCAAGCCACTCACGGGGTAGGGGGTAGACACTGCGGTCATCCCCCAACCTTGTGATGCAGCCACTTCTAGATACGAGCACAGCGGGCAGAGACTCTGTCTTCCATTTCTTCTGTGTTCCCCACAGCACCTAGCATGGTGCTGGGTACCCACTAGGTGCTTAACAAATATTTTTTGATGAATTGAGAGAGGAATACGGACAATTGTAAGGTAATGCACTGGGGGGATAAATGCACATTACATATGTATAGGCTAATGGTCTTTAAGCTCTTGGTTACAACCAAGATAAAAGACAATAAAACATATTGCTGATTTGAAGACAGCCTACTGCACCACTGTACTGTTATATTAAAGGAGATGGGAGCTTCTACATAAAGCCAGGCTTCAAGGATCCTTCAGTCTGAAAAGCCAGAGGTTGAAGGGGAACATGATCTAAATCTTTTTTTTTTTTTTTTTTTTTTTTTTTTTGAGATGGAATCTCATTCTGTCGCCCAGGCTGGAGTGCAGTGGTGCAATCTTGGTCACTGCAACCTCCATCTCCCGGGTTCAACCGATTCTCCTGCCTTGGCCTCCCAAGTAGCTGGGATTACAGGTGTGTAATCCCAAGTAGCCACACCTGGCTAATTTTTGTATTTTTAGTAGAGACAGGGTTTTAACATGTTGGCCAGGCTGGTCTCAAACTCCTGACCTCAGGTGATCCACCTACCTCAGCCTCCCAAAGTGCTGGTATTATAGGTGTGAGCCACTGCACCCTGCCTAAATCTGCAGTTTAAATGAAAGGTGTGGGTAAAGTGACCACAGTTGTCTTCACTACATTGCTGGCACCATACAACAAGGTCTACAAGCCTTGAAATGAAGGCCTGAAATAAAAGAGGCACTAAATGGAATCATTCTCCCAAATATATGCAGACTACAGCTAAAACAGCTGCAGAAATGCTTTAACTTATTTCAGGGATAAGAGATGTATACCAGGTACTAAGGCTGTTTGAGGATATCCTAACACTGTGGTTGATATCAGGGCAACAGTTGCATCCTTTCCCACCATTCCCCTTGGTGCTACTTTAGAGAGAGAACCCTGTGATAGAAGGGCCATAGGTCTGGGCCAAGAAGCAGTTCTGTTGTTCTTGGATGTGGGGAGGAGAGGGAGGGGGCTGGGTGGAACTTGGGCAAGCCTCCATACCATCTCAGCAAAGATGCAGCCCAGGCTCCAGATGTCCACAGCTGTGGAATAATATTTGCAGCCCAGGAGGATTTCAGGAGCTCGGTACCACAGGGTCACCACCTGAGGGACGGGAATAGGGAGGGGCGGGGTGGTTTATAGGGTATGGAAATTCCCGCATCTCAGTTCCTCAACACTACTCTGCTTACTCTTGGCCTCTTAACAAGCAGTTTCCTTCCCTCCATCATCTTTCCCCTCCCACTGATTTCCAGTCCATAGTTCTGGACTGAACCCCTAATTTGAGATCTTCCTGGAAAAACTTGAGACAAATTGGTCATAATTTTATTTCTAAATTTTTTCTTTTTGTAGATTTGTAGAGATGGGGTCTCGCTATGTTGCCCATGATGGTCTCGAACTCCTGGGCTCAAGTGATCCTCCCACCTCAGCCTCCCAAAGTATTGGTATTACAGGTGTGGGCCCAGTTAGCAACACAGTATGAATTCCATGCATACCCTAAGACTCTTTAGGATGTCAAGAGATTATTTCTACCTAGTAAGAAACTGTTAGCCAGATATTTTTAGTAACTTTGTGAATACCCTAGTTAACACCTCTTGGGAAGCTCAGAGAAAAAAGACATAAAGGGACTCACCTCATGGGTGTAAGTACGAACAGGGACTCCAAAAGCTCTGGCTAGTCCAAAGTCTGCTAGCTTGATGGCCCCCTCTGTGTTAATAAGCAGATTCTGAGGTTTAAGGTCTCGGTGGAGGACCCGATGAGAATGGCAGAAAGCTAGGCCCTGGAGCAGCTGGAACAGATAGCTCTGACAAAGGAGAAAGAGAGGACTGTGTTTCTCCATTACAGTGAGCAGACTGGGTTTGCTCTGTGCCCCTAAAACTCTACTAAAGCCTTTATTATGTTGGATTATAGTTACATATTTACAAGCTATTTCTCCCAATGGACTGTCAGCCCAGAGAGGATAAGGACCAAGTCTTACTCAATTTTCCATCCCTTTTCTACATCCTGTGCATTGAAAAAATGTTTGTTAATAGATTGAAAGTAGCTCTGGGAGTGAAGAATCCAGCCCTAAAATAGACAATAGGGACTCACTAGCTAGGTCTTCCACCAAATGGAAGGGCTTTTTGGAGGAATTTACCAAGTGCTCTCAAATCCCGTTTATCTGAGTTTCATCTGACCTCCCACCTGAGTTGCTAGGTTGACTCACTAGAGTTTCAACTTTGATTGTTCAGTCCAACCCTAGGGTTAATGAATATAATGAGCAGGGAAGGAGACACAAAAAGAAGGGGAGTGTGTGTGTATAGGAGATGAGGGCTCAGAAGGAGGCCAAAATCATAAAATATCACCCTGAATTGCCTGCCACCAGTCCCCCAAGACATGCCCATGATGAGAGGAGCTGATGAGAAGCATTACCTTGATGAGGGGAAGAGGAATGCCAGTGAGAGCAGAGGCATCCATGAATTTCTTGAGATCTTGGTGCAGAAATTCAAAAACCAGGTAGAGTTTATTTTCTGTGTGAATGACATCCAGCAGCCTAGAGAAGGAAAGTTTGAGGAAATGGAGGTGTGTGAGAGAGAGAAATGCCCACACTGTACAGACAGAACTTATCCTCCTTTCCAGCTGGATCACCTCTCAGACGCATACTTACTTGACAATATTAGGATGGTTAAGCTCCTTAAGCAGAGAGATCTCTCGGATGGCAGTACTGGGCACACCCTCAGTCTCACTTGGAGAGGTTGGGAAAGCAGAGATGGGAATATGGTTACAAATATTCCTTTCCCCCCCACCTAGTCATTTCTTTCCCCCAAGGAGACACCACCCAGCACCCCCTAGGAAAGTGAGAGAAGAGAAAGGGTGATGGTAAGAGCTAATTCTTGGGTAGTCAGGGTGTGGTTTTTGGATATATTAAGGCCATTATCTCCTCTTTTCCCAGGGGTAGGTAAGTAAAGCCGCCTGGTGAAGGTGAAGCAGGGAGACTGTAATGGAGGGGAAAAAATGCAGGAGTAGCCCCCAGCCTCCCCAGAGGGGCCAGTGAGGTTCAACTGCCATTCTTTGGAAAGAGGAGAGAATTCTAAGGTGAGGGTGGGGCAGTGAAGAGGGCTCTTCATTCAGAAAGGCGATTCTCGCCGGTTCCCACATAACTCCACTCCATGGAGAGTCTTGGACCTCATCTCAGAGACCTCCTTTCTCTCCCCGAGTCTGTAGTCGCACATTTGGGGGCACGATCCGGCTCAGTTTGGGAAGAAAGTTTTCCATGGATTCCACACCACCCTATACTCTCCCCAGGGAGTATAAGTATACTCTTCACCTTCTACTGGCCCCCAACCCACCTCTCCACTTCTAAAGAAGTCCCTCCCTGCTCTCTTCCGGTCCCTGGACGGCTACCCGCCCGTGGGGGGTTGGGGGGGACAATCAAGGAGGTCCCCAGTTAGGAGTCCCGGGTACAGAGGCCACTCACGTGTCCAGGCGGATTTTCTTAAGCGCCACCACCTCTCCCGTCAACTTGTTTCTGGCTTTGTACACAACTCCGTACGTGCCCTCTCCGATCTTTTCCACCTTTTGGAAGTTCTCCATGAAGCGCCAGCGAGTCGGGTCAGCCCGGCCCTGGAGCGGGGGCCTGGGAACCCTGCAGAAGGCGGACCCTGGCTCTCGGGGGCCGAGGAGGGGGAAACAGGGCCCAGTACCGTGGCCCCGGGTCGGGATGGAACGCAGTATACCTCTCGCTCTTGTCAATTTGGCCAACTTGAAACAATGTTGCCGCCTCCCACCGAGTTCCCGACCGCCACCAGAGGCCCCGCCCCTGCTTCCCGCGTTTCCCTGGCTCCGCCCCCAGGCCTTTCTATTGGTCAACGTCAGAGCCGGGGGGCGAGCCCAGCGCTCCTCCCCGCAAATGATCCCGCCCCAGGCAAGTTTGGTTCTTGGGGGCTAGACAAGTTTCTTCCCCGGTGGGGCGGCTGAACACTCTTCCCAAGTACCTGCTTTGGGTCCAAGTTTCCTACCTATGTCTCTAGTCTGTAGGGATTTCTTGATTTCTAACTCACTATTTTCACCAATCCTGGGGAAAATATGTATCGACCTAAGGTTAAATTCCACCTGGCCCAGGAGCCTCCTTTGGAAACCAGGAAGCCGGGAATCTCGTTGCAAAGGAATCCTGGGCCTCAGAGGAGTCGTTGCCTCTGCCTCATAGCATACCCCGACACTGTCTCTGTTTTGGGATGCAGGGTTCTGTTTCTGTCTTTTTGAGAAGTTCCTGGTTTAATTCACTCTCCCATGATAAACTGTTGTGTCTGGTATGTGTTACGCAGCTGCCTTTCAGTTAGCTCTTGCCCGGGAGTGCATCAAGATGAGAGTGACCCAGTGAAACCAGAAACTGTCATTGAGTAGCAGGATGGGAAAGCAATGTCTAGGGACCAGGATCCCTTTGTCAGTTTTTCCTTTTTCCTCTCCTCCGGCCCCTCCCAGGCCTTCTCTGAGGGAGAAGAGGAAGGGCTATGCAAATGAGCACCCTTTTCTTATATAGGGGCCTATCCCAGTCCCCCCAGTGCCTTTGGTTGCTGGAGGGAAGAACACAATGGATCTGGTGCTAAAAAGATGCCTTCTTCATTTGGCTGTGATAGGTGCTTTGCTGGCTGTGGGGGCTACAAAAGGTATGTGTGGATATGTGGACATGAGCAGGTGTGAACTTGGGGATGAATTCCCCCTGCTCTGGTTTCTGTCCTCCTAATGGGAGATAGCGGCAATATTTCAGGCGTCTCCCACTCATTTGATTTAGTGAGGATGTGGGCACCTGGGCTCCCTCCCTACATGGAGATTTGGGATTTTGCCTGAAAATAATCTCATATGCTTGGAGGGGCAGAAGGATAGAAGGTCTCTGTGGCACTGATTCTGAGGCTTCCTTGGCAGTGAGCTGGAGCACGGGCTCCAAAGGGGTGAAATGTGCAGGAGACTCTTTTAGGAAACGTCTCTTGGGGTAGGAGATTTAAAGTGGGGAGTCAGAGAATGTGGTATTGGGTAAGAACACTAAGGAGATACAATCCTCTCCTCTTGGGATGGGTACGGGTGAACACAGCCCAGACCTTTTGTTCTGGGGCTGGAGAGATAGGCAGAGGGGTCTCAGCTGAGCATCACATGAAAGGGCTCTGGGGGATTGGGCCTCGTGACAGGAGCAAGGGGCGGGGGTGGGGTGGTGAGAGGGTCTGGAATGTCCCGTGCTGCTCTGAGGAGAGTTGGAAGTGGAGAAAGAATGGGGTATCTTATGACTTCTCTTGTTCTAGTGGTGGGATGCTCAATAGATGATTCCAGATCCTCCCCCAGCAGAATCAACTAGGGTTACAGCACACATTAGAAAGGGAATGAGGCCGGGCGCCGTGGCTCACGCCTGTAATCCCAGCACTTTGGGAGGCTGAAGCAGGTGGATCACGAGGTCAGGAGTTCGAGACCAGCCTGGCCAATATGGTGAAACCCCCGTCTCTACTAAAAGTACAAAAATTAGCTGGGCATGGTGGCACATGCCTGTAGTCCCAGCTACTCAGAAGGCTGAGGCTGGAGAATCACTTGAACCCAGAAGGCAGAGGTTGCAGTGAGCCAAGATCACACCAATGCACTCCAGCCTGGGTGACAGAGCGAGTCTCCGTCTCAAAAAAAAAAAAAAAAAGAAAGGGGATGAGGCCCGGCACAGTAACTCATGCCTGTAATCCTAGCACTTTGAGAGGCTGAGACGGGTGGATCACTTGAGGTCAGACCAGCCTGGCCAATATGGTGAAACTCCATCTCTACTAAAAATACAAAAATTAGCTGGGCATGGTGGTACGCACCTGTAATCCCAACTACTTGGGAGGCCGAGGCATGAGAATCGCTTGAACCTGGGAGGCAGAGGTTGCAGTGAGCCGAGATCACACCATTGCATTCCAGCCTGGGCAACAGCAAGACTCTGTCTCAAAAAAATAAAAAAAGAAAAGAAAAGAAAAGAGATAAGGAGGCCGGGTGTAGTGGCTCACACCTGTAATCCCAGCACTTTGGGAGGCCGTGGTCATAGGATTGCTTGAGCCCAGGAGTTCAAGACCAGCCTGAGCAACATAGTGAGACCTTGTCTCTACGAAACGTAAAAAAATTAGCCAGGCCTAGGCCAGGCTTGGTGGCTCACGCCTGTAATCCCAGCACTTTGCGAGACCAAGGCAGGTGGATCAGCTGAAGTTGGGAGTTTGAGACCAGCCTGACCAACATAGAGAAACCCAGTCTCTACTAAAAATACAAAATTAGCTGGGCGTGGTGGTGCATGCCTGTAATCCCAGCCACTCAGGAGGCTGAGGCAGGAGAATCGCTTGAACCCGGGAGGCGGAGGTTGTAGTAAGCTGAGATCGTGCCATTGTACTCCAGCCTTCCAGCCTGGGCAACAAGAGCGAAACTCTGTCTCAAAAAAAAAAAAAAAAAAAATTAGCCAGGCTTGGTGGTGAGCACCTGTGGTCCTAGCCACTTGGGAGGCTAATGAGGAAGATGGCTTCAGCCTAGGAGTTTGAGGCTGCAGTGAGTGATGAACGTGCCACTGCACGCAGGGTGAGAGAGCAAAACCCTGTATCAAAAGGAAAGGAAAGGGGAAAGGGAAAGGAAAGGGAAGGAAGTTTCTGCAGGAAAGGGAAAAATGGGGTGAGGGTAGTTTTTGCTGTGCTGAACTATATACAGAAAGGAGAGGAGAGGGGAGGGAAGGGGAGGGGAGAGAGGTTTCTGCAGGAAAGGGAAAAATGGGGTGAGGGTAGTTTCTGCTGTGCTGAAATACATACATTATATCCCAGCCCTGCTTTCTCCCTAGATGTTTAGTGTCACAGATTTCTAGGAAGTTCTCCTTGATGTGACTTTCCTCGCTGTGCTGCAGTTTCAAGTCTTTTTCTTTTACTATATTCCTTAATGTATCCTGGAAAGAGTCTGTTCACACCCACCCACCTAAGGCTCTTAACAAAAAGACTGTACTTATATTTTGGATCCTGATTTTAAAAATCATAAGACATTTTTCCAGATATTCATGAAATTTTATATGGACTGAGTTTGATAATTTTGTCTAGCATGAAATGACATTGTGCTTATGCAAGAAAATACTCATACATTTTAAATTTGTAGGGTTAAAATAACACGATGTCTGGGATTTGCTTTTACATACTTTAGCCAAAACAAAAACAAAAACAACAACTAGTAAGGATAAACAAAGCAAATGTGGCAAGGTGTTGATAGTTGTTGGACCTGGGTGGGGCAGATGGAGGTCCAGCATATCCTTTTCTTCTCAGACCTCTCTTGGTCAGTTACAATAATTTTGTCTTCCCTGTCCCCATCCCCAATCTCTGCCAGCCTCTAATCCATCCTCCTCACTGCTTGCCATCGTGATCTTTCTAAAACACAAATTTGATCATGTTCAAAAGTAAATTTTTTTTTTTTTTTGAGACGGAGTCTTGCTCTGTAGCCCAGGCTGGAGTGCAGTGGTGTGATCTCGGCTCACTGCCACCTCCGCCTCCTGGGTTCAAGCAATTCTCCTGCCTCAGCCCCCTGAGTAGCTGGAACTACAGGTGCCCACTACCACGCCCGGCTAATTTTTGTATTTTTAGTAGAGACAGGGTTTCACTTGGCCAGGCTGGTCTCGAACTCCTGACCTTGTGATCCACCTGCCTCGGCCTCTCAAAGTGCTGGGATTACAGATGTGAGCCACCATGCCTGGCTAAAAGTAAATTTTATGGTATGTGAATTATGTCTTGATTTAAAACAAAACAGGCGAGGCGCAGTGGCTCACGCCTATAATCCCAGCACTTTGGGAGGCCGAAGCGGTTGGATCACTTGAGGTCAGGAGTTTGAGACAAACCTGGCCAACATGGAGAAACCATGAAACATGGCGAAACTAAAAATACAAAAATTAGTTGGGTGTGGTGGTGGGTGCCTGTAGTCCCAGCTACTTGGGAGGCTGAGGAACGAGAATTGCTTGAATCCAGGAAGCGGAGGCTATAGTGAGCCAAGATCACGCCACTGCATTCCAGCCTAGGGGGCAGAGCGAGACTCCATCTCAAAAAAAAAAAAAAAAAAAAAAAAAGAGTAATAATAAATAAATAAACAAATAAATAAGGGGTTTTTTGTGTTTTTTTTTTTTTTTTTTTTTTTGAGATGGAGTCTTACTCTATCGCCAGCTGGAGTACACTGGTGCAATCTCAGAATCTCAGCTCACTGCAACCTCTGCCTCCCGGGTTCAAGCAATTCTCCTGCCTCAGCCTCCCAAGTAGCTGGAACTACAGGTGCGCACCACCATGCCCGGCTAATTTTGTATTTTTAGTAGAGACAGGGTTTCCCCATGTTGGCCAGGATGGTCTCTATCTCTTGACCTCATGATCCACCCGCCTCAGCCTCCCAAAGTACTGGGATTACAGGTGTGAGCCACCACACCCGGCCAAATAAATGAGTTTTAAAAATGCACTTCAGCCGGGCGCAGTGGCTCACGCCTGTAATCCCAGCACTTTGGGAGGCCAAAGCAGGCAGATCACCTAAGGTCGGGAGTTCGAGACCAGACCAACCAACATGGAGAAACCCCATCTCTACTAAAAATACAAAATTAGCCTGGCATGGTGGCACATGCCTGTAATCCCAGCTACTCAGGAGGCTGAGGCAGGAGAATCGCTTGAACCCAGGAGACAGAGGTTGCAATGAGCCGAGATCATGCCATTGCACTCCAGCCTGGGCAACAAGAGCGAAACTCCATCTCAAAAAAAAAAAAAAAAAAATGCACTTCGAATGTGAGAATGAATGGAGTGACATGAATAGAGTGTTATCCCTGAGAAGGAACTGAAAGGATCCTAGGGCCCTTCATGGCACATTCCTTTTAGTACCCAGAAACCAGGACTGGCTTGGTGTCTCAAGGCAACTCAGAACCAAAGCCTGGAACAGGCAGCTGTATCCAGAGTGGACAGAAGCCCAGAGACTTGACTGCTGGAGAGGTAGGAACTTGGAAGTTCCAGGGGAGGGCATGGTGGGAGTGGGATGAGGAAAAAAGCAAGCTGAACTGCATCGAGTGTAGCTTGGGAAGAAAAGGAGGGGAAACGTATACAGGGAGGGGAAGCCCAGGAGTCCCAGCTAATGTAGCTTTCCTTCCCAGGTGGTCAAGTGTCCCTCAAGGTCAGTAATGATGGGCCTACACTGATTGGTGCAAATGCCTCCTTCTCTATTGCCTTGAACTTCCCTGGAAGCCAAAAGGTATTGCCAGATGGGCAGGTTATCTGGGTCAACAATACCATCATCAATGGTGAGTACTTCTCTATTCTAGGTCCTTATTCCTAGGGCTCAGGTTCCCTGGTATGCCCAGTGAGCTCAGGGAATGCCCCTTCCTTCTCTACTTTTTTTTTTTTTTCTTTTTTGAGACGGAGTCTCGCTCTGTCGCCCAGGCTGGAGTGCAGTGGCGCAATCTCGGCTCACTGCAAGCTCTGCCTCCCGGGTTCACGCCATTCTCCTGCCTCAGCCTCCCGAGTAGCTGGGACTACAGGCGCCTGCCACCATGACCGGCTAATTTTTTTTGTATTTTTAGTAGAGACAGGGTTTCACCGTGTTAGCCAGTATAGTCTCCATCTCCTGACCTTGTGATCCGCCCGCCTCGGCCTCCCAAAGTTCTGGGATTACAGGCGTGAGCCATCGCACCCGGCCTCCTCCTTTAATTTTTAAAACAAGTTATATGTGTAATACATACTCATTGTAGTTAAAATTTAAAAACACAGAGAAGGCCGGGCGCGGTGGCTCACGCCTGTAATCGCAGCACTTCGGGAGGCCGAGGCGGGCGGATCACGAGGTCAGGAGATCCAGACCATCCTGGCTAACACGGTGAAACCCTGTCTCTACTAAAAAAAAAATACAAAAAATTAGCCGGGCGTGGTGGCAGGCGCATGTAGTCCCAGCTACTTGGGAGGCTGAGACAGGAGAATGGCGTGAACCCAGGAGGTGGAGCTTGCAGTGAACCGAGATCATGCCACTGCACTCCAGCCTGGGCGACAGAGCGAGACTCCATTTCAAAAAAAAAAAAAAAAAAAAAAACAGAAAGCAAAAAGAAAAGAAAATTACAGTTGTAGTCCCTGCTACTTAGCAGTCTCAGGTGGGAGGATCATGAGCCTGGGAGGTCGAGACTGCATGATCACGCCACTGTACTTCAGCCTGGGTGACAGAGTGAGACCCTGTCTCAAAAAGAAAAAAGAAAATTACAGTCCCTAAAGTGGAGGACAGCAGAATTCAGGGGACCTAGAAGTTGAACAGACCTATATTTAAACTTGTCCTTGATATGTGACCTTGGGCAAGTTACTTGTTTTGTGTTTCCATTTCTTTTTTTTTCTTTTCTTTTCTTTTCTTTTCTTTTTTTTTTTTTTTGAGACAGAGTCTGGCTGTGTCGCTCAGGCTGGAGTGCAGTGGCAGGATCTCAGCTCACTGCAACCTCTGCCTCCTGGGTTCAAGTGATCCTTCCGCCTCAGCCTCCTGAGTAGCTGGGAGTAGCCTCCCGAGTAGCTGATACAGGCGCATGTCACCATGCCCGGCTAATTCTTTTGTATTTTTAGTAGAGACGGGGTTTCACCATGTTATCCAGGATGACTCAAACTCCTGAGATCAAGTGATCTGCCCACCTCACTGTGTTTCCATTTCCGAAGATAAAAGGATTGTTGTAAGGATTAGAATGTGATAATATGTGTAAAGTACTTAATGTAGTGTCTGCTCTAGCCTACAGTAAAGGCTAAATAAATGCTATCTAGTGCTGTTATTTATTTATGTATTTATTTTTGAGACAGAGTCTCGCTGTGTCGCTCAGGCTGGAGTGCAGTGGTGCGATCTTGGCTCACTGCAGCCTCCACCTCCCAGGTTCCAGCGATTCTCCTGCCTCAGCCTCCTGGGTAGCTGGGATTATAGGCTTCCGCCAGCACGCCTGGCTAATTTTTGTATTTTTAGTAGAGACAGGGTTTTACCATGTTGGCCAGGCTGGTCTTGAACTCCTGACCTCAGGTGATTTAACCGCTTCAGACTCCCAAAGTGCTAGGATTACAGGTGTGAGCCACTGCGCCTGGCCCCCTAGTGCTGTTATTTTTATTCCACTAGCTAGAGCAAATCACTCTAAATATTTTGATATGTGGCTATATATATATACATATATCTTCTTTTTCTTTTATTTTTCTTATTTTATTTATTTATTTATTTATTTATTTTAAAGTCGGGGTCCTTCTCTCTCTCCCAGGCTGGAGTACAGTGGTGTGATCATAGCTAATTGCAGCCTCAACCTCCTGGGCTCAAGTGATCCTCCTTCCTCAGCCCCTGGAGTAGCTGGAACTACAGGTGCATACCACCACACCTGGCTAATTTTTTTTAAATGTATTTTGTAGAGACAGGGTCTTGCTATGTTGATCAGGCTGGTCTTGAATTCCATGCCTCAAGCAGTCCTCCCACCTCAGCTTCCCAAAGTGCTGGGTTTACAGCCATGAGCCACCACACCTGGCCAATTAAATTATAGCTTCTGGCCAGGCATGGTGGTGCACGCCTGTAAACCCAGCACTTCGGGAGGCTGAGGTGGGAGGATTGCTTAAGCCCAGGAGTTCAAGACCAGTCCTGGCAATATAGCAAGACCCTGTCTCTACAAAAAAATAAAATTAGCTGGGTATGGTGGTGCATACCTGTAGTCCCAGCTACTCGGGAGGCTGAGGTGGGAGGATTGCTTGACCCTGGGAGGTTGACACTCCAGTGAGCTGTGATCACACCACTGCACTCCAGCCTGGGCATCAGACTAAGACCCTGTCTCTAAAAAAAAAATGTAGTTTCCACACCCTCAACCCCCAACTACCACCCCAAATGGTTATATCATGGAGAATGTACTTTCTAGCTAGGGAATATTCCCAGAGCCCCTCTCTGATACCCTGGGAGCAATTTTAGGGGTTTTGATATACAAAAAAGAATGCCAGGGTTTGAGAGTGACTCTGTATTTATCTTTCAGGGAGCCAGGTGTGGGGAGGACAGCCAGTGTATCCCCAGGAAACTGACGATGCCTGCATCTTCCCTGATGGTGGACCTTGCCCATCTGGCTCTTGGTCTCAGAAGAGAAGCTTTGTTTATGTCTGGAAGACCTGGGGTGAGGGACTCCCTTCTCAGCCTATCATCCACACTTGTGTTTACTTCTTTCTACCTGATCACCTTTCTTTTGGCCGCCCCTTCCACCTTAACTTCTGTGATTTTCTCTAATCTTCATTTTCCTCTTAGATCTTTTCTCTTTCTTAGCACCTAGCCCCCTTCAACTCTATCATAATTCTTTCTGGCAACTCTTCCTCAATTGTAGTCCTACCCCATGGAATGCCTCATTAGGACCCCTTCCCTGTCCCCCCATATCACAGCCTTCCAAACACCCTCAGAAGTAATCATACTTCCTGACCTCCCATCTCCAGTGCCGTTTCGAAGCCTGTCCCTCAGTCCCCTTTGACCAGTAATCTCTTCTTCCTTGCTTTTCATTCCAAAAACTTCAGGCCAATACTGGCAAGTTCTAGGGGGCCCAGTGTCTGGGCTGAGCATTGGGACAGGCAGGGCAATGCTGGGCACACACACCATGGAAGTGACTGTCTACCATCGCCGGGGATCCCGGAGCTATGTGCCTCTTGCTCATTCCAGCTCAGCCTTCACCATTACTGGTAAGGGTTTAGGAAGGGGCAAGGCCAGTTGTAGGGCAAGAGAAGGCAGGGAGGCTTGGATGGACTGGAAAGGAGAAAGGTGAAATGCTGTGCAAACTTAAAGTAGAAGGGCCAGGAAGACCTAGGCAGAGAAATGTGAGGCTTAGTGCCAGTGAAGGGCCAGCCAGTCAGCTTGGAGTTGGAGGGTGTGGCTGTGAAAGGAGAAGCTGTGGCTCAGGCCTGGTTCTCACCTTTTCTGGCTCCAATCCCAGACCAGGTGCCTTTCTCCGTGAGCGTGTCCCAGTTGCGGGCCTTGGATGGAGGGAACAAGCACTTCCTGAGAAATCAGCCTCTGACCTTTGCCCTCCAGCTCCATGACCCCAGTGGCTATCTGGCTGAAGCTGACCTCTCCTACACCTGGGACTTTGGAGACAGTAGTGGAACCCTGATCTCTCGGGCACTTGTGGTCACTCATACTTACCTGGAGCCTGGCCCAGTCACTGCCCAGGTGGTCCTGCAGGCTGCCATTCCTCTCACCTCCTGTGGCTCCTCCCCAGTTCCAGGCACCACAGATGGGCACAGGCCAACTGCAGAGGCCCCTAACACCACAGCTGGCCAAGTGCCTACTACAGAAGTTGTGGGTACTACACCTGGTCAGGCGCCAACTGCAGAGCCCTCTGGAACCACATCTGTGCAGGTGCCAACCACTGAAGTCATAAGCACTGCACCTGTGCAGATGCCAACTGCAGAGAGCACAGGTATGACACCTGAGAAGGTGCCAGTTTCAGAGGTCATGGGTACCACACTGGCAGAGATGTCAACTCCAGAGGCTACAGGTATGACACCTGCAGAGGTATCAATTGTGGTGCTTTCTGGAACCACAGCTGCACAGGTAACAACTACAGAGTGGGTGGAGACCACAGCTAGAGAGCTACCTATCCCTGAGCCTGAAGGTCCAGATGCCAGCTCAATCATGTCTACGGAAAGTATTACAGGTAAGAGTATCAGTGCGAATGAGGTTCACGGAGGTGGGGTACCCTACTCTACTCTGTAAGTCTTACCCAGGACTCAGATGTTACCCAATCCTTTGCTTAGCACTATGGTCCCCTCAGAGTTCTCACTGGCCTGGCTATAAAGCCCTCCAGTCTCTCTTAATGACATGGAATAGGTCTGGAGTTCAGGAAACCAAGGTCTTCCCCTAGGCCATGAGGAAAGAGCTTGTTGCTTTCTCTACTGCTGAGAACGGTTGGCGAGACCAGGGAACAGACTGTGATCATTTATATAATATTTATAGCTCATTTTCTGTTCAAGCATAAATGCACGAAAATCCTTCCCAGATTCCGAGATCCTGATCCTTCCATTTCCCAACCCTGGATTCCCATCCCAAAGCAAAAAGGGAGGAATGAAACAGTGATGCTTAAATGAGTTAACACACGTTGAATGTCTAGCCTAGGACCTGACATAGTGTGGGGTGTGATAAACATTTGAGGATTTTTTAAAACTCCAATGCCACCCCTAACTGTGACTCTGGAGGAGTCATTTTCTTCTTCTGGGCCTCAGTTTCCTTATCTATAGAATAAGGTTTCCCAGGTCTTATCTGATTCCAAGCCTGTGACTCCAGAATCCAGTAACTCTGGTTCAACCTGAAAAAATGCCTGCTTGGCCTCTGCCTCCAGATGAGTCATCTGTCTCTTGATCTTGCCTCCTTGATCCTCTCCTGCCAGGTTCCCTGGGCCCCCTGCTGGATGGTACAGCCACCTTAAGGCTGGTGAAGAGACAAGTCCCCCTGGATTGTGTTCTGTATCGATATGGTTCCTTTTCCGTCACCCTGGACATTGTCCGTGAGTCTTGCCTACTTTGGTGGCTGATGGAGGCAGCTGTGTGCTACCTAGGGCTGGTCAGTGGAAGCACACCTTGGGAGGAATTACTCACCTAGATAGGAAGAATACCCAAATGCCAGAGTCCTCATTTGAAAGCACAGGGATGGGATTGGTGGAGCAGCCCTGGGGCTTTTCTGTCTCTGGGCTTTTGGGGAGGCCAGGTAGAGGAATCCTAATTTGATAAGCTTGCAACTCTGCAGAGGGTATTGAAAGTGCCGAGATCCTGCAGGCTGTGCCGTCCGGTGAGGGGGATGCATTTGAGCTGACTGTGTCCTGCCAAGGCGGGTGAGTGTCTCACTAGTGTGCTGGTAACTCTTTGGTTGACTGTTTCTCCGCTCTCTGGCATTTAGTGTCCCTTCCCAGATCCCCTTATATATGCTGACACTTCTTCCAGGCTGCCCAAGGAAGCCTGCATGGAGATCTCATCGCCAGGGTGCCAGCCCCCTGCCCAGCGGCTGTGCCAGCCTGTGCTACCCAGCCCAGCCTGCCAGCTGGTTCTGCACCAGATACTGAAGGGTGGCTCGGGGACATACTGCCTCAATGTGTCTCTGGCTGATACCAACAGCCTGGCAGTGGTCAGCACCCAGCTTATCATGCCTGGTAGGTCCTTGGACAAGAGCTAAGATGAGGAAGGGAGTGGATAGAGGGCAGCTGGCAAGCAGCAGACACTGAGTGAAGCAGTGCCTGGGATTCTTCTCACAGGTCAAGAAGCAGGCCTTGGGCAGGTTCCGCTGATCGTGGGCATCTTGCTGGTGTTGATGGCTGTGGTCCTTGCATCTCTGATATATAGGTAAGGGCCTCATCACACAGCTCAGACCCCCTTATCCCTTATTATCACTACTCACTTTTCCTCAAGGGGAGAAGAAACCACCTCTCCCTTTGAGGAAGCATGGTGTCCAGGAAAGAGCCCAGGCTTTTAAGTTAGACAGACTTGGGTTGCAGTCTTGCTTGTAGGACCTGGGGGAAGTAGCTTAACCTGTCTAAGCCTCTGAAAAGTAGGTAAACTAATACTTGCCCTGTGGGGCTGTTGTAAAGATTAGAAACAATGAGTAAAGCACCTGGCTCTGAAGCAAGAGTGCAATAATTGATATTAATGACTGTTGTTAATAATATGAAGAGTGGGGGCAGTTTGGGTAAACTGAGTTTTCTTTTTTTTTTTGAGACGGAGTTTCACCCTTTTTGCCCAGGCTGGAGTATAGTGGCATAATCTCAGCTCACTGCAACCTCCACCTTCCAGTTTCAAGCGATTCTCCTGCTTCAGCTTCCCGAGTAGCTGGGATTTCAGGCACCTGCCACCACACCTGGCTAATTTTTGTATTTTTAGTAAAGACAGGGTTTCGCCATGTTGGCCAGGCTGGTCTCAAACTCCTGACCTCGTGATCTGCCTACCTTGGCCTCCCAAAGTGCTGGGATTACAGGCATGAGCCACCGTGCCTGGCCTGGGGTGAACTGAGTTTTCTACCTGCAAGAAGGGCAGATCCCCCAGGCCTGGGGTGGCATGGTCCTCAGGCAGGAAAGCTTACGGGGTGAGGGAGGAATGGACAGAGGTTACCACAGAAATAAGAGAGGGTAAACCCTGGAGGTGAGGAGAAGGGGAGGAAGCTAGGATCAAGGCTAAGCAGACTGGGATATGGGTGTGTTCCCTTCTTTGGAGAAGCACAGACAAGCTACCTTTGTCCATTGCTAACCAGTTTACCCCTTCTCCCAATATCAGGCGCAGACTTATGAAGCAAGACTTCTCCGTACCCCAGTTGCCACATAGCAGCAGTCACTGGCTGCGTCTACCCCGCATCTTCTGCTCTTGTCCCATTGGTGAGAACAGCCCCCTCCTCAGTGGGCAGCAGGTCTGAGTACTCTCATATGATGCTGTGATTTTCCTGGAGTTGACAGAAACACCTATATTTCCCCCAGTCTTCCCTGGGAGACTACTATTAACTGAAATAAATACTCAGAGCCTGATGCTGGTTTTTCTGTTGCTTCTTGGGAGAATCTACGTCATTTAAGGAGTGAAGGTATAAAAGAAGGAAGTGTACCACTTACTTAGCAGATCCCAAAGGGGAAACACAAGTCATTTTATTCAGATGAGGCACTTTCAATGTATGTGTTTTGGGGTGTGTGTATGTGTGTGCGCATGGGGAACAGTGAGGTGGTGCAGGATAATAAATACTGTGAGGGTGAAGGAACACTCCCCCAAGCTGGCAGGAGTATGTGGCAGCAATGTACAGAGCCTCGGGAGTAGAGTCCAGGGACAGGGAGGTGGGTTCAAGGCTGGCTTGGAGGCCAAGGGTGTCCCCCTTAGCTCAAGAAGCCAAAGAAATTGGTGGAGCGGGGGGGTGGGCCCATGAGCATGGGCATCTGGTTCTTGTGGGTGATCTTGATCTGGAAGGGAAGGGAGCACATTCAGAGGCAGGACCTGATACTTTGGGGCTGTGGCTTCAGAGATTTAGAGGGAAATCTGTGGGGTTTGGGGTGGGTTGCTAGGTTCCTAGAGAGGCCACGATAGGGAAACCAGGGGCTGAGAAATCAGGGTTTAGGATGAATGATGTGCAGGGGAAGTTCAGGCATCAGAAGGGTGTAAAGAAGCTGTGGAATGGGGATTTAGGATCCATGGAGCCCAAGGGTTTAATTTTTGGCTGGGATCGTCAATACTCACTGTACAGGGCGTCTGCATCCAGGGTTCTCCGTCAATTTGCATGGGAAGGGTTTTTGTGGTGCTATAGGAGGCCAAGGAACATTGGTGATTTCCTTACCAATCGAATACCAAAACTCTGCTTCTTAGGTTGGCTTTGAGACCTTTTGTCATTGAGGGAGATCTAGTAAAGCCCCTCCCCACCATTCCCATGACCCTTCTGCTGCCCCAGCCCCACACCTTCCCTCAGGGACCCTGGTGGAGTCTTCCTTACTGGAAGGTGATCTCAGAGCACTTGGCCAGCCGACGTCCAGCATTCTTGAGCTTGGTATAGATTTGGCCCATCTCAATTGCACCCTCCAGCCCAACCACTTCCAGTCTCTTGTCACTTAGGTCTGGGGACGAAGTAGGGAGTAAAGTTTTACATAAACAGGGTATCCCCATAGGGAGTCACACTTTCCCTTCGTCCTGCCCACTCAGCTCCCAAGGCTGCTCCTCTCACCTGGTACACAGGTTTTCAGGATATCAGGGTCGGTGATGACTTTAGCTGTAGCACCTAAGGCCTGGTTGATCCCATAGATATCCCCATGGGGTCTCCTGGTATCACCCCAGAGGTTGGAGCCACCATGCATGCTAGGGATGTTTAGCACTGCGATGCCTTCTAGGGACAGGTTGCTCAGATCCAGCGGTTTCCCACAGATCTGAGAGGAGGGGGCACAGTCCCAGTTAGGGAGGGTACAGATCCTCACCTCATGGCATGATCATAGATGTGATCGCTCCCTCCACCAGATGACAAACTGGAGAAGGCAGGATTTGGAGGTGTGCAAGGAATGGAAATAGGGACTAGTGTATCTTGAGGACTTGGAGAATTGGGGTAGGAGAGCTGGGAGGTTAAAGAAGCATAGGTTCAAGAATATGGGAAGTTCCTAAGGGTGCCATGGAGGGAGAAACTTGGCTATTAAGAAGCTGAAAAGGATGTAGGGTTAAGTCTTATTACACACACCTCAACTGTCAAAGACTCCTCCAGCTTTTTGCATGTTGAGAAGATGGATTCAGATGTGGCAAATTCGAAGTACCATAGCTTGTTCTTCATTCTGTGTCAGCCCCAACACAAGGCCCAGTAGGGAGGGACAGGTTACACAGTGCTGGCAGGGGTGGTACGTGACAGGGAAGGGCATCAACCTCCTAACTTTAGTCCCATGGGGAACAAGGGTGGCTTTGGTTGGGGGGACCTCCTAGAGGTGCCACTGTTCTTCTGAGCAATCTGAGTCAAACTTGGTCAAAACCTGGCTCCTGACACTGTGTATGCCCACACTGCCCCCTCCTTTCCCTAACCTGCTGTTGAACTTCTCCGGATATTTCTCTCGCATGATGTGGAATCGATGAGCAATAGAGGCATCCTGGAGAGTTCGGGACATGAAGGTCAGTACAGAGCTCAATCTCTCCCTCCCGGTCTCCCCTCTTTCCCAAGTCCCCATGCTGCTCCCCACAGCATGTCCCAAGATCTTCCCTTGCAACTCAGCACTGTACTGCACTCCCAATTTCCCTGTGTCACAGGTCACTTAACCTCCCCCTCCTTTTCTGCTCTCCTCCAGCCTCTGACTGCTTGGCCCCCCCTTTCTCCCTTCTCCCCAGGCCCCATTCCACTGACCACGCCAATAGAGAAGTAGTTATTGATGATTTGAAAGGGGACTGGGTCACTTTTTTCTTCAGTTTGTTGAGGTATCACCTCCACAGACCATCGATCCATATGTACCACTTTACTCATCTCTAAATCCTTGAGGATCTTTGCCAGATTCTGTCCTTCATAACCTAGGAGTGGAGAAGACAGGTTAGCACTGAGCTCTGGGTCCCAGAGAGGCCTCTTCTCAGCTCCCAGCTCCACAAATTCCCAGGGGCCTTCTGCCCTGTTTCTACAGAGCCTCCCAGCCCTAGCCAGTGACAGGGCAGGGTGCATGGTCACAGCTCCCATGGACCTTTCCTCCATGCTGTGTGGAGGGTGAATGTTTCCAATGTGTGTGGATATGCAAAGATGGTGCCAACAGTCATCTGGAAGGTTGGAGAGAATAGCCAGGAGAATGCTGAAAAAGATGGGTGACAAATGGGGATAATCCTCTCTCACCCTTGACCCCTGATGCTTTCACTCCCCATTCAGACAGACCACAGTACAAAGCAACCATGTGTAAACAGTGTTATACAGGCAGAGTGAATGCAATAAAAGGTTCAATAGTAAAGAATAGAGAGCCCCCAAATAGACTCAAGTATATATAGAAATTTAGTATGTGATGTCATTTCAAATAAATGGGGAAAAGACAGATTATTCAATAAATGGTGCTGGGGAAAGGGAGGAGCAGCATGAAAAACTACCTACTGGGTTCTATGCTCGCTACCTGCATGATGTGACCATCCATACCCCAAACATCCCAAAGTGCTGGGATTACAGGCCACTGCGCCTGGCCAGAATTTGTACTAGAAGAAAACATTAGTAAATGTTTTTATAATCTTTGAATGGATACAAAACTAGAAGCCCAAAAGAAAAAGATAGATAAATATAATTATATTAAAATTTAAAACTAGACGGACATGGTAGCCTCTATAATCCCAGCTACATGGCAGGAGGATTGCTCAAACCCAGGAGTTCGAGACCAGCCTGGCCAACATAGTGAGACCCCATCTCAAAAAACAAACAAACAAGGCCAGGCACAGTGGCTCACTCCTGTAGTCCCAGCACTTTGGGAGGCTGAGGCGGGTGATCCCTTGAGACCAGGAGTTTGAGACCAGCCTGGACAATATGGCAAAACCTCATCTCTACAACAAATATAAAAATTGGCCAGGTATCAGTGGCTCACACCTGTAATCCCAGTACTTTGGGAGGCCGAGGCGGGCGGATCACGAGGTCAGGAGATCGAGACCATCCTGGCTAACATGGTGAAACCCTGTCTCTACTAAAAATACAAAAAATTAGCCAGGCGTGGTGGTGGGCACCTATAGTCCCAGCTACTCAGGAGGCTGAGGCAGGAGAATGGCGTGAACCCAGGAGGTGGAGCTTGCAGTGAGCCGAGATTGCGCCACTGCACTCCAGCCTGGGTGACAGAGCAAGACTCCGTCTCAAAAAATAAAAAATAAAATAAAATAAAATAAAATAAAAATTAGCCAGGTGTAGGCCGGGCGCGATGGCTGATGCCTGTAATCCCAGCATTTTGGGAGGCCGAGGAGGGCAGATCACCAGGTCAGGAGTTTCAGACCAGCCTGGCCAACATGGTGAAACCCCATCTCTATAAAAATACAAAAAATCAGCAAGGCGTGGTGGCGGACACCTGCAATCCCAGCTACTTGGGAGGCTGAGGCAGGAGAATCGCTTGAACCCATGAGGCGGAGGTTGCAGTGAGCTGAGATTGCGCCACTGCACTCCAGCCTGGGCAACAAGAGTGAAACTCTGTCTCAAAAAAAAAAAAAATTAGCCAGGTGTGGTGGCATGTGACTGTAGTCCAGGCTACCCTGAGGTGGGAGGATTGCATGAGCCTAGGAGTTCGAGGCTGTGGTGAGCTGTGAGCTCACCACTGTACTCCAGCATGAGCAGCAGAGCAAGACTATCTCAAAACAAAGAAAGAAACAAAAAACAAAAAAGGAAAAATGTGCAAATAATACAAACAAGCCTATGATAGAAGAAAAAATACAAATGGCCAATATGCATAGGAAAGGTGCTCAGTATTACTAACAATTTCAAGAACCATAATTAAAACAATTAGCTAACTTTTGTTGCATATCAGGTTGGCAAAGTATAAGGAGATTCAGAAAACCAAATGCTAATGAGTTTATGAATAAATTGGCATTCTCATTTGCTGTTAGCTACAGCATGACTTGATAAGTCATTTTTGGAAAGCATTTTGGCAAATTTTATCAAAATGTTATCCAATTTTATCAAAACATATTTTTCGCTGGGTGCCATGGCTCATGCCTATAATCCCAGCACTTTGGGAGGCCGAGGTGGGCAGATCACCTAAGGTCAGGAGTTCGAGATCAACCTGGCCAACATGGTGAAACCCTGTCTCTGCTAAAAATACAAAAATTAGCTGGGCATGGTGGTGGGTGCCCATAATCCCAGCTATTCAGGAGGCTGAGACAGGGAGAATCGCTTGAGGCCGGGAGGCAGAGGTTGCAGGGAGCTGAGATCGTGCCATTGTACTCCAGCCTGGGTGACAGAGTGAGACTCCGTCTCAAAAAAAAAAAAATGTCTGTTTATGCATATGTGTGTGTGTGTGTGTGCATGCATGTAAAAACAGAAAAATGACTGTAAATAGGAAACAATGTTTATCTCTGAGGAGGTACATGGAGTTTTGTGGGGAGTCTTTAAATCTTTACGGTGACAACGTACTGATGACTTATTTATGTAAGTTTTTCTTTTTTTTTTTTGAGATGGAGTCCGGCTCTGTTGCCCAAACTAGAGTGCAGTGGCATGATCTCAGCTCACTGCAACCTCTGCCTCCCAGGTTCAAGCTATGCTCCTGCTCAGCCTCCCAAGTAGCTGGGATTACAGGCGTGTGCCACCAGGCCCAGCTAATTTTTTGTATTTTTAGTAGAGACAGGGTTTCACCATGTTAGCCAGGATGGTCTCGATCTCCTGACCTCGTGATCCACCCACCTTGGCCTCCCAAAGTGCTGGGATTACAGGCGTGAGCCACTGCGCCCAGCCCATTTGTGTAATTTTTTTTTTTTTTGAGACAGGATCTTGCTCTCTTGCCCAAGCTGGAGTGCACTGGCTCACTGCAGCCTCAACCTGCCAGGCTCAAGCTATCCTCCTACCTCAGCCTCCTGAGTATCTGGAACCACAAGCGTGTGCCACCATGCCTGGTTAATTATTTTATTTTTCATAGAGATGAGGTCTCACTGTGTAGCCCAGGATGGTCTCAATCTCCTGGGCTCAAGCGATCCTCCAGCCTTGGCCTCCCAAAGTGCTGGGATTACAGGTGTGAGCCACCATGTTCAGCTATTTGAATAGTTTTTTAAAAAGAAAATACCTTTTTTTTTTTTTTCGAGATGGAGTCTAGCTCTGTCGTCCAGGCTGAAGTGCAGTGGCATGATCTCGGCTCACTGCAACCTCCGCCTCCTGGGTTCAAGCGATTACTCCTGCCTCAGCCTACTGAGTAGCTGGGATTACAGGTGCCTGCCACCACACCCAGCTGATTTTTGTATTTTTAGTAGAGACGGGGTTTCACCATTTTGGCCAGGCTGGTCTTGAAGTCCTGACCTCATGATCCACCCGCCTTGGCCTCCCAAAGTGCTGGGATTACAGGCATGAGCCACCATGTCCAGCATGAACATTTTACTATTAATAGTTATTTTCGGCTGGGTATGGTGGCTCACACTTGTAATCCCAGCACTTTGGGAGGCCGAGGTGGGAGGATCACCTGAGGTCAAAAGTTCGAGATCAGCCTGGCCAACATGGTGAAGCCTCGTCTCTACCGAAAATACAAAAAATTAGCCAGGCGTGGTGGCGCGTGCCTTTAGTCCCAGCTACTTGGGAGGCTGAGGCACGAGAATCGCTTGAACCCGGAGGTGGAGGTTGCAGTGAGCCGAGATTGTACTATAGCACTCCAGCCTGGGTAACAGGAGTGGAACTCCGTCTCAAAAAAATAAATAAAATAAAATAAAAATGTTCATATTCTCCGAGTAAGCAATTCTACTTCTAGAAGTCTCTCCTAGAGAAATGTTCATATCTGTGCGCAGAGATAGATGTATGAGTGTTCACTGCACCATGGTTTGTAAGATTAAAAAACTGAATGCTACCCTAATGTCCACCAATAGGGAACTGTTTATAAATGATTACACATTCACACAACGGAACACTATTCAGTGCTAAAATGGATGAGGCAAACCTGACTGTATAGAAATATAATGATAATCAATATGAACTGTTAAGTTAGAAAAAGAAGAAAAACATCTATAAAATGATCTCATTGTTTAAATACATGTTAGTTTGTGTCTAGGAAGTAAAACATGGAGGAACAGCCCCCAAAACTGTAGGGCATAGATTATAGGGAGCTTTCACTTTCTTGGCACATGTATATGAAATGTTTGAGTTATTTTTTACCACCAGCATGTATTATAATTGTAGTCAGGGAAGAAAAAAGGTTTTAAAAATGTCTCCACAGCTGGGCGCAGTGGCTTACATCTGTAATCTCAGCACTTTGGGAGGCCAAGGCAGGTGGATCACCTGAGGTCAGGAGTTCGAGACCAGCCTGACCAACACGGAGAAACCCCATCTCTACTAAAAATACAAAATTAGCTGGGCGTGGTGGCACATGCCTGTAATTCCAGCTACTCGGGAGGCTGAGGCAGGAGAATCGCTTGAACCCGGGAGGTGGAGGTTGCAATGAGCCGAGATCGCGCCATTGCACCCCAGCCTGGGCAACAAGAGCAAAACTCTGCCTCAAAAAAAAAAAAAAAAAAGAAAGAAAGGAAGAAAAGAAAAAGAAAAAGAAAAAAAGTCTCCACTTCCTCACACTCCACTGAGGGTTCAATCCACTGTAATTTACCTTTTGCCCATCCCACCCTGCTGAAACTTTTTTGGCAAAGATTGCCAATGACTCCTGCCAACAGTGTATCTTTCGTTCTCATTTTAACTCTTGAAAGTCTTCACTTAACCTCTGAAATATCACTCTCTCGGTTACAGAGGGACTTTCCTTTCTCTTTGACTATTCCTTTTTAGTCTTTGTGGTAGGCAGAATACTAGCTTCTCAAAGATGTCCACATCTTAATCTCAAGAAACTGTGAATATTGCTGGGTGAGGTGGCTCACGCCTGTAATCCCAGCACTTTAGGAGGCCGAGGCGGGTGGATCACCTGAGGTCAGGAGTTTGAGACCAGCCTGGCCAACATGGCGAAACCCTGTCTCTACTAAAAATACAAAAATTAGCCAGTTGTGATGGCGCACGCCTGTAATCTCAGCTACTCAGGAGGCTGAGGCCGGAGAATCACTTGAACCTGGGAGGCAGAGGTTGCAGTGAGCTGAGATCGCGCCACTGCACTCCAGCCTGTGCGATGGAGTGAGACTCCATCTCCAAAAACAACAACAACAACAACAACAACAAAACAAAATTAGCCAGGTGTTGTAGCACATGCCTGTAATCCCAGCTACTAGGGAGGCTGAGGCAGGAGAATCGCTAGAACCTGGGAGGCAGAGGTGGTATTGAGCCCAGACCGTGCCATTGCACTCCAGCCTGGGCAACAAGAGCAAAACTCCCTCTCAAAAACAAAAAAAAAAGAAGAAGAAAGAAAAAAAGAAACTGTGAATGTTACCTTACATGGAAAAAGAGACTTTGCAGATACATTTAAATTGAGGATTCTGGGCCAGGCATGGTAGCTCACGCCTGTAATCTCAGCACTTTGGGAGGCTGAGGCAGGTGGTTCACTTGAGGTCAGGAGTTCGAGACCAGCATGGGCAGCACGGTGAAACCTGTCTCTACTAAAAATACAAAAATTAGCCGGTGTGTTGGCATAGGCTTGTAAGCCCAGCTACCTGGGAGGTTGAGACATGAGAATTGCTTGGGCCAGGGAGGCAGAGGTTGCAATGAGCCGAGATTGTGCCACTGCACTCCAGCCTGGGCAACAGAGGGAGACTCTGTCTTAAAAAAAAAAAAAATGAGGATTTTGAGATGGGGGATCATACTGGATCATCTGGGTGGTACCAATGTAATCACAGGGGTCCTTATAAGTGAAAGAGGAAGGCAGGAGAAAAGAGTTGTAAAAGGAGATGTGACTGTGGAAGCAGGGGTTGGAGTGATAAGACCACTGGTTGGAAGGGGGACCTTGAGCCAAAGAATGCAGACAGCCTGTAGAAACTAGAAAAAGCAAAGGATTATTCCCTAGAGCCTCTAGAAAAGAACTCAGCCCTGCCAACACCTTGATTTTAGCCTAGTGAGACCCATTTTGGACTTCTCTCATCCAGAACTGTAAGACAATAAATTTGTGTTGCTTTAAGCCACTGTTTGTGGTAATTGGCGACAGCAGCAATGGGACGCTAATGCAGACCCTTTAATAACTCCTCTTCCTCTGCTCAACTGTTAAATAGGGTGTTTACCAGGATCTTGCTGTCTTTGTTCACCTTCTCTTACCTCTTTCTCTGGGTAATCTCAGCTACTTTCAGAATGTCAATTACCACCTAGGAGCAGATGACTCTCAAACATGTATCTCCTAAAATATTTGACTTCTCTCCTAAATTCCTGACATGTATTTCTAACCACCCACCACAACATCTCCACCTGCCCCAAACTGAATTTTTCTTCCTTAAACTGGTCTTCCTCCTATATTCCCTGTCTTAATAAATGCCACCCCAAGGTTGGGCACGGTGGCTCACGCATATAATCCCAGCACTTTGGGAGGCAGAGGTGGGCGGATCACCTGAGGTCAGGAGCTCGAGACCAGCCTGGCCAGCATGGTGAAATCTCGTCTCCACTTAAAATACAAAAATTAGCTGGATGTGGTGGTGGACACCTGCAATCCCAGCTACTCGGGAGGGTAAGGCAGGAGAATCGCCGGAACCTGCGAGGTAGAAGTTGCAGTGAGCTGAGATTGTGCCACTGCACTCCAGTCTAGGCAACAGAATGAGACTCTGTCTCAAAAAGATAAATAAATAAAAATAAATAAATGAATAAATGAATAAATAAATGCCACCTCCATCTGCTGAATCCACAAACCTAGGAAATGTCCTAGACTTTTCTCTACCTCCTTCTCCACAACCTATCAGTTATCCAGAGCTGTGGCTTCTACCTCATTAACTCCACTGCTGCTGCCTTGGCTTCTGTATTCATCATCTCTTGTCTGGACTACTGCAAACAGGTAATTTCCTATTCTGTCTCCTTCCTACAATCCATCTTCCACAGAGCTCCCATAGTGATAATCCCTTCAATCCCCCCTCTTCGAACCTTATGATTTTTTCAGTGTCAACATGTTTTCCTTTTTATTTTTTAATTTAAAGTCTCACACTGTTGCCCAGGCTGGAGTGCAGTGGTGCAATCATGGCTCACTACAGCCTCGATCTTTTCAGCTGAAGCAATCCTCCCGCCTCAGCCTCAGCTGGGACTATAGGCATGTGCCACCATGCCTGGCTATTTATTTGTGTGTTTATTTATTTTTAGAGATGAGATCTCACTGTGTCAGCCAGGATTGAGTGCAGTGGCCCAATCATAGCTCATTGCAGCCTGAAACTCCTGGGCTCAAGGAATCCTCCAGCCTCCACCTCCTGAGTTGTTGGGACTACAGGTGCGTGCCACCATGCCCAGCTAATTTTTTAAAAAATATTTTGTAGAGACTTGGTCTCACTTTGTTGTCCAGGCTGGTCTCCAGCTCCTGGCTTAAAGCGATCTTCTGACCTTGGCCTCCCAAAGTGTTGGGATTACAGGAATCAGCCACCGTGCCCAGCCCAACATACATTTTCATTAGTGCTACATTTATATCCTTATTGTCATGATTCAGGTTGAGTTAGCAGAAAACTGCAATGTTTTCTGCTAACTTGTTTGCTTGTTTATGCTAACTTGATTTTTGTTTGCAGAATACAGGGAAGACATAAAATATGTAATTTCAAAATATCTAATATTATAAATGAAGAAGTCAGATGTTGAGGATCTGAAAACTGGTCAAAGAATTGGTTATATGTCTATATATAAAACAAGTTATAATGAGCACTCAGAGATATTTCTTCCTATTTGTTCTTTTAGTTACATCTTTTACTTACATCGAGTTCCCCCTCACTGCTGCTTGTTTGATTGAGTTAAAAAAAAAAGAGAAAAGAAAAAAAAAGAGTTTGCTCATAGTTCAGGGATTGCACACTCAAATACCTGAGTGGCTTGAATGGTAAAGTGGGTTGGGCATGGTGGCTTACACCTGTAATCCCAACATTTTGGGAAGCCTAGGTGGGCAGATCACTTGAGGTCAGGAGTTCAAGACCATCCTGGCTAACATGGTGAAACCTCGTCTCTACTAAAAATACAAAAATTAGCAGGGCGTGATGGCACACACCTGTATTTCCAGCTATTCAGGAGGCTGAGACAGGAGAATCACTTGAACCTGGGAGGCAGAGGTTGCAGTGAGCTGAGATGGCACCACTGCACTCCAGCATGGGCAACAGAGCGAGATTCCATCTCAAGAAAAAAAAAAAAGAAAGGGAAAGTGAATAAGTGACTAGCAGGGAGCCAAGGGGATTGTGATAAACTGAAGAATACATGTCCCACTTAGAAATAATCAAGTACAAAGAAATTGAAAACACTGCAAGGCAACTAATACAAAACAACACAAAATCATTACTGTGGGCTGTCAGCTTGCAATCTCTGACAGGATAAAATTAAAAACTCCCTGGCACAGTATTCATAACCCTCCATCATCTGGACTCTGCTCAACTAGTCTTCCCTCTCCACATTTTCCACCTTTCACCCTATGTCCCAATCATGATGAATGACTTACAGTTCCCCCAATGCACCACCATGTTGTTTGGTGGCTCCTCTGGCCTTACACTACTTCCTCCACCTAGAATGCCTTCCGCTGCCCTTAGCAGATCTCTATTCCCTAAGATCTCCAGCAAGATCTTAGAGCTGGACCCTGAACCCAATAACCTCAACTCCAAGATTCCTCAAACACAATCTGCCCTACACTGACCTCTTTATCTACCAATACCATCCCTCAAACTCCTTCTGTTTGAAAGGCATAAGAGATTAGAAATGGGAGAGCAGTTAGGAGACTATTGCAATACTCTGAAAGAAATCATAGTGAATTAATTAATGACTACCTGGTTAATTGTTTGAATGAGTGAATGAGTCATGACCTGCTAGCTCCATCATTCAGCATCTGGCTTAGCTCTTATACAACCTTCCTTATTCACACATTGTTCCCCACCCCCATATTCCTTGATTCTCTGAGCCATAAGAGTTGGTTGGGAGAAACATAAAAATATTTACAGGAAAGGGGACTATCACCCTTGACCCTTCTAGGTTCAGATTGTGGTCCCTGCTTCTTCCAAAGCTCTCTTCTTTTTGGACATTCCACTTTTGTATCCACCTGTCTGTGCCCCTCTTCTTCCCCAATCCTTTCCATACCAGATGCCTAGTTTCTTCTCTAAGTGCCTTTCCCTTCCTACACAACTCCTCTCAGCCTACAGCAAAACAATTTCTAACCACTTACCTCCTCCCCATCTTAGGCATCGAGCCAGATCATTTCCAGTACCCAGGGGCAACACAGCAACAGGAGGCAAAACTGGCAAGTTAGCTTTGTCTGCGGAGGCAGGTGAAGAGAAGGATGGAGTGAGTTAGCTCTGCAAGACTACGACCCCAATACCTTCCCCACGCCCCTCCCTGCACTGACCAATGGTCTCTAGAATCCAGCCTACTGTGCCGTCTCCACCACACACCAAAATCCGGCTATCAGGAACATCCTTGAATAATCGGAGCCTGAGACAAAGGGGAGAGAGAATATGAAGAAGGATAACAGGACTGAGGCTACCCAAGTCCTGAGCAGGCAGATTGCTTCTTGTCTCTCATTCCGTAGGACCCTCCTCCTTTTTGTCAAAAGACTTGAGTTTCTATGAAGGTCACAGAAAAGAACAATGGGGAAAGTTATAGCCACTCCTCAGTGGTTAGGGAAAAATTGGATCTTCATTCTTTGAGAGCAGGACAAAGATGGGCCAGAGAGCTCGGAGGATGGGATACCCAGTGACCCTAGGGAAGGAAATATTCTGAATTCTGGCCTCTTGGGGATCTCTAGCCCTCCTCTCCCAATCTGCACTCTTTCCTGCACTCTCCTAACATATACAGATACACAGACCCACGAAAACACTGTGATACAGTCCCTAACCTGTGCTCACCCTATCTCAGGACCATCCTTTAGGAGGTTGAACACCTGTCGAGGGTTTAATATATACTGGAACTTCCAGAGCACCCTGTGTGTGGGAAAAAGAAAAGTTCATGGCAGGCGCGGGGGTTGGGGGTGATCTTCTGAACCTCACCCTCTTTGTGTGTTCCTCAAGGTATGCCCCTCCAGACACACACATCCCCTTCCACCTTCTAAGTGTTGCAGGCAGGCCCTGCCTCTCATCTTAGAAGACCCAATATATTTCTCCTCACCTTTGCCCCTGCTTCCCGCCACTCTTAGGATTGACAAAGACGAGAAGTGGGTGGGTGTTAGGAACAGGGTCAATCTGCATTGGGGGAAGAAAATAAGGACAAAGAAAGCAGGATTTTGTCAGAGTTAAGGTGGGCCCAGGAGACAGGGGCAGAGGGCTAGCATTCCACCAAGATATTTCCCCCCTCCCTCCTGTTTCCCTCCCCTTCCCTCCCCTACCATGGTGGAGTTTCTGGAGAGTGAGCATCAACCGCTCCCCACCAGGCTCTCCCACTTCATTCCCACCCATGAGGGCTCCAGTGAAAAACCTGCCCCCATCATGAAGCCCAAGACTCTCAGCCCTGTACCCGCAGAGCCTCAGAGGTGCTCAAATTTAAATCATCCATGGTCTTCTGGCTTGTTTTGCTATTTTTACGATCCGGTCCAGAGGCCTGGGAGGGGAAGAAAGTAGAGGGAAGAAAAGCTGTATTGTGCATGAATCCCTAAATAGAGGGGTCTGACTTGAATCCTAAAAGTATGAGCTCTCTATTCTAAATGCCACTCTGTGCGTGTGGGAAATCGGGGAGGCACTCCTGTCCCCTCCCCGCTGCTGCCGAGGGTCTCACCAGGACACTGGGATAGATGGAAGATGGAGGCAGGATGTGATCCCGGAGCAGCCCACAGTCACACTCATGGCCCACCGCTTGCAGGCAGTCATCGTGGATCTGAAAGACGAGGTGGGCACAGAGAGATCACGAAGGTAACCCTGTCTCCTCTCAACCTGGCAGTCTGGGCTGGAAAGAGCCCTTGGGAGCAGGGGCAACTGTGCCTGTAAAGGAGGTGTGGCCGGAGGCCCGTGGAGAAGGCAGCTCTGCGGGGTAAGACGCACCCAGAAGGGATGGCTCCCAAACTGACCTCTAGGTGGCACCATACACAATGCAGCCCGGTCAGACTGTGGTAGATCCGGATCTTTTTCTGACAGCGGTCGCAGCGCCCGGACTCACAGCCTCCTCGCACCCACACATGTGATTGGACCTTGGGGAGAAAGGCAGTTCCTTGTCTGGCAGGGTCTGAGCAGGACCTAGGGGAGGGAGGGGCTGAGGGCAGCAATGGGCCAAGGGCCAGGGCCAGGGCCAGGATGTAGGTGATGTTGGGGGTGGAGGCATGAGATCACTCACACCAATGTCCTTCCGAGACTTGGCATAGGTGCTGACTTCACAAGGCAGGGCTTTCATGGCACACTGGTCGTGAACAGTGTACTTACAGACTGAGGGAGAAGGAAGAAGTTGGGAGGCTTAGCTGAGCCTCTCCCCCTATTTCCTTCTTACCTGAGGGTGAGGCAGGATCAGATATGTGATCCCTTGCTTGAGGGTGTAGCAGAATAAAAGTTCGGGGTGAAGTGCCCACCTCCAAAACCCACGCCTTTTCCTTACTCTTCCTCCTAAAAGATCAGCTGCTACTGCATGCCTGCCCCACACCATCCATGTGCCAGGCAGGAACTGAGCTGGATAATGCTTGGGAGGCCCAGGTCTAACAGCAACAGTAATCATAATAGATATTTTTTATTGCATTTTATAGTATGTGCATGCACCATCTGAAGCACTTTTCTTGCACCAACTTTTTTAATGCTCACAATTACCTCATTTTCAGTTGAGGAAACTAAGGCTTAAAGAAGTGATGTGGCTTTCCCAAGGTCACATAACTAGTCAGTGGCAGAGCCCAGGATTCAAACCTAGGTCTTTTCTAAGTTTACAGCATCAAGCTCCCACAGATAGCTGGGCTGACCCTCTTCCCCTACCTCCCAGCTCCCATTACTCACGGTTACAGCTCAGTCCCTGTTTGCCAAGACCAATGCTTGACTCGCACAGATTGCAGTAGACTGGTCTGGGGAACCTCTTGGGCCTCCACATGTGCTGTCCGTCGTCCTTCAGAGTCTAGGAAGGCACAGTAGATGCTAGGGAGTGTCAAAGCCCTTACAGGGCCAATCCGGGCAAGCATAACCCAAGGCTGTCTTACTCATCCCCCAAAGTCTCTCCTACTCACCATCTCCAGACCCAGCAGCACTAGCAGTGGCACGGTGGTGGCCCCAGCCCGGACCCACTCAGCTTGAGAGACAGAGCCACTGCCATCATAGTCAATCTCTTTCATCATCTCCTGAAGAATCTGAGCACAGAGTGGAAAGGGACTTTCAGTATGAGTGGGTCTTCAGACCCAACACCTCTCCACTGCCTCTTAGGATATCCAGCCCAGCCATCCTAGCCAAGGGAACCAGGTTGCCTGTCAGAGATGAAGTAAGGCAGATGCAGGACTCACCAGGGAAGAAGGTACAAGAAGGGACATGAAGGAAGAGCTGCCTTACCGGCCTCAGCTCAGACACATCCCAATCCAGGTATTCAGCCACTCGCATCATCTGTAGGATAATTTTGTCCACTTCCTGGAGCAAAAAGGGCAAGAGCCACAGCCATATCCCCTTTACTACCACCATCCAAACTCTTTTCCAGAAATCAGTGTTCCTGGGTTCCACCCCAGATTCACACCTCTCATTCTCAGGTATGTCTGCCAAGTAAATAAATGTGTTTGTATGTTTGTAAGGCAGACCCAATTCATGTATCCAGCATTCTCTTTGAGGGGTCAAGAGCTTGGGACTTACTTTCAAATTTAGTCCTAGAGGACTCAACCTCTCCCCCCATCCTCTTCTGTTTCTTAAGACCCTGGAAGAGTTGGGGCAGGAGGGTGCAGACAAATTAACACATATTCCCTTGCCCAGCATACAGGGTCCCCAACTCACTGAGCTGTCCAGGATCCCATTTCTGTCCGTGTCGTACAGCTTGAAGGTGACTGTGGGGTGTTTTAGGGGGGCCAGGGTCAGTTTGTGAGAGATACCCAAAGAATTCATACCAGAATATGGGGGAAACAAAGAGACAGGGAGAGAGCTTTTGGGTGAGAAGCCTAGAGCCTGGGATGGGACTGAGAGAGAGACAAAAAGGAAAGGAAAACAGGCATGGACTCTACCCTCAGTGAATGTGTCAGGGGAGACAATACATAATCCATATCCCAAGGACATCCTAGGCCGCCTACATGGGAATGCACAAGACATGGGTACTGGGGTGACTATGGTGAAGGGTATTAGGTATAAATAGTCTGGGAGAACACAGGAAATGGGCTCATTCTCTGGCCCCACCTTTGTCTAGACCTGTCAGCCTTTAGGAATCCTGAAGGAATAAGGGAAAGGAGGATGGGAAACACCTCTCTCTCCCTTCACTGCCCTGCCACCTCACTTCAGAAGGGCAACTCACATTCTAACTTGTCTTCTGGCCGACCACCCTCCAGAAGGGAAAAGTAGCAGGAAACATCATTGAGACACACCACATCTGGTTACAAAAAAGCAGATCAGAAGTCAGGGCTCCCTCCACTTTGGCTCATGTTTTATCCTTTGTTTGTCCCACCTCTCCCTTTTTTTAAAAAAAAGATTTACTGATTTTTTTGAGAGACAGGGTCTTGCTCTGTCACTGAGGCTGGAGTGCAGTGGCATGATTACTGCTCACTGCACCTTGAACTCCTGGCCTCAAGCAATCCTCCCACCTCAGCTTCCCAAAGTGCTGGGACTACAGGTGTGAGCCACTGCCCTCGACTTACCTTTCCCCTTTACCTTTCCTCCCTTTAGCTCCTAGACCAGCCTGACTATTCTCCACCAATTTCCCCCAACCTGCACAACGTGTGACTCAAGTTAATTCTCAACCCCAAATCCATACTAGTTTGATTTTTCTGCCAGAGGCTTAGCCCAGTCCTACCTGCTTGACCATACCTTTTGTCACATTTGTCTCATTTAAGCAGTGACCAGTCTCAAAGGATTGAAACAGTGCCAGGCTTAGGTGTCTGGGAACATTATCCACTTCGAGATAGATTTTCAGGAATTGCTGGAATCCCTCGTACCCAATGGCCTATAATGAGAGTGAGCATTATCCTGGGGAGTCTGCAAGGTCAGAGCTGGGGCTGAAGAATTGGGAGTAGCGGGGACAGGGATAATAAATGCAGAGCTGAGAAGCATCTGAGGCAGGAGTATGGTTTCTTTGATTAAGTCCTGAGTTAATAGAATCCCTTGTTTTATCCTAAAGCAATAGTCAGAGTGACAATGGACACTAGGGTATCTCTAGAGGGGATAGTGAGGGGCAGGCCCAGAATAATTCCTGGAAGTTGGGGATCAAAAACAAAGATGGGAAGAGTTGATCAAGAAGAAGATTTCCCAGCTGCCACTCACATCTCCTTGGACATATTTAGCCATCTCGCCATCCTCGAAGAGCTTTAGGACATCACTGACCTTTTTGGTGGAGTCTAGGGTGTAGAGAGAGTAAGAGAACAGCATTATTAGTCCAGCTGAGTTCTCTTGCCAGAGAAATCCAGCAGGAAAAAAGATTCAAATGAGATGAAGAAATTCCAAGAAGAAACACAGAAATACAGAGGGAAAAATATTTCAGATCCTCCAAAACAGTACCACTCTTTACTCCTCTTCTCTGAGAGCTGGAGCAAGCAGTCCAGGTATAGCGAAGGTGGGTAGAGAGCCGAGACCTTGCACAATGCAGCCCAGTTAGACTGTGGTAGATCCGGATCTTTTTCTGACATCTCCCCATCTCCCACTCCTCCCATTTCCAGTCATGGGCACATCTGAGCAGCACACTGCTCAAAGCCACTGAGGAAGCTGGGGGGCAGGGGGTGTAATGAGGAGGAGGAGGGATTCTCTGGGGCAGGGTCTCCAGAACTGAAGGCCTGACAGGAAGACTCACATTCCATGTATTTTTGCAGCTGGGCAAAATCACTGGGGCTTATTAGGCCCCTCTCCTTGGCCATCTGTCTATTTTTCTCAAGGATGGCCAGAAAGGCAGCTTCGTAGTAGTACTTCCGTTGCTTGGACCTCTTCAGAGGGTAGGCCTGGGGAAAGGTGACAGAGCGTACAGTGGGAAGAGCCAGCTGTCTGGGTGTCTTTTCTTCTGTCTGTTCCATTCTGTCTCTACTCCCACTATTATTTTTTGTTCTTTCCTTCTCTCCTAGTCCCTCCCTAAACATCTTCCTTTCCCTGTGTCCCTCTTCCCTATGCCTCTACCTTCCCTGACAGTGTCTGTCCTCTGTCTCTGTTTCTCTGACTCATCTCTGTCTCTCCATTTCTGGATCCTTCTCCCTCTCCCCCAACCTATCTTGATTCATCTGACCACCCTCACCTTCCCACCCGCACCCGGCTTTCTCAGTCTATATATGTTTCTGTGGGTGTGTCCCTTGTCTGTTTCTGCGCTTTCTTCCACCATCGTCAATCTCTGCAGACTCTCCCCATCCTGAGCTCTCTCCCATCTCGGGTCTTCGGCAGTTCCGGCAGTTCCGGCCCTCTGAGTGACTCTTACTGCGTTAGCGCGTCTTCCTGGCCATGACCCCATTTTGTTCCGCCTCTGGCCAGGGACCCCAGCTCCGCTCAGCCACCCACTCCCCGAGCCACCCACGCCACGCAACGACCTCTAGCGCTTCTGACGCGCGACACAGAACCAGCTCTGGCAAGGTCCCTAGCCCCGGCCCCGCCTGGACTGCGTTCCGCGGAGCTCCACTAGGGAAGGGTGGGGAACTAGGCGCGGGGTAGGGAAGAGGCAGGGGAAGAGACTCTGGGTACCCACAGAGTCTCTTCCTCAGAAGAGGGTTCTGGGATACTGACATCCTAGAGAAAGGACTCTACCCATCTGGCACTTTTCAATGACTATAATCCAACTTCTGCTGCCAACAGATCTAGTGTTTCCCAGTCCTGGGACGATGGAGCCGAGTGCTAGTGTCTCGGCTCCTGGGAACTTCCTTCCACTCCGCTAGGTCAGCAGTGCTTAGGGAGCCCCAGGTTTTGGCTACTGGATCCAGGGACCAAGGTGCAGTGGGCGACTTTCCTTGATTCAGTAATGATAATAACATATCTTACGTTAATATAATACAGCACGGTTTTGGAACAGAACTAGATCAGTCATATCTGGGTCCCATTCTTAGCTCTGATACCACTGTGTGACTTGGGGAAGTTATATCTGCAAAATGGGGAGAATGAGAACCATTTTTCACAGTTGTGTGGCTTACGTAAAACAATATATGAAAAGTCACTCATACAATGCCTGACATTTAGGAGGCCTACAAGAAATGCTAGTTATTATTGTACTAACAATTAGAATCAAATCATCAGACATAGGAAATTATTGGCATAACCATTCTACAGATGAAGAAACTGGAGCTCAGAGAAGCTTGGATTTCCTAAGGCAGTTGATAGATGGAAAATCCAAGGCTCCAGCCCAAGGCCATGTGGTAGTGCCTCTGTTTGTCCCTCTGCCCTCCTCTTGTTCCACTCTCTCCTCACACCCCGCCATCTGGTCTCACTGTGCTCCTTTCTGTTCCTCAGGCATGCCAAGCTCTCCCCTGCTCAAAGCAATGAGTCTTACTGTTCTGTCTGCCTGGGATACCCTTCCCAGTATGTAGTGGGTGCTGAATATTGGTTGTACACATGATTGTGTAAAGCTGGGGATTCATAATTTGGGGCTATTAATCCAAATATGGTTACATGGGAATAGGATGCCAGAGTGTCCACCTGACAGTCAGAGGAAAGGAGATAATTTGTAGTACATAGAGTAGGTGCTAAATAAATATTTGTTAAATAAATGAATGATGCTGAAAAGCACTTATTGACTACCCCATCAAACACCCTGATCTCCACCCACTCATTTAGGGCTTGTTGGGTAAGGGAAGCAGTTTGGGTGTTCAAGAACAGCCTAGCCCTTTTCCTTTCTGATGATGCAAGAACTTTCTCTGCAGCCTCTTCCCTTGGGACATCTCTGCTGCCTACTTTTATGCAGCACACCATTCCTATTCCAGCAGCTCTCTGGGAACACTCAGAAGAGGGTTCTGGGATACTGACATCCTAGAGAAAGGACTCTACCCATCTGGCACTTTTCAATGACCATAGTCCAACTTCTGCTGCCAACAGACCTAATGAATACTAATAGTCTTATGGCTAATGGGGCCTCTATAGCTTAATTAGCCTCTCTGATTACCCCTGGGGATTCTAAGATGACTCCAAAGTTCTAGGAAATGGAATCTGAGGGAGAAAGTGACAAGGAGGGAGCAAACAAGTTACAATGCAAAGGAGAGAGGACAGGCTTCTTCTCTGCCTCTCTTTTTACAATGATCTAACTCTTTCTTGCTCCTTCCTAGCTCCCCAGGTCTTAAACCTGGAGAAGTAGTATACAGTAGAAGTTAAGAGAATGGACTTGCAAATTGGACAGGCAAGGATCAGAATCCTAGCTCTTTAAAAGGTCATTTCATCTCCCTGAGCCTCAGTTTTCTCATCAGTAAAGTGGGCACCTACAGAAATCAGTCGCAATGTGGGCATTAAATAAGATGATATATGCAATGTACTTAGCAAACAGCATGGCACAGAATAAGAACTCAATGAACATCAGCTATTATCATTATTACACAAGGGTAGTACCTAGAGAAACATTTCTGGAGATTAGGAAAAATGATGTCTTTGAACCAGGAAGGCATAAATTTCAGGGACTGCTAGCATCAGTGAAGCCCAGTTGTACGTCTTACCCCTTGTTATTAATATATCTGTCAGGTGCAAACATGTAGTATCAGGATTCTGAACTTTGCCTCTGGGAGGATGACGAGGTGGCTAGAGCTAGACTCTCAGGGTTCAAGGACACCCCTGGGCTGGAATCTTGGAAACGAGTGCTCCTGGGATCTTTTCAGTGGTTTTCTTGACTTCTCTGACTGAAAGTTTAGCTATCCCTGGAGCTGAAGGGCAGCAAACTGTGGGATCCTGGGGACTTGAAGACCTAGAACAAGTCCATTTTTTTTCCTCCAGGTCCATCCCAACCCTGAGGCTATAACCTGGGCTAGTCTAGGCGAAGGCCAGGGCTGGGAGGGTGGGGTCTGCTGCCAGCCTGCCAGCTATTTGTGACTCACCCTTCCCTTCCCTCCTCTGGTTTCCCTGCCCGCCCCTACCCAATTGGGGCGAGAAAGGAAGAAGTTGACTTGGAGGCAGAGAATCTTAGAACATCCACAGAGCTGGGAGTCACCAACCCTCGTATTTTACAGAGGAGGAAATTGAGGCATAGAGAGAGAATTACTCTCTTAAGGGCACAGTCAGACTCTAGACACCCATCCTTAGTACATTCCACTAAATCTTAGAGCTCATGGCTCTCTGGATCTAATTTTAAACATCAAATACTAAAATTTTAACCAAGAGATAAATATTGTTTCCAAAGCCTGTGTTAGTATTTAAAGTTTCCTTTTTTCACTTAAGCGTTCATTGCTCACATTCCAAGTCCTTTAAGTCGACCATTACTCAGGAAATAGCTATGTCTCCAGAATATTGAGGCTGCCCCAGAGGGGCAGGAGCCCCGAATTTGAGGGCCCAGGCCTGATTACCTGGACTTCTGAATTCCTTAATCACATCATAGACTGTATCCTCCTCCTCTCCCTGACCGTTGCTGCTAGTAGGTAGCCCTCAAGAGGGAATCATTTGCTTGAAGCCTCAAAACTTATTAAGCCTCCACAAACACTGAAGACTGCAGTGCTACACCTGGCTGAGGGGGTTGTGTGTGTGTGTGTGTGTGTGTGTGTGTGTGCGTGTGTGTGTGTGTGTAGAGGGTGTCATTGCGTAGTATAGGAGGAAGTTACGATACTGGCATGGTTGGGGGATGTGGGCTTGTCTGTGCTGAGGCTGAAGAGATGCCCAGTAATATTTGCCATTCTTCCTCAGGAAGGCTCATTTCTCCTATCAAGGTGAAAAGTGAGATTCAGACTCAGGTATTTTCAGAAACTTCCCAGTGACAGGTGGGGAGAGGATGGGGTGGGAAGTTGGGGACCTGGAGGCCAAACAAGAACCCTTCTCCACCCGTGCGGCACTGTGGAGGTTCCGAAGAGGACTTCCCTCCGAGTCGGGTCCCAGGAACCGGGCTTCACCATCCCTCCGAATGAGCGGGAGGGATGGAGGGGAAGGTCTGGGAAACGTTACCCACCGGGTTCGGGCCCAGCCCTCCCGCTGCACCCCCGCGTCCCAGCGCAGACCCTTCTCGATACCCGCTCCAGCTGTCACGCTTCCTCCTTCCCGACCCAGCAGCACGAACGCAGCCCGTGGGTCCTCGGCTTCCCTACCCCTGTCCTTTTCCGATGGGGGAGGGTGGGGCGCTGGGGGGCTCGCGGGGTCTCTACCTTGCTTGAGAGGGCTCGCGGTCGCAGCTGAAGCGCCGGCGCTGGAGCTGGAGCCCGAGCTGGGCTGGAGGGGACGGGCCAGGCAGACGCGGCCGCAGCGGGGCCGCCCCGTTCCTGACGACATAGCTGCCCGCCCCCCACCCCAGCCTGCCCGCCGCGCCCGCGCCCGGCGCCCCCGACTCTGGGAACTTCGAAGTTGGAGAGGCCCGTTTCTAGGTTTCCAGTTCACCATAACCTGCTCCACCCTCCCTCGAATATGTCCGGGGCTTTGGACACATTTTCTCCATTTGCTGCGCTCCTCATCTTCTTCCCGCGCCGGCGGCAGCTCTGCTTCTATTTTCCCTTCTTTCTAATCACTCACAGCCTCTCCCTTCATCCCAAACCTGGGAGACCAAGATACCGGGCGGGCCGCTAACAGAACAGCTCGGCAGTTGGGCACCCAACCAACGTCTCATTCTCTCCTGATTGCTGCCATCCTGAACTTCCCTAACCAACTCCCTTCCATCCACCACTGACTTCACACTCAGGAGATCCCACGGGGGCAAGCCCAGAGTCCCAAACTCCACAACCTGACCAAACACCTCCCTCCCGCCCCGGGCTCTACCCTGCTTGAGACAATCTCCCCACCTTCTTCACGTTCCTCTTTCCTTTTAGACCTATTTTCCCCAGTCTAAGGACACCTCCTGTCAAGACTCATGTTCTCTCCTTAATTCTAGGGTGGAGTTTTGCACTTTGGTCTATGTCCACCCTTTCTCCACGCCCTCATCCTCCCACTTTACCTGCTGGTCTTGGCAGGTGGCACAGAAGGCCCTGGCCAAAAGTAGGGAGTGAAAGGTCCTTTCAGCTTCCCCTGCCTGGAGTCTCTTCTAGAGTCATTAAGGCTCTTGGGGTCGCATGGATGGTGGTGAAGGTGGTACAGCAAGGGAGAGAGATGGAGGCCTAGGGACTCACTGGCAGGAACTGGAGACCCAGGCATCCTGCTCACTGGCCCCGCCCCAACCCCTGTCTAACTCCCTCCTACCCTTCATTGAAAATGGGGCAGAGTAACAAAGCCTTAGGTTCCTGGAATCGTCCTTCTTACACCTGGGGGTGGGAAGAAGGGGGAGGGGAGACCTCTGACTAGAAGGGTATATGCATGTGTGGGTATTGTGTATGCATACATACACACACATAATATATACATACTTTTGGTGGGGGTTGGAAAGGGAATGAATACATGAGGCCCTCTAGTGGAAACAGGGATATCTAAGCAGTTCTTGATTGTTTCAAGACAGGCTTGTTGGAACAGACTCCTCCACATTTGCCAGAAATATAGCTGCTGAGTAATAGGGTTTGGGAGTATTGTTGTATCCAAACTGGAGATTTCGGGCATAGGTTGAAGAGGGGTCTGTCTCTCTGCTCCTGTGCCCCTCCAAGTCTCACCCTCTCACCCCCAATCATAAAAAGACAAGGGCCAAAGGCCGGGCGCGGTGGCTCACACCTGTAATCCCAGCACTTTGGCAGGCTGAGGCAGGCGGATCACGAGATCAGGAGATTGAGACCATCCTGGCTAACACGGTGAAAACCTGTCTCTACTAAAAATACAAAAAATTAGCCGGGCGTGGTGGCACATGCCTGTAGTCCCAGTTACTCGCGAGGCTGAGGCAGGAGAATCGCTTGAACCTGGGAGGCAGAGGTTGCAGTGAGCCGAGATCATGCCACTGCACTCCAGCCTGGGTGACACGAGCAAAACTCTGTCTAAAAAAAAAAAAAAAAAAAAAAAAAAACAAGGCCCTTGACACTCCCCATCCTGTCTTTACAGTATTTTCTTCACTGTTAGCAAAGCTTCATCTCTCCTTCCTCTATGACCTCCTTAGTCATAGTAAACAAACTCTTCTGAAGGCCTTTTATACACTAAGTCCTGTACTTAGTTCTGCAATACAAGCAAAAACATAGTCCAGTTTAGGGACTATATCAATGAGTGGTGCAATGTGTGTAAAGCCTCTCTGCTCTGAGCTACTTTAAACAAACATACAATGTAAGAATAGGTCCCCTAACACCTCTGCCTATCAGTTTTCTGTCCCTGGATCTTTCATTTAGAAATCTTGGAACGATATTAATCTCTAAGGCACTCAGCTTTCCTTGCAAAGAATGCTCAAAGTAATGCCACCCTATGTATTACCTGTGTTTCTCACTCTATCGTCTTTAGATATGTCCCTAAATAAAGTTGAAGACACTCCTTTTAAGATAGTTTTTGGTACTTCAAAGTGGGGTGTAATGTTATCTCTCGAATAAGGAATAAGGTGGAATCAGTCTTACTCTAGACTTCTTTGTGTCTTCTTTAGGATCTGTGCTCCATCATACCCCAAGTCAGTTACTGGGGGGTGTGGGTGGGGGAAGAAAAGCCAAGAAACATCTAAGAAGGAGGCGTTTAATGCCTACGGTTCCAGGTGCTCATTTCTTTAATCAACCACATCATAAAAATCAGAAAGAAAGAAACCGCAATGAACAAAGGGAAAGGAAAAAACAACAGCCTGTTCTCCCCGGCCTTTTTTGCCCTGTTCCTCCTCAGGGTGGGGGGCCACATCCGGGGCCCCGGGTTGGGTCCCAGGCAGGTCTACTAAGCAGACAATTGAGTTTCACTTCCTGTCAACCCTAGTGCTGAGGCAGGATGTCTGGGGGTGGGAAGGGGGCCTAGGGTTGGTAGTGAACAGGGGCGACTTTAGGTTTCCCTCCTGCACAAAGGTCTATTGAGCAGCCTCTGAAAGCTGCAGAGACCACTCCTGAGGTAGTTCAGTCAAGACCAACGTATCCCATTAGTTCTTAGAGGCTTCATCCCACACTCTCACGTCTAATCATAACAAGGTTAAGGACAAGATGTTAGACCCTGCAGGGCTGAAGTACAATCGGTGAAAAGAGAGCAAGGGTTTAAGACCACAGTGTCACAACACTTGCAATAACAGTGTATCGTATGCAAATACTTTTTATTTATTTATTTTGAGACTGAGTCTTGCTCTATAATACAAGCTGGAGTGCAGTGGCACGATCTTGGCTCACTGCAACCTCCACCTCCCAGGTTCATTCCTCAGCCTCCCGAGTAGCTGGGATTACAGGCACTCGCCACCACACCCGGCTAATTTTTGTATTTTTAGTAGAGATGGGATTTCACCATGTTGGCCATGGCTGGTCTCGAACTCCTGACCTCAAGTGATCTGCCCACCTGGGCCTCCCAAAGTGCTGGGATTACAGGCATGAGACACCGCACCCGGCCTGGAAATACTTTTTAAATGAGCCCCACCCCCAGACATTCTGAATTGGCCTCTAGTGGAAGTCACAGACATGGAGGATGGGAAGGAAGGCAAGCTGCGGCCCCCAGAAAACTTCTGAGGCCTAATTTGTCTTATAAAGGTCCTAGTCAGCCATTGCTCAGTTTTTTAGTTTTTTTTTTTTTTTTTTTTTTTTTTTTTTGAGACGGGGTCCCACTCTGTCGTCCAAGCTGGAGTGCAGTGGAGCGATCTTGGCTCACTGCAACCTCCGCCTCCCAGATTCAAGAAATTCTCTGCCTCAGCCTCCCGAGTAGCTGAGATTACAGGCACCCGCCACCACGCCCGGCTAATTTTTTTGTATTTTTAGTAGAGACGGGGTTTCGCCATCTTGGCCAGGTTGGTCTTGAACTCCGGACCTCGTGATCCACCCGCCTTGGCCTCCCAAAGTGCTGGGATTACAGGCGTGAGCAACCGCGCCTGGGTTTTGTTTTGTTTTTTAAATGGGACATGCTGCCTAGTGTTGGAGGTAGTCACCAATACTTACCTCCTGCCTCCTCCCTGGTTCCAGGGGTACTGCTGGACATTAAACTAAGCCAAAGTGGGGATATAAGCAGGAAGGTAAAAGGGTTGATAAGGAAAAAGCTATATGAGGGTGGAGGAGGGCAGAGTTGACACCTGAGGAGAGGAACCTGCAGCCGGGCTCCTCTCAGGCTGTAGGGGAAACAAGTTTAACAGGACTTAGCCCTGAAGGAACAACAGTTGCTGAAATGGGCGGCGGAGGGAGACCATATGGGTTCGTCTGCAGAATAGGGAGGTACGGCGCAGGGCAGGACTACAAATGGAGTGACACTACGGGACCGGATTATTGGCGAGTTGCCCCGCTTTAGATCCTCAGCGGTTGGACGAGTTTAATTAGAATACTAAGTAGGTCCGCCCAGAAGCTTTCACCCTGCCCTCTGACCCTAGGGCCCAGCCCGAGGAGGCACTCAGGGTTAGGAGGTCTGGGCGAGAAGCAACTAGGGCCCTCATCACTTCGCCGCCGAATCCCCGGCGCCGCCCAGCGGGGCAGAGCCAGGCCAGGGCCGCCCGCCCAACCTGGTCCGCTGCCTCTTCGGCCATGGAAGCTGCCGGCAGCCCTGCGGCTACGGAGACAGGTGACCGACCCGCGGCGCCCTCCGCCTTGCACGCCCCTCCCGCGGGTCTCTGGTGGTTGAGTGGGTTGGCCGACAGCAATCGGCACACGAATTCGACCTCCCCACCTTCTTAGGGTTAGATAGGGTCTCCAACCGTCCCTAGAAACACTTGTGCGCCCCAGTGCGTTCCTGGAGTTTGTCTGCTCCACGTCACCAAGCCGCTCTGAGATCTGGGTGCAGGCCAGAGCCTGGATATTCTTCCTTTCTTCATTTATAAGGCCCCCTTTTTGGGTGCAGGTGGGCCTTGCGCCCTTTTCCCTCGCAGGTCCTGGACGTACGAGGAGTTCCTGGGGATGAGAGGGACTGTGCCTCGGAACTTCTCTTGGCTCCCTGAGGACTGTTTTACAGGCAGCAAGCGCTCAGTAATGGTATCGGTGGCAGTAAAAAGCCCACGGCTTTATTTTATTAACTATTTCAGCTTCTCCACTCTTCCTCCTCCTCCACCTCCGCCCATGAAATGGTGCACTCTCCCTTTAAGACTAAGATGGTGGCTTGCTACGATCGGGACTCCACTTCCGGTGGGGAGGGGGGCGGGACCCCAGCCCGCTCACGCCGGAAGTGGTTTGCGTTTTCAAGATGGCGACTCCCTATGTTACTGACGAGACCGGCGGTGAGTGCGGGAGGCGCGGAGCCGCTTCTCTCCGGGCTCTCGGGGCAGGGGTTCGGACTTGGAAAGGGGTCTGTGCCCCGCCCATCCCGGGGCCCCTCCTTTGCCCCGCCCCCCGGACCGCCTTCCCCATTCATTCTCTCCTACGGGGTGTCTCCTGCGCCCCCTTCTGGTCTCGTGTTTGGGGTCTCTGCTTCCGGTCACCCAAACCCTGGGGTCCTTCAGTGCTGGTCCCTGCTTCAGGACCCTCACGGGCCCTTAGCTTTTCTCCAGCAGTTGGACCACTCATATCTCTTTTAGGTTCTTCAGGCTTGGGGGCTTCTACACTCTCATTTCCCTCCAGTTCCTGCCCTCCTTCTTTTCCCCTCCCCCATCTCAGCTATACTTGGTTTCTGCCCTACCCCAGTCCCGTTTTCATTATTTTTCTCGAAGCTTTATTTGCTGAAGACCTCCTCGTTTCTACATAGTACCTTTTCCTCTCCCGTATCTTCATTTGTTGGGTCACTGAGGTTTAGAGGTGTGAAGGGAAGAGGACCCTAATACAACTTTCAGCTTGAGTTTTCTCCCTGATGGAGCCACCCTTCGCTACCTTCTCCCGTGATGGTGATAGAAATTGAGGGGTCTAAGGTGGGAAAAGGCAAACAGGAAAGTATCTAGTGGCTTTTCTCCGAAGCCCTTTGACAAGTGAATAAAACCCACTATTCCTTCTGGCTAGAGAAGAATTTGCAGCCTGGCTGGCCGAGATGCTGAAGTGTCTGCTGTGTATGTAAGGTGTATGTGTTGGAAACGGAGAATCACAGCTTTTATCATGGTTTTGTCCCTTCCTAATGGCCTCATCTTTAGGAAAATATGCATAGTAGTAATAGCTACTCAATGATGATCAAATAATATATGTAAAAGCAATTTATAAAATACTGTGCAAGTGCAAAGTGTTTCTGTTTTTGTAGCCCTCATATGTGTAGTCTGTAGTCTGTAGAAGCAACAGTGTGCCTGTGCCTTGGTACACACGGTGTTTTAAAATGTGCCATTTTGCTTCTTGCTCTGCTGCTTTCCATGTTCCTTACACCTCAGCCCACCTATTTTATGGTATCTGATGACAACCCAGGTTGCTGCTACTTCTCCCCAACCTCACAATTTAAAGTGGTACTACCTCTTTCCTTCTGTTCTCTACCCAGTAGCTCCTTCATGAATTACCAACTTTTAATGTGTGTTTTGAAAATACTACTTATCCAGTATACTTCTCTTTACTCTTAATCATTTTCTTTACCCTGACTCCGTGAAAATCCAGGTATCACATCTTACCTTACCTTGTCACTAAAAGCTGTTTTCTGTTTTCCGTGACTATGTGGAAGAGAAAAAGGAATAAACTGCTTTTTTGTTTTCCTTTACTATGTCCAGATCATTGATCTACCACTGTCACTCTAATCCTCATGGAAGGTATTGCCATGCAATTATAGCAGTTTCTGTAAAACTTTAGTGTCATCATTTACTGCCCACAGGGACCCAGACCTATTGCATCATATTTTTTTCTCTCCTTTTTTTCTTGCTATCATTTTCAGTGTCTCCAGCACCATTGGAATATTCTGATTTCATAGTTCCTCAGCATGAGACGGTCGACTTTCCTTTGTATTTTCAAACCAGTTGCACATCAGAATCACTACAACCTGGATCTCATCTAGGACACCGCTTTTTCTTCAGCTGCTCCCCATCACTTTAGCCTCCTTACCAGTCACCTATTTCACTATCTTAAACCCACAGGATCAGCTTTTTGTCCTCAAGTTCTCTGGTTCTTGACCTTCCCATTTCATTGAATCTGTCAGTACCTTATGGCCTTTGGTGCTGCCCAGCTAGACCTCTGTGACCAGCCACTTTGATAATATCCTCTTGCTTTCTTTATTCATTTTGATTTTCTATACTAAGCAGGCACTTCTGTTGTCTCTAATGATGGGTATGATTAGAGATGTTTTCTTGGCTTCCGCTTCTAGGCCACAGCATGTTGCTAGAGAAAAAGTACAGAGCTATCAGATTCAATATAACTTAACTTCTGCCAAGATCATGGCTTCTAATTATTTTTTTCTTTTTAAAAAAATTTTTTGCTGGGCATGGCGGCTCACGCCTATAATCCCAGCACTTTGGGAGGCCGAGGTGGGTGGATCAACTGAGGTCAGGGGTTCAAGACCAGCCTGACCAATATGGTGAAACCCCGTCTCTACTAAAACTACTAAAATTAGCTGAGTGTGGTGGCATGGTGGCGTGGGCCTGTCATCTCAGCTACTCGGGAGGTTGAGACAGGAGAATCGCTTGAACCCAGGAGGCAGAGGTTGCAGTGAGCTGAGTTCGCACCACTGCACTCCAGCCTGGGCGACAGAGCGAGACTCTGTCTCAAAAATAAATAATAAATAAATATTTAAATTTATTTTTTATGTTCTTCCATAGCTGTTTCCCCAACCTTTTCCAGATCTGTGTGACCATCCCTTTTAATTCTCCTTCTTTTGGCAGAAGACTTCATTTTTATTTCACTGAAAACTCAAGGCCTATCATTTTTGTTTCCTTTTTCTTCACAGCCAGATTTTGTTTGTTTCTTTCTTTTTTTAAAAATGAAGCGATGCAGACTTGCTATGTTGCCCAGGCTGGTTTTGAACTCCTGGCCTTAAGTGATCTTCCCACCTCAGTCTGCCAAAATGTTGGGATTACAGGTGTGAGCATGCACCTGGCCCCAGATTTCTCGAATATGAAGAAATCTCCTGATATTTCTGTTTCCTTGCTGCCTATTTGTTCTTAACTCTTTGCAGTCATTATTTCTAGCACTACCCTCTCTCGAGTTGCCTATGCCTTTTTCTAATTGTTTCGTGAATATCTTCACTCTTGGATATACTGTTATACCTCAAATCCAACCTGACCAAAACCAGTATCAGTTTTTCCATCACTATTTCTGTTAAAGGCACCATTATTCTAGCCAACCCAAGGTAAACTTTTGTATCGTTTCTTTTTTTTTTTTTCTTTGAGACAGAGTCTCACTCTGTCGCCCAGGCTGGAGTGCAGTAGCGCGATCTCGGCTCACTGCAACCTCCGCCTCCCTGGTTCAAGTGATTCTTCTGCCTCAGCCTCCTGAGTAGCTGGGATTACAGGCACATGTCACCACGCTTGGCTAATTTTTGTATTGTTAGTAGAGACAGGGTTTCATCATATTGGTCAGGTTGGCCTCGAACTCCTGACCTCGTGATCTGCCAGCCTTGGCCTCCCAAAGTGCTGGGATTACAGGCATGAGTCACCACGCCTAGCCATTTCTTTTTTTAATATTCTAAATATACTTGATTTTTTAGAACACTTTTAGATTTATAGAAAAATTGAGAAGATGCTACAGAGATTTCCCATATACCCTACACTCAGTTTCCCCATTACTGTCATCTTACGTTAATATAGTACTTTGCTTGCAATTAATGAAGCAATATTGATATATTACTATTAACTAGAATCCATACATCATTTCATTAGTTTTGTTTTTTTTTTTTTTCAGACAGGGTCTTGCTCTGTCACCCAGGCTGGAGTGCAGTGGTGCAATCACCATTTACTGTAGTCTTAACTTCTGGGCTCAAGTGATCCTCACATCTCAACCTACTGAGTAGCTGGGACTACAGGTACACACCACCACGCCTGGCTAATTTTTGTATTTTTTGTAGAAATGCGGTCTTGCTCTGTTGCCCAGTCTGATCTCAAATTCCTGGGCTCAAGCAATCCTCACGCCCTGGCCTCCCAAAGTGCTAGAATTACAGGTGTGAACCACCATGCCTGGCTGATTTCCTTAGTTTTTACTTAATTTATTTTTATATTTATTTATTTATTACTATTTTTTTGAGACGGAGTTCTGCTCTTGTTGCCCAGGCTGGAGTGCAATGGTGAGATCTCAGCTCACCGCAACCTCTGCCTCCCGGGTTCAAGTGATTCTCCTGCCTCAGCCTCCTGGGTAGCTGGGATTACAGGCATGTGCCACCATGCCCGGCTAATTTTGTATTTTTAGTAGAGATGGGTTTCTCCATGTTGGTCAGGTTGGTCTCAAACTCCTGACCTCGGGTGATCTGCCCACCTCGGCCTCCCAAAGTGCTGGGATTACAGGTGTGAGCCACTGCGCCCAGCCTTTTTACCTAATTTTTTTTTGTTGTTCCAGGATCTTATCCAGGGTACTACATAACATTTAGTTCTCATGTCTCTTTAAGCTCCTCTTGGCTGTGACATTTTCTCAGGCTTTCCTTGTTTTCCATGACCTTGAGTTTTGAGGAGTACTGGTCAGGTATTTTGTAGGATATCCTTCTATTGGAATTTGTCTGATGTATTTCTCATGATTAGATTTGGGTTATGTGTTTTGGGGAGGAAGACCACAGAGGTAAAGTGACATTTTCATCACATTGTATCAGGGTACATAGTATCACAATGATTTTTTACTGTTAATATTTTTGTTTTTTTGAGACAGGGTCTTCCCTCTGTTGCCCAGACTGGAGTGCGGTGATGCCATCATGGCTCACTGAAATCTTGACCTCCCAGTCTCAATTGATCCTCCCACCTCAGCCTCCTGAGTATCTAGGACCACAGGCGTGTGCTATCATGACCAGCTAATTTTTTTTTTTTTTTTTTTTTTGGTAAAGATGGTCTCACTATGTTGCCTGGGCTGGTCTTGAACTCCTGAGCTCAAGGTATTGTTCCCCTTTGGCCTACCAAAATTCTGGGATTACTAGGCATGAGTCACTATGCCCAGCCTGTTAGTATTGACCGTGATCATCTGGCAGAGATATTGTTTGTAAGGCTTCACTGTAAAGTTAGGCTTTACCCCCTTCCTTTCCATACTGTAGGGAAGTCACTATTGCCAGCCCACGCATAAGGAGTAGAGAGTTGTGCTCTCCTTAAAAAAAGAGATTAAGGGCTGGGCATGGTGGCATATGCCTGTAATCCCAGCACTTTGGGAGGCTGAGGCTGGAGGATTGCTTGAGGCCATCCTAAGCAACATAGCAAGACCTCTTATCTACAAAAAGATTTAAAAAAAAAACGAGCTGGGTAAGGTGGCACACACCTGTGGTCCCAGCTACTCAGGGAGCCTCAGAGGGGAAGATTGAGCCAGGGAGGCTGAGGCTGCATTGAGCCGTGATTGTGCCACTGTACTCCATCCTCAGTGAGAGGCTGTCTCAAAAAACAATTAAAAAAACACACTATTTGGCATTTTTCTGCCCAGGAGATTTTTTTCTTTTCCTTTATTAATTTATGTATATCAATATGGACTTATAGATGTGTATTTTATATGTTAGGTTATAATCCAATACTATTTTATTTGCTTTATTGCTCAAATGTTCCAGTTTTGAACATTGGGAACTCTTTTAGTTTTTTACTTGGCCCATCTCCCTTTGACATTTGCCATCATTGCAGGTATGATTTTGTTCTCTGCTCCAGTCCTGCGGTCTGCCATTTCTCCAAGAAGCCCTTGTTCTTTTTACTAAAGAGTAATGTTAAAAACTAAGATCTGATCACTAGGTGTTTTTATTTCTATGGGAGTATTTTTTTTTATTTATGGGAGTTTTATTTTTTTATGATTATTTTTATTATCATCTTTTACTTCTCTCTTGCCCTCCTCATGTATATCAGTTATCAAAATATCATTCTTTTATTCCTACTGCTGTTACCCTTATCCCATCTACAGTACTTGTTAGCTATATAGCCTTGGGAATCTAAGTCTTAGTTTTCTCATCAATGAAATTGGAATAACTCCTGCAACACAGGATTATTATGCGTATTAAAATTTAAATAAAGTAATTTACATGTTTGGCACATAAAAAGTGTCCAACACATTGTTCTATAATTATTACTATTATGTAAGGGTCATTGTATGGGTTAGAAGAAATTACTATATATGGCCAAGTACCAGGCATAGTACTTGGGCCATTCCAAGTGCCTGCTAAAATTCTAGTTTCTGTTGTTCTGCAAATATTACTGTGACCTCCTAAACTGGTCATCGTATTTCCAGTCCCTCTCTTGTTTCATTTCTACAGATACACTGCTACCAGATTACTGCTTCTTAAGTGCAAATTTAGTTATGTAATTTTTGTTCAATATTAATTCATCAACCCAGAGTCTGCTGTTATATATGGCATATATCTTTCTAAACTGTTTTAAACATAGCAGAACCAGATGGTATATACATTTTTATATCTTGCCTTTTCATTTAGCCTTATGAGGTAAATGTTTTTCCTTGCTATTAAAAACTCTGTAAACATCTTTTAAAATACTGGCAGAGTGTTTTATAGTTTGGGCATGCACCCTATCTTACTTTCTTCTGTTATTGGACTTTTAGATTGTTTTCAGAATTTTTATTATAAGAACACTAGAATGTTTTTGTGCATGCATCTTTTTCGGCATTTAGGGTTATTTTCTTTTTCTTTTTTTTTCTTTTTTTTTTTTTGAGACGGAGTCTCGCTTTGTCACCAGGCTGGAGTGCAGTGGTGCGATCTCTGCTCACTACAATCTCCACCTCCTGGGCTCAAGTGATTCTCCTGCCTCAGCCTCCCGAGTAGCTGGAATTACAGGCATGCACCCCCACTCCCAGGTAATTTTTGTATTTTTAGTAGAGATGGTGTTTTACCATGTTGTCTAGGCTGGTCTTGAACTCCTGGCCTCAAAGGATCGCCCACCTTGGCCTCCCAGAATGCTAGAATTACAGGCATGAGCCACCGTGCTCGGCCTGATTTTTTAAATTATCTGTAAGATGAGGTCTTGCTATGTTTCCCAGGCAGGTCTCCAACTCCTGGGTTCAAGTGATCCTCTCACCTTGGCCTCCTGAAGTGTTGGGATTATAGGCATGAGCAACTAGTTTTTCTTTTCCTTTTTTTTTTTTAAAGAGACAAGGTCTTGCTCTGTTGCCCAGGTTAGTGTACAGTGGCACAGTCATAGCTTGCTGTAGTCTTAACTGTTGGGGTCAAGCAATTCTCCTGCCTCCTCCTCCTGAGTAGCTGGTACTAGTACTACAGGCATGCGCCACCATGGCTGGCTAATTTTTGAATTTTTTTATAGAGCTATGTTGCCCAGGCTGTTCTCAAACTCATTTTCACAAGCAGTGCTCCCACCATGGCCTTCCAAAGTGGTGGGATTACAGGCATGAGCCACTGCACCCAGCCTAGTTTTTCTTTTTTCTTTTTCTTTTTTTTTTGAGACGGAGTCTTGCTCTGTCTCCAGTCACCCAGACTGGAGTGCAGTGACGCGATCTCTGCTCTGCCAACTGGGCTCAAGCTATTCTGCCTCAGCCTCCCAAATAGATGAGATTACAGGCACGCACCACTATGCCCAGCTATTTTTTTGTATTTTTAGTTAGAGATGGGGTTTCACCGTGTTGGCCAGGCTGGTCTCGAACTCCTGACCTCAGGTGATCTGCCTGCCTTGGCCTCCCAAAGTGCTGGGATTATAGACGTGAGCCACCATGCCTGGCCCCCAGCCTAGTTTTTCTAAGCACATATGCATATATAACATTAAGGTAAAATGACATATTTTGAATTATACTGTTAAGATTGGCTGTTATTTTCTAAAATATGAATCCTTGAAACACCTAGTAATCTTCTGAGATGTGACACAAAATAAATAACTAAAATAGAGGCCGGGAGTGGTGGCTCACGCCTGTAACCTCAACACTTTGGGAGGCTGAGGCGGGTGGATTGCTTGAGCCCAGGAATTCGAGACCAGCCTGGGCAACATGGCAAAACCTCGTCTCTACTAAAAATACAAAAAATTAACTGGGTGTGGTGACACACACACTCCTGTAGTCCCAACTACTTGGGAGGCTGAGGTGGGAGGAATTGCTTGAGCCTGGGAGGTGGAGACTGCAGTGAGTCAAGGTCCAGCTATTGCACTCCAGCCTGGGTGACAGTGACCTCATCTCAAAGATAAATAAAATAAAATGCAAATAATGTTTCTGTGCACAAATTTTGAGAAACACTGTAAACCATATTCCCATCTTGCATATGTACCTGAATAAGAACATAGTAACTCATTTAAGCCTTGCTGTTAAAAAAAACAAACGCAAAATCTTTTTTGGTGTTTAACCCAGAATTTCCCAAACTTATTTAACAATTTTTAGGGATAACCCCTGTTTAATATCTTATGGGAGTAGTATTTTACATAACAAAAGCTTTGGGAAATGTGATTAAATGATAGGACTACCTTTTTTATTTTTGTTTTTTTGAGATGGACGCTTGCTCTGTCGCCCAGGCTGGAGTGCAGTGGTGCAATCTCGGCTCAGTGCGACCTCTGCCTCTCAGGTTCAAGCGATTCTCCTGTCTCAGCCTCCCAAGTAGCTGGGACTACAGGCACGTGCCACCACGCCCAGCTAATTTTTGTATTTTTAGTAGAGACGGGGTTTCACCGTGTTGGCCAGGCTGGCCTCAAACTCCTGACCTCAGGTGATCCACCCGCCTTGGCCTCCCAGTGCTGGGATTACAGGTGTAAGCCACCATGTCCAGCCTAATTTTTAAATTTTTTATAGAGATGGAGGTCTTACCATCTTACCCAGGATGGTCTTGAACTCCTGGGCTCAAGTGATCCTCCTACGTCAGCCTCCTAGTGTGCTGGGATTACAGACGTGAGCCACCATGCCTGGCCTATTTGTTGATTTCCATTTTTATTTTAGATTTAGAAAATGTGCAGGTTTGTGGTTGGGCGCAGTGGCTCACGCCTGTAATCCCAGCACTTTGGGAGGCCGAAGCGGGCGGATCATGAGGTCAGGAGATTGAGACCATCCTGGTTAACACGGTGAAACCCCATCTCTACTAAAAATACAAAAGAAACTTAGCCGGGCATGGTGGCGGGCACCTGTAGTCCCAGCTACTCGGGAGACTGAGGCAGGAGAATGGCGTGAACCCGGGAGGCGGAGCTTGCAGTGAGCCGAGATCACGCCACTGCACTCTAGCCTGGGCGACAGAGCGAGACTCCGTCTCAAAAAAAAGAAAAAAAAAAAAAAGAAAATGTGTAGGTTTGTTACATGGGTATAATTATGTGATGCTGAGGTTTGGGGTATGAGTGATCCCATCACCCAGATAGTGAGCTTAGTACCCAATAGTTAAGTTTTTTTTTTGTTTGTTTGTTTGTTTTTTGTGATGGAGTCTTGCTTTGTTGCCCAGGCTGGAGTTCAGTGGTGTGATCTTGGCTCACTACAACCTCTATCTCCCGGGTTGAAGTGATTCTCCTGCCTCAGCATCCCAAGTAGCTGGGATTACAGGCATGCACCACCATGACCGGCTGAGTTTTGTATTTAGTAGAGTTGGGGTTTCACCGTGTTGGCCAGGCTGGTCTCCAACTCCTGACCTCAGGCGATCCATCTAGCTTGGCCTCCCAAAGTGCTGGGATTACAGGCGTGAGCCACTGTGCCTGGCCCCAGTAGATAGTTTTTAAACCCGTGCCCGCCTCTAATAATCCCCAATGTCTGTTGCTGCCATCTTTATGTCCGTGAGTACCCAGTGTTTAGCTCCTACTTATAAGTGAGAACATGCAGTATTTGGTTTTCTGTTCCTGTGTTAATTTGCTTAGGATAATGGCCCTCAGCTGCATCCATGTTGCTACAAAGGACATTATTTTGCTCTTTATGGCTGTGACAGACTACTTTTTATTTAATTAATTAATTTTTTTTTGTTTTGAGATGGAGTCTTGCTCTTGTTGCCCAGGCTGGAGTGCAATGGTGCGACCTTGGCTCCCTGCAACCTCTGCCTCCTGGGTTCAAGTGATCTCTTGCCTCAGCCTCCCAAGTAGCTGAGATTATAGGCACCCACCACCACGCCCGGCTAATTTTTTTTATTTTTAGTAGAGACGGGCTTTCACCATGTTGGCCAGGCTGGTCTCGAGCTCCTGACCTCAGGTGATCCACCCGTCTTGGTCTCCCAAAGTGCTGGGATTGCAGGCATGGTGAGCCACTGCGCCCAGCTGACAAACTACTTTTTAAATTTTTTTTTATTTTTGAGACAGAGTTTCACTCTGTTGCCCAGGCTGGAGTACAGTGGTGTGATTGCAGTTTACTGCTGGCTTGACCTCCTGGGTTCAAGTGATCCTCCCAGCTTAGCCTCCCAAGTAGCTGGGATTACAGGTGTGCGCCACCATGCCCAGCTAATTTTTGTAGAGAAGAGGTTTCACCATGTTGCCCAGGCTGGTCTTGAACTCCTGGATGCAAGCGATCTGCCTGCCTCAGCCTCCCAAAGTGTTGGGATTAGAGGCATGAACCACCACGCCCAACCTCAGACTACTTTCTTTTTTTCTTTTTTTGAGACCGACTTTTGCTGTTGTTGCCCAGGCTGTGGAGTGCAATGGCCTGACCTCGGCTCACCGCAACATCCACCTCCCGGGTTCAAGTGATTCTTCTGCCTCAGCCTCCCGAGTAGCTGGGATTACAGACATGTGCCCCACACCTGGCTAATTTTTGTATTTTTAGTAGAGACGGGGCTTTCTCCATGTTGGTCAGGCTGGTCTTGAACTCCTGACCTCAGGTGATCCGCCCGCCTCTGCCTCCCAAAGTACTGGGATTACAGGCGTGAGTCACCGTGCCTGGCTGACTACTTTTAAATGTAGTATTATCACATGCTATGTTTTTGCCCATACCCTCTAGTGAAACTGGGCTGTATGGCTGATGTGGAACAGCAGTGCGATGGTGTGTAAGCTTTGGCATCAGACTTGAGTTCAGGTTACAGATATGTGCTACCTTTGGGATCTTGACCATGTCTTTTTTTTTTTTGAGCTGGAGTCTCACTCTGTCACCCAGGCTAGAGTGCACTGGTGTGGTTTCAGCTCACTGCAACCTCTGCCTCCTGACTTCAAGCAATTCTCCTGTCTCAGCCTCCCGAGTAGCTGGGATTACAAGCATGTGCCAGCACGTCTGGCTAATTTTTGTATTTTTAGTAGAGATGGGGCTTCGCCATGTTGGCCAGGCTGGTCTCGAACTCCTGACCTCAGGTGATCCGCCCGCCTTGGCCTCCCAAAGTGCTGGGATTACAGGCGTGAGCCACCGCACCAAGACTTGACCATGTGTTTAACCTCTTGAAGACTGTTTCCTTGGCTGTAAATGATGATATCTATCTATCGTTTAGATTTAACAGGATGATGTATACAAAGTTCCTCCTGTAATGTAGCTACTTATTAATAAATACTCTTTACTAATCATTCTTAAATACTGAGTTTTCCACTGCTAGGATTTTGCTTTTGTTGTTCCTCTTATCCCCTTTCCCTTTTCTCTGCCTGCAGAAATACTGGCTGCTGATTTGTTGTTATCATTAATTATTACTACTTTCTAGTCTTTAGTGTCAAATGAGGTTTTCCTGATTATCTCCTGTCATCTCTTAGGATACTTACGACACTCTTACTTTTGTCTTATGCTTTGCTTGCCTAATTTGCCCACTTCCTCCTTACTTAGTCTGTAAATTTTTTGAAAATTGGGACCATCTTACTCATCTTGATAACCCTATTGGCACTTACGGTACTTTTCTTCTAGGAGGCTTTTTTTTTTTTTTTTTAAAGATAAACTCTTGCTCTGTCGCCCAGGCTGGAGTGCAATGGCATGATCTGCAACCTCTGCCTCCCAGGATCAAGTGATTCTCCTGTCTCAGCCTCCCGAGTAGCTGGGATTACAGGTGTGTGCCACCAAGCCCAGCTAGGAGGCTTTTAATGTTTATTTTGTTTAATTTGTAGTCTGGCCTCTTTACCACCGTGCTTTTCTGAGGCTGTATTTGTGGAGATAACCAGGGATTTCCAAAATGCCAAAGCCAGAACCTTTTTCTCAGTTCTCCTTTCCTTGATCTCTCTGCAGTATTTAATACTGTTAATCACCTACCTTTACTTTTTTTTTTTTTTTTTTTTTTTAGGCAGAGTCTTGGACTGTTGCCCAGGCTGGAGTGCAGTGGCACGATCTTGGCTTACTGCAACCTCTGCCTCCCGCCTTCAAGGGATTCTCTTGCCTCAGCCTCCTGAGTAGCTGGGACTGCAGGCATGTGCCTCCATGCCCGGCTAATTTTTTCTATTTTTAGTGGAGATGGGGTTTCATCGTGTTAGCCAGGATGGTCTCCATCTCGTGACCTCGTGATCCACCCACCTCGGCCTCCCAAAGTGCTGGGATTACAGGTGTGAGCCACCATGCCCGGCCATCACCTACCTACCTTTATTTAAAACTGTTGGTCTCCATGGCTTAGCATGTCCTGGTCTTCCTTTCCTATGAATCATTTCCTGTTGTTGCTGTCACCTTTTCTTCCTTGAGGGAAATGATTATGATCATTATTTCAGGGTCATTCCTCCAGCTCTCATCTTCTCTTTGTTATATTTTCTCTGTGTTGGAAACCACATCCAGGTCTTATTTTGGCCCTGAGATCATCCGCAGGCTGAGACCTGTGACTTAGATCTCTTTTCTTATTTGAAAAAGGTCTCATACCTTTAACAACCATGTCCCCTACCTCTTTGGAGTTCCTCCATGCCTTGCTATGTTGTCTTTTCACTGTCTACCTGCAACCCCTGGAAACAAGGACCCTTTCAGTGTAAGAGTTTTTATTGCTGACAGACTTAAGGAAATAGATTGAGAATTAAAAAACGGCAGATGTGAGAAAATGACAAAGCTTAAAAAGATTCTTACAGTAGCAGTCCCCAATCTCTAGTTTTTGACTCTCTGCAAGATATTATCTGAAAGTCCTGATATTTTGCCCTTGGTTTTTATTTCTAGGGGTGGGAACCGCCAAACCTCTCCCTTCTTTTTGACTTCACCCTTGGATACCATCAAGGCCAGAGGATGGAACCAAGATAACATAAAATAGGTGCTCCTTTGTGATAATGGGCTATTTGTATCTCTGAGGGCTTCCACACAGGATGGCCATTCAAGAAGCTTCTGCTCTGCCTTTCATTACAGTCTATCTTTAGTCCTCCTAAACCTTCAGCTATAATCTCTATGCAATCAACTTAAATATATGTTTGTAGTATTGTCCCTTTCTCCCAAATTCCATGTAAAACACTTGCCTGAATTGAATTGTTTCCACAAAGTTGTTTTCCCCTGTGGACTTTGTTTATATCAGTAGTTTTTATTTTCCCAATTTTCCAAATTCAAGAGTGATAATTATAAATAGTTGTGTTCTTGTTTGTTATCTTTCTCACTAGAATGTATACTCTAAGAAGGCAAGAACCTTGCTTGCTTTATTCATTGTTGTATTCCTAGCTTCTGTTACAGTGTCTGGCACAAGAGTAAGTGCTCAATAAAAATTTAAAATCCACGTGTGAATAAATGTGATTACCATGTGCCCTACCGTATATTGAGAAAAATAAGAATACATGTGAAAAGCACGAGATTAAATCCACTGTGTCACTGTTTTGATTATTTCCTCTCTAATTCACATCTTGGTAAGTCTTTGGATCCTGTTGATTTAATCTTCACAATGAATTTCTCCTTCATTTTCCTTTCATTACCTGTAGAAACCATCGAAGTCAAGTCTTTTCACATTGCAGCTGTTGTTTTCATTTTCTCTACCTTTAGTTTATGGTACACATTTTTCAGTTTAATCTTAAATCATTGCTTTGAACAGATCACCTGTACTCCCTTATTGGCCATCAGTATTCTACAGCTTAAGGCTTCAGTCCAAACTCAGTGGAGGTTGGAGACCTTTCATAGTCTCACTAATTTACCCTGAGTCTCTTTTCACGTTACATATGCTTTTTGCCCAGAACATTCTGGATTCTTGCTCTTCCCTGATGAGATACTCACATTTATTCATTAATTCAGTCCATATTTACTGTCTTCTGTGGGCCAGGCTCTTTGCTACAAAGTTCAAAGACAGTTTCTGCTTTCCAACAAGCAAATAATTATGTTAAGCATTAGAGCATGATAAAAGCTAAAACAGGTGCTGCGAGTGCACAGAAAGCAAGTTTTAACCTGGCTTGGCGTAAGGAAGTCAGGAAGGCTGCCTTGAGTTGATACTTGAATTTGACCTTTAAAGACCAATGGGAATGAACTTAAGATAAGCAAATATAGTCTATTCCAGGCCAGAGGAAGCAAAAGCAAAAAGGTACAGAGAATAGAGACATGGGTCAGGTTGAGATTTGTGAATATTTTAGTTTCTATTTTTTTTTTTTCTTTTGAGACGGAGTTTTGCTCTTGTTGCCCAGGCTGGAGTGCAATGGCGTGATCTTGGCTCACTGCAACCTCCGCCTCCCGGGTTCAAGTGATTCTCCTGCCTCAGGCTCCCAAGTAGCTGGGATTACAGGAGCTTGCCACAGTGACCTGCTAATTTTTGTATTTTAGTAGAAATGGGGTTTCTCCATGTTGGCCAGGCTGGTCTCGAACTCCTGACCTCAGATGATCCACCCGCCTCCGCCTCCCAAAGTGCTGGGATTACATACGTGAACCACTGCACCCAGCCAAATATTTGTTTCTAGAGCAGAGAGTATGGTGGCTTTATGCTAAGAGGCTGAAAACTAGCAAGAGGTAAATCAAGAAGGCCTTTTTTTTTTCCCCCCTCTTGCGGAGTTTTGCTCCTGTTGCCCAGGCTGGAGTGCGATGGCACGATCTTGGCTCACTGCAGCCTCTGCCTCCCAAGTTCAAGCAATTCTCCTGCCTCAGCCTCCCAAGTAGCTGGGATTACAGGCGTGAGCCACCACGCCTGGCCTAATGGAAATTTTTAACAGAAAAGTTATCTTATCACCCCAATAGAATTTTCATTATTGCATGTTCTTTTCTTTTTTTAATTTTTTGAGGTGGAGTCTCGCTCTATCACCCAGGCTGGAGTGCAGTGGCGTGATCTCGGTTCACTGCAACCTCCACTTCCCAGACTCAAGTGATTGTCCCACCTTAGCCTCCTGAGTAGCTGGGACTACAGGCATGCACCACCATGCCCAGCTAATTTTTTTTTTTATTTTCGTAGAGATAGGGTTTCACCATGTTGGCCGGGCTGGTCTCGAATTCCTGACCTCAGGTGACCCACCTGCCTCGGCTTCCCAAAGTGTTGGCATTACAGGCATGAGCCACTATACCCTGCCTTGCACATTATTTTCAAAAAAGTTTTTAAAATAGAGATAGGGTCTCAATATGTTGTCCAAGACTCAATTGATCCTACCACATGAGGACTAAGCTCTGACTTTTTTTATCTTGCCAAAATTCCTATCTAAGGGGTCTGGGGAGTCATGCCCTACAAACCATAAGTTCTCATCAGATGGGTTATTTAACCCTGTATCTCCCCTCCCCTCCCCTCCCCTTCTCTTTTCTTGATGGAGTTTCGCTCTTGTCACCCAGGCTAGAGTGCAGTGGCGCAGTCTCGGCTCATTGCAACCTCCCCCTCCTGGGATCAAGTGATTCTCCTGCCTCAGCCTCCCGAGTAGCTGGGATTACAGGCGCCCGCCACCACTCCCAGCTAATTTTTGTATTTTTACTAGAGACAGCGTTTCACCATGTTGGCCAGGCTGGTTTTAAACTCCTGACCTCAGGTGATCCACCCACCTTGGCCTCCCAAAGTGCTGTGATTACAGGCGTGAGCCACCATGGCTGGCCTCGTTACTTACTTTTCAATTTGACTCTGACATAACAAGAAAATAAAAATATTTTACCCCAAAACATGTTTCTTGCCGTATCTTAAAATGGCTCTGCAAAGCCGACCTTTGTAGGGGAAACTGCATCTGTAAAAAATCTCTATTAACAGGCCGGGCTCAGTCACTCACACCTATAATCTCAGCACTTTGGGAGGCCGAGGCGGGTGGATCACATGAGGTCAGGAGTTCAAGACCAGCTTGGCCAACATGGCAAAACCCCATCTCTACTTAAAAATATATAAAAATTAGCCGGACGTGGTGGCACACATCTGTAATCCCAGCTACTCGGGAGGCTGAGGCAGGAGAATCGTTTGAACCTGGGAGGCGGAGGTTGCAGTGAGCAGAGATGGTGCCACTGCACTCCAGCCTGGGCTACAAGAGCAAAGCTCCATCTCAAAAAAATAAATAAATAAATAAAATTCTGTATTAACATAGCTAGATCTATTTCTTCCAGGCTCTCCCAATGCCGAAGAGGTTAACTAAAAGTCTAGCACCTTTTAAAGAACTGAATAGGAAACGTTTGTCATCTGTTGTCTCTAAGGGTAGCCACCATAAGACTTCAAAAGAACCTTGGTCTCCACAATCTTTTATCTGAACCTGAACCTTTCTATCGATCTCAGGCCTTTAGACAAACTCAACCAATTGTCAACCAGAAATGTTTAAATTTACCTATAGCCTGGAAGCCCCCTGCTTTGAGTCATCCCACCTTTCTGAACCAAACCAATGTATTTCTTAAATGTATTTGAGTGATGTCTCATGCCTCCCTAAAATATATAAAACCAGGTGTGGTGGCTCACGCCTGCAATCCCAACACTTTGGGAGGCTGAGGTGGGTGGATCACCTGAGGTCAGGAGTTTGAGACCAGCCTGGCCAACATGGCGAAACCCTGTCTCTACTAAAAATACAAAAAATTAGCTGGGCGTGGTAGTGGGCTCCTGTAGTCCCAGGTACTCGGGAGACTGAGGCAAGAGAATCACTTGAACCCAGGAGGCGGAGGTTGCAGTGAGCCAAGATCATGCCACTACACTCCAGCCTGGGCAACAGGGTTAGACTGTGTCAAAAAACAAAAACAGTAATTAGCCAGGTGTGGTGATGCGCTGTAGTCCCAGCTACTCGGCAGGCTGAGGCAGGAAAATCACTTTAACCGGGGAGGCGGAGATTGCAGTGAGCCGGGATCGGGCTACTGCACTCCAGCCTGAGAGACAGAGTGAGATTCCGTCTCAAAAAAAATTTTATATATATATATATATATATATATATATATATATGTATAAAACCAAGCCGTACCTCAAGCACCTAGGGCACATGTTCTCAGGACCTCCTAAGGTCAGTGTCAGAGGCCATGGTCACTTATATTTGGCTCAGAATCTCTAAAAATATTTTACAGAGTTTGACTCTTTTCATCAACACAGGTCACCCTCCTGAGTAGCTGGTAGCACAGGTACATGCCACTAACCATACACAGCTAATTTTTGTATAGTTCGTAAAGACAGGGGTCTCCCTATGTTGCTCAGGCTGGTCTTGAATGCCTGGGCTCAAGGGATCCTCCCATCTTGGCCTCCCAAAGTGCTGGGATTACAGCCATGAGCCACTGTGCCTGACCTTTCGCTATTTATTGATAATGCTTATCATATTCATATGATTATCTCTTCCTCTCTTTTTTGTTTTTATTTTTTCCGATAGTAACTGTTTATGGTAAATTGTGGACATTGAGATTACTAAAATAAAAAGTGTACTGAATTATCTTTGATTTCTTATCCTCTTACTCCTTCCCTAGTTAGTGAATTACCAAATGTTGATTCTTTGATAATGTATCTGCCCTTAGTCTCTTACGTTCCAGTGCCCCTGTTTCAGCCAATTCTGTCCCTTCATGCCAGGATTATCACAATATTTTTTCCCTAACTAGTTTCCATGTCTCTGGTGTTTTTTTTTTTTTTCCAAGTCACCCTTTTATTATGCTAGATTAAATACTCTGAAACACTGCTTTGTATAAAGGATTCATTCATTTATTCAAAGCCCTAAGACAATACTTCGCATAAAGGATTAATTCATTTGACAAATATTTGTTGAGTGCATGCCATGTGCCAGATATTAAAATCTTTAACTGGTATTCAAGGTCTGAACATTCCAGCCCTTGTCTCTGGCTCAGCCTGACTGGTCTATTTGTCGTTGCCTGAAAATGCTATCTACATTCCCATGCGTGAGTTTTTGTTTGAGAACGAACTGTTTCTAATCTACTCTGTCTCCCTTTTTGTTTAGTTTGACTCTTCCTTCAAAGCCCAGCTCTTGTCTCAGTCCTCCCTCCAGGAAGCCTCCTAGTTTTTTTTCTTTGGTTTTTATTCTTGTCACAGCTGGGCAAAAAATATCCATAGTAGTTATGTTTTACTCACCCAGTAAAGTCCAAAGTTCTTGACCTTGTTTTTAAGGCTTTCTGCGATTACCCCATTTTTCATTTCCAACCAGGCTTCCTATTCCCTAACATGAACTGTCTCATTCACCTGAACCTCTCAACTTTCTGTTCCCTACTCACGCCCATTCCCACATCCATGCCTTTCTTTGCTCAAGTTTGAGCCCCTTTGCTCATGATTTTTCTTTCTTCCATGCCCTCCACCTGTCGAATCACCCATTGCCTTTAACAACTTTTTTTGTTTTATTTTATTTTTTTTTTGGAGACAGAGTCTTGCTCTGTCACCCAGGCTGGAGTGCAATGGTATGATCTTGGCTCACTGCAGCCTCCGCCTCCTGGGCTCAAGTGATTCTCCTGCCTCAGCCTCTGGAGTAGCTGGGATTACAGACGCCCAGCCACCACTCCTGGCTATTTTTTGTATTTTAGTAGAGATGGGGTTTCACAATTTTGGCCAGGCTGGTCTCGAACTCCTGATCTCAGGTGATCTGCCTGCCTCGGCCTCGCAAAGTGGTAGGAGTACAGGAGTGGGCCCGTGCGCCTGGACTTTTTTGTTTTAATGTATTAATGATATTTGCATTTTGAACAAAAAACCAATTCATGTAATAATATATAATTCATGTAGGAGGCCCTAGACATTTATTTTAAAAGTCTTTTTTTCTTTTTTCTTTCTTCTTTTTTTTTTTTTGAGAAAGATTTTCACTCTGTTGCCCAAGCTGGAGTGCAGTAGCACGATATTGGCTCACTGCAAACTCCACCTCCTGGGCTCAAGCAATTCTTATGCCTCTGCGTCCCCAGTAGCTGGGATTACAAACGTGCCACCATGCCCAGCTAATTTTTTTATTTTTATTTATTTTACTTATTTTTACTTTTTGAGATGGAGTCTTTCTCTGTCGCCCAGGTTGGAGTGCAGCGGTGCAATCTTGGCTCACTGCAACCTCCACCTCCCGGGTTCAAGTGATTCTCCTGCCTTACCCTCCCAAGTAGCTGGGATTAAAGGCGCCCGCCACCACGCCTGGATATTTTTTGTATTTTTGTAGAGACAGGGTTTCACCATGTTGGCCAGGCTGGTCTCGAACTCCTGACCTCAAGTAATCCGCCCACCTCAGCCTCCCAAAGTGCTGGGATTACAGGCATGAGCCACCATGCCCAGCCTTATTTTTTATTTTTTATTTTTTTGAGACGGAGTCTCGCTCTGTTGCCCAGGTTGGAGTGCAATGACATGATCTTGACCTACTGCAACCCCACTTCCCGGGTTCAAGTGATTTTCCTGCCTCAGCCTCCTGAGTAGCTGAGACTACAGGCACTTGCCACCACACCCAGCTAATTTTTGTGTTTTTAATGGAGATGGGGTTTCACCATGTTGGCCAGGCTGGTCTCGAACTCCTGACCTTAAGTGATCCACTCACCTCAGCTTCCCAAAGTGCTGGGATTACAGGTGTGCACCACTGCGCCTGGCCTCCAATTTTTTTTTTTTTTTTTCCCAGACGAAGTCTCGCTCTGTCACCAGGCTGGAGTGCAGTGGCTCAATCTCGGCTTACTGCAACCTCCAACCCCCTGTTTCAAGTGATTCTCCTGCTTCAACCTCCCAAGTAGCTGGGATTACAAGCGCATGCCGCCGTGCCCGGCTAATTTTTTTTTTTTTTTTTTTTTGTATTTATGTAGAGACAGGGTTTTGTATGTAGAGACAGGGTTTCACCATGTTGTCCAGGCTGGTTTTGAACTCCTGAGTTCAGGCAATCCACCTGCCTCGGCCTCCCAAAGTGCTGGGATTACAGGTGTGAGCCACCTTGCCTTGCCAATTTTTGTATTTTTAGTAGAGGCAGGGTTTTGCCATATTGGCCAGGCTGGTCTGGAACTCCTGGACTTGTGTGATCCACCCACTTCAACCTCCCAAATTGCTGGGATTACAGGTGTGAACCGCCGCATCTGGCCTTAAAAATCTTTTTTCTTTATTTTTACAAAAGTAATACTTAAAATAAGAGAGCTACAACAAAACATATATATATATATATATATGTTAACTTTCTCTCTTAACATATATATATATATGTTTGATATGTATTAACAGTTTGGTATGTGTCCTTGCACACCTTTTTCTTTGTCCCTGTACACAGACTACATGTCTTTAAGTGTTGCCCTTTACTCCAACAAGAATAGTACCATACTGGCTGGGTGCGGTGGCTCACACCTGTAATCTCAGGACTTTGGGAGGCCGAGGCGGGTGGATCACCTGAGGTCGGGAGTTTGCTACCAGCCTGACCAATACAGAGAAATCCCGTCTCTACTAAAAACACAAAATTAGCCAGGTATTGTGGTGCATGCCTGTAATCCCAGCTACTCAGGAGGCTGAGGCAGGAGAATCACTTGAATCTGGGAGGAGGAGGTTGCAGTGAGCCGAGACTGCACCATTGCACTCCAGCCTGGGCAACAAGAGCGAAACTCCATCTCAAAATCAATCAATAAATAAATAAAATAAAATAGTACCATACTCTATATCAGCGATTCTCAAAGTGTGGTTCAGGACCCTTAAGGGGGTCCCTGAGACTCTTTCAGAAGGTCTGCAAGCAAAACTATTCTCATAATCATGCTTATTTATTTGTCTTTTTCATGGGGTTGACTTTGCACCAATGGTGCAAAAGACATGGTTGGTGAAACTGCTGGCCCTGTAAGCATGCATTTGTCAGGGCAGTGGCACCAAATTATACTAATCATTTTGTTCTTCACTGCCACACACTTGCTGTAAATGCCAGTTTCACCTAAGGATATCATTGATGATACAATGAAAATGATTAATTGTATTAAGCCCAGCCCTTGAATACATATTTTTTTAATGTTCTCTGTGACTCATGGGAAGTAAGCATGAAACACTTCTGCTGCATACCGAAGTAGGATGGTTGTCTGAATTGCAAGCTGAACAAACTTTCTTCTCATGGAGCAGTATTTTTTACTTGAAAAAAAAAAACACTGACAAACTATGGTAATTCAGACCTGACTATCCAATGATCATTTTCCTGAAAATGAAGGAAGTGAAAGTGAAGGAAAACAACTGATAGTTTTTCTCGCCAATGATAAAATTCAAACACTTAGGTGAAAATTAGAATTTTGGAAAACTTATTTATTTTATATTATATATAATAATATATATATCTATTAGATATATATAATAATATATATATCTATTAGATATATATAATAATATATATATCTATTAGATATATATAATAATATATATATCTAATAGATATATATATATCTAATATATAATATATATATCTAATATATATAGAAAATTAGAATTTTTGAAAACTTATTTATTTTATATAATAATAATAATATATATATAATATAAAATAAATTTTCCAAAATTCTATAAAATATATATATATATACATATATATATATTTTTTAATTGGGTTGGAGTCTCGCTCTGTCACCCAGGCTGGAGTGCAGTGGCGCAATCTCCACTCACTGCAACCTCCGCCTCGTGGGTTCAAGCAGTTCTCCCTGCCTCAGCCTCCCGGGTAGCTAGGATTACAGGCGCCTGCCACCACGCCCAGCTAATTTTTGTATTTTTAGTAGAGACAGGGTTTTGTCATATTAGCCAGGCTGCTCTCGAACTCCTGACCTCAGATGATCCGCCCGCCTCAGCCTCTCAAAGTGTTGGGATTACAGGCATGAGCTACTGTGCCCTGCCAAGAATTTTGGAAAACTTATATTTCCCATTCTGAGCTTGATAGCTTCCATGTACTTAAATACTTTAGTGATGAGATTAATGAATATGATCTCTTTTAAATATTGTATAATAGGCCAGGCACGGTGGCTCACACCTGTAATCCCAGCACTTTGGGAGGCTGAGGCAGGCGGATAATGAGGTCAGGAGATTGAGACCATTCTGGCTAACATGGTGAAACCCCGTCTTTATTAAAAATACAAAAAAAAAAAAAATTAGCCAGGTGTGGTGGCAGGCGCCTGTAGTCCCAGCTACTCGGGAGGCTGAGGCAGGAGAATGGCGTGAACCCGGGAGGCAGAGCTTGCAGTGAGCCGAGATTGCGCCACTGCACTCCAGCCTGGGCGACAGAGCGAGACTCTGTCTCAAAATAAATAAATAAATAAATATAAATAAATATTGTATAATGATATGCATATTATAAAATAACAGTGTAAAGGGGGTCCTGAAATAAAAAAAGTTAGAGGACCACTACTCCACATGTTATCCTGCAGCTTGCTTTTTCACTTAGTGTATCTTGAACACTAGTCAGTGTCAGAACATTTATTTTATTTTTTTTGAGACTCACTGCAACCTCTGCCTCCCAGGTTCAAGCGATTCTCGTGCCTCGGCCTCCCCAGTAGCTGGGATTACAGACGTGTGCCATCACACCCGGCTAATTTTTGTATTTTTAGTAGAGACAGGGTTTCACCATGTTGGCCAGGCTGGTCTCGAACTCCACTTGATGGCCTTTTAAGTTGCTTTCAGCTTTTTGCTAATTTTTTTTCTTTTTTTTTTTTTTTTTTTTTTTTGAGATGGAGTCTCACTCCGTTGCCCAGGCTGGAGTGCAGTGGCGCAATCTCTGCCCACTGCAATGTCCGCCTCCTGGGTTCAAGTGATTTGCCTGCCTCAGCCTCCTGAGTAGCTGGGACTACAGGCGCTCTCTAGCATGCCCAGCTAATTTTTTTTTGTATTTTTATTAGAGACGGGGTTTCACTATGTTGGTCAGGCTGGTCTCGAACTCCTGACCTCGTGATTCAACCCCCTCGGCCTCCCAAAGTGCTGGGATTATAGGCATGAGCCACCGTGCCTGGCCAGCTTTTTGCTAATTTAAATCATGCATCAACGAATACCCTTTAAAGGCCAGGCGCTGTGGCTCATGCCTATAATCCCAGCAATTTGGGAGGCCGAGGCGGGCGGATCACCTGAGGTCAGGAGTTCGAGACTAGCCTGGCTGACATGGCGAAACCCATTTCTACTAATAATACAAAAATTAGCCGGATGTGGTGGCAGGGGCCTGTAATCCTAGCTACTCGGGAGGCTGAGGCAGGAGAATCACCTAACCTGGGAGGTGGAGGTTGTGGTGAGCTGAGATTGCACCACTGCACTCCAGCCTTGGTGACAGAGTGAAACTCCATCTAAAAACAAAACAAAATGAAACAAAAACCAAATACCCTTTAAATACATCCTCGTGTACTGGTGTGTATGTATCTATGGTATGAATTCCTAAAAGTTGACCTATTTTTTTAAGTTCCATCTAAATAAAATTTCTCCTTTACAACATCCGCTATTGTCATTTCTCCTCCCCGTGGTTTTTGTGTCTTTTTAGCCTCTTGTTCATTTACTGCCTTTCATGTTCCCATGCTATTGCCTTGGTTTTTTAACAAAATTCTTCCTCTGTGCCTATCCTGTCTTACCTACAAATAGAATCTTCTTGAGGGCAAGGATGGTTTCTTGTACGGTGTATTGGCACTCGGTAAATAAATAATGAGAGAGGGATTGAGTGTTGGTATGAGAAAAGGAGCCTAATGGTTGCATTTGGATGAATGGGTGCTGAGAGATGGTATGTACATTTATACATTCTTGTCTCATCTTGTAAAATGTTTGAAAATAAGAGTAATTTTCAACTTGATTTTTCTTATTTTAGGCAAGTATATCGCGTCAACACAGCGACCTGACGGGACCTGGCGCAAGCAGCGGAGGGTGAAAGAAGGATATGTGCCCCAGGAGGAGGTCCCAGTGTACGTGGTTAGGCTTTGCGTAGGGGTTTTCTGATGGGGTCCCTACAGAAGGATAGAATATCCTTATGCCTACAAGTTCAGGGAGGACTCTCCTAAGCCCCAAGGAAATGGAAGGAGGGGCAACTATCTGAGAAAGGAGAGAAAGAGTCTGGGATTCAGGGATGAGTGAGGGTTACAGATCACTAGTCCTATACTTTTGACCTCTGTTCATTAGAACCTCCAGAGCTTTAGGTTCTAGGGACTTCGCTGCATCTTTCCTGCAGAGCAGAGGAAAGTTGGGGAGGGACCATAAAGAGAGAAAGGTGGTCAGGCCCAGTGGCCTACATCTGTAATCTGAGCACTTTGGGAGGCCTAGGCAGGTGGATTACTTGAGGTCAGGAGTTCAAGAACAGCCTCCCCAAAGTGGTGAAACCCCGTCTGTACTAAAAATACAAAATTACAAAATACAAACATCAGCCAGGCGTGGTGGCACGAGCCTGTAATCCCAGCTACTCAGGAGGCTGAGGCAGGAGAATCTCTTGAACCCGGGAAGTGGGAGGTTGCAGTGAGCTGAGATTGCGCCAGTGCACTTCAGCCCTGGCGACAGAGCGAGACTCTGTCTCAAAAACAAACAGGCAGGCGCAGTGGCTCTCTGTAATCCCAAGCACTTTGGGAGGCCAAGATCGGTGGATCACCTGAGGTCAGGAGTTGAAGACCAGCCTGACCAACATGGTGAAACCCCATCTCTACTAAAAATACACAGTTAGCCAGGCGTGGTGGCAGGCGCCTGTAATCCCAGCTACCCGGGAGGCTGAGGCAGGAGAATTGCTTGAACCCTGGAGGTGGAGGTTGCAGTGAGCTGAGATTGCGCCATTACACTCCAGCCTGGGCAACTGAGCGAGACTCTATCTCAAAAAACAAACAACCCCACAAAAACAACAACAAAAAAAGGAAGCAAGAATGTAATGAGGATGAAGTGTTTGGAAGTTTAAGAAAAGGGATCAAAAAGTCAGTAATTCTCTGAAACTCTTGACATCCTTTGTTTCCTGCAGATATGAAAACAAGTATGTGAAGTTTTTCAAGAGTAAACCAGAGTTGCCCCCAGGGCTAAGCCCTGAGGCCACTGCTCCTGTCACCCCATCCAGGCCTGAAGGTGGTGAACCAGGCCTCTCCAAGACAGCCAAACGTAACCTGAAGCGAAAGGAGAAGAGGCGGCAGCAGCAAGAGAAAGGAGAGGCAGAGGCCTTGAGCAGGACTCTTGATAAGGTGTCCCTGGAAGAGACAGCCCAACTCCCCAGTGCTCCACAGGGCTCTCGGGCAGCCCCCACAGCTGCATCTGACCAGCCTGACTCAGCTGCCACCACTGAGAAAGCCAAGAAGATAAAGAACCTAAAGAAGAAACTCCGGCAGGTGGAAGAGCTGCAGCAGCGGATCCAGGCTGGGGAAGTCAGCCAGCCTAGCAAAGAGCAGCTAGAAAAGCTAGCAAGGAGGAGGGCGCTAGAAGAGGAGTTAGAGGACTTGGAGTTAGGCCTCTGAGGCCTTTGGGGAATAGGGAATGGACTGCAGAACAAACCGTGGGGCTCTCTGGGGTCTGGGGGAATACGGGCAACAGCAGTCAGGAGGGGTACCCCCCATACTGGCTTACTTCCACCTCCTGCGGCCCAGCTCTGTCCTCCAGAGCCTAGCGTCTCCCTCAATCCTTCCCTTTTCTTCCCAACTTCTACTTTTTGGACTTTCCCCCTCCCATTCCCAGTGTTCAAAATCTCAGTGACTACCCCAGGTACCTTTGCTGCTGATTTGGGTGTCTTGTTTAAAAGAAAATCAGGTGGGTGGGAATCTCTTGGAGAACTGAGGCTGAGGGTAGAGGGAGTATGCCCAAGTCTTGGAGTCTTGGTTCCTGTTCGCGGTGTTTATGGGTTATTTCCCTCTCCATCCCTCATTTTTTTTTTTTTTTTAAAAAAAGCAAAAATGAGAATAAACACAAGTAGACATGTCTGGCTTTGCCTCCTTATTTTCAGCTCCTAGTAGATATTGTATCTCCTGAGTTTGGCACAGGAAGACAAGTATTGGGAGTGATTTCTTTTCTTTTCGAGACAGAGTTTTGTGCTGTTGCCCAGGTTGGAGTGCAGTGACGTAATCTGGGCTCACTGCAAACTCTGTCTCCTGAGTTCACGCAGTTCTCCTGCCTCAGCCTCCCTCCCGAGTAGCTGTGATTACAGGTGCCCACCACCACACCTGGCTAATTTTTTAGTAGAGATGGGGTTTCACCATGTTGGCCAGGCTGGTCTTGAACTCCTAATTTCAGGTGATCAACCCACCTTGGCCTCCTAAAGTGCTGGGATTTTAGGCATGAGTTACTGTGCCCAGCCGATATATATTTTTTTCTTTTTCTTTTTTTGTGAGATGGAGTCTCGCTCTGTCTGCCAGGCTGGAGTGTAGTGGCGCGGTTTCAGCTCACTGCAACCTCTGCCTCCCGGGTTCAAGCAATTCTCCTGCCTCAGCCTCCCGAGTAGCTGGGATTATAGGCACCCACCACCACACCCCCTCTAATTTTTGTATTTTTAGTAGAGACAGTTTCAGCATGTTGGCCAGGCTGGTCTCAAACTCCTGACCTCAGGTGATCCACCCAGTTCAGCCTCCCAAAGTGCTAGGATTACAGGTGTGAGCCACCACACCCAGCCCAATATTTCTTTTAATTTTTTTTTTTTCTCTTAGAAACTTCGTTGGTCCTGGAGAAAGGGAGGCAAACGGCCCCTGCCTCCCGCCGAGTGTCCCCCCAGCCCTCACTGTTTCCCGTTGCCATTGATGGGGTGGTTCAGGTGCTCAGTGGAGGCCAGGAAGGCCTTGAGCTTGGGCCGGACGCTGAGGTGTGCCATGTAGGCCGAGAGCAGGGGGAACACATCCAGGCAGCTGGTGGCCAGGACCTCATGGATCAGCAAGTCCAGCAGGTTGTAGTAAGCGAGGGATATCTGGTCGCCCACAATGAAGGCCTATCCTCCCTGGTTCTGGGACGGCAGGGTCTCAAAAGGCTTCAGTTGCCTGGGGAGTGCCTTCACATAAGTCACCCTTGCCCACCTCGTAGTTGGTATAGATGAGGGTGAGGTATTTATTTATTTACTTTATTTTTGAGACAGAGTTTCCCTCTTGTTGCCCAGGCTGGAGTGCAATGGTGCAATCTCGGCTCACTGCAACCTCCGCCTCCCGGGTTCAAGTGATTCTCCTGCCACAGCCTCCCAAGTAGCTGGGATTACAGGTGCCCACCACCAAGCCTGGCTAATTTTTTGTATTTAGTAGAGACTGGGTTTCACTATGTTGGTCAGGCTGGTCTTGAACTCCTGACCTCAGGTGATCCACCTGCCTTGGCCTCCCAAAGTGGGATTACAGGCGTGAGCCACCGAGCCCAGCCTGAGGTATTTAATTTTTTTTTTTTTGAGATGGAGTTTTGCTCTTGTTGCCCAGGCTGGAGTGCAGTGTCATGATCTCAGTTCACTTCAATGTCCACCTCCTGGGTTCAAGCGATTCTCCTGCCTCAGCCTCCTGAGTAGTTGGGATTACAGGCGTGCACCACCACGCCTGACTAATTATTTTTATTTTTATTTTTATTTTTAGTAGAGATGGGGTTTCACCATGTTGGCCAGGCTGGTCTCGAACTCCTGATCTCAGGTGATCCACCTGTCTCAACCTCCCAAAGTGCTGAGATTACAGGCGTGAGCCACTGCACCCGGCCAGAGGTATTTAATTTTTAAAAATTGTGAGTTTATGACCAAATTAGCAACACTAATTTCTGCATGTTTGCTGAGACTTCAGTAGACGAATTAGTGTTATAATCAAATGAAACTTAGAACAAATTTAACTTGACATGTTAATTTATATGTTGCCATTAGTGTGCTGAATAGCAACGGGAGTTCTGTACCTTCCTTACTGTTTCTGAAGATAATCTTATTTCACAGCTGCACCTAGGACAACTCTTTTGAAATTTCACCTTCTTAGATGCCACCCCAAGATGGCATTGTGGGGCAAATTAGTGATACATGTAGAGGAACTTACACCCAAAAGATCTGTCACTTAATTTTTACATGTCCTCTGGTTTCCATACCCTCATTTATCGCAGCCTTTTTCTCTAGCTAGCTGTGGGGGTGGAGATGAAAGGAGTGGGAAGTCAGCTGTAATGAACTATCTCAAGAGTTCAGAGTTCTTAGCCTGACTCATAAGCTCACATATAATCTGGCCCTACTTAACTCCAGCGTCATGTCTTTCCATTCTCCAACTCTGATCAAACTCATTGCTGCAGCTATACTGAACTTCTTTCAGTTCTTCAGATGAACCATATTCTGTCTGAGTCTCAGTCCTTTGCCTCTGCTTGTCCCTCTGCCTAGAACACTTCCTGACCCCCTAATGAACTTTTTTTTTAATTGATAGAAACGGGGTTTCACTATGTTACCTAGGGTGGTCTCCTGAGCTAAAGCCACCTGCCTGCTTCAGCCTCTCAAAGTGCTAGGATTACAGGCGTGAGCCACCGAGCCTGGCCCCTAATGAACTTTTTCTTAGCCTTTGGCTCTCTTAAATGTTATTCTCTCTGGGAAGCCTTCCTTTATTCATATATACACACACACACATACATATATATACACATACATATATATGTGTGTGTATATATATATACTATATATAGTGTGTATATATATGCACATATATATGTATATATACACACACACAAATAATATGTGTATATATAAATATATATATATATATATATATTTTTTTTTAGATGGAGTCTTGCTCTATTGCCCAGGCTAGAGTGCAGTGGTGCAATCTTGACTCACTGCAACCTTCGCCTCCCAGGTTCAAGCAATTCTCCTGCCTCAGCCTCCTGAGTAGCTGGGGTAACAGGCACCCAATACCATGCTCAGCTAATTTTTGTATTTGTAGTAAGAGACGAGGTTTCACCATGTTGGACAGGCTGGTCTTGAAGTCTTTTTTTTTTGAGATGGAGTCTCACCCTGTCACCCAGGCTGGAGTGCAGTGGCATGATCCTGGCTCACTGCAACCTCTGCCTCACAGGTTCAAGTGATTCTCCTGTCTCGGCCTCCTGAGTAGCTGGGATTACAGGCGTGTGCCACCACACCGGGCTAATTTTTGTATTTTTAGTAGAGACGGGGTTTCATCATGTTGGCCAGGCTGGTCTCGAACTCCTGACCTCAGGTGATCCGCCTGCCTTGTACTCTCAAATGTTAATTTATGCACCTTTATTTGCTTCCTTTTTAACTCCAAACTTACTTTTTTTTTTTTTTGAGACAGTCTTGCTCTGTCACCCAGGCTGGAGTGCAGTGGCGCGACCTCGGCTCACTGCAGCCTCTGCCTCCTGGGTTCAAGTGATTCTCCTGCCTCAGCCTCCCAAGTAGCTGGGACTACAGGCTCACGCCACCACACCCAGCCTTCTTCTTTTTTTTTTTTTTATTTTTTTTTTTGAGATGGAGTTTTGCTGTTGTTGCCCAGGCTGGAGTGCAATGGTGTGATCTCAGATCACTGCAAACTCTGCCTCCCAGGTTCAAGTGATTCTCCTGCCTCAGCCTCCCAAGTAGCTGGGATTACAGGTGTGTGCCACCATGTCTGGCTAATTTTGTATTTTTAGTAGAGACAGAGTTTCACCATGTTGGTCAGGCTGGTCTTGAATTCCTGACATCAAGCGATCCACCAGCCTTGGCATCTCAAAGTGCTGGGATTACAGGCGTGAGCCACCATTCCTGGCTTCTTTTTTTTTTTTTTTTTTTTCAGATGAAGTCTCACTCTTGTCATCAGGCTGGAGTGCAGTGGCGTGATCTCAGCTCACTGTCACCTCCACCTTCCAGGTCCAAGCGATTCTCCTATATCAGCCTCCTGAGTAGCTGGGATTATAGGCGTGCACCACCATGCTTGGCTAATTTTTTTTTTTTTTAATTTTTAGTAGATACAGGTTTTACCATATTTGCTAGGCTGGGTTTGAACTCCTGACCTCAAGTGAGTGCCCGCCTCAGCCTTCCAAAGTGCTGGGATTACAGGCGTGAGCCACTGCGCCCAGCTCAAACTTAACTTTTGTAGTAGCATTTATTTTTTATTTTTTTCTAAGATAAAGTTTTGCTTTTGTTGCCCAGGCTGGAGCACAATCTCAGCTCACCATGACCTCCGCCTCCCGGCTTCCAGCAATTCTCCTGCCTCAGCCTCCCGAGTAGCTGGAATTATAGGCATGCACCACCACGCCTGGCTGATTTTTGTATTTTTAGTAGAGACAGGGTTTCTCCACGTTGGTCAGGCTGGTCTCAAACTCCCAACCTCAGGTGATCCGCCAGCCTCAGCCCCACAAAGTGCTGGGATTACAGGCGTGAGCCTCTGTGCCCAGCCAGCCCTCCTCCTTATTAAACTATGAACTCCTCAAGCCCTGGGATTGTATTTATCATCATTGCATCCTCAGTCCCTGACATAGTACATTCTCAAATATTTGACTGAATGAGGCTGCAAGTCATGTGCAGAACAGAAGATGGGGGATAATTAGTGCCTCACGCACAGCTGAACAGTTAATGAGTACTTGACTGAGCACCCCAGTCAAGTGTGAGACCAAAAGCAGCCTGAGTTCCCTTTCATAGGATCCCTATAAAATTATAGAGATTTTATATGTGAGATTTAATTGGCTTATACAGAGATGTTTGATGCTTTGTAAATTTAGATATCTTACAGGAATCTATACTTTAAAAACCATTATTGGCCAGGCTCAGTGGCTCATGCCTGTAATCCCAGCACTTTGGGAGGCCGAGGCGGGTGGATAACCTGAGGTCAGGAGTTCGAGACCAGCCTGGCCAATGTGGTGAAACCCCCTCTTTACTAGGAAATACAAAAATTAGCCAGGTGTGGTGACACGCGCCTGTAATCCCAGCTACCCGGGAGACTGAGGGAGGAGAATTGCTTGAACTGGGAAGCAGAGCTTGCAGTAAGCCAAGTTCATGCCACTGCACTCCAGCCTGGGCAACAGAGCGAGAATCTGTCTCAAAAAAAAAAAAAAGTTAACTGTAAAACAGCCTCAGGAAGATCCTTCAGGAGATATTCTAGAAGGAGGCATTGTTATAGGAGATGACAGCACCATGTGTGTTATTGCCCCAGAAAACCTTCCAGTGGGACAAAATGTGGTGGTGGAAGACAGTGATATTGATGATCCTGATCCTGTGTAGGCCTAAGCTAATATGTCTGTTAGCTTTTGTTTTTGTTTTTGTGAGGCAGCACCTCTCTGTCATTCAAGCTGGAGTGCAGTGGTGAAAACACAGCTAAGTGCAGCCTTGACTTCTGGGCTCAAGTGATCCTTCTGCCTCAGCCTCCTATGTAGCTGGGACCATAGGCTTACTCCATCATGCTCAGTTAATTTTCTTTTTTTTTTGAGACAGAGTCTTGCTCTGTTGCCCAGGCTGGAGTGCAGTGACACGATCTAGGCTCACTGCAACCTCCACCTCCCGGGTTCAAATGATTCTCCTGCCTCAGCCTCCCCAGTAGCTGGGATTACAGGTGCACCACCATGCCTGGCTAATTTTTGTATTTTTAGTAGATACGGGGTCTCACCATGTTGTCTAGGCTGGTCTCTAACTCCTGACTTCAAGTGATCTGCCTGCATCGGCCTCCCAAAGTGCTGGGATACAGGCATGAGCCACCACTCCCGGCCTTCTTTTTTTGAGACAGGATCTCTGTCACCTAGGCTGGAGTGCAGTGGTACGATAACGGCTTACTGCAGCCTTAAATCCTTGGACTCAGGTGATCCTCCCACTTCAGCGTCCTTAGTAGCTGGGACTACAGGTATGTGCCACCACACTCCGCTAATTTTTTAAATTTTTTTCTAGAGATGGGTTCTGACTATGTTGCTCAGGCTGGTCTCAAACTCCTAGGCTCAAGCAGTCAGCCCACCTCAACTTCCGAAAGTGCTGGGATTACAGGCATGAGCCACTACGCCCAGCTCCCATGTCTTAGGGGTTTTTTTTTTGTTTGTTTGTTTTTGTTTTGTTTTGTTTTTTGAGATGGAGTCTCCCTCTGTCACCCAGGCTGTAGTGCAGTGATGCTATCTTGGCTCACTGCAACCTCTGCCTCCTGAGTTCAAGAAATTCTCCTCCCTCAGCCTCCCTGAGTAGCTGGGACTACGGCGTGTGTCACCACGCCCAATTATGTTTTTTTTTTGTATTTTTAGTGGAGACTAAAAGTTACTAAAACATTACTAAAAGTTACTGCGCCCTGTCCCATGTCTTAGTTTTTAACAAAAAAGTTTATACAATACAAATAAAATAAAAATTTTTTAAATAGAAAAAAGAGTCGGGCGTGGTGGCTCACGCCTTGTAATCCCAGCACTTTGGGAGGCCGAGGCGGGTGGATCACTTGAGATCAGGAGTTCAAGACCAGCCTGGCCAACATGGTGAAACCCGGTCTCTACTAAAAATACAAAAAAATTAGCTGGGCACTGTGGTGTGTGCCTGTAATCCCAGCTACTCAGGAGGCTGAGGCAGGAAAATTGCTTGAACCCAGGAGGCAGAGGTTGCAGTGATCCGAGATCACGCCACTGCACTCCAGCTTGGGTAACAGAGCAAGACACCATCTCAAAATAAATAAGTAAATAAATAAAAATAGAAAAAAGCTTATAGAATAAGGATATAAAGAAATATTTTTGTACGGCTGTACAATGTGTTTCTGTTTTAAGCTAAGTGTTTTTTACAAAAGAGTCAAAAAGTTAACAAAAAATTTAAAAGTTTGTAAAGTAAAAACATCAGTTGGGTGTAGTGGCTCACGCCCGTAATCCCAACACTTTGGGAGGCCGAGGTGGGTTTATCACTTGATGCCAGGAGTTCGAGACCAGCCTGGCCAACAAGGTGAAACTCTGTCTCTACTAAAAAGACAAAAACTTAGCCAGGTGTGGTGGTGTGTGCCTGTAATCCCAGCTTCTCGGGAGGCTGAAGCAGGAGAATCACTTGAACCCGGGAGGTGGAGGTTGCAGTGAGCTGAAATTGCACCACTGCACTCTACTGGGTGACACAGTGAGACTCCATCTCAAAAAAGAAAAAAGAAAAAAAAAAACTTATAGTAAACTAAGGTTAAATTATTATTGAAGAAAAATACTTTCTTATAAATTTAGTGCAGGCTAAGTATACTTTAATAAAGTCTACAGCAGTGTACAATAATGTCCTAGGCCTTCACATTCACTCACTGACTCACCCAGAGCAACTTCTAGTCCTGCAAGCTCCATTCATGGTGTACCATTTTTTACCTTTTATATCCTAATTTTTCTGTACCTTTTCTATGTTTACATGTTTAGATACACAAATAAATTACTATTGTGTTACATTTGCCTACAGTATTCAGTAGATGCTTGTATATGCCATAGGGGTTTGTAGCCTAAGAGCAATAGGCCATACTATATAACCTAGGTGTGTAGGAGGTTATACCATCTAGTATGTAAGTACACTCTATAATGTTTGCACAGTGATGAAAAGGCCTAATGATGCATTTCTCAGAACACATCTCTGTTGCTAAGCAACACATAACTGTACATAATACTATATATATATATAATAAATTTGATAGCCACTGATAACAATCAATTGTGAGAGGCTGAGGTATCACGCATCCTTTCCTTCTTCTGGTTCCTATATTTGGGATGTGTGAGGTAGAAGGATATTATTTTAATTACTTCCCCAATGGGCCCGTGTAGTTTATGGCAAATTAAATTATCCCTTGACTTTCTTTTCTATTTCTAAGGCTATTTATTTAATCTTGCTCTCCGCCTTGCATGTGATTCTCTCATGATGTGCAAATAGCAAGATTCTAGGGATCTGGAAGTGAGTTGTTTTAGGACTGGTCATTTACTTTCATGGGCTCAGAACCTATGTGTTAGTTTATTATTGTCCACTAGGTCGTACTAGGAGGAGCCAATGTTTGCAAGTTACCTTGACCCTAAACTCCAGCTTTTTTTCAGAGTAGCAGATAGGTTTATTTTGTTAGATAATTTTTTCTCCCCAGGCTCCCAATAATTTCAGGAAAGGGTATCTAGATCTTCCTCTCCTTCCCAAATATAACCTAGATGAACAAATTGAGGAGGATAGAAAATCTAAGATGAAGCAGGTACATTTTTTGGTCAATATTGCCACCTCTTAAAGATCAGGAATGCATTCCATTCTCTCCTGGAGATTAAAGAAGATGTTCTATTGCAGTGGAAGGGATAGGGGTTATACCCCAAATGAACAACTGGCTGTGTGGGGTAATATAATTGGCTGAGAGGAGGAGAAAAAGGAAATGTTAAAGGATCTCTTCTTTGGGAAAGCAACAAGTCATAGAATTTGAATAAATGAAAATATTGAATATAAAAACATTTTTCAAGAGCATTCTATAGGCCAGAATAATAGAAAGTTGAATAAATTTTCCTTTCTAGAAACTAAAGGGAAACACAGGTCAATACCCAACCACAATACAAGGTGATAAGTACCCTAATAGGGACATACACAGGGTGCTATGGAAGCAGAGAGTGGACTCTTTTTTTGAGACAGAGTCTTGCTCTTGTCGCCCAGGCTGGAGTGCAGTGGCGCAATCTCAGCTCACTACAACCTCCATCTCCCGGGTTCAAGCGATTCTCCTGCCTCAGCCTCCTGAGTAACTGGGATTACAGGTGTGCACCACCACGCCCAGCTAATTTTTGTACTTTTAGTAGAGATGGGGTTTCATCATGTTGGCCAGGCTGGTCTCGAACTCCTGACCTCAAGTGATCCGCCCACTTCAGCCTCCCAAATTGCTGTGATTACAGGTGTGAGCCACCACGCCCGGCTGAGAGTGGACTCTTCAGTCAGCTATGAAGATGGGGATGGGGAGATGGTGCTCAGGGAAGGCTTCCCAGAGGAGATGACATGGAGGCCAAGGCTGAGTCTGGAAAAATTAATAGTATCTCTCTAACATCCTGAAAATCCACACATTTCTGCTGTACTCAAGTCTCCCTTGGTGTCTTCATTTACTCCTGTGATTTCAATAATTACATCTATGCTAATAATGCCCAATCTTTTTCTAGCCCAGTCATCTCTCTAAAACCATCAGATATCTCCTATTTTGGTGTTGATGCTTAAAATTCAACTTGTCTAAAAACCAAACACTGAAGGAAGCCTGAGGCTATGAGCTTTTATGGTGATCATAATAATTTGTATCAATATTTTTATTACCCAGGTGGATATCTTAGTTACTTCTCATTTGGACTACTACAAACCAGTGGTCCACACTAACTGGTCTTCAACTTAGGTCTCTCCCCACCACCCACTTCCCCAGTATGTCCTAAACACTTTGATTTTCAACAAGATTTACTTCCCTAAAGCCCAATGTTGATGGTACATTTCATTGAACAACCACCTTTAGTAGTTCACTTTGCTCTACCTGGTGGAGACTAAGTTCGTCCATTGAATAATCAAGGCACACTATGTTCTGGTCCTAAATTACTCTTTCAATCTTATACCGTATAATTCCCTTAAGTGCCTTTTACAGACAAACCCACCTACTTACTACTTCCTGAACATAGCTAATGCTTTTCTACCTCAGGGTCTAAGTTTATGCTATTCCTCTTATCTTGCTTGTCACAACACTCTTTTGGAAAGGGAAACGTTTCCTAAGCATAACATTTATATATAACAAAGGCTATATTATATAACAAAGAATTTATATTTTAATATACAAAGAGCTGTTGCAAATCAACAAGAAAAGACAACTACTCCAACAGAAAAACAGGCAAAGTACTTAAAGAGACAATTTCTATTGAGACGGTTGGGTTTAAGTCTACCATAATCTCCCATAGTGTTGTTTGTTTTCTGTTTGTTCCATCCTTTTTTTCTTTTTCTTTTTTTTTTTTTTTGACGGAGTCTTGCTGTGTTGCCCAGGCTGTAGTGCAGTGGCACAAGCATGGCTCACTGCAGCCTCAACCTCCTGGGCTCAAGTGGTCCTCCCTCAGCCTCCTGAGCAGCCGAGACTACAGGCACATGCTACCACGTTTGGCTAATTTTTTGTATTTTCAGTAAAGATGGGGTTTTGCCATGTGGCCTAGACTGGTCTTGAACTCATGGGTTCAAGCAATCTGCCCACGTCAGCCTCACATAGTGTTAGGATTACAGGCATGAGCCACAGTACCCAACTTACTTTTGCTTTCTTCCTCTTTTCCTGCTGTCTTTGGATTATTTTTGATATTTCACATTATCTCCCCTTATATTTCTTATTTTTTTCAGTGGTTACTCTAAGGTTTACCATAGGTATCTTTAATTTATTAGTCTACATTCAAATAATATATAATCATATTTATATATTATAATATATAATCATATTTATATATTATAATACATGATTTTATATGTGTGTGTGTGTGTGTGTGTGTGTATATATATATATATATATATATTTTTTTTTTTTTTTTTTTTAATTTTTTTTTGAGATGGAGTTTCGCTCTTATCGCCCAGGCTGGAGTGCAATGGCATGATCTTGGCTCACTGCAACCTCTGCCTTCTGGGCTCAAGAGATTCTCCTGCCTCAGCCTCCTGAGTAGCTGGGATTACAGGCACCCACCACCACGCCTGGCTAATTTTTTTTTTGTATTTTTAGTAGAGATGGGATTTTGCCGTGCTGGCGAGGCTGATCTCAAACTCCTGACCTCAAGTGATCTGCCCGCCTCGGCCTCCCAAAGTGTTGAGATTACAGGCGTGAGCCACCGATGCCGGCCCCAAATAATATTATACCACTTCATATGTAATGTAAAAACTTTATAAAATCATACTTCTATTTTCCCCTCTCCCATCCTTTTTGCTATTGTTGTCATACTTTGTACTTACTTCTACATATATTATAAACCTATTATATCCCACAATACACTATTATTATTTTTGACTTTTTTTTTTTTTTTTTTTTTTTTTTTTGAGATGGAGTCTTGCTCTGTCACCCAGGCTGGAGTGCAGTGGCGTGATCTTGGCTTGCTGCAACCTCTGCCTCCCGGGTTCAAGTGATTCTCCTGCCTCAGCCTCCCGAGTAGCTGAGATGACAGGGATGTGCCACCAAGCCGAGCTAATTTTTGTATTTTTTGGTAGAGATGAGGTTTCATCATGTTGGCCAGCCTGGTCTCAAACTCCTGGCCTCAAGTAATCTTCCCACCTGGGCCTCCCAAAGTCCTAGGATAACAGGCATGAGCCACGGTGCTCAGCCCTGGCTCTTTTAAATAATTAAAAAAATTAAAAAATATATTTACGTACATGTTTACTATTTCCTATGCCCTTTCTTCTTCCTTCCTCTTCTTCTTTCTTCCTTCTTTTTCTTTTTTGAGAGGGTCTCACTCTGTCACCCAGGTTGGAGTGCAAGTGGTGCGATCACAGCTCACTGCAACCTTGTACTCAAGCAATCTTCCCACCTCAGCCTTCTAAGCAGCTAGGACTATAGGCACATGTGACCACACCTGGCTAATTAAAACAATTTTTTTTCTGTAGGAACAGAATCTTGTTATGCTGCTCAGGCTGGTCTCTAACTCCTGCATGGCCTTTTATTGTGTGTGTAGATCTCAGTTACCTTTTTTTTTTTTTTTTTTTGAGATGGAGTCTTGCTCTGTTGCCCAGGCTGGAGTGCAGTGGTGCGATCCCAGCTCACTGCAAACTCCGCCTCCCGGGTTCACGCCATTCTCCTGCGTTAGCCTCCCGAGTAGCTGGGACTACAGGCGCCTGCCACCACGCCTGGCTAATTTTTTTTTTTTTGTATTTTTAGTAGAGATGGGGTTTCACCATGTTAACCAGGATGGTATCGAGCTCCTGACCTTGTGATCCGCCTGCCTCGGCCTCTCAAAGTGCTGGGATTACAGGCGTGAGCCACCGCGCCCGGCCTCAGTTACCATTTAATATCATTTTTCTTCAATCTGCAGAACCTCCTTTAAAATTTCTTGTAGTGCAAATGATAACATTTTCAACTTTTGTTTGTCTAAAAATGTTTTTGTGTTTGATGGGTATATGTTACTTCCACTGGATACAAAATTCTAGCTTGACATCTTTTTCTTTTAGCACTTTGAATATGTCATTCTATTGTCTTCTGGCCTGCATTATTTCCAATAAGTCGGTGATTATTCTTATCCTTGCTTCCCTATATGTAACTTATCTTTTTCTCTGGCTTCTTTTCAGATTTCCTTTTGATAATTTTTTTTTTTTTTTGGAGATGGAGTATCCCTCTGTCACCCAGACTAGAGTGCAGTACTGCGATTTTGGCTCACTGCAACCTCTGCCTCCTGGGTTCAAGTGATTCTCCTGCCTCAGCCTCCCAAGCAGCTGGGACTACAGGCACACGCCACCACGCCCAGCTAATTTTTGTATTTTTAGTAGAGATGGGGTTTCACCATCTTGGCCAGGCTGGTCTTGAACTCCTGACCTTGTGATCCACCTGCCTTGGCCTCCCAAAGTGCTGGGATTACAGGCGTAAGCCACCACGCCTGGCTTTGATAATTGGTTTTCATGGCTGCATGTGGTGGCCTACACTTGTAATCCCAGTACTTTGGGAGGCCAACGTGGAGCTGTTTCTTTGCATAGCTCCCTTCTTTCCTGTACTCTCTTCCGTAATATCTACCTCCTCAATCTCCCCGAACTCTGATCTTTGACCCTTCAACTCAGCAAAACTACTGTGCTCTGCTTAGGTTTCCCATTCCTGTGCCAGTCTGGAAAGTTTCTCTGGCAGATAGTTGGGATAATTGAAAGGCTTACACAATTTGTTTTCTTTCCTTTTCTCAGGGATCATAATCCTATGCTGCCTTTGTCTAACATCTGAAAAATGTTGTTTCACATATTGTGTACAGTTTAAGTTTTTAAAATGGTAGATGGGTTAGTCAGATACCAGTTACTTTGTCATGGTCATAAATATACAATTCCATTTTCACTGGGTATAACATTTTAGGTTCACATTTTTTAATACTTCAAAGGTGTCATTCTATTGTCTTTAGACTTACATTGTTATCTTTGTTCCCATATATGGAATGCGTCTTTGTTAGAAAGGAAAAGTAAAACAGCAATAAGATATACTTTACTATTGTGTTGTTTAAATAAAAAGAGGCTGGGCATGGTGGCTCACACCTGTAATCCCAGCATTTTGGAGGTCAAGGCAGGCGGATCACTTGAGGTCAGGAGTTTGAGATCAGCCTGACCAACATGGTAAAACCCTGTCTCTACTAAAAATACAAAAAAATTAGCCGGGCATGGCAGCACACACCTGTAATCCCAGCTTCTCGGGAGGCTGAGGCAGGAGGATCACTTGAGCCCAGGGGACAGAGGTTGCAGTGAGCCGAGGTCACGCCACTGCACTCCAGCTTGTGTGATAGAATGAGACTCTGTCTCAAAAATAAATAAATAAAATAAATAAATAAAGAGTCCACTGTCGGTAAGACTCAGGGAAATGGGTACATTCACATATTTCTGGTGGTGCAAATTTCTTGTATGGACAGTTTGTTAAAAGTATTAGAGGCCGATAGCCAAAAAGCACAAACAACCCAAGTTGGTTAACCCATCTGTTAATTATCCATCAACAGATGAATAGTTAAACAAAATGTGGTATATACATAGGATGGAATACTGTTCAGCCACGAAAAGGAATACAATTATGAAACTTGCTTCAATGTGGATGAACTTTAAAAATATTATGCTAAGTGAAATAAACCAGACAGAAAAGGAAAAATATTGTATGATTCTACTTATAAGAGGTACTTAGAATAGATGTATTCATAGATATAAGTAGAATAGCGGTTGCCAAGGACTAGGAGGGAGAATTGAGAGTTATTGCTTTATGGATATAGAGTTTTTGTTTGGGATAATTGAAGAGTTCTAGAAATCGTGTGATGGTTACAACACATTGTGAATGTACTTAATGCCACTGCATTATACACTTAAATACAGTTAAAATGGCCAAGTGTGGTGGCTCATGCCTGTTTTCCCAGCACTTTGGGAGGCTGAGGCAGGAGGATTGCTTGAGGTCAGGAGTTTGAGACCAGCCTGGGTAATATAGCAAGAACCCATTTCTATAAAAACATTAAAAAATTAGCTAGGCATGGTGGTGCATGCCTGTAGTCCTAGCTACTCAGGAGGCTGGGGTGAGAGGAATGCTTGACCCCAGAAGATCAAGACTGCAGTGAGCTACAAGTATGTCACTATACCCAGCCTGGGTGACAGAGTGAGACTCAGTCTCACACACAGACAAAAAGATGGTTAAAATGGTACATTTTATGTTATGTATATTTTATCACAATTAAAAAATAAGGAAAAAATTAAAAACGAGAGAGCTAAGATGGTACATTTTCTTTGACACAGTAATTATACTAAGAATTTTTCCTAAGGAAAAAATGAGATGTGTAAAGATTTAGTCATATGGATTTTTAAAGAGTAGTTTTACAAAACAAAATGGAACAAAACAAAACAAAAACAAAGAATTCAATTTTAATGTCCCCAAACAGACCACTGGTGAAATATAATATGATATACAATAAAATGCCATATAGCCACCAAAAAAAACCCCAAAACCCACTATTCTATCTGAAGATAGATTAGAAAAAAAAATAAAGAACTATGTTGTAAAAGGATAATTTTTTTTTTGAGATGGATCTTGCTCTTGTCGCCTAGGGTAGAGCGCAGTGGCGTGATCTCAGCTCACTGCAACCTCCTCCTCCTCCTGCCTCAGCCTCCCAAGTAGCTGGGATTACAGGCACGCACCACCAGGCCTGATTAATTTTGTTGTTGTTGTCGTTGTTGTTTTGAGATGGAGTTTCGCTCTTGTTGCCCAAACTGGAATGCAATGGCGTGAACTTAGCTCACTGCAACCTCTGCCTCCTGGGTTCAAGAGATTCTCCTGCCTCAGCCTCCCGAGTAGCTGGGATTACAGGCAGGCGCCACCATGCCCGGATAATTTTTTGCATTTTTAGTAGAAATGGGGTTTCACCATGTTAGCCAGGCTGGTTTTGAACTCCTTACCTCAGGCGATCCACCTGCCTTGGCCTCCCAAAGTGCTGGGATTACAGGTGTGAGCCACAGTGCCCAACCTGATATGAATTCCTTCTGCCTGGAGTTCCTCTCCTTGAGTGACAAGCTTGTTTTAAATGGGTTGTAAAAACAATGCCTTATCTAACAATAGTGTTTCAGATAATAAAGTGCAGGCTGTAACAATCCTCAAACACTAAAATACAAAGGCAAATTCAGCGAATTATTTCTATTTATTCCTACTAGGTTAGGAGCTCCTCATGGCTGTAGAAATGACTAGTCTTATCCATTTCTAAATCCATGATTCTTGGTACCTAGTGTATAATGAAACATAATATAGCTGTTTGTTTTTTGAACAAATCTAGTTCCCAGGGTTTGCTCTCAGAATACCGGGTTCAAATCTCAGTTCTTTTTTTTTTTTCTTTTTGAGACAGAGTCTCCCTCTGTCTCCTGGGCTGGAGTGCCGTGGCGTGATCTCAGCTCACTGCAACTTCCACCTACTGTGCTCAAGCAATCCTCTCACCTCAGCCACCCAAGTAGCTAGGACTACAGGCATGCACCACAATGCCTGGGCTGATTTTTAAATTTTATTTGTAGAGACAGGGTCTTGCTATATTGCCCAGGCTGGTTGTGAACTTCTGGCTTCAGGTGGTCCTCCTGCCTGGGCTTCCCAAAGTGTTGGAGTTACAGGCATGAGCCATCATGCCCAGCCTAAAGTTAGTTATTATTGATGAAGTTTTGAAATAGAGAACTGATGGTAAGATCATGGAAAATGAGGAGAAACCAGGTATGTACTTCTCAAGATACCTCAACAAAATAGTATTTCTTTTCCTGATGTGTTGACCATGGTCTGGATCTTGCCAATATCCCTACAGACATCTGGTTTTGTCAGCACAGACAGTAGATCCAATTCTTGAGGATAGACCCATATTAGTCAAGCTTACAAGGCTGATTTATAAACTAGAACATATAAATTAGAATGTCAGTTTATCATTTTATACAAACCAAACCTACCATGAGGAATAGAACACTTGAGTCAGCACAACCAGCACTCTCACTGCCCACAAACATTGCTCCTTGGTTCACCAAATTATATTCAGAAGGTTACTTGGTGAGTATGCATATTAGTTTCCTGTGACTGCTATAACAAATTACCACAACTTGGTGGCTTAAAATAGCAGAAATGTATTCTCTCAAAGTACTAGAGGCTAGAAGTCCAAAGTCAGTATCACTGGATCAAAGCAAAGGTGTCGGCCAGGCATGGTGGTGCATGCCTGTAGTCCCAGCAACTAGGGAGCTACTAGTACTAGGGAGGGTGAGTTAGGAGGATCGATTGAGCCCAGGGGGTGGAGGCTGCAGTGAGCTATGACTGTGCCACAGCACTCCAGCCTGGGTGGCAGAGCGAGACCCTGTCTCAGAAAAAGAAAAAAAAGCCAGGTGCGGTGGCTCACACCTGTAATCCCAGCACTTTGGGAGGCCGGTGGATCACCTGAGGTCAGGAGTTCGAGACCAGCCTGACCAACGTGGTGAAATCCCATCTCTACTAAAAATACAAAATTAGCTGGGTGTGTGGTGCATGCCTGTAATCCCAGTTACTTGGGAGGCTGAGGCAGGAGAATCATTTGAATCCAGGAGGTACAGGTTGCAGTGAGCCAAGTTTGCACCATTGCACTCCAGCCTGGGCAACAAGAGTGAAACTCTATCTCAGAAAAAAAAAAAAGGAAAGAAAAATCAAGGTGTTGACAAGGCTGCACTCTCCCTCCCCAGGGGCTATAGGGGAGAATCTAATCCTTGCCTTTTCCAGCTTCTGGTAGTTGCCAGCATTTCTTGGTTTGTGACAGCATCACTCCAATCCCTGCCTTTATCTTCCTTCACATTGTCTTCTCTCTTTGTGTGTGAAATCTCTCTCTCTCTCATGAGGATACAGGTGATTGTATTTGGGGCCCAGCCACATAATCTAGAGTAATATAATCTCAAGATCCTGAACTTAATCACATCTGCAAAGACACCCCCCGCCCCCCAACCTTTTTTTTTTTTTTTTTTTTTGCCATATAAGGCATTGTTTACAGGTTGTAGGGATTAGGAAGTTAAGATCTTTTTTCAGGGAACATTTTTCAACTTATCACAGCATGGAAATTGGGACTAGGGGAGTGACCTGGTTTAGATGTGTGTCCCCTCCAAATCTCATGTTGAAATGTGACCTTCAATGTTGGAGGCTGGAGGTGGGTGTTTGGGTCATGCGGGCAGATCCCTCATGAATGGCTTGGTGCCCTCCCCATGGTAATGAATGAGTTCTCACTCTATTAGCTCACACAAAAGCCGGTTATTTAAAAGAGCCTGGAATCTCTCTTGCTTCCTCTCTCGCCATGTGACACGACTGCTCCCGTCACCTTCTGCCATGAGTAAAAGCTTCGGAAGACCTCACTGGTGCCATATTTGTACTGCCTGCAGGGCCGTGAGTCAAATTAACCTCCTTTCTTTGTAAATTACCCAGTCTTAGGTATTCCGTTATAGCAATGCAAAATGGACTAATACAGGGAGTGAGTTATACCGCTAGAAAGATTGAAGACATCAGGCTGCCATTGTGTGATGCATTTACTTCCACAGTTGGGATGGCCTAGTCAAGTGTCCTGAATACTCAAGTCCATTGCCAAGATTTATTCTCCCAAATACCATCCTTGAACGGTCACTACCAGTGTTTGCTTCTTTTTTTTTTGAGACAGAGTCTCACTCTGTTGCCCAGGCTGGAGTGCAGTGGCATGATCTTGGTTCATTGCAACCTCTGCCTCCTGGGTTCAAGCTATTCTCATGTCTCAGCCTCTCAAGTAGCTGGGGTTACAGGCGCCCGCCACCATGCCCAGCTAATTTTTGTATTTTTAGTAGAGACAGGGTTTCGCCATGTTGGTCAGGTTGGCCTCGAACCCTTGACCTCAGGTGATCCACCTGCCTTGGTCTCCCAAAGTGTTGGGATTACAGGCGTGAGCCACCACACCTGGCCTGTTTTTTTTTTTTTGAGACGGAGTCTTGCTCTTGTCGCCCAGGCTGTAGTGCAGCGGCGCAATCTCGGCTCACTGCAACCTCCGCTTCCCAGGTTCAAGCGATTCTCCGGCCTCAGCCTCCTGAGTAGCTGGGATTACAGCTACCCGCCACCACTTCCGGCTAATTTTTGTACTTTTAGTAGAGATGGGGTTTCGCCATGTCGGCCAGGCTGGTCTCGAACTCCTCACCTCAGGTGATCTGCCTGCCTTGGCCTCCCAAAGTGCTGGGATTACAGGTGTGAGCCAACGTGCCTGGCCTGTCTGTGGCTCTGCTTTTTGATGCTTCCATGGCTTACAAAACTACTTTGGTTGGCTTAGTTTTTCTTTTTCATCTTGTTCTAGCCTGGGGACTGTTCTATTTCCTTAATTGATAGCTTTGCCTAGCTCTGTTATGACCCACTATATATTGATGTTTATAACTTACTTCTTAATAGGCAATTTCTTTACTAATAAAAACAACAAAGGTATAGTGGTTTCTTCTTCCAGAATAGTGAAATTTCTAACAGCCCTACCTTTCTGCAGATAACAACATAAACTGAGGACACAAAACAAAACAACGACCTGAAGGCTCTGGAGAGTTAGCCAAAGCAGGCATATTTAGGAGGAGAGTTGAAAGTTGGATGAAGGACTTGGTCCAGGGTGAGTTTCCCATTTGTATGTTGTTAGACTAAGGGCATACCACATCATGGTGTGAAATGAGACAGCTAAAACTTTGATGAAAAACCCACCATCTGTCTGGCCTGAAGAACCAGAGTTCAGAGCTCAGGGCACACACAGTCATGGGAAAGTGAGGAGGCAATGCCAGAAAGAAGAAAACCAGGAAATGGGGGCCCCCAAATCTGCTTATAAATACTAAGTCTCTGGCTGATCTGAGAGAAGCTGGCAGTTAAGGCTAAAATAATTTCAGCCTTAAAATTTTACCCTGAGATCCGAGCTACCACCCACCACCATAGGTGAGAGAGAACCTATTTTTTACACAAACAGAAACATCAACACTCTGGCCAGGTGTGGTGGCTCACCCCTGTAATCACAGCACTTTGGGAGGCCAAGGTGGGTAGATCATGAGGTCAGGAGATTGAGACCATCCTGGCCAACATGGTGAAACTCTGTCTCTACTAAAAATACAAAAAAATTAGCTGGGTGTGGTGGCATGCGCCTGTAATCCCAGCTAGTCGGTAGGCTGAGGCAGGAGAATCACTTGAACCTGGGAGGTGGAGATTTCAGTGAGCTGAGATCGTGCCACTGCACTCCAGCCTGGCAACAGAGTGAGACTCCATCTCAATAAATAAATAAATAAATAAATAAATAAATAAATAAATAAATAAAAAGAAAGAAACATCAACAATCTTAAGAAGAATATAACAAACAGAGTCTGTATAACATAACATTCACAATGTCTAGGACATAGTCCAAAAGTCTTCAACACACACATAAAGCAGGAAAATATGACTAATTATCAAGGGAAAAGATAATCAACAGAGGTCAACCCCGAGATGGTTATTGATTTTTTTTTGTCTCTTAGCTCCAAATTCACCCTTTTGGCCTGCTCTGTAAAAATGAATGGGGGTATGGCAGGGAGCAGTGGCTCAAGCCTGTAATCCCAGCACTTCAGGAGGCCAAGGTGAGTGGATCACGAGGTCAGGAGTTCAAGACCAGCCTAGCCAACATGATGAAACCCCATCTCTACTAAAGATCCAAAAAGTAGCCGGGCATGGTGGCGTGCGCCTGTAATCTCAGCTACTCAGGAGGATGAGGCAGGAGAATCGCTTGAAGCTGGGAGGCAGAGATTGCAGTGAGCCGAGATCACACCATTGCACTCCAGCCTGGGTGGCAGGGCGAGACTCCGTCTCAAAAAAAAAAAAAAAGAAAAAGAAAAAGAAATGAATGGGGATGCTTTGAGTAGTTTTCCTTTGCCAGTAGGCACTGAAGCTTTATCAGAAGAGAGCACTGCAGAGACATTACAGGAGGAAGGTCTTTTGTTTCCTGGTTCTGATGTGCTCCGGCATTTTGCAAGGCTTCTCCAGTGCCTGGCTCCTGCAGTGCATGGTGGCAAGCAGTGCCCAGAGCTCAGCAGTTTCCATGGCATTCCCCTTCTTGGATGGTTTTGTAGCAAAAGGTGAGGCATCTTCTCATGAATAGTTTTCTCTGACACATTACAGGGCAGACTTCCAGCAAGTCCTGAGGGTGTGGCATCACAGTTTCTTTTCTGCCCTTTGGTATATTAAACTTTTTTTGTTCAAATTACTGTGTGGTTTCTTTCTCCTAATTAGGCCCAGACTGGGCAGTATTGTTTTCTATTTAGAATTGTGTTTGGTTGGTTTCTTGGTAGTGAAATGTTTAAGTTCCTTTCTCCTTTCCTTTCATGTACATTCTATAGCTATTTTTTTGTGGTTTCCATGGGGATGACATTTAGCATTCTAAAGTTTTTTGTTTTTTGACGGAGTCTCACTCTGTCACCCAGGCTGGAGTGCAGTGGTACAATCTCGGCTCACTGCAACCTCTGCCTCCCGGGTTATAGCGATTCTCCTATCTCAGCCTCCTGAGTAGCAGGGACTACAGGCATAGGCCACCACGCCCAGCTAATTTTTGTATTTTTAGTACAGACGGGGTTTCACCATATTGGTCAGGCCGTCCTTGAACTCCTGACCTTGTGATCTGCCTGCCTCAGCCTCCCAAAGTGCTGGGATTACAGACATAAACCACTGCGCCCAGCAATGAGGTCATGCAATGTTGCCCAAGATGGTCTTGAACTCCTGAGCTCAAGCAATCCTCTTGCCTCAGCCTCCCAAAGTGCTGGGATTAAAGGCGTGAGCCACTGTGCCTGGCAACTCTGCTCCTTTATAGCTCTATCCCCACCCCTTTCAGTTGTTGATGTCACAGAATTACATCTTTTTTTTTTTTTTTACTTTTTTTTTTTTTGGAGACCCAATCTCCCTCTGTCACCCAGGCTGGAGTGCAGTGGCACAATCTCCACACACTGCAGCCTCCACCTCCCAGGTTCAAGTGATTCTTCTCCCTCAGCCTCCTGAGTGGCTGGGATTATAGGCGCCCGCCACCACAGCCAGCTAATTTTTTTTTTTGTTTTTTTTTTTTGGAGACCTACTCTCACTCTGTTGCCCAAGCTAGAGTGCAGTGGCACAATCTCGGCTCACTGGAACCTCCGCCTCCCGATTCAAGCGAGTCTCGTGCCTTAGCCAACTGAATAGCTGGGATTACAGGCACGTGCCACCACGCTCAGCTAATTTTTGTATTTTTAGTAGAGACGGTGTTTTGTCATGTTGGTCAGGCTGGTCTCAAACTCCTGACCTCAGGTGATCCGCCTGCCTCGGCCTCCCAAAATGCTGAGATTACAAGCGTGAGCCACTGCACCTGGCCTAATTTTTGTTTTTTTGTTGTTGTTTTGTTTTTGAGACAGAGTCTCACTCTGTTGCCTAGGCTGCAGTGGCAGGATCTCGGCTCACTGCAACCTCTGGGTCCTGGGTTCAAGCGATTCTCCTGCCTCAGCCTCCTGAGTAGCTGGGATTACAGGTGCTCGCCACCATGCCCAGCTAATTTTTTTTGTATTTTTTTATTAGAGACAGGGCTTCACCATGTTGGCAAAGGCGGTCTCGAACTCCTGACATCGAGTGATTCGCCCACCTTGGCCTCCCAAAGTGCTGGGATTACAGGCGTGAGCCACCATGCCTGGCCTAATTTTTGTATTTTTAGTAGAGACGAGGTTTCACTATGTTGCCCAGGCTGGTCTTGAACTCCTGGGCTCAAGTGATCCACCCTCCTTGGCCTCCCAAAATGCTGGGATTACAGGCATGAGCCATCATGCCCGGCCAGAATTACATCTTTATACATTATATGTCCCACAACATAAATTAATAATTCTTTAAAATGCATTACTCTCTGAAATGATGTAGAAAACAAAATGTGGATTTACAAACTAAAGTTACAATAATACTATCTTTTAGACTAATAGTTGTTTTTTAAAAATGTGTTTGTCTTTTAAATCGTGTATTAAGCAAAAAGTAGTTACAAACCATTGCTACAATGCTATCTTTTATAATTGCCCATGTATTTTACTTTTTTTTTTTTTGAGACAGAGTCTCACTCTGTTGCCCAGGCTCCAGTGTAGTGGCGCAGTCTCGGCTCATTGCAAACTCCACCTCCCAGGTTCAAGTGATTCTCCTGCCTCAGCCTCCCAAGTAGCTGGGATTACAGGTGCATGCCACCATGCCCAGCTAAATTTTGTATTTTTAGTAGAGGCGGGGTTTTGTCATGTTGGCCGGGCTGGTCTCGAACTCCTGACCTCAAGTGATTCACCCACCTTGGCCTCCCAAAGTGCTGGGATTACAGGCATGAGCCACTGTGCCTGTCCCCATGTATTTCCTTTTTTTTTTTTTTTTTTTTTTTTATTGAGACGGAGTCTTGCTCTGTCGCCCAGGCTGGAGTGCAGTGGCGCAATCGCGGCTCACTGCAAGCTCCGCCTCCTGGGTTCACGTCATTCTCCTGCCTCAGCCTCTCTGAGTAGCTGGGACTACAGTCGCTCCCCACCACGCCCGGCTAATTTTTTGTATTTTTAGTAGAGACGGGGTTTCACCGTGGTCTCGATTTCCTGACCTCGTGATCTGCCCGCCTTGGCCTCCCAAAGTGCTGGGATTACAAGCGTGAGCCACCGCGCCCGGCCCCATGTATTTACTTTTATTGAGATCTTTGTTTCTTCATACAGCTTCAAGTGACTGTCTAGTGTTCTTTTATTTCACCCTGTAGGACTCCCTTGGACATTTCTTGCAGGGCAGGTCTAATGGTAATGAACTCTCTCAGCTTTGTTTTTTTTTTTTTCCGAGACGGAGTCTTGCTCTGTCGCCCAAGCTGGAGTGCAGTGGCGCGATCTTGGCTCACTGCAAGCTCCGCCTCCCGGGTTCATGCCATTCTCCTGCCTCAGCCTCCCGAGTAGCTGGGACTACAGGCGCCCACCACCACGCCCAGCTAATATTTTTTTGTATTTTTACAAAATACAAAAAGTAGAGACAGGGCTTCTACTTGTAAAAGTAGAGATGGGGTTTCACCATGTTGGCCAGGATGGTCTCGAGCTCCTGACCTCGTGATCCGCCCTCCTCGGCCTCCCAAAGTGCTGGGATTACAGGTGTGAGCCACCATGCCCAGCCTCAGCTTTGTTATTTGAGAATATTTTAATTTATTCCTCACTTTTCCAGCTTTGTTATTTGAGAATATCTTAATTTTTCCCTCACTTTTGAAGGATAGTTTTGCTGGATATAGAATTATTGGTTGAACTTTTTTTTTCCTTTGAATATATCTGGCAACTACCTTCTGGCCTCTAAAGTTTCTGATGAGAAATCTGTTCATGATCTTACTGAAGATCCCTTGTATGTCATGAGTCACTTCTCTCTTATTACTTTTGGCTTCTCTCTTTGTCTTTGGACAGTTTGATTATAATATTTGTCATGTAGATCTCTTCAAGTTCATCTTACTTAGAGTTTTTGAGCTTCTTGGGTGTTCAAATTCATGTTTTTTAAATCAAATTTGGAAAGATTTCAGCTATTGTTTTTTTAAATATTCTCTGTCCCTTTCACTTTCTTTTCTCCTTCTGGGATTCCCACAATGTATATATTGGTCTGCTTGATGGTGTCCCACAGGTTCCTTAGGCTCTGTTCACTTTTCTTCAATAATTTTCTTTTCTGTTCCTCAGACCTGATAATTTCCTTTGTCTTTTATTCAAGTTCCCTAATTCTTTTTTCTGCCTGTTCAAACTGCCTTTTAGTTAAATTTTTACTTCAGTTATTGTAATTTTAGCTCCAGAACTTCTTTTTGGTTTCTTTTAAAATTTTCCATCTCTTCATTGATATTTCCATTTAGTTTATGCCTCATTTTCTTCACTTTGTCCATATCTTCCTTTAGTTCTTTGAGTATCTTAATGATAGTTTATTTAAAGTCTTTGTCTAGTTTATCTGTCATCACGTCTTTTTCTGGGACAGCTCCTATTGATTTATGTTTTTCCTTTGGGCCCTTCCTTTTTTGTATATTTTCTGATTTTTCACTGAAAACTAGACATTTGAATCTAATAATGTGGTAACTCTGGAAATTAGATTCTGTCCCCTCCCTGAGAGTTTGCTGTTTTTAGATATTATTTTTGTTGATCGCTTTTTTGTTTCATTTTATTTTATTTTTGAGATGGAGTCTCGCTCTGTCACCCAGGCTGGAGTGCAGTGGTGTGATCTTGGCTCACTGCAACCTCCGCCTCCCGGGTTCAAGCAATTCTCTGAGTCAGCCTCCCGAGTAGCTAGGATTACAGGTGCCCACCACCACGCCACGCTAATTTTTTTTGTATTTTTAGTACAGATGGGGTTTCACCACCTTGGCCAGGCTGATCTTGAACTCCTGACCTCGTGATCCACCTACCTCAGCCTCCCAAAGTTCTGAGATTACAGGCGTGAGCCACCACACCCAGCCTGCTTTTTTTTTTTTTTTTTCAGTAGAGACGGGGTTTCGCTGTGTTAGCCAGGATGGTCTTGATCTCCTGACCTTGTGATCTGCCCGCCTCGGCCTCCCAGAGTGCTGGGATTACAGGCGTAAGCCACCGCTCCTGGCCAACTTTTTAATTTTTTAATTATTGTAGGCTGTGTCTGTTCTGAGGATTGGCCTGAGATGTGAACTTAGGGTCTTCCTTCTCAGCTCTTTTCTGAGATTTTCTCTGTGCATGCATGGTCATTTTCTAATTTTTCCCCACATATGTAGTTGTTTTTGAATGTCCAAGTCTTTAATGACTGGGTTCCAAAAGGGGAAAAAGAGAAAAATGAAGTGTGGCAAGAGGAAAGGGTGCTGGCTTTAAAGGATTTAAAGGGGAGTGGGAAGGAAGTAAAAAAACAAGGGCACCCAACTCTTTTTCTGTAGTTCTGTGACCAGAAGCAGCAATCAATTATGAGAGCATAGATAACCAATATTTGGAAAGTAAGATCCTTTTTTGTCTACCTGGCTCTGCAAACTGTGGCAAGCTGTTCCAGGAACACAGGCACAGCTGCCTGCAGCTGAGGTGTGAGGAATGGGTGGCTAAGGGCTGAAAAAATTTACTGTGCTAAGAGAGCTGAAATTGACTGAAAGTAGCTGCAATTTACAGTCCAAGCCCTGCCCTGGAATTTGCAAGCATTCAATAGACTCTAGAGTTTCAAAACAGTTCACACCAGACAGATTCTGCCAGTGCAATTATTGTGTAGGTGGAGAGACAGATTCCCAGTGCTTCCCACTCTGCCATCTTCCTAGAATCCTTAGATAATCTTTTTTTTTTCTTTTCTTTCTTTTCGTTTCCTTTTTACAGGCAGCCCACCAGAACTCGAAGATTCTAGAATAGATTTGGAGTGGCTGCCTAGATAATCTATTGATTCCGTTGTTTCTCCTTGGTGACATCCCTCTGGGGCCTACCTTTATGCCTTTTAGTTGGGACTGGCTGCTGAGGCCTCAGAACTGGGCCTGCTACATTGTTGATATCCTGGAATTTCCCTTTGCCACATTGTAGCGATGATCTTCACCCATCTCATGGGTAGAATCTCATTTCCTGGCCTTCATATTTTCCTCTATCTTGGCTTAATTCTTTTTGGTGGAGAACACTGAAACAAATAAAAATATTTTACCCCAAAATATATTTATTTAACATATGTTGAGATGGCTGTCAGAGAGCCAGAAAATAGAAGTAGCTCTGCAAAGCTGTCTTTTGTTGGGGAAATTTGCATCTGTAGAGAATCTGTATCGATTCAGCCACCTCTTCCCTTGTCCAGATCCAGAGACGATTAACTGTGAGTTTGATATCTTTAAAGGTCTGAAGGAAACATTTACCATCATTCCTCTTTGAGGGCTGCTACCTGTGAGATTTCATTTGCAGAACAAGACCACTCTTGCTAGCCAGGCTTCATCTTCTCTCCCTCCCATAACCTGTTTTGCCACTATAACCTGATTTACCACCATAGTCCGTTTTTGGCCATGCTCGAAGACACCATTCTTTCTGTAACCTTAAGATGGTATATAAGCTTCTGCACCACATTGGAGGTGGGGTAATCATTCTGTGGTTTTCCCCCATGTGCACATTAATAAATTTGTATGCTTTCCCCCAATTAGTCTGCCTTTCGTGAGATGATTTTTCTTTTTCTTCTTTTTATATATTTTTTCTTAAAAATTATGGCCAGGTGCGGTGGTTCATGCCTGTAATCCCAGCACTTTGGGAGGCTGAGGCAGGCGGATCACCTGAGGTCAGGAGTTCGAGATCAGCCTGGCCAACATGGTGAAACCCCGTCTCTACTAAAAATACAAAAATTAGCCGGGTGTGGTGGCGTGCGCATGTAATCCCAGCTACTTGGGCTGAGGCAGGGGAATCGCTTGAACCCAGGAGGCGGAGGTTGCAGTGAGCTGAGATCGTGCCACTGCACTCCAGCCTGGGCAACAGAGTGAGACTCCATCTCAAACAAACAAACAAACAAACAAATGTATTATATATTTGCAAAAACAAGTGACTTGCTTTTTGGAATGAAAAACATCAGGGAAGAGTGCAAATGCAGTTCCCCACTGCCACAAATTGTTTACTTGAGTTTCCCACATTTGGGGAAATTGCAGGAGTCAGCACATCTGGAGTGCAAACAAGAAGCCTCGCCCTGGAAAAATCCCCTTTGTGATCATGATATCTCCCCTGCCAGGTAAGTATTGTGAGTTGGTTTTTCAGTGAAACTTCAGTGAGCAAGGGGGAAGTTTCCCATTGGCTCCTACACTTTTGGCACTGTGAACAGAATACCAAAGCTCCACTCTTCTGGAAGCCACAGTGAAGGGAACTCAGTACATGACAAGCCAGAAGAAGGCTAAGAATTTCTCGGTCAGGCTTGCAGCCTCTCTTTCTGTGGAATTCTGTCAGGCAGATGGTAAAAATCACTGTTTGTCCCTTTTTCCTCTGCAAAGTCTAATGGGAGAAAAGAATTTGTGTGACTAAATCTTGAGTATAGCCATTCTGGTGTACTTTTTGGTATGAATATTCATATTGTTTGATCTCTTTCCTCCAAGAAATAGTTTTTTCCTTTGTCTTTGTCTTTCTGTGTTGCTCTGTCATAAAGAGAGGTACCACAGAAGCCCATTATTCAAGCTGACCCTGCAGACTGGTCAGTTTTGTGGTTCTGATCAGACTGGCATATAAATTTTGCTGTGGGTCCCCAAAATATAAGCCCAGGGAAGTTCCCCTCTCATCTTGTTTTATGTCCTTGAGAGCTTGATGTGTGACCGAGTGGGAGCACTTTCTCTTAGTTTCTGCCATCTGAGGGGCTGTGATTTTCAGGCCATGTCAGGTCGCCAGTCTGAAAATGGCTGGGAACCCAAGATATGTAAGATTTTAAGCAACAAACTTTTTGTTCTGAATGTGTCAAGCTCTCAGTAGAGTTTGTCTTAATAATAAGTTCCATCCATAAGGGAATTTGTTGTTGTTGTTGTTGTTGTTGTTGTTGAAACAGAGTCGCCCAGGCTGGAGTGCGATGGCTTGATCTTGGCTCACTACAACCTCTGCCTCCTGGGTTCAGGTGATTCTCCCACCTCAGCCTCCCAAGTAGCTGGGAGTACAGGTGCGTGCGACCACACCTGGCTCATTTTTGTGTTTTTACTAGGGATGGGGTTTCACCATTTTGGCCAGGCTGGTCTTGAATTCCTGGCCTCAAGTGATCCACCCACCTCGGCCTCCCAAAGGGCTGGGATTACAGGCGTGAGCCACCACGGCTGGCACATAAGGGATTTTTTTTGTTTCAACCCCTGTTGCCAAATTAATCCAGAGAAGATCCAATCCCAGGAGGGCCTACTGAGTGTCACAGATTAATGAGTCTGTGACTGCCAGCTCCCCGCCCCCCACAAATTTGTGGGTTACCGAAGGAACTGTATGCAGAAACACCATTCTTAACTGTCTGTGGCAACAAGAGTCTTTGTTATCTCAGCCTATTCCTGGGAGTGAATTTTTGGGTGGAAATCTTTAGGATTGCCTTTTATACTGCTCTCTAGGAAACACCTCTTTTTCTAAACCTGGAAAATTACATCATGGTTTTTCCATGAAGAGACTATTGGATTGTGTCACTATTGGAATAAATGCATCATTGGCAATTCTAATCAGTGGCCAAAAAATGGATCCCTGAAATCAGAAAGATCCCTCAATTAAAAAAAAAAGATTATAGAGATTTCTCATTCTAAATAATTGCCTTATTTGTATTTATGAGAGTAAATTAAAAGAAAGACACATAATCATGTCATGGCTAGTCTTAGGAATTCTCTTGGCTGGGCTCGGTGGCTCACGCCTGTAATCCCACACTTTGGGAGGCGAAGATGGGCGGATCACCTGAGGTCAGGAGTTTGAGACCAGCCTGGCCAACATGGTAAAACCCCATCTCTACTAAAAATACAAAAATTAGCTGGGCGTGGTGGCGCATGCCTGTAGTCCCAACTACTAGAGAGGCTGAGGCAGGAGAATCGCTTGAACCCAGGACCTGGAGGTTGCAGTGAGCCAAGTTTGCACCACTTACTCCAGCCTGGGCAACAGAGCAAGACTCTGTTTCAAAAAAAAGAAAAGTAAAGAAAAGAAATTATCTTGAAAAAAATTAAAGAACAAAAATTGACCTAAAATAGACTACTGCTCAGCATGCCACTTAGCAGAGGGGCCAGGCCTGCTCTCTCTTCCTTCCTGTCTACCTCTGACTGCCAGCAGGACCTGTCCCTCGCTGACACTGATACCCCATATCATTGCCCACCCCAAGGATGATGACCCCCAAAAAGGGAGGTGATGGAATTAAACCACTCCCAATTATTGGAAGATTTGGAATCTCACTGAAAATTAGTGTTGCTGGATTGCCAAATGTTTGGAAATCTGCCATCTTCACTGTATTAACCAGTAGTCAGACTTCAGCAGTAAACTTCCTATTCTAAACTGTTGATTCTAACTAGAGGAGAGTACCTGTGCCAGATGAAAGATTTGACTTTCTTTGTCAGGACCACAAACTAGCACGCAAAATTTCTGCCTTTCTAGATGTAGTGAATATTGCTGGCTTTGTGAGAGGAGTTGATTTCGGCCGTGGAGACGCTTTTTTATCTCAAATCAGTGCCTGTGATGGAATCTTCCCTCTAACACTTGCTTCCAAAGATAATGATATCATGCATGTTAAAGAAAGTATAGATCCTGTTTGAGATATAGAAGTAATACATGAGGCCGGGCGTGGTGGCTCACGCCTGTAATCCCAGCACTTTGGGAGGCTGAGGCAGGTGGGTTACCTGAGGTCAGGAGTTTGAGACCAGCCTGGCCAACATGATGAAACCCCGTTTCTACTAAAAACACAAAAATTAGCCGGGCGTGGTGGCAGGAGCCTTTAATACCAGCTACTCGGGAGGCTGAGTTGGGAGAATCACTTGAACCTGGGAGGTGGAGGTTGCAGTGAGCCGAGATCATGCCACTGCACTCCAGCCTGGGCAACAGAGTGAGACTCTGTCTCAAAAAAAAAAACAACAAAAACTAATACATGAAGGGCTTAAATATGAGGGAATAATTGGGCCCATTAAAGATAAACTAGAAAAGGTGGCCTTTTTCTAGTTTAGTGAAAACTAGTGAAGGAGATAAAAAATTAAAACCTGAGGCCAGGCACGGTGGCTTACAGTTGTAATTCCAGCACTCTGAGTGGCGGAGGCGGGCGGATTGCTTGAGTCCAGGAGTTTGAGACCAACCTAGGCAACATAGCGCAACTCTGCCTCTACTGAAAAAAGAAATACAAAAAATTAGCCAGGTGTCGGGGCACACACTTGTAGTCCCAGCTACTTGGGGAGCTGAGATGGGAGAATCACCTGAGCCTGGGAACTCGAGGAACTGAGTCGAGATTGCACCATTGCACTCCAGCCTGGGCAATCAGAATTAGACCCTGTCTTCAAAGAAACAAAAGACCCTATATTAGTCAGGGTTCTCTTAGAGGGATAGAACTAATAGTATATATATATAGTAGTTTATTAAGTATTAACTTACACAATCACAAGGTCCCACAATAGGCTGTCTGCAAGCTGAGGAGCAAGGAAAACCAGTCTGAGTCCCTAAACTGAAGAACTTGGAGTCTGATGTTTGAGGGCAGGAAGCATCCAGCACGGGAGAAAGATGTAGGGTGGGCTGGGTGTGGTGGTTCACGCCTGTAATCCCGGCACTTTGGGAGGCTGAGGCGGGTGTATCACTTGAGGTCAGGAGTTCGAGACCAGTCTGGCCAACATAATGAAACTCTGTCTCTACCAAAAATACAAAAATTAGCTGGGTGTGGTGGCACATGCCTGTAATCCCAGCTACTTGGGAGGCTGAGGCAGGAGAATCACCTGAACCCAGGAGATAAAGATTGTGAGCCGAGGTCATGCCACTGTATTCCAGCCTGGGCAACAGAGTGAGACTCCGTCTCAAAAAAAAAAAAAAAAGGAAAAGGAAGATGTAGGGTGGTAGGCTAGGCCCGTCTCGCCTCTTCATGTTTTTCTGCCTGCTTTATATTCTCTGGGGGCTGATTAGATGGTGCCCACCAGATTAAGGGTGGATCTGCCTTCCCCAGCCCACTGACTCAAATGTTAATCTCTTTTGGCAATGCCCACACAGACATACCCAGGATTAATACTTTGTATCCCTCAATCCAATCAAGCTGCCACTCAGTATTAACCATCACAAGCCCCAAACATGATATAATTTGCAGTCAAATCCTGGGTATAGATCAAAAGAAACATCATTGTTTCTATCATGATTGGGACAAAGAGATTGTATTTTTAAATATTTATTTTTTACTTCTAAACCAGTGGTGTACTTGATTAATCTTTATGAAAAAGTCTGCATTAGAAAGAAAAATGAATGTTTGATAAAAATAAAGAGTTGGTGGACAAGTATGACTCCGGTGTATTGGTCATTACTTTGAGTGGGGCCTTGGAACACATGTTGCAAGAACTGAGTACTGAGAGAGACAGAGTATCTGAAAGTGAACATGACACAGAGTACTTTGCTAAAGATCATTAAGGCTGGTTTTGCAGTACTCCTGCTAGAACACTTTTTCACTGCAGGCCCAGATGAAGTACATACGTAGACCATCTGCAAAGAGATGGAGGCTCCTCAGGCCGTGGAACAGATTCATACAGATTTTGAAAAGGAATTCAGTATGGCTGACATAATGAAATATGAAAATTTTAAAGAGGACGTTTCTGAAAATGCAGTGAAGCCTGCTGCAAAGTACAGACAACAAAGCAGAAATTATACTGTGGAAAGTGTAGATGTTATTTTCTTTAAATTTAGTACACCTCAACAACCAAAGAAGAAACAAATTTTAGTTATTGCTTAGACAAATGTACAACTTCCAAAAGGCCTATGACTTTTTAAAATTAAAATTTCTGGCTGGGCATGGTGGCTCACACCTGTAACCCCAGCACTTTGGGAGGCTGAGGCGGGTGGATCACGAGGTCAGGAGATTGAGACCATCCTGGCCAACATGGTGAAACCCCGTCTCTACTAAAAATACAAAAATTAGCTGGGTGTGGTGGCACGTGCCTGTAATCCCAGCTACTCGGGAGGCTGAGCAGGAGAATTGCTTGAACCTGGGAGGCAGAGGTTGTAGTGTGCCGAGATCGCACCACTGCACTCCAGCCTGGCGACAGAGCGAGACTTCGTCTAAAAAAAAAAAAAAAAAGAAAAAAAAAATTCTGAAAACTGAAGGGACAACGTTGGGGAGATGGGAATCTTCTACAAACAAGTTATTTTAATTTTTAATTTTTGAAACAGGGTCTCACTTTGTCACCCAGATTGGAGTGAAATGGCATGATTATAGGTCACTGTAGCCTAGGACCACTCCCAGACTCAGGTGATCCTCCCACCTCAGCCTCCCAAGTAGCTGAGAATACAGGTGAGTATCACTATGCCTGGCTAATTTTTTAAAAAATGTTTTGTAGAGAAGGCCTTGCTATGTTGTCCTGGCCTCAAATGATCCTCCCACTTTGGCCTCCTAAAGTGCTGGGATTACAGGTATGAGCCACCATGTCCAGCCTTGAAACCCCTCTTTATTTATTTGTTTGTTTGAGATGGAGTCTCACTCTGTTGCACAGGCTGGGGTGCAGTGGTGTGATCTTGACTCATTGAAACCTCTGCCTCCAGAGTAGCTGGGATTACAGGTGCGTGCCACCACACCCAGCTAATTTTTGTATTTTTAGTAGAGATGGGGATTTCCCATGTTGGCCAGGCTGGTCTCAAACTCCTGGCCTCAAGTGATCTGCCCACCTTGGCTTCCCAAAGTGCTGGGATTACAGGTGTGAGCCACCACATCCAGCCCTGAAATCCCTTTTGAAAATTATGTGTTTGGGCCAGGCGTGGTGGCTCACACCTGTAATCCCAGCACTTTGGGAGGCCGAGGTGGGTGAATCACGAGGTCAGGAGTTTGAGATCAGCCTGGCCAACATAGTGAAACCCTGTCTCTACTAAAAATAAAAAATATTAGCCACGCATAGTGGTGGGTGCCTGTAATCCCAGCTACTCGGGAGGCTGAAGAAGGAGAATCACTTGAACCCGGGAGGGGGAGGTTGCAGTGAATTGAGATTGTGCCACTGCACTCCAGCCCAGGCAACAGAGTGAGACCCCATCACAAAAAAAAAAAAAAAAAAAAAAAAAGAGAGAAAATTATGTGCTTGGTATCTGTGTTCTCTTACTTTCTTAAGGATTGCTCTCCCGTTTACTTCTACTTCTCCCTGCTTCTCTTTCCCCTTCATTAACACAGGAAAGGATCTAGAGGGGACTTTTATTTTATTTTATTTATTTTTTGAGACAGAGTCTCACTCTGTCACCCAGGCTGGAGTGCAGTGGCGTAATTATGGCTCACTGCAGTCTTGACCTCTGGGCTCAAGTGATCCTCCCACCTGAGCCTCCCAAGTAGATGGAACTACAGGTACGTGATATGCCACTACCCTCAGCAAATTTTTGTATTTTTGTAGAGATGGGGTTTTGCCATGTTGCCCAGGCTGGTCTCAAACTCCTGGGCTCTAGTGATCTGCCTGCCTTGGCCTCCCAAAGTATTGGGATTACAGGCGTGGGCCACTGCATTTGGCTTAGAGGGAACTTATAGTGACTCAGACCCTTTAAGGAACACAGAAAAAGGCACCACTAACCCCTTTTTTTGGGTCTTCTCTCTTCCTATGGAGTCTGAAGAATGGTGGACATATTCTTCTCAGGTTTAAAGCTTTGTATTGAGTTACCTGATGTCTTTGACTTTTTTTTTTTTTTTGTGAGATGGAATTTCGCTCTTGTTGCCCAGGCTGGAGTGCAATGGTGTGATCTCGGCTCACAGCAACCTCCGCCTCCCAGGTTCAAGCCATTCTCCTGCCTCAGCCTCTGGAGTAGCTGGGATTATAAGCATGCGCCACCATGCCTGGCTAATTTTGTATTTTTAGTAGAGATGGGGTTTCTCCTTGTTGGTCAGGCTGGTCTCGAACTCTGGACTTCAGGTGATCCACCTGCCTCGGCCTCCCAAAGTGCTGGGATTACAGGCGTGAGCCACTGCGCCCGGCCTGTCTTTGACTTTTGGAGGTACCAGGGGTTACTCTGTACTATGAGATAACTTAACCTTTGTGTTTGTGATGACTGGCAAGTCACTGGTAAGAGCTGCAGTTTTGGAGGTGGTTGACTTCAGTTGTGATAAATAATTGTTACTGCAGGAGACTACAGGTTAGTGCACTTGGAGGCTATGAGAACATTCACCATCAAGGGATAAAACTTCCAGGGGGAGGCCGGATGCAGTGGCTCACGCCTGTAATCCCAGAACTTTGGGAGGCCAAGGAGGGTGGATCACGAGGTCAGGAATTCGAGACCAGCCTGGCCAACATAGTGAAACTTCGTCTCTACTAAAAATACAAAAATTAGCCGGACATGGTGGTGCACATCTGTAGTCCGAGCTACTCAGGAGGCTGAGGCAGAAGAATCGCTTGAACCCGGGAGGTGGAGGTTGCAGTGAGCCGAGATCGCGCCACTGCACTCCAGCTTGGGTGACAGAGTGAGACTTTGTCTCAAAAAAAAAAAAAAAAGAACAACAAAAAAAACTTCCATGGGGGATGGGCTGATCACAGGGTGGGTTGGTTGGTGTTGGTTACCCACCAGCTTTGGGGGAATGTCCTTGCAGCAAGGTGCACTGTGGAAACATGGTGCTAGTCTCATGGTGTTTCCCTCTTTTGGGGGGACCAAGGATTCAATGTAAAATTAGAAATCTTGGTTTTTAGGCCGGGCGCAGTGGCTCACGCCTGTAATCCCAGCACTTGGGGAGGCTGAGGCAGGTGGATCACCTGAGGTCAGGAGTTCGAGACCAGTGTGGCTAACATGGTAAAACGCCATCTCTACTAAAAATACAAAAAATTAGCCAGGCATTGTGGCGCATGCCTGTAACCCTAGCTACTCACCCAGGAGGCTGAGGCACAAGAATCACTTGAACCTGGGAGGTAGAGGTTGCAGTAAGCTGAGATCACACCACTGTACTCCAGCCTGGGCAACAGAGCAAGACCCTGTCTAAAATAAATAAATAAATAAATAAATAAATAAATAAATAAAATATATATAATATTTAAAGAGGTGGGTGCTCTGTTTTCCAGCTGTGCCTGCTTTCACATATTTAAATTATTAGGCCCCCCAGACTGCAAATGCTTTGTTGGCCCTGTTCATTAATGGGCGCTGACCTGAGTTTCGCAATGCAGTGAGAAAACAGAGACTAAATTAAAAACTGTTTAGCTAGGTTAGTCTCCAAAATACAACTTTCTGGGATTTAGCTGGTTATTTTAATAAGATTTCTAAATTCCCTCTAGGCTCATCTATATGTTTCCTTGTAAAATCCTATGGTAAATTCTTATGATTTTGTGTTTCCTTGGCACCCTTTTTTTTTTCTTTTCTTTTCTTTTTTTTTGAGACAGAGTCTTGCTCTGTCACCCAGACTGGAGTGCAGTGGCACAATCTTGGCTCATTGCAACTTGTGCCTCCTGGGTTCAAGCGATTCTCCTGCCTCAGCCTCCCAAGTAGCTGGAATTACAGGCGCCCACCACCACGCCCAGCTAATTTTTGTGTTTTTAGTAGAGATGGGGTTTCACCATGTTGGCCAGGCTGGCCTTGAACTCGCAACCTCACATAATCCTCCCACTTCAGCCTCCCAAAGTGCTGAGATTACAGGCATGAGCCACTGAGTCCAGTGCTTTTTTTTTTTTTTTAAATTCCTGGCAGGCTATGAATGGCATTTATTTTTAATCTTTCTCTAACACACCCAAACTCCTTTTTCAAAAAGCTTAAATTTTCTTTCTGTGCTTTGAGATATAAATTTGCCACTTTGTTTTCTCTAAAACTCAGGGCTTCAGCCATGTGAAACGAATTACAGAAGCATTAGGATTGAAAAAAATACACTTTAACCTTTTCCATTCACAAAGGCAGAGTTTTAATCCAACTGTCCTTTTAAAACTAGTGAGTTTTACCAGTCTCATGGCTAAAATTAAAAAAAATAAAGATATAAAGTCTTTATTTGTGTTTGTTTGTATCTTTATGTTATATGTATACATGTCTATGTTTATATATTGTCTATATGATATCAAACTAGATTATAAATAAATGAAAACTCATAAATTAAGTAAATAAGCCCAAATGCTTTTCAAGTTCAAGTGACTTTAATAATCTTTGGTAAATAAAACCTGTTCAAAAATTGGTAAAAATCAAACAGAAACATCTTCGAAATTTAATTTAGACATTGTTTTGCCTGGGTCTATCAGTCTACCAAGTTTATGTTATCTCTGCTAGATATTTTAAGGTCATAAAATTATTGCTTCTGATATTTTTTGATACTTCCTTGTTTTGTCTGTGAGCTTATGTCTTTGAATTTGAGCCTTTAGATTTCCAGGTCTAGACAAGTGGCCTTGGTGAGGCCCGAGGACAGCACCCAGCCCCATCCTCACTATTCCAGCTGTGCCTCCTGGCCATGCTGGAGTGGCTGGATCCTCCAGGCAGCATCTTCACAGATCTGTCCTTTGCCCTGGGATCTGCATCTGGTACATAATTAAAATTGCCTACTTCCTAGGTTTCACACTAAAAATTAGGGTTACTAAGAGCTAACATTGTAATGAATATGTGTAATTAAAACTACTAGATATAAAAGAAAAAAGACAAAAAACAAACAAAAAACTACTACATACAAGAGAAACAGTTCTGTATGCAAAGTAATCCCAGCACTTTGGGAAGCCGAGGCGGGCGGATCATGAGGTCAGGAGATCAAGACCATCCTGGCTAACACGGTGAAACCCCGTCTCTACTAAAAATACAAAAATTAGCCGGGCATGGTGGCGGGTGCCTATAGTCCCAGCTACTCAGGAGGCTAAGGCAGGAGAATCGCTTGAATCCAGGAGGCAGAGGTTGCAGTGAGCTGAGATCATGCCACTGCACTCCAGCCTGGGTGACAGAGCGAGACTCCGTCTCCAAAAAAAAAAAAAAAAAAAGTTGTTTTAAATTGAAGAATGATGATAGATAAAACTAAATGGGTATAAAAAGTTGGAAAAGGCCGGGCGCGGTGGCTCATGCCTGTAATCCCAGCACTTTGGGAGGCCGAGGCGGGCGGATCACGAGGTCAGGAGATCGAGACCATCCCGGCTAAAACGGTGAAACCCCGTCTCTACTAAAAATACAAAAAATTAGCCGGGCGTAGTGGCGGGCGCCTGTAGTCCCAGCTACTTGGGAGGCTGAGGCAGGAGAATGGCGTGAACCCGGGAGGCGGAGCTTGCAGTGAGCCGAGATCCCGCCACTGCACTCCAGCCTGGGCGACAGAGCGAGACTCCGTCTCAAAAAAAAAAAAAAAAAAAAGTTGGAAAAAAGGAATGAAAAAATTGTAAGAGGTTATAAAAGGTTTACAAAAATGTTACCTTGTGTGGTCAAAATTGGTTGAAATTGGATGGATTTGTTTATAAGAGTTTATTAAAATTAGCTTTGGCATTAATAATACACATGCAAAGATAGAATTTGGCTTTCTCTTTTAAACAAGGTTTTTGTGCAGTATTAAGAGACAGTAAAAGATTTTTGCTTACTTTTTTTTTTTTTTTTTTTTTGTGATTGAGTCTTGCTCTGTCACCCTGGCTGGACTGCAGTGGTGCGATCTCGGCTCACTGCAAGCTCTGTCTCCTGGGTTCACACCATTCTCCTGCCTCAGCCTCCCGAGTAGCTGGGACTACAGGCACCCACCACCACGCCCAGCTAATTGTTTGTATTTTTATTTTATTTTATTTTATTTATTTATTTTTGAGATGGAGTCTCACTTTGTCACCCAGGCTGAAGTGCAGTGGCATGATCTCGGCTCACTGCAAGCTCCGCCACCTGGGTTCATGACTTTCTCCTGCCTTAGCCTCCAGAGTAGCCGAGACTACAGGCATCCACCACCACAGCTGGCTAATTTTTTTTGTATTTTCAGTAGAGACGGGGTTTCACTGTGTTAGCCAGATCTCGATCTCCTGACCTCGTGAACCACCCGCCTCGGCCTCCCAAAGTGCTGGGATTACAGGCGTGAGCCACCTCGCCTGGCCAATTTTTGCTTACCTTTTAATTAAACTGCAAAAACTACTTGGCCTCCTGACTAGCTGGCTAATGTCACAAAGCCTGGCTAATTTAAACAATATTCATAGAGATGTGGTCTCACTATGTTGCCCAGACTGGTCTTGAACTCCTGGGCTCAAACAATCCTCTGACCTTGGCCTCCCAAAATGCTGGGATGACAGGTATGAGCCAATGCACCTGGCTCCTTGTTTTGTTTTTTAGAGGCAGGATCCCAATCTGTCACCCAGACTAGGGTACAGTGTCATGATCATTGCTCATGATAGCCTAGAACTACTTCTGGGCTCAAGTGATCCTCCCACCTCAGTTTCCCGAGTAGCTAGGACTACAGGGTCATGCCACCATGCCTGGCGCCTAGCTATTTTTAAAAGATTTTGCAGAGATGGGGTCTTGCTATGTTGCTCAGGCTTGTCTTGAACTCTTGATCTTGTGATCCACCCACCTTGGCCTCCCAAAGTGTTGGGATTACAGGCATGAGCCACTGCACCCAGCCTTTATCATTATTATTATTATTTTTGAGACAGAGTCTCTGCCCGGGAGGGAGGTGGGGGGCAGCCCCCGCCCGGCCAGCCGCCCTGTCCGGGAGGTGGGGGGCGCCTCTGCCAGGCTGCCCTGTCTGGGAAGTGAGGGGCCCCTCTGCCCAACCGCCACCCCGTCTGGGAGGTGTATCCAACAGCTCGTTGAGAACGGGCCATGATGACGATGGCGGTTTTGTCAAATAGAAAAGGGGAAAATGTGGGGAAAAGAAAGAGAGATCAGATTGTTAAAAAAAAAAAAAAAAAAAAAAAAGACAGTCTCTGTTACCCAGCCTGGAGTGGAGTGGCGTGATCTTGGCTCACTGCAACCCCTGCCTCCCAGGTTAAAGTGATTCTTGCCCCTCAGCCTCCTGAGTAGCTGGGATTACAGTCGCGTGCCACCACACTCAGCTAATTTTCCTAGTTTTAGTAGAGACAGGGTTTCACCATGTTGGCCAGGCTGGTCTCGAACTCCTGATCTCAAGTGATACACCTGCTTCAGCCTCCCAAAGTGCTGGGATTACAGCATGAGCCACTGTGTGTGGCCTAATGTTTGTTTTTGAGACAAAGTCTCTCTCAGTCACCCAGGCTGGAGTGTAGTGGCAAAATCATGGCTCACTTCAGCATTGAGCTCATGGGCTCAATCAGTCCTCCCTCCTCAGCCTCCTGAATAGCTGGGACTACAGATGCATGCCACTGGATAATTTTTGTATTTTTTGTAGAGATGGGGTTTTGCCATGTTGCTCATGCTGGTCTGGAACTCCTAGGCTCAAGTGATTCACCAGCCTTGGCTTCCCAAAGTGCTGGGATTACAGGCATGAACCACTGCACTTGGCCTTGAGCTATTTATAGTTTATAACAATTGGGTAAATTATACTTCTATGAGCAAAATCAAAATATTTGCTTTTCTCTCTGCCTGATTTCTCCAGAATTCAGAAACTGTTTGTGAAGATTCTTAGTTTATGGCAATATGGTTATTTGAAAAATTTCAATAAGAATCCGTTTTCTTTTGTAAAGAGACACAATTGGAGCCTTATTTTACTAAGGCTGTGACAGGACTGGCATATTTTCAAATATGACCAATTGTTTTCAGGAATTGAAGTAGACTTTGCAGAGTTGATATAAAGCCTCCTGGAAAGCCTGGCCTGCTACCTTGTCTACATATTTCCCTTAACAAGGTTTCTGACTTGTGATAAGTAAAGAATGTCACTTTCTGACAGGTCTAGGAATTTCTTTCATTCTTTTTTTTTTTTTTTTTTTAAGACAGTGTCTCACTCCATCACCCAGGCTGGCGTATAGTGGCATGCTCTCAGCTCACTGCAACCTCTGCCTCCCAGGCGCAAGTGATTTTCAAGCCTCAGCCTCTCAAGCTGGGATTATAGGTGCCCACCATCATGCCCGGCTAATTTTTGTATTTTTAGTAGAGACGGGGTTTTGCTGTGTTGACCGGGCTGGTCTCAAACTCCTGGCCTCAAGTGATTCGCATGTCTCAGCCTCCCAAAGTGCTGGGATTATGGGCATGGGCCACCGCACCCAGCCCAGGTCTAGGAATTTCAAGGTATTTTGAGGACCTTGGGAAGAAAAGAATTCACCAGATTCATATAGGTGTTACAATCTGATGATAAATCTTTGACGTGGGTTTCTAGCCTTCAGGCTTTTAAAAGTCGAATCTAAAATTCCTTATTAAAAAATTCTGGCCAGGTGCCGTGGCTCATACCTGTAATCCTAGCACTTTGGGAGGCTGAGGCGGGCGGATCACTTGAGGTCAGGAATTCAAAACGAGCTTGGCCATCATGGTGAAACCCCATATGTACTAAAAATACAAAAAATTAGCTGGGCATGGTGGTGCACACCTGTAATCCCAGCTACTAGGGAGGCTGAGGTAGGAGAATTGCTTGAATCCGGGAGGCGGAGGTTGCAGTGAGCCAAGATCGTGCCACCGCACTCCAGCTTGGCAGACAGAGTGAGATTCCATTTCAAAAAAAAAAAAAAAAAAAATTTCAGCAAAGACAACTTTAAAAGATACTATATATACTATATGACCAATCACTATTCTTGCTGCACTTTATGCAGATAATCAGGCCACGTATAATACAAGTAAAATGTATTTTGCAAATAAATTGATCCTATTATTATTTGTCTTTGGTAGAAGTAGAAATGGGGAACTGGAAAGAGAAAAATTATGTTTCACAAAAAAATATAGTACACATGATATTAGATTGTAGCCTTGGCCGTTGTTTTTGAGTCTTTATTATTTGCCTACAATTTGGACTGAATCTGAATTCTTTCCCAGATACAAGTCTCCAAACTAATGTTTTCAAATTTTCCTGCGATTTTTCTGACTCAGACTCACTAAAAATTAAAATTGTGCTTTTATTGAAGCCCTGCATACTGAAGCTAGATAGCTTGATGTATACTCCAGGAGAAATCACCACAGCAACTTATGTAGAAACAGCATTTGTGCTTGCTAATGTATAGAATACTCAGAAAGTTCACCTGAACACCTGGTTCGAATTACAATTCAGAAAAATCTGTCGGATTGCATTGGCAATCTGAAGATACTTTAGAGACTCTGCAAAAATGAATTTATAGACTACTCCTGACATTAACTTTTGCTCTTCTTCCGTTTCCATATAAATGACTCTTATTAAAGATCTGTTTGTCTGCATCATAAATAGAGGCCTAGCCCATCTGCAGTGGCACCGCCTAGAATGGGACACAGCTGTTTAACCAAACTGATCTATTCTCAGAACTAAGACTCTGATTAATGAAGAAATGGGATGATACATTTAAATTTGCTCTTTTCTGCTTATCCAAATTTGTCAGCTCCTTTCTCTATCTCTATCTAACAACCTTCAACTCAAATCTCTCCAAAGCTATCAACCTGACTTTTAATATTTGAATCATTTTTAAGTTTCAAAGTGGGGACTGAAGGAAATAAAAATGTTTTACCCCAAAATATATTTATTTGATATATTCTGAGATGGCTGTCAGAGAGCCAGAAAATAGTAGCTCTGTAAAGCTGTATTTTGTGGGGGAAGATTTGCATCTGTAAGAATCTGCATTGATACAGCTTGGCCTTCCCTTGCCCAAATCCAGAGAAGATTCAGTGAGAGTCTGACACCTTTAAACCCCTGAAAGAAACATGTACCATCAATCCTCTTTGAGGGCTGCTGCTTGAGAGGTTTCATTTGCAGTACAAGACCACCTTTGCTAGCCAGGCCTCTTCTCGCCTTCCCATTATCTGTTTTGCCACTATAACTTGATTTACCACTGTAGCCTGTTTTTGGCCATGCTCTGAGCCCCATTCTATCTGTAACCTCGAGATGGTATATAAGCTTCTGCACCACACTGGGGATAGGATAATCATTCTACGGCTGTCTCCCCTGTACACATTATTAAGTTTGTATGCCTTTTCTCCAATCAATCTGCCTTTTGTGAGTTGAGTTTTCAGTGAACCTTCAGAGGCTAGAGGGTAAGTTTTCCTTTGGCCCCTACAAAACCTTACTGAGAAAAGGTACAAGAAAGATAAATTGTGAGCTTGAATTTCTGAAGATGCCTTTATTCACCTTTCACATTTGACTTATAGTTTGGCTGGGTATTTAATTCTAGGTTAAAATAATTTCTTTCAGAATTTTAAAGGCATTTTTTTTTAACGTTAGCCTTCAATATTGCATTGAGAAAACAGATGTCATCTCATTCCTGATACCTAATATATGACTTGTGCTTTCTCTCTGAAAGTTTTAGGGGCTGGGTGCAGTAGCTCATGCCTGTAATCCCAGCACTTTGGGAGGCCGAGGTGGGCAGATCACCTGAGGTCAGGAGGTTGCGGCCAGAGTGGCCAACATGGTGAAACCCCATCTCTACTAAAAAAATACAAACAAAGGGCCGGGCGCGGTGGCTCACGCCTCTAAACCCAGCACTTTGGGAGGCGGAGGTGGGCGGATCACGAGGTCAGGAGATTGAGTCCATCCTGGCTAACAGGATGAAACCCCGTCTCTACTAAAAATACAAATACAAAAACAAAAACAAAAAAGTTAGCCGGGCATGGTGGCGGGCGCCTGTAGTCCCAACTAGTCGGGAGGCTGAGGCAGAAGAATGGCGTGAACCCGGGAGACGGAGGTTGCAATGAGCCGAGATCACGCCAATGCACTCCAGCCTCGGCGACAGAGCGAGACTCCGTCTCAAAAAAAAAAAAAAAACAAACCTGGGCGAGGTGGCTCACGCCTGTAATCCCAGCACTTTGGGAGGCTGAGACTGGAGGATCACGAGGGCAGGAGATCAAGACCATCCTGGGCAAGCAACATGGTGAAACCCTGTCTCTACTAAAAATAAAAAAAAATTAGTCAGGTGTGGCAGCGGGTGCCAGTAATCTCAGCTACTTGGGCGGCTGACGCAGGAGAATTGCTTGAATACAGGAGGAGGAGGTTACAGTGAGCCGAGATCGCACCACTGCACTCCAGCCTGGGAGACAGAGCGAGATTCCGTCTCAAAAAAAAAAAAAAAAAATATCGGCCGGGTGTGGTGGTGGGCGCCTGTAATCCCAGCTACTCAGGAACCTGAGGCAGGAGAATCGCTTGAACCCGGGAGGCAGAGGCTGTAGAGAGCCAAGATTGTGCTACTGCATACTCCAGCCTGGGCAACAGAGCAAGACTCTGTCGCAAAAAAGAAAAAAAAAAAAAAGAAAGAAAAGAAAGTTTTTGGGATCCGCTCTTTAACTTGATGATGTGATTGGTATATTTCTATCTTTATTTTTATCTTTCTGAATGCTTAGAACACTTTTTTAAATTTTGAGACTAATCTTCAGTTTTGGAAAACTTCTTTTTTGAGACAGGGTCTTGCTCTGTCACACAGACTGGAGTGCAGTGGCACAAACACGGCTCACTGTACCCTTGACCTCCCAGGCTCAAGAGATTTTCCCACCTCAGCCTCCGGAATAGCTGGGACTACAGGTGCTCGCCACCACGCCTGGCTAATTCATTTTTATTTTTTGTAGAGATGGGGTCTTCCTGTGTTGCCCAGGCTGGTCTCAAACCCCTGGGTTCAAGTTCTTCCTGCCTTGGCCTCCCAAAGTGCTGGGACTACAGGCTTGAGCCTCTGTACCTGGCCTGGAAAGCATTTTCATATTATTTCCTTGGTAATTTCCTCCTTATTTCTCTCTCTGTTGTTCCTTTCTGATATTATATCTTCTCAACTGACATTTGAGTTTTCTATCCTTTTCACTCCTATTGTCACTCATTTAGTCTTTTTGTTCTACTTAGAGATTTCCCTGACTTTAGCTTCCAGCTTTTCCAATGGAATGTTTTTATATTGGTTATCATACTTTAAATTTCCATGACTTTTTTCTTGTTCTTTGAATTATAAAAAATAGCACCTTTTCACTTTGATAAGCCAAGGCAAGGAGTTTGAGAGCAGCCTGGCCAACATGGCAAAACCCCGTCTCTGCTAAAAATACAAAAATTAGCCAGGCATGGTGGTGCTCGCCTATAATCCCGACTACTCAGGAGGCTGAGGCAGGAGAATCACTTGAATCTGGGAGGCAGAGGTTGCAATGAGCCAAGATCGCGCCACTGCTCTCCAGCCTGGGCGACAGAGTGAGACTCTCAAAAAAAAAAAAGAAAGAAAAAAATAGCACCTTTCATTTCATGGCACTGATGTTTTCTCCTGTCCAAAAATATATATATTTAAAAAGCAATCTTTTTCTGTTGCTTATTCTGTTTCTCCAAGTCTTTTTTTTTTTTTTTTTCTTGTTTGTTCTGGTCTCAGTTTTCCATATTGGAAGTTTTCCTCAGATGTCTTGTGAACTGTGACTGTTCATTTATATGTAAGAGTGTGGAACTAAAAAACCTAGTTAGAAGCTCTGTGTGTTTCACAGTGACCTGCTGATGATGAGTTTCACTGTGGGGAAGCAGGCAGTGTGTTGGCTTTTTGTCAAGGGGCTACCCAAGTATCAGTGTTTGTGCTTTCCTCTGGAGCTATTCAGTCCTGCCAGAGAAGAATACTCCAGTTTTCTGTATGGTGGGCGAAATTCTGGATGCCAGTACACTGGCAGCGGGGAAGGACAAGGAGTCTCATTCTTCAGTATGGTAACTCTGATAGGCAGAAAGAGTGCCCCCACCTCCAGATATATATTTACTTCCTATTCCCCAGGACCTGTGACTATTACATTATTTGATGAAAGAGTTAAAAGTACCTTGCATATGGCTGGGTGCAGTGGTTCAGGCCTGTAATCCCAGCACTTTGGGAGGCTGAGGTGAGCGGATCACGACGTCAGGAGATCGAGACCATCCTGGTCAAACGGTGAAACCCCATCTCTACTAAAAATACAAAAAATTAGCTGAGTGTGGTGGCAGGTACCTGTAGTCCCAGCTACTCAGGAAGCTGAGGCAGGAGAATCCCTTGAACCTGGGAGGTGGAGGTTGCAGTGAGCCAAGATCACACCACTGCATTCCAGCCTGGTGACAGAGCAAGATGCCGTCTCAAAAAAAAAAACAAAAAAAAAAACACCAAAAAAAAACAACAACAAAAAAGTACCTTGTATAGCAAAAGATATGATTAAATTAAGGATTTTTAAGAAAAAGAAAAAAGATTTTTTATTCTGGATTATCCAGATGGGCCCTAAACACTATTACACACACCTTTATAAGACAGAGGCAGAGGGAGGTGAGATGGTTAGATGGAGACCCTCACAAAGGAGAAGATAATGTGAAGACGAAAGCAGAGATTGGAATAATGTGGACGTAAGCCAAAGAATACCTGGAGCCACCAGGGGCTGGAAATGGCAAGGAACAGATTTTCTCCAAGGCCTTTGCAGGGTGTGTGACCCTGCTGACACCTTGATTTCAGACTTCTGGCCTCCAGGACAGTGACGGAATACATAGCTGTTGTTTGAAAGCCAGCCAATTTATGGTATTTTGTTTTAGTAGCCATAGGAAAGGAATACAGTGACTTTCACTTAAATCTCTGCTTTCAGTCTGGTTTCATGCCCTGCTCTGCCTCCCCAGGATCAATTTCTCTGGAGAACAAACCTCACATCTGCTGGGAATTTGCCTGGGCCTGGTGAGAGAAACACAAGTATAGGGGCCTCAATAAATTTTATTTTTTCAGACAGATTCTTGCTGTGTCACCCAGGCTGGAGTGCAGTGGCATGATCTTGGCTCACTAAAACCTCCACCTCCCAGGTTCAAGCGATTCTTATGCCTCAGCCTCCCGAGTAGCTGGGATTACAGGCTTATCCCACCACACACACCTGTAATCTAATTTGTGTATTTTTAGTAGAGATGAGGTTTCACCATGTTGGCCAGGCTGGTCTTGAACTCCTGGCGTCAAGTGATCTGCTCGTCTTGGCCTCCCAAAGTGCTGGGATTACAAGCGCGAGCCACTGTGCCTGGTCCACAAACTTTTTTACTGCGGATCTTATATAAACTATATGTCTTATTTAAATTATCCCTTCCCCTGCCATCTGAGAGATTGATGCCTTCAATTTCTGATACTTCTGGAATAAAAGAGACAGGGTCGACCGTGCGCGGTGGTTCACGCCTGTAATCCCAGTACTTTGGGAGGTCAAGGCAGGTGGATTACTTGAGGTCAGGAGTTCGAGACCAGCCTGGCCAACATGGTGAAACCCCATCTCTACTAAAAATACAAAAAATTAGCTGGGTGTGGTGGCAGGTGCCTGTAATCCTACCTGCTCAGGAGGCTGGGCAGGAGAATCACTTGAACCTGGGAGGCAGAGGTTGCAGTGAGCCGACATCATGTCATTGCACTCCAGCCTGGGTGACAACAGCGAAACTCCATCTCAAAAAAAAGGAGACAGGGTCAGGGCATAAATTGGTTTGCTTCCTGTTTGTTTCACCTTCCATGGGCATTTAGGCTTCAACTCTCTCCAAACTATATGTTATCACTCCTCTATTTGATTTCCCTCTTCCAAAAATGTGTTGTCATCTCCCATGCATTGACTCTTCTCCTGTTCTCCTTGTCCTTGTGGGTTTATTCCTTTATTAACATTTTAGAGGACAGAGTGAACATAAATGCATGTAATTAATTAATTAATTTTTAAAATATATATATTTTTATTATACTTTAAGTTCTACAGTACATGTGCACAACATGCAGGTTTGTTACATATGTATACATGTGCCATGTTGGTGTGCTGCACCCATTAACTTGTCATTTACATTATGTATGTCTCCTAACGGAGTCTCGCTCTGTCGCCCAGGCTGGAGTGCAGTGGCGCGATCTCTGCTCACTGCAAGCTCCTCCTCCCGGGTTCACGCCATTCTCCTGCCTCAGGCTCCCAAGTAGCTGGGACTACAGACGCCCGCCACCACGCCTGGCTAATTTTTTTGTATTTTTAGTAGAGACGGGGTTTCACCGTGTTATCCAGGATGGTCTCGATCTCCTGACCTCGTGATCCGCCCGCCTCAGCCTCCCAAAGTGCCGGGATTACAGGCGTGAGCCACCGTGCCCGGCCTAATTAATTAATTTTTGAAACAGGATTTCACTCTGTCGCCCAGGCTGGAGTGCAGGGGTGTGACCACAGCTCACCATAGCCTTGATCTCCTGGGCTCAAGCAATCCTCCTGACTCAGCCTCCCGAGTAGCTGGGACCACAGGTACACACCACCATACTCAGCTAATTTTTGTTTTTTTTTTTTGTTTTGAGACGGAGTCTCACTCTGCTGCCCAGGCTAGAATGCAATGGCATGGTCTCGGCTCACTGCAACCTCCACTTTCCAGGTTCAAGCGATTCTCCTGCCTCAACCTCCCAAGTAGCTGGGATTACAGGCGCCTGCCACCATGCCCAGCTAATTTTTGTATTTTTAGTAGAGACGGGGTTTCACCATGTTGGCCAGGCTGGTCTCGAACTCCTGACCTCATGATCCACCCACCTTGGCCTCCCAAAGTGCTGGGATTACAGGCGTGAGCCACCGCGCCTGGCCGTTTTTGGTTTTTTGTAGACATGGGGTTTTGCCATGTTGCCCAGGCTGGTCTTGAACTCCTGGGTTCAAGGGATCCTCCTGCCTCAGCCTCCTAAAGTGGTAGGATTACAGGTATGAGCCATCACATCCAGCCTGACACTGATCTTTTTACTGTTTCCATGATTTTGCCTTTCCCAGAATGTCATATAGTTAGAATCATACATACAAGCTACATCATAGCATGTAGCCTTTTCAGATTGGCTTGTTTATTTTATTTTGTTTATTTATTCATTTATTTTTGAGATGGGGTCTCACTCTGTCACTTAGGCTGGAGTGCAGTGGCATGATCTCAATTCACTGCAACCTCCTCCTCCTGGGGTGTAGCGATCCTCCCACCTCAGCCTCTGAGTATCTGGGACCACAAGTGTATGCCACCACATCAGGCTAATTTTTTTTTTTTTTTTTGATACAGAGTCTCACTCTGTCGCCCAGGCTGGAGTACAGTGGCACGATCTCGGCTCACTGCAACCTCCACCTCCCAGGTTCAAGCAACTCTCCTTTCTCAGCCTCCCAAGTAGCTGGGATTACAAGCACCCGCCACCACAGGCGGCTAATTTTTTTTTTTTATTTTTAGTAGAGATGGGGTTTCGCCATGTTGGCCAGGCTGGTCTCAAACTCCTGACCCCAGGTGATCCATCTGCCTTGGCCTCCCAAAATGCTGGGATTACAGGCATGAGCCACTGCGCCAGGCCCAGATTGGCTTCTTTTACTTAGTAATATGCATTTAAGTTTCCTCCATGTCTTTTCACAGCTTGATAACTCATTTCTTTTTAGTAATAAATAATATTCTATTGTCTGGATGTACTACAGTTTATTAATACATTCACTTACTGAAGGACATCTTGGTTGCTTCCCTGTTTCAGCAATTATGGATAAAGCTGCTGTAAACATCCATGTGGAAATTTTGTATGGACATAACTTTTCAGTTCATTTGGGTAAATACGAAGGAGCACAACTGCTGGATCATATGATAAGAGTATGTTTAATTTTGTAGGCAACTGCCAAACTGTCTTTCAAAGTAACTGTACCATTTTGCACTTCCACTAGCAATGAATGAGAGTTCCTGTTGGTCCATATCCTTGCCAGCATTTGGTATGGTCAGTGTTTTGGATTTTGGCTATTCTAATAGGTGTAAGTGATATCTCACTGTTGTTTTAATTTGCAGTTCTCTAATGACATATGATGTCAAACATCTTTTCATATGCTTACCTGCAATCTGTATATCTTATTTGATGAGGTGACTCTTCAGATCTTTTGCCCACGTTTTAATTGGGTTATATATTTATTGCATTTTAAATGATCTTTGCATATGTTAGTTAGCAATCCTTAATCAGATAAACATATCTGATAAACAAATCAGATAAGATTTCTGATTAAGATATGCAAATATTTTCTTCCAGTCTGTGTCATGTCTTCTCATTCTCTTGACATTGTCTTTAGCAGAGCAGTTTTTAATTTTAATTAAGTCCAATTTATCACTTTTTTTTATGAACCATGTCTTTGGTATTGTATCTAAAAAGTCATTTCCATACCCAGGGTCATCTAGGTTTCTCCTATGTTATATTCCAGGAGTTCTGTAATTTTGCATTTTACATTTAGGTCTATGATCCATTTTGAGCTAATTTTTGTGAAGGATATAAGGTCTGCGTCTAGATTCATTTTTTTCGCATGAGGATTTCCAGCTGTTCTAGCACAGTTATTGAAAAGACTATTTTGCTCTATTGTATTGCCTTTGCTCCTCCGTCGGAGCTCAGTTGACTATATTTATGCGGCTCTATTTCTGTTTCTGGGCTCTCTATTCTGCTCCATTGATCTACTTATCTATCCTTCTTTTCTTGAGACAAGGTCTGGCTCTGTCACCCAGGCTGGAGTGCAGTGGTGCGATCTTGTCTCACTGCAACCTCTGGGCTCAAGCCAACCTCCCACCTCAGCCTCCCAAGTAGCTGGGACTACAGGTGCACACCACTATGTCCAGCTCATTTTTGCATTTTTTTGTAGAGATGGGTTTTCAGTATGTTGCCCAGGCTGGTCTCAAACTCCTGAGCTCAAGTGACCCACCCTCCTCAGCCTCTCAAAGTGTTAGGATTACAGGTGTGAGCCACCTCACCCAGCCTATTTGTCTATTCTTTCACCAATACCACACTGTCTTGATTATTATTAGTCATGAAGTCTTGTAGTATTAGCCCGCTGACTTTGTTCTTGAATATTGAGTTGACTATTCTGTTTTGTTGTGTTTTATTTTTACCTTTCCATATAACCTTTAGAGACCCTGTCTCAAATTTTAAAAAAATTTTAAAAAAAGAACAAGCAGCAAGCAGAACAGGTGTTTGTAGATGTTTTTTTGAGACAGGGTCTTGCTGCGTTGCCCAGGCTAGAGTGCAGTGGCAGGATCACAGCTCACTGCGGCTTCAACCTCCCAAGCTTAAGTGATCCTCCTGACTCGTCCTCCAGAGTACCTGGGACCACAGACATGCGCTATGACATTTGGATAATTTTTTTTTTTTTTGAGACTGGGTCTCGCTCTGTTACCCAGGCTGGAGTGCAGTGGCACTATCTCAGCTCACCACAACCGCCACCTCCCAGGCTCAAGCAATTCTCCTGCCTCAGCCTCCCAAGTAGCTGGGATTACAGGCATGCACCACCGCGCCCAGCTAATTTTTGTATTTTTAGTAGAGACGGGGTTTCACCGTGTTGGCCAGGATGGATTTTTTTTTTTTTTAAAGATGGGGGCTTCCCTATGTTGCCAGGCTGGTCTCAAACTCTTGGGCTTAAGCTATCCTCTCACCTCAGCCTCCCAAAGTGCTGGGATTATAGGTGTGAACCACCATACCTGGCCTAGAATACCTTTGATGGAATACAGACAAGGAAAGAACATGGGGTGCCTGAAATATTTTCTATCTTGATCTGAGTGATGGCTTCATAGGCCAATATACACATTTTTAAAAATCAAAATACACACTTAAAATTAGTGCACTTTATACATTTTATTGCATGTGTGCTATCTCTCAATTAAAAAAGTATATTAACCAAGTATTACATTAAGTAGAGAACATTCACAACCAAAAAAGAGAGCTGGGGCATCCACAGAGTTAGGTTCCCCTTGTGAAACTCCTCCCTGTAACAAGGCTTTTGATCTCACTGAAGAGCAATTCCCTGCTATGCTAGCAGCAAAGCCTGGAATGTGGTCAGGAGTCAGCAAAGTGTTGGGCCAGGTTTCTCCAACTCATGACGAGGCACTTGAAAATGGAAGACTTGAGGATGTAATGTCCCCTTTGGACTGTTATGGCTTGAGACATATGTTCTCTAAACCGGGCGCTGAGAAGAGGCAACAACCCCAGGACAAATTATCTGAAATATCCAAGTAACCTATTAGGTCCTGTCTGGCTGGGTCCTCCCCATTTCAGTTAAAAGGTGCTGAAGACCAGGGATCAATCCTTGGGTCCTGCAACCTCACTCTGTCTTCTGTCTTTCAGCCTTTTGCAAAAGATGTAGTCAACATTTCCTGAGTTTTCACTTAACAGGGTCTTAGATCCCTCTGGAAGTTGAGAGCATAAAAAAGCAGTCTGGAATTTCTTTGTATTATGGCATTGTTTAGTTCAGACTTAATTTCCCCTTCTGCTTCCTCCTTTGTGCCCTCTTACCCCAGGTCAAACAGGGTGACAATCACACAGCCAGCTTGTGATTTGTAAGGGTGTATTATAGACAGCAGGGAGGTATTTGTGCCTCCCTGGTGGCTTGTTCAAGGAGCTATAAATGTTGCTTTTTAGTCTGGGATGCTGATTCCACTTAAAAACCACAACACTAAGGATTAGGAAGGGAACTGAGACCCGAAGACCATGCTATGCACCAAGACTGTGTGGCTCCAAGAATTCACTGGGGAGGGTGACACTAGCCCTGTAAAATGTCCTCTAGTTTGTGGGGCTGTGTGAAGGCAACAATTCACATTCTGTTTGCCCAGGAGAGATTCACAGTGAAGGCGGTTCCAAACCAGTGAAGGCAAAGAAAGATTAAAAATCCGAGAAAACAGTCTCCTTAGGATCAACAGTCTTTTTTCTCAGTTATCTTTTCCTATTTCACATTTCAAAAACTCCTTTCACAGCTGAGCAGCAGTGCTCATTGTGCCAAAGTTGCACACAGCTCAATTCCAGTTTGAGTTTGGAATTGTGCCCCTTTAAAACCACTTTAAAACCTTTTAGTTCTTTCTTCCTCTGTGCAAGATATACTTGTACACAGCATCAACCCTTCCCCTGTGGTCAAATTAATGAATTCCATTTAAAAAAGAATAAAAACACACTGGTGAACACCCAGTATCCTTCTTAAAAAATTTAGAGGCAAAATAGGGGTTGCGGAGAACCCCCCACCCCATCAAAACAGGTGTCAAGGCATCCCTTCGTCATCAAGGACAGCCTTCTCACCCCAAAACCCCTCTCTGCAGTTGCTGGCCTGGCACGAACAGAGCTAGGTCTTTCCCAACTTTCCCTCCCTCATCTAGTTACCACTCTCTTCTAAAGGAGAGGTCAGGCTGGGCGCAGTGGCTCACCAGGATGCATGAAGGGATAAATTCTAGCCCCTGGGACAAGAAGGAGACTAGAGAAATAAGAAGCGTCAGTGTTCTCTCAGCATCTGGGATGATAGGGAAATGAAGGTAGCACAGGGGGTTTTGCTTCTTCTAGGAATGGCAGCCTTTTCTTTCAAGAAAACCAAACTGCTTTTCCTAAGGGAGGTAGGTTGTGGGTAAGCACTTTGCCCTCTTGTCCTCACCCAAGGTGAGGACAGAGCAAGACTCTGTCTCACAAAAAAAAGAAACAGAAAAAAAAAAAAAAAAGAAAAGAAAAGCCTCCAGCCATTTCTAGGGGACTCCTGTGGGACAGCACCTTTTTCTGAGAAATGGAGAAGGGGAGCAGATGTTGATTTCCCTCACACTTTGGCAGAAACTGAAGAACTTCTGGATTTGGGTCTGACGTCCTCTGGGTTTTAGTAGAAACTCCCTCTCTACTAAAAATACAAAATTAGCCGGGCGTGTAATCCCAGCTACTCGGGAGGCTGAGGCAGGAGAATCGCTTGAACCCGGGAGGTGGAGGTTGTGGTGAGCTGAGATTGCGCCACTGAACTCCAGCCTGGGCAACAAGAGCGAAACTCTGTCTCAAAAAAAAAAAAAAAAAAAAAGAAGGAGAGGTCAGCGCTGGGCTCTTTCCCTTGCCAATCCCCTATCAAGCCCTTTTGCCAACAAAAAAGGAACCAAACGTGGGTTTTCCATGCCCATGACAGTTCCCAACGTCAAGACAGATCTGTTTCCTGGTGTCACAGGGTGAGGACAAGAGGGCAAAGTGCTTACCCACATCCTACCTCCCTTAGGAAAAGCAGTTTGGTTTTCTTGAAAGAAAAGCCTGCCATTCCTAGAAGCAGCAAAAAACCCCTGTGCTACCTTCATTTCCCTATCATCCCAGATGCTGAGAGAACACTGACATTTCTCATTTCTCTAGTCTCCTCCTTGTCCCAGGGGCTATAATTCATCCCTTCATGCAACAGGCGCTGTGCTGGGGAATAAGACCACCAGTAGAAGGCACCAGGCTGGGGGTGGTGGCTCACGCCTGTAATCCCCGCACTTTGGGAGGCCGAGGAAGGTGGATCACCTGAGGTCGGGAGTTTGAGACCAGCCTGGCTAACACGGTGAAACCCCATTTCTAGCGAAAATACAAAAATTAGCTGGGCATGGTGGCACGTGCCTGTAATCCCAGCTACTCGGGAGGCCAAGGCAGGAGAATCACTTCAACCCGGGAGGTGGAGGTTGCAGTGAGCTGAGATCATGCCATAGCACTCCAGCCTGGGTGACAGAGTGAGACTCTGTCTCACCAAAAAAAAAAAAAAAAAAAAAAAAAAGGAAAGAAAAGAAAAGAAAAGCCTCCAGCCATTTCCAGGGGAGTCCTGTGGGACAGCACCTTTTTCTGAGAAATGGAGAAGGGGAGCAGATGTTGGTCTCCCTCACACTTTGGCAGAAACTGAAGAACTTCTGGATTTGGGTCTGACGTCCTCTCAACTGAGCTGATGCAGGCCAGTGCCCGACGCAGTGTGTGTGCAAGCTGCAGTGGTGGGTGGGTGGGAATGCCAGGAAGTGTTCATATGGGGGTTGAGGAAGTTTGGAGCATCATGGGAACAGAATGTGCTGGCCCTGTCCCTGAGCCATCCCCAAGCCCCTCCCACTTCCCTGGTCACTAACCAATTCCAGCTGTGCACAGTCCTGACCATCACTTCCCATACGGCTTCTAGGAACTTATGAGTAATTAAAAAAGTGTGTGTGTATGTCTGTGTTTGTGGGTATGTAGGGGAGTCCTCCTAAAAACAGAGGTTTCCAGGGTAACAGCTTAAAAATTCAACCCCACTCTGCCAAAGAAAGCTCCCTATGTCCTGACTCCCTGAGGGGGAAACAGGTCAGAGGCTAACACCACCAACTCCCACATTTATCCAGGTCAAGGGCAAAGTCGGGGCCAGCCCTAACTTGGTTACAGCTCATGTTTTTCTCACCTCCAGTTTCCAGTTTCAGGCTCCAGACTTGCCCTTCTACCTGCCCTCCAGGATTCCCCTTTCTTCTTTCCCCAGCTTCCCTGCCCACTGCCTCCACAGGGTAAGGGTGGCTGTCAGAGGGGGTGGGCGATAGCTTTGAGATTAGCTTCTGCTGGGCTTAGAAATCTCTACAAACTTTTGCCTTCCACCCATAACCCCATGGCCCCTGATCATTAGAAAATACTCTCAGAGGTCTACTCTACTCCCACTTGCTATAGTTTAAAATATTGTCATTAAAAATATTTCTGTAAAACTCTTTTGCCACAATTTGTGGACAGAGAGGGAAACCAACTTGCAGGAAGGGAGCAAGCAAGACAAAGAACCCATTTTTTTCTCTCAGATCAAGTTCTCTTTTTGGGGCAGGCAAGCCACATGTCCTAACCCTTCGCACACACGTCCACATCTCCCCCAGTGAGAGATGACAAATTTAGAGATGACAAAAAAGAGCTGGGTCAGCCCGGCTCAGGGGGTAGGAGCTGGTGGAGGGGGTGGTCATGATGCTGTGCTGGCAACAATTAGTCATCCAATCCTTGCACATGTGCCCAGCCTGCAGCTCCAGACTCTAGGGGCTTTTGTTTGGGTGCCTGTGGGAACTCTGGGAGACTGAAGAGTGCTGAGCAAAGATGGCAGCTTTAGAGCCTGCTCCAGGCTCTGCTGCATCCTAGCTATGTGACCTGAAGCAACTTATTAGAGACTCAGTTTCTCTTTCTGTAAAAAGATGATAATACTGGCCAGGTGCGGTGGCTCACGCCTGTAATCCCAGCACTTTGGGAGGCCAAGGGAGGTGGATCACTTGAGCTCAGGAGTTTGAGACCAGCCTGGCCAACACAGCAAAATCCCATCTCTACTAAAAGTACAAAAATTAGCTGGGTGTGGTGGCACGCGCCTGTAATCCCAGCTATTCGGGTGGCTGAGGCAGGAGAATTGCTTGAACCCGGGAGGCAGAGGTTGCAGTGAGCCGAGATTGCGCCACTGCACTCCAGCCTGGGCTACAGAGTGAGATTCAGTCTCAGAAAAGGAGTAAAAAAGATGATAATACTGGCTGAAGGGTTGTTGTTAAAATTTAAATGAAGTTATCTATTTGGCAGCTTTTACTTTTGATTTATTCTCTCTCTCCTGGCTCCTAAGTTGCTAGAATATAGTTCCACCCCCAGGCCTTCTGAGGCCGGAGTTAGTACCCACCCTCACCTTATGATAACTGCCATCTCTCTCCCTAACACACTAAATATATATATATATATATACACACACATATATATACACACACACACTTTTTTTTTCTGGTTAGGCACAGTGGCTCACACGTATAATCACAGCATTTTGGGAGGCCGAGGTGGGCCGATCACTTGAGCCCAAGACCAGCCTGAGCACCATAGGAAACCCGCCTCCCCCACCCCCCACACTCTCTACAAAAAATACAAAAATTAGCTGGGCTGGGTGGTGTGTGCCTGTAGCCCCAGTTATGCAGGAGGCTGAGGTGGGAGGATTGCTTGAGCCCAGAAGGCGAAGGTTGCAGCGAGCCAGGATTATTGTGCCACTGTTTTCCAGCCTGGGAGACCCAAAAAAAAATTTTTTTTTCTTTTTTTCCTTACATGAGGTTTCTAAGGGGAGGGAGTAATTTGCTATAACATTCATTTTACTTTACTCCTGTCCCTTGCATCCTCCTTGTCTGTCTCTTCCCCACCCCTCCCCTCACCTCTCCTCCATTATCCTCTCTGGCTCCCAAAGCTTTCTCCTCCCTCCCAGACAGTCTCTAGGGGCTGAGGCCAGGCAGGCGGAGCTGGGTGAGCTCAGTTCCACAGACAGTTTCAAAGAAATGCATCAAAATGTTACTAGTGGTTCTCTTTTGGGTAGAATTTACTAGTGGTTTTCATTTTCTTCCTTGTTTGTTTTGGTATTTTCTAATACCAAATATTATAATGAATGATGAATAACTTATTCAGGAAAAAAACACAAAACATTAATTTTAAAAATCGTAATTAATTTTCAATTGGCGCATGTTCTGTTCTCAAAAGGAGAAAGACTGGAAAGGGGGTAGAAAGAGAGGAGGAAGAGCCCCGCAGGGGACTAAGCAGGAACTTGTCCCCAAACTCCATCATTTCCTGGGTGCATCAGCCTTGGTGATGGGCCCTGTCACTCATCGCTCAGAGGCTTTCTGTCCTTCCTTGCCTGTCACTGGTCACTTGAGACTTAGTCACCCAATGGTTACCAGTTGGGTGGTGGATGGGCCAGACGGACCAGCATCATTGAGGGCAGCAATATGGATCAGGAGCATCCCCCACCTTGATCCTGGGCTGTGAGGTGTTCCCTTGTGGCCTCCCAGCCCTTCTGAGAACATAAAAGTTCAGTTACCTTTTCCCCCATTCCTATGTCTACTTCACTGTGCTTTTGAACAATATGAAAATGTTGTATGATGTGTAACTGATGGTGGAGCCTTCAGGGGTCCTAGTTACTTAAAGAACAAAGCTCTAAGTGTCAGTGTGGTGTACGGAAAGAGCATGAGTTATAGAGTCAGCAGAGGGATTTAAATAAGGTCAGGCCAGTTGGGAGTTCCATGTTCTTGGTCAAATTTCCCTTTCTGAGTATCTATTTCCTCCTACAAAAAGTGGCCGGAATAATTTTCCCCTCACCAGATGGCTGTGAGAACTATAGGAGGTAATATATAAAGCATGTAATACATAGTAGCTTTTTATTTATTTATTTATTTATTTTTTTTTTGTGGGGGGACAGAGTCTCGCTCTGTCGCCCAGGATGGAGTGCAGTGGTGCGATCTCAGCTCACTGCAACCTCTGTCTCCCGGATTCAAGCGATTCTCCTGCCTCAGCCTCCTGAGTAGCTGGGATTACAGGCGCGTGCCACCACGCCTGGCTAATTTTTGTATTTTTAGTAGAGACGGGGTTTCACCATGTTGGTCAGGCTGGTCTCAAACTCTTGACCTCAGGTGATCCACCCACCTCGGCCTCCGAAAGTGCTGGGATTACAAGTGTGAGTCACCATGCCCGGACTTTAATTCCTTTAATTTTTTATTTCCATAGGTTTTTGGGGAACAGGTGGTATTTGGTTACATAAATTCTTTAGTGTTTAGTGGTGATTTGTGAGATTTTGGTTCACCCATCACCCAATAATAGGTATTTTTATTTTAATTAATTAACTAATTAACTAATTTTGAGACAGAGTCTCATTCTGTCACCAGGCTGGAGTACAGTGGCGCGATCTCAGCTCACTGCAATCTCCGCCTCCCCAGTTCAAGCAATTCTCCTGCCTCAGTCTCCCGAGTAGCTGGGATTACAGGCGCATGCCATCACGCCTGGCTAATTTTTGTATTTTTAGTAGAGACAAGATTTTGCTATGTTGGCCAGGCTAGTCTCAAACTCCTGACCTCATGGTCCGCCCACCTCAGCCTCCGAAAGTGCTGGGATTACAGACGTGAGCCACTGCTCCCGTCCGGTATTTTTAAATGTAAGTTTTTCTTCTTTTCCTTGCATAGCATTTAAGGCCCTCTCCAAATTCTGTCTCCCAACCACTTTCCCACCCTGGTCATTCTTTGACAGTGATTTATTAAGCACAGCCTCGAAAGCATGGAGGTGGCCTGGGGTAGGCACTCGGGCTTCAGTGGTGAATGAAGCAGTCGTGACCCTTCTGACTTACTGAGTACAGCAGTCTCTCAGCTCTGCACTTTTACTCAAGACCTGCACTGTCTGTCTCTCAGTATCCTTTTACCCTATCAATTCTTTTTTTTTTTGAGATGGAGTTTTTGCTCTGTTGCCCAGGCTGGAGTGCAATGGTGTGATCTCAGCTCACTGCAACCTCTGCCTCCTGGGTTCACGTGATTCTCCTGCCTCAGCCTGCCGAGTAGCTGGGATTACAGGCGCCCGCCACCATACCTGGCTAATTTTTGTATTTTTAGTAGAAACAAGGTTTCACCATGTTGGTCAGGCTGGTTTCGAACTCTTGATCTCAAGTGATTCACCCACCTCAGCCTTTCAAAGTGCTAGGATTACAGGAGCGAGCCACCATGCCTGGCCTTACCCCATCAATTCTTAGCTGGCCTTCAAAGCCCATCTCAAAGCCTGACTTCTCAGCAAACCTCCCCCCAGCCCCAAGCCCCTTAGGGTGAATCACCTCTGGCCTGGCACGCTGGCTCCCCTCTTCCCAGGTGTCTGGATCTGCCTCACTGGATCCGTAAGCTCCCTGAGGGTAGGCTCTGGGCCCTTTACTTATTTGTGCCCTTGTTAAGTCCCACCTACACCCACATATTCCAGGCTCATTAGATTCTTGAAATAATGACTTTTTATTAAAGCAGACATAAGTAGGTTGCAGGAGCATCTATATTCCCAACTTGGTCTTGGGTACAAAGAAACTGAGACTTCACGCTTGACTCCTTCACCTGAAACCCAAGCTACCTCAGCTGTTTCCTACCTCTCAGCTTATTCTAGGGAGACTCAAAGGTAGGGGCGGAGTGATTTGCTGGCCCAGGGTCCCTGAGGCACATTGATGTCTAATTCCAGGGGATGTCCATGATCCCTATCTCTAGTCTCTCCAGAGATTCTGGTTCTCGTCCTGCCTGGATGCTCACCCTAGGGCAGTATGAAGTTTTTCCATCTCCAGCAGAGGACTCTGAGGGAAGCGATTGGGAACTCTCTTTGGCTTCCGCTCTCTGGTAGGGCAAGGGTTAATGGTGAATTGCAACATATCTCTTGGCTGAGTCACCTCCCTCTGCCTCTCCCCCAAATTCCCCTCAGCTGTTATAAAGAGGACTAGAGGCTGGAGAGTAAAAAGAACTGGGGGTAAGAGCCCCTCTGCCTAGCACTGCTCCCCCAAGGCTCCCAGAAATCTCAGGTCAGAGGCACGGACAGCCTCTGGAGCTCTCGTCTGGTGGGACCATGAACTGCCAGCAGCTGTGGCTGGGCTTCCTACTCCCCATGACAGTCTCAGGCCGGGTCCTGGGGCTTGCAGAGGTGGCGCCTGTGGTAAGTCCCCCAAGAAAGAGACCTGGGCCAGCGGAGGGACAGGGGTTACTGCTCCACAGCCCCATCGAAGCCTCCCTCCTGACCTTCAGCCTGCCTGCCTTTCCCTTGCTCTCTCTGCCCCATGGTCTACCCTGCCCATCTCCCGCTGCTTCCCCTTGTTCCACCTGAGCCCCTTCTCTAAGGTGCTTCTCCATTAGTGCTTCCATATCAGGTCCCTCCTCTCCTGATGGATCTGTTAGGTCACTTAGAAGCTTTACTCTGAGACTAACCCCCTTTTAACCTGCTTACCTCCACTCCCATCATAGGACTACCTGTCACAATATGGGTACCTACAGAAGCCTCTAGAAGGATCTAATAACTTCAAGCCAGAAGATATCACCGAGGCTCTGAGGTGAGAAGCTATGAGGTGTATGCCTTTAGGGCTAAGGTCTCAAGGTCTTCTTCCTTCTCATCCCTTCCTCTCCCCAGGCCCACCTCCTCCTGACCCTAAACCATGCCAGGGATTTAGAGATGGGTGGCGATCATTATTATGGTGGTGGGGCATGGGGTGAGATGGGGATTCACAGATGAGGAATACAGGCATTGGATCTTCCTAGGCCATAAGCATTCCTTTGGAGTCTCTACCCACATCATATCTCAAATACTAATATTTAGTTATAGTCCACATAAAGTGTAATGATATGTAAAACTGAGTTGAGTTGTTGACATGCTATTACCTTTTGTGGGCCTTCAATTTGGTACTTATTTATTTCTATTTTATAGTTTTATATGTTGATGTAATGGATTATTTTTCTTTCTGCTCTCAGATATGTTCAGGTCCCTTGAAAAGCCCCTAGGCCCTATGACAGTCCATAGATGGATGAAATTGCTCCAGGGCAAGCTGGGCTGGGACGGGTATCCATTCAGGAAGGGAGAAGGCTGAAGGAGGACAGGCTGTCAGGTGGGAGCACTAGTGGAAAGCTCTCCAGAGCAGGGGAGCCAGACACCTCCACAGAGTAGGAGAAGGTTAGAAATTGCAGTAGAGGGGCTGGGCATGGTGGCTCACGCCTGTAATCCCAGCACTTTGGGAGATCCAGGCAGGGGGATTGCTTGAGCCCAGAAGTTTGACAGCAACCTGGGCAACATAATGAGACCCCATCTCTACCAAAAAAGAAAGAAAGGAAGAAAGAAAGAGAGAAGAAAAAGAAAGGAAGGAAGGAAGGAAGGAAGGAAGGAAGGAAGGAAGGAAGGAAGATTGCAGTAGAGGAGGAAGGCTACACCTGAGGGCAAACTTACTCAAATAAAAGACACTGAAAATGGGGAGATGAAGCTGGAGTATCTCCATTTCTGCAGAACAGAAGAGAAAGTCCCAGTTATGAGGACTGGAGGCTGGAGTAACCCTGTCAGCTTCAGGGATTCTGTGCTATTCTTGGCCATGAACTTGGGCAGCAGGAAGTCAAAGAGCAATCATCTCCCAGTCATTTCAGATTTTCCTGTCCTGGTAGACCCATCCCTCTCCCTCCTTCAGAGCTTTTCAGGAAGCATCTGAACTTCCAGTCTCAGGTCAGCTGGATGATGCCACAAGGGCCCGCATGAGGCAGCCTCGTTGTGGCCTAGAGGATCCCTTCAACCAGAAGACCCTTAAATACCTGTTGCTGGGTGAGAACAGAGCCTGGAAAAGAGAGGGAGAGGAGGGGGTGATGTGGTTCTGGCGTGTGGGTGGCATTAGGACAGTCTGGACCAGCTCAGTGTTGAATAGATAATCACCTGGTGATTACCTGGTTGTCACCTGTCTTGGGGGTTGAGTGCCTAAACCCAGAGGAGCTCTCTGGGGTTGGCAGAAGGATCTGTATTTCTAATCTGTTTTCTGGTCATTAACTAGGCCGCTGGAGAAAGAAGCACCTGACTTTCCGCATCTTGAACCTGCCCTCCACCCTTCCACCCCACACAGCCCGGGCAGCCCTGCGTCAAGCCTTCCAGGACTGGAGCAATGTGGCTCCCTTGACCTTCCAAGAGGTGCAGGCTGGTGCGGCTGACATCCGCCTCTCCTTCCATGGCCGCCAAAGCTCGTACTGTTCCAATACTTTTGATGGGCCTGGTAGGCAACAGTTCTCAGTTCCCACCTCATAGACCTCTGAGATTACCTCTGTCTCCTTGAACCAGTGACTCTAGAACCTTGATGTTTGGGCTGCTCTTTATCCCACCTGCACCATACGCTCTCTAATTACCTCCTAACGGGAGCACGGGCGCAGTTGGTCATCTACATGGAGCCTCCTGTTTGAAACTTCCTCCCTCCCTCCCTTCCTTCTCTCCTTCTCTCTCCTTCCCTCCCTCCCTTCCTTCTCTCCCTCCCTCCCTTCCTTCTCTCCTTCTCTCTCTCCCTCCCTCCCTCCCTTCCTTCCTTCTCTCCCTCCCTCCCTCCCTCCCTTCTTTCCTTCCTCTCTCTTGCTTGCTTGACAGTCTCACTCTGTTGCCCAGACTGGAGTACAGTGACACAATCATGGCTCACTGCAGCCTCAACCTCCCAGGCTCAAGTGATCCTCCCGCCTCAGCCTCCCAGGTAGAGACTACAGGCAAACACTACCACACCTGGCTAATTTTTGTAGAGATGAAGTTTTGCTATGTTGCCCAGGCTGGTCTTAAACTCCTGTACTCAAGCAATCCTCCTGCCTTGGCCTCTGAAAGTGTTGGGATTACAGGTGTGAGCCATCACCCCTGGCTGCCTATGCTTCTTTTTCTCCCTTAAGTTCCCCTGTTCAAGGCATACCTTAGAGGTATGGGCCAGAGAGGACTGGGTCAGAGAGCAGGGAGTGGCTGGGAAGGTAAGGGACAGTGATGGGCATTCCTGAGAGAACTGGGTGATGACAGGGGAATCTGAAAGGGGAGAAAGAAGCATCCAAGAGACAGTGAACATAGCTGGGGGAATTTTAAAGGTATGCATTAATTAGAGTTTATAATAGGCAGGGTGTGCTCTAGCCTAGCGGGCTCTGACCTCCTTCCTGTTCACCTTTGCCTTTGTCCAGGGAGAGTCCTGGCCCATGCCGACATCCCAGAGCTGGGCAGTGTGCACTTCGACGAAGACGAGTTCTGGACTGAGGGGACCTACCGTGGGGTGAACCTGCGCATCATTGCAGCCCATGAAGTGGGCCATGCTCTGGGGCTTGGGCACTCCCGATATTCCCAGGCCCTCATGGCCCCAGTCTACGAGGGCTACCGGCCCCACTTTAAGCTGCACCCAGATGATGTGGCAGGGATCCAGGCTCTCTATGGTCAGTCCCTCCCCCTAGTGAGGGGGAGGGTCAGTCTGACTCCCACGTCAAGGCTTGAAGAGACAGGTCTAGCCTCCATGTAGGGATATAGCTTAGTGTCTTTCTTCTCCTCCAGCCCAGTTACTCAGGCTTCTTCATTTTCAGGAGCAGTTTTTCTCAGACTCTTCTATGTCTAATCTTCCTTCCAGGCCTCTCTCCTTACACCCATGCTTGGGGATGGAGAATGCACCTTCTTTTTTTTTTTTTTTTTTTTTGAGATAGAGCCTCACTCTGTCACCCAGGCTGGAGTGCAATGGCATGATCTTGGCTCACTGCAACCTCCGCCTCCCGGGTTCAAGCCATTCTCCTGCCTCAGCCTCCCAAGTAGCTGGGATTACAGGCACACGCAACCACGCCCAGCTAATTGTTTTTGTATTTTAGTAGAGATGGGGTTTCACCATGTTGCCCAGGCTGGTCTTAAATTCCTGAGCTCAGGCAATCCACCCGCCTCAGCCTCCCAAAGTCCTAGGATTATAGGCGTGAGCCACCACACCCGGCAAGAATGCACATTTTAACAATCCTCCTTCTCCCTTTCTGGTGTCTCTCAAACCTAGAACGTGTCTCCCGCTGATATCAACATAATATTGCCTACCACAAATGAAAACGCTCTAGGATTCCCTTTTCCCCTCTGTATGGGGACTCTGAGCAAAACTTACAGGAGACTGGTGTGGAGGACAGGTGCTGTGAGTTCTCTCCCTAAGCAGCATTACTTTACCTTATAGGCAAGAAGAGTCCAGTGATAAGGGATGAGGAAGAAGAAGAGACAGAGCTGCCCACTGTGCCCCCAGTGCCCACAGAACCCAGTCCCATGCCAGACCCTTGCAGTAGTGAACTGGATGCCATGATGCTGGGTGAGGCCCCTCCCCTCCAGGCTGTTGGCAGGCGGTGGGGGCAGCCTGCTGATCCTGAGGCCTGGACAAATGGGAGTGACATGGGACTTCAGCATGAGCAATGGAGGTTAGACCCCAGGCATTAATGACCATGGAAGGAGACATGTGACATGGGGAGGGAGAGTTCGGAGCCAAATTAAAGGTGGCTTAGGCAGGCACTTACCAAGGCTGCCACGCTCTAAGGGCCACTAGAACACATCTGGAAATGCAGCAAGATGGAGAAAACTATATTACCCAGATTGCCTGTTAGAGAGGGTGCACCTGGTTGGAAGGACAACTAGGAAGCCACTTGGAGGGGAGGGTGAGGTTCCTAAGGAGGAATAGCTATCTGCAGGGCTTTTGTTTTGTTGAGTGGACCAAAGCTGAAACGCTCTGAGCAACAAAGCATTCTGAGTCCTCTTTGTCTGCCTTTAATTTTCTCTTTGAATTAAAGTTGAATGAATTTTTGAAGAATCAGCCTGCAGGGAGAGGGCAAATTGTTAGTCAGCCTGAGATACCCCCAAGTTTCTGTCTACTTGACCTCTGTCTTTTTGACTTGTTGACACACCATTACGCTCAGGGCCCCGTGGGAAGACCTATGCTTTCAAGGGGGACTATGTGTGGACTGTATCAGATTCAGGACCGGGCCCCTTGTTCCGAGTGTCTGCCCTTTGGGAGGGGCTCCCCGGAAACCTGGATGCTGCTGTCTACTCGCCTCGAACACAATGGATTCACTTCTTTAAGGGTAAGGAGGCTAGTTACAGTGTCTTACTTGAGGAGGGCCTAATCTTAAAGAAACTATAAAAGGGAGGGAGATGAGAAGTTTCTGAATAGGTGGACCGGAGGAGACCAAAAGCTATCACCTGAGGACAGAGGTGACTTGTTCTTTCCTCACATGCTCTCAGGAGACAAGGTGTGGCGCTACATTAATTTCAAGATGTCTCCTGGCTTCCCCAAGAAGCTGAATAGGGTAGAACCTAACCTGGATGCAGCTCTCTATTGGCCTCTCAACCAAAAGGTGTTCCTCTTTAAGGTATAAAGTTCAAAGCAAGGGCAAATCCCTTCTTAGGAGGAGTGGGCTACCTTATACTGAGAAGCAAAGCTTGCGCTTGAAGGGAGATGTTCTGCAGCTGCAGTGGGCTGGGGGTGGACCCCTGGGGGTCCTAAGCTCTCTCCTCTTCCTCTCCCCTCTCCCCACCCATCCCATATCCAGGGCTCCGGGTACTGGCAGTGGGACGAGCTAGCCCGAACTGACTTCAGCAGCTACCCCAAACCAATCAAGGGTTTGTTTACGGGAGTGCCAAACCAGCCCTCGGCTGCTATGAGTTGGCAAGATGGCCGAGTCTACTTCTTCAAGGGCAAAGTCTACTGGCGCCTCAACCAGCAGCTTCGAGTAGAGAAAGGCTATCCCAGAAATATTTCCCACAACTGGATGCACTGTCGTCCCCGGACTATAGACACTACCCCATCAGGTGGGAATACCACTCCCTCAGGTACGGGCATAACCTTGGATACCACTCTCTCAGCCACAGAAACCACGTTTGAATACTGACTGCTCACCCACAGACACAATCTTGGACATTAACCCCTGAGGCTCCACCACCCACCCTTTCATTTCCCCCCCAGAAGCCTAAGGCCTAATAGCTGAATGAAATACCTGTCTGCTCAGTAGAACCTTGCAGGTGCTGTAGCAGGCGCAAGACCGTAGATCTCAGGCCTCTAACACTTCCAACTCCAGCCACCACTTTCCTGTGCATTTTCACTCCTGAGAAGTGCTCCCCTAACTCAGATCCCCTAACTTAGATTTGGCCCCCAACTCCATTTCCTGTCTGTCTTAGACAGCCCTTCCAACTGTGTCATCTCTTCTCTGGAGGTCAATGGTGGAGGGAGATGCCTGGGTCCTGTTCTTCCTACATAAAATGCAAGAAAACAGCATGGCCAGTAAACTGAGCAAGGGCCTTGGAATCCTTGAGAATCACATTTATGTGCTTATGATTACGGGCAAGCTAATTAACCTTGTTGAATCTCAGATTCCCCATTTGCAACATTAGGTTAAGACCAGTACTGCAGGATTGTTGCACTAAATGAAATACTGTATGTGAAGTGCCTGGCACAGTGTCTGGTACATTTGTGTTTAATAAAAGCTAACTCCATGTTCATAAGAGAGGACTGAACAGCTCTTCCTCTAGCTGTCTGGCTGTATAACTCTTACAGTAGTCTGTATAATAAGGGCATCTCTATTAGATCTTTAGGGGACAGAGGATTTGTCAAGATGGTTAGCTCTTTGTTTTGGGGTGCAGAGAAAGAAAAGAGCAGCAACAGCAGAGGCTGGACTCCCTGGTTCAGTATTTAATGCCATTTTATTCACATGCTCCCATGTTCTCCCTCCCTCCCATTGTAGCCTTGCTGCCCAGGGGAGGGATATGTCTTCCTTTATGCATCTGGGAAACCAGGAACAGACCCTGCGCAGGAGAGTCAGAGGGGGAAGAGTTAGAATGGGTCAGTGGCTGGAACAAAGTTCTGGTTAAGGAGGAAATTAGTGCCACCCACGGTGAGAAGCAGAGAAGGCACTTGCATCCTATGCAGCCCTGAAGACCAGGCTCCTTTGGGCAAAAGGCAAGACTCTGGCAGGTGGGTCAATGCTCTCTCCTTGGAGCAAGAAGCCAGCTTTTGGGGAAGGCAGGTCCTGAGGCAGGCACTGCCCTGTGGTCTTCCCCAGGTTGAGGAGAGAAGTGGAAGCCCCATGGAAGACAGTGCTCCCAGCTGAGGTAGGAGGCGGAGGTGGGGGTGGGGGTAGTTTAAGCCTATGGGGCCCAGGGGGAAAGGCCAAACAGAAACCCAACTACCCCCTAATGAAGGGCCTGGAGGTTGGGGTATCTTGGAGCTCCTCAGAGCCCTTCTTCCCATCAAAAAGGTATCAAATGCCTTGGAAGCTCCCTGATCCTACAAAACAAAAAAATGCTTATTTTTACCACTGTGAGGCAAGCTGAGGTGAACATTTAAAAGGCTATTTCAAGACGAGGTGCGGTGGCTATAATCCTAGCACTTTGGGAGGCTGAAGCAGGAGGATCACTTGAGCCCAGGAGTTCAAGACCAGCTTGGGCAACATAGGGAGACCCTGTCTCTGCAAAAAAATAAAAACGAATACATAAAAATTAGCTGTGTGTGGCGTCTGTGGTCCCAGCCACTCAGGAGGCTGAATGAGAGGCTCGCTTGGGCCGGGGAAATCAAAGTTGTCATGAGCTGTGGTCACGCCACGGCACTGGACAGAACAAGACCTTGTCTGAAAACAAACAAACAAACAAAAGCTATATGGGTAAGGCTTGGAGGGAATTCGGGAGTCAATTTCTTTGGGGACCAGGGCACCTCTATTATTGGTCAGAGGTAAATATTCATACTTCCCTTCCTCCCCCTTCCCCATAAGACTCTTCTCTGTTCTTGGAACATATCCCTACAAAGCTGGTCTGGGTTGAGGCACAGATCCTGTCCCCAAGTCCAAGAGGTGGGGAAGTTTGTGTGCAGGTCCTGTGGGCTCAAACCCTGCCCACCTAGTGTTCCCAGGCCCTCACAGGGGTAAGGGAAAAAGTGGAAGTCTAGGCTCAGGTCTGGTTAGAACCAGAGATTAAGGTGAGGGGTACAGTGGAACCACAGTCAGAATCCAGGTCCAGGACGGTGTGGGGGGCTGTGGTCTGGGGTCCTGGTCCCAGTTGGCACTCTTGAAGACTCTGGAAGTAACTCTGGAGGGACACAGGGCAGAGAGGGAGTAAGGAGGGGCCTGGGTCAGAGCCCCCCTCCCACCCTGACCATCCCCATATGTCCTCTGCTCCATCTGCCCAGGGTGTCCCCAAGTCCCCCACTCACTGGAGCGAGACTGTCAGCAGGGCTGCAGGTATTGGCAGGGAGCTGATGCCGACAGCTGCCCTCACAAAGCCCCACCCCAGAGGGGATCCAGTGCCATTTGGCCTTTTGCTGAAGGGTCTGAAGGAGTTGGAGATGGCTTTGCTGGTGGCTTAAGACCACTGCTGGCCGGGCGCGGTGGCTCACACTTGTAATCCCAGCACTTTGGGAGGCTGAGGTGGGTGGATCACTTGAGGTTGGGAGTTCAAGACCAGCCTGGCTAACATGGTGAAACCCCATCTCTACTAAAGATACAAAAACTAGCCGGGCATGGTGATGCATATCTGTAATCCCAGCTACTCGGGAAGCTGAGGCATGAGAATCACTTGAATCCAGGAGGCGGAGGTTACAGTGAGCCAAGATCATGCCACTGTACTCCAGCATGGGTGACAGAGTGAGACTCCATCTCAAAAAAAAAAAAAAAAAAAAAGACCACTGCTTCGGAGGGGGCAATACAGACTCAAGAAGGCCTCTTTAGGCCCTGAATCCTACCCTATACACACTCACATTCTAAAGAAACCCATTTGACCTTCCTGTTGTTTCTCTCAAGCCTCATCTTCCCCCCCCATTTATTCCTCTTTTTTTTTTTTTGAGATGGAGTCTCGCTCTGTCGCCCAGACTGGAGTGCAGTGGCGCGATCTTGGCTCACTGCAAGCTCCACCTCCCGGGTTCAAGCCATTCTCCTGCCTCAGCCTCCCCAGTAGCTGGGACTACAGGCGCCTGCCAACAGGCCCAGCTAGTTTTTTTTTTTTTTTGTATTTTTAGTAGAGATAGGGTTTCACCGTGTTAGTCAGAATGGTCTCGATCTCCTGATCTCGTGATCCGCCCGCCTTGGCCTCCCAAAGTGCTGGGATTATAGGCGTGAGCCACCGTGCCCAGCACCCCCCCGACAATTCATTCTAAAAGAAATTCTTCGAAATTCTATTTTTCCTCCTAGACTTCCCTGAGATCCTCCTTTCCTTCTGTAACTCTTTCCTGCTTCCCCTGACTCCTTCAACTTTTTTTTTCAGTGCCCTGCCCCATTCACCTTGGACATCCTCCCCCACTCTCCTTCCTCAAGTGTATTTCTCCCCTTCCCTCCTTAAGTCTAGGAACTGGGGACATGAGTAGGCACAGGTTGGCTGCTTCTGTACCACAGCACTAACTCACCATTAGCGTGGCCTCCATGTTCCTCAGGCACGAGCTTCCACTGGGCCAGGGCTCCAAGGGCCCCCAAGGCTGGCCAGATCCCCAGTAAGACCCAGCTATATCAGCAGAGAGAAGGCAAGGCTGGAAGTGTCTGCAGGCGTTGGCCCAGCCAACTCCCCAGTGCCAGCCCCTCCAGGAAGTAGTCAACACAGGCCACAAGCACTGCAGAACCCAGCAGGGTTGTGCCCAGAACTGTGAATGGACGTGGCCACCGAAGTGTGAGCAGGGCTCCCAGCAGCGCCAGCCCCACCAGCCCCCCAGCTGGCACCCAGGCTGAAGGTGGTTGGTAGATAGGCTCAGAAGCCAGCAGGGCTCCGGCACCCAAGGTCAGGCCTAGCAGGAGACCCGTCAATAAGAGCCCAACACAGTGAACCAACATGGTGACCACGCCGCAGAGGAGTCATGATGACCACGGCGATGCCCACTCTCATTTCCAGGCTCAGCTGTGTCTCCAGCACCCGCACCTTGTGGCACAGTAGGAAGCTCACCAGCGCTCCTGACAGCTGACCGGAGAGAAACGTCACTGTCTTGAAGCAGCAGTAGCCTGGGAAGTGAGGCAGGAGGAATTGAGAGGCAGGAAGGGGGCTCTACAGGGATGACTCTGATGAATTCCAAGGGAGAGGAATGGCTCACTAGAGGAGCAGAAGACAGGAGCAGCACGTCAAGGGACCTCAAGGCCAGGGGCAGAAAGGGGTCGCTTAGGGTCGGGGGGGGGCACTGTTTCAGGAACTGTGAGGGAATGGGAGGGAAAATCAAGAGGTAAGATGGATACATTGAGGGGAGTAAGGATAGAAAGAAGGTCTAGTCCTTTTAGGGATAGCAGATAGGAAAAAATCAGCACAAGCTGATTCAGGTTTTTGGAGAAGAGTGAAGAAGTCTGAAATATAGTGAATAATTTAGGAATGGGGTTTTCAGGTAGGAGTTAAGAGAAGAGCAAATGATAGATGCCAGAGGTGAAAGCTGGAAGGCATGGGCATGGAGGATGGACAAGAAGCTGGCAAGAGCAACATGGGCCTAGGAATACAGCCAGAGCAACATGGGCCACACTAGAGGTAGGAACCCCTGGCAGAGGAGGTGAGATGGCCCAGGAGCAAGGAGGAAAGCTGGCATCATCCTTGAGGATGACAGTCTTGGGCAATGGCCCCCCAGGTCCTTGGCCCTGCCCTCACTGAAGCAGCAGTAGATGATTCCAAAGCAGCAGCAAAGGGCACACACCAGGGCAAGTGCCAGTTCAGGATTGTCCTGGGGTTCCAAAACACATCTTGGGTCTGGAGGCTCTGGGAGTTGTTGATTAAAGGGCCTGGGGTCAGATGTCACAGCCAGGGGCAGCAAGACTTCCTCCATGGCCAAAGAGAAAGTGGTCACAGAGCGGGAGGTGTCAGCTCCTCTCACCCATCCATGAATGTCTTTAGGGGATTGGGAAACCTGCAGCGGGGCACGGGGCAGAAACTCAGGTGCCCATAAATCTTGAGGACTCTGTACCTCTATTTCTTTTAAATAATGGTGCCCATTTCAGGAGCCAGTATGACCCTGTTGAGGTAACTGAAGAAATCTACAGGATTGGATTGAGAGGAGCAGGATCTGTCTTTACCACTCTCTGAAACAAGTACACTTAAGTAAAATGTAAAATGAAATCTTATAAAGTAATGAAAATCTTATAAAGTAATGAGCCTTTGCCTCCCCCCACCACCCTGCAGCTCTTCAGGGTGAGGGTGGAAAGAACAGGAAGCCCTGGGTGTGTGGAGGGAGGGGTGCTGGGACATTATTGCCCCATCTGCGACTGGGACTTAATACTACCCCACTGGATTGGGAAGGGTGAGGTTAATAGAGAGGGGAGAGGGAGGGAGAACAGGAGAGTATGAGTCATGGTGGGGGTCTCTGGACAGCTGCTCCAGGCCCAGGGCAGAAAGAGGGAAAAAACCAGACACCAAGAGTTTGGGAGGAGGAATTAAGTAGAGACAGTCACCCACAGTTTGTCAGGGTTTTAAAGCCTCAGCTTCATGCTGAGATGGAGTTGTTGGAGGAAGAGGCATCCAGCCACAGTCCTAATCCCACAGCCCCTCATGGAATAAGCAGGGACTTTGCCCACAGACATCTCACATCCTGGTAGCCACTCGCACCTCCCCTTAGGATATTGGTGGGACTTTTCCTACCTCACCCTTCCCCCAGCGGTATCAGGGCTGCCAATGGGATTTGAATTCAAATCCTGAAAGGAGAACACCAAGGAGGAGCTGGCATTTCGGGCACTGTGGGAATGAAGTGGCAAAAATGCAGGCACATTACTTTCTTCAGCTGTCCTTTGGATATCAAGGTCCTTACAGGCTGGAGGGTTGACTCTCGGAGCTCCTCTCCTCAATCTGCTTGGAAGTCTGGGGACCCTGGACAAGCGGGGGTTGGGGAGGGGATGTTAACTACTCACCATCCTGCCAGGATTGAGGAGAGGAGGGGGTGGAAGTGCTTCCCTAGACCTCCAGATGCATCCCTGCTCGGAGGTCCTAGACGCCGGGGGTGCGGCTGTCGGTCAAGAGCACCCCCAGGGTCACTCTGTTGCTGCCTAAACTCTTTCAAGTCGCAGCCCAGGCTCTGTGAGCTAAATGCAACTAGCTTGCAGGGTGGAGAAAGGGGACAGGGCGTGTGTGTTGGGGTGTGTGTTTGTGTTTGTGTGTGTGCGCGCGCGCGTGCGCGCGGTGGGGGGAGGAGGGGTGACATCACAAGGCAGGCCCCTCCAATTCTTTCCCGTGTGTGTGGGGGGACCCAGGTTGCCTACTGCTCTAGTCCAGGACCAGAGACCCCCAACTATATAGCAGGTAAGAGTCTTGAGGGTCACCCCAAGAGTTTTGGAGAAGGGTCTCCGAATACTTAGGAGATGACAACCGGAAGCTCTCAAAGCCCCAATAGGGGTCCCAGCGCCCCCCTAGCTTCAGCTTGGTTTCTTCCACTTTCCAGAGAATTGGAGTATTGTCTCCTGGAGAACCGGGTGGTCGGGATCGTGGACCAGGGAAGGGGCTTTTGCTGGTCGGGGAGCGCCAACTGGGGGTTCATGGGTGGAAAAACTTTCGGATCAAGACGGGGTATAAGGCTAGAGGCGTGTGCAGAGGAGGGGACCGACGGAACGGGGACCCAACTGGGTCTACGTGGGGGCGGGGGCGCTTGTGGACGTCCACCAAATAGCTTGGTATGCAGATGAGATGTCAAGCAGCAGGTAGATGAGTTCAGTGTTCTTTGGCTCACGGGCAAAGTTCTGAGCCGAGCCAAGTTACGCTCCCAGTTCCTAGGCACCGCTCGGTGATCGGGCCTGGGGAGCTGCGACCCGAGGGGCGGATCCAGGTATAAGGGGCAGCTCGCCAGCTGGGTCAAGCGCGGGGGAGGCCGTGGGTTGCTGTGAAAGGAGGGGCAGTGCTGCGGGGCGAGGGAGGGGGCCAGCCGGGGCACCCTCTCCTCTGCTCCACCTCCGCACCGCAGGATACAAAGGGGCCTGTGTCCTCGCAGCTGCCGGCACGGAAGGGATCAGGGCAGTGACTCTTCTGAGCTCCCTGGTTTTGTCTGCAAGGGAAAAAGACTATATGTGGCTCGGTGGCTGCCCTCCATCTCCCAGGAATACAAAGCCTAGGAATACACCCAGAGCAATCCTGAGAGTCTGCCCTTAGTCTGCAGGCATTGGTGCAGAGTCCACCTGCCTTGCTTCCTGCGGTGCAACCTGCGGGAATCCCATTCCCACACGCGGAGGGAGGGGCCTTTAAATGGCGGGGCCAGTACTTCCTTAGGACCGCCTCCTTGGAGTCGACGCAGCCCTAGCTGGATTGGCTTGCCTCTCAGCCAACCGCTATTTCTTTTCCTTCCCGTCTCTTCCCTGGTGACCCCGGAAGTGGAAGTAGGCCCAGGTCGCCGGCGGCCGCGGGGACGGAAGGCGGAAGCAGAGCGTGAGCGGGAGGCGGAGCCGGGAGAGCGGCTCTCGTAGCTCACCCTGGCCCCAGGCCGGGCGGCTCGAGGGGGAGGAGTTACCGCCGTTCTTCGGTACGTCCGTCTTTTTTTTTTTTTTCGTTTTTTTTTGTTTTTTTGAGATGGAGTCTCGCTCTGTCACCCAGACTGGAGTACAGTGGCACGATCTCGGTTCACTGCAACCTCCACCTCCCGGGTTCAAGCGATTCTTCTGCCTCAGCCTCCCGAGTAGCTGGGACTACAGGTGCGCGCCACCACGCCTGGCGAATTTCTGTATTTTTAGTAGAGACGGAGTTTCACCATGTTGGCCAGGCTGGTCTCGAACTCCTGACCTCGTGATCCGCCGGCCTCGGCCTCCCAAAGTGCTGGGATTACAGGCGTGAGCCACGGTGCCCGGCCACCTTCGTCCCTTCTACACAGCCGGTGGGTTCCCTGTTAGTCTTTCTTAGGGGCAGCCCTAAGCTCCGCCCCCAGATTTTCCTCCAGGGCCGCATGGCCCCCACCCATTACTGGAAGTCTGTGGCCCCCTTTCCGGCGGTCTTTCCCATTTTCCTAAGAGTGACCCACCCTCCCCCGACCACACCCTTTACGGTACCTCCCTGTTTCCCTGATTGAAGGTTATAGTTTTCTGGGGAAAGAAGAAAAACTTAAGTGATTTGGAGGAGAGGGGAGGGAGCAAGCAGGGTTGTGGTGAGTCTAGTTTTGGCTTATTGCTAGGAATAGCGAATGCCCCAAAAGAACTTGGGAAAACAAGGGAGGTGGATGAATTAAATGTGTCCACTATTTGAGATTGTTTAATTCCTCTCTTGGTCTCATCCTTGACTGTCTCCACCTTGATATCTGTTACAGGCATCAGAACACACCATGATGGCTGTGACCTAAGACCCTCAGGAAGCCCCGGGGTCATGGCCCAGAAGCACCCCGGAGAAAGAGGGTTGTATGGAGCCCACCACAGTGGTGGTGCCTCCCTCAGGACTTTAGGACCCTCCGTGGACCCTGAAATACCTTCATTCTCAGGACTCAGGGACTCAGCAGGGACTGCTCCTAATGGTACCCGCTGCCTCACAGAGCACTCTGGTCCTAAGCACACACAGCACCCAAACCCAGCCCATTGGTTGGACCCAAGCCATGGCCCCCCAGGGGGTCCAGGACCACCTAGAGATGCAGAGGACCCTGATCAGAGTGAGACGTCTTCAGAAGAAGAATCAGGAGTGGACCAGGAACTCTCAAAAGAAAACGAGACTGGGAACCAGAAGGATGGGAACTCTTTTCTTTCCATTCCATCTGCTTGCAACTGCCAGGGAACACCTGGAATTCCAGAAGGGCCTTACTCTGAGGGAGGAAATGGTTCTTCTAGCAACTTTTGCCACCACTGTACCTCTCCAGCTTTGGGGGAAGATGAGTTGGAAGAGGAATATGATGATGAAGAATCTCTCAAGTTCCCCAGTGATTTTTCACGTGTGTCCAGCGGAAAGAAACCCCCATCCCGGAGACAGCGGCACCGCTTTCCAACGAAGGAGGATACTCGGGAGGGTGGACGTAGGGATCCCAGGTCCCCTGGTCGACATCGGCTGGGTCGGAAACGAAGTCAGGCAGATAAGCGCAAAGGCCTGGGATTGTGGGGAGCCGAGGAACTATGTCAACTTGGACAGGCAGGCTTTTGGTGGCTGATTGAACTGCTGGTATTGGTGGGAGAGTACGTAGAAACTTGTGGCCATCTCATCTATGCCTGCAGGCAACTGAAAAGCAGTGATTTGGACCTTTTTCGAGTTTGGATGGGAGTGTGGACAGGGCGGTTAGGGGGCTGGGCCCAGGTCATGTTTCAGTTTCTAAGCCAGGGGTTTTACTGTGGAGTAGGACTGTTTACTCGTTTTCTTAAGCTGCTGGGTGCTTTGCTGCTCCTGGCTCTGGCCCTCTTTTTGGGCTTTCTACAGTTGGGATGGCGGTTTCTGGTGGGACTAGGTGACCGGTTAGGCTGGAGGGATAAGGCTACCTGGCTCTTCTCTTGGCTGGATTCTCCAGCCTTGCAGCGTTGCTTGACTCTGCTGAGAGATAGCAGGCCATGGCAGCGGCTGGTAAGAATAGTTCAGTGGGGCTGGCTGGAGTTGCCTTGGGTCAAGCAGAATATTAATAGGCAGGGGAATGCACCTGTAGCTAGTGGGCGCTACTGCCAGCCTGAAGAGGAAGTGGCTCGACTCTTGACCATGGCTGGGGTTCCTGAGGATGAGCTAAACCCTTTCCATGTACTGGGGGTTGAGGCCACAGCATCAGATGTTGAACTGAAGAAGGCCTATAGACAGCTGGCAGTGATGGTGAGTACCCTTCTGTTTCCTGTTTCTCTCTTTTGTTCCCATATTTTTTTTTTTTTTTTTTGAGATGTAGTCTCGCTCTGTCACCCAGGCTGGAGTGCAGTGGCACAATCTCAGCTCACTACAACCTCCGCCTCCTGGGTTCAAGCGATTCTCCTGCCTCAGCCTCCTGAGTAGCTGGGATTACAGGTGCGCGCCACCATGCCCGGCTAATTTTTTTTGTATTTTTAGTAGAGATGGGGTTTCACCATGTTGGTCATGCTGGTCTCGAACTCCTGACTTCATGATTCACCCACCTCAGCCTCCCAAAGTGCTGTGATTACAGGTGTGAGCCACTGGTCCCAGCCTGTTCCTATATTTTCTATTCCAGTTTTAGGGAGAGTGGAATAAAGGGAAGGCAGAGTAGAAAGTTAACGGGTAGGTGAAGGTTAACGTTCTTCTTTTTTTTTTTTTCTTGAGACGGAGTCACGCTCTATCGCCCAGGCTGGAGTGCAGTGGCGTGATCTTGGCTCACGCAAACTCCGCCTCCCGGGTTCACGCCATTCTCCTGCCTCAGCCTCCCGAGTAGCTGGGACTACAGGCGCCTGCCACTGTGCCTGGCTAATTTTTGTATTTTTAGTAGAAACGGGGTTTCACCGTGTTAGCCAGGATGGTCTCGATCTCCTGACCTCATGATCCGCTCGCCTCAGTCTCCCAAAGTGCTGGGATTACAGGCAGGAGCCACTGTGCCCAGCTGGTTAACATAGTCTTAGGAAAGAGTCATAAAGACTTTTTGGGCCAGGTGCAGTGGCTCACACCTGTGATCCCAGCACTTTGGGAGGCCAGGCTTGGTGGCACATGCCTGTAGTCCCAGCTACTCGGGAGGCTGAGGTGGGAGGATCAGTTGAGCCCAGGAGGTCGAGGCTGCAACAAGCTGCGATCATGAACCTACAGTCTGGGCAACCAAGCCACACCATCTCAAAAAAAAAAAAAAAAAAAAAAAAGATATTTTCCCCTCCACTATGGGATCTGATCTTCCCTCCATTTTGTTTGTCACGAGATATATTCTTTGAACCTGGTATATTGGGCAGTGTAGAACTCACTCACCTGGAAAATCTAGGTGAAGTCCCTCTAACTGGAGTGGGAAAAAGACCTATTCAGAGAGCACCTCAGTTGCTCTTACCTGAACAAATGAGGGTTTTCTTTTTTTTTTAAACATGGGGTAACCCAACTATTTCTCCCAGAGAAGCAAATATGGACCTAGTATGGGAGGGTCAGGGAGTGCATGTAAGGATTTTAGCACCAGGTAGGAGAAAACAGGCTGTTTCAAGATCAGCAACTCAGAATAGGAGAGGGCAAGAAAATGGAGGTGTATGCATATGTATGTCATACATGAAAATATGGTTGCTTTTATTGATAAGAGGGTGTGCAGGGCCAGGCGCGGTGGCTTACGCCTGTAATCCCAGCACTTTGGGAGGGTGAGGTGGGCAGATCACAAGGTCAGGAGATCGAGACCATCCTGGCTAACATGGTGAAACCCTGTCTCTACTAAAAATACAAAAAAATTAGCCGGGTGTGGTGGCGGGCGCCTGTAGTCCCAGCTACTCGGGAGGCTGAGGCAGGAGAATGGTGTAAACCTGGGAGGCAGAGCTTGCAGTGAGCCGAGATCGCGCCACTGTACTCCAGCCTGGGCGACAGAACAAGACACCGTCTCAAAAAAAAAAAAAAAAAAAGAGGGTGTGCAGATGGGAGTTGTCATGCACCTTATGCTTGAGGGAAATGGTTTAATACAAGCATGCAATCAAATTGCATTAGAAGTAGATATTAGGTTGATATTAGATAACAGATTGTTACTGCTATTTCTGTACAAATAAAACTATTATGAATATAAGTAAGGTGTGTAAATTGGAGGCCTACTTACACTGGAGTGTATGGAGCTGGACTGGTAAAACATCACAGTGTGCAAATTACCTCAATGGCTGCATGACACCAAAGAGGAATGGGCAACTAAAGTTTCCATTAATGATTAAAGGTACAGTAAACCACCACACCTGTAACTTACCAAAGGACTGAATTAATTTGGTGGGAAATGTATGCCCCTTAGTAGGTAGCTTGGTATATTCTTTTTTTTTTTTTTTTTTTTTTGAGACAGGGTCTCACTCCAGTTCCCCAGGCTGGAGTACAGTGGCAGGATCTCAGCTCACTGCAGCCTTGATCCCCCAGGCTTAGGTGGCTTCCACCTCAGCTTCCTGAGTAGCTGGAACTACAGGCGTGCATCACCACACCTGGCTAATTTTTTGTATTTTTAGTAGAAATGGGGTTTTGTTATGTTGGCTAGCCTGATCTCGAACTCCTGGACTCAAGCAATTTGCCTGCCTCGGCCTCCCAGAGTGCTGGGATTACAGGCGTGAGCCACTGCGCTTGGCTTCTGCTGTATTCTTAGAGTGGGTAACAATTGTTTACTCTCATTGTTACTAATTCTACTAGTAGTAGAGCTCTTTTCTCACTTTCTTTTAGTAGACATCCTGTTTTGGAGAATATTATTCTTAACAAAAATTCTCATTTTTCAATTTCTCTTGAAGTAGAGATGTAGTTAAGTTCCCCTAACCTCAAAACATCTATCCCTATACCCCAAAGATCTCTCTCTGTCCTGGACCAGAGTGTCTCTGGGCTTTTATTGAACCTCTCACTGCCTTACTAAGCCCTAGTGTGAACATGACTAAAAGGCTGTTCAATTAGCTTGGGAATGTGGGAAATTTGACAGCATTTTAGTTATTTGGCATCAGTCAGGAGACTAGCTTTATCTCTGCATTTTTGGGGAATGGGGATGGGTACAATCAGGAAGCTGTAGGAAGAGAGGATATTACTTGTCTTGGAGAGAAGGCTGAAAAGTACATAAAGTCTCTGAGACCATGATATGCTATTTCATTTCTGGGACTGAAAGGCATATCACTGTAGGAAGTTTTGGATATGAGAATTTTCTAGTTAAAAAAGAGTTTCAAGATGTAACATCTTTGGAACTCTTATTTTATGACTGATACATGTGTGTGCCAGAGACCAACTGTCCCTGTTCATCTGGGATTGAGGAGTTTCTAGAGGCATGGGACTTTTTAGTGCTAAAACTGGGACAGTCTCAGGCAAACTGGAATGATGAATCCACCGTAGTACCTGATTCTTTGCTACATACTTCATATATATTCTTATTTAATCCTCCCAACAATCCATGATAGATATTCAGGCTGACATGATAGATAATCCCAACAATCCATGATAGATATTCATGATGGCACACGCCTGTAATCCCAGCACTTTGGGAGGCTGAGGTAGGCAGATCTCTTGAGGTCAGGAGTTCGAGACCAGACTGGCCAACTAGATGAAACCCCGTCTCCACTAAAAATACAAAATTAGCTGAGTGTGGTGGTGCATGCCTGTAATCCCACCTACTAGAGAGGCTGAGGCAGGAGAATTGCTAGAACCTGGGAGGTGGAGGTTACAGTGAGCTGAGATCGTGCCACTGCACTCTAGCCTGGGTGACAGAGCGAGACTTCATCTCAAAAAAAAAAAAAAAAAAAAAGATATTCAAGGTAATGTAGCTAATTATAACAGAGCCATGAATTGAACCAGATCTGCAGAGTCAGAGCAGTTAATCATTAAGCTACACTGACTCTTCAAAAGGGTGATGAAAGAGAACCCTTTGATATGAGAATAAATTCAAGGTGAGGAGAGGGTTGGAATGGATTTGTAATGAAATCTCTCTGTCTTGGTAGGTTCATCCTGACAAAAATCATCATCCCCGGGCTGAGGAGGCCTTCAAGGTTTTGCGAGCAGCTTGGGACATTGTCAGCAATGCTGAAAAGCGAAAGGAGTATGAGATGTAAGTTGGAGATGGGAAATCATCAGATAATGGTAAATGAAAAATCCTCAATAGCAGAGGCATCTGGACTTGGGGGTGGAGGCTTGTTGAGATGGAGAGAACTGAAGTCACTTGTCTTTCTCGCTAGACAGGGGCCTCAAGAGGCCAACTGATATGTCTTCCTTTGTCCCTCCCTCAATACCTTCTGACTTACAAAGCATTTCTTCTATTAGGAAACGAATGGCAGAGAATGAGCTGAGCCGGTCAGTAAATGAGTTTCTGTCCAAGCTGCAAGATGACCTCAAGGAGGCAATGAATACTATGATGTGTAGCCGATGCCAAGGAAAGCATAGGTATGAAATAGAAGGAGAGGGATGGGACAATCACAGCTCAGGGATTATGTAACCAAGGATCTTTCTAGTGAGTACTGGTAATTATGAGTTACATCTGTATCTCATAATTAGTAAAAAGACCCTTAAGTTTCTACCTTTGTCATATTGTCAATAGACTGACGATTTTAATTAGCACTAAGAAACATTAGCTTTAGGATAGAACGTTGAAGGGATATGAAATACTAAGTGGGGTAATTTTAGATGTTTCAGCCCTATTTGTGAATAATGGTAAGACTACTAGCAGTGCCCTAGGTAGGCTTGACAAATTATTAAGGAACTATCCTTTTGTTGGTTGCAGGAGGTTTGAAATGGACCGGGAACCTAAGAGTGCCAGATACTGTGCTGAGTGTAATAGGCTGCATCCTGCTGAGGAAGGAGACTTTTGGGCAGAGTCAAGCATGTTGGGCCTCAAGATCACCTACTTTGCACTGATGGATGGAAAGGTGTATGACATCACAGGTACTCTCTGTCCTCTAGAAATACAGGCTCATACTTCCTGATCTTTTATGTGCTCTAAACTGCGACGTTTTGGCTAATTATTTCTCATGTTTATAGAGTGGGCTGGATGCCAGCGTGTAGGTATCTCCCCAGATACCCACAGAGTCCCCTATCACATCTCATTTGGTTCTCGGATTCCAGGCACCAGAGGGCGGCAGAGGTAGGTGGTATTTCTGTCAATAATCTATCCACTATTTCAGTTTTGAATACGGTTTCAGATGACCTGCTTTTTAGGACACCCAGGGGCCTTGTTTTCTAGGAAGTTTGGGAACTGATAAGTATATCTAACTTAGGTAACCATATGACTCTAACATCTCTTGCCTTATTTCTTCTGTTTTACCTCAGAGCCACCCCAGATGCCCCTCCTGCTGATCTTCAGGATTTCTTGAGTCGGATCTTTCAAGTACCCCCAGGGCAGATGCCCAATGGGAACTTCTTTGCAGCTCCTCAGCCTGCCCCTGGAGCCGCTGCAGCCTCTAAGCCCAACAGCACAGTACCCAAGGGAGAAGCCAAACCTAAGCGGCGGAAGAAAGTGAGGAGGCCCTTCCAACGTTGATGCCCCTTCTCTTTCCTCAAATCAATGTCAGGGAGTCAAAAGGGCTGTAGCACAGGATGGAGTTTGATTTATCCCTCCTCCCCCAACACCTAGGAACTGAATCTTTTTCTTTTTATTTTTTGAGATGGAGTCTTGCTCTGTTGCCCAGCTGGAGTGCAGTGGTGTGATCTCAGCTTACTGCAACCTCTGTCTCCCGGGTTCAAGCAATTCTCCCATCTCAGCCTCCTGAGTAGCTGGGATTACAGGCACACACCACCACACCTGGCCCAGCTAATTCTTTTTTGTATTTTTAGTAGAGACGGGGTTTCACCATGTTGCCCAGGCTGGTCTCGAACTCCTGAGCTCAGGTGATCCACCCGTCTTGGCCTCCCAAAGTGCTGGATTACAGGCATAAGCCACTGTGCCCGGCCTGAATCTTGTCTTTTGACAATACCAAAGAAATAGGGGGTAGCTAGAGTAAAGAACCTAGGGCCTGGACCTGGGCTGGACAGTGTATCCCTTTAGGTGTGGGAACTGGGTATTTCCCTGGGGTCTGTATGCCTTTGTCTTGTCATTTGCTTTTAGGGCAGATGACACTTTTTCCCACCCTTTTAAAGCTACAAGTCTATCTTCTTTCTTGACCCATTTCAGGAGGGAGCCCTCTCCTTTATCCTGATATAATATTTAAAAGAGAACAAGAAAGCATGTAGCCCTAATGATAGGAGATTATCGCATAGAGTTCAGAGACTGGAAACTGAATTTTCCCTCGACTTTCACTTTGTGGGTAAATCACCCAATTTTAGGCTCTTTTCTGCAAGGATGGCCAAAATTAATCATTTTTAAAAAGTAGATTCATGCCCACTGCCCTTGGGTGAGGGGGAAGAATACGGGGGTTCCCAGAAGCCCCCATGTGATCCAAGGGTTTGTATTTTTTTTTTAAGTTTGTTCATATTTGTATGTACATGACTATTTAAAGCCAGGGGATTATCTTTCTATAAATGTATAACTGGCAACCTGTATCTTCCCTCTTTGTTGCCCATATAGCCGGAGCCCTTTTTCTCATTTGAGAATCTCTTCCCTACTAAGTGTTAAGCTTAGAGTGAAGGGCACCTCCTACTGGACCAAAGGAGAGGGGATTGGAGAATTGTTTTAAGTTTTATACATTAGGTCAGTATTCCATCTTCCCACCCCCAGCCTTATGAGGACAGCTCTCTACCCATCCTGATTAAACTGCAGCTATAGCTGAAAAAAATTATTGTAAGAAAAATACACAGCAAAACAGAGCTGGAAGGTGGTAAGTGTAAAAGATATGGAAAGATGTAATCACCAAAGAAGCTGCCCAAATGGCTTCCTGCTATGGAGGAGAGTGATTTGGCCCTTACCTCACCTGCCTTCCTGATTCAAAGAAACTTGCCACTAGCAGGACTGGGCCCAGGAGCCCCATTTGCCAATCTCTTCTCTTCTTGGGAGTCTGGGAAAGGTTGTATAGTTCTCAGGCTTTAAAGGTGTAGAAGACAGTATGGAGAATAAGAGAAGGATGTTTTATAGTCCTCTGTTTCAGTGCCTTCCCCATGCCCATGGAGCTGTCCCAAAACCCATCCCTCAGTATTTGTTGATGCCAAAGACACGAACCCCATGGAACTGGGGCAACTTCGGCAGCAGTACACTTAGCAATGAGGCTGTGTTGATGAGGAAGTGCGCAGCATCATACTTGGTATAGAAGCTGGCCAGGAGATAGCTGGGGAGAGAAAAAAATAGGGTGAGTGAGGTTGACCTTCTCTATCCATATTCTTTTTTTTTTTTAAGAGACAGTTCTCACCATGTTTCCCAGGTTGGAGTGCAGTGGCTATTCATAAGTGTGATACGTGCAGTACAACCTCAAACTCCTGGGCTCAAACAATCCTTCTGCCATAGCCTCCCAAGTAGCTGGGACTCCAGGCATGCACCACAGTGCCCTGCTCTTTCTCTTCTATTTTAAATGACCAGTTTTACTGTATATAGTTCTAGATTATCTAAAACTATTCCAGCTATATCAACAGCATTTACTTTGGGGTTCAGGAGATAGCACCCTTAACTGGAGACTGTAAGTCAGTATCTGTTAATTGTTAATGACATGGCAAATGACGGCTCAAGCTATTTCAGTCTGTATGACTGTTACAGTCCTCTTTGCTTCCACTCCCTACAGTGTTTTTGAAGATTAATATCAGTTCTGCCTTTATTTACTTCTTTTGGCAGTGTAAAATCATTTGGTTTTATTTGGCACTTATCTTTTCTCAGTCCCTTCATTTCCTTACTACCAAGGAGGCAGCAAGGAATGCTTGATTACAGTATTGACTGTAATCTACATTTTACTGCTCTCTGTAGGCTTAGAACTAGTATACCATAATATCTTCAAAGGGTTTTAGATGAGAAGTCTGCTTTTTAACAGCTTCCCTATGGGCCTTTCTACCTGGCTCTTGGAGCTCTTTCTAACCCAGCATATCTCATTTCCCCCATAGACTCACAGCACAATAGGAGAGATGCTGAGGAACTTGCGGGAAGAGGTAAACTGGAGCCCATAGTCCATTTGCTCCCAGTGTGTCAGTAGCCGAGCCTTTCCTTGGTCAGGAGTCTCAAAGGGTGTCCCTTTCACCGTATGAAGGAAGACATACGTAGCCTGGGAACAGGGAAGGTGGCAGTGTGAGGGGCAGAAAGTAGTTTTTCAGTCAAAGAATTATGTTAAGATCCCAAAAGGAACACATAAATCCCCAAACAATTGGTGATTTTATTTTGCTTTTGGTTGGGAAACCCTGGGGTGGGTACAAGGGCGTGGTTTAGTGCTCACCAGGTTATGGATGACGTTGGTCAGGGTCCAGACAACAGGAATGCTGAAGAAGGGGATGCTGAGTAGAACCATATGCAGCAATCCTACCAAGATGATGTAGGCCAGCCAGATGCCTCGGCTATTCATCACTCGGGTGTTGGGGTTTACTTCGCTGTGTGCCACCCCCACATTCATCCTAGCCGTAATGGGGGATCAGGCAGGAGTCCAGCTCAGTTTTTTCTCAACCCCTCTTGAGCTATCTCCCAGTTGTCTCTCAGATAGCCCCAATCCCCTGAACTCTATTGGGAATGAAGAACTTACCCATCACGCAGAAAATAAAAACTGAAGACTTGGGGAAAACTTTAAAAGACAAGAAGAGTCCTCACTACATTTCAGAGACATAGTCATTATTGCTCTGATCTTTACACGTCAACTGTAACATGAAGGTGTATGTGTAGGCTTGGGGCACTCACTTCAGGGAGCAAGGGAAATAGGAGTATCTGACTTTGCTGAAGAAGTTAATAACCATGAAGAGGTCACGTACACCCAGAATTCCAGGCGAAAGTCATGGAATCATCAAAGAACCACTAAGAAGGGATGACAGAGTAAAGCTCACTCTGGTCCCCACTTTGTTCTCTGGGGCTTGTCCACCCTCTCTCTCACCTCCGTGGCATGTAAACAGTCTGCATCCCCATTACTTCTCTCAAGCGTGGGGCACGACAACAACTTGCCCACGGCTTCTGGACTGGGTTAGGAAGGGACCTGAGCTCAATACCTCGAAAGGTGGAGCCTTGGCTCTGACTCCAGGGGCAGCAGTGATTATCTGAACTCGGATCTTTAAAATTGTGGTAGCTCTAAAGCTGATGATGTCTGGTTAGGAAGCGGCTCTTGCCCGCCCCAGCCCCACCGCCAGTTCCTTAAGCCCGCCCCATGCCCCTCCCAGCTTCCTCCTCATGTTCATCGGTTTTTTCAGGGCTCCCTTCAGCGCTCCCCTCTCAGTATTTAGGTCACCACTCCCTCGGCGCCCCTTTCGCCTCCCACCATTTTTCCTCAGCAACCCTTACAGTCTTTGCAGCTCCTACCTGCCAGCTCAGATCCCCGTCCGGCTATGGGCGCGGCGCCGGCTACCACACCTGAAGTCTCCAGGAAGTAACGCCTCTCCTTCTGCCCCTTTCCTATTGGAGGAACAGAATCAGCGCTGCCACCACCCATTGGTTGGTGGTCTGTAATGCAGAAGCACAGTTGGTTGCCATTTCTGTCGTTCGCAAGATACAGTGCCCGCCCCTCTCCCAGTTCCACCTTTTGAAAGAGGTGGGGCAAGCTGCCTAGAGAAGTGAGAGCGACGTCAGCTATTGACCAATGGGAAGAGCTGATGGTATGGCGTGGGAGCAAGAGTGACAACGATTGGTCAGCCTTGCATCTCTACGCCTAAGGCGGGAGCTCCTGGAGGCGGAGGCCGCGGGTGGGGGCCTAGTGGAGTGAGGGGTAACAAGATGGCGACCGAGACGGTGGAGCTCCATAAGCTAAAGGTACCGTGAATCGGGGAAGGGCTGAGTTGGACTTTTCTAGGAACTGAATTCTACAGGGTAGCTTGCGCCTTCTCCTACGTCTTCTCCGTGCAGCCTTTTCCACTTCGTTTCTCGGCTCCCGCCGTAGCTCTTTTGTGCCACCCTTCCACACTACGCCTTCCCTAATTTCCCATTTCTCCTCACGGCTTTACTGCTATATTTATTTGTTATTTCTGCTTCCTTCATCATTGTATCGTCCGTCACCCTTCCCCACTGGGTTGTGTAAGTGCCTTCTACCTGTTATACTCTTCGTTGCTTTTCAGGGCTGCATTACGTCAGTTGGTCCCTCCTTTTTGCCCCATGTCGGAGCCAGGATCCGTTTTTCTTCCCTGGGATGATGTTTCCAGTCTGTCGTCCGAAGCTGAGATTTCCCTGTTAGCAAATGGTGGCATTTTTGTGTATTTCTGTCTAAATAGGTACCAGACACTCAGAAAATACTTCCACTCCCCTTTTCTAGGTGGGATTACGCCCCAAGCCGAATTTTGAAACAGGGAGAGGCCTCTCAGAAGATCGGTCTCGCCTTAGAAGCCTGGGGTTGAGGAGGTCTTGAGAATAGTAGAAGTACAGACACCTCAGATTTAAAAGTTTTCGAGTTCTGTCACGCGGCTCTCGGCCCGCCAGCCTTCCTCACACACCATCTCCAACCACCAGAGAGAACTCACACCTGCAATATTTGGGAAAAACAATTCCAAGGTTAAGATTATCTCTGTTCCATTTCATATCTCGGGTGGGCCCTGCATCTCCTGGTGTTACCATTGGCTGACACTGAATCACAGAAGCTATTTTAAATTGTCTTATGAGACTCTTGGTAGTTTTTTCACACTTAGATATATAAAAAAGTTAAAAAAATATATTAAAAAGAAGAACATTTTAAAAAGTATTTTCTTTTAGGGTAAATTAAGATATCTTGAGTAATTGTCTGTTTGTGGTTTCACAAGTAGTTTTCCCATTAGATGTTTTGGACAAACCAGGCTGATATAGCTGAAACTGAAAAGTGATCCTTTAAAGCTCGAAAAGTTTTTTTTTGTTTTTGTTGCTGTTAAGAAAGCTTAAGGGTAGTAAGGGTAGGGAGAGGACCCTTCTTTAGTCACTTATTAGTTGACCCCAATTAGTCTTTCTGTGAAACTGATGTTTTTCTTACTCTTGGATTCTAAACTCTGTTAGTGGGTTTTTGTGTTATTCTGGAGTTATTGTTAACTTGATGATACTGAAATGCATAGACTATATCAGCGGTCTCTTGATCTTTATTGTGATGAGTTAAAAAAAATTGAGCAATCATCTCCACTTTGTTTATATATACTGTACTTATAGAAATTGTATACTTCTGGACTGTTATAAAATATAACACAGAAAAGGAATTTTTGAATGAGATAAAAAGGAACTATATATAGAAGAGCTAATATTTTCTTCCTATTTGTCCTATTTTTGAAATCCCTGGAGTAAGTCACCAGCTGCCCGATGACTTACTTGCATTTATAGATTGTGTTGGTTTATGGAGTTCCTCCTTCCATCAAATCTGTATTTGTCAGGTCTATATAAAATTTGTATTTGATTGGATAAGTAACTTTTACGTAAAGTCCTCTGACCTGATTTCAGTGTTACAGTCTAAGAGAACATTAGGCACTCCTGACAGCCTAAAAAGGACTTGCTCTTTAATCACATTTGCTTGTCTTTGCTTTTTCTCTAGAGCACTTCTTAACCTTTTGGAGGTCACAGATATCTTTGAAACTCTGATGAAAGGTATGGACCCTCTCCCCAGAAAAAGGCATGTACACATATTTTGCATGCAGTTTGAGGGGCTTCATAAAACTACCTTGTAGCCCCGAGGAGTCCATGGACCTCTGGTTAAGAACTCATGCCTTTAGCTGGGCGTGGTGGCTCACGTCTGTAATCCTAGCACTTTGGGAGGCCTAGGCGGGCGGATTGCTTGAGGCCAGGAGTTCGAGACCAGCCTGGGCAACATGGCGAAACCCCGCCTCTACCAAAAATGCAAAAATTAGCCAGGTGTGGTGGCAAGTGCCTGTAGTCCCAGCTATTGAGGAGGCTGTGAGGAGGCTGAGGCACAAGAATCGCTTGAGCCCGGGTTGGAGGTTGCAGTGAGCCGAGATGGTGTACTGCACTCCAGCCTGGGGGACAGTGAGACTCCGTCTCAAAAAGAAAAAAAGAACTCATGCCTTTGATTCTGATTTTTAGGACAATTAATGTTTGGTTCCACTGGTGATCTTGATGCAATGATCCTGACTTCTGGGTTGACTTGGGGTTTTATTGCCTTAAAAAAAAATCTTGGCTGGGTGCAGTGACCCACACCTGTAATCCCAACTCTTTGGGAGGCGGAGGCCAGGAGTTTGAGACCAGCTTAGGTAACATAGTGAGACCCTGTCTCTACAAAAAAAATTAAAAAATTAGCTGGGCATGGTGGCACACACCTGTAGTCCCAGCTCCTCAGGAGGCTGAAGTGGGAGGATTGCTTGAGCCTGGGAGGCCAAGGCTGTGGTCAGCTGTGTGATAATTGCTCCACTGCACTTCAGCCTGGGTGACAAAGGGAGACCTTGTCTCAAAAAAAAGAAAATAAAAAAATCTCTCCATTGTCATAAAGAGAATTTTGGGCTTTGGTATGGAACCTCAGGGGAAGGGAATACCTTTTGAAGCAGGAAGGAAACATAGTATGTATCTGAGTTGATATGTAATGTCATATCAACAGCAAATTTCTGAGGATTTTGTAGAAATGCAGTCATTCTTTTTTTTTTTTTTTTAAATTGAGATGGAGTCTCGCTCTGTCGCCCAGGTTGGAGTGCAGTGGCAAGATCTCGGCTCGCTGCAACCTCCGCCTTCCAGGTTCAAGCAATTCCCGTGCCTCAGCTTCCCGAGTAGCTGGGATTACAGGCACGTGCCACCATGCCTGGCTAATTTTTGTATTTTTAGTAGAGATGGGGTTTCACCATGTTATTGGTCCGGCTGGACTTGACTGACCTCAGGTGATCCTCTTGCCTTGGCCTCCCAAAGTGCTGGGATTATAGGCATGAGCCACCACTCCTGGCCCATACTAACACATTTGGAAAGAGAGATTGAACTGTGGATGAAAATGGCTTGAACTGTAACAGTATCAGATATCCAGTCAAACATTAGAAAAGGAACTATTGCAGAGGAGAGGAGAAAGTGATAGTAGTGTCAGAGTGTTGAGAATAGTGAGACATTTGTATTGAAAAGTGAAGTGAGGAAATATATTGGTAGTTGAAGATAGTTTGGAAAGGAAAATAGGTAAACTATAAAGGTAAATCAGAGTGATATTGAAAAGGGCTTTCTAAGTTATGTAAGGACTTCTGGCCTTTGTCATGTAAGAAGTAGGGCTGGGAGCCTTTGGAAGTTTGAAAGGAGGAGCTTGATGTGATCAGCTTGTATTCTCTTGGCGGATGGGATTTGTAGGGGGAGCGATTTCACCACTTAGATATTTATTATAGGAGTCATTCCCCTGCTTAAAACCTTTAAATTATATCCCTGCCCGTCTCTCCAGCATAGTTACTAACTCTTCAACTACTGTGGCCTTATTTTATTTAATTTCTTCAGAATGCTTCATCAATTGCCAACACTTAGCATTTGTTATGTGGCAAAGCACTGTTTGAAGCCATTTACATACACTAACTGATTTAATTCTCATAATAACCCTGTAAGGTAAATACCTGTATTATCCTCATTTGAAAATAAGAAAAACCATAGCTCAGAGAGAGTAACTGAGTAACTTGCCTTAGGTTGCACAGCTAAAATGTTGTATATTAAATCCAAGCAGGCTGGGTGCAGTGGCTCACGCTTGTAATCCCAGTACTTTGGGAGGCCGAGGCAGGCGGATCACCTGAGGTCGAGAGTTCGAGACCAGCCTGACCAACATGGAGAAACCCCGTCACTATTAAAAATACAAAATTAGCTGGGCGTGATGGCACATGCCTGTAATCCCAGCTACTCGGGGGGCTGAGGCAGGAGAATCACTTGAACCGCGTAGGTGGAGGTTGCGGTGAGCCGATATGGCACCATTGCACTCCAGCCTGGGCAACAAAAGTGAAACTCCGTCTCAAAAAAAAAAAAAAAAAAAAAATTCCAGGCAGCCTGTGTCCAAAATTCATGTTCTAATCATTGCACACTGCTTCTCCCTCTTACCTCAACCTAGAACCTTCACATATGCTGCAATTGGAGTTTTCTTTCGGCTGTAGTACTCCGGCTGCCCTTCCTCCCTAACACGTTTATCTAATTAATTACTACACCCCTTTCAGGTGTTTCACTCAAATATTATTTACCCAAGGAAGCTTTCTATGTTCTATCCACAAACATGGTCAGGCCACTTTTTATATAATTTCATAAGACCCTGTGTGTTCTTAAAAAATCAGCTAAACATGCCGGGCACGGTGGCTCATGCCTGTAATCCCAGCACTTTGGGAGGCCAAGGTGGGCAGATCACGAGGTCAGGAGTTTGAGACCAGCCTGACCAATATGGTGAAACCCCATCTCTACTAAAAATACCAAAAGTAGCTGGGCCTGGTGGCGCGCACTTGTAATCCCAGCTACTCGGGAGGCTGAGACAGGAGAATCACTTGAACCCAGGAGGCGGAGGTTGCAGGAGCCGAGATCGCGCCATTGCACTCCAGCCTGGGCAACAGAGTGAGACTCCGTCTCAAAAAAAAAAAATCAGCTAAACGCTATCTGATCATTGATTGGTTTGTTCTCTGCAAGATTGTAAGCTCGGAATGGGAAGGACTCTTATGTTTTGCTCATGATTATTTCCCTGTATCCAAGATAATACTTGATAATACAGTAGGTGCTCAATAACGATTTGTTGAGTGAATAAGCATGTCAAGACTTCAAAAGAATGGGAATGAATTTGAAAGACATTTAGGATGTAGTAGAATTTCAAGTATTTATAGATCAGTTAGATATGGGAAAAATGAAAGATGACTCCAGGGTTTGGGTAGTGATACCTTTAGTCTGGGTTGGGAGGAGGAGAAGCCAGTTTTGCACAGAAGAGGTAAGTTCATTTTGAGGCTTAGGTGTCTGTGGGACATCCACTTGGACATGTCAGGTAGTCAGTTGGAAATGTGGGTCTTTCACTCAAGAGCTGAAAGCTGATGATGAAGACTTGGGATTTATTCAGAAAATATGGAGCACCTGCCATGTCCCAGTTACTGTGGGTGCCAAAGATACAGCAGTGAACAACAGAGACAAAATCCTTGCTCTCATAGAGCTTGTATTTTACTGAGGGAAGGCAAAATAAAAAGTAAAATTTATGGTATGTCAAATAGTGATTGATAAGGCACATAGAGAAAAATAGGAGAAAGGAATAGGGAGTACAATGGGAAGGGTATTGTAATTTTAAATAGAGTGACTGGGGAAGTCATTAACAAGGAGATGTTTACAAAAAGAGTTGAAGGACGTGAAGGAATGAGCTATGTGCAAAGTGTTAGAGGAATAGCACAAGACCAGTTTGGCTTATCAGAGTGAGCAATGGTAATAAGGTAATGGTAGGGGAGGGCAAAGCTGCAGGGCCTTTTAGGTGATAGGATTCAGCCTTTTACCCTTAGTGAGATACGAAACCAATGGATGATGTTTGACTAGAGGAGTGACATGTTCTGACTTAAATTTTCAAAAGATCACTCTGTTACTTTGTTGAGAATAAACTATAGTGAGGCAAGGGCTGAAGAATTTTGACAATAATCTGTATGAAAGAAAGACTAGAGTAGTAGCATTTGCCGTGGTGAGAAGGGTTTGATTTTGGATATATTTTAAAGATAATGCTGATAGACTTTGCCGCTGATTGAAATCGGGAAGTGAATTAGCCTTTGATATATGTGGAATGACAAGACGCCCAAAGAAGGAATCTTAGTGAATATTTACAGGTTTGAGTGGAAGAAGAGCTAGCAAGGAGGCTGAGGAGGAGAGAGTGAAAGAAAGAAGTGCCAAGACTTTGGCAGTTAATATTGAGCATAAATCAGAGACACTTGAGCTGGCATATTGGTCTACTATTTACAAGCTGTGGTTTGTTTGTTTGTTTGTTTGTTTGTTTGTTTGTTTTTTGAGACAGTGTCTCGCTTTTTCTCCCAGGCTGGAGTGTAGTGGCACAATCAGGGGTCACTGCAGCTTCAGTCTTCTGGACTCAAGTGATCCACCTCAGCCCCTGCTCCCACCCAGTAGGTGGGACTACAGGGGCACACCACCACACCTGAACTGTGTATTAATTTTTTAATTTTCTGTAGAGACAGAGTCTACCCGTGTTGCCCAGGGCTGGCCTCAAACTCCTGGCTTTGAGCAATCCTCCCACCTCAGCCTCCCAAAGTGCTGGGATTACAGGCATGAGCCACCACACCTGGCCAAGCTGTGTGATATTTAAGCAAGTTATTGAATTTCTTTAAGCCTAATTGTAATACCAACCACTTAGGTTCCTTGTAAGGATTTTGAGTTCCCATCATATATGTTATAGGTGGTCTAAAACATCTCTGCCTTCAAAGAATTTACAAACTATATGTTGACATAACATGAAAAAGATGATTTCTTTTTTTTTTTTTGGGATGGAGTCTCGCTCTGTCACCCAGGCTGGAGTGCAGTGGCGTGGTCTTGGCTTGGCTCACTGCAACCTCTGCCTCCCGGGCTCAAGCCCTTCTCCTGCCTCAGCCTCCCGAGTAGCTGGGATTACAGGTGCCTGCCACCACGTCTGGCTAATTTTTGTATTTTTAGTAGAGACAGAGTTTCACCATGTTGGCCAGGCTGGTCTTGAACTCCTGACCTCAGGTGATCCGCCCGCCTCGGACTCCCAAAGTGTTGGGATTACAGGCGTGAGCCACCGCGCCTGGCCAACGTGAAAAAGATTTCTGATAAAATATTTTAATCAAAATTTGGCCGGGTGTGGTAGCTCATGCCTGTAATCCCAGCCCTTTGAGAGGCCGAGGCGGGAAGATCACCTGAGGTCAGGAGTTCAAGACCAGCCTGACCAACATGGTGAAATCCCATCTCTTCTAAAAAATACAAAATTAGCTGGGCATGGTGGTGCACGCCTGTAATTCCAGCTACTGGAGAGGCTGAAGCAGGAGAATCGCTTGAACTGGAGAGACGGAGGTTGCAGTGAGCCGAGATTGTGCCACTGTACTCCAGCCTGAGTGACAAGAGTGAAACTGAGTCTCAAAAAAAAAAAAAAAAAATTCAAGGTCAGTTAACTAGAAGAAATCACAGGGCAAGCTGGGCACAGTGGCTCACGCCTATAATCCTAACCAACACTTTGGGAGGCTGAGGCAGGAGGATCACTTGAGCCCAGGAGTTTAAGAACAGCCTGGGCAACATAGTGAGACCTCATCTCTACTGGAAATAAAAAAATTAGCTGGCTGTGGTGGCACACACCTGTGGTCCCAGCTATACAGGAGGCTGAGGCAGGAGGATCATTTGAACCCAGGAGGTCGAGGCTGCAGTGAGCTGCGATTGCACTGCTGCATTCCAGTCTGGGCAACAGAGCAAAACCCTGAGTCAAAATAAAAATAAATAGAAATCACAGGGCAATGCATGATTAATGTCAAATGTATGATGAGGGTAAGTTGATATGTCTTTTCTCTGTGGGTTGGATAGGTAGAATGGAGAATGCTTTATTGATACTGAAAAATAAGATTTAAAAAACTTTTTGAATAGGTAATCATGCACAAGTTCACAAAAGAGTATATGGTAAAAAGTTTCTTTCCTACACTTTTCCCAAACTAGCTTCCTCTTCTCAGATTCAACCAGTGTTAACTTACCTGTTTCTTCTCCAGGCATCTTGTTTATACACATTATACAGAGATGTGTGTGTATTATTTTTTACATTAATGTTAGTATCCTTATAGAATGTTCTATAACTCTTTTCTTTTTTTTTTTTGTTTTTTGAGACAGGGTCTCCCTTCTGTCGCCCAGGCTGGAGTGCAGTGGTGTGATCATGGCTTACTGCAGCCTCAACCTCCTGGACTCAAGTGATGCCCCTGCCTTAGCCTCCCGAGTAGCTAGGACTACAAGTGTGCCTGGCTAGTTTTTTGTTTTTTGAGAGACAGGGTCTCACTGTGTTGCCCAGGCTGGTCTTGAACTCCTAGGCTCAAGTGATCCTCCTGCGTCGACCTCCCAAAGTACTAGGATGACAGATGTGAATCACTGTGCCTACCTAGCTGGTTTTTTTTGTTTATTTTCTTCTTGGGACAGGGTCTTACTGTGTTGCCCAGGCTGGAGTGCAGTGGCATGATCATGGCTCATTGCAGCCTCAGCCTCCCAGACCCAAGTGATCTTTCCATCTCAGCCACCTGAGTAGCTGGGACTGTAGGCACATGCGACTATGCTCGGCTAATTTTTTTTTTTCAATAGCCTTACTGAGATACAATTCACGTACCATACAATTCATTCAGTATACTTGTTAAAATATTTTTTGTTTGTTTTGAGATAGGGTCTCCCTTTGTTACCCAGGCTGGAGTGCAGTGGCATGATCTCGGCTCACTGCAGCCTCGACTTCCTGGACTCAGGCCATCCTCCAGCTTTAGCCCCTCAAGTAGCTGGGACTACAGGCACATGCCACCATGCCTGGCTGTTTTTGTATTTTTAGTAGAGATGGGATTTCAACATATTGTCCAGGCTGGTCTCGAACTCCTGGACTCAAGTGATCTGCCCACCTCTAGCCTCCCAAAGTGTTGGAGCCAAAACATTTCAAATCAAATCAAATCAATTTAGAAAAATGGGATAAGATTTTATGTTAGTTCCTATTTTAAGTTTTAAAAGGTTTTAGTTCTGCTAATGTAATTGTGCTGAAATACGTGCAAAAAGAAATTACATCATTTTCAGCTGTTTTATGTTTTTATTCATCTGTTTCTCATTCATTCATTCTTTTGAGGCCAGGTATTGCTGTGTTGCCCAGGCTGGAGTACAGTGGTGTGATCACAGTTCATAGCAGCCTTGACCTCCCAGGTTCAAGCGTTCCTCCCACCTCAGCTTCCCTAGTAGCTGGGACCACAGGCGTGTGCTACCTTGTGTGACTAATTAAAAAAAAAATTTGGCTGGGCGTGGTGGCTCATGTCTGTAATCCCAGCACTTTGGGAGGCCGAGGCGGGTGGATCACCTGAGGTCGAGAGTTCGAGACTAGCCTGACCAACATGGGAAAACACTAAATTAGCCAGGCATGGTGGCGCGTGTGTGTAATCCCAGCTACTCGGGAGGCTGAGGCAGAATTGCTTGAACTCGGGAGGTGGAGGTTGCGGTGAGCCAAGATCACGCCATTGCACTCCAGCCTGGGCAGCAAGAGTGAAACTCCATCTCAAAAAAAAAAAAATTGTAGGAACAGGGTCTCACTCTGTTGCCCAGGCTGTTCTTGAACTCCGGGGCTCAAAGCTGTCCTCCTGCCTCAGCCTTCCAACTTGCAGGGACTACAGGCATGAGCCACCATGCCCAGCCTCTATTTTCCTTTTAAAATAATGTCTATTTTCCTTTTAAAATAACGTCCTAGTATATGAGAAGAACTCACTATATAACAAAAGAAGTAATACAACTATGTAAAAGCTGTGTGTAGGCTGGGCACAGTGGCTCACGCCTCACTACAAATGATATATGTAAATGTTAAGTGATCTGTAAGTGCTGGGATTACATACGACTTTTATTTTCCTCTAAACTTTTCAGAATTTTCTAACTATTCTACAGTGAACATAATACTTTTATAACAAACAAAAAATTTAAAGTGTAATTAAGATCAAAAGACTTGTTCTCCAGGAAGTGGGAAGAAAATAATGTATCAGTGTGAGAAAGATCAAGATTCTTAAAAAAAATTTTTTTTTTTTTTTTTTTGAGACAAAGTCTCGCTCTGTCACCCCGGTGGAAGTACAGTGGCACGATCTCGGCTCACTGCAAGCTCCGCCTCCCGGGTTCACGCCGTTCTCCTGCCTCAGCCTCCTGAGGAGCTGGGACTACAGGCGCCCGCCACCGCGCCCGGCTAATTTTTTTTTTTTTTTTTTGTATTTTTAGTAGAGACGGGGTTTCACCGTGCTAGCCAGGATGGTCTCTATCTCCTGACCTCATGATCCGCCTGCCTCGGCCTCTCAAAGTGCTGGGATTACAGGAGTGAGCCACCACGCCCGACCAAAAATTTTTTTTAATAGAGATGGCATCTCATGGTGTTTCCCAGGCTGGTCTCTAACTTCTGGATTCAGGCAATCCTCCCGCCTTGGCCTCACAAGGGGCTGGAATTGTAAGCATAAGCCACCAAGATCAAGATTGTTACTTAATAAATGGACATTAAAGATCACTTATAATGTTACTTAAGGCGTGGTTCACAGTCCTTGGGGTGCTGGTCCATGAACTAGCTGTTCCTGGTTAGTAGTGAGATAAATACAAAAACCGAGTGTAAGCTTTTAGAAAGTTTTATAGCAGTTTGATGTCACTGCTATATCCAAGTCACTACGCTCATTTTTGTAGTAATTGATTTTTATTGTTATTGCGAAAGTATTGCTCCGTGACCTGATTGGAATATTGTAAAAAGCAACCTTATCAGCCTACCTATTTAAAAGTACATTGAGCTGGGCACAGTGGTGTGTACCTGTAGTCCCAGCTGGAGGTTCGGGTGGGAGGATTTCTTGAGTTCAAGAGTTTAAGTTCAGCCCGGGCAACATGGCGAGACCACTGTCTCTAAAAATAAATAAAATAAAAAATGCATTGATTTGTGAAACTCTCAAATCTGAGACCAGTGATTTAGTACTTAATAAATATAAAGCATTTTTTGGCTGTCAAGCACTGTTCTAAATGCTTTATAAAATTCTTGATTTAAGGCCGGGCGCGGTGGCTCATGCCTGTAATCCCAACACTTTGGGAGGCGGAGGCAGGTGGATCACAAGGTCAGGAGTTCGAGACCAGCCTGGCCAATATGGTGAAACCCCGTCTCTACTAAAAATACAAAAATTAGCTGGACATGGTGGCATGCGCCTGTAGTCCCAGCTAATCGGGAGGCAGAGGTTGCAGTGAGCTGAGGTCGTGCCATTGCACTCCAGCATGGGTGATAGAGCGAGACTCCGTCTCAAGAAATTTTTTTTTTCCTTTAATTTATGGTTCACACCTGTAATCCCAGAACTTTGGGAGACCAAGGCAGGTGGATCACTTGAGGTCAGGAGTTTGAGACCAGCCTAGTCAACATGGTAAAACCCTGCTTCTAGTAAAAATACAAAAATTAGCCAGGCATGGTGGCACATGCCTATAATCCCAGCTACTCAGGAGGCTGAGGCAGGACAGTTGCTTGAACCTGGAACGCAGAGGTTGCAGTGAGCCGAGATCATGCCACTGTACTCCAGCCAGGGCACCAGAGCAAGACTCCGTCTCAAAAAAAAAAAAAAAAATTTTTTTTAATTTAGTCTTCATAACAACCCTATGAAATAGGTACTGTTATCATTCCCATTTCACAAGTAAGGAAACTGAGGCATAGAGAGGTGAAGTTATTCACATAAGGTTACAAGTAGTAAAACTGGAATTCAAACCTAAGTAGTCTGGCTTCAGAGGCTATGCTCTCCAGTCACTCTGCAGTCATTTTTTTTTTTAAAACTGGCAAAAGCCTTAAAAATAATTTTTTTTTTTTTTGAGACAGAATTTTGTTCTTGGCATCCAGGCTGGAGCGCAATGATGTGATCTCGGCTCACTGCAACCTCTGCGTCCCAGGTTCAAGCTGTTCTCCTGCCTCAGCCTCCTCAATAGCTGGGATTACAGGCATGTGCCACCATGCCTGGCTAGTTTTGTATTTTATATTTTTATTTTTATTTTTATTTATTTTTTTGAGACAGTCTCACTCTTTCACCTGCTGGAGTGCAATGGCACGATTTTGGCTCACTGCAACCTCCGCCTCCCAGGTTTAAGCAATTCTTTTGTCTCAGCCTCCTGAATAGCTGGGTGAATATAAGCACCTGCCACCATGCCCAGCTAATATTTGTATTTTTAGTAGAGACAGGGTTTCACCGTGTTGGCCAGGCTGGTCTTGAACTCCTGACTTCAGTTGATCTGCCTGCCTAGGCCCCCCAAAGTGCTGGGATTACAGGCGTGAGCCACCGCACCTGGTCTAGTTTTGTAGTTTTAGTAGAGACAGGGTTTCACCATGTTAGCTAGGCTGCTGTTGAACTCCTGACCTCAGATGATCTGCCCGCCTTGGCCTCCCAGAGTGCTGGGATAACAGGCGTGAGCCACTGTCCCTGGCCTAAAAATAATTTTTAATGGGTGATTACCTACCATGTTCCTCAGTAGAGGTTGCTTTCAGCTTGTTGGGTTGGGCAGTTCTGTTCATAGCATCCCTGCCTGCCCGCCCCACTCACTAAATGCTTTGCTAGTCGTTGTAATATGTTTTATTTATTTTATTTATTTATTTTTGAGACGGAGTCTCGCACTTTCGCCCAGGCTGGAGTGTAGTGGTCGATCTCAGCTCGCTGCAAGTTCCGCCTCCAGGGTTCACGCCATTCTTCTGCCTCAGCCTCCCGAGTAGCTGGGACTACAGGCGCCTGCCACCACGCCTGGCTAATTTTTGTATTTTTAGTAGAGACGGGGTTTCACTGTGTTAGCCAGGATGGTCTCGATCTTCTAACCTTGTGATCCACTCGCCTCGGCCTCCCAAAGTGCTGGGATTACAGGCGTGAGCCACCGCGCCCGGCCATTGTGATATGTTTTAAAAAACTCTCCACTTTTCATTATGAAATGTTCTCCTAGCTGAAAAACGTAGAGATGCAGAGCATCCTCCATAGTTGTAAAATTTTTTGTCTATAGGAGTCTGCCTTCTAGCTTCTACTGATTGGTCATAGATCTGTACTCCAAAACAAAAAAGGTCATCTTTCAGACCAAAGATCTATCTGTGTGTTGATCTGCATATAGAATTTCTGGAGCCTTTCTTTCCTGCTTGTTCTCCTGGGTCAGCATGTCGTTGTGCTTCGTAAAATAAGAGTATAGAGCCCAGTAAGGCCATTACATCGTTTATTATGGAGTCTATATTTCAGTTACCTATGACTTATAGGTAGCAAATCATACTGTTAACCTTCTTTGCCTAAAATTCTGATGTCTTTATCCTTTGAGTTACTATTGAGCCAATCCTCCCTTACCCAGTTTTTATATAACTGAAGTTTTGAATCTAAGTGTAGGAAGTTATATGTATACCTTATTCCTACTAAATTGAGTCTTTGTTTTGGCTTATTATTAGTCCTGAAGAAGTGTTTTTTTTTTTTTCTGTTTCCGTGTTGCATTTTTTAAGCTTAGTTATGTCAATAATCCATCAATTCTCCTTCCTCCTATTGTCTGTAAAATTGATGAACATAGCTTTTATATCTTTAGATAAGTTAAATCTTCAGCAGAACTCTATGGTATGCCATTAGATATTTCTTCCCATTTTGACACAGATCCTTTAATCAATTCATTGTTCACATTAGCTAATGCATCTACCTAATTCTATGGTGGTTAGACCTGTATGCATGTATATGGTAGATTGTAATAACGGATCTGGGATAATAAGTGGTAAGGAGAATCTGCTTTTAGATCATTGGATTTTCTACTTGAAGGTTCATTCTTCCAATATGCTGGCTGCCACAGTAGTCTTAAGAAAAAAACCTTTTTCCCCCCTCAGAATATTTAGAAATAACTAGAGATTTGTGACAGTTAGTAGGTATACAAATAGATGAGGTTTTTTATTAAAGTGTGATGTTTATTCTTCAGCATCTGTTAGGCAGTTCCTCTTGTATATTGAATATCGTTAGAGGAAAATGGATCATCTTTGTGGACCTAGAGCCTTGGTAGAATTAAGGGCAGTAATTTGGGATGGAACTTCATTTTCTTTTTTTCTTTTCCTTGTGGGAACTACCATTTTATTCACTGGTGTTCATCCTGTTAACTAAGGAAAAGTTTTATTTTTTTCCCCTCAGCTTGCCGAACTAAAGCAAGAATGTCTTGCTCGTGGTTTGGAGACCAAGGGAATAAAGCAAGATCTTATCCACAGACTCCAGGCATATCTTGAAGAACATGGTGAGTACTTTGTGGAGGCGGAGTGATGTGAGTGAGGGGATTTTCAGGCTTTGACACTGAAAAGATTTCTTTTTTTTTTTTCAGGTCATTAGCAATGTAAGCTCTTAATTAACGGCATCAAGAAAACTCTCTCTTTTTTTTTTTTGAGATGGAGTCTTGCTCTGTTGCCCAGGCTGGAGTGCAGTGACGCAGTTTCAGCTCATTGCAACCTCTGTCTCCCGGCTTCAACCAATTCTCCTGTCTCAGCCTCCCAAGCAGCTGGGACTACAGGCGAGCACCACCATGCCTGGCTGATTTTTGTATTTTTAGTAGAGACGGGGTTTCACCATATTGGTTGGGCTGGTCTAGAATTCCTGACCTCAGGTGAGCCACCCGCCTCAGCCTCCCAAAGTGCTGGGATTACAGTTGTGAGCCACCGCGCCCAGCCATCTTGTACAACCTACATCTTAGGTTGTACAAGTCCTCTATCTAATTTTTATTTACGTATTCCCTTTTATTTCTATTCCTCATTTCACTTTCTCCCCAACCCATTTAGGCACCCGTTCTAATGTGTTTGAATGTATTTTTTTGGTGTTTTTCCTGGTAAACTATGTAGTGTTGTTTTGTAGAATGTTTTCATTTATATAATTGGTAATTACATAACTGGCCATAGCCTTGCTTTATTTCTCATTTTTTTCACTAAGTATTGTGTTTTTTTTTTTTTAAAGATGCGTCCATGTGGAATGTGACTGTGTAGTTATCTAGTCTGTTGATTCTAATTCCTGCATAGCATTCAATGATGGATAACCACACATTTTACTTAATTCACTCGGTGACAGAAAATTTTATTGCCACCAAGCCTCTGCTACTATAAGTGATACTACTTATAGTATACTATATGTATATAATAGTATATAGTATATATTATACTATGGGTTGAGTGTTATATATTTGAAATGCTTGGGACTAGAAGTGTTTCAGATTTTAGTTTTTTCGGATTTTGGAATATTTGTGTATATATATAATGAGATATCTTGGGGGTGAGATCCAAGCCTAAACACAAAATTTATTTGTTTCTTATCCACATATCTGAAAGTAGTTTTATACAGTATTTAAAATAATTTTGTACATGAAACAAAGTTTTGACTGTGACCCATTGCATGAGGTTAGGTGTGGGGTTTTCCACTTGTATCATATCAGCCTTCAGAAAGTTTTAGATTTAGGAGCATTTTAGGTTTTGAATTTTCAGATTGGTGATGCTTAACCTGTAGGATATAGTATACTATATCCTATATACTAATAGTATATAGTATATTATTATGAACTACTTATTTTATGCTCTTATGTTCCTGTGAAAGTCTTTTTGGGGTATATGCCCAAGAATGGTATTGCTAATTAATATTCATAAATATATACTTAATGTGACTAAGGACTCCCAAATTATTTTCCAGAATTGCTCTGTAGATCTGCAGTCTCATTACTAGTACATAAGGGTTCTTGTATCTTCACAAACCTAAACTTGGCACTGTCCTATCAAGTGGCCTAAGTTTTGCTAATTTGTTGGCTGTTTTATGTTCTCCATGAAAAAAGTTTAAACATTTCACAATTCTTTGGGTTTCTTCTTTGCCCATTTTTCTGTTGAGGTTCCCATAATTTGCCTGTTGGCTTGCAGGCATTTCTTTTATATTCTAATAACTATTGTTTTGTTGATTTTAGGCACAAATATCTTCTTTGGCTGTGCGGGGTGGTTCATGCCTGTAACTCAGCACTTTGGGAGGCTAAGGTGGTATGATCTCTTGAGGCCCGGAGTTTGAGACCAGTCTGGGCAGCATAGTGAGATCCCATCTCTAAGAAAAATAATAAAATTAGCTGGGTGTGGTGATGTGCACCTGTAGTCCTACCTACTTGGGAGGCTAAGGCAGGAGGATCCCTTGAGCCCAGGAGGGGGAGGCTGCAGGGAGCTGTGATTGTGCCATTGCACTTTATCTGGGCGACAGAGTAAGACTCTGTCTCAACAAAAACAAATGTCTTGTCATTTGTCTTTTAAGTTTCTTTGTGCTATCCTTAAGTAGAAGTACTTAGTTTTGAAAAATCTTCAATTTTTCACCTCTTACTTTTGGTTCTGGGTTGTTTTTCTTTTAAACAAATCTTTCCCCACCACTAAATCTCAAAGATACTTTTCCACATACTTTTTTTGTTTGTTATTCAAGACTGGGTCTTGCTCTGTCACCCAGGCTGGAGTGCAGTGACATGATCTCAGCTCACTGCAGCCTCTGCCTTCTGGGTTCAAGTAATGTTCCCACTTCAGCCTCCCCAGTAGCTAAGACTATAGGCGCACACCCCCACACCCAGCTAATTTTTTTATGTTTTTTGTAAAGACGGGGTTTCGCTGTGTTCCCCAAGCTGGTCGCTTGAACTCCTAGGTTCAAACGATCCACCTGCCTCTGCCTCCCAGATTGCTGGGATTACAGAGAGCCACGGTGCCTGGCCCAACATTACTTTTAAAATTAATTCTCTAGTTTGACTTCACATTTAGTTCTTCAGTCCAACTGGAGTTCACATTTGTAATTAATGTTAGGTAGAAATCTGGTTTTATCTTCTCCAGATGTAGCAGATTTTATGTGCATCAGTTTCTGCCTTCACTGTTGGATTTTTTGGGGGAAAGCAAAGTGATTATAATTTTAACCTTGGTAAGTGATCAAGATGGTTTTGTAGCAGGGCTTGACCTGAATATTTTAATATTCTTTAGCTGAAGAGGAGGCAAATGAAGAAGATGTACTGGGAGATGAAACAGAGGTGAGTTGGATAGAGTAAGGTTAGTCTCTGGTAATGTGCCACTGCTTTGGCCACATTGCTTTAACATCAGTCATTGGAGGACTTAGATGTAAATTTATTAGGGGAGCATAAGATGGGTATGAAGGTTCTGAGAGACTGGTTTATTTTGGAGTTCTGATGTTCTTCTTTTGATAGATATTTATTCTTTAGATTTATGTTAACCACCTTGTTTCATTTGGTTTTAGGAAGAAGAAACAAAGCCCATTGAGCTCCCTGTCAAAGAGGAAGAACCCCCTGAAAAAACTGTTGATGTGTAATTATCCCTTTTTTATAATCTGAGTACAGAGCAGGCAGCTCTTTTCTTAATGTATTTAATGTTTAACTTTGTTTACCTCTTACATGTTCCCATTGGCCTTTTCCTTTCTGATTAGGTCATTTTTTTGTTTTTTAGAAGGGACTACTTCAAAGTACTTGGTCCCAGTGAAGTAAAGCAAATTGTCTCTGAGTTATGTAATAGGTAATGAGGACCAGGTGACTTCAAGACCAGACATAGTTTAATTCTCCTAGCCTTTGTTGTTCTTTTGTAGGGTCACCATAATAGATTATTCTGTTACTCTATAGAGAATCTGTACAATTCTGTATGCAGTGTAAAACTGTGTAAACTCTGTTAACTTTTTTTTTTTTGAGACAGGATCTCACTCTGTTGCCCAGACTGGAGTGCAGTGGCGTGATCTTGGCTCACCGTAACTTCTGCTTCCCAGGCTCAAGCAATTCTCCTGCCTCAGCCTCCCGAGTAGCTGGGATTATAGGTGTGTGCCACTACTGCCCGACTGATTTTTGTATTTTTAGTAGAGACAGGGTTTTACCATGTTGGCCAGGCTGGTTTTGAACTCCTGACCTCAAATGATCCGTCTGCCTTGGCGTCCCAAAGTGCTGGGATTACAGGTGTGAGCCACCGTGCCCGGCCCATTCTGTTAACTGTTCATAAGAGTTTTGCACTTTTCTGGAAAAGTGTAAAACTGAGGCCAGGCACGGTGGCACACACTTGTAATCCCAGCACTTTGGGAGGCCGAGGTGGGTGGATTACGAGGTCAGGAGTTCAAGACCAGCCTGGCCAAGATGGTGAAACCCTGTCTCTTCTAAAAATACAAAAATTAGTTGGGCGTGGTGGAGGGCACCTGTAATTCCAGCTACTTGGGAGGCTGAGGCAGGAGAATTGCTTGAACCTGGGAGGTGGAGGTTGCAGTGAGCCGAGACTGTGGCACTGCACTCCAGCCTGGGAGCCACAGCTGTCTCGGGAAAAAAAAAAAAAAAAGTGTGACACTCTATATAAAGGAGTTTTGTAAGGGAGGAGGGTGTTGGGTAGAGGTTATGTTTCTGAAGTAGCACTCTGTTCTCTCTTGCTTTCTGATTTACAGTGGAGGATGGGAGGACAAAGTGCTAGAATGGAAAGTAGATCTTGATTTGTTTAAACTGTTCCACAAGGGTGATCCTAAACATCTTTAATTTGGGGCTTTTTCCACAAATGTCTGGCCATTTTGTACTATAGTACATTAAGAGCCGTTGAGTCCTAAACTTTGAACATTTTTGTTCCTCATAGTTGTGTTAGTGCATTTAATTATAAAAGGCAGTGTATTTACAAGTAAAAAGTCAGTACATAGTGGAGTATATCAATTAAGAATTAAGTACTCTTTGTATCCATTCTCAGATCTGACTTTACTGAGGTTTTTAGAACAGTACATACTTTTGGAAGATTTTATATATGGGGTCTGTACATGTGTATATGTATGTATGTGTATATATAGATACACGTATACACACACTGTGCACACTTGATTTTTTTTCACATCTGGAAATTTTTTATATCATCATTTTCTTATGTAAGTGTTAGTTATATGCTAGGCATTGTTCTTAAGAGTTATATGCTAGGCATTGTTCTGAATGTTTTACATGTACTGTCATTTTATCCTCAGTAGACCCTGTAAAGTCAGGATAATTATCCTAGGAAGTGGTCTCTTTTTGTTTAGCTTATTATGGGAAATTACAAGTATATACAAAAGTTCGACTAGTGTAATAGACTCTCATCTACCTATCACCCAGATTTACTAGTTATCAACTTAGAACCTTGTTCTTTCTAGCATTTAATAGTATTGCATTCTATGGATAAACAGTAATTTATTTCACCAGTCTTCTGTTGATGGACATTTAGATTATTCATTAAAAAAAAATGTAGTTCTGCATGTCCTTTTCTAATTATTTATACTCACAAGTATACCCACAGGGTAAATTCCTAGCAGTGGATTTGCTGCATCACAGAGGATGTACATTTAACATCTTGATAGATTTTTGTCAAATATCCCTTTATTTATTTATTTTTGAGACAGGGACTCACTCCGTTGTCCAGGCTGGAGTGCAGTGGCACAATCTTGGCTCACTGCAACCTCCGTTTCCCGGCTCAAGCAGTCCTCCAGCTTCAGCCTCCTGAGTAGCTGGAACTACAGGCACGAGCCACTACACCCAGCTCTTTTTTTGTATTTTTTGTAGAGATGGGGTTTCGCCGTGTTTGCCAGGCTGGTCTCAAACTCTTGAGCTCAAAGCGATCCACCTGCCTTGGCCTCCCAAAGTGCTGGGATTACAGGTGTGAGCCAGTAATCACCTGCCTATCAAATACTACTTTCCAGCCTATCAAATACTACTTTCTAAAGCCATTTAGTTATCTTTCCATCATAAGATGTTTATAATTAGATATAGTGCCTTGAAAAAATGACTTTGTGAGATAGCTTTAAAATAGAAATGTTATGGGGATTTCTGGAACAAGAAAGAAGATCAAGTGAATACCATGATAATTGGCTTCTGTGGGTTAAAAAATAGAGGTTCGAAAGTTTGAAGTTCATTATTCATAGAATATTTAAAATGTGCATTCTGTTCAGGGGGCTTTAATTCTATTAATGAATTTTGAAACAAGGAAATTGAAGTGGGTGGGGTGATCGTTTTTGATTTTTAGAGGATAGTTGTGGTTAGACTGAAGTATGTACAAAAAGATTCTGGGTCTCTGTATTTCAGGGAATGTTGTTTATGTGATTGGGTAGGAGAGAAATTTCTCAGTGAAGAGTGGAAATTTCCCATGCATCCCAGAATTCGATGTTTATTTATTGCGCTTGAGTTTAGTTGCCTAAGGGAATTGTAATAGAATGGAAGGAAACTTCCCGTCTGGGGTTCCCTTTCTGCCATGATGTGCACTGCATTGACTGTGCTTCAGAATGGTAATGGGGAGGAAGTCATTACACTGGGGTTGATGGAGAGTACTACTTTCTTGATGGCATTGGATTTCAAGTAAAACATTAAACTTTAGCCTTTTGTGCCTAAATTATAAGACAAGGTTAGGGAAGGATGGCAAGGAAATGGGAAGCGTTTAGAAATTTCTTTAAACGTCAGAATAGCCAGGGCTAGTTTAGATTCCTTGACTATTTAAAAGGAGATCCCCTTCTTCATGTTTGGCCTGAAGTTCTCCAAAAATATACCTGTTTCTAGTTTGATTCCCAACCCCCAACCAGCTAAAGCGGTTACATATCGTAGGACTTCGTTATAGTCAGCAGGGGGCACCCATTGCTTGTCTTCAGTCCAGGGATTTCCAATAAAAGGGTGGAAGAGAGTAAGTTCTTATTCCAGAATTGCTTCCTCTGAAAATGTCATTAAACCATTACTACCTTTCAGGGCATCAAATGGGAAAAGTGTTCAGGATATTGGAACAAAAGCTGCCCATGTCTCTAAATGAGGGACCTTAATGAGACTGGTTATGACCCACAGTTTTATGGGAGTTGTTTGGTGGAGGGTTAATGCCCTTCCATTTATCGTGGGTACTTCCGAACTTTGTCTCCCGCCCCTGTGGTCCCCCCTCTTTTGTTTCCTCTTAAACCTTTGACCACTAGCTTACCATGTTTTCCTAATTCAAACTCCCCTTAGACTTTTTTCTTCCTACCTTCTTTGGCATTTTTATTTGTTTCACTTTGACTGTTCCAGCTAGAGCTACATTCCCCATGGGAGAAATAAGGGATTTTTAAAAGAAGGAAACCAGACCTTGTAGAGTACTTATTAATTGTTGTGATGAACATTGGGAGGTGGTACTTAAAGGAGGATTGGAGGGTTACTCATTAGTTCAAAAGTAAATTAAAGGCTGGGCTCGGTGGCTGATGCCTGTAATCCCAGTACTTTGGGAGGCCGAGGTGGGTGGATCACTTGAGGCCAGGAGTTCGTGACTAGCCTGGCCAACATGGTGAAACCCTATCTCTACTAAAAATACAAAAATTAGCTCGGCGTGGTGGCAGGTGCCTGTAATTCCAGCTACTCAGGAGGTTGAGGCAGGAGAATCTCTTGAACCCAGGAGGTGGAGGTTGCAGTGAGCTGAGATCGTGCCATTGCACTCCAGCCTGGGCGACAAGAGCAAAACTCCGTCTCAGAAAAATAAAAGTAAATTGAAAAGTTCCTAAAAGCAAATGAGATGGTTTCTGGTGTCCTTTGAGTGTTTCCCTTCAGCCCAGTATATTTAACCAGACTTCTTTCCTTATTTCTTTATTATACTTTAGCTAAAGAAGCTTAGTTTGTTATTTGAACTCTTTCCTCTCAATAGATGACAGTTAAAGGAACCAAAGCTCTAGTGGACTTCATGTTTCTTTGGCTTAGGGGGTGGCAGAGAGATAATAGGGCAGAGAATGGTGACTCAGGTGAATTCTTACACATTTCTGAGGTTGTGGTTTAGAATATCAGTTTTCTCATTTTAAAAAATCTCTTTCTTTTCTAGGGCAGCAGAGAAGAAAGTGGTGAAAATTACATCTGAAATACCACAGACTGAGGTAGGTATTCTGCTCCCTAGTAGAACAGTCTCTACATTTCTCTCTCCCTCTTACCCTTTATTATATCTGCATCATCCTCTAAAATTTATTCACAGGCAGAAAATCAGTATTGGCAGATTTTGGTGTTGATACGTTTCACTGCCAGCTACTCTTTGGAAAATATTTGGCTGGCGTAGGGGTAGTCATTCTTGAAGTTGTAGTCTTTTTATATGTAATATTATGGTCTTAACAGTGACTCTCTTTGAGATGTTTTCAAACCTAGGATTAGATTTAGGAGGATTGTACCTTGAAAATGTATTGGTAGATGTGACTCTTATGTTGCTACTGGCCAGTAGCTGAGATTGAAATTTCTCTGGTTTCTGTGGTGCAGGACTGTGAAACCAGGTTCCATTTGAGATCTTGTGTTCAGTATCATACTTGCAAAGTAGAGAATTATTAAACTCTTTTAGAATGGCATAAAACAATGCTGCCTCATTTCTAACTGAAAGAATACCATTGGTGTTGGAACCAAGCTATTCCTTTGATCACTTTTCAAAGGTCAGCCAAACATAGCTTTTGACTTCTTGGCTTCATGCATAATGTAGGTTTTACTTTATTTCTCCCTTTTGTTTTTGAGGGCATCTAGTAATAGTCTTTTTTTGTTTGCTTTGTGGGAAGGGCCGTTAAGTCCTAGCATGGACACAACCTGATATCTTCTAGGATTGTCAGTATTTTCAGTTTAGACCCTAAGAAATTACTTCTGATGTTTTTAAGATACCTACCTTTGGCTGGGCCAGGTGGCTCACGCTTGTAATCCCAGCAGTTTAGGAGGCTGAGGTGGGCAGTTCACTTGAGGCCAGGAGTTCAATATCAGCCTGGCCATCATGGTGAAATCTCATTTCTACTAAAAGCACAAAAATTAGCTGGGCACAGTGGCACAGTCCTGTAATCCCAGCTACTCAGGAGGCTGAGCCACGAGAATCGCTCGAACCCAGGAGGCTGAGGTTGCAGTGAGCCGAGATCATGCCACTGCACTCCAGGCTGGGGGACAGAGTGAGACTCTTTTTTTTTTTTTTTTTTTTTTTTTTAAAGATACCTACCTCTGACTGACTTTCTTAAACCATAAATTGACTTTTTTTTCTCCCTTTTGTCTATTTTTACTTAGAGAATGCAGAAGAGGGCTGAACGATTCAATGTACCTGTGAGCTTGGAGAGTAAGAAAGCTGCTCGGGCAGCTAGGTGAGTGTCCCCAGCCTTTTGGGCCTCTGATAGGGGTGTTGTAAAGATGAAGATGTGTGATCCTAGCTTTTAGGTATAATTGTTGATTTTAAGTAGAATAGAGGCTTGCTGAAGGATATGAACACTTTTTTGACCCTATTCAGAACATGTCTACTGATTTGGTTATAGTAGCTATAAATTGAGCTTTATTGAGAAGGGTTTTTGTAACAGTTAAAGCCAGGAACTGACTACTACTAATTCTGATAAGGCTTCCTTTTAGCTTAATTTCTGAACCTCTTTCATGGGGTTGTTAGAATTAGCTAATGATTGCAAGGCTTGAGATCACAAGCAAGAAGTGTCATATGTATACTTGACACGGAGACAGACAAACCAGGAGTGTGAACAGCTTCCTAAAATTTAGTTTGTTTTTCCTTCTTCAGGTTTGGGATTTCTTCAGTTCCAACAAAAGGTAAGAGTACAGAGATACTTCTGAGAAAGTTACCTTTTTATTCTTTCTTTTCTGGTATAACAGGTTTTATTTCTCCAAAATAAGGTAAATTTGCTAGCTGTAGAAACTCTTTAAGAGATTGTAACATTCATCTCCTGCTTTAGGTAAAATTATACTTAGGCCTTCCTGGGCAATTAAGAGAGATACTGAATGTTATGAGAGGATAGGAAGTGCCAACATTTGTCTGTCTTTTCTTGAACATCTTCAAAGAAGTTTCTCTAGTACTTTGCTTACTTATTCTGGGGTCTCAACTGCATAAAATTATTGCATACTATCTAGTGTTATACTGGCTATTATAAGTGATAAAAGGGAAAAGAATATCTTCTACCTTAACAGTTTTACTTCTAGGAACGTATAAGGAAATAGTCTTGAATGTGCATAAAGACTTAGCCTCAGGGATTATCACAGCATTATTTATAGTGATCAATAACTGGAAACAACCAACTGTACAACAGAGAATTAGTTATTAAATGTGTGCCATGGTATAGCAGACTACTGTGCTGAAATAATATTGAAAGATATTTATCAGAGATATTAATGAAAAAAGTTACAAAATTATATTAACAGTACGTTCCCATTTTAGTCATGTAAGAGTGCATGTATAGATAGGAAAAAAGCTTGGAAGGATACATAGTAGACACTTCAGCAAGGTTTGAACTGCACAGGTCCACTTATACTTGGATTTTTTTTTTTTTCAATAAATACAGTTTGCTGTCTGTATCTGAGGGTTCACCATAACCAAATGCGGTTCAGAAATACAGTATTCTTGGGATGTGAAACCTGCAGATATGGAGGAGCAGCTTATATCTGCTGCAGGACTTGAGTGTGGTGGATTTTGGTATCAGCTGGAGGGGTGGGTTTGGATCCAATCCCCTGAGGAAATGGAGGGACGACTGTATTCTAAATTGTTAATACTCTTATCTCTGGTTGGTGGAATTTTGAATGATTTATTTCTTTTTGCTTGTCTGTGTTATTAAAATCCATACAATGAATATGTATCACTTTTGTAATGAATTAGAGGAAATTATTACTATTTTTTGAGACACAGTCTTGCTCTGTCACCCATGCTGGAGTGCAGGGACGTGATCTGGTTCACTGCAACCTCTGCCTCCCAGGTTCAAGCTATTTTCCTGCCTCAGCCTCCTGAGTAGCTGGGACCACAGGTGCGTGACACCATACCCAGCTAATTTTTGTATTATTAGTAGAGACAGGTTTCACTGTGTTGGCCAGGCTGGTCTTGAACTCCTAACCTCAAGTGATCCACTCACCTCTGCCTCCCAAAATGGTGGGATTACAGGTGTGCCGAGCCTGAAACAGTTATTATTTTTAAGAAACGGCTGGGTATGGTGGCTCATGCCTGTAATCCCAGCACTTTGGGATGCCAAGCCGGGAGGATCAGTTGAACCCAGGAGTTGGAAACTAGCTTGGGAAACAAAGTGACACCTTGTTTCTACAAAAAATTAAAAAATTAACTAGACATGGTGGCAGGTGTTTGTAGTCCCAGCTACTTGGGGCGCTGGGGTGGGAGTATCTCTTAAGCCTGGGAGGTCAAGGCTGGCAGTGAGTGTGATCTTGCCATGACACTCTAGCCTGGGTGACAGAGCAAGATCCTGTCTCAGAATTTAAAAAAAGGACAGGCTGGGCACGGTGGTTCACACCTGTAGTCCCAGCACTTTGGGAGGCCAAGGCAGGTGGATTGCTTAAGGTCAGGAGTTTGAGACCAGCCTGGCCAACATGGCGAAACCCTTCTCTACTAAAAATACAAAAAAAAAAAAAAAAAAAAAGCTGGGTGTGGTGTTGCGCGCCTGTAATTCCAGCTATTTGGGAGGCTGAGGCAGGAGAAGTGCTTGAACGTGGGAAGCGGAGCTTGCAGTGAGCAGAGATTGCTCCACTGTACTCCAGCCTGGGGGACAGAATGAGACTCTTTTCTCAAAAAAACAAAAAGAACATAGCCCCTTTTCTCAGGAACTTAAAACTTAAATGTAGTCTTCCAATTCAATCCAGTTTTCCCTGTGACTCGTCAGTAGTTTTAAGTAAGAAAATGTCCCCCAGAGATCTTCTTGTAGTGTTTTGCTGTGCTTTTAAAAAGACAGAAAAATTCTGGCCGCTATCACTAAGTGTTTTAGAAAAAAAAAATTTTTTTTCTGGCTCTTAGTTGCATCAAGAGAGATATAATTGGTGAAGATACAACAGAAATTATAGAACGTGGTGCTTTTTTATTTTTTTTAAGAGACAGGGTTTCACTATATTGCCCAGGCTGGACTTGAGCTCCTGGGCTCAAGCAATCCTCCCTCAGCCTCCTGAGTAACTGGGACTACAGGTGCAAGGCTAAAATGCTATTTGAAGAAAGATAATAGTTAAAATTAATAGTCTGAAAAGGGAACCTGATAAAAAATACAGTTTCAGTGTTACTCATAATTCTGACATCTTAGAACTATAGAGTAACTCTAAAAAATAACGGAATTTGGGAACATTTAAAAGCAAGCACTGTTTTTTTGAATGAAATCCTGAAAAGTTTGAAGTAAATAATTATTGGCTAGTTTCTTGGTGATAATTTCAGGACAGAAAATTGGCCTTAAGGAGCCATAATTTCTTTTTTTCTCTTTTTTTCTTTTTTTCTTTTTTGAGATGGAGTCTTGCTCTGTCGCCCAGGCTGGAGCACAGTGGCGCCATCTCAGCTCACTGCAGCCTCTGCCTTCTGGGTTCAAGCAATTCTCCTGTCTCAGCCTCCCGAGTAGCTGGGACTACAGGTGTACGCCACCACGCCTGGCTGATTTTTGTATTTGTAGTAGAGATGGGATTTCACCATATTGGTCAGGCTGGTCTACAAGTCCTGACCTCAGGTGATCCACCCGCCTTGGCCTCCAAAAGTGCTGGGATTACAGGCGTAAGCCACTGCACCCGGCCAGGAGCCATAATTTCAACTCATGATAGTAGTTCTTGTTTGTCCAGATGTGATCTCTTTTTTAATAGCTTTACTGAGATGCAATTTATATAACATACAGTTCATCCATTTAAAGATATATAATTCATTATTTCATAGTATATTCACAGAGTTGTGCAGCCATCATCACCGTGCTTATCACCCCAAAAAGAAAGTCTGTGCCCATTAGTAGATATCCTCCATTACCTCTCCCTGCCCAGCCCTAAGCAGCCACTGAGGTTTTTTTCTCCATGGAAATTTGCCTTCATATAAATGAATTCGTATAGTGCGTATAGTGTATTGTCTTTTGTGACTGGATTCTTTCACTTAGCATAGTTTTCAAGGTTCATTAATGTTGTAGCATGTATCTCTATTCATTTTTATTGTTTAATAATATTCCATTGTATGGATATACCATACTTAATTTAGCCAGTCATCAGTTGATGGGTGTTTTTCTTTAACTTTTTGTCTAATATGAATAATGCTGCTGTGAACATTTATGTACAAATTTTTGTGTAATTATATGTTTTCATTTTCTCTTAGCTGTATAGCTAGCAGTGGAATTGTGGGATCATATGTAACTGTATTTATCTTTTGAGGAACTGCCAAATTGTTTTCCAAAGCAGCTATACCATTTTATGTTCCTGCTAGCAGTGAATGCAGACATGATCGCTACATGCAATTTCTGCCTTTTCTTTGTCATCATAGGATAAAGGATGTTTTTATGTTGCCTAATTTGACTTGAAGACTGTTGGCTTTGATGACTTTTAAAAATATTAAATAAAACTTTATTTACTTCCTTAGGTCTGTCATCTGATAACAAACCTATGGTAAGAAATCTTTTTTTATTTCTTACACACCCAGATCTTAATTCTATATAGCTAACTTTAGAGACTCCTCCTCCCCAGATTAGAGGAAACTCTGAGAACATTAATTTGTTGACTCTTTTCAGTACAATGTTGTATGTCTTGAATTTAAAAAATTGTTGGAGATACTGAGAGGTCAGGAAAATTGTCACATGTTCAATTACTGCAGACGTCTTCCTTCCTACCACTCTTTTTGAAAGTAAGAATGGATTTTGTTAGCCATGTATGTAACTGTTTTATGGTACTGGAGGCCTTGTCCAGTGGCCTTAGATAATGTCTAATTCATAATTACCACAAGAGAATCTATGGAAGCAATTTAGGAGTTCTGTTTGTAGATAGTGCTTTTTTTTTTTTTTTTAAAATACTATCCGTGAAATGTGAAATCAGAGTAAAGAATGGTAGAATAAAATGGCTTTCTGGACCATTGTGACTAGTCAGCATATTTAAAAAATGGTAACGAATGCTGTGGTGAAATAGAATCAGCTTTATGAAATCCTGCTTTAGGGGTTGCTGTTTAATATTGTAAGTGAAGGTTTAATATTATTAATGAAAATTTCCTAAATATTCTTTTTTTTTTTTTTTTTTTTGAGACGGAGTTTCATTCTTTTGCCCAGGCTGGAGTGCAGTGGTGCGATCTCAGCTTACTGCAACCTCCGCCTCCCGGGTTCAAGGAATTCTCCTGCCTCAGCCTCCCAAGTAGCTGGGATTACAGGTGCCCGCCACCATGCCCGGCTAATTTTTGTATTTTTAGTAGAGACGGGGTTTCACCATGTTGGCCAGGCTGGTCTTGAACTCCTGACCTCAGGTGATCCACCTGCCTCGGCCTCCCAAACTTCTAGGATTACAGGCGTGAGCCACCGCGCCTGGCCCTAAATAATTCTTAACAATAGTAGCAAGTCCATGTACCAAGGTTTCCAAGAAAGAGGAGGGAAGAGAATCGAGTTGGGTAGTAGTTATAGGTTGTCTTCTGAAAAAGGTGCTTCCGTGATAGTTTCTCTTTGTTTGGAGATAGAGTTAAGAAATACTTGCAGAGACCACATGAGAATTAATGATTTTGGATTGTGAATGGTAGACTTGTTTGGAGGTGATGATTTAGACATGTGTTTGCTTTCCCTGGCAGTGTTTGGCTTCCCTTGATCTTAAGCCCTCCTTAGGCTCTTGACACCTGTGATAAATGCAGGAGGCAGGGCTGAATCTTTCACTGCATTCCAGAGGAGGCCATAATCAGTGGACTGGATGGTTGCTGCTTAGTTTTCTTATTTTGCTCATAGGGTGTCTTTGATGTTATAGGCTTATTTGAACTCTTAGCTTCATACTATAGTTTCTGCATTTTTTGTTTTCCGTTTTGATTTTTTAAAACTATGTTCTTTCCCCTATGTTTTTATAGGTTAACTTGGATAAGCTGAAGGAAAGAGCTCAAAGATTTGGTTTGAATGTCTCTTCAATCTCCAGAAAGGTAATGTAGGCTCGATGGAAGTAATGTTTTTGTGACATTAGAGCAGCTTATGGGAACTACATAGGCTGGAAATGACCCTCCTGAGAATGTAGCTGGCTACAAAGCATTTCATTTCACATACTTGATTGACTGTCACCTCCTCTCACTGACTCTTGATTATGTTACAGGAATTATTTCACAAGCTGATTGTTTTTTCCCGTGGATTGTTTTCATAGCTTTCACCCAGGCTGCTAGAGCGTGGTCTACATTTCTTTTCTTTCTTTCTTTTTTTTCCTTTGAGACAAGGTCATTCTGTTGCCCAGGCTGGAGTGCAGTGGTGCGATCACGGCTCACTGCAGGCTTGACCTCCCTGGGCTCAGGTGATCCTCCCACCTCAGCCTTTCTCGTAGCTAAAACTACAGGCACGTGCCACCATGCCCAGCTAATTTTTTTCAATTTTTGGTAGAGACGGGATTTTGCTATGTTACCCAAGCTGGTCTCAAACTCCTGGGCCTAAGGGATCCACCCACTTCTGCCTCCCAGAGTGCTGGGATTACAGGCGTGAGCCACTGCACCCAGCCTGAGTATGGTCTATATTTCTGTTGGTTAAGATGTTAAATTCAGTGATGTTAAAACTTATTACATCTACTTTAACTTTGATAATAGGCATAATGGGAATTAAATAATCAGGAGAAGACAGTCTTGTCTTTAGGTCAGAAGTACTTAGAAATAAAACTTGGAGGATTGGTGGAACAAAAAAAAAAAGTTAATTCATTCTTTATGCCCCTCAGCTAACTGATATTATTTAGTTTATTAAGCAAGATGACTTTGTTTACTTCATGCTATGTGGGGTGATTGGTTCCCCAGGGCATAGTTGCCTTTGTAGTTTTGCTAGGCACATTGGAGAAAATGATAAGGATTTTTCTATTTGCCTAGAGCAGGTGGTCTCTTAATCTTTGTTGTTTAGAACAAGAACATGTTTCTTGGTTGTCAAAGTGGTGGCAGGGTATTTGAAACCAGAAAAACCAGCATTTAAGAAAAAAATCGGGCCAGGCGTGGTGGCTCACGCCTGTAATCCCAGCACTTTGGGAGGCGGAGATGTGCGGATCACGAGGTCAGGAGATTGAGACCATCCTGGCTAACACGGTGAAACCCCGTCTCTACTAAAAATACAAAAAAATTAGCTGGGTGTGGTGGCGGGTGCCTGTAGTCTCAGCTACTCAGGAGGCTGAGGCAGGAGAATGGCATGAACCTGGGAGGGGGAGCTTGCAGTGAGCTGAGATTGCACCACTGCACTCCAGCCTGGGCGACAGAGCGAGACTCCGTCTCAAGAAAAAAAAAAAAAAGAAAGAAAGAAAAAAATCAGTCGAGCACCACCGTGCCTGTAATCCCAGCACTTTGGGAGGCTGAGGTGGGCAGATCACCTGAGGTCAGGAGTTGAGACCAGCCCAGCCAACATGGTGAAACCCTGTCTCTACTAAAACTACAAAAATTAGCTGGGCATGGTGGTACATGCCTGTAATCCCAGCTACTTGGGGGGCTGAGGTGGGAGAATCACTTGAACCCGGAAGGCAGAGGTTGTAGTGAGCCGAGATCGTGCTACTATACTCCAGCCTGGGCAACAGAGTGAGACTCTGTCTCAAAAAAAGAAAAACATCAGTATTTCCAACTCAGCATGAAAGCGTTTAGCTCTCTAGAAAGCCATTGGAAGAAACTTACCTGACATTGGTTATATATTTTGCTTGGGAAAAAAACTAAACACTAAAAGTAATCATTATTGTGCCACTATGGAACACTTGTGCACAACTTTGTTCCATCTTTCTTCCATTTACGTTAACTTTTTTTTTTTTTTTTAGTCTTTTTTGAGACAAGTTCTCACTCTGACACCCAGGCTGCAGAGCAGTAGCATGATCACAGCTCATTGCAGCCTCCATTTCCCAGGCTCAAGCAAGCCTCCCACCTCAGCCTCCTGAGTAGGTGGGACCACAGATGTGTGCCACCATGCCTGGCCAGTTTTTGAATTTTTTTTTTTAGAGATGAGGTCTCTCTGTGTTGCCCAGCTGGTCTCAAACTCCTGGCCTCAAGCCATCCTCCTGCCTCAGCCTCCCAAAGTGCCGGACTATAGGTGTGAGCCACTGCGCCTGGCCTGGGTTATCATTTTTTATATTAACTAGAAATACAGCATCAGGTCCATGTGCCTAGCATGATGCTGAGACCATTGGTGCTCAGTGGGAATACTTGCTCATTTTTGTGAAGTAAGAAAAAATTTGAAGTTGAGAGGCAGAGTATGTGATTCTTAAGCCACATGCACTTTAATTGGGAAGGGCTGTTACAAACCAAAGGTCACGACTGGGCACGGTGGCTCACTCCTGTAATCCCAGCACTTTGGGAGGCTGAGGCGGGTGGATCACGAGGTCAGGAGTTCAAGACCAGCCTGGCCAAGATGGTGAAACCCCATCTCTTCTAAAAATACAAAAAATTAGCCAGGCGCGGTGGCAGGTGCCTGTAATCCCAGCTACTTGGGAGGCTGAGGCAGGAGAATCGCTTGAACTCGGAGGGCGGAGGCTGCGGTGAGCCGAGATTGCGCCACCGTACTCCAGCCTGGGTAACAGAGTGAGACTCCATCTCAAACAAACAAACAAACAAACAAACAAACAAACCAAAGCTCACTTGTGTTGTGCCATATGGCCAAGGGGAAGGGTGCCTTGGTTCTGCGGCCCTAGTTCTCATCTGTCTTCTCTTTTATATGAGGGCTAGATATGTGAGAACCCCAGCAGTAAAAATTCACTCCATCTTCTAAGGAATTGTCTGTGTTCCTTCAGAATTTACAAAATTGAACACCATATCTCTTACTACATAGCTCATAGCTCCTACTACACATTGCTGAAAAGAATTTGTCCATCAATGCTATACTGTATACCTGTGTTATTTTTATAGTATTTCATTACAGGAATATCAGGTCTTTCTCTTCCCTTCCCTAGACTTTTTCTCTTTGTTTGACCTTTTTTCATTTTTAGTCCACAGAAGGCTGAGTAAAACAGATACATATGTTAACTTTGTGACTTTGAGCAAATTACTGAACTTCTTTGATCCTCATCTGTAAGACTTAGAGCAATAACTAGCAACCTGGTTGGGAAGAGTAAATAATTGGATACAGGGCCAGGTGCAGTGGCTCATGCCTGAAATCCCATTATTTTGGGAGGCTGAGGTGGGAGGACTAATTGAGCCCAGGAGTTTGAGGCTGCAGTGAGCCATGATAGTGACACTGCACTCCAGCCTGGGTGACAGAGTGAGACCCTGTCTTTTTTTTTTTTTTGTCTGAGACAGGGTTTTGTTCTGTCACCCAGGCTGGAGTGCAATGGTGCGATCTCAGCTTATTACAACCTCTGCCTCCTGGGTTCAAGTGATTTTTCCCACCTCACCCTCCTGAGTAGCTAAGAATATGGGAGTGCGCCACCATGCCCAGCTAATTTTGCATTTTTAGTAGAGATGGATTTTCTTCATGTTGTTCAACTTTGGCCTCAAGTGATCACTCACTTTGGCCTCCCAAAGTGCTGGGATTACAGGCGTGAGCCACCGCACATGGCCTAGACTCTGTCTTAAAAAAAAAAAAATTGTATACAGTATTCGAAATTACCTAACAGTGATACTTTGACCCTCAATAAATGTTAGTTTTCTTCCTTTTTTCTTAGTTCAGTTCTGTTGGTAAATTGGCTTTATGGCCTTAAAACTGAGTCAATTAACTTGACTCAATTTTAGTTTTAGTTGATCATTGATAAGATTTCAGCGCCCATTTTAAGTCTCTGGAGGGTTGTAATACAATAATGGTAATTGGCAGAACTCTGGCTGTGAGCTTCCTTCTCTAATAACATTGATTGTCAATACGTATAGCATATTTTTTTATTTGCATATGTGCTAGAGTAGTGCATCTGAAATTATCTGTGGCAAAAAACTAGTTTAAAAATTTTTTTGATTATTACAGGGATACTTCTATAAAATACAATTAAAATGTTACAACAGCATTAAATTATTCTGAAAGTTTCTTAACATTTTCAATTTCTGGACCTTTACACACTGGTAAGAAACAGTTTGGAGACTAGCACCAGGAGGAAGACTATATTTTAAGTAACACTTTACTAGAATATGTATGGTTTCCAGGGACTACTTCACTTGAAGATTTGTGACCTTTTGAGATGTGCTCTGTGAGTATAGATCCCATTTACATTGGTTATAAGTCTTGATTTTCAGAACTATCCTAATTTAAACATTTTGGTCTGTTTTGTCCCATAAACCATCACAGTGTCCCAGAAATGCTGATGTTTTGCTGTCTACACCAGCACTGTCCAGTAAAACTTATTTTACAAAGCCATTTGTGGCTAGTGGCTACCATATCGGACAACTCATATCTAGCTTATATCTCCCACACAGCTTTCATACTTGTGAGTGGCGTAGAAATTATTTATCAGACCACATACTTGGACCATTGTTAATCTGTAGCTGAGAATTTTTTTAAATAATTGTAGAAAATATAAGCAGTTTCAGAATAAATCTATGAAAGGAGAGAAGTTGGAGGAAAAGGAGTAAGACATAAGAAAAGTAAGGATTCTTTTTTTCTAGAACTTAGCGTTCTAGTTCCACATCCTGGAATTGCAGCTGGGTACATTGTCTGATGAGAATTGCCTAGTTCTTGTGCTTAACTATTTATCACTAGAATGAGTTGCTACGTAGCGTTTGGTTGGTTGGCAGAGGTTAGTGACTTGGTTAAGTTTGTGTTTACGGAACTGCCAGATGAGCATACTTTTGTCCACTTCATCCTGGGATTCTGGGTTCCAGTGTAGCCTTCTATATAATTTGGTCGCTTGTCTTTAGGTTGTTTAATTCTCTAGGCACAGATTTTATTCAGTTAGATGTGGTGAAAATAGTGGAGGTTAGCAGGTAGTGTAGCCTCTTCTCTATCCTAGTATTCTAAACAAGACAATGAAAAACCCACTTTTTGTCATCTCTGTTGTCTGCTTGATCCAACTTACGACCCTGCGTGCTTGCTGATTTCTCTTTAGTGGACTTGGCTACTGATCAGTGTAGTATATGAATAAAGGGAGGAAGTATATGAGAGCAAATGAGCCATGGATTGAATAATGTTTATGATTGATTTCTTTTTTTCTTTTTTTTAGAGATAGGATCTCATGTGTGGCCCAGGCTGGTCTCCAATTCCTGGGCTCAAGTGATCCTCCTGCCTCAACCTCCCAAAGTGCTGGGATTACAGGTGTTAGCCACTGTGCGCAGCCTAATTTTTTTTTAATTGTCACAATCTGCTCATCTCCTCTTCATATTTTAGATTTATGGCTTCAGCATATTACAGATTTAAGAACCTGAGTCTGCTATTTTTCCTAGGCTGACTTTTGCATGACTATTTATATATTTCAGTTTTTAGCTCCACTAGTATGCTATACACATATCAGGCACTACACAGAAATGTAAAGAAATCTCTCTCCCACCTCCTCCCACCTCCCCCCAGCCTCCCCTAAATCATCATGTCCTTTTCCCTCTGCCCAAGAAAAGTCTGTTTGTTCATGTTTCCAGCTTAAGTCTCAGTGAACAGAATCTTATTGGTTTAGGCTAATGGAAGGTGACAAGGCAAAGAATGGCATGGGCATTTACAGAAATTTTTTACACAAGAGGCTGTAAATTGTCCCCTTCAATTCTTTGGACTGTTTGAGGATAGAGTGGCATGACTTTTCTCATAAGTCGCATGGTGACTATGGACTAATAAACCTCCCACCCACCCCCCTCAAACAACAAAACTCAGATAAATAACATCTACCTGGTTTGCTCTGATTGATTGCCAGCTAGGTTTTCTGTCTTGTGCTTGACTGGTTGTTTTTTCTCTATCTGTTTCCCATGCCTCCCAAGAGGAGTAGTGTTTGGGTCAGTGCCGTTGGTGAAGGACAGAACTTAGCACATAGGAAACCATTTTTATTATTTTTTTAAGACAGGGTCTAACTCTGTCACCCAGGCTGGAGTACAGTGGCGCAATGATAGCTCACTGCAGCCTCAGCCTCCAGGGTCAAGTGATCCTCCCACCTCAGCCTCCTGAGTAGCTAGGACTACAGGCGTGCGCCACCACACCCAGCTAATTTTAGTATTTTTTGTAGAGATGGGGTTTCACCATGTTGCCCAGGCTGGTCTTGAACTCCTGGACTCAAGCAGTCCGCCAGCCTCAGCCTCCCAAAGTGCTGAGATTACGGCCATGAGCCATTGCGGCTGGAAACTCATCTTGGAAAGGAGTTTGAAGCCTGGGCAACATAGTGAGACCCTGTCTTCTATAAAATGTAAAAACAAATTAGCCAGGTGCAGTGTGGCACATGCCTGTGGTCCCAGCTACTTAGGAGACTGAGGTGGGAGGATTGCTTGAGCCTAGGAACTCGAGACTGCAGTGAGCCATGTTCATACCACTGCACACCAGCCTGAGTGATGGAGTGAGACCCCATCTCCCTAAAAAATTTTAAAAAAGAAAGAAAAGAGTGGGAGATGGATAGAGGGAATAAAGCCAGCTCAGTTAATCTATTTGTAGTCAGAGGATATTAGTTTTGGTAAAAACTAAGTCTGGGCTTAGTACTGTAGTATTAACTGCTGTGCTAATTTGAGTGGATTGTTTGGTATTTTTCAAACATTGGCACCCTCGGAAAGGAGAAACTTCATACTTTAGGACATTATAGGAAATCCATCTACATGGGTATTTAAAAAACAAAGCAAGTCTAATCCCAGGCACTAAGCAGAAAACTGGAATGTGGTTGATACTCTTCTCCTTCCCCAGGAATGTGAGGGCAGTATATGTTACTGATTCTTGATTACTAGTAGAAGGTACAAGCATTTTATATCCTTATTGACCTTAGTACATCTTCCTTTTTTATCTATTAGAATAGTACCAGAGTTTTTCTACTTCCAGCCCTTCATATAGGTAACTGTCCTAAAGAGTTGTCTTAAGTCCAGTAAACCTTGAAGGATACTTTTCCCAGGTTTATGATTTTTGCCACTCTTCTTTCCTGATGGTTATGATCTGTGTTAACACAGTGTCACAATATAAAAAGTTTAGACTGGGCACAGAGGTTCACACCTGTAATCCTAGCTCCAGTACTTTAGGAGTTTGATCCCAGGAGTTCGAGACCATCCTGGGCAACATAATAAGACCCTATCTCTACAAAAAATAAGAACAGCCAGGCATGGTAGTGAGTGCCGGTAGTCCCAGCTCCTTGAAAGGCCGAGGGGAAGGCATTGCTTGAGTCCAGGAGGTCAAGGCTGCAGTAAGCCATGATGGCATCACTGCATTTCAGCCTGGGAAACAGAGCAAGACCCTATCTGAACAACAACAAAAAAGAATATAAAAAGGTTGAAAATAAACTAGAATATTCTTGGATAGCTGCAGTGATCATTTTCATGAGACTTTTGTATTACATTTTTTATCACCGTTGGTAGGAGATGAACCACTTCACAGTGAGTGAGATATTGGACCTGCCTTGTTATTTTTTGTCTGTTTGTTTTTGTTTTTGTTTTTTTTTTTTTTTGAGACGGAGTTTCGCTCTTTTGCCCAGGCTGAAGTGGAGCAGCGCAATCTCAGCTCACTGCAACCTCTGCCTTCCGGTTTTAAGCAATTCTCCTGCCTTGACCTCCCAAGTAGCTGGGATTGCAGTCACCCGCCACAACGCCTGGCTAATTTTTGTATTTTTAGTAGAGATGGGGTTTCGCCATGTTGACCAGGCTGGTCTCGAACTCCTGACTTTGTGATCTGCCTGCCTTGGCCTCCCAAAGGGACCTGCCTTGTTTTTGAGGAGCTTGTCACTTAACTATGTTGAGGTACCAAAGAGGAAGCTGAGACAAAGTCAATTCAAAGTACAGATAGCCACCAGTCTTCTAGCATACAGATTTCATTGTAGCTAACTGATGGCATGCTGTTTTCTCAATTCATTCTCTTCTGGAGGGCCTATTGTATTCTGTCTTCTATTCTCCCACCATCTGAAATAAGTGAAGAAATATTTGTTTGTTCCTTCACTTCAGTGATAGGTTTTGGTGTAGAGGTTAGCCATTGGGATGTGGAAAGATGAAAGAAGTTCATACAGCAGTCCTCCCTTATCTGTGGTTGTGCTTTCCGTTGTTTCAGTTACCCTCAGTCAACCACAGTCCTAAAATATTAAATGGGAAATTCCAGAAACAAACAGTTTATAAGTTTTAAATTGCACACTGTTCTGAGTAGCATGATAAAATCTTGCCCTGTTCTGCTCGGGTATGTGAATCATCCCCTTGTCCAGCATATCCCTACTACTTCCCCATTAGAGCAATGCTTGTGTTGAAGTAACTGTTATTTTACTTAATATTGGCCCTAATGCACAAGAGTAGTGATGCTGGCATATTGTTATAATTTTTTTTTTTTGAGACAGAGTTTTGCACTTGTTGCCCAGGGTGGAGTGCAATGGCGTGATCTCGGATCACTGCAACCTCTGCTTCCCGGGTTCAAGTGATTCTCCTGCTTCAGCTTCCCAAGTAGCTGGGATTACAGGCATGTGCCACTATGCCCAGCTAATCTTTCTTTCTTTTCTTTTCTTTTCTTTTCTCTTCTCTTCTCTTCTCTTTTCTTTCTTTTTCATTTTTTGAGACAGAGTTGCTCTGTTGCCCAGGCTGGAATGCAGTGGCGCAATCTGAGCTCACTGCAACCTCTGCCTCCCAGGTTCAAGCAATTCTCCTGCCTCAGCCTCCCGAATAGCTGGGATTACGGGCATGTGCTACTATGCCCGGCTAATTTTTTGTGTGTTTTTAATAGAGATGGGGTTCCACCATATTGGCCAGGCTGGTCTTGAACTCCTGACCTTGTGATCTATCCACCTTGGCCTCCCAAAGTGCTGAGATTACAGGCATGAGCCACTGTGCCCGGCCTTATTTATTTATTTACTTATTTGGAGACAAGGTCTTGCTCTGTCGCCCAGGCTGAAGTGCAGTGGCATGATCACAGCTAACTGCAGCCTCCACCTCCCGGGTTTAAGTGACCCTCCCACCTCAGCCTCCTGAGTAGCTGGGACTACAGGCACAGACCAACACGCCCGGTCAATTTTTCAATTTTTTTGTGGAGACAGGGTCTCACTGTGTTACCCAAGCTGGTCTCAAACTCTTGGGCTCAAGTGATCCTCCCGCCTTGGTCTCGCAAACTGCTGGGATTGCAGGGTTGGGCCACCATGCCTGGCCTGTTCTATTTCATTATTGCTATTAATCTTTTATTGTGTCTAATTTATAAATTAAAATTACAGGTAAAATCATAGTATATATAGGGTTTGGTACTATTCGTGGCTTCAGGGGGTTTTGGAATGTATCCCCCTTGTATAAGAGGGACTACTGTACTATGGATTTAGAAGTTGGTCATCAGTCTTCTCAGAGGGTCTGTAATTAGGATTTCTTAGTTTAAGTATGGCTGTATAAACCTTTTCCAAAGGAAGAATGATGGGGCCATGCATAGGATATTACCAACATGGAACTTTATAAACCTAAGGAACCATAAGCTATGGTGAAGAGTTTGGTAGAATATCTTTAAAGGAAGTAGTGGTAGAAGAATTAGTTTCCAGAGTAAGTTGGAAAAGTAGCCTGCTTAGTAAGTTTGGGTTCTATTCAAATATACTCAAGCAGCAGTGCCTAGGCTTAGTGTAAAATTTAATTCTCCATTTCTCTTTCTCATACAGCCATGGGACCAAGAAAAACGCAGATAGTAGACATCTAAGTGGAAAAAACAAAACTCAACGTAGGCTCCCTCAGCCATTGATACCTCACTGATCAAGAGCTTTTGGGGGAATTTCCCCCCTCCTTCATCCTAGGTTATCAGTTTTCCCCAAAATCCTTCTTCCATTTGAATAACTATGTTCTTTTCAACTTAGATTAACCAACAAGGAAAGAAGATAACTCTATGGTAGATAGAGATAGCAGTTGAGAGAGTGGTTATCTTAGAAGATAAATTTCAGGAAAAGCTAAAACTCAACCTCACATAGTCTTCAGGATTTCTTAGATAACATTCTTGGAGTTTTTTGTTTGTTTAGTTTTTTGTGTTTTGTGTTTTGTTTTGTTTTGTTTTGTTTTGTTTTGCTTTGCTTTTTGAGACAGTCTCGCCCTGTCGCCCAGGCTGGAGTGCAATGGCACGATCTTGGCTCACTGCAACCTCTGCCTCTCAGGTTCAAGTGATTCTCCTGCCTCAGCCTCCTGAATAGCTTGGATTACAAGTGTGCGCCACCATGCCCGGCTAATTTTTTGTATCTTTAGTAGAGACAGAGTTTCACCATGTTGGCCAAGCTGATCTTAAACTCCTGATCTTGTGATCCGCCAGCCTCAGCCTCCCAAAGTGCTGGGATTACAGGCGTGAGCTACCACACCTGGCCTCTTGGAGCATTTTTAAGACTAAACAAATATTTAACCACTCCTTTACATTCCCTTTTCATTCATAATACTTTGAAAATAAATATTGGGCCTTTTCAAGGAGAGATACAACGTGTAATCCTATATCTGTTTTCTTCTTTTCTGTCTCCTCCCCTTTAAGATAAAAAAAAGACACTACTTTTCTCCACCCTCCCAATGGAACAAACTTTGAGGGAGTGGTAAAAGGAGCTGTTTAAAGGGGAAACAGGTCAGCACAGTGGCTCACACTTGTAATCTCAGCACTTTGAGAGGCCGAGGCAGGCAGATCACCTCAGGTCAGGAGTTTGAGACCAGCCTGGCCAACATGGTGAAACCCCATCTTTACTAAAAATACAAAAATTAGCTGAGTGTGTTGGCTCACACCTGTAGTCCCAACTACTCGGGAGGCTGAATCACGAGAATTGCTTGAACCGTGGAGGTGGAGGTCTCAGTAAGCTGAGATCATGCCACTGCACTCCAGCCTGGGCAACAGAGAGAGACTTGCTCTCAAAAATAATAATAATTAAAAAAAAGAGGAAACAATGGGGGAAACTCTCTGACCTCAGTTTATTCCATCATCTGGTTCTTCATTTGTCCCTGCGGAGGAACAGAACTTGTCTTTTGTCTGTAACACAAATACATCATCTCCCTCCCTTCCCAGTTTCCCCCACACCCACACTTCTTACTTTTATTATGGTTCCAATCAATGATGTCAATTATGTGTGCCATTCAACTGCTGTTGAACAACTTGGCTATAGGAATTTGGAAGAGCAAAGAGGCAGAATGGAATTTTTCTCTCTCCTAACTAGGGCGCTAGACAATGTATTCTAAATTCAACCAGAGAAGTAGGAGACAGGTGTTTCTTTGCTCAACTTCTCTTTCTACTGTCCCACTATTCCCTAATCCTCCAACACATACTTTTTACGTAGCCAGTGTATGAGGAAAAAATTGGACAAGAGACGTTAGACATATAAGTTGAACATTTTAAGAGGAAAGGTTTGGCTGGGTGTGGTGGCTCACACCTGTAATACCAGCACTTAGGGAGGCCGAGGCAGGTGGATCATGAGGTCAGGAGATCGAGAACATCCTGGCTAACATGATGAAACCCTGTCTCTACTAAAAATACAAAAAATTAGCAGCGCATGGTGGCATGTGCCCGTAGTCCCAGCTACTCGGGAGGCTGAGGCAGGAGAATCGCTTGAACCCGGGAGGCAGAGGTTGCAGTGAGCCTAGATGGTGCCACTGCACTCCAGCCTGGGCGACAGAGCGAGACTCCATCTCAAAAAAAAAAATAAAAAAAAAAGGAAAAGTTTTTAAAATTTAGAGAAACAAGGTGAAATTTTTGATGCTATGTCAACATTCATGGCTGGTGCCTTGCCCTATATTTACTGTAAACTAGGTATTTGGGAAAGTTATGTTAGATGTTTAGACTTCCCTAAAGGTGCATGGCTGAGATCATTAAGCTCTTGTACCTTTTAATTTTATGTATTTCTCTCTGATTTCATTCATTGAATTTGCACCTGAAGAACTTCAGGTAAAGAAATTTGTAGTAAGAAAAAACTCTTTTCTATTTTCCCTGGTCAATACCCCCTCCATAATGTCTTTGCATTCCTTCGTCTAACGTGTCAGAACTGATGACTTTGATAAAAAACAAGTTTTATGCCTCTCTTTGGCCCCCTGCTCGTCTTTGCCACAAGAGTAAACACAGCCTGAAAGGGAGAAGAGTGCTGGATTCTGTTAAGTCTGTTTTACTTTTCAATATTCAGTTTGTTTTTGCCAGACAAACTGGTTCAGTTGTTTTTGCCAGCCTGGTTCTTGAGATGGGCTTATTGTCTGGGTAAGAGTTTTTTCTTTTTTCTTTTGAAAGTACCACTCTTAGTACATAAGGTAAATAATTTTAAAAATTACATTATATCCAGTTGTATATCTAATTTTAGGGTGATAGATAGTTGGCCTGGCCTTTCTAAGTGAAGCAATATCTATCCACACTCCCAGATACTCTCCCCAGCTGTGGTGAAATGTGAGCTCTCTGAATCCAAGTATACTCAGCCCTCTGTATCCATGGGTTCCACATCTGTGGATCAAAAGCATTTGGGGGGAAAAATACAACAATAAAAAATAATACAAATGAAGCAGTATTGTATAACAGCTATTTATACATAAGTACTCTAGAGATGATTTAAAGTATGTAGGCGGATGAGCATAGTTTATATGCAAATACTATGCTATTTTTTTGTTTTGTTTTGTTTTTAAAGATGTGGTCTCACTTATAGAGTGCCGTGTCCCAGATCATGGCTCACTGCAGCCTCCACCTCCTAGGCTCAAGTAATCCCACCTCATCCCCAACAAGTAGCTGGGACCACAGGCATGCACCACCACACCCGGCTAATTTTAGTTTGCAGAGACAGGGTCTCCCTATTTTGCCCAGGCTGGTATCAAACTCCTGGGCTCAAGGAGTCCTCTTGCCTCTCAAAGTGCTTGGATTGCAGACGGAAGCCACTGCACCTAGCCTTATGTCATTTTATATAAGGGACTTGAGCACCCACAGATTTTGGTATCTGCGGGTGGAGGCAGGGGTGGTCCTTGAACCATTACTTCTTGGATACTGAGGGACAACTGTATATCCTTCAGAGTCTGTATGGGAGGAAATAAAGTGGTGTTGGGGAAGGAATTTTTTGGTATATGTGTATGTGATTAATTTTTTTGATAGGAAATTTTGGTTAAAGGCTCCTCATGTGAGAGCAATGGCAGAATGGGAATGTTTAGAATGTATGTTAATACTTGAGAGGCTTATATATGTGGGTTCAGTTAAAATAAGATTGAACAATTATGGGATAGTTCATTTTCTTATATACTCACCAAAATAGCAGAGTTGCTCTTCATGACTGATAGCTGAAGAAGGTCAGATCCCATAGTATTTTGGAGATGGAGGTGGGGATGAGGCAGGACATCAAATTGGAGATGTTTTAAGGGGAATACTTGTTGGTGATGTTTGTAAATTAGCAAAGACCCCATTTTTAATATAATATGAAGTCCCTTGTTAAGATCTAGAAAATTTTAACTCCTTTCTTCCTCTCCCCTTCCTTTGCTACTCTTTTTTTCATAGTTTTTTTTTTTTGTTTTTGTTTTTTGTTTTTTTTTTTTTGAGACAGAGCGCGATCCCAGCTCACTGCAAATCTCTGCCTCCTGGGTTCAAACAATTCTCCTGCCTCAGCCTCCTGAGTAGCTGGGACTGCAAGTATGCACCACCATGCCCGGCTAATTTTTGTATCTTTGGTAGAGGCCGGGTTTCACCCATGTTGGCCAGGCTGGTCTCGAACTCCTGACTTTGGGTGATCCACCCACCTCAGCCTCCTAAAGTGCTGGGGATTACAGGCGTGAGCCACCATGCTTGTCCATCTTTTTTTCATGTTCTTTTTTTTTTTTTTTTTTAATTTTAACCTTTTAACTCCCAGAGCATATTCTTAGGAAAGAAATAGAAATGTGTGGCTGGGCGTGGTGGCTCGCACCTGTAATCCCAGTGCTTTGGGAGGCTGAGGCAGGCGGATCACGAGGTCAGGAGATGGAGACCATCCTGGCTAACACGGTGAAACCCCATCTCTACTAAAAATACAAAAAAATTAGTCGGGTGTGGTGGCACACACTTGTAATCCCAGCTATTTGGGAGGCTGAGGCAGGAGAATGGCTTAAACCTGGGAGGTGGAGGTTGCAGTGAGCCAAGATTGCGCCACTGTGCTCCAGTCTGGGCGACAGAGCGAGACTCCATCTGCCAAAAAAAAAAAAAAAAAAACAAATAGAAATGTGTTTTCAGGGTGTTGTATATTTGGAGTTTGTAACAAATATTAAATCTGGAAATCCCTGGCAGGGGAGATGCGTAACTGAGAAGGAGATTATATTTGAAATACTTGAGCTGGACTTCATTTTATTTTATTTATTTATTTTGAGGGTGCTTTTGCTCTTGTCACCCAAGCTGGAACCTCCCACTGCAACCTCCACTTCCTGGGTTTAATCAATTTTCCTGCCTCAACCTCCCGAGTAGCTGGGATTACAGGTGCATGCCGCCACACCTGGCTAATTTTTGTTTTTTTTTTTTTGTTTGTTTTTTTTTTTTTTTCAGTAGAGACGGGGTTTCACCGTGTCGGCTAGGCTGGTCTTGAACTCTTGACCTCAAAGTGATCCACCCACGTAGGCCTCCCAAAGTCCTGGGATTACAGGCATGAGCCACCGTGCCTAGCCCGTTGATCTTGACATTAGAAAGTAATTATTGGTAGGGAGTTTATTGGGGTATAGAGGAGTCAGTTACAGAATTTGCATATCGTACCCATGCTTAGGTATGAGGTGGTTGAAAAGAAGGAGCAGTTAGAAATGAACAAATGTGGTACAGTGGCTCGTGCCTGTAATCCCAACACTTTGGGAGGCCAGAGTGGGAGGATCACTTGAGCCCAGGAATTGAGACCAGCCTGTGCAGCATAGTGAGACCTTGTCTCTACAAGAAAATAAACAATTAGCTGGGTGGGGTGGCATGCCTGAAGTCCCAGCTACTTGGGAGGCTGAGGTGGGAGGATTGCTTGAGCCAAGGAGGTCCAGGCTGCAGCGAGCTATGGTTGTGCCACTGCACTCCAGCCTGGGTGACAGAGCGAGAGACTCTGTCTCAAAAAGAAAAAAGGGCCAGGTGCATTGGCTCATGCCTGTAATCCTAGCATTTTGGGAGGCCAAGGCGGGTGGATCACTTGAGGTCAGGAGTTCGGGACCAGCCTGGCCAACATGGTGAAACCCCGTCTCTACTAAAAATACAAAAATTAGCTGGTGTGGTGGGCACCTGTATTCCCAGCTACTCAGGAGGCTGAGGCAGGAGAATCACTTGAACCTGGGAGGTGGAGGGTTGCAGTGAGCAGAGATCGCACCATTGCACTCCAGCCTGGGCGACAAGAGCAAAACTCTGTCTCAAAAAAGAAGAAGAAGAAATCCCATTTTCCTTTTCCCCCACTTTATTGATATTACTCCTTTTCCTTTGTGTCAGTTCTGTAGGAAAAAATGCCTTTGTGTGCTGCAACCTAGTTGCCTCCCTCTTTTCCCCACATAACTGCAGTGTGCCCTGATCTTGTTTTGGCACGTTCTTTCTGTATTGAACTATGATGAAAGATTCTCTCTGCTTTTCTATTTGAATTGTAGGAGAGCAATAAGACAGGTGTGCTACCTAGAGTCCTCTGTGATTTCTTCACATCTCTCTTTTTACCCCTCACATCTCTGCAGCTGAAATAGTTTTTGTAGGAAGCATAAACTTTGGAATACCCTTAGCATTTATAGGAGATAATTGGAGCAGGATGGGAGTCTTACTTGGACTTGATGAGAAATTTTAAAAAGTTGTTTGGTCTATATTTTTTCAAAGCTACTTGAAATTGGCCCCAAATAATGGTTGCATGTAAGGGTTACAGGGGACCCTTTAAAAAATACAGCTCTGTAGGCCTTCCCTTTTGAGATACAGATTAATTAGGTTGGGTTGTGGCCTGAAATCTGCATTTTTAAATACTTTAGATGAAAATAATCTGTTTTCCTAGTGCTCACTCTAAATTTCTGAATGGTCAGGTAACTGTCCTCCCTTCTCTGTATGTTTTGGCTAAGACAGCATTCACGTCTCCTGAAAAGTTTCAGCTTCCCAGGCTGGGCATGGTGGCTCACGCCTGTAATCCCAGCACTTTGGGAGGCCGAGGCGGGCAGATCACCTGAGATTGGAAGTTAGAGACCAGCCTGGCCAACATGGAGAAACCCTGTCTCTACTGAAAAATACAAAATTAGCCGGGCGTGGTGTTGCGTGCCTGTAATCCCAGCTACTCGGGAGGCTGAGGCAGGAGAATCACTTGAACCCGGGAGGTGAAGGTTGTGGTGAGCTGAGATCATGCCATTGCACTCCATCCTGGGCAGAAAGAGCAAAACTCTGTCTCAAAAAAAAAAAAAAAAAAAGTTTCAGCTTCCCTCTACTGACTTCTTGACATTTCTGCCAGGCTCTGCATCACTTATCCTCAAAAGCAGCAGCTCCTTGGCTTTTAAAGGAGGGAGATGGGGACTTTTAATAGAAACTTGATTTCTGGGGGTGTCAAGTGTGACACCTTCATTTCCTCTGCCTGCCTTGCTTTGTCCTACAATCAGCTAGAGCAAGACCGAAACGACCTCCTCTGGGGTTGAAGAGGAGTGGGGGTTGGGGAAAGAGCTTGATTTGGACAAGAGAAAGAAAAAGTGGTAGAACCTAGTGAGTGAGTGGTTCTGAGCTGACTGTGTTCTTGGGCTTCAAATCCTGTGAAGATAAGAGGAGATGCAATTCCTGGTGTTCTCTAATTGTCGTGTAACTTTAAAGTTCCTAGCACCCTACCAGCCCTAGAAAGTTGATACTGATCTCACACTTGAAAGAGATTATTGAGAGTAGGTTAAGGTGGTTATATTGGGGAGGTGTGTTATGTGTATATGTGTGGATAGTGTTGGAGTGTCTCTACCATATTATTTGCTAAGGCGGTGTACTTGCTGCTAGTCTGGTCTCTCACCTTCATCTACTTAAGCTCTGTGCATTGATTTTTGGGACCACCCTATGTTCTGTCGTCTGGTTGGCATAAAGGCTCGGGAATAAACAGTTTCAGAAACTGGGGCAGGGGAGGTGACAGCTGTGTTTTTAAGCATCCAAGTGTTTCTGAGAGAATAACCATCAGTTGCTGTCATTCATCCTGAGAGTATGAAATTGGAAGCTCGCTTACCCTGGAGTGTTTCATAACCTTTACCTCTGGGAAGTCAAGGCCGTGTCATCATTAATCTACCATCGCCTGAAAGCCCCCAGGCTCTGCTTTTCATCCTGCCATCAGTCACGTGGCACTGAGATTCAGGCTCCCTCTTTTCCTTTTTGCCATGCTACCTTACATTCCTTTGGAAATCAGACTGGCCTGAGAACTATTAACATCTTAGTATGGTAACTCATTTACAAAGGGGGGCAGTTATTTGTTATTTTTGTGAAATATGACATCTTAGCTCTCTGTCAGCCTCTCTTCCATCACTCTAGGGAAAAGACTTTTGAGGGGGAAAATAATAGCAGTACCTGAGCTCCCCTGAAATGCTTCTTTCTGCTTCTAAGGATTTTTCTGACTGGACTCTTTAGATTGGAATTTCTGCTTCTCACACATGGTATAAGGAGGGATGATAAGTGAGTGAGCTTGTTACACTTGACCAGGAACAGTGCCTGGCTTGGTTAATTCTTTTGGTCGCAGAGAATAACGATGTTTCTTATTTGAATCCAGTGAAAGTACTCATGCTTTGTGTTCTTGGGAATTACTGAGTTCAAATTCCTAATGATGCTTGGGTTACACTTTGCTTTGTTTCTCCTAGTTTCTTTTTATATGATCCGGAGTGGCACTGGTAATAAGATTGAAGAAGGTGGGCCGGGCACAGTGGCTCACACCTGCAATCCCAGCACTTTGGGAGGCCGGGGCAGGCGGATCACCTGAGGTCAGGAGTTCGAGACCAGCCTGGCTAACATGGTGAAACCCCGTTTCTACTAAAAATACAAACAAACAAACAAACAAACAAAAAACAGCCAGGCGTGGTGGCATGCGCCTGTAATCCCAGCTACTTGGGAGGCTGAGGCAGGAGAATCACTTGAACCCGGGAAGGAGAGGTTGCAGTGAGCCGAGATCACATCATTGCACACTCCAGCTTGGGCAACAAGAGCGAAACTCTGTTAAAAAAAAAAAAAAAAAAGATTGAAGAAGGTGAATGCTTTCAACACACAACCCATGGGATGCTAATTACATCAAATTGGACCCCTTTTGGCAGAGTAAACAGCCATGGCACACAAGCAAGGAGCAGTATTCTTTACTGTATTTAGGATAAAATTAGTAAGTTTTGAAAAATGTTCTCATGACTTTATATCTTGAAGACACAGGTTGGGTTTAGAAAATAAAGTTAGAACTCCATTTTGGGTAGACATAGTAATGGTACTCTGCTGTAAAAAGGGAACAGACACTTTAGAAAATATCTGTGGTATTCAGCTGCCAATTGTTGCATCTGATCTTCCTTTTGCAACTTACTTCCTGGCTACAGTATATATGCCATGGAAATCATTGCTAAGAACCCTTAATTTAAAATTTCTAGTTATAGGCTGGGCGTGGTGGCTCATGCCTGTAATCACAGCACTTTGGGAGACTGAGGCAGGCGGATCATGAGGTCAGGAGATCGAGACCATCCTGGCTAACACGGTGTAAACCCGTCTCTACTAAAAATACGGAAAAAAAAAAAAAAAACCTAGCTGGGCGTGGTGGTGGGCGCCTGTAAGTCCCAGCTACTCGGGAGACTGAGGCAGGAGAATGGCCTGAACCCAGGAGGCGGAGCTTGCAGTGAGCTGAGATCACGCCACTGCACTCCAGCCTGGGCGACAGAGCGAGACTCCATCTCAAAAAAAAAAAAAAAATTCTAGTTATAACCTGATGACTCTTTCCTCTCTCTTTTTTCTTCTGAGGACATTGAGTATTTTAAAATAAATTCCATTATGTTTATAGAGGAGTACGTTCTTAAGGGACCAGCAGCAACCCTGTAACTAACTACACTTCATCTTGCTTTCTAAATTCCTATCTCTGTTTCTGTGTGTTTGCTTTTCATCTCTGGATTTCATGTTTCTCTCTCACTTCAATACCTCTGGCCTCTCTCTTCTAATAGAAACACAGATACTCCTCTCCTTACAATGGGGGCTATGTCCTGATAAAAACCCGTCTTAAGTCAAAAGTGCATTTAATACACCTAACCTTCTGAACATCATAGCTTAGCTAGTTGACCTTAAAAATCCCAGAACACTTATATTAGTCTGCAGTTGGGCAAAATCATCTAACACAAAGCCTATTTTGTAATAAAGTGTTGATTATCTCATGTAACTTATTGAATACCGAAAGTGAACAGAGTGGTTGTATGGATACGTCAAGTATAGTTTCTACTGAGCATGCATCGTTCGCCGTTGTAAAGTTGAAAAATCTTAAGGCAAAGCATCATAAGTTGGAGACCATTTGTATGTTCAAAATCACTTGCTAAAGGTAGGCCACACATTTGGCTCCAAACTTTATGGCAGCCAGTAGAAAGGGAAAGCACAGTTGCACTGTTTATGGTGATTCACAAGATTCAGAAGGTAAAAAGCTAGCAAGTTGCCCAAGAAAAGCATAACTCTTTTGGATCTGGGGGCTAGAAAGCAAATTTCCGTTATGAGTCCTCATAATGTAGTTATGTAAAGAACAGTAGTATACACCTTTATAGTAACTTGGTGAATTCATAAGCCTCGTGAAGTTAAGGTTCTTATTCCTTAACTTTATCTTATTGATCTCTGTATTCCCAGTACCTGACCCAAAGTAGATACTCATTTGACTACTGAATGAATTAATTAATTTTATGGCTACAATGCTATTGAAAATGTTGATTGAACCTGATGTCACATAATTCAGTGAAAGAGATTCCTCAGGGGCCTTTAGAGAACCTGGGATTGGATCTACATAGATAGAGGTTAGATCCTTGCCCAGTCCCCTCATATATTACCTTAAATAGATATCTTTTATTGTTAGTCGTTAATTATTAGGGTTTATGAAATCAGCAAAGCCTAGCAGCCCAGATTTTCAAGGTCTGAGAAAGAGAAGATAGTTTGGCCTGGCATGGTGGCTCACACCTGTAATCCCAGCACTTTGAGAGGCTGAGGAGGGTGGATCACTTGAGGTTCAAGACCAGCCTGGCCAACATGGTGAAACCCCATCTCTACTAAAAATACAAAAAATTAGCTGGGCATAGGGCTTACACCTGTAATCCCAGCTACTTGAGAGGCTGAGACAGGAGAATCGCTTAAACCCAGGAGACGGAGATTGCAGTGAGCCGAGATCGTGCCATTGCACTGCAGCCTGGGCAACAGAATGAGACTTTGTCTCAAAAAAAAGAAAGAGGCTGGACATGGTAGCTCACGCCTGTAATCCTAGCACTTTGGGAGGCTGCGGCGGGTGGATCGCCTGAGGTCAGGAGTTCGAGACCAGCCTGGCTGACTTGGTGAAACCCTGTCTCTACTAAAAATACAAAAATTAGCCTGGTGTGGTGGTGGTGGGCACCTGTAATCCCAGCTACTCCAGAGGCTGAGGCAGGAGAATCTCATGAACCCGGGAGGTGGGGGTTGCAGTGAGCCGAGATCGCGCCACTACACTCTAGCCTGGGCGATGGAGTGGGACTCAGTCTCAAAAAAATAAGAGGGCTGGGCACGGTGGCTCATGCCTGTAATCCCAGCACTGTGGGAGGCTGAGGTAGGCGGATCACCTGAGGTCAGGAGTTCGAGACCAGCCAAGCCAACATGGAGAAACCCTGTCTCTACTAAAAATTAAAAAAAAAATTAGCTGGGCGTGGTGGCAGGCACCTGTAATCCCAGCTACTTGGGAGGCTGGGGCAGGAGAATCGCCTGAACCCGGGAGGCGGAGGTTGCAGTGAGCCGATGTCACGCCTTTGCGCTCCAGCCTGGTGACAGAGTGAGACTCTGTCTCTAAATAAATAAATAAATAAGAGAGAGAGAGAGGGAGGGAAGGAGGGAGATGGTTAATAGGACTTTGTGGAGAAGACTGATTTTGTCCAGTAACTGTTCTTCCACAACCCAAATTTTAACCCTTAGTCATCTGTCCAAATATATACTCATTTTCCTTGAAGCTAAAGGGAATTTTCTTGTTGCCTTGGTAATGGATCTAATTCTTACCAGCCTTTGGTGATTTTGCTCATTTATTTATTTGTTTATTTGTATTTGTGTGTGTGTGTGTATATCCTTTTTTTTTTTTTTTTTTTTTTTCTGAGAGGGAGTCTCGCTCTGTTGCCTAGGCTGGAGTGCAGTGGCGCGATCTCGGCTCACTGCAAGCTCTGCCTCCCGGGTTCACACCATTCTCCTGCCTCAGCCTCCCGAGTAGCTGGGACTACAGGCGCCCGCCACCATGCCTGGCTAATTTTTTGTATATTTAGTAGAGACGGGGTTTCACCGTGTTAGCCAGGATGGTCTCGATCTCCTGACCTCGTGATCCACCCGTCTCGGCCTCCCAAAGTGCTGGGATTACAGGCATGAGCCACTGTGCCCGGCTTGTATTTGTATATTTTTGAGACAAGATCTCACTCTGTTGCCCAGACTGAAGTGCAGCGGCGTGACAATGGCCCACTGCAGCCTCAACCTCCTTGGCTCAAGCAGTCCTCCCCCATCAGCCTCTCGAGTAGCTGGAACCACAGGCATGTACCACCATGCCCAGCTAAATTTTTTTTTTTTTTTGGTAGAGATGGGGTCTCACTATGTTGCCCAGGTTGGTCTTGAACTCCTGGGCTCAAGTGATCCTCCCACCTCAGCCTCCCAAAGTGCTTGGGATGGCATGTGTGAACCACCACACTAGGCCACCATGATTTCACTTCTTATCTAGAAGAATGAATGGCATTGTTAGCTTAAATTTTGATTGTGATCTCAAACTTTGTTTCAAGGACCAGGAGAAATACGGCAATAAAAGTAATAGCTAACATTTATTGAATACCTTTTATAGTTCCTGTGTGCAAAGCACTCTTTACACATGTAATTTGTATCTTGGAGCAGGCTTGAATGTCTGTCTTTTCTCTTTCAGGTATTGTTTTCAAGGGCTCAGTTTGGAACTGTATTCTACAATGGAAAATACAATGATACTAAGGGTATTTGGTTTTATTAAATATAGACCCTGGGGCTGGGCATGGTAGCTCATTCCTGTAATCCTAGCACTTTGGGAGGCAGAGACTAGGAGGCAGAGACTAGGCGGCAGAGGCGGGTAGATTGCTTGAGCTTAGGAGTTCAAGACCAGCCTGGGCAACATGGTGAAACCCTCTCTCTACAAAAAAACAAAAATTAGTTGGGCGTGTTGGCTTGCGCCTGTGGTCCCAGCTGCTTGGAAGGCTGAGGTAAGAAGCTCCCTTGAGCCTGGGAGGTGGAGGTTGCAGTGAGCTGACATTGAGCCACTACACTCCAGCCTGGGTGACAGAGTGAGACTGTCTCAAAAAAACAACCCCCCCCCCCCCCCCGCCAAAAAAACCCACAAAATATATAGACTATGCTTTCTGTTCTTATATAGGTACTCTCTCCTCTTTTGCACAATTGTTTCTCATGTTTATAAATGAGATCTTAAGGAAAGCGAACAAGACAGGTATTAGGTACCATGAGGTTTGTATATACTGAAATTACTGGCATCTGTCGGTTGGCTTGGTGTTTTAAATCTTGAGATGGAAGAGGAGGGAGGAATTGAAATGTATGGATTAATCTGAACATCCAATGAATGTATTTGGCCAGTAAGGACAGTTTTCTCTTGATTTTGGGTGCAAATTGTTTGTTTTTAGGAGTATAGATTTGATAGGAAATAAGGGCACTTCAGATTCAAGCACTTCTCTTCTCACACAGGAGTATGCATGGGAAGAAAAAAGAGATTTGTTAGTAGCTGAGGGTTTGAGAGAGGGTAGTGGGGGAGGGATGAAGAAGGGAAAGGTTTTCAAATGCATGTGACACTGAGCTAGAGGGGTCACTGCTGCCTGCAGATGCCACAACCCCATTTGTGCACTTGAGCATGGCCTGAGGGAGCATTGGCCTGATGAATGCAGAGAGACATGAGTTTTGATCGAGGTAATTTCCCTCAGATGGGGTTCACCATCCCATGAATCAAAACCTGTCAGCAAGGAGCTAAAGATGGAGTGAAGTTTATTGTACGTTTGTTTCCATGCAACACCGTCACGCTAGAAGGGTCAAGTGAGAGAGATCATTAGAACTGTGTTGATTTACTGGGCCCAGTTGTGCACTTTCCCTGCAGGGAAAGGAGGAAAGAGGCTTTAAGAGAGGAGCTGAGGGGTGCTGGGTGGGGAGGGAAGAGCAGGCTATTTGTGGAGGGTTGGGGGAACGATGTATTGTTGTTGTTGTTTTCCCCTGGAACCCCTAATGGGTTTAGAACAGATGCTCTGCCTGTATCTCCTGAAGAGGCACCAAAGATCTTGTTTAAAAGGGAAGCTAGGCTGGGTGTGGTGGCTCATGCCTGTAATCCCAGCACTTTGGGAGGCGAGGTGAAAGGATTGCTTGAGTCCGGGAGTTTGAAACCAGTCTAGGCAACATAGCAAGACCCTGTCTCTATTAAAAAAAAAAAAAAATTAGCCAGGCATGGCACATACCTTTAGTTCTTAGCTACTGAGGAGGCTAAGGTTGGAGGATTACTTGAGCCCAGGGATTCAACATTACAGTGAGCCATGATCATGCTACTGCACGACAGCATGGCAACAGAGTGAGGCCCTGTCTCTAAAAAACGTGGGCAGCGAGGCAGGTGGCTAATGGGGAAATCAGACTCCCCATTTGAGGATATAGCCAAATAAAGAACCAGGAGAAGCAAAACTGGCCCGCACATTCCAAGTGGACATACGTTGGGGGAGGGCTTGGCCTCAGGGTTTGTGCTTATATAATGTCTGGGTTTCAAAAGTCTTATCTCCTCTGTGATTTGAACTTGCTGAAGTACTGCTAGTGCTAAATTGAATGGAAAAAAGTTTATAATGGTAGTTTAACAAGATAGTGGTCTAGTCTTGCCTCTCCGCAAGAAGAGAGGCTCCATTTATTTTCCTGAAAACTGTTTCCTACTTGGCCGGGAGACTTAGTGAAGATATATCAACTAGAACATTCTAGAGGTTCTCAACTTGAAATCCCCATTTATATTCCGTATTCACTTTATCTTAGTGGTAGTAGATCAAGGAAACTTTCCCCCTTGACTTTGTTAGTAAAAAATGTGGTGGGACTTAATGTTTGTTGGAAACCTTCCTTTTTTTTTTTTTTTTTTTTTGTGAGACAGAGTCTGGCTCTGTTGCCAGGCTGGAGTGCAGTGGCGTGATCTTGGCTCCCTGCAACCTCCGCCTCTCGGGTTCAAGTGATTCTCCTGCCTCAGCTTCCCGAGTAGGGACTACTACTCGCCACCACACCCAGCTAATTTTTGTATTTTTTTTAATAGAGATGGGGTTTCACCATGTTGGCCAGGATAGTCTCTATATCTTGACCTTGTGATTTGCCTGCCTCGGCCTCCCAAAGTGCTGGGATTACCGGTGTGAGCCACTGCGCCCAGCCTTATTCTTTTTTTTTTTTTTTTTGAAATGGAGTTTCGCTCTTGTTGCCCAGGCTGGAGTGCAATGGCGAGATCTCGGCTCACCGCAACCTCCACCTCCCGGGTTCAAGCGCTTCTCCTGCCTCAGCCTCCCAAGTAGCTGGGATTACAGGCATGCGCCACCACGCCCAGCTAATTTTGTATTTTTAGTAGAGGCGGGGTTTCTCCATGTTGGTCAGGCTGGTCTCGAACTCCCGACCTCAGGATTTTAGAAGATCCTTCCTGGGATTTTCTCAAAGTGGTGGGATTACAGATGTGAGCCACTGCTCCCAGCCCCTTATTCTTTTATTACATCTCAACAAATGGAATAGCCAATTAAGCAAAATTAGAACCAGATTTAGCTGAGAAAAACATTAGTACAAGATTACTAACTGGAGCCCTTTTCCTAGATACTGTTACTTATAAATTGTAGGTATATGGTACGTTAGAAGAAGGGGTCCTAGTATTCTTGACCTGATTATTTGAGTGATGTGATTAAAATTTACAAGTTTTTTTAGCTAAGGGTTCTAGTGATCCTTCCTCCTTGGGAGTTAAGCACTTAATTGTCCTACTGTTCTTCCAAAGAAATACTTAAGTGAGATACCTTGAGGAGGTGGTAAGGCTAAGAAAGTGGATTCCTGAGTAAAATGTCCTGGATTCCAATCCTCGTATTATTTGTGAAATTTTGGGTGAGTCACTTAATCTCTCCAAGACTAAATTTTCCTATCTATGAAATGAATTTAATTGCTGTGCCTACTCCATAGGATTATTATAAGAAGTAAATGATGCCAGGTACAGTGGCTCACACCTGTAATCCCAGCACTTTGGGAGGCTGAGGCAAGAGGATTGATTGAGCCCAGGAGTTCAAGACTAGCCTGGGAAACATAGCGAGATCCCCCTCTCTGCAAAAATTAAAATAAAGTAGTAAATGAGCCTGGATGCAGTGGCTCACGCCTGTAATCCCAACACTTTGGAAGGCGAAGTGGGCGGATCACCTGAGGTCAGGAGTTCGAGACCAGTTTGGCTAACGTGGCGAAACCCCATCTCTACTAAAAATACAAAAATTAGGTGTGGTGGCGTGCGCATGTAGTCCCAGCTACTCAGGAGGCTGAGGCGGGAGAATCCCTTGAACCTGGAAGGTGGAGACTGCATTGAGCCAAGATGGCACCACTGCACTCCAGCCTGGGCGACAGAGCGAGACTCTGTCTCTGGGGAAAAAAAAAAAAAAAAGTAGTAAATGAGATATTGCATGTGTAAAGAACTGCACACAGTACCTGGCATATACTAAGCACTCAGATGTTCATGGCTATAATGTTATTATTTTAATTTATTATTATTAAGGACAAGAATACTTATGTTTTTCTTTGAACCTGGCTTAATGTTTTTACAATAGTTCAGAGTACATTAATGAGGTACCCGCTATGGATTTGCTGGTGGTCATAATGAGAAAGGCAGAAAAACTGTGTAGGCAGTAGTTTATTCTAGTAATAAACTGTGATTAAATGATAACTTGTATAGGATTCTTAATTGCTTCATAACCATCATTCTTTCTTAGGTCTCTTCCTACTCACTAGAAAGCAGGTGCAGCAAAAGGGAGAAAATGAACATCTTTCTCAAGCTGAAAGAGTTAAAGACCAAGACAGTACTCCTGCCTGCTGTGTTCAGACAGGTGGACTAGTTAAATTGAGCACAGAAAGCTGGATAGCTGCCCTGCTTTTGATTTGTACAGGTGGCTGCTGTGGCCACAGGGACAAAGACAACTCCTTGGTTGGGGTTGAGAGTAGAGGCATTGAAAAATTGCTGTATATTTCTGTAGGTCTTTTTGTTACCTTTGCTTTTGACCTTGTAGTTTTGGGACACCCAGAGACACAGCCTGCCTATAGACTGTAGGACTATAATTTCCTTGGGATTTAAAAACAAATCCAGCTCAGAAGCACCACACAGACATTCTTTAAAAGTTTGTTTGAGGCCAGGCGCAGTGGCTCACACCTGTAATCCCAGCACTTTGGGAGGCCAAGGTGGGCGGATCACCTGAGGTTGGGAGTTCGAGACCAGCCTGACCAACATGGAGAAACCCCGTCTCTACTAAAAATACAAAATTGGCCGGGCATGGTGGCACATGCCTGTAGTCCAGCTACTTGGGAGGCACAGGTTGCAGTGAGCTGAGATTGTGCCACTGCACTCCAGCCTGGGTAACGAAGTAAGACTCTGTCTCAAAAAAAAAAAAAAAAAAGTTTGTTTGAACTCTTTGGAGACGGAGTCCCACTCTGTCTACCCAGGCTGGACTGCAATGGCATGATCTCAGCTCACTGTAACCTCCGCCTCCTGGGTTCAAGCTATTTTCCTGCCTCAGCCTCCCAAGTAGCTGGGATTACAGGCACCTGCGGCCATGCTTGGCCAATTTTTGTATGTTTAGTAAAGATGGGTTTCACCATGTTGGCCAGGCTGGTCTCCAACTCCTGACCTCAAGTGATCTGCTTGCCTTGGCCTCCCAAAGTGCTGGAATTACAGGTGTGAGCCACTGTGCCCTTGTTTGAACTCTTGCTTATCTGTCCTTCTGTTGGGTTAACAACGTAAATAAAGTCAAAGAAACTGTCCTGCTCTTTAGTGAGGATGGGTACATCTCTAGGGAGTAGAGGGTCTCTTGAGATTATGAGAGAATGAGATCTTTTTATATATGTGCCAAATTTTAGAAAGTCCTTCCTGGGGGAAAGACACCCGAGGAGCCTACCTGATTTCAGATGTTTTCTAATCCTGAGGCTGAGCTTCTGATGACTGGTGATAAGATGTGAGGGGGAGGTGGAGAAAGAGAAAATAACTGTTAAAGTGGGCTAAATAAAATGGTAGGGTTTAGGTTCTGATAGGAAAATATATAGACTCTTATACTGAGCAGTGTTGGACATGAATGATACAAAACACCTAGAATAATGGCGAGCTCCAACTCATGGTAAACTGAAATATTCTCTCATTCCCAGGCAGACATCATGAGTTTCACAGATGCTTGGAAAATGTCCACAGCATTTCTCTTAGAGAGTTGACCATGGCTGTCACCTTGATTCACCTGTTTTAAGAATCATTTCAAACTATTCAGAGCCTTCTATGGCTTTGCTGGGTGTTTCAAGCAAATAAGTTTTTCAGAAATACCACTCTGGCCCTCTTCCCCTTTCTTTCCTTGGTAACGTGTAAGCATTGTTCAACAAGTAGTTTGGGTACCTTCTAACTAGGTGTTACTAGGTGTAACTTTGGGTGTTATTCAGTGAAACCTCAGTTTTCCATATCCCTCAACTGCCAGAATTGCTTGAGCATAGAAATTTGTTTTATGGGTGTTTCTTACTGTTTATTTTATTTATTATTTTTTTTTTTGAGACAGAGTCTCACTCTGTCACCCAGGCTGGAGTGCAGTGGTGCAATCTCAGCTCAGTGCAACTTCTGCCTCCCAGGTTCAAGCAGTTCTCTGCCTCAGCCTCCCTAGTAGCTGGGATTACAGGCGCCCGCCACCACACCCAGCTAATTTTTTTGTATTTTTAGTCGAAATGGGGTTTCATCATCTTGGCCAGGCTGGTGTTGAACTCCTGACTGCCTGATCCACCCGCCTCAGCCTCCCAAAGTGCTAGGATTACAGGTGTGAGTCACCGTGCCCGGCCTCTTACTGTTTCTTTACCCTACTTGTCTTATGAGTATTGAGGCCCTGCCTAAAATTAAGTTTTTAGTCATTCTAGGTACAACATAGTATATGCTAGCTTATTCAGTTTCTTATGTATCTTATCTCTTTATGTGATCCTTAGTTCTTGGCACAGGGTTGGTTAGCACCTTGTGACCAATAAGTTATCATTTCATTCCCATTTACTTGGTGAATGGAGGCTAGTTTGTTTCAACTCTTTCCTTTGTCCTTGAACAGTCTGAAGATGATGAGAAACTGAAAAAGAGGAAGGAGCGATTTGGGATTGTCACAAGTTCAGCTGGAACTGGAACCACAGAGGATACAGAGGTAAAAATATACCTGGAACGCTTCATAGACCTTGAAGGGAAATTAGAGTGAATAAACTGAATGGAGAAATATTGTTTCCCCACCTATTTATTTATTTATTTATTTACTTATTTAAGTCGAGTTGGGGTCTCTGTTGCCCAGGAAGTGAGAGTGAATAAACTGAGTAGAGAAACACTGTTTTCCCACCTACTTCTTAATTATTTATTTATTTAAGTAGAGATGGGGTCTCATTCTGTTGCTCAGGCTGGTCTCAAACTCCTGGGCTCAAGCGATCCTCTGCACTCAGCTCCCAAATTGCTGGGATTATTATAGGCATGAGCCACTATGTCTGGCCACCCACCTACTTCTTAAGTGTCCAAATATTTTGCTTTTTTCTTGATAACTTTTTTTCTGGGTGAAGTGGCAACACTGAATTCCATCAATATACTTAATTCAGTGTTAGAGTCTGTTAGACTAGTGGCAAAGAGTATAACGTTTGGAATCAGGTAGGCTTGGATTCTAAAATTGGCTCTGGGCTGGGTGTGGTGGCTCATGCCTGTAATCTTAGCACTTTGGGAGGCTGAGGCAGGCAGATCTCTTGAGCCCAGGAGTTTGAGACCAGCCTGGGCAACATGGAGAAACCCTGTCTCTACTAAAAATACAAAAATTAGCTAGGCGTGGTGGCACACACCTATAGTCCCAGCTACTCAGGAGGCTGAGATGGGAGGATCACTTAAGCCCAGGAGGTCAAGGCTGCAGTGAACCTGGATGGCGCCACTGTACTCCAGCCTGGGCAATAGAGTGAGACCCTGTCTCAAAAAAGAAAAAGGCGGCCGGGCATGGTGGCTTACGCCTATAATCCTAGCACTTTGGGAGGCTGAGGCAGGCAGATTACCTGAGGTCGAGAGTTCAAGATCAGCCTGGCCAACATGGTGAAACCCCATCTCTACTAAAAATACATTTATTTATTTATTTATTTACTTATTTAAAAAAATTAGCCAGGTGCAGTGGCATGTGCCTGTAATCCCAGCTACTCTGGAGACCGAGGCATGAGAATCTCTTGAAACCGGGAGGCAGAGGTTGCGGTGAGCCAAGATCACGCCACTCCAACATGGGCTACAGAGTGAGACTTGCTCTCAAAAAAAAAAAAAAGAAAAGAAAAAGGCTTTGCCACTTAGTATTAATAAGTTACAGTACTTCCTGAGCCTCAGGTTTCATCATCTAGGAAGTGGAGATAATAAAACCTACCTCAAAGTTTTATTTAAAGAGTGAAACGATTCTGTATAAAAAGGGATAGTTTTAAAATATTTAATAAGAACTGGTTGTGCCTAACTCATTTCTGGAAAAGGACAGTGGACTCAAATGAGACTTCCTGTTCTTGTCACTTTGTTTACAGATAGTTTCTCAAAATGAAAGAATCCCAGCACTTTAGGAGAGCAGTGTGGGAGGATCACTTGAGGTCAGGAGTTGGAGACTAGCCTGGGCAACATAGTGAGACCTCATCTCTACTAAAAGTTTAAAATAAATTAGCTGAGTGTGGTGGCATGTGCCTGTAGTCCCAGCTACTCCAGAGGCTGAGGTGGAGGTTGTAGTGAGCCCAGATGGCACCCCTGTACTCCAGCCTGGGCAACAGAGCAAGACTGTCTCAAAAAAAAAAAAAAAAAAAGTATATTAGGCTGTTCTTGCATTGCTGTAAAGGAGAAATACATGAGACTAGGTAACTTATGAAGAAAAGAGGCTTAATTGGCTTACATTTCTGCAGGCTTTATGGGAAGCATGGTGCTGGCATCTGCTTGGCTTCTGGGGAGGCCTCAGGAAGCTTACAATCATGGTGGAAGGCCTTAAACAGCCATATCTGGCAAGAACTTACTATCTTGAGGACAGTACCAACAGGATGATGCTTTATGAAAAGCTTCTTTTTTTTTTTGAGATGGAGTCTCGCTCTGTCGTCCAGGCTGGAGTGCAGTGGTGCGATCTCAGCTCACTGCAACCTCCGCCTCCCGGGTTCAAGTGATTATTGTGCTTCAGCCTCCTGAGTACCTGGGATTACAGGCGTGTGCCACCACACCCGGCTAATTTTTGTGTTTTTAGTAGAGACGGGGTTTTACCGTGTTGGTCAGGCTGGTCTTGAACTCCTGACCTCGTGATCTGCCTGCCTCGGCCTCTCAAAGTCCTGAGATTACAGGCGTGAGCCACCATGCCTGGCCTATGAAAAGCTTCTTCATGAATAAGTATCAGAGTCAGTCTTGTAAATTAAACCCTGAAAATTTTAGAGTCAGATCAGCTAACACTCTTCACTAGAAAAAAGCCAGAGGAGTTTGTATTCTGCTAGGGGCAGTGGTTGGGAGTGCCCATGAAGGACTTGGTGCTGTTCTGTGAGTCACTTCCAGAACCAGAAGTCTTCCCTCACCATTTTGTGTCCTCTCCAGTGTTGCTGTCTCCTTTAAGAGATCTATGATAGGGACTCACCCACATACCACTCACTCCCTATTCGTTCTGTTGGCATCAAAGATTTATATGCCTTTTTTGTGGGTTGGAGTCCTAAGGAATAGCTACTGTCTGGGCCTGACTGCTCAGAAGGGCATCTCCTTCACCTCTATGAATAGCATTGGTTAATCCTTTATCCTCTGAAATCTTCCGTCTCCCCATTGACTGGAAGACTTTTCCCAGCCTGTTAAGAGCCCATTGTTTCCAGGCTAGCTTGATCTCAGGCTGAGTGGCTCTCTTTGCTTCAGGAATCTTCCCATTTTCTACCACTGTTCTTCTCTCTGTCCCTCACCCCCAGTAATCTTCTTTACTCCTCACCCTCCTTACCCATTAAACTTTCCAGCTCCTACTGGATAACTGGAAGGATTGGAGAGATTCAGGAATGAAATCTCTAGCTACCAAGCTCAAGTCTGGGCCATCCTTCCTTCTCGGGCCTTGTGACAGTTCATGTGAGTTTGGATTAAAGCAGCCAGGAACCCAGGCAACTATTGTCTTCAGTCTAATTTTTTTCTTCTTGCTTCTTCTTTACAGGCAAAGAAGAGGAAAAGAGCAGAGCGCTTTGGGATTGCCTGATGAAAAGTTCCTGATACTTTCTGTTCTCCAGTGTTTTCCATTTCTCTCCTTCTTCTTGGTCACATATATGCCTAAATGCACAGTCATGTGCCTACGTCCTGCCTCGCAATGAGGGAGCATGTACCCCAGGTACATCCATGAACTGCGGCAGCAGTTTGACTTATTGCTGTTTCAGCTTTAAGGTTGTTGTGTTTTTGTTTTTGATTATGTTGCTTGTTAATAAAAAAAAATAGAAAAGAGAACAATGTGTTTTATTAGGTGCTCCTTTGATTTATTGGAGCTAGATTAGACCAGATAAGGGGAGCTTCAGGGGCAAATATTATAGAGAATTGGCCATAATACCTTTATCCCTTAGAAGAGAAGACAAGGAAAAGGACTGAGTTTACCCTTTAAGCCTGTTTATTCCCTTCTGTCATACTCACAAGCATTTTTTATCCTCTGTGAAGAGGTTAAGTTACCCACCCACCAAGTCTTTGCTCCAGCAGCTTGTAGTGACCCACTGAAATAAAACAGAACATGGGAGGTTTTAGGTGTTGCAAAGGATATAAATACAAGGGCAGTGATTAGTAGCCTTCTGTTATTAGCTAATAATGCAGACTTTTTCTTGGATAAAATGGAGTCCAGGGTCCCACATTAAAGGAAAAGGGCCCTGATTTCAAGGGTGATGTGATACGATACTATGTTGGTCAGTCAGTTCAGGAAGGGAGATGGGCTGGATATCCCTCAGAGACAGAAGAAATTTTGTATGCAGAATCAAAGCATGACAGAGGATGTCAGAGCTGTTACGCATTGTTAGCTAAATCATTGGGAACATAAGCAGTGGAACTGGAGGCTTCAAGTTCATGTAGATCTGAAACCTGCTTAATCTTTTTGGATATGTTATTGCAGAATTTCTCCTCTTAATCTTTATATAAGCTCGGTTTTTGTTTGAGCTATTTTTGGTAATAAGACTTAGGAGCCTGACACCTTACCTGAAGACTTTGGTACTATGATCAGGTCCCATGTTGCTGTGGTGTAATCCTTTATCCTTATTTCTACTAAAACCTGCCTGGTTTTGTGCTTAATGAAATGGTAATAGTTTGATCACCTTTCTAATGTCAAGATATCTCTTTATTTCTCCAAAGTCTCTGGTTGGTGAGGAAAGCAGGGACCTAAAGTTTAGATAATTTAGAAAAATTGTGCCTTGGAGAGCAGATCCAAAAACTGCTGCCCATTTGTTGTGAAGTTTGCCCCATTCTGAGACTTTGGAGAAGTGAACAAAAGGGAATGCTGGTTAAATTTTTGACACCTCTTCAACCAAATAAACCTTAAAATTGGAATGACCTTCCCTTTTCCCTCTTTTCTGTCTGCCTTCCTTTTCTTTACCTCAGGCTCTGATCTTGGGGCTAGCTTTTCCTCTCTCTACTCTGCCTTCATCTGAAAACAGAATAGATCTGATTTGTAACTTGAGAGATTATAGATTCACTAATGGTTTCTTCCTGAATATGGTTTTAAAAAGAGAAAAATACATGAGGGAATAGAGCAGATGCTGATTATGAAGTGGAACAGTGGATCTTTTGGAAGTTTTCTTCGTCTCTTTATCCTCTATAACCTTCCAGAAAGATATTCAGCCTTACTTGCCAGGATTCTCTTCTTGAAGCCTAATTATTCTCCTCACTCATCTTACTTCCCCTAGATCTTTGAACAGTGTTTTCCAATTTGTGAGGATTTTTTTTTTTTTCTTATTAACCTCTTTCATCCCATTTCAGCAGCTGTTCCTATGTTGGTCAGAAGTCTCTAACCTCCAAGCCAGATGAAGTCCTCCCCTTCCTATCTCATTATAGTCATTCTCCACATACTCTTTGAGCATGAATAGTTCAGGATGCCTTTTTCCCAATTCAGTTTTAAAATAGTAATTCCGTTTGGAGATGGAACAGACATTGAGGCTTGTAATTGTTTACCTGAGATCTTAGTACCCTTCCTTCCTCTCCCCGTTTCCCTACTATAGTTGATCCAGCATCCAGATGTGGTTAACTGATTCCAATTCCTGAAGCTGTGACATTCTCTGCATACCTGGAAGCTCTTAATGAGGGAGTCTATAAAAGCTGTGGGGAGAACTAGCTTCCTCAGCTGTAAATCTGTACTTTTTTATGGTTCTCTAGGATTATTCTTTTTTTCCACTCTCACTCTAAACTGCCCAGCCCCCCACCCCACCTCTTAAGAACTGCTGAAGATAGAGGCTAGAAGCTTCTGTGAGGATGAGGGCTATAGGAAGGAAGGTGTGAATAAGGGCAGGACTTCTTGGTGTTGAGCTGAGTTCTCTTGCTGTGTCTGATATGAGGAGTGAGGGAGGAACTTAAGGGAGGATAACTTTTTTGCTGTTCTCTTATATGAGGGCCTCTGGCAATGCCACTTATTTCTGATTATTGGAATCCCCCCAAAATTTAACCTCCCCTTCTCTTGCCATATCTAGACTTTTCTTGTTTTTCCCTTCCAAAGGGATTTAAAATTACAGGTTTCACATCTTTCCAGATTCTTTGAGTCCAAGGTGTCCCTAACTTTCTTGTTATCTCTTTCCCTTATGTTATTCCTGTATTTAGGTTTCTACCTCCCGGATCACTTTCAATAGGATAGATTAGAATGTAATATTGTTTAGCAACTACTTAGGTTTAATTTCTTATTCTACCACACTAGCTCTGAGACCCTGCGCAGATAATCATTCTCTTTTCAGACTGTACCAAAAGGAACCCCATTGTGAAGGTTGCTGTGTGAATTAAGTGATATTCTCATATCATGTATTCACACTACAATTTGCTTACCATAATTTGCATAGTAATTATTCAATAAATATTAGCTTTTACTGGGTGATCAGGGTACTGTGGAAATACATATTTCTTTCCCTGAGTAGGTTCTAGCTAGGTATGAGTGCCCTAGTTTGAACATGTTTGTGTGTGCATACACCCAGTTAATGCAGTCGTATTTTGAGAAAAAGAAAAGGCAGAAAGAGTCCCATTCACTCCCTCAAGCCCAGCTCACTGGCAGGAAAGCTGGACATTGTTGCTTTGGAGCATTGATTTTCCTGCTTCTACGCCACTACAGACCAGAAGCTGTAGATGCCACTGCCTGCTGATTCTTAGCTTGGGGCCCCTGCCATTTAAAATATAGGCAAGGTCAGAGTATAGGATAGCTTCCCATGCCTTCGGTTGGAGGATGTTTTAGGATAAAGAAAAGACTTGTAAAAAGTCATCTTGAGTAGTCTTTTTTTGGGTGTTCTCTCAATATAGGAAACAAATGAGCCACAGGGAGAGAAAACCCATTTTCAGCTCAGGCCAAAGTTAGGGGTAGATGTGGATATGGTTCCCTTGGGAAGATAGAATACATAACACTTCTGCTACTCAACCACTTCCAGCCTTAGTCTTGTAGTTGGTCTCGAGTGGGGTCAGTGTGCTGATAGAACTGATAAGACAGGGAAAACATGGCAGTACATTGAACCCGCAGTAGCGCTGTCCCCAATTCTGGATCAGGTTGATGTCACAGGAGCTTTCCTTATTTTTATTTTACTTTAATTATTTTTAGAGACAGTGTCTTACTGTGTTGCTCAGCTTGGAGTACAGTGGCTATTTACAGGCCCAATTATAGCACACTGCAGCCTTGACCCTCTGGCCTCAAGTGGTCCTCCTGCCACAGCCTCCTGAATAGCTGGAACTACAGGAGCACACCACTGGGTCCTGCTTTCCTTTTTTTTTTTTTTTTTTTTTTTTTGGAGATGGGAGTCTCACTCTGTCACCATGCTAGAGTGCAGTGGTGCGATCTCAGCTCACTGCAACCTCCGCCACCTGGGTTCAAGCGATTCTTCTGCCTCAGCCTTCCATGTAGCTGGGATTACAGGCGCACGCCACCACGCCCGGCTAATTTTGGGTATTTTAGTAGAGATGAGGTTTCACAATGTTGGCCAGCATGGTCTCGAACTCCGGACCTTGCATGATCCGCCCGCCTCGGCCCCCCAAAGTGCTGGGATTACAGATGTAAGCCACTGCGCCCAGCCAGCTTTCCTTATTTTTGAAAAATGTGAGTCAGGCAATATTCTTTTGCCATTCCCAACTCATATTCCTGGGGAATTGTGCTCTAGGTACATGGGAAAAATTTTTACAGTGAACTGAAAGAATATTTGAGATGCTATTTTAGCCACTCTTGTGTAACAAGGCAAGTTCGTTGGCTATGTTGGTTTAGATTTTTGTCAAACTTCGTTGAGGAAACCTAGGAACAGGGACTGCAGGAGAATAGGACACTAGCTGGATCATCTCAAGAGAACCTTTAGATCTTCCATACTAGCTGGATCATCTCAAGAGAACCTTTAGATCTTCCATTCTGTGGAGGCTGGGAGAGGGGTCTTGTTGTCTTTGGGACTGTTTTGGCTCAAGCTTTTCAGAGAGGGGTTGTTCTAGGTACCCCCAGTTTCCTGTCCTCTTTCCATCCTTCCTTGGCCTGCATGTCCCAAACCTTATACCACCATGCCCTTAGTGTTTTCTGTCTTGCTCCAGGACCCCATCTTCTTAGTCATTGAACACGAGGTTTCCTGTCTCAGATCCTCTTCACCTCCGGTTCTCCAAGGTGTAAATGTGGCACTTGATTAGGGAGAAGAGCTCAGCACTGAATTCTAAACTCTTTGACCGCTTTTATTTTTTTTTTCAGGTTCAAGTGCTGGATTGTGTCATGTGACCATCCCAAAACTCAGAGCACCCTATGGCCGTCTTTGCCCTCTGTCACATAACTTGAAAACTGCCTGATGGCCTTTTTGCAGTGGTTCCCTCCAGGAAGCCTTGATCTCAGTTGAAGAAGTTCTTTCCTGGCATTCCAATGCCCCTGTCAGCTCCATACTCCTCAGACACCCTTAACAAAGGCTGTCATGCACACAATGTGACAAATACACAAAATAAATGATAATTACACTAATAATGATATGTTCAGAGGGGCACTGGCCAGGTCCACACACATCATAAGGTGGGAGGGGGTGCTAACTCCCACTGGGTTGCTGAGCTGTGCCCCCCAAGTCCCTTCACTCTGTGCCTCTTTGGGGGTAGGGAGGAACAGGGGAATGAGACTTCAGCTCACAGATTTATGTTCATAAGAGAAAGACCCCTGCCCCCCCCCCACCCACCACACACACACAAAGGTCTTTATTTGGTGGTATTTAAGGAGCTGTATTCTAAGTGTCCCCCATATTTAATGCCCCAGCTCTCTAGAATCTGTAGAGGGAAGATACCTGATGCTTATTGCCCAATCCCTACTCTGCCAAGATCACGAGGCATTTGACCTTGGAGGGAGGTATCTGTTCTTCACTTCTCTGTTCCTTTCCTTCCACCAAGGAAATGTGAGTGGTGTTGATGGCCGGGTGTGTCTTGTCCTTCAGGATTGGGGCAGAAGGAAGGATGAAGAACAGGGCCAGAGAGGCTTGGGGTTAGCATAGCTGCTATATGGGTGAAGGCAAGCTGAAGAGCCTAACAGCCCTGCCCATTCCTCTACTGAAAGATCTTGTTTCACTTTCTCACTATAAGAATAGGAATAAGATGTTAAAGCTCACCAACATCACCTTCTCAAGGGTGGTCACATACCTTTGCCCCTTCCACCAACTGGCCAAGGGGGAGAGTCATGCTCTTGGGAAGAATGAGCCATCCAGTTTTGCTCACCAGCTTGGGCTTTACTTTAGTTCAGTACTGTTTTTATCAGACCCGTAACTGCTGGCTCTACTTAGAGTGACAGTTTTGCTGAAGATTCTTACCCCCACCTCTCCTGACATCCTCTAAGCTCTTGCCTGGAGCCAAGAGGCCTGGTGGTGAAGTAAGGATAGGGTGTGGATCAGGAGATTCTCAACTCCTTGGCTTCTAGGCACTGTCCAGCTGGGAGGCAGAGGGGAACTTGTACTCTGAAGCCTGTGACTCCTCTTAAGCCTCACATCTCTTCACCACTACTCTGGTGCCCTGGTTATCTGTCCCACAGCGAGAGGTATTTTATGTCCATAAAGTGCCCGTGGTAAGTGCTCAGAATTCATCTCTTGGCTGTGGCGGGTGCTGTCATTTCTCATTCCATTGAGGGGAAGAAACTGAGGCACAGTGAGTCCAGAGGAGAATGGGTCAGGGTTGTGGGAGGAATGAATGGGCCTAGCTAGTGACTTGAAATGGCAACCAGTCTCTGCCTGCTTCCTAGCCTTCCAAGCCCGGGAGTCTCCATCCTTCCCATCCTCTGTTCTAACTGGCCTTGTCAGATGCTTTTCCCCACTGTACTTTCCCCTCCCTGCTGCCAGGTACTGTTAGATTCCAAAAATAAAAGGAAAAAATAATTATACACTCTGCTTCCTTGTTCTCCCCTCTTCCACCCTGAGCTTTGGGGTTAGGAGACTAAAATGTCCCCCTTCCAGAATCCTTCCCACCTTGGTCTGCTGGCTCTATTCCCTAGCCCAGAGCAGTGATTTGGATTCAAATGCCCTGTAACCTTCAGCCTCCTTACTGCTCCTTTCTTGACCTCTCCTAACGCTTTCCAGACCCAGGGGACTCTGGGGTCTCTATACTCTCTCTAATTGACCTGAAGATAGAGGCTGGGAGCAGGGCCATTCCAGAGGCTCTTTGGTCTCTCTCTTGGCTGAGGGAATTTGGGCATAAGCAGGCTGCACCCTCTGGCTAAATAACTCAGCATCATGAGGGTGGACCTGAGGGTTTAAAGTAGCTCTCATTATATAGATCCTGGATGTTGAGGGTTCTCTCTCCCACCCCCGCATCCCCAGCTCTTAAACCCTAACCTCTTACTATTTCCATGACAACTGGCTTCAATTCAAGCCATTTGGCTCAGAAAAGGTTGAGTTAGGGTGATGATGGGTTAGAAACTAAACTTCATGTGTCCGCCCTCTTGCCCTTTACTCCCATTCCCAACCCTGGAGGCTTTATACAAGTGCTTAAGTGAGTAGGTGTTGGGGAGAGCAGGGTTTGGGGAATAAGGGATAAACGGGGCACAGTGGGCAGGGGCCCTCCTATTCCAGTAAAGCCAAATACCAAAAAAATGAAAAGTCACAATAAATAAATAAATAAAAATTCCCAAATCTTTTTGCCCCTGCCCTCACTTCCCCTTCCCCTGGCCACTGTTGGAGGGAGAGAAGGAGAAAAGAATGGATTTTTGATTTCTTCTCCTACTGAATAGTCAGGGGATCTCCCCAAACTATACCAAGCCCCTCACCTTGCCAGTGGAAGAAAGGAGGCTTGGTGTGGGGCTTTCATTTATTACTCCATTTCAGTCTCTTTCTCAGTGTTTTGTCTCTGCCTCGTCTGTCTCTTCTGCCTCTCTCTTTGCCTTCTCACTGCTGCTCTTTTTGTTCCTCTGTCTCTATCACTGTCTCTACATCTCTCTGTCTTTTTGTCAAACCTTCTCATCTGCAAACTTCAAACACTCCCCACCCTGACTATGCCCCTGCTTCCCCTTTCCCCCAAACCCCTCACCCTCAATTCCCACCTGCCTCCCTCTGTTGTATTGCACACGGCTTGGTCGGGGAACGGTGTGATGTTCGCGGGAAGAGTGGAGGGAGCTCTAGGGCTTGGGGGGATGGGGGCAGGGCTAGGGGTCTTGGGGTAGGGTCTGTGGGGGAGGCATCCTCTATCCCCCACCTTAAGAGCAGCCACAGCGATCCACCACCATGCCAGGGATCTTGCCGTAGATAATCTGCTGCTTGTCATTGAAGTAGAGCATGTTGATTGGGGACATCTTGGTGGGGGTACAACAGGGCCCAGCAGAGCCTCTTGGATTGGCCTGCTGCACCAAATGGGTATGCGGATATTTTTGCATGAACATGTACTCGCACTGGCCGGAGCAGTAGTTGGCCTTGTAGCGCTTAGGTGCGATGATCCAGTCCCAGCCGAAAGCCTCAAAGTCCACTGTGAGGGGATATCGGCAGCAGCGGGACTCGCTTGAGTGCTCGTCGCAGTCCAGACCCAGGTTCCGCCGGGAACGTTTTGTGTTCTCTAGGACTCGAAGCTCCATGAATGGATGCTGAGGGTCAGGGAGAGGGGAAAGAAATGTGATATGGTCCTGAACAGTTCCTCTTCCCTGTTCCTTTCCCACCTGCCAGGGGCATCAGAATAGAGACTGCTGACTTCTCAGCTTTTCCATTGCTCCCACCCCCAGAATTTATCTTTTGCCCACTTTTCTTGCCAGCTAGCTAGCTCTCCTTCAACTCACCATCTCTAATTCTTACTCTTCTGGCAACCTGATCCCTGTCAGCCCCTTGGCCCAACGCCTCAACAGCCAGTTTTTTTGTTCTCACAGCTCTTCCATTAACTGACACCTTTACCTTCAAATCCAGTTTTCAGCTGTTGTCTGATTTGGATCCTTGAGAAGTAATAGTTGCCACCCCACTCCTCACCTCCTCCTCTAGAATCAGCTGCTGACCCCAGAGAAGTAATGCTGGTCCCCAACCTCCTTCACATTCCTTGTCTACCTTTTCCAATGTAACCCTATCTCCTCAGGGCCAGGTTACACATATCCACCACCTCAGGCCCCCTGCTCACCAGCCCCTCGGCTCCCGGCCCCAGGGAGGTGACAGCCAGGTCTGTGCCACTGGGATCAAAGGCGTTGATCTCGATGCCCCAGTTGCTCTGTGGCTGGCGGAACCAGCTGTGTAGCACTTGCTTGAAGTCGATGCTCTGCCAATGGCCTGAGCGTGAGTGCAGCTCAATCTTCAGTGAGCGGATACGGATGTGACGCCGGCCTCCGCCCCCTCCCCCTGCGGTCCCTTCCCCAGTTAGGGGTTTTAGTCGCAAGATCTGCAGGTAGACTGTGGCTGGGCGGGGTACAGGCCGTAGGTACACCCACAGCTGGGCCTTCAGTACCTTTGTGAACATCACCTTGGGGCTGAAGTGAAAATGGCAGCAGAGAGGGCTGCCATCTGTCTGTACTGCTGGGTCCGCTGATAAGAGAGAAGGGCACAGCATCAGCAAAGGGTGTTTGTGTAGGGGATCAGTAGTCCTGGGTGGCACTGGCAATTTTGGACTTCTCAGCCTGATTTTCCAGTTCTTCTTTACCCTTCTCCCATGCCTATCTTATACCATGTCTCCGGTACCTAAAACAGCACTTCCTCTTTAGGATGATGGCCCTATAAGGCCTTACTGATCTGTGTCCATTTCCTAATCCATTTGCCCTAATATATAGGTTCCTGTCTACCAGATAACCTGCAAAATTATTCATCCACCACCATCCTTACTGTCCAACTTTTCCCAGCATATAAGGCTCCAACATTTTCTGAATCTTTGAAGCTCTTTATAGAAGCCATACCTCTTATCACACCTGCTGCCCTTCCATCACCTTTCCCCTATCTGCTCTGATTTATCTGCTGGACAGGTAGAGCCTGGCACATCCCTCCCCCACAAAATAACACAGATGGCCTCAGAGAGGGGATAACCCAGGGTCCAGATAGGGAGCATGAGCTAAATTTATCCCATTATGTAAACCAGAATTCAGATCTAGGCTTCTTGCCTCACTCCCATTAGGAATAACACCCAGCAAAATGGAACTATCCAAGCACTTCCTATACATCTGTCTCCCCATTCTCTCTTAAGAAGTTTCTTCAGCTGCTGCTCCATCATCATCACCATGACTGCCCCCAGCTCTTGAGGAAAGGAATAATTACCTCCATGGTGTTGCCTCCTATTTGCCTAAAGCACCAGAAATAATATTAAATACACCAGATTAACTACAATGCCTTTTTTCTCCCCTGAGCTTCCTTTGACTTCTCAGTCTAGTGCCAGTAGGTCTTTACAAAGTTTGAACATCCCAACTTTACATTTTGACCCATTTCCCCTTGCTCTGGACCTTAAATTGATCCTTCTTGGGTCTAATAGATGATTCTCAATAAATATCTGCCTCTGCCTCCATTCCAGCTCCTCTTCACTGCCTTTCCTAAGTCAGTTGGGAGTGTCCTACAACATGTCTCCATTGGACAGAATATGTCTATCCTGACTCTAGATAGGAAGAATCAGGAATGAGCTTCCAGAGCCATATAAGCAGGGTTAGGAAGTCTAGGCCTTTAAGTATCCTCCCCATGTCTTGAGTTCTGCAAAATCAGGATGGACTTAGGGTGTCCTGTCAGCTCTTCCCCACCCCCACCCTGGGAGAAAGAGGACCTTCTAAGGGAGATGAGGAGAAAGTGCTTAATGAACTTCATATATTCAGGATATGATACCCAAAGTCTCTATAGCTTTTTTTTTTCTTGATTATTCTCTGAGGTCCCAGGGCCCTGGTAGTCCAGTTATTTTACTGGCTGGAGCTTCAGTGATGGTGCAATGGAGTAGGGTTTGGGGGGTGAGAATTCAGAGATCAGAAGTAGCTGGGATAGGGAAGCTACTAGTGAGATGGGGAGTGACAAGCAACATCCCAAATAGCATACTTTACAAATTTCAGCATAAGAATTGTCTATTTTCTTGCCATTAGGTACTAATCTCCATGAGAGTGGACACTGTTGTTATTCATACTGTGTCTGTTTTGCTCACCATTGTAGCTTCAGTGCCTCCCATAGTGCTAGACAGCACTCAATAAATACATGGTGAATGAACTCCCTAAACTCCCAATCTTAAATTATACAGGCAAGTGCCTGAAAGTTCTTCCTGGCATCTAAATTCTGTTCTTTGGCTATAATTGAAGTGGGTTTAATCACTGCCTGATTCCTTACTAACCACTATCTAACCTTACTCACCAAACTTCTCAGTGTGATACAGATAATAATAATTCTTGCTTCACATGAGTGCTGAGCATTAACTAGAGAATGTGAAAATAGGAAACAAACAAACCAACATTTATTGAGAAGCTACTACTATTTTCGCATTCTCTACTAAGCTCTAAACATAACCCTCCCTCTACCTAAGCTGATCCAGGGTTTGAAGATGAGGGCTACATCTAAGTCTTTGGTTCCACATACTTGTCCCAGTGGACAGGGGACAGTCAGTGCTACAAGGAGGTAGAACATAGGGAGAAAGAAAAGAGCAGGGAGAAGAGCCAGGGGAGAGACTGGAGATGGTGAGGGAGATAATAGAGAAGAGACTGTTAAGAGTTGAAGGCATATTAGTAGATATAGGGAGAGAAATAGAAGTTAGAGTGGAAAGATGCAGGGGATAATCATGGCAAAGGGAGAATAAGTTTGAGAGTTTGAGAATCCTGATGCAGAGGCAGTGATAGAAAGGAGTGGGTGATGGTTAGAAAGCTAAAGGTGGGAGGAAGCTAAACCTAGTGGGGTAAAGGAGAGAAAGGATAGAAAGGGTACAGACTGAGGAACAAAGGAGAAGCAGGTAGAGCCACAGAGGGAAACGGGGCTCGAGAGAGTACCCAGCACACATATGCCGAGCTCTGATGGGGAGGAAAAGGGGCCACATCTGTGTTGAATTGATCGGGCTGGTGGCAGGCAGCAGGTCAGGTTTAGTAGGCGGCGCTGGTGGGAGAGAGAGGTCACTGCACTATTTTCAGCAAATGCCCAACCCCCTCCCTGCACACCACCTCCCCTTCCCCCCACCCTAACCCCCCCAAACACACACACTCCCAACCATGGCTGGAAGGCCTAAGGGCAGGAGGTTGGGCTGAGAGGGCAGGGGCCTCTTGGTGTGGGGAGGAGAGAGAAACTCGGGCTGGGCTTGGCTCCCAGAAGGGCAGGGGGCTGGGTTCCCAGGATGAAGGCTTGGTGGGAGAGCCTGAGAGGGTAGAGGGAACTAGGGCAGGCAGAGCAGCCTAGGAGAGGTGGGGGCTGGGGTCCAGGGTTGAGGGCTGGGGGAGGGGAGGGAGGGGGAGGGGAACGGAGGCCATCTCTGCTGACAAACACCTCCCCCGATTAGCAGAGCACAAGTCTCTTATTAAAGCGGGTCCCTGGGGATTAGACTATAAAAGTCTCTTTTTCCTTTTCCCCTCTCTCCCTCCCCTCCCCTCCACTCCCCCTCCCTCTCTTAAGAGCTCAGCTAGGCTCTTAAAGGGGACGTACAATACCTGGCCGGAGACCCAGTTCCCTACTTGTACAAGTCCTGGGGTGGCACGGGACTGTAAGTTTTGATGGGATCCTACCAGCTGGTGTCCCCTTCCCACCGACCCAGGCCTCACCTGCACAGCCCAACTCATGAAGGCAGGGTCCCTTCACTTCGTGTATCCCCATTACCAGAGCTAACTCTGGTGGGCTCAGGCCTGTTGGTTAAGGGATGCTAAGGATATTTAGGGGCAAGGAGAAGTCCACAGCCCCATCACCCATCCTGGAAATCTTCACACACACTACACCACAGAGACTAGAGTATCTTTTCCCTCTGTAACCTTCATCTTCCAGCAAACTCTTGATCTGAATTCCTCTATAACTCTGTTTCCTAGAAACCCCACCCCCTACCCCTGCCCTCAGTCGATCTGAGACTGACCCTAGCTTCCATAAGCAGAAGGCTTAAGAATAGAAGGGAAACTGAGGAACCCCAGACCGGATCCCCATACCTCCCACCCCCACAGCCAGTTTCCTGGTTCTTTGAGTTTAACAGCCCTGACCAAGTCTTGTGGAATTGAGGTCTGCAGAAATACCAGGGGCAGTGTGAGGCACTCAGCCTCCCAGATGCACACCTGGGTTCCTGTGCCTCTCCCATGGGGGTGGGCCACTGGGACTCCCCTCAGCCCCCAGCTTTTTATGACCCATCTGCCAATAAACCAGTCTCCCCCGTCTTCTGTTCACAGCCATAAAACCAAACTCTGTGTGTGTTGCAGGGGGCTGTGGGAAGGGGGGAACCTTGCCAAACCACTAGGGAATAAGAGAGGCCTGGTTCCCTGTAGTTGGGGAGGGGGGGAGACCTCAGTGGGGGAGGAGAAGGAGTCACCTGACCCTAAGGAGAGCTGGAAAAGGGGGGGTGTAGTATTCGCCTGGATTTTCCAGGCCATAAAATTTCAAAGCAGCTCATGTCTATTATATGTTCATCTTCCGTTTGGTCAGGGGCTCGGATGCCTGGGTTCCTGCTCCCCCATCTACTACTTTCTCTTTTTTCCTAGGTCTTCGTCTCTCTCAAGTCCACCTGCGGTAGGGGTGGGCGAATAAGGGATGGAACACTAAGGTTTGAGTAGCCAATGAGTGTCCTTAGCCCCCAGCGCAATGGAGTTGAGCTCTCCGAGCTCGGTCAGTATCAAGAAGGCACAGCTTTTCCGACCCCTTGGGATACCCGGTCTGAGACAGGGGTCAGGATGGAAAGGGTGCCAGCTGGGCTGCCAGGAGGTGTACAGGGCTCTGGGACCCTATTCTTGGGAGAAAGCACACAGTTCTCTGCAACCCGTTGGGCACGTTGCGAACGGAGCACGGAGTGGGGAGTTACCGCCAGGGCCACTGGGAAGCAGAGAGCACTGCAGTCCAGCTGGGGCTGCGGGGGTCCTGCAGCCTCCCGATTCTGTTCTCCAGCCTCCCCACCACGGCTTTTCAGGACAGAGTCACTGCCCAGCCCCAGCTTCCCCGGACTCCAACAAGGATCTTTTTAGCATACTGGGGGTGGAAGGCACTATCTCGAAACCCGCCCCATTTCCCCCGCCCCAACCTCCGGGAACTAGGCGTGCATACAACTTTGCAGCCCATCTCCACCGCTCGGAAAACTTCTATGAAGTAGCCCCCGCTCCCTAATTCGTCAAGTTTTCGCAGAAAAAGCTTCCGGGCCGGGGCAGCAGGGAGCGCCCCGCTTGGAGCAGAAGGCGCCCTTCGCGGGGCCAGAGCCAGCACCCCACTGCTCGCGCCCCGCAGCCCACTTACTCTCCTGGGCCATGCTAATGACGGTCTCGGTGGTGGCGTGGTACTCGTCCTCCTCCAGGAAGTCCTCGGGCTGCAGCGCGTCGCCCTGGAAGTCGTGTAGGTCCAGGATCTGCTGCAGCGGCGGCGCCTTGGGCAGCAGCTGCTTCACCACCTCGCGGCTGATGTTGGGCGCCTCCTTGAGCCGCAGTTTGCTCAAGATCTGCGACTTGATGCTCTCTAGGCGCAGCTCGCGGCTGTGCTGCCGCCAAACGCACACGGGGCAGCCGTCCGGCTCGGGCGCCACGGACGGGGCTGGCCGGCTGGAGCGCTCCCCCCCGACCCCCGCCGCTGCCGCCGCCGCCGCCGCCGCCGCCGCCGCCGCGGGGCCCTCGGCCGCCTCCCCCCGGGGCCGCAGCTCCAGGGCGAGGAGCAGGAAGCCCAGCAGCAGCGGGGCCGCGAGCACCATGCTGGAGGGGAGGGGAGGGAGGACTGGGGGGCGGGGACGCCGGAGTCCCGCGGGGAGGGGGCGGAGGGAGGAGGGAGGGAGGAGGAGGGGGTCCGGGCGGCGCGGGATTGGGGGCTGCCCGGCCGAGGGGGGACCCGGGGGGCCGGGGGCGGCGGGCGCGCGGGCGGGGCGGGCGGGCGGCCGGGGCGGGCGGCTGGGGGGGCCCGAGCCCGGGCCAGGCCCTTTATAGCCCCGGCCCCCGTGTCGTCAGCGGCCGCGATTGGCTGCGGAGCCAACAAAAGAGGCAGCGCTGTCATCCGAGGCGAGAGAGGGAGCCGGAGAGAGCCGAGGAATAGAGAGAGGGAGGGAATGAGGGAGCAAGGGCCAGAGAGAGATGAAGAGACAGAGATATGAGGGGGCGGGGGGGCGGATATAGAGGGAAAGTCAGAGCCAGAGAGACCAAGGAGAATCAGAGAGATAAGGGGGAAGAGACAGAGATAGGAAAAGGAGGAGGAGAGAGGGAGAGACAAAGGAGGAAAAGAAGAGTCAGGGGGAAGACGCAGAGGTGAGAGACTTAGCTAGAGAGGGAAATTGTGTGTCTGTGGGAGACACAGAACCAAGAAGGAGGAAGACTGGGACAACTAGTGGGAGAGTTAGAGTGGAGACAAAAATGGGGAGAAGAGGGGTACCACTAGATAGGGGGAGACAGAGGTCTACAGAGCCAGACCAGAAGAGATCGGGGGTCATGGAGATGGGAACAGCGGCAGAGGAACAGAGGACAGAAGAGTGCCCTGGGAAAGGGGTGGGGGGGGGGGTGGGGGGGAGAGAAATCAGGATGGGGGAGGAGAGAGAGGGGCACAGACAGGGAGACAACAAGGGAGCCCCTGAGGAGGCAGGTGCAGGGGATTGGGGGTGGGGGAGAGGAAAGGCAGAAACTCCTGAGAGAAGGAGCCACAAGAGTCAGCCTTGGTGGGAGCACAGAGAGCCCAGGGGACAGAGGTGGAGAACTTGAGACCAGAGGAGCTCTAGCCACCAGAGGTAGCCCAAAGAAGATGCTCAAGGAAGCCATGGAAGGAAGCACCAGGCTAGGCTCATCAGAGGGATTAAGGGGACTAGGAGAGGAAGAGGTCAGGGACAACCTAAGAAGGTGGAGAGGTGATGGGAAGAACTGAAACAGAGGGAAGACATAGAGCTGGGAAGACTGTGAGCTTGAAACTGGGGCTTAACAGGGCTAATGTAGTCAGCCGGCTGGAAAAGGCAGGAGCTAGAGGCCACTGGGGGAAGGGTGAGAGGAGATGGCTGGAGGCTGTTATACTTGGGGAGAAATCTAGATCTCTGGATTTCTAGCTATATCTTTGGATCTGCAGGGTCTTAGAAGTCTGAGAAGGGGCTGGAGGTTGCAAGGGTGAGCATGGGAAAGAAGTCTGCGCTCAGATGCACGAGATGAAATACAGATGTGGGACCAGCCCTAGTCTTCAGGTGTGATCCTGGGCAGTCAGAGAGCAGAGTAAAACAGTACTAAGGTGAAAAAATGTTTTGAATGTGCTTAACTTCTGACTTCAGGTTTTCCAGGCTTATTTCTGGATCTGAAAGCCCTGGAGCAATAGTCAAATGGAAAATGTTTGTGCCAGGCCAGGCGCGGTGGCTCACGCCTGTAATCCCAGCACTTTGGGAGGCCGAGGTGGGCGGATCACGAGGTCAGGAGATCGAGACCATCCTGGCTAACACGGTGAAACCCTGTCTCTACTAAAAATACAAAAAATTAGCCGGGCGTGGTGGCGGGTGCCTGTAGTCCTAGCTGCTGGGGAGGCTGAGGCAGGAGAATGGCGTGAACCTGGGAGGCGGAGCTTGCAGTGAGCCGAGATCGCGCCATTGCACCCCAGCCTGGGCGACAGAGTGAGACTCCGTCTCAAAAAAAAAAAAAAAAGAAAAGAAAAGAAAATGTTTGAAGGAATCAGGTCTTGCTAATTTCCTGGCATTCACAATGTTTATTTAATAAATGGATGAACTTTATTATTGGGCTTCTCAGAATAGAGGGGCATTGGTTTCCTCTCTGGAATTAAAGCCCAATAACATATCTTAAAGTTGGCTTGGCATAGGCATCAGGAGCACCAGACATAAGGATAGAGTTGGGTTGAGGAACTGGAGTAAAATAAGGGAAGAAACTGGGGATCCAGGTATGAGGGGAGGAGGTTGGGTAGGGGTTAGGAGGACCAAGCTGGGGAGCTTTGAAGAGACAATCCATTTCCATGGGTAACAGAAACTGAAAACAAAACAGACTGGAACAAAAACTTAGCTTGTTCCCTCCCTTGCTTTCAACCAAGACATGGGCATTTCAGCATTTCATCAAGTTTCTTAATCTATAATATGGGGCCACAATTCCTACCCTTAACTGGTTGTGGGGATTACATATAAGCAATCAATAGTGGCCTTCATGGGCTTCTTCTCCTTCATGATTCTTCCTTTCCTTTCTGATTTTCCAGAGCAGCGATTGCCTTTAGCACATATTCTGGCATATCCTATTTTCTAAAATGTTTCTCTGTCATTTCTTCAGCAAAATTGGAAAGGCTGTGAGAGCAAAGTTGGTGTCACCTCCTTCTTCTCCCTTAGAGAAGGTAGTACAGGCTTCACTTCCTCACCAAACATGTATCTAGTGGCAGGTACAAAGATAAATGAGATGCAAAAGTAAGTAAGACTCAGCTCCTTTCCTCAGAGAACATATAAACTAGAAAAGACACTAGGTAGGCCGGGCGCGGTGGCTCACGCCTGTAATCCCAATACTTCGGGAGGCCACGGTGGGTGGATCACCTGAGGTCAGGAGTTCGAGACCAGCCTGGCCAACATGGTGAAACCCCGTCTCTACTGAAAATACAAAAATTAGCTGGGCATGGTGATATGCGCCTGTAGTCCCATCTACTCAGGAGGTTGAGATGGGAGAATCACTTGAACCTGGAAGGCGGAGGTTGCAGTGAGCCAAGATCATGCCACTGCACTCCAGCCTGGGCGACAGAGCAAGACTCTGTCAAACAAAAAAAAAAAAAAAAAAAAAAGAAGGAAGGAAGAAAGAAAAGAAAAGAAGAAAAGAAAAAGAAAAGAAAAGAAAAGAAAAGAAAAGAAAAGAAGACATTAAGTAAACAGGACCAGCCAGAACTCTAGGCCAGATGCCTCCTGCATATCTCAATCTGGATGTTTCATGGCACTTCAAATATCACAGGTTAGAGAACCCCTTCTTTCTCCCTAAAATGTGTCCCATCCTGCAGCTTTTCATTTTAGTGAATGACAATCATCCAGGCTAGAAATCTGAATGTCTTGTTTCACCCTTGTCCTCTTGACCATTTCTGAATCTTTGCACAGGTTGTTTCTTCTTCCTAGAACAATTCCCCCTACTACTTCCACTCTCTTCCACCCACCAATCTCTTGGCCAAGTTTACTCTTTCTTCAGGTCTCAGCATAGATCCCATCCAAGAATCCCTTCCTGACTTCGGGTCTAGAGTAGTTGCTTCTCCCAGATATATCTGCACCATTCTGTGAGGTATGGAGATAATCGCCTAGCTTCTAGACTAGAAGTAGGCTGGCTGGGTTCAAGTCCCAGCTCTCTCCCTTTTCTGGTTGTGTAAACTTGGACAAGTTATTAAACCTCTTTATACCTCAGATTCCTCACCTGTAAGATGGGAATAATTATATATATATATAGAGAGAGAGAGAGACGGAGTCTTGCTTTGTCGCCCAGGTTGAAGTACAGTGGCGAGATCTCGGCTCACTGCAACCTCCACTTCCCAGGTTCAAGCGATTCTCCTATCCTCAGCCGCCCGAATAGCTGGGATTACAGGCACGCGCCACCAAGCCTGGCTAATTTTTGTATTTTTAGTAGAGACAGGGTTTCACCATGTTGGCCAGGCTGGTCTTGAACTCCTGACCTCAAGTGATCCACCCGCCTTGCCTCCCGAATTGCTGGGATTACAGGCGTGAGCCACTGTACCTGGCCAAGGATAACAATATTGTACCTATTTCATAAGGTTATGAAGATTAAATGTCTGAAAAACTGTTCTAAATGCATTAGTTATTACTGTTACCCCAACTTACAACGCTCACCTTGGGAGACCAGAGAGAGCAGGAACTTTTTCACCAAAGTATTCCTTAACAGCTTTGAATAAAGAATGAATGAGGCCTGCTAAGTGAACTTGATAAGAGTTGGGTGGGGGAAAGAAGACAGTGTATTTGTATATATGAGGGGTTATTGGTATCTGCCAAATACAGGGAATTGGAGTCAGGAACATTTGAGACAGAAAGGTTTTCTATCTCCTGATAGCCTCCTCAGTTTCCAAGACTAAACTTAATCCAATAAGTGGACAAGACTGCCATCTGATGGTAGAATCTGGAATATCAGCTCCTCGGAGGTGGAACTGAAAGCACGGCTTAAGGGTTTTATTTTTGCATACGTTGTACATTTTCATTTTAGAATTTTAGTTCGAAAAGTTCCATATCATAATGCATTAAGCCTTGTCCTTTCCCCAGCGCCTCCCAGATCTTGCCTATTTCCTTGAGTTCCCTCAGGTTTGGTCCTGTTGGGATCCCCTGAGTTTCAGGAATTAACCCCTGGGAGGTTTCTTTTAGGAGCTTCAGAACTCCAGCTGCCCCAGACTCCCTAAAAATGGGGCACTGGTGGCTTTACGGAAAATAAGTTCGGGGGGATCTGGACATTAGATCTTTCCTTATCCTAGTACATGCTTAGGTTTGGGGCCCCGCCCACTGTCCTAGTCTCCCTGGCAACTGTCTTCCTGCCAAGGGTGCCCCTCTCCCAGAGTTACCCAGGCAACCTTCAGGCCCGCCTTCTTCAAGGTCCTGACTGGTTCATAGCAAATGTGGGTCGCAGCCTAAGGGAGGCATTTAGGCTTAAAATGTATGAGCTGCCGGGAGAGAAGGAGGCTGTGTTCCGGGGGAGGGTATGAGGTTTCAAGACCTGCTAGAGAGAGAGGTGCTTGGGTAGATGGTCTGCTATATCCTCAGGAAGAGCTGCAGCTCCCTGGAGCCTGTCACCGGGGTCTGAGGCCAGAGTTGCCTGGACCATGATCAGAAGTGCTGCTGCCAGAACAGGGGAACCATTGTAAGGGAACCCTGTAAGGGGGGACTCCCGCCACCCTGCACCTTCACCACAATGGCCACCTCCACACCCAAACTGCCTTGTCTATCAGAGCTAGGCTCAGTGGGGAGTAGCTATTTTTCTCCCCTCCCTAGGGAGGATCCCTAATCCTATCTCTTCTTCCTTTTTTCTCCTAAAGTTTCTATTTTGAGGGTCAGTGGACTCATTCTTTGGCACTGCAGGGCTTTCTAAGGAGGGGAGGGGCTACATCTCGTTGAGATGTAGCAGAGGGGAGAGGCTTACTCCCCGGCTCTCCTGCTCTCCCTGCATGTGCCTCTGGGGGAGTGGGGAGGCTATTCTGGGCTAGGGGGTGGTGTGTTAGTAGAGTGGACCCCTTCCAGTCCTCTGCCCACAAATCCTGCAGCTCCAGAGAGGATGTCACTGTAATTACTGTCCTCTCCCACACCACCTTCTAAATCCTATAATTATCTTGCCGGGATCACTTGGCAGTCTTGTTAACCTCTTTAGCCCCAAGGCCCTCTAAGAGAAGTTGGGAGTTGGGAGAAGGGGGCCAAAGAGTTTGCGTTTGGGGTGGGGGGCAGTGTGGCAGGATACAACTGGGGGACTCTAAGAATCATTTGGGGTTATGTCTTCCTTTGCCTCTGGCCTCCCTCCTGCTTATCCCCAATCTGTCCCCTCTCTCCTCATGGCAGGCCAGCTCTACAACTCCACTGGGTGCAAGCTGCTGCTTATCTTCATTCTTGGCCTCCCTGGGGTCCCCACCTCTTCCCTGAGTTCTCACCTACTGCTCCCTCTCTGGGCCCATGGTGGGTCCTCATTACAGGCCCTGTTTCTGGCAGTGGCCAATGCTGCCAGCAGGAGGCACCACTATTCCAGCTGCTGCTCCAGGAAAAGAACGGGTCTAAGTGCAATGTCAGCTTCTCCAAGGACCTTAAAATGCTGGCAGATGGGCTGATCCAGGAGGCGACAAAGCAGTACCTGGGCTGCCAGGTGAGGGAGCTGTTGGGAAGCAGGGGGGAACTGCAGGAGTGTTCAGAGGGAATTCTCTCTCCAGAGGGAATGAAGGAGAAAGCAGAGGGTAGTGAAGGTCAAAGTTGTCAGATGAGGGGCATGTGTGTGTGTGTGAACGGTGAGGGTGTCAGGACGACCAGCGGGTCTGGCTGGGATCTGGGAATGGGAGCCTGAAATTGGTGAGGGCAGGAGAAACTGGTCTGGGCTCTACCGAGGGGTGCCAGCACTCCTCACCCCTAGTTCCCTGGGCTGCAAGACCACATCCATGGGGAACAACCCAACAAATTTGAGAACAGCCTGGGTGAGTCTGCCACAGGCCCTTCTTCTTTGGCAGGTATCTCAGGTCCTCTGCTGCCCCACTGCATCCCCCAGCCTGTGCTAGGCAGCTTCCAGAACCCAGGGGTTCTCTTTGTCATAGCCCTCTCACCACACTGTATTTTTTGTCTGTGCCTATAAGGTTGTAAGCACCCTGAAGGCAGGGACATGTCTTACTTATCTCCATGTTTAGGCTCCCCATACATGGATTAATACATGAATGAATTTTTCCTGAGCCCCTGCCTAGGCCTCTTGGCCTTTTAGTCCCAAGGAACAGAAACCTGAGATAACCACCCAGTCCCAGCATCACCTCTTTGTCATTTCTCCTATGTTTATCTCTGTTCCATCCTAGGAAAAACTTTAGTTGTGAGGCTCTGTGACTCTCAGGTAGATACCTCTGTGCTCCTGTGCCTGGTTCTGGGCCAGAACCACACAGCAGCTAAGATCCTGGCCAAGGGAGTGCATAAACAAGACATGAACCTGGACGAGGCTCTCAAGCAGGATGGGCTGGAGCTGTTCATCCTGCCCACTCACCAGCTGGGCATTTGGATGGACCTCGTTGTTAATGATGGCACTGGCTGGGAAGAGACTGGGACAGGAGTGACAATGAGGGGCCAGAGGTCAGGAACTAGGGGCCCAAGAAATGGGGAAAGGAATTGAGGCGGGCCCTGAGGACAGATCCTGGTGGGGGTGGGGCTGGAGTGTGGGGTTGCCAGAGGAGCTAGACCTTGGGGCTTGAATTGGGGGGTCTAGGCCAAGGCCAAGGCCAAGGTGAGTGTGAGGGGCAGAAGGAGGCTGGATTGTCCCTCCCACCCCTACCTTGGCTATGTCAGTTGGGGTGGGGTATCCAGATATTTCTCAAAGCAAAATCATTTTAATTCCCATGAGTCTGAAAACAGGGTATGATAAAGCCTCATCATTCTTTTTTGTTTGTTTTTTGAGGTCTTTGGAGAAGGACCTCAAAACGCTGGCAGATGGGCTGATCCAGGAGTGTTGCTCTGTTGCCCAGGCTGGAGTGCAGTGGCATGATCTCGGCTCACTGCAGGCTCCGTCTCCCGGTTTCAAGCAATGTTCCTGCCTCAGCCTCCCGAGTAGCTAGGACTGCAGGCACATGCCACCATGCCCAGCTAATTTTTTTGTATTTTTAGTAGAGACAGGGTTTCGCCATGTTGGCCAGGCTGGTCTTGAACTCCTGACGTCAGGTGATCCACCCGCCTCGGCCTCCCAAAGTGTTGGGATTACAGGTGTGAGCCACTGCGTCCGACCGTTTTTGTTTTTATAGAGATGGGGTTTTACCGTCTTGCCCAGGCTGATCTCGAACTCCTGGGCTCCTACCTCAGCCTCTCAAAGTGTTGGGATTACAGGTGTGAGCCACCACATCCAGCCAAGCCTTACCGTTCCTTTTTTTTGTTTTGTTTTGTTTTGTTTTTTTGGGACGGAGTTTCCCTCTTGTTGCTCAGGCTGGAGTGCAATGGCACCATCTTGGCTCACGGCAACCTCCGTCTCCCGGGTTCCAGTGATTCTCCTGCTTCAGCCTCCCCAGTAGCTGGGATTACAGGCATGTGCCACCACACCCAGCTAATTTGTATTTTTAGTAGAGACGGGGGCCTGTCCATGTTGGTCAGGCTGGTCTTGAACTCCTGACCTCAGGTGATCCGCCCGCCTCAGCCTCCCAAAGTGCTGGTATTACAGGTGTGAGCCACTGTGCCCAGCCACCATTTTTCTGTTATTTTTTTATTTTTTTGAGATGGAGTCTTGCTCTGTCACCCAGGCTGGAGTGCAGTGCTGTGATCTCACTGCAACCTCTGCCTCCCAGGTTCAAGCAATTCTCCTGCCTCAGCCTCCCGAGTAGCTGGGACTACAGGTGCATGCCACCACGCCCGGCTAATTTTTTGTATTTTAGTAGAGATGGAATTTCACTGTGTTGTCCAGGCTGGTCTCAAACTCCTGAGCTCAGGCTATCCATCCACCTCAGCCTCCCAAAGTGCTAGGTCACAGGCATGAGCCACTGCACTCGGCCTGGCCACCATTCTTAAAGTAATAAAACCAATTCCCTTAGTTTATTCTGTGATCCTCACAACTGCCCTGTGAGGTGGGGAAGGGAGTTGTTTCCCTCCTACTCAACTGGGAGAAAGCTGAGGCTCAGGGAGAGAGGTCACCCCATTCATGAGCAGCAGAACCAGGTCTCACACCAGGGCTTCTGGCCTCAGAGAGCTTCTTGCTGGCGGCAGGTGTGACAGCACTGGAGTGGTACATCAAGACCCTGGCAGGGTGTGGTGGTTCACGCCTGTAATCCCAGCACTTTGGGAGGCCAAGGCAGGTGGATCACTTGAGGTCAGGAGTTCAAGACCAGCCTGACCAACATGGTGAAACCCCGTCTCTACTAAAAATACAAAAAGTTAGCCAGCGTGGTGGTGGGCACCTATAATCCCAGCTATTCAGGAGGCTGAGGCAGGAGAATCGCTTGAACCTGGGAGGCAAAGGTTGCAGTGAGCTGAGATCGCGCCATTGCACTCCAACCTGGGCAACAAGAGCGAAACTCTGTCGGAAAAAAATAAAAAAGAATTAAAAAAATTAGCTAGGTGTGGTGGCGGGCTACAGCCTGTAATCCCGGCTACTCGGGAGGCTGAGGCAGGAGAATCACTTGAAACTGGTAGGCGGAGGTTTTGGGGAGCTGAGTGCCACTACACTTCAGCCTGGGTGACAGAGTGAGACTTCATCTCAAAAAAAAAAAAAAAAAGACCCAGATTCTTACGTGCAGGTTGATCTGTTGACCCTGAGTGAGTGGCTTTACCTCTCTGAGCCCCACTTTCCTGGAAGTGAGATAAAAAAGGGACTTTGGCAATATGTTCTTCTGGATACCATGGTAATGTAGTCTTGCCAATTATGAAGGGTGTGGCCTCCCCCAAAAAGTTGGAGCAGAGATGGCCACCCAGTGACTGGAAGACTCCTTTTTTTTTTTTTTTGAGATGGAGTCTCACTCTGTTGCCCAAGCTGGAGTGCAGTGGCATGATCTTGACTCACTGCAACCTCTGCCTTCCAGGTTCAAGCAATTTTCCTGCCTCAGCTTCCTGAGTAGCTGGGATTATAGGTGTGCACCACCACGCCCGGCTAATTTTTTTTTTTTTTTGAGACAGAGTCTCGCTCTGTTGCCCAGGCTGGAGTGCAATGGCGTGTTCTCAGCTCACTGCAACCGCCGCCTCCCGGGGTTAGAGTGATTCTCCTGCCTCAGCCTCCTGAGTAGCTGGGATTACAGGCGTGCGCCACAATGCCCGGCTAATTTTTGTATTTTTTAGTGGAGACGGGGTTTCACCACGTTGGTCAGGCTGTCTCGAACTTCTGACCTCGTGATCCGCCTGCCTTGGCCTCCCAAAGTGCTGGGATTACAGGCGTGAGTCACCGCCCTGGCCACACCTGGCTAATTTTTGTATTTGTAGTAGAGATGGGGTTTCACTGTGTTGTCCAGGCTGGTCTCAAACTCTTGACCTCAGGTGATCCACCCGCCTCGGCCTCCCAAAGTGCTAGGATTATAGGCGTGAGCCACCGCGCCTGGCCTGGAGACTCCTTTGTGTTCCCCAGTCTCCACCAACCAGTAAATACATAGTGGTGATGTCGCCATGGAGCCCGTGCACAGTACTCCCCTGGGGGCTGCACTCAGTGCTGGTGCTGGGGCATATAACCTACTCTCTGGAGAGCCCTGCGGGATGGTCTATGAGCTTTTCTGCCAGCAGGACCTGCAAACGCGCAGGTGCAGCCCCTCCTTCACCCTGCGATCTGAGAGATGCCATCAAGCACCGTGCCTCTATCCTTATCCAAAGCTGAGGCCTCTGGACTTAAATTTCAGGCCCCCATTTCAGACCCAACCTCTGGACCTTGAATTTTATCCACCACTCTCCTTACCCTCCCAGTGGGGGGATGGCTTTGATGATGCATCCTTGTTTCCTTCTTCCCTCCCATCCCTATCTCTTCCTCTTCCCTCTCCCCACTCCTCTCTTACACCTATTTTTCAAAAATTAAAGAAAATGTTTTTTAAACTGAAGCCCAAGAAGCATTGATCCTTCATGTATTTTTGCCTCCTCTTCCCCCATCCTTCCCCATGCCTCCCACCCTCCTCTATGTCTCTCACTTTCCGGTTTTTCCTCACCCCTCTCCCAACTCTCCTCAACTGTTCTTTTCCCTTGATTCTGGATCCCTTCTTTCTTCCTCACCTTCCTCATATCCCCTCACCCTCCTCATATCCCCTCACCCTTTCCTGTGCTTAGATGCAGGCTACAAGCTGCTGTGCATGGCACTGGGTCTGGCTGATGCCTACATGCTCTCAGAAGGCTGCAGGTTTGCTTGAGACATCTGTGGCCCCCATGCTGTGTCGCTGGGCCTAGGTGGAGGCGTGGTGAAGCTGGAGGGAAAGCTGGCTTTGCTTGGTGTGGAGGGACAAGGGTCCCCGCCTCAGCACACCTACCACCAACTGGTGCCAGGCAACCAAGAGGCAGCAGCCTGGGCCAGCCAGGACGGCTTGGTGGCATATCTGGATGTCAGGCACTTGGAACAGGTGCTGGGGGATCTGAAGGATGTGAAGGGCCAGGTCTGAGATCAGCCACTTCCCACTAAGAGGCCCCTCTATCCTGCACCCCAGCAAACACATGGAGCTCTGTGTCAACTTTCCAGGCTGTAGAAGTGGGCCATTCTTTGTGTGTATGTGTGTAGTAAAATATATATAACATAAAATTCAGGGACATTGAGTACATACACATTGTGCAACCATCAGCACCATCCATCTCCACAACATTTTCATCTTTCTTTCTTTTTCTTTGAGACAGAGTCTCGCTCTGTTGCCCAGGCTGGAGTGCAATGGCACAATATCGGCTCTACTAAAAATACAAAATTATCCAGGCATGGTGGCGCATGCCTGTAATCCCGGCTACTCAGGAGGCTGAGGCAGGAGAATCTCTTGAACCTGGGAGGCAGAGGTTGTGGTGAGTTGTGCCACTGCACTCCAGCCTGGGCAACAAGAGCAAAACTCCATCTCAAAAACAAAAACAAAAACAAAAAACCTAGATGTTTATGGTTAAGGAAACAAATTAATAATAATAAAAAAGATAATATCGATTCTTACAAAATACAGTAATTAAGAAAATTAATCCTTTATCACAAACTTTTGTAGCAGAGCACATCTCTCCATATATACAAGCATTATACCGAGGGTGAATGTGTTCCTCCTCTTACTTTTTTTTTTTGAGACAGAGTTTTGCCGGGCACAGTGGCTCACGCCTGTAATCCCAGCACTTTGGAAGGCTGAGGGGGCGGATCACGAGGTCAATAGATGGAGACCATCCTGGCCAATATGGTGAAACCCCATCTCTACTAAAAACACAAAAATTAGCTGGGCGTAGTGGTGCGTGCCTGTAGTCCCAGCTACTTGGGAGGCTGAGGCAGGAGAATCACTTGAACACGGGAGGCGGAGGTTGCAGTGAGCCAAGATGGCACCACTGCACTCCACCCTGGTGACAGAGCGAGACTCCGTCTCAAAAAAAAAAAAAAAAAAAAGAGAGACGGAGTTTCACTCTTGTTGCCCAGGATGGCATGCAGCAACACGATCTCTGCTCACTGCAACCTCTGCCTCCTGGGTTCAAGTGATTCTCCTGCCTCAGCCTCCTGAGTAGCTGGGACTACAGGCACACATCATTGTGCCCAGCTACTTTTTGTATTTTTAGTAGAGACGGGGTTTCACCGTGTTGGCCAGGCTGGTCTCGAACTCCTGACCTCAGGTGATCCACCTGCCTAGGCCTCCCAAAATGCTGGGATTACAGGTGTGGTGAGCCACTGCGCCTAGCCCCTCCTCTTACTTTGGGGAACATCCTACTCTGTCTATGGAGCAGCTGTTGTTTCACCACTTTACTTTCTTAATAAACTTGCTTATACTTTGCACTGCGACTCGCCCTGAATCTTTCTTGCATGAGATCCAAGAACCCTCTCTTGTGGTCTGGATTGGGACCCCTTTCCTGTAACAAATGCATTGGCTGATAGGAGAATAAAGAAAAAAAAAGAGGAAAAACTAGAGTAACTTCTCTACATAATCATATTATATGACCGTTTTGTTAACCATGATAACAGTTAACAAAATAATTTTCTTATGTCTAATTCTCAGTCCATGTCTGTATGTCCCAAAATGTCTTTCACAGCTGGTTTGTTCAACCATTCAATGAAGGACCAAACATTGCAGTTGGTTGTTATGTATCTAGTCTCTCAATCTTGATCTTCAGACCACCTTCAGCCCATCTCACCACATCCGTCCCAAGCCCTTTGAGCCAGCCAACCCCAACCTGCCATGTACTTTACAAAATGCTCCTTTTTTTTCCACAGTCGACTGCTTCTCTGTCCCTGGAGCTCTCCCCTTTATTCTCCAAGGTCACCTTGAGCACATCCTTCTGCTCCGTGAAATCCATTCTCCTCTCCCTTTCCCTCCCTCTGAGCTTAACCAGCTGCCACCGCAGGCTTCTGCCTTTCTTCACAGTGTGGCCAGAACTCGGTTCTGCCTGCTAGCAGAGGGCAGGGCCGCTGTCTTCCTCTCCTTGCAGCCCCCAAGCCTAGCACATGCCTGGCATCTAGTGGCAGCACAATAAGGAACCTGATGAATACTCCTTTCTTCTGCTCTCCGCTCCTCCTCCACAGCCTGCCAGCCATGGTCAGGAAGAGCAAGATCCGGAATGGGCTTGGTGTGTCCCGCGGGAAGGCCGTGATCCTGGAAGATGCTTCTCAGCCCAGCCCGGATCTCCTTCCTTTAGCTCTAGAGACTTCTTTCATTCTTTGTGTACACACATACACTAAGACTCAGGAAGTGGTTCTTGAGGCAGGACCTTAAGAGCCCAAGGAGTGGGGCCGAGGCTGGAGGTGTGGGGGTGTGACGGCCGGTCCTACTCTCCGGCCTGTTCAGATCAGCTCCTTCTGGGGACCACCCCTGGCACACAAGGGAGGGAGGCAGCTTGATCCCCCTAGCCCGCTTCCAGCCCTCACCTGGCTTTGTCTTCTGGGATAAGACGGGGAAATCCAGAGGATGTAAGCCTCTCCTGCCTTCGTGTCTTCCCCCAAGCCCTCGCTATCACAGACGGATGCAGGAGCTGTCTGGGAGGCTGGAAGCACAGACCTTGTCAATCCTCCCCCAGAGGGCGGGACCCGACGCGGACGTGTCTTGATTGACTGGGTAGCGTGGCTTCGGGGAAGGGCTTCCTCCCCTTTTCTCAGACTAGGATCCCTGGAAAATGGAGAAGCTGTGCTAATAGAGGGGGGCCAGAAATCCCCACTCTAGAATGCTGTAGAATGTTGGGAGACACCCAGGATGTGAGCCAGGGACTTTCTGGAAGTGTTTGTTCTGGCCCCACCCGACCCCAGGCAGTCCCCAGCTGTCTGCACAGTCGGATGGGGAGGGGGCTTGCACAGAGTTGGAGCCAGAGGAGAGAGCTGGCTCATCCCCTACGGTAGGATGGGGAAACCTCACAGACCACATTGTCACCCGGCCTCAGCTCTCCGCCCCGGCGCTCAGAGGGTAACTCTCACCCACCTCGTCCGCTTCTCTGAACCAGAGTGACCCAGGCTGCGCTCCGCCCCGCTCTCCTACCCCGAGTTGGCACGGAGGTATAGCGCCAGAGGGGGGCCCCAGGCGCCCCGAGGTCTTGCCCTTGCGGCTTTCCCTTTGCGGGGGTGGGCGCCTTCTTCCGGGTAGGGGCCACGTGGCCCTGGCCGGGCGGGGGGCTCGGCCCACCCCGCGCCGGGCCCAGTGACTCAGGCCGCAGCTGTTACCGCGTCACATGAGGGAGGCCGGCGGCCACTCGGCGGGGGAGGGGACCGTGGCTGGAGCCCGGGGCGGGGCCGCGCGGCAGGCGGGGCGGGAGCCGGGGGGCGCAGCTAGAGAGCCCCGGAGCCGCGGCGGGAGAGGAACGCGCAGCCAGCCTTGGGAAGCCCAGGTGAGGCCGCGGGGACCCGGCGGACTTCGGCGCGGGCTGGGAGAGACCACCCGCAGTCCCTTCCTCCAGGGCTCGCCCCAGGCCCGCGGAGACTCGTCCGGCGCTCTCCAGCCGCCCTGGAGCAACTTTGCTTCGAAGTTCCCTGGGCCCGGGCAGGGTGTGGCGGGGGTGCTGGCTGCACTTTTTTTTTTTTTGGTGGGCGGGGAGGTCAGAGCCCAGGGGAAAGGGGCTGGGGCGGGGGTCGGGGTTGGGCTGAAGACCGTTTCTCCAGGCTGGGTGTTGGGTGGGGAAAGGGTGTTTGACGCCCGGAGACTGGCGGGCCGAGGGTCGGCGTCAGGCTCAAGCCCCTGCCGGCGCCCTTGGATCTGTCCTGGGCCCCAGAGGCGGCGGGGCGGGGTCCGGGCTTCGCGGCCGTCGCCCCCACCCCTCTCCTGCGGGTAAAGAGGGGGCTGGGAGACGTGGATCCGACCGCGGGTTTCCGGGTGGGAGGGGCCGGGAATCGGGGCCGTGAAGGGAAGCCCTCGAGGGCCGGCCGGGAGCCCGGAAACCGAGGTCCCCCTTCGGCCAGTTTTAATCCCCCCGCCCTCCCCTCTGCCCCAGGCCCGGCAGCCATGGCGGTGGAAGGAGGAATGAAATGTGTGAAGTTCTTGCTCTACGTCCTCCTGCTGGCCTTTTGCGTGAGTGGCGAGGGGTCCTGGGGGGCGCGCCGGCAGGGTGCGGGGAGACCTGGCTCCACAGTGGTGAGGGCTGAGGGAATGAGAATTAAGGCAGCTGGAGACCAGATGTGGAAAGAAAGCCAGGGAAAGACAGCGCAGCCACTCCCTCCTCCAGTTTTCCTGGACACCTGAGGCTTGTTTCCACCGAGAATGGCCATCCTGGGTGTGCAGCAACCCCTACCCCCATCCCTCCTGGCCCTTCCTGTCTGGTGACCCAACCACTTGTGATATGGGGCAGTGGGGCAACCAGCCAACCGCCTGATGCTATCGCCATGGGGCTTCCCTTCGCTCTCCCTTCTCCCCTCTCTCCCTCCCCAACCCTCTCATCCCTGTCCAGCCCCTCTCCCCCTTTCCCTCCTCCCAGCGCTTGGGGGTGAGGAAGGGCTCTGCCCACTTCAATTTGCTCCTGCCCTGGGCTCCTGGCTTGAGAGGCTACTGTTTGTCTAGGGAGGGACACATCACTCTTGCTCCCTTTTCCTCTTCCCTTCTCCTGGCCTAACTGGCCAGAGGAACCTTAGTCACAGCTGATGCGCGCGTGGGATGTGCACTGGAGGATAGTGAGGGGGCAGTTCTGGGAGAGAATTGAGCTGGGAGCCCTGGAGGCCTGTAGAAAGCATTATTCTAGGTCAGAAATACGTGTCTTGAGGTCAAGGCTTTCTGGGAGGTTTTTGAATTTGGTCATGTCCCTGATTAAAGAGCCGGGAGGGGATCAGGGGAGGTAGGGGCAGGCAAGGATGGGTCATCCCCCTACCCCACAGCCAAAGAAATTCCCTAGAGGTGTGAGAATCTCTCTTCCGGATGGGGTCAAGTCTGTGTCCTAGGTGTACCCCCTGCCCTCCACCATGGAGGGCCACTGTGTTGTGGATATGGCCTAATCCTCACCTGATTTTCTCTTAGGCCTGTGCAGTGGGACTGATTGCCGTGGGTGTCGGGGCACAGCTTGTCCTGAGTCAGACCATAATCCAGGGGGCTACCCCTGGCTCTCTGTTGCCAGTGGTCATCATCGCAGTGGGTGTCTTCCTCTTCCTGGTGGCTTTTGTGGGCTGCTGCGGGGCCTGCAAGGAGAACTATTGTCTTATGATCACGGTGAGTTGGGGGCGGGACCAACATGGGCGGTCTGGGACTGCCAGAGCAGCTTGGTTCGGGCTCAGGAAGGTGGGTGAGGTGGGTGGGTGAGGAAGACCTTTGTGAGTGTCCAGGGACCGGCTGTGCCAAAACGGGCCCCTGTAATGCATAGACTCCAAACTTGACTTCTGTCCTTTGCTCCTGCAGTTTGCCATCTTTCTGTCTCTTATCATGTTGGTGGAGGTGGCCGCAGCCATTGCTGGCTATGTGTTTAGAGATAAGGTAAGCAGGGAATAATGGGAAGGGCCTGCCTCAGCCGGGTCTGGGACCCTGGTGCTTGAATTCTGACTGCAACAGTGCTCCTCCGTACTCTCAGGTGATGTCAGAGTTTAATAACAACTTCCGGCAGCAGATGGAGAATTACCCGAAAAACAACCACACTGCTTCGATCCTGGACAGGATGCAGGCAGATGTGAGTGGGGTTGCTGGGAGCAGGGGTGGTGGGAATAGAGAATTCTCATCTCCAAGGCTGGGTGTGGTGACTCACGCCTGTAATCTCAGCACTTTTGAAGGCCGAGGTGGGCAGATCACCTGAGGTCAGAAGTTCAAGACTAGCCTGGCCAACGTGGTGAAACCCTGTCTCTACTAAAAATACAAAAATTAGCCAGGTGTGGTGGTGAGTGCCTGTAATCCCACCTACTCAGGAGGGTGAGGCAGGAGAATCGCTTGAACCCGGGAGGCGGAGGTTGCAGTGAGCCGAGATTGAGCCACCGCTGGGCACTTGTCTGGGCAACAGAGCAAGTCTCTGTCTCAAAAAAAAAAAAAAAAAAAAAAAAAGAATTCTCATCTCCATATTGAAGGTGAAGGTTCACTTAACAACCTTCTTCTCCATATTTCTTCCCTCCCCCAGTTTAAGTGCTGTGGGGCTGCTAACTACACAGATTGGGAGAAAATCCCTTCCATGTCGAAGAACCGAGTCCCCGACTCCTGCTGCATTAATGTTACTGTGGGCTGTGGGATTAATTTCAACGAGAAGGCGATCCATAAGGAGGTAGGGAGGAGACTGTGTATGGGACTTGGGAAACCTGGGAAATGTTTTAGAATGCAAGAGACCCAGGATGGAGGTGGACAGGGTCAGGGATGGGGAGGGGATCTGGAAATGCTAAGGGTGGGGTGAAAGGTACAGGGGCAGGGAAGAGACTGATGGACCAAGGGAGGGGGTTGGGGTGGGAAGTTTCTGATGGTGCTTTTGTCCTTTGTGCCTGCCACCTTCAGGGCTGTGTGGAGAAGATTGGGGGCTGGCTGAGGAAAAATGTGCTGGTGGTAGCTGCAGCAGCCCTTGGAATTGCTTTTGTCGAGGTAAGAGATAACCCTGAGCAGGGGCTGGGACTCTGTCCAGGGTGCCTGGAGGGAAGGGGCTGAGGGGAGGAGGGTGCTGAACAGGAGGTACTGGCCTGGGAGTGTGTGTTTGGAGTCTCTTGCATGGGTCTGAGGTAGCTAGCCCTTCTGACTCCTCTCCACCCCTGTCCCCATCTTTCCTTCTAGGTTTTGGGAATTGTCTTTGCCTGCTGCCTCGTGAAGAGTATCAGAAGTGGCTACGAGGTGATGTAGGGGTCTGGTCTCCTCAGCCTCCTCATCTGGGGGAGTGGAATAGTATCCTCCAGGTTTTTCAATTAAACGGATTATTTTTTCAGACCGAAAAGAGATGGTCTGAGTTTGTCTTAGAGTGATGCTTGATTCCTTCCTTTCCTTACTGATGTTCCCTGTCCTCTGGGACCTTAATGCATGTGTACTTCGAGGTCTATTTTGGGGGGTGTTTGGGAAAGGAGGACTTTGCGAAGGTGTTGGTTGGGCAGGCAGTGGGAGAAGTGAGGATCCAGAGACTGTGGTGCTTTCTGCCCCCTAGTCTTATGCTGCCAGGCTCACTATGAACATTCATGAAGCCATCTGCTGCATAAGTCAAAGCAGCTCCCCAGAAAGGTCCCACCTGCGAGAGCCCAGCCCCCATCTGCCTTGGACATCTTCCTGGCCTTCTGTGCACCGCTAAGGGCCCAGCACCTCCCTTCCTGGCCAATCCTCAAGGGATCCAGCTCCTTTCGAAGTATGATAAGTTGCCTTGACACCTGTGTGGTCAGTGTCCTTAGCAGGAGAATTTATGTGAATATTGCCTTTTCTTCCATGGAAGCCACCCAGCCTGGCCCAGAACCCTCATCACCTGCTCTTCTCCCCCAAGAAATATGAAGACCATTCCCAGTACAGACACTGAATTGCAACCTTACTCCCCTTCAGAAAATAAGGGAAATGTATTAAAGTGCCCTTTGATGGCCACTCCCCGACGTGCAGCTGTAGATGTGAGGCAGTTCCCTGGCGCCCCACTGTGGGTGCTAGCTGTTTTGCAGGGACTGAACAGGCCAGAGACCGTGAGCATGTCGGTTTGGAGTAGTTGGCACTTAAATGGGGTCAGCCTTCCACTGGGCACATTTCTGCCCACCTTCTTTTTATTTTTTAAACAATACACTTTTGTTAGTGCTTATTTTGTGGCAGGCACCAGGCAGTACCAGGGTGGGGGCAGAAATAAATCAAAGTCCTTGTCCTTGAAAAACAATCTCTTGCTGGAAGGCTGGATTCAGTAGACTGCTTGGGCAGGCTTGGGAAGGACCCAGGTGAGCACAGCATCCACCAGGCTGGCTGGCAGGTAGGAGGCAGGCAGCCAGAGCAGCTTGGCATCCCAACCTGGGCTGTAGCGGGTTCGGGGGTGTCGAGCAGTCAGGGCATGCTCCAGGCATCGGCTCACCTTGGTTAGGTCCGGGTCACAGATCAGGTTCATGATGCGCTGTTGCATTTTCAGGTCTGCAGCCCCATAGGTGGTTGCAATCAGTTTCCCTTCCTCACTCCAGCCCATCTTAGGTACTGTCTTCTGGGGCCCTGGGCTTGTCACCCTCAGTCCCCTCCTCAGTGTGGGGAGTGGGCAGGTTCCACATGGCCTGGGCACTCTTGTAACATCCTGTTCACCCTCAACCCTGCCCTGGGTGCCCCACCCACCTCCTAGCAGGCTTATGCAGGACTGGCCTTTCTGGTACTTGTTTCCCTTCATGTGCCCCTGTGTGGGCCTGGCTACTCACACTTGGTGAGGAAGGCCCCCCCATAGTGGGCCTGTGTGGCAGGAGGCAGCCGTGCCCAGCAGGCCTGCAGGGTTTTCTCCAGACTCTCCAGGTTGGTCACAGGGGTTCGGAAGAAGCCAGGCTCCACGATGGAGACTCGTATCCCAAAATGAGCTACATCCCGCCTAGAGTCGGGGCAGAGCGAAGTTGCTGGGTTCTTGCCCTATAGGGAGGGGACTTTGAGGGACATGGGTTGGGGAGCTGAGAAAGTTACCACAGACCAGGGACAAGAGTTTTGACGGAGATGCCTACTGCCCCGGGACAAGGGTCAAGTGGGGTAGAGGGAGGAAAGTATTTTTGAGGTTTGTTTTCTTTGATCTAGAGCAGGGGTCAGCACGTTTTTTTCTTAAAGGGCCAGAGAGTTAATATTTTAAGCATGGCAGGCCAAGAAACAAAATTAATGATATTATCAGGTACTTATATAACAGTTTACAATGTAACCATTTAAAAATAAAAAAAACCATTATCAGCTTGTAGGCAGCTGGCCAGATCTGGCTTGAGTACTGAGTTTGCCGATTCCTGACCTAGAGGAACCCCATTCCCTTGCTCCCAAAACACATGGTTGAGCCCTGAGTGCTGGATATTGAAGGGTATAGTCTCGTATTTGCTGGAGGGTAAGCTGATGGGGAAAGTGGGGATACATCCCACTGCCCTGGCACAGATGTAGAAATCCAAGTATAGGTAAGGAGCAGGAGGGAAGGGGATAAAAAAAAATTCAAGTATAAAGTATGTGTTCCAGTATGCAGTGGCTCACACCTATAATCCCAACACTTTGGGAGGCCCAGGCGGAAGCATCGCTTGAGGCCGGGAGTTGGAGACAAGTCTGGTCACCACAGCAAGACCCCATCTGTAAAAAAATACTAGCCAGGCATGCTGGCACGCGCCTGTGGTCTCAGCTACTCAGGAGGCTGAGGCGGATATCGCTTGAGCTGCTTGAGCCTAGGAGTTTGAAGTTCAGTGGGCCGTGACTGCACCACTGCACTCCACCCTGGGTGAGAGCAAGGCCTTGTCTCAAAACTAAAAGTATGTGTCCCATGATGCTGCCTGAAAAATTAAGGCTGAGAGACAGGAGACATTCAGGTTATTTGCTGAGTGATGGTGACAAACGCAGGCTTCCTTAGAAGGTAGACTAAGCTTAGGCGCCTTATACTCCTGCTAAGAACTCAGGCCTTGGGCCGTGTGTGGTGGCTCATGCCTGTAATCCCAGCACTTTGGGAGGCCGGGTCGGGTGGATCACCTGAGGTCAGGAGTTCAAAACCAGCCTGGCCAACATGGTATAACTCCATCTCTACTAAAAATACAAAAAAATTAGCTGGGAGTGGTGGCACGTGCCTGTAAGCCCAGCTAATCGGGAGGCTGAGGCAGGAGAATCACATGAACCTGAGAGGCAGGGGTTGCAGTGAGCTGAGATCTCGCCATTGCACTCCAGCCTAGGCAACAAGAGCAAAACGCTTAAAAAAAAAAAAACAAAAAAAAACTCAGGCCCTACTCCCGTTGTCCTCATCATGTCTCCTTTGTGCTCCCACGGAACTTTGAACCTTATTGTTTAAAGACGAGAGGCAAGGCCGGGCGTGGTGGCTCACACCTGTAATCCCAGCACTTTGGGAGGCTGAGGTGGGCGGATCACGAGGTCAGGAGTTTGAGACCAACCTGGCCAACATAGTGAAACCCTGTCTCTACTAAAAATACAAAAATAAGCCAGGCATGGTGGCGCATGCCTGTAGTCCCAGCTACTCGGGAGGCTGAGGCAGGAGAATCGCTTGAACCCCGGGGGTGGAAATTGTGGTGAGCCAAGATCGCGCCACTGCACTCCAGCCTGGCGACAGAGCAAGACTCCATCTCAAAAAACAAAAAACAAACACGTTAAAAATGGGTAAAGAGAAGTAATCTACTTATGGTCACAAAGCTTACATAAGGGTAGACTTCATTGAACCCATGAAGTCTAGCCCTAAACTGTCTCTTCTTAACTATTCCAATGTGCTGTATCTTAACCACCTCTGCTGGCCCACGTTTGTTGAGTGGGCTGCTGTTAGTCCTGGAACCCAGAGCCCTGTACCCCTCACCTCAGGCTGTCAGAGAAGGCCTCCAGGCCAAATTTGGAGACACAGTAGCCCCCACCATTGGCTGCCAGGCGACCCAGGACGCTGGTGATGTTGATCACCCGGCCCCGGGCTTGCTGCAGCAGAGGCAGCAGGGCAAGGGTGACCCCGATGGGACCCATTGTGTTCACATTCAGCACCCGCTGGAAATCGTCCCGGGTCAGCCATGGTGTGGGTCCGATGATACCAGCCACACCAGCATTATTCACCAGACCAAAAAGCCCTGTGGGGAGATGAAAAGGATGCTGGGGGTAGGTGAGGCACTCCCACAGCTCCCTCTTCTTCCTGGGAGCATCTGAAAACTGCTTCTCCTCAAATTGTCCCTTTAGCTTACCACAGCCCTTGCAGGTGACTCCTGGGGTGACTGTGGGGATCAGGACACCCCACACCATATTCCTGGTGGTCTACCATACTTACCTGCTTCCTTAACGTGCATCTCCACCCACTTGGCTGCCTGCTGGACGCTCTGGGGATCAGTGATATCCAACAGGGTGGTGTGGAGGCGGGAGGAGGCCACCCGCTGCAGGTCCTCGGCCCCGGAGGGGGTCAGGCAGCTGGCCAGGACTCGGAAGCCTCTCTGGTCCAGCTGCAGTGCCAGAAGGCGCCCAAAGCCTGAGTCACAGCCGGTGATGAAGACAAAGGCATTGCTGGCGGGCAGGCTCTGCCGGTCCCTGAGCAACCACAGCACTGCCCAGAGTAAGGCACCCAGCAGAAGAGGCAGCCACATAGCTGGAGCCCAAGTGACCTACAGGTGGCAGCCTAGGCTGGGCAGAAAAACTTGTCCAGTTTACTGTGGCCCTCAAGCCCTTTCCCCTAATACCCTCCCTAGCTGGAAGCATCTGGTGTGAGCATATTGAGAAATTATCTGGTTGGCAGATAATTGGCCAACCATGGCTCATCTGTTCAAAGCAAAGATGTGGGCAGACCCTGTATTTGTGGCTAACTTAACTAAAACCACATGAGCCAGATCCTGTGTACAGACCTGCTGTATGGAGCAGAGGCATCTTTTTTTTTTTTTTTTTTTTTTTGAGATGGAGTCTCACTCTGTCGCCCAGGCTGGAGTGCAGCAGAGGCATCTTCTTGCTTGCCTCACACCACCTCTCCTTCTAAACCAGGGACACTGAACCTTCTATATGCAACCTGGGTCTTGTGTTTGGAATGATGTATAGGGCCAAGAGGTTTGCTGTGTGATACTGAGCATCTCACTGTCTCTCTCAACCTATTTTCTCATCTACCAAGTGGGGCTAAGACCCACCAGGTCCACCTCAGAGTTGTGGAGGATCAAAGGGGATAATGTGTGAGGAAGCATGTTAAAAGCTGAAAGTTTTGAGTTGGCAATACATGTAATATCTGGCTAGTCTTCTCAGTTCCCCCAGCTCCCAGTATCCACTTACCTCCTGTGGCGAAAGCTGGCAGGTACTACAGCGCCCGAAGCTTATTCTTTTGCTTTTGTTTAAGAGACTGCTCCCAGTCTTCCCAGCCTCCCACACTAACTACTGCTAAGGCCAAAGTCCGGAGTGGGTGGACTTGGATGCCAGGCGTATTAAGTGTATGTGTGACAGGGTGGGGATAGGACTGAGGAGGAGGAGGAGCCAGGGAGGCTGGAGCTTGCCTGGCTGAAGCCAGGACTTGGCAGAGGCCAGATTTGCCTAGGCTCCCCCCACCCCTTGGCTGTCTTTCTCAGCCTGGGTTCCTGACCATCTATGTCATGGTCTCCAAGGAGGAGGGAGCTGTCAAGGATGGCAGCTGCACTGCTCTGTTGGTAACGGTTACTGGACCTGTCATTCCTCCCCCTTCTCAGCCCTGAAGTGCCCCCAGGAATTAATCTCCCACCTGGCTCAGACTCATGACACTGCTTAGAGTTAGCCTGGGAGAGGCCATGAGCACGTGGAGAGGCAGAAAGCCAGAGCTGGGGACCAGGCCTGTACCTTGCCTTGTTTCTCTTCTGTAGGAAACAAGTCCTGAATTAGGAAGCTTGGGGCAGGGCTACTAGGACCTTCTCTCAGGAGGGATGGGAACTCCCACCCTCTGCTTGCCTAACAGACACCTGCACAAGGGCCATGGAGGAGAAGAGAGTTGGGATAGTAAGAGGAAGCTAGTTCCACCCTCTCCCCAAAAGGTACCTGTCCCTCAGGGAAACCACCTTTGAACCTTCCACTCCCACCCCCGACACTGGAGCTAGTAGCTCTCTGAAACACACCACAGAGAAACGGAGGCTTGTGTTTTATTCAAGGCTTGTCAGCCTCCCTCCTTCCCCCTGCGGGTGAGGTAGGAGGGATAGGGTTGGGGGAGGGAACAGGGGCTAGGAAGGGGCAGACTGCAGCTGCCCTTTGTAGACATATTCCAGTGCAGTGGCAATGGTGCGCATGTCCAGCTCGATGCTCCGAGCCCAGTTCTCCACATCCCCAATTTCCTGGGAAGGGGGAGAGGAGGTGGGAGCCCAGGAATCAGAATGGGTAGAGTATGGCTTCCAGTCTGGGGAATACGTTTTATTCATCTCCTGGAAAAGGCTTTACTTGGACCCACCAACTGCTTTTCTTTCTTTCTCTACCTTTTCTGACACTGGGGCTATAGATGGGGTTTCTGGGACCACCCTACTTCCTCCTTAACCTAAACCTGAGGTAACCTGACTGGAGGCAGCCAATGGGGGCCCAGGATTGGGGTGGTGAGGTAGGGAGTATGGCCCACCTTGAGTGCCTGGTTGAAGTTCTCCACCATTCCGATCCACTGGCCTGTCTGCTTGGCAAATTGGGCAGCCTGGACCTGTAGGGTCTTCACCTCATGGTCCAGCTTTCTCTGGTTCATGTAGGCCTGGGCCACACTGGGGGGTTGGAGGAGGGAGGAGATCAGCTCCAGCTAGTTGGGGGTGGTCTCCGGGACTAATATTCCATTGCAGCAGTGGGAGTTCAGCCAAGAATCAGGGCTCATAATTTTGGCCATTTTTGGATGTGATGCAAATGACTACCAGTACATGCAAATAAACCCAGCTCCTTCCTTTCACTCCCAGGATTCCCAGGAGAGCCAAGCTCGGAGCTGACTAGAAACATACCAGCTCCAAACCCCAAAAAGGAGTTCCTGCAGCTGAGTGGGGGAAGGGAGGGAAAACCTGGGGTGATATCCCTGAGGAAAAAGCTGGGAGGGAAAAAGGGGCATGGAAAAACTGGGAAAATCCAGCAGGAGGAACACATCTGGCAGTGATTGGAAGCCTAGGGATCTATGCAAGAAGTTGGAGAGGGAAATTGGGCCCCTCCCTGAAGCCGGGTTAGGATGGGAGTACAAACCCCCTCCCCAGGAACCCTGGGTCAAAAGAGGGTATCCCAGGGGTTTCTTCTCGGCTCTCAGTTGCTCTCCCAAGCCTTCGCTTTTGCCCACACAGATCAAGGAACACACACAAACACACACACACACACACACACACATGCTCTCCCTCCCTTCTGCCTTAGGCACTAGTTTTTCTTTTCAATCAAGGTATGGGCTGTGGTTACCATTACTACCATGGGGTTGGTGTCCCCAACCTTCTGCCAGTGTTTTTTGCCCTCCCCAACCCCTGCAATAATTGTTCTCCTTTATTGGCTGTTGAATTTTTCACTTCCCACCCCAGAGCTCTACTCAGCCAGGAGATTCCACATCCGGTGCCCCCACCCACTGGAATGTGTGGGGGCTGGAGCGGGGAAGGGGTTGGTGGGGGCTGAGGGAGTGGGCAGGACACCTGACAGGGGCCAAGATAGACTGAGCCTTTGTTTTCCTTTCCGGGGAATGAGAGGAGGCGTGGGCAGCAACACAAAACCCTTTCTAATCTGGCTTTGGCTTAGCTGCCCTCTAAGCTGAAAGTGGGGTGGCATCTAGCAAAGGAAAAGAAGAGGGAAAGGCCTGGGCCAATCTCACAAATGATGGGCACAGCAGAGCCCAGGAGGTGCCAATGTGGGAGGGAGGAAATGGGAGGGCAGACCCTGTTCCTTCTTTTTGGGAGACAGCTGGGTCACTGTCAAGGGTCGGGTAGGAACTGAAACAGACTCCCCTGAGAATTCCTGAACTTCTGGTTTTCCCCATTGACCACCTGCTTCTATATTCACACTGAGTAAAGAGAGCTGCCTGGAGAGAAGGGAGATCAGAGGCCCCAGCCACAACTTTCTTTCTCTCAACCTTCCCCCAAGATGAGTAACAAAGATGACCCCAGCCCCTGCATGGCTCACTTGGATGACTCAGTCTCTGGATTCACACCGAGCTGTTCTACTTGACCTGGGGTGGAAGGTACCATACTGCCTTTCTTCCAATAGGCAGACTAGCAAATCATCATCTCTGCACGCTTCTGGGTCACTTAGGGTCAAGAGACAATGTTCTTTGCTTTTTCCCAAGTCTTTGGCTGTTACTTGCATTCTCATTTAGGGCTGGGGCAGGGTGTGGTCCCTAGAGACCCAATAGGAAGGTAAGAGACAGCCTGGCTCTGCCATAGCTCCCGGAACAGGTTCTACTCTCACCACCACCAGCTCTGCCATCTCTTTCCTGCCAGCTGCTCCCCAGGCTTGCCAGAGGGTGGGAGGCAGAGGAGAGGGTGGTAAGCTGTAATGAAGGAGGGTGCTCTCCCTCCTGCTGAAGTGACAGCTGGACTTGGAAGGGTGAAGGGAGGTGGGCAGATGGCATCAAGTTGTAAATGCCAGGGAAGTTAACGTGGGGAAGGGGAAATCTGGCTGCTTCTCTAACCACGGCAGCTGTTCCTCCCTTGCCCAGTGCTAGGACTCAGAGTTGACTCAAGTTGCTCTACAAAGAGCTGGGAGGGGCGGGGTAGGATAGGGGAATTAGTGGAACATCCCACCCCTTCAACAGCTATTTGAGGGCCAGACTGGCCAGTGCCTAAACTTGGGCGGGGTGGGGAAGGAGGAAACTGATGTTGATAAGAGGTCCATACCCCACATTGAGGTGATCCACCAAAGCTTCTGTCAGGCAGGTCGCTGCAGTGATAGCCTCTCGCCTCCTCTTTTCTGGGGAGAGGGGGAAAAGGAATTGGAGGGGAGACTTGGTTTTTTGAGGGGTAGTGTTAAAGGTTCCCTACCCATCCATTACTATTCTGCTAGTTGCCGAAATTTCTTAACTAATCTCTGAATGCCGGAGCTGAAAAGGACCTTGCAAAACATAGCGCAACCTCTTTCATTTTAGAGATGAGGAAACTGGTACCCTGGGAGGGAAATGGACTCACTCAGGGACGCCAGGAAGTCAGCGGCAGCGCCCAGGACTCCTGACTCCCAGGCACTCTTTCTCCACTACTCGGCCGCAGAATCGGTAACTCCGAGATTTCCAGCCCGGACTCAGGAAACAAGTGCCCCACCTCCGTTCCGGTGGTTTCAGGCCTCCAAGAAGCCCATCTCTGGGGGGTTCCCCACACCCTCCTCCCTCCAGAGTCGCTCCTTCCCGCCGCCAGGACGAGAGGCTCCCAGGGCCAATAGGCAGGGCGCTCCGGGGCAGGGGCGGGGCTAAGGTGCGGCAGGTCGGGGATTGGGGGCGTTGCCGAGGGGACCGGAGTATTGCCCAAGGGACCGGAGCCAGTTGGCAAGGGAAAGGAGTTTCAAAAAAAGCCTCTCTGAAATTCCCTCTCCCCCATGCCCGTTGCCCGCTAGCTGGCGTCTTTCCCTGGATATGGTTAGTTACTCGAGATCCAGGCTCCGGGCTGAAGCTAGGCCGCGGCCGAAGAGAAAACGGCCGACAGGATATTTGGCTCACCCTGCAGCTCCTTGCGTTCATTCTGCTTGGCCTGGTGTTCTTTTAGGAGGCGGGACAGCATGGTCACGTCGGGCTGGGGGCTGGGTACGCCGGGCCCCCTCCGGCTCCGGAAGCTGGAACGCTCACCTCGGCTCCCCGGGGCCATGTCACGTGACCGCTGTGTCACGTGAGGTTGGGAACCGCCCTCTTGAGACCTTGGGTGAAGATCTTGGCGGGGAAGAGAGGTAGAGGGTTGCGGAGGGCAGGTGAAGTGTTCTTTATTGGGAGCTTAGTTTTTGGTGAGTGTTGGAAGAAGTATTTTCTAATACTTATATTGCCAAGCCAGTTTTTAACATTTCCTGTGGATCTCAGGCTTCGAGGGCTGGTGGTGTCAGGCCGTCTATCACCGTTTAATTGAGGGAGCAGAAGCTCCCTGGCCTCATTTAAATTATTCTCCTTCCCTCTCCTCACCTCCTGGCAGTGCTAGCTGGTTCTCAGTTGATTCCCAGTTCCTTCCCTCAAGGAGAGGATGCTTTCCTGTCTCTCCCAACCCTCTTTCTTCTCACTACCCCACTGAAGTCTCTCAGCTCTGGGTGATCATTGTAGAGAAGCATTTTAGGCACTTCAGACAGCCTCCTAGGGAGCTTGGCTAACTTGGCGGGCTGTGTGAATGTAGAATTTCATCTCTGTCCTTTTGTGGTCAGGAATGCGAACCCATTTCAGTGTTAGCAGAAGCGTAAGTGCTGTGCCAAAGTAAAAAGTAATTTATATAAGGCCTCTGTGAACTAAAAAGAAATGCTTCCGGGATTAACTCCAGCGAGAACAATTATAAACATCATGAGCATATTCTTGCTACTGGTACAATCTCTCTCGGTGCACCTTGCACTAACATGTTGGGTGACTTTGGGCAAGTTGCTCACCATTCTAGGTTATAGTTTTCTCTTTAGTAAAACTAGGAGAAGGGATTGGATTAAATCGGTGGTTCTCAACCCTGGCTAAGCATTAGAATCTAAACATTAGAATCACAGAAATCACAAGGCTTATAAAAATGCCGTGATTAGCCGGGTGCGGTGGCTCACGCCCGTAATCCCAGCACTTTGGGAGGCCGAGGCGGGCGGATCACGAGGTCAGGAGTTCGAGACCAGGCTGACCAACATGGTGAAACCTTGTATCTACTAAAAATACAAAATTTAGCCAGGCGTAGTGGCACAAGCCTGTAATCCCAGCTACTCAGGAGCCTGAGGCAGGAGAATCGCTTGAACCTGGGAGGCAGAGGTTGCAGTGAGCCGAGATCACGCCACTGAACTCCAGCCTGGGCGACAGAGTGGGACTCTGTCTCAAAAAAAAAAAAAAAAAAGCCTTGATTCCAGACTAATTAAATAGAATCTAAGGAGTGAAGACCAAACATCACTATATATATGTATGTATATATGTATGTATACGTATATATGTGTATATATGTATGTATACGTATATATGTGTATATATGTATGTATATGTATATATGTATATATAAAATTATTATTATTTTTGAGACAGAGTCTCGCTCTGTCGCCTAGGCTGGAGTGCAGTGGCATGATCTCAGCTGACTGCAACCTCCACCTCCCAGGTTCAAGCGATTCTCCTGCCTCAGCCTCCTGAGTAGCTGGGATTACAGGCATGTGCCACCACACCTGACTAATTTTTGTATTTTTTTTTTTGAGACGGAGTCTCGCTCTGTCGCCCAGGCTGGAGTGCAGTGGCGGGATCTCGGCTCACTGCAAGCTCCGCCTCCCGGGTTCACGCCATTCTCCTGCCTCAGCCTCCCAAGTAGCTGGGACTACAGGCGCCCGCCACTACGCCCGGCTAATTTTTTTTTTTTGTATTTTTAGTAGAGACGGGGTTTCACCGTTTTAGCCGGGATGGTCTCGATCTCCTGACCTCGTGATCCGCCCGCCTCGGCCTCCCAAAGTGCTGGGATTACAGGCGTGAGCCACCGCGCCCGGCCTAATTTTTGTATTTTTAGTAGAGATGGCATTTCACCGTGTTGGTTAGACTGGTCTTGAACTCCTGACCTCAGGTAATCTGCCCGCCTCGGCCTCCCAAAGTGCTGGGATTACAGGTGTGAGCCACCGTGCCTGGCCTTATCAGTATATTTTAAAAGCTGTTCTGGTGATTCTAATGTGTATCCAGGGTTGAAACTCACTGGGCTAAACCATATCTAAAACTATTTCCAGCTTTGGCATTCTCTCATTTTGTGATTCATTGGCATAGTTGAAGTTGACGTCATTATATTTACTTGCAGGGGGAGGAGAAATGGGTGCTGATTGCATTAGAAGAAAACATTCTTGAATTTTCTGAGTAAGATTTGAGAATTACTGATCAATGATTCATTCAACTATTTGCAGAATAGCATCCCAAATCCTGGGAGATGTGCAACTGTCAAAGGATTAGTGAGGAGAAGCACATGAAATGCTTAAGTGGCAGCATAAAGCAAAACATTTTAAGTGCCAAAATAAAAATTCTAATAAAAACGTTAGATACTGTGTGTATGTGTCTAAATTATATGTGTACTGTATCTTCTTTCTAAACATTTCTTAGTACTCATCATAGTCAAGCACTTTACATGTATGTATTCATTTAATCCCTAGAACAGTTCTGTGAAATATTATTACGAGTATCCCAAATTTGCAGATGAAGAATCTGAGGTACAAGGCAGTTAAGTAATAGAGTTCATTAGTGGTAGAGCTAGGATACAAATCCAGGCTATCTGACTCCAGAGCCTGAGTCTTACCGCTGTATACTGCATAAACCACAGTTGAGACCCCAGGAGGGTAGACCCAGAGCACTTTTCTGGGAATCTCTCTGTCTCTAATCATTATGCCCCTCTAGCTTGCTGGGCATGAGCTGTAGAGAATCCTGGCAGGGGAGGAGTGTTTGAGAAGAGGCTCTGCTCCAGAGAAGGGCTAATCAATAGAAGTGGGAAGAGTGAGAGCATCACAGAGCAGCCTGGCTCTGTCCTCCCCACTCTCTGGCTCCAGCTTCCAACTGCAGTGAGCAAGCAAAATAGAGGCAGATTGGAAATGCCTGGTGCCTCACCTCCAGAGCTGTGGGGCCTGGAAGAGAAGGACATGGGTTGGAAGTGTCAAGATAATGGTGACATGGGATAAGTGAAACAGAGGGTGAGGGCTAATGGGGGTTAGTGTTGGGGGGGTCTCAAAAGTGAGTCTAAATGTTAAGATTAGGCCAACTCAGGGAGAGTGTCAGGCCCATCCTGTATTACCCTCACCCTTCTTGGCACAACTGCCTGACATTTTCACAATCGGTGTAGAGACTGCCAGGATTCTGCAGACATTAGCCTCTCCCTTCTCTCCCACACACTGGCTGTTCCTTTGCCCTAGAGCTGAGCAGAGGACATGGGGTATCTGTATCTAGTGTCCCCATCTGATCTCTCTAGGGTTATCCTCCATCTGTTCTTTTTCTGGGCCTTTATTGTTCACTGTCTAACCTTAGTTTCTGCTGCAGTTGAAGCTCAGCTTCACTTGTCCTTGGTAGAGATGGACACAAGTCGCATACATATCTATCTGGAGAATGACTCTTGAAATTTGAAGTCTCTTTCTGCTCACCTCTCCTTACGATTTCCTACTCAGATTATTTTCCCTTGGACTGAATGAATGCAACTCCACACTCCTTTCTTCACTCATTTCCCTCTTCTTTTGAGGTCTCTTTCAGAGTTAGCTTTAATTAGCAAGCTCCAAACTGACTGGCTGGGCCAAACAGGGCTGGAAGCTGCTGAGTTGTTAGGGGTTGGATGAGGGCTGAGGGAGGACACAGAGTGAGTAGACAAGGCTTCACATACTGGGAGATCTGGCTGGGCTTCAAGAGAGGGGGTTGGTGGTGGTGTGGCTAAGTTCCAAATGTTGGCCTGAAGCCAGTGCTCAAAGAAAGGGGGCCCTTGAGACAGTCCAAATGGCTCCCTTTGGTAAGTGACCTCCCAGTCCTTCTCAAGTGTTAAGGGTTTCTTTTGGATCGTCAAAGACCGGAGCGGTCAAGCTGTTTCCCCACTGAATTCCCTCAATCACATTTATGTTCTTTTCCTCCCAGCCACTCCCATGGTTCAAGCTTTGACTACAACCAGAATTCAGAGGCAGGCAGAAGGATTCCAGTGCTGGAGAGGTGAGTGAAGTAAAAAAGTTCTCATGGTGTGCATGTTGGGACGGAAAAGCCTGACCTTGGGACATAAGCTCCAAGGCTCTGTTGCCAGATGAGGTGGAGGGAGAAGTTAGCCCTGAAGTGTGTGTTCTGGAAGTGTTTGCTTGTAAGCTAGAGACAACAGTTGCAAAAAGTGTGATTTGAGGGAGCTGAAAAATACTGATCTCAAAGTGGGGAAGAAGATGTTGAAAAGGGAAGGAGCTGGAGAAAGCCTCAGCTTCCACTCATACAAAAGCTAAAGGGCTAAAATCTTGGCTGGATCTGGACATTTCTCAACGTCTAAAATTTTGGAAATTTTTATAAAGATTATTAATCTTTCATTTTTACATTTAATTTATTTAAAAAGTTCAGTTTCTCAGTCATACTAGCCACATTTCTTTTTCTTTTTCTTTTTTTTTGAGACAGAGTCTCACTCTGTTGCCCAGGCTGAAGTACAGTGTATTAATCTATTCCATGGAGTGGAGTGGATAATCTATTCCATGGATTATCATTTTACTTTGTTAGTGGTATCCTTAGAAGCACAAAATTTTTAAATTTTTTTTTTTTTTTGAGGCAGAGTCTCACTGTGTCCCCCAGGCTGGAGTGCAGTGGTGCTATCTCTGCTCACTGCAGGCTCCGCCTTCTGGGTTCAAGCGATTCTTGTGCCTCAGCCTCCTGAGTAGCTGGGATTACAGGTGTGTACCACCACGCCCAGCTGATTTTTGTATTTTTAGTAGAGATGGGTTTTTGTCATATTGGCCAGGCTGGTCTCAAACTCCTGACCTCAAGTGATCCACCTCCCTCCCTCCCAAAGTGCTGGGATTACCATGTCTGGCTTGGAAATTATTTTGAAATAATTATAGATCAGAGGAAGTTGTAAAAATAGCACATGAAGTCTTGTGTACCTTTCACTCAGTTTCCCCTAATGGTGACATCTTATGTAACTGTAGCATAAAATCAAAACCAAAAAGTTGATATTGGTACAGTATTGTTAACTGGCCTGCAGACCTCACTCAGTTTTCACCATTTTTTACATGCATTTATTTGTTTGTTTGTAGTTCTGTGCAGTTTTATATCTTGTATAGATTTGGATAATCACCACCACAATCAAGATACAAAACCCATCACCACAAAGGAACCCCCTTGTGCTATTCCTTTATGTTTGTCCCCACCCCCCTCCATCCTTGTCCCCTGGCAGCCAGTAATCTGGTCTTCATTTCTATAGTTTTGTCATTTTGAGAATGGTATGCGAGTGGAATAATACAGTTTCAGCATTTTTTGTTTGGAGACAGGGTCTCACTCTATCACCCAGGCTGGAGTGCAGTGGCAAGATCATGGCTCACTGCAGCCTTCACCTCCTGGGCTCAAGTGACACTCCCGCCTAGCCTCCTGAGTAGCTGGGACCACAGATTTGGCTAACTTTTCTATTTTTTGTAGAGATGGGGGTCTCCCTATGTTGCCCAGGCTGGTCTCCAACTCCTGGGCTCAAGTGATCCTCCTGCCTTGGCCTCTCAAAGTGCTGGGATTGCAGGCATGAGCCACTGTGCCCAGCTCAGCATTAATTTTTAATTTAACTAATTCCTAAGCTCTTGACTGAAATACAAGAAGTTCTCTAACAGTTTATTTATTTTAATATTGAGCTTACCGCATTCTCTGGATCCTTCTAGTTTCTTTTTTTTTTCTTTTTTTCTGATGTGGAGTCTCTGTCACCCAGGCTGGAGTGCAGTGGTGCCATCTCAGCTCACTGCAACCTCCGTCTCCTGGGTTTAAGTGATTCTTGTGCCTCAGTCTCTGGAGTAGCTGGGATTACAGGTACCCGCCACCACACCCGGCTAATTTTTGTATTTTTAGTAGAGACAGGGTTTCACCGTGTTGGTCCGGCTGGTCTTGAACTTCTGATCTCAGGTGATCCGCCTGCTTCGGCCTCCCAAAGTGCTGGGATTATAGGCGTGAGCCACCGCGCCCGGCCCCGTCTAGTTTCTTAATTTCCCTCTTCACCTACGATATTATCTTCCACTCCAACATTCTGGTCTCATTTCTCCTTGAGAGAAATCTACATGTCTAAATTTACTAGGCTGGTCTAGCACGCTCTTGTGTGTTCCCCTCCCTCCTTTGCCCCTCTATTTATAGCCAGGCTAATTTTGGGTGGCCTCTCTCTCTCTTCTTTCCTGATCTTTCCTCCTGTGGTGGTGAGGTGACTTCTCAAATATTTGGAGAGAGGAGGTCAGAAGCAGATTCTTGGCATCTGATTTCAGCCCTGGATCACAGAAGCCAGTGGAGTGGGAATGGAGACAGGCAGAAGCTGCAGGTGCAGATAGGAGGCAGCTTGGGCTCTAAAGGCATTTTGAGCTGGGTCGGGGGCGGGGGGACCTGGGCAGGGAGTCAGTAGTCCCAGTTCTGTCCTAATTTTGCAATTCTGCATTCCCATGTCAGCTCTTCTCTACTGTCTGGGGCTCTGAGATATTAAAAAGGATGGGGAGGGCATGGTGAAAGTAGAATCCTGGTGCCAGCCCTGCTGACAGCATATGTATTTCCTTATAGTACCTGTTTAGAGATGTGTTAGTGCTCTGGAGGGGATAGCCACAGGTGTAGTATTGGAAAACAGAGGGCCAGACTTCCAAATGTCTGTTAACTTATCCAAGGCAAAGACTGTCCCAGGGCAGCAGAGTAAGAACCCACTTTTTTTTTGTTTTCAAAGAAGTATAATCCTGAACAATGAAGTAGGAAAGACAGAACACAGGAAGAGGAAGGAGGTAGGACACTTATTGGAACTTTTAAGAAAGGGAAAGAGAAGAAAGAATCGTAAGAATATGATAGTGTTTGAAGGGCAGAGACAACACTAGAAACATTGAGAAATACTCTGAGAAAGATTCCAAGTGTGGCAGAGACAAGAATGATGACAAAATAGAATTTGGGATGAGACAAAATCAGATAGTGAGAGAGAGAAGGGAAGATGGACAGATGTATATTCACAAGACCAACACCAGTAAGCAAGGGGAGTAGGAAGGGGAAGTGGGAGCATTCGAGGTTCCCATTATGCCAAATTATTTCCTGTCTCTCCTTCTGGCCCCATTTCTGTATCGGAGTTATAAATAGCAGAGAGTTGGAAAGTGTCCCCCCACCCCCTTGCCTCTGTCCCAGCCTGAGGGAAAGGGAGAGGAAGAGGGACAGGCCAATGGGTCCCTGTGGAGATCCCATCTCAGCCCCACCCAGGTCCTGCTGAGCCAGTCCAGGACTCTGCCCCCTCCCATCCCCTTTCATGGATAGGAAATGTGCAGTCCTGGGACGGGTCTGGTAGCTGGGGACACCCTTTACATCCCTCTGCCTCTTGGGTCCAGTCTCTTTCATCTTTGCCTTCTTTGACACCCACTCCCCTCCCCACTGCTTAATTTCCTCTTCCTGTAATCATCCCCAGTCGTTTTCTTTTCTCCCTTCATTCCATCCCTTGTCAATTAATCTCTTGCCCTTCTTTCTTCCTCTCTATTCCTTTCCTTTTTCCATTTCTCCATTTGCTCCCCGTATCTCCCGAGTTTCTCTCTCTCTTCTTGCCTCTTTTTCTCTGTTCCCTTGAATCCTGACGATGTGGCTAGCACTGCTGTGGTCATTGCCGGGCTGGGGGCGGGGGATGGGATAGGATGGGGGAGGGCAGCGGTCTGATCCCAACAGCAGAAAGAGTGCTCTATGTGACCATGGGGGAACAGGGAGCACTAAGATGCCACGCTGCACCCAGGCCCAGGACGGCTCCCCTTTCATTTCCTCTCTATCTGCACATCTCTCTTCCCAGGTTGTCTTTTAGCGTCTTCCCAACTTCTCATCTCTTACCCTCCTTCCTCTGTTTCAGCCCCTCTCTTTCTATCTGTACTTCTCTCCCTCCGCATTCCAAGGCGCCGCCTCCACCACTCCCGGGGTGGGGATGGGGTTGGGGGAGAAGGGGAGGAGAGCGCCGCGCAGGGGCGGAGCCGGAGACGGTGCTGGGCTTGGGGGGCGTGGTGGTGGGGGGTCAGCAAGGCTAGTTTCCATCCCAGCCACCAGCCTGGGCATCCCCTTGGAGACGGGCTTGGGTCTCCACCTGCCGCGGGAGCGAGGGGCGGGGCCGGAGGCGGGGCCTGAGTGGCGTCCCCGGGAGAGGAGGCGGGAGCCGGAGTGGGCGCCGGAGCTGCGGCTGCTGTAGTTGTCCTAGCCGGTGCTGGGGCGGCGGGGTGGCGGAGCGGCGGGCGGGCGGGAGGGCTGGCGGGGCGAACGTCTGGGAGACGTCTGAAAGACCAACGAGACTTTGGAGACCAGAGACGCGCCTGGGGGGACCTGGGGCTTGGGGCGTGCGAGATTTCCCTTGCATTCGCTGGGAGCTCGCGCAGGGATCGTCCCATGGCCGGGGCTCGGAGCCGCGACCCTTGGGGGGCCTCCGGGATTTGCTACCTTTTTGGCTCCCTGCTCGTCGAACTGCTCTTCTCACGGGCTGTCGCCTTCAATCTGGACGTGATGGGTGCCTTGCGCAAGGAGGGCGAGCCAGGCAGCCTCTTCGGCTTCTCTGTGGCCCTGCACCGGCAGTTGCAGCCCCGACCCCAGAGCTGGTGAGTCACCGCACCCGCCCAGAGTCGCCATGCCCGAGCCACAGATCGTCCCCCTCCCCACTCTGTGGGCCTCCTCATTTCTCTGTTTTCTAGCCCCACCAAGACCTAGACTGCCCACAGACATCCCACATCCCAACCTGGAGCCTTGCCTCATCTGGCTTGCGTCTGAAGCTGCACTTCCCGGCCCTGAGACCAGTATTTTGCTTTAGGGATGAGTTGGAAAGCAAGGTTCTTGTCTTGGCAGCGAACCATCTCCTTCTTCTGGGCCTTTCCCCCAACTTGCATCCTTGATCCAGCCCCAGGGCCTCTGGCTCCCCTGCTTCTTCCAAGGGCTGAATTCCCCAAGGGAGGGAGACTGTCTGTCTCTGCTTAGAATGGGAGGAGATGGAAAGGACATAGAAGTTGAGGGTGCCATGAGAGGGATGCATGCAGGGCAGACTCCAGAAATAACTTCCTGCTAGAGCATTGCCATGGATGGAATGAGGGCAGCAGGGCACTGGAAGGCCAGGAGAGAGCTTCCACTTCTGTGGCTTAAGACCACGGGAAGATTGGGAGAGGATCTGCAGGTCTGCCAACCTGCAGTAGGTGGCTTGGTGATAGAGAGTGGCAGCAAACTGAACCCTCAAAGTACTAGTAGCAGTAGTAGTAGCCGCAGCAGCTGTAGCAGTGAGAGAGATCCAGGAAGGATGCTGGCCAGGCTGCTCCCCTTCCTCCTCCTTAGCAAATTTCCAACTCCAGGAATCTCAGCAGCTGGGAAGGGCCAGGAGGAGTAAGGGGTGGAGGACAATTCTAATTTTTTCTAATCAGTTCAGGACCCATGGGAGATGGATATACTTTTGTGAGGGGCCTGTGACTGGTCATGTTGCCTGTATCCTTGGCTCTTGCTACATGTCTGATTGTAAAAAGGGAGGCCAGAGGTGAAGAAAGCTTCTCACCTGCTCCTGCTAGGGGGCTTTTCTCTCTTCAACCAGTGCCTAAGCCACATTAAGTATCCATTACTGGGATCAATGCTGTCCACTGGGACTGTCTTCTGCCTCTACTGTCGGTCTGGGGGCAGGGGGCAGGGACAAGAGCTCATTTCTCCTCACTTGCTTGGGGAGTGGGGGCCTAGCTCTAATCTTTCTTCTTCCATTATCCCTATCATCTGGTAGCAGGGTCGGTGGTCCCCAAAACTTTGGGAGAGATAGAAAGCAACGGACTTCATCTCCTCTTCTGTTTACCATCTGCTTCCTCATTCACCTTTGCTCCCTCCCTCCCTTCCTCCCTCCTTCTCCATCTGTCAGAGTTCGAGGACTGGAGGCCTTTTTAGGACATGCTGAACTCTCTAAGCTATTTCCAGGCAAATTCTAGGTTATTTTTAATAGCTTGGTCTCTTGTCATTTCCCCCTCCTCTCTGAAGGTGGCCCCTGGTTCCGTCTCCCAGAGCCAAGCTGGGGCCTTTCCCAGAGGGCCTGACTGCCTCACCCTGCTTTTGCTCCAGCAGGGGGTGCTCTGCTGCTGGGGGGCGGGGGGTATGTGAGAGGCCAGGCACCTGCTCAGTCCCTAGCTTTTGAGTTGCAGGTGGCCTGCCTTAGCACTCACTGATGAAAAAAACTTCTTGCCTGTTTTGATGTCTTTTAGTCTAGCTCTGGGATGAGACTTTAAGGTCTAACCTTTGCTGTGTGGTTCCAGCCTCATTTACTTCCCTCAACTGTAAAAAGGATATAAACATAGTATTACTACATAGGGTTGTTGTGCAGATTAAGAGTTCTTAATATATATAAAATGCTTAGAATAGTGCATAGCCCGCAGTGAGTGCTGTGAAGTGTTAGTAGTATTGCTATTCTTGTATTGTGATTCACAGAGCGCCTTACAGAGATTCTGGATCCAAAGGCTTGGCTAGAGGGCCTCCCTGGCTGAGCCAGCCTTCCAGGCCAAGCATCCTCCCCAGAGGGCCACCCAGATTGAGAGGGGCCAAAGAGGGGCTGGACTTGGGCTGGGGCCCTGGAGTGTGTGGAGAATCGAGAAGTGCAGTGGTCGTGGGCTACTCCTTTGTCTTCACTTAGCTGAGCTCCCAGGGGGTCCCTCTGCCCCCCAGCTGCCAACACTTTTTTTTTTTTTTTTTTGCTTTTCTCTCTGCAGTGGCTACACTGTGGCTGTCCAGAAGACTGGGGTGGTTAGGGCGTATGGCATGAAGCCAGGAAGGAGTGTGTGTGGCTGGACCAGAGGTGGAGGGACTAGAGAGGATGCTGCTGGGTGCTCTTGTTCCACTAAGGATCGATTGGTCTCTTCTCCACCAAGAGCGGACTGGGCATATCTATGCACTCAGCTTCTTTCTTCCACATGGGCCCCTCCCCTCCTCCCTACTTTTGGCCTCCAGAGGAGATGTGAACATAGAACAAGGATAACTTATCTGGGTGCTTAGCTATGCACTGACCAGCTGTGACACTGGGTATCTCTATGAGTCCACAAAATGTGTGTGTTCAGTAAACACATTCTGACACTCCCTATGGGGCAAGCACAAAGATGAAAAGACAGCCCCGACACTCAGAGAGATGGCCACTTCTATGTTTGGAGGCTGGGGGTACTGCTGACTTGCCTGAAGGTTGCCATTTATTTATGCAGGGCTGTATCACCCCGTTTCCTTTTCTGCCCAGGGTACCCTCATCTCCCCACTCTCTCCTTCCCTTTCTGGGGTGGTCTCAGTGTTCTAGAGACAGGTCAGTCACTGGGTGGAGTGACAAAGTGTTGGAGTTAGGCCCATGTGGATTTGAATTCCAGCATCACTGCTTAATGTCTTTGAGTGAGTTTTCTCATCTGAAAGACAAGAAAAGAATCCTTATCTCATAGGATTGTTCTGATGATTAAATGACATAATGCATGTGACTTGCCTATCCTGGTGCTTGGCACATATGTGGACAGTGATGAATGTTAGTTTCTTATATCCCTGGTGTCTAGCCTCGGATCTGACGTCATAGTAGGTGCTGAATAAATATGATTTCCTTGTCTCACCAGCGCCTGACACAGGGCTTGGCATACAATAGACTCTCAATAAGTAGTTGAATGCCAAATGTGTCTTCTCTTCTCTACTACTCCCTATACCCCTTCTCTGTCTTGACACTGGCTCTGACAAGGGATGGCAGCTGCTAAGAGATGAGGAGGAGTTGTGGGAAGGAAGAATGGCTCTCTGCCCTCCCCCTCCACCCCATCAGAGCTGGCACAGTGCCCCACAGATGCCTGTCTGTAATACTGCCTAACATGGTTTTGGGCCTTGCCCCCCAGGAAGGGAGATGGAGGAGAAGAGTGTGGGAGAGAGGCGTTGAGGTTTGTCCCACTGCCACTTCTGAGTCTCTCCTTCTGCAAAGAGAGGACCCATGGAGCCAGCTGGGTGTCAGTCATCTTACCTCACCCCCGCCTTCACTCTGGCTTGGGGGTTCAGCCCCAGGGGACCCAGGCAGCCTCCATTCCCAGCACTGTGCTCCCCTGGGGAAGACGGCTTGGCTGTGATCATGGAAAATTGTCCTGCCAAGAAAGTTGTAGCTGGGAAAGAGGCTGAGGGGGAGGCAGGAGAGAAGACTGGGTGGGGGTGGAAGGGAAGGAGAAATCATGGACATGGGGAGAAGGAAGGATGGGGAAGGGGATTCAGGATGTCGGGAAGAGAATGGGGTAGCATTGGAGGCAGAAGGAGAAACTTGTCCCTACCTCCATGCCAGCCAGAGTGACTGATGGAATCCTGGGCTGGCACAGCTTCTGGGAGGTGGGGTCTTTGCTGGGTCCCTGATGAGGGGGCAGTGGGTCCGTATCTAGCCTCTTGCCTGGCCTCTGAAGCTGGTCCCTGAGCCACACTCTGATGCCAGTCTGGGGCCCTGTTACTTTTGCTCCCAGCATTCTTGGCATTTCTGGCTGGGTTTCAACTGGACTGGGTTGGGGAGCAGGGCAGAGCTTGGGGATGGGGCCAAGGAGGGGATAGGGAAGGCCTACTCAGGAACAGGTGCTGGGAACAGGCAGTTCTTTCAAACCAGCACTGTTGGCCTGGCTGCTTGGGTTGGCGTGTATGTGTGTGTGTGTGTGTGTGTGTGTATCTACTGTGTATGTTGATCCCTTATCCAGATAGTATGTACATGCAACGTGATGACTGCATGACCAAGCATATTAATTTGTCCTTGCCAGGGTTTGAGAAAACTGACATTTGCCCCTTCTCTTTAGTCCTTGAACACTCTCTTTAGTACTGAGGGGTTGGGCCTGGGCAGCTCTAATGAGATTGGGTCATTCTGACCTCTAACTCCTGTCCCTGTCCCTGCCCCTGCCCCATCTTGCAGGCTGCTGGTGGGTGCTCCCCAGGCCCTGGCTCTTCCTGGGCAGCAGGCGAATCGCACTGGAGGCCTCTTCGCTTGCCCGTTGAGCCTGGAGGAGACTGACTGCTACAGAGTGGACATCGACCAGGGAGGTGTGGCCCTGCATGAACAGAGTGGGGGAAGCGTGTGAGCGGGGAGGAGAGGACTTGGGCTCCTCTTCCCTCCCCTAATTCCCAGTGTCCTGCCTCTAGCTGATATGCAAAAGGAAAGCAAGGAGAACCAGTGGTTGGGAGTCAGTGTTCGGAGCCAGGGGCCTGGGGGCAAGATTGTTGTGAGTATTGCTTCTCATGACTGAATGCACGGATGGGGTGTGTGTGTGTGTGTGTTTATGGTGTGTGCATACGCATAGGTGTGCTTAGAGAACACAAGTTAGGAATATGGTATGATTCCAAGTACATCAGGGAGATATAAAAAGGTGTGAGACATGGTCCTTGTCCTTATAAATGTAAAAATGTCTGTCCATTCATTCATCCATCCATTTGTCAAACTCTTACTGAGAACCTTTTAAGCATCAGGCATTGTGCTAGTTACTACAGGGGAAGGCTCATGCCTGTAATCCCAGCACTTTCGGAGGCCGAGGCAGGTGGATCACCTGAGGTCAGGAGTTCGAGACCAGCCGGACCAACATGGCGAAACCCTGTCTCTCCTAAAAATACAAAAAAATTAGCCGGGCGTGGCCGGGTGCGGTGGCTCACGCTTGTAATCCCAGCACTTTGGGAGGCCGAGGTGGGTGGATCACGAGGTAAGGAGATCGAGACCATGGTGAAACCCCGTCTCTACTAAAAACACAAAAAATTAGCCGGGCGTGGTGGCGGGCGCCTGTAGTCCCAGCTACTCAGAGAGGCTGAGGCAGGAGAATGGCGTGAACCGGAGAGGCGGAGCTTGCAGTGAGCTGAGATCGCGCCACTGCGCTCCAGCCTGGGTGACAGAGCGAGACTCCGTCTCAAAAAAAAAAAAAAATTAGCTAGGTGTGGTGGCAGGCGCCTGTAATCCCAGGTACTCGGGAGGCTGAGGTAGGAGAATCACTTGAACCTGGGTGGAGGAGGTTGCAGTGAGCTGAGATCGCACCATTGTACCCTAGCCTGGGAGACAAGAGCAAAGTTCCGTCTCAAAACCAACCAAACAAACAAACGAAAAAACCAGAGCTCTCTGTTTCTCTCTCTCTCTCTATCTTTCAGTAACACGCATAGATACACAATTACCAATACAGATCACTGTGGGGCAGAATCTGGTTCATGTTAAGTGAGTGGTCTAGTCTCCAGTCTATAAAAGTCCAAAGGAGGAGTAGAGAGAAGACTTCTGCAGAGGGGATGATTTGAGCCAGGCTTTAATAATAGGTAATACCTAGCCTGTGCAACATAGTGGGACCTCATCTTTATAAAAAATAAAAACAAATTAGCCAGTCATGGTGGTGCATGCCTGTAGTCCCAGCTACACAGGAGGCTGAGGTGGGAGGATCACTTGAGCCCTGGAGGTCGAGGCTGCAGTGAGCCATGATTGTGCCACTGCACTCCAGCCTGGGTGACAGAGTGAGACCTTGCTTCAAAAAAAAAAAAAAAGTAATACTTGGAGAGTGAAGCGGACAGGAAGTTCTTTGCAGATGAGATGGTGACACTTACAAAGGTCCAGGGACAGGGCCAAGCTTGGCATTTTGGAGGACTGTGACATGATCAGGGAGACACACATCCTATGTGGTGGCTTAATTGTGTCTTTTGGCTCCAGGCAGAATGTGGAACAAGGAGATCTCCATTTGAGGGCAAGGAAGTGGGTGCAGACAGGTTGCTGGGTTATGCATGGACCTGTGTAACACTGGCAGGGTAATGGTGCTTGAGTGGTGCCGGCATAGGGGTGTGTGTGTATGTGTGCATGTGCATGTGCATGTGAGCACACATGTATCAGTATCTGCCAAATCTCTGCATATGGGCAGCATGCCTCAAGCAGGTCCCTGGCCCACAGAGTGAAATGATCCCCATCCCTTCCTCCCCCAGACCTGTGCACACCGATATGAGGCAAGGCAGCGAGTGGACCAGATCCTGGAGACGCGGGATATGATTGGTCGCTGCTTTGTGCTCAGCCAGGACCTGGCCATCCGGGATGAGTTGGATGGTGGGGAATGGAAGTTCTGTGAGGGACGCCCCCAAGGCCATGAACAATTTGGGTTCTGCCAGCAGGGCACAGCTGCCGCCTTCTCCCCTGATAGCCACTACCTCCTCTTTGGGGCCCCAGGAACCTATAATTGGAAGGGTGAGTCACTCCTCGGGAAGGGGAGAAGGGGACCAAAACCTCCTCTTACCTCAGAGACAGGGTTGGGGATGGCACATGGCCAAGCATGACCACATGTGCACTGCTGTATGGCCCCAGGGCACTGCCATGCCTTCCACCCCATTGAGCTAGTGCACACATGAATGGGGGGTGCCTCCTTTCCCTCGCACGGCCAAGTGTTCCTCAACATGCTGGCATGGGCCCCAAGTGCACGCTGGGCCTGCAGCTGGGGCCTGCATGCTCCAACACACTAGCCCACACCTCATCACTGCCATTCCCGTCTCCGCACGCTGCTGCTGGCTGAGCTGACACTCGGTGAGTGTGATGCCACATCTGGGGGACCCCAGGAAGCCTGGGTTGGGGACAGGGTGGGGAGAGGGCTAGAAAGAAGAGGCAGGGCTTCCCCGTGTGCCTGTCTAACTCAGTGTCCGGCCTGAGGGGTGTTCCTTGCGCCCTGCCCTGGGCACTAACAGGTCTGTCCTTGCAGGCACGGCCAGGGTGGAGCTCTGTGCACAGGGCTCAGCGGACCTGGCACACCTGGACGACGGTCCCTACGAGGCGGGGGGAGAGAAGGAGCAGGACCCCCGCCTCATCCCGGTCCCTGCCAACAGCTACTTTGGTAGGGACCTCTCCCCGGCCCAGAACTGCTCTAACCCTCTGCTCCTCTCTCTTGTCCTCTCTCTCCATGCTCCCATCCTTCTGTCTCTGTTTCTGTCTCTCACCTTGTCTCTCTCTGTCTTTCTGTCTCTGGCTGTGATCTCTCTGGTCTCTTTTTCTCTCTCCACCTCTTCTTCTTCCACCATTTTCTGGCCTTTCTGTGGCTCTGTCTCCCTACTCTGTGGCCCCTACTCTGGATGTCCCCTCCCTGGTGTCTCACCCCACCCCCCACAGGGTTGCTTTTTGTGACCAACATTGATAGCTCAGACCCCGACCAGCTGGTGTATAAAACTTTGGACCCTGCTGACCGGCTCCCAGGACCAGCCGGAGACTTGGCCCTCAATAGCTACTTAGGTTTGTAAGCTCCCACCTCCTGGACTCTAGGGGCATGGCCCAGCCTCCCCTCCTTCCCCAGGGAACTCGACCTTTGGTGCCTTATAATCTCCTCCTCCCCCAACACACACCCAGGGAGACATACATTGGGCCCAAATTGCAGAGAAGAGCTGGGTCCAATGATCAGGCCTAAGAGGAGGAGGCCCCCAGGGTGGTGGCCTCTGGGGCTGTGAGCCAGGGGTCTCCATGGAGGAAGATTCAGGTGGAATGAGAGGGCCAGGGCTGAGGATATTTTGGGAAGGACAGTCCTGTCTTCTAGGGGGACTTTCCCTGAGGGGATGGATGGTGGGCACATATTGAAGAAAGGGCTAATGTTGTTGGTAAGTCCCTCTCGTTGTCTCATCTGCATTCCTCTGCAGAGGAGGAGGAAACCAGGCCTGGGAGATGTTTGGGTGAAGCAGGCGCTCTCTCACTCCCCCTTGTCTCCCCCTCATCCATGTGAAGACTTCCCCTCCCTGCCAGGATGAGGGAGTTGGGGGAAAGAGGTGCACTGGGTGGGATTCGGGCCTGAGAGGGACCTCTAGCTCTTCTAGCTCCCTGGGTGTGGGCAGGGTGAGGCCACTGTGCTCAGCCTCCTACCTGGGCTCCTGGCCTTCTCAGCCATCACCTTTCTCTCTCTTGCCCAGTCCCTGAGGCTGACCTCACTGCACTTTTTGTGCCAAGCTTGTCTCTGGGCCTGGTGGGTGTGGGAGGCTGCCAGGCCCTGTGGGGAGGAAGAGCTATCCAGCTGTGGTGCTGATGACTTGGGGGGACCTATCTTTTGGCTCTTAACCTAGGGGAGGGGGCAGGGTGCAGGGGAGCTGTGACTTGGCTCTTAACCTGTAGGGAGGGGGCAGGGGCTGGGGGAGCTGTGACACACCCCAGCTTCTGAGTCTTGGGGTGAAGACTTAGGGGTAAGTCACCCTTCCCCCAGGCTTCTCTATTGACTCGGGGAAAGGTCTGGTGCGTGCAGAAGAGCTGAGCTTTGTGGCTGGAGCCCCCCGCGCCAACCACAAGGGTGCTGTGGTCATCCTGCGCAAGGACAGCGCCAGTCGCCTGGTGCCCGAGGTTATGCTGTCTGGGGAGCGCCTGACCTCCGGCTTTGGCTACTCACTGGCTGTGGCTGACCTCAACAGTGATGGGTGAGTGGGTAGAGGGCCGTGCCACCTGAGGGAGGCTGGGTCTAGTAGCCCCAGTCTGGCTGAGGCCACTTAGCCTCCTGCTGGCTCCTCTGGCCAGGGAGGACCCACACTGAATGTTTCCCTCTCTCCATAGCTGGCCAGACCTGATAGTGGGTGCCCCCTACTTCTTTGAGCGCCAAGAAGAGCTGGGGGGTGCTGTGTATGTGTACTTGAACCAGGGGGGTCACTGGGCTGGGATCTCCCCTCTCCGGCTCTGCGGCTCCCCTGACTCCATGTTCGGGATCAGCCTGGCTGTCCTGGGGGACCTCAACCAAGATGGCTTTCCAGGTGTGACGGGGAACTGGAAAGGCTCAGGGAGGGAGGGGCCACAGGAGGGATGGGGAAGCCCCTCAGAGGTCAGGGTGTGGTCTTCTGAGGACTCAGGGAGAGAGGGTCCCTGAGCTTATGTCTGAGCTGTACCATTTACCAGCTTTCTGACCTTGGCAAGTTCCTAACCTTTTTGCGTTAGTAATATCTGCAGGGAGTGGCCAAGAGGATTAAAGATGATGTATGTAGAGTGCCTGGGATTTTGTAGCCTCTCAATAAAATAGAAAACATACCTGAGTGACTGGGGGGAGTTGAGGCCTGGATCTTGTCTGCAAGGCCCCCAGCCAGCGTGACTGCCTTTTCCCTGTGCCCTGCAGATATTGCAGTGGGTGCCCCCTTTGATGGTGATGGGAAAGTCTTCATCTACCATGGGAGCAGCCTGGGGGTTGTCGCCAAACCTTCACAGGTGAGGGGAGTCGCTGGGATGAGGGAATGGGTGTGGGTGGAATCAGCAGAGGCATCAGGGGAGGCAGAGGCCTGCGGGAGGTGGGATTGAGGGAGGCTGACAGCTGGTTCTCTAGGTGCTGGAGGGCGAGGCTGTGGGCATCAAGAGCTTCGGCTACTCCCTGTCAGGCAGCTTGGATATGGATGGGAACCAATACCCTGACCTGCTGGTGGGCTCCCTGGCTGACACCGCAGTGCTCTTCAGGTGAGCCCCTCTCAACCTTTTCCCTCCCTGAGGCCGTCAGCCCCTCCCTGTGACTCTGACCCCGACCTCAGTGCCAAATCTAATGCTGAAGAGTGTTTCCCAGCCTCATGTTCTCATGTTTCTTGTGCTCTTGACTCCCCAATCCCAGGGCCAGACCCATCCTCCATGTCTCCCATGAGGTCTCTATTGCTCCACGAAGCATCGACCTGGAGCAGCCCAACTGTGCTGGCGGCCACTCGGTCTGGTGAGGTGGGATCGGGTGGCACCTGGACCCTGGCAGCTTCCCCTGCCCTCCCTTTGATCCTTTATCTCCCCAGTTTGGGGCTGGGGCTGTGACAGGATGTGACAGATGGGGTGGGGGTAGGGGCCTTGGCCCATCAGCCTCGTTTGGCTCAGGAGCCACCTTTGCCCCCGCAGTGTGGACCTAAGGGTCTGTTTCAGCTACATTGCAGTCCCCAGCAGCTATAGCCCTACTGTGGGTGAGTGCGGTCCCCCCTCTGTGGCTCGCCCTTTTGGGTTTCCCAGGGAGGGGGGTCACTTCGAGGTGGTAGAAGAGCACCCTTGGAATGGGGTGAGCTGGAGCAGCTCTGCAGCTCAGCAGCTCCTCCTTTCCCAACATGCCACAGCCCTGGACTATGTGTTAGATGCGGACACAGACCGGAGGCTCCGGGGCCAGGTTCCCCGTGTGACGTTCCTGAGCCGTAACCTGGAAGAACCCAAGCACCAGGCCTCGGGCACCGTGTGGCTGAAGCACCAGCATGACCGAGTCTGTGGAGACGCCATGTTCCAGCTCCAGGTGGACACTGACCCCTTGGCTTCTGAGGGTCATTTTCATGGCTCCATCTCTTTTCCCTGATTCCTCTTAGCTGCTTTTTCCCGAGCACACTCGTGCCTCCTTCTAAGACCTAGACACGTGGGAAACCTGTCTTCTGAGCTCACTTCCTCCTCATCTGCTGCCCTCTCCTGTCATTTCTGCACTCCCTGGAGGAGGAGGAGGTGCAAGGGGCTTCATGTCCCCTCTTCCAGCTGAATGGAGGAGGTGGCAGCTTTTATCATCACATCTGGTCCTCAAAGCCCTAAAGGTTTCCCCTGTCCCCTACCCCAGTCTTTCTCCCTCCTCCTTGCTCAGTTCTCCACCTCTCTCATTCATCTCCCTAATATTCTTTCCAAGTTTTAGAATTGGTCCTAGGTCTGGCTGGGGCACTGAGCAGGGCTGAGGCCTGGGGATTGTTCCAGTGAGGAATAGACCTTCCTCTTCCTAGGAAAATGTCAAAGACAAGCTTCGGGCCATTGTAGTGACCTTGTCCTACAGTCTCCAGACCCCTCGGCTCCGGCGACAGGCTCCTGGCCAGGGGCTGCCTCCAGTGGCCCCCATCCTCAATGCCCACCAGCCCAGCACCCAGCGGGCAGAGGTGAGCATGGGTTCTGGTTTAGCCCAGGGGGAGGAGCTGGGAGGGCAAAGATCATGGTCCCTCCCCAGTGACACCAATTCACAGCTCACAGAGCCCTTTCACGTATGCTACTCCAGTAATTCCTCATATCTCTAGGTGCCTAAATGACCATGTTCCTAGTCAAGGGGACAGAGCTCCTCTACTCCATGTAGTCATTCAGGGGGCTCAGGTTGATGGGATTCTGTAATCTTCAAATGCGGCCTTCAAGCTCTTGAAGTCACATTCATCCCATTCAGCTGGAAGGGAGAACATGAGGCCCCTTGCTTGCATGGTTTTTATGGCTGGCCCAGAAGTGGTGCCCTTGACATCTTTTCCCGTTCTAAATCCGGAACTCAGTTACATGCATGTGAGCTGGGGCAGTGTGGCCCAGCTCTTGACTTGCTGCTAGTCTCTACCATGGCATGGTAGTGCTCCCATCACTACCATGATGAGAGGACCCAGAGGAGAGGACCCAGTTCAGGATCACATGGCTAATAAGCAGCAGATCTGAGAGTTGAGGACAGGTTGTTTAATCCTGTGATACTCTAACCCACCATATGCCATGGTGACAGGTTTGCCCCCTGCCTTGCCCCCTAGGAATGCCCCTTATCTCATGTCTCTCCCCAGATCCACTTCCTGAAGCAAGGCTGTGGTGAAGACAAGATCTGCCAGAGCAATCTGCAGCTGGTCCGCGCCCGCTTCTGTACCCGGGTCAGCGACACGGAATTCCAACCTCTGCCCATGTGAGGGGGGCAGAGAGCAGGGTGGGGGTGGGAGGGCAAGAGTTCAAGGATTGAGAGAAAGCCCTCTCAGGAGGACCAGTCAGAGGGAAGGGCTGAGCCTGCAGAAAAGGCAGAAGGTGGAAGAGGACCTGCCGATGGACTTGGAGACTGAGATGAGGGTCAGTGATGGGGCCACGGGGGCTCCCATGGCAAGGAATAGCAATCCTTCACAGTACACTAATAATATGCAGTCTACATACATCTCATTGGTTAGTCTTCAAACCTCTGTGAGGTAGGAATTATATTAGTCTCATTTTATAGATGGAGAACTGAAGCCTAGAGAGGTTAAGTTACTTGGCCAAGGTAAGTAATGGTGGAGCTGAGATGAGAACGGAGGTCCCCTGACTCCCAGTCGTGTGTACAGAGGCCTGAGGCTTGGACGGGTGTGATGGGGACCTGGGGTGGGAAGAGAGGCTCAGGGAGTGAAGGCAGGTACTGGGGGAGCAGACTGGGCGGGGGAATGGTAGGGGGAGGTGTTCAGAACTTAGCAGGAGTGGGGTCTGACTCTCCAGGGATGTGGATGGAACAACAGCCCTGTTTGCACTGAGTGGGCAGCCAGTCATTGGCCTGGAGCTGATGGTCACCAACCTGCCATCGGACCCAGCCCAGCCCCAGGCTGATGGGGATGATGCCCATGAAGCCCAGCTCCTGGTCATGCTTCCTGACTCACTGCACTACTCAGGGGTCCGGGCCCTGGACCCTGCGGTGAGGACCTGGGGGCAGGATGGGGTGGGGTCTTGAGGGGCTCCAGTAACCCAGACTGACCTTGCCTTCTCTCCCATTCCAGGAGAAGCCACTCTGCCTGTCCAATGAGAATGCCTCCCATGTTGAGTGTGAGCTGGGGAACCCCATGAAGAGAGGTGCCCAGGTTGGCACATCTGCCCTTATCCCTACGTGAGTAGCCTCTCCATAAGCCCGTAGACCACCCCTGACTCTAATCTCTTTCCACCCTTGGCCTAGGTCACCTTCTACCTCATCCTTAGCACCTCCGGGATCAGCATTGAGACCACGGAACTGGAGGTAGAGCTGCTGTTGGCCACGTAAGCCAGGCGGGGCCGGAAGGGTGAGGTGGGGGTAGTCATATTGACCTCATCTGACCCCTTGGGAGGTGCCTGTGCCTGATGCCCATACTTGCCCCTGCCCACTCACCAGGATCAGTGAGCAGGAGCTGCATCCAGTCTCTGCACGAGCCCGTGTCTTCATTGAGCTGCCACTGTCCATTGCAGGGTGAGCCTGGCCCAAGGGGGCACCTCCATTGGAGGGAGGGGGCATTGACATTTCCAAACCTTGGCCAGGGCCCTGCCTTCATTGAGCCAGGCCCCAGACCTTCTCACCCCTGTTCTGACCTCTCCACGCCAGAATGGCCATTCCCCAGCAACTCTTCTTCTCTGGTGTGGTGAGGGGCGAGAGAGCCATGCAGTCTGAGCGGGATGTGGGCAGCAAGGTCAAGTATGAGGTCACGGTAAGTGTCAGGGATGAGGCCCCTCCATGGTCACCCTCCCTCCTTGGCACAGAGGAGAGGCTGAGCTGTGTCCCCAGGGCTGGGGCTCTTCTACCATGTGGCAGCATGCAGTTTGAGGCCTCTGTCCTGCATATGGACCTTGGCTGTGGGAAGGTGTTCCTGCTGGGGCCTCATTTGACCATTTCCTGGTCATTCTGTCTGGCTGTCTCACCTGCTGGTGTGGTAGGCCATGAGAGTCCAGGGAAGCTTCTCTGCTGTGGGCCTCAGCTGGGGGATGGGAACATGGGGCGGGGGGTTAATGTCTCTCCCTAGAACTCTGCCTTTGCTTGGCTGGGGCCTCTCCTCACACCTTCCAGGGACACTTCCAGGGTTTCCCGGATTTGGTGGGTGGAGAGAATGGTGCCTGGTGGGGTCTAGGATCCTGAGTATTTGTTGAAATTGTGTTTCCTGAGGGCCTTCTCTTCAGCCCTTGTTCCTTCCATCTCTGTGGATTTAGGATCCACTTGAAAGCTGAGTTCCTTGGCTGGGCACGGTGGCTCATGCCTGTAATCACAGCACTACAGGAGGCCAAGGTGGCAGGATCACTTGAGCCCAGGAGTTAGAGACAAGCCTGGGCAACATAGATCCTGTCTCTACAAAAAATTAAAAAAAAAAAAAAAAGAAAAACTGAGGTCTCTCCCCTCATACTCTCTTTTTCCCACAGGTTTCCAACCAAGGCCAGTCGCTCAGAACCCTGGGCTCTGCCTTCCTCAACATCATGTGGCCTCATGAGATTGCCAATGGGAAGTGGTTGCTGTACCCAATGCAGGTTGAGCTGGAGGGCGGGCAGGGGCCTGGGCAGAAAGGGCTTTGCTCTCCCAGGCCCAACATCCTCCACCTGGTGAGGCTTAGGTGGGGGTGGGGGTTAGATGTGGGGACAGATGTTATGGGGAGTAAGGGTAGTGAGTGCAGTGATGGGGCAGGAGGAAGGCGGTGGGGAGGAGATTCGATCTTAGCACTGCTGTGATTGGAGGGACACTCACTAAGACCCCCCTTCCGTGTCCAGGATGTGGACAGTAGGGATAGGAGGCGGCGGGAGCTGGAGCCACCTGAGCAGCAGGAGCCTGGTGAGCGGCAGGAGCCCAGCATGTCCTGGTGGCCAGTGTCCTCTGCTGAGAAGAAGAAAAACATCACCCTGGTGAGGGCAGGCCAGACTCGGTGCAGCCAGAGCTCCGGGGTGCTGCGTGTCCAGGAAGGGTACCTGTTGAGACACATGATGGTCTGGGTGCAAGTTGACCAGATGTTCCCATCACAATTCATAGGAGGGGGTGCCCGGGAGGCAGCTACTGACACTGCAGACCCCCTTCCTGCTCAGCCCCTGCAATTGCTCACTCTAGAACAGGTCACTCCACCTGAAGCCAGTTAGTTAGCCAAGCAATTGATTCACATTACGTTTATATAAAGCATTACATTTTATACGTGATGGGATGGGGTTAGCCCATCCTCACACTTTGAGGTCTGTTTGTCGTTCTTTTGAACTCTTATAAGATAAAAAAGTCAATTTGTGTAAGGACACTTGCTTGATTTTTACAGTATTAAAAATGTTAAGTTCTTTTTTGTTGTTGTTGAGACGGAGTCTTGCTCTGTCACCAAGGCTAGAGTGCAGTGGCACGATCTCAGCTCACTGCAACCTCTGCCTCTGGTTCAAGCGATTCTCCTTCCTCAGCCTCCTAAGTAGCTGGGACTACAGGTGCATGCCACCACACCCGGCTGATTTTTGTATTTTTAGTAGAGACGGGGTTTCACCATGTTGGCCAGGCTGGCTGGTCTCGAACTCCTAACCTCGAGCGATCTGTCTGCCTCGGCCTCCCAAAGTGCTGGGATTATAGGCCTGAGCCACGCGCTCAGCAAAAACACTAAATTCTAAAAGTTCTAATAATTAAGACAACCGTATATTATATGTGATTTATTAAGTTTACCCCTTTTGAGCAGTTTTGCTTTCCCCTTTTCTGCTTGTTTTGCAGAGTTGTGTTGTTTAGGTGAAGGTATTGAGCAGATCCGCACATGCTCTGTGCCCCTCCCTGCTAGGATGGGGCTCGCAGTGAGAATGTGGTGGGGACTTAGATTAGGAGGTCTTTGGCTTGATTGTAAGGAGGTGGAGGTAAACCCCAGGTAGAGCCAAGGAGACCCTTTGCAGGGGAATGTCAGCAGCTGCTGCAGTCCCTGCTTTGGGCCCTCAGCTCCCCTGGGAGCATGGCATGAGGCAAACTGAAGAACGTCAGGGGATGTAGGAACCCATGTCGTGGCTGTTGCTCTATTACATGGATAATCCTCCCTTCTCCACGTGACCGATTTCCTCTGAGAGGCCTCCCTTTTAAATGGGAACTTTGAAATAGATTCTTTTTGTTTTCATGTTAAAATGTATTTATTTATTTAAATGACAAAAATTATATTTATCATGTATAATACAATGTTTTGAAATATGTATATACTGTGGAATGGCTATATTGAGCTAATTAACATATGCATCACCTCACATACTTATTTTTGTGGTAAGAACACTTAAAATCTATTCTCTTAGTGATTCTCAGGAATACAATATGTTGTTATTAACTACAGTCCCCATGTTGTGCATTAGATCTCTTAAATAGATATCTCTTCCTTCTGTCTAACTGAAACTTTGTATCTTTTGACCACCATCTCCTCCATCTCCCCAGCCACACCCCGCCTCCACTCCAGCCCTAGGTAACAACTATTCTACTCTCTACTTCTATGAGTTCAACTTTCAGATTCCACATATAAGTGAGATAATGCAGTATTTATCTTTCTGAATCTGGCTTACTTTGCTTAACATAATGTCTAAAGTAGATTCTTTTTTATTTTATTTTATTTTTTTATTTTTTATTTTTTAATTTTATTATTATTATACTTTAAGTTTTAGGGTACATGTGCACAATGTGCAGGTTAGTTACATATGTATACATGTGCCATGCTGGTGTGCTGCACCCATTAACTCGTCATTTAGCATTAGGTATATCTCCTAAAGCTATCCCTCCCCACTGCCCCCACCCCACAACAGTCCCCAGAGTGTGATGTTCCCCTTCCTGTGTCCATGTGTTCTCATTGTTCAATTCCCACCTATGAGTGAGAATATGCGGTGTTTGGTTTTTTGTTCTTGTGATAGTTTAGTGAGAATGATTTCCAATTTCATCCATGTCCCTACAAAGGACATGAACTCATCATTTTTTATGGCTGCATAGTATTCCATGGTGTATATGTGCCACATTTTCTTAATCCAGTCTATCATTGTTGGACATTTGGGTTGGTTCCAAGTCTTTGCTATTGTGAATAGTGCCGCAATAAACATACGTGTGCATGTGTCTTTATAGCAGCATGATTTATAGTCCTTTGGGTATATACCCAGTAATGGGATGGCTGGGTCAAATGGTATTTCTAGTTCTAGATCCCTGAGGAATCGCCACACTGACTTCCACAAGGTTTGAACTAGTTTACAGTCCCACCAACAGTGTAAAAGTGTTCCTATTTCTCCACATCCTCTCCAGCACCTGTTGTTTCCTGACTTTTTAATGATTGCCATTCTAACTGGTGTGAGATGATATCTCATTGTGGTTTTGATTTGCATTTCTCTGATGGCCAGTGATGGTGAGCATTTTTTCATGTGTTTTTTGGCTGCATAAATGTCTTCTTTTGAGAAGTATCTGTTCATGTCCTTTGCCCACTTTTTGATGGGGTTGTTTGTTTTGTTCTTGTAAATTTGTTTGAGTTCATTGTAGATTCTGGATATTAGCCCTTTGTCAGATGAGTAGGTTGCGAAAATTTTCTCCCATTTTGTAGGTTGCCTGTTCACTCCGATGATAGTTTCTTTTGCTGTGCAGAAGCTCTTTAGTTTAATTAGATCCCATTTGTCAATTTTGGCTTTTGTTGCCATTGCTTTTGGTGTTTTAGACATGAAGTCCTTGCCCATGCCTATGTCCTGAATGGTAATTCCTAGGTTTTCTTCTAGGGTTTTTATGGTTTATGTCTAACATTTAAGTCTTTAATCTATCTTGAATTAATTTTTGTATAAGGTGTTAGGAAGGGATCCAGTTTCAGCTTTCTACATATGGCTAGCCAGTTTTCCCAGCACCATTTATTAAATAGGGAATCCTTTCCCCACTGGTTGTTTTTCTCAGGTTTGTCAAAGATCAGATAGTTGTAGATATGTGGCGTTATTTCTGAGGGCTCTGTTCTGTTCCATTGATCTATATCTCTGTTTTGGTACTAGTACTAAAGTAGATTCTTTTACTAAAAAGGCAGAAGGCCTTGCTTTTAGACAGCTTGGCTAAGGATTCTTGAATGGCTCAAAAGTGGCAAAATAAAAGATAACTCAAATAATTCAGACACTCTTAAAGCCATTCTTCTGTGTCTGGATCGTGGTGTGATGAATATAACATAACTTTCAGGCAAATGGGTCGTGAGGTGGTGATTGGGCCAAATGGATTTAGGTCAGTCCTGGAAAGAACAGAGCCTGAGTCCCCTGTCTACCCAGGAGCTCCTGAGGCTACCTCCTCCTCCTTCAGCGAGTTTGGGTTTAGGGCAGGGGTGTGGCTTTGCCGAATATGGACCTGAGTTCAAATATTTGCTCCACCACTCATTAGCTTTGCTAGTGCTGTGACCTGAGGCAGGTCGCTTGGCCTCCTTGGGCCTCCTCAGTTTCTTCCTTTGAAAAATGAGGATGATAATGTGCACCTTGTAGGACTATTGCGAAGCTTAAGTGAGATAAGTGCCTGACAAGTAGTAGGTGCTCAATAAATGGGACTGTCATTAGGTAACATAAGCATCACTTGGGGAAGCTACTCTGCCTGTGCTGTCAAGTAAGAGATTCCCTTCCATGCTGCCCCCTCCACGCATTTCAAAGCTGAATAGCTCAGATTTGGGGCAGGCAGCTATTTTGGATATAAGATTAGTTTGAGAAGACTTCCTGGAGGAGGGGAGTTTGAGGTCAAGTAAGGAAAATGGGAGAGATGGCAGTCTCAGCAGGGTTGAGCTGAGTGGCTTAGACCCCTGTCTGTCCTTATCCCTAGGACTGCGCCCGGGGCACGGCCAACTGTGTGGTGTTCAGCTGCCCACTCTACAGCTTTGACCGCGCGGCTGTGCTGCATGTCTGGGGCCGTCTCTGGAACAGCACCTTTCTGGAGGTGAGGATACCACTCGGCTCTAGTCTGTGTTTCTTCTTCCTCCAAAGCCCCTCCAGGACTCATTTCTCCTCCTCCTTCCTCACTGTCCAAATGCAGCATCCCCCCCCTTTTTTTTTTTTTTGAGACGGAGTCTTCCTTTGTCCCCCAGGCTGGAGTGCAGTGGTGCGATCTCAGCTCACTGCAACCTCTGCCTCCCAGGTTCAAGAGGTTCTCCTGCCTCAGCCTCCTGAGTAGCTGAGATTACAGGCACGTGCCACCACACCCGATATTTTTGTATTTTTCATAGAGACGGGGTTTTGCCATGTTGGCCAGGCTGATCTCAAACTCCTGACCTCAGGTGATCCACCCTCCTTGGCCTCCCAAAGTGCTGGGATTACAGGTGTGAGCCACTGTGCCCAGCCCAAACGCAGCATACTCTTAACCCAAACCAGGCAGAAACATCCTCTGTGTTGGGCACCATTACATTTATAATTTCAGGAGGTAAGGGGAAGGGAGGGAGACATGGGGCATTTAGGAGAAGGGTCTCCTTCCCTGTTCCCTTAGGAGTACTCAGCTGTGAAGTCCCTGGAAGTGATTGTCCGGGCCAACATCACAGTGAAGTCCTCCATAAAGAACTTGATGCTCCGAGATGCCTCCACAGTGGTGAGCTGCAGGGTTGGGGGATAGGTGGGGAGGACTCTCTTCTTTCCTGCTCCCTCCAGTTCTTGTTCCATTGACCTCTTGCTCCATTGACCCCTTGCTCCCCAGATCCCAGTGATGGTATACTTGGACCCCATGGCTGTGGTGGCAGAAGGAGTGCCCTGGTGGGTCATCCTCCTGGCTGTACTGGCTGGGCTGCTGGTGCTAGCACTGCTGGTGCTGCTCCTGTGGAAGGTGAGGCTTGGAGGTGGGGCTGATGGGGGTGGACTTCCTGGTTGGGTGAGCAGCATTTTGTATTGTGGTTCTGTCACCCACCCACACACTCATGTATTCAGCAAATCTGCACTGAACACTTGCCCTGCATGTCTCAGGAACTCTATTAGTCCCTGGATGTTTCAAAGATAAATCAGATGCAGGCTGGGTGCAGTGGCTCATGCCTGGAATCTCAGCACTTTGGGAGGCCTAGGCAGGTGGATCACTTGAGGTCAGGAGTTCGAGACCAGCCTGGACAACATGGTGAAACCCCATCTCTACTTAAAATACAAAATTAGCTGGGCGTGGTGGCACGCACCTGTAGATCCAGCTACTTGGGAGGCTGAGGCAGGAGAATCGATTGAACTCGAAAGGTGGGGTTGCAGTGAGCCGAGATGGCGCCATTGCACTCCAGCCTGGGTGACAGAGCGAGACTCCATCTCAAAAAAAAAAAAAAAAAAAAAAGCCGGGCATGGTGGCTCATGCCTGTAATCCCAGCACTTTGGGAGGCTGAGGTGAGTGGATCACCTGAGGTCAGGAGTTCAAGACCAAGCTGGCCAACATGGTGAAATCCTGTCTCTGTTAAAAATACAAACAAATAAAAAAAATTAGCTGGGCATGGTGGGGGGTGCCTGTAATCCCAGCTACTTGGGAGGCTGAGACAGGAGAATCGCTTGAACCCGGGAGGTGGAGGTTGCAGTGAGCCAAGATTGCGCCACTGCACTGCAACCTGGGGGACTGAGCAGGACTCTGTCTCAAAAAAAAAAAAAAAAAAAAAAAAAAGAAATCAGATGCAGATCTCGTTCTCAGGGATTTTATAGTCCAGTGGGATGGGAGTGGTGAGCCTGTAGTCAAGGACAAGGCAGGAAGTGTTGAGTTGAGAAAATGGAGTGGGAGTTTAGAGGGAAAAAAGCTTGAGAGGAGGTAGCACTGGAACCAGTCCTCAGAGGAAGGTGGGGTAGTAGGGTGAGGATGTAAGGGGATGAGGTAGGTGGGGTCCAGCAGGACCATGGTAGGCAAAGTCGTGGAGGCAGAGAAGTGTGATCTGACTTAACTAGAATGTGGCAGTGAAAACTGGAAAGGTAAATGTGGCCAAGAAGGCCAACAAGCACGGAGAACGGCCTCCAGGGGACTGCCCTCATGGCGGAACTCAGAGCTTCCACATACCAGGCTCTGCATGGAAGCATTCTTGTACACCCAGAGCTGTATACCGAATCATACTGGTATCCAGGGCTCAATGTAAAAGTATGCACATGCACACGTCAGTACACGGAATCACATACATCACCGGGGTCATATGCTGAGCCATCTGCCACATCGGGGGCTATGTTCAGAACCACACATGTCCTTGGGGCTCTGGAGAACTGCCCCTGCCTGTGCCTGCTCTTTGGGACCAATCAGAGACTGAGCCACCCTTTGGCAAGTGTGAATCATCAGTAGACCAGGCTCTGGAGTGGCATCCAAGCTGTTGGGAACCTTCCCAGTCTTAGGGGAGATTGATGCCTCTGTGAAACTGGTCCCAGGATGCTTGCTCCCTGCTCCCATGGAAGGAAGACAGAGCAGAGATAGGGGATCCTGTCCTTCCTCAATCTTTCCATCCTCTGCTTCCTCTGCCCTGCTTCTCCCTCGACATCCTAGTGTGGCTTCTTCCATCGGAGCAGCCAGAGCTCATCTTTTCCCACCAACTATCACCGGGCCTGTCTGGCTGTGCAGCCTTCAGCCATGGAAGTTGGGGGTCCAGGGACTGTGGGGTAACTGTTGTGTGTGTGCATGTGTCTAGTGTGTGTGGGTATGTATGTGTGTGAATATAAGGAGAATTCCCAGCATTCAGGGGATCAGGAATGTTCAGGGTGAAAAATGAGATTGCATGAGAGTGATGTGAGGTGAGAGGTAATTAGAAGGGTGCAGATATAAGGGTAAGTCTACACAGCCTGAGGCGTGCACAAAGGGTTGGTGGGCTCATGGGGTGTGAGCATGTGGGAGTGTGGGGAGGTCGCATGCATGCTTTTTTCTATGGGCATGAGTGTGCAAGGAGATGAATGTGTAAGGAGATGCCATGCAGTCTGAGCATGTAGGAGTCCTGGGCCTCTGAGTGTGAGTGTGCAGGGGCACATTCCCACCCTGGTGTGTAAGGGCCAGCATGGTCCTCATTTAGGGTGGGGCTAGACTACTGTATTGATGGACAAGAGGGTATTGCTGTAAGGGGCGTGCCGCCCAAGGTACAAGTACACGGGGTGCATGTTTATGAGGCTTGAGAGGTATCATTCCAGAGATGCAGGGGACTAGGAAGCCATTTTCTTCCTCAGGTCTTGTTTGTGTTCTGGGGGACACTATTGGGTCTCTTAAGAAGCTAGAGGGGGTACAAATCTTGAGTCCGGTCCTGATGCTCCACCCTCAAGGCCCTCTTTCAGGGGCCAAGGGAGATACCCTTGGTCCTGCCTCTTGGACGCCCTTCTGGTCTCTCTCTTGCTGTGAATGAGAACCTGGGGACACAGCACTGATGGGAGCACCGTGGGTGCTGCCCACCACACCAGATGCTATTCAGCCTATTTCCTTTCTGCCGCAGCAGGGATGGTGAGGGTGAGGAGCTGTGCCGCGCTAGGCATCTGCTCCAGGGACCGCAGCTCTTCAGGCTCCTCATGGTCTGGCCTGGTGTCCTTATAGATGGGATTCTTCAAACGGGCGAAGCACCCCGAGGCCACCGTGCCCCAGTACCATGCGGTGAAGATTCCTCGGGAAGACCGACAGCAGTTCAAGGAGGAGAAGACGGGCACCATCCTGAGGAACAACTGGGGCAGCCCCCGGCGGGAGGGCCCGGATGCACACCCCATCCTGGCTGCTGACGGGCATCCCGAGCTGGGCCCCGATGGGCATCCAGGGCCAGGCACCGCCTAGGTTCCCATGTCCCAGCCTGGCCTGTGGCTGCCCTCCATCCCTTCCCCAGAGATGGCTCCTTGGGATGAAGAGGGTAGAGTGGGCTGCTGGTGTCGCATCAAGATTTGGCAGGATCGGCTTCCTCAGGGGCACAGACCTCTCCCACCCACAAGAACTCCTCCCACCCAACTTCCCCTTAGAGTGCTGTGAGATGAGAGTGGGTAAATCAGGGACAGGGCCATGGGGTAGGGTGAGAAGGGCAGGGGTGTCCTGATGCAAAGGTGGGGAGAAGGGATCCTAATCCCTTCCTCTCCCATTCACCCTGTGTAACAGGACCCCAAGGACCTGCCTCCCCGGAAGTGCCTTAACCTAGAGGGTCGGGGAGGAGGTTGTGTCACTGACTCAGGCTGCTCCTTCTCTAGTTTCCCCTCTCATCTGACCTTAGTTTGCTGCCATCAGTCTAGTGGTTTCGTGGTTTCGTCTATTTATTAAAAAATATTTGAGAACAAAACCTCTGCCTCTTTGAGTCTTGCTCTGGCATCCCCAGCATCTCTGATTCTCCCTGGTGCCCCCAGCTCAGGAAGAAGGTGGTAGTGGGGAGAGAGGGTCAGGGGGGCTTGGCAGGGATGCAGGCACCATGACTTTTGTGACCAGTTCCTAGAGACGCATGGGTGTAGCCTCAGGAGGAAAGCGAGAGGAGCTTTACCATGGGAACGAAGGAAAGGGACAACATTGGGAGGCAAACGTTGGGAGACTAGTCCAGAAACTTGCAGTTGAGGATACAACAGGGTCCTAGTGTTTCCTCCCTGGGTCAGCGTAGAAGTAGAGCTTTTTCACTGTCGAAGGCGGGATTGAAGTTAGAGATTGCCCTGGCAGAGGTTGGGGAGAGAGGGACTAGTAGGTGGTACATGAATGTCTTCTCTCATTCTGCTAGGTCCCTCTCAGTGGAAGATAGATAGGCTGGTGGGTGGCTTGTTCTAATTGGAGGCTGGGGAAGGAGCAAATGAGTGCCTTGGAGCTTGGGAAAGATTATTTGACAGCCTTTCCCATGATGTGGGGCCCAACAGGTAGCCACTTCAAGGGAGGGGGCTGTCGTTCCATTTGGATTTCGGAGAACTGGGCGTTCTCAAGATCCTTCCAGGTCTCTCTGGTGAGGCAGCAGCCATCCCCAATGTGTTTCCAGGTGGGCTCGAAAACTTGCTGCCACATGAAGGCCCAGCTTCCATATGGTTCTGCCACATGCTCCCAGAAAAAGAGCACACCTCCCTGGGAGGGATGAGAGAGTTAGTGTCACTTGGCTCCATTCTGACCCTGCTCCCTATCGCGCTGATCAAGACAGTCAAACTTCTTGGTGAAATGGGAGCTGCTGGTCTGAGAGTTCATGGAGCAAACTGTCGTGCCCCTGACCTTTTCTGCATCCCCTGCTACCGCCTTCAAAGTGCATGTGAAGAACCTCATAACTGAAAGGAGTGGCTGGTGGGAGATCTTTAAAGCCTGACCAGAATAACCGAGGGCATGCAGAAGGGGAAACTGAGAAACAGGAGTGGAGGGCTCATTGTATTATTATTATTATTATTATTTTTTGAGACAGAGTCTCAGTCTGTTGCTCAGGCTGGAGTGCAATGGCGTGATCTCGGCGCACTGCAACCTCCACCTCTCAGGTTCAAGCGATTCTCCTGCCTCAGCCTCCCAAGTAGCTGGGATTACAGGCATGAGCCACCACGCCCGGCTACTTTTTGTATTTTTCAGTAGAGACAGGGTTTCACCATGTTGGCCAGTCTGGTTTCAAACTCCTGGCCTCAAGAGATCCACCTGCCTTGCCTCCCAAAGTGCTGGATTACAGGCGTGAGCCACCTCGCCCAGCTGGGCTTATTGTATTCTGAGATACACGCACAACCTCTCTCACAAAACCCAGATGCATGCACAAGCTGCTTCCTGGACATCGCTGTGAACATCCCAGGGAAACCTCAGGCCCAACTCTTGACTGAAGCTGGGGTTCCTCAAGCTCCTCGCCTCACTATACTCTCCCTAGGTGATCTCAAACCTAGTAAGTCCAAAACAGCTTTCTTCCATCTCAGCAAATGGCACTTTTCATCAGCTCTCCCCTCAGTTGCTCATGCTAGAAACCTGGAAACTATTCTGAACGTTCTCTCCACAGTCTGATGGATTCTACTCTACTTCCCCTACTATCTTTACCTAGAACACTCTTTTATTTTCCCCACCCCGTCCACACTCTGCTTAATCCCTCAGATCTCTCTCTCTCTCTCTCTTTTTATTTATTTATTTATTTTTTTTGATACAGGGTCTCACTCTGTGGCCCAGGCTGGAGTGCAGTGGTGCGATCATAGTTCACTGTAACTTTGAACTCGGGCTCAAGTGATCCTCCCACCTCAGCTTCCTGAGTAGCTAGGACTATAGGCATGTGCCACCACGCCTGGCTAGCTTTTGTATTTTTTTTTTTTTTTTTTTTTGTAGAGACGGCATCTCACTATGTTGCCTTGGCTGGTCTTGAACTCCTGGGCTCAAGTCATCCTTCTGCTTCAGCCTCCCAAGCACAGATCTCGATTTAAACCTCAGTTCCTTAGGTGTCCTCCCCACTCCCCTCCCTGTCCCATGGTGGTAGGTGATCCTCCTGTTGCTTCCACAGCACCCAATTGTGCCCCGTCATGGCACTGGTCATGTCTCCTATTCACCAGCAGGTAGAGGTGGATGGGGTGTCTAATGTGCTACTTACTACCTCAGACGCCCCATTCTGGGGGCCGAACCCTGGGGCGGCTGATGCTGCGTTTGCCTGCCCCACACCCATCCCCTTCCCACCCTGCTTACCGGTCTCAGTACTCTCCGGACCTCCTGCAGGACCTTCCTTGGGCTCTGCACAGAGCACAGCACCAGAGTGCAGACCACCACATCCATGGAGCCATCAGCCAGCTGTCTCATGTCCTCTCCAGGAGCCACCACAAACCGCTCATATTGGAGGTGCCTGTTCTCAGCCATGCTCTTTGTCAGGAACTTCTCAAAGTGGGGATTTGGGTCTAGGCAGGTGACCCTGCAGCCCGGTGGGTAGAACTGAAAGTTGGCTCCGGTTCCGCAGCCCAGCTCCAGTAGGGCCACTTTCCCGGAGGCTCCTGTAAGCCCCTTTATCTGGCTGAAGAGCTCCCGTTTCTTGCTCTCCATCTTGCGGTTGCTCTTGGGAGTCAGCACGGCCATCAGGTAGGGGAAGTAGCTTTTGCACAGGGGCTGCCAGCAGCCCAGCAGAGCCATGAGGTGCAGGGGCAGGGTAAGAAGCAGCACCAGCAGCTGCAGGAGTGGGACCAGGATGTCCATGGCAGACCAGCTCTGAGCTGTGCTTCCGCTGGGGCACTGGCTTTTTCCCTGCTCAGCCTCTGCAGGCGCTGGCGTCCCCTCCCGCTGTGATAGGACTTTGCTCCTTGTCTCCTACTTGACAATTTCCTATTTGCCAGAGTTGAGTGGGTGTATGGAATTCCTCCAGAGGGCGCAGGTCCCACAGCCCCACAAGCTCTTCAATGACTTTTATGTGGGCGGAGGGACAGGTGGTACCCATGTTCCTGAGTTCTGGGGCACTGTGCCCAGCTGAAGGGGGGCAGGGGCTGCTGAGTCATCTCAGAGGGAGTGGGAAGGGGTAAGGGGATATGTTTCAGATGACAGACTCATGGCGGGGGAGTGTCGGGGGCTGGCAGGGCGTTGGGGGTGGGTTGGTAGTGGTGAATGCTGGGGACAGAGTTGACTCATGGGACATATCCTGGCCTCATTTCGTCCTCAGGTCAGGCACTTCAGAGGGGCCATAGGAAGGGAAGGGTGCTCTTGGCAGAGGAAAAAGTAGGTGTACAGGACAGAGACAGCATGCCCTCTCCTGGAAAGGGTGAGAAGTTTAGTTCTGTGGGGAATGGGGTAAGTTGGACAAATAGGGGGAAGTGAGGTCAGAGAATAGCCACTTTTTAGAGATCCTTCCCTCCCTCCCTCCCTTCCTCCCTTCTTTCCTTCTTTCCTTTTTTTGAGACAGGGTCTCTGCTGCCCAGGCTGGGGTGCAGTGGCAGCAGTCTGGGCTCACTGCAACCTCAATGTCCCTAGGCTCAAGTGATCCTCTTACACCAGCCTCCTGATTTTCTGGGACTACAAGTGCATACCACCATGCCCAGCAATTTTTTTTTTTCTGTAATTTGTAGAGACAGGGTTTCACCCTGTTGCCCAGGTTGGTCTTGAACTCCTGGGCTCAGGTGATCCACCCACCTCGACTTCCCAAAGTGCTGGGATTACAGTTGGGAGCCACTGCGCCTGGCTGAGAAGAATTCTTTTTACAAAACATTATTAAACAACTTTTTTTGGAAGAGGCAGTACATTCACTTAGTACAAAATTAAAAAGATACTAAAGAGATTACAGGGAAAATTCTCTCTTCTACTCCTGTGACCCAACCACTCAGATCTCCTCTCTGGAGGCACTAAATGCCATATTGCCAATTTCTTGTGAATCCTTCCAGAGATGACCTGTGAACGAGCAGGGAACACACACACCACGTGTTTAGATCCATGTACATATATACATATACATATTCCCTTTTCTTTTACAAATAGTAGTATATTGTACACACTCTTGTATACCTTGCTTCCCCCCCTTCTTAACAATGTATTGGATTTAGTAGATAATAGCAAATGGGTTTCCAAAGTGATTGTACCCATTTACACGTCCACCAGCAATATTTGGTTTTATGTGTCTTTTATGTGTTCATATTATTATTGATGCATAGATTCCTATTTTATTCACTGATTTGTAACCTAATACCCTATTTATTTATTTACAGTTTCTTTGAGGTATAATATATATAAGAAGGTTTACATATTTACAGTATATAGATTATTTTTGACACAGTATATACCTGGGAAACCATTACCACAGTCGAGATAATGAACATGTCTATGTGTTAGGCTTTTGCATTGCTGTTAAGAAATACCTAAGGCTGGTTGATTTATAAAGAAAAAAAGTTTAATTGGTTCATAGTTCTGCAGACTGCACAGGAAGCATGGCACCAGTATCTGCTTGGCCTCTGGTGAGGGTCTCAGGGAGCTTACAATCATGGTGGAAGACGAAGGGGAGCAGTGTATCACATGGCAAGAGAGGGAGCAAGAGAGACCTTGCGTGAACTGCCAGAGCGAGAACTCACTCATCACCAAGGGGTTGGCACTGAGCCACTGATGAGGGGTTGGGACCTCAGGAGCCAAACACATCCCACCAGGCCCCACCTCTGACATTGAGGATTACATTTCAACATGAGATTTGGAGGGGACAAACATCCAAACTATATCAGTTTCCTTGTGTTTCTTTGTAATCCATTCGCCCCTCTTTCATCCCCATCTTCAGGTAACCGCTGATCTGCTCTCTGTCAGTATAGATTAATTTCTCTTCTCTTCTCTTCTCAGGCAGAGTCTCACTCTGTGGCCCAGGCTGGAGTGCAGTTGTTTGATCTTGGCTCATTGCAACCTCCACCTCCCAGGTTCAAGTGATTCTCCTGCCTCAGCCTCCTGAGTAGCTGGGATTACAAGCATGCACCACCATGCCCGGCTAATTTTTGTATTTTTAGTAGAGACGGTGTTTCACCATATTGACCAGGCTGGTCTCAAACTCCTGACCTCGGGTGATCCGCCTACCTTGGCCTCCCAAATAGTTTGCATTTTCTGGAATTTTGTGTAAATGGAATCCTATAATGTATGGGATTTCAGCATCTGGCTTATTTCATTCAGCATGTTTATTTGGAGAGTCATCCATGTTGTACATGCATCCGCAGTTCATTTCCATTTCTGAGTAGTATTCCATTGTATGGATATACCACATATATTTTTATCCATTCACTTGTTGATAAACGTTTGGGTTGTTTCCAATTTCTGACTGTTAGAAATAAAGCTACTATGAACTGTTTGTGTACATGGGTTTGTGTGGACGTATGCTTTTATTTCTCTTGGGTGAATACCTGGGTGTGTATTTTGATGTTCAAATTGCCCTAGATTTGGCTGGGGGAGCACCTGCAAGCTGGCTCCTGTCTCCTTTTGACACAACTCCATCACTCTTTGAGCATTTTCTTACTTTCTGCTACAAGAAGATGTTCCAGGCTCATCTTGTATTTCCCCTGCTCCAGCCCCGAACTTAGTTATTTCTCAAAGAAGCACTGGTCTTTTGTGAGGAGGATGGTATTTAAAAACCAAGATCTGAATGCTGGATGTGATTATCACTGGGGAGTAATTGCTCCTGGGCCTGCTCCATGGACACAGAAAGAGGCAAAGTAGTATTATCCTGTGCTTTTTATTTGCTCTTTTCTTTTTCTTTTCCTTTTTTTTTTTTTTTTTTCCTGAGACAGAGTCTCACTCTGTCGCCCAGGCTGAAGTGCAGTGGCACTATCTCGGCTTGCTGCAACCTCCGACTCCCGGATTCAAGCGATTCTCCCTCCTCAGCCTCCCGAGTAGCTGGGATTACAGGCGCATGCCACCACACTTGGCTAATTTTTGTATTTTTAGTAGAGACAGGGTTTTACCATGTTGGCCAGGCTGGTCTCGAACTCCTGACCTCAGGTGATCCACCAGCCTCGGCCTCCCAAAGTGCTGGGATTACAGGTATGAGCTGCCGTGCCCGGCTTACTTACTCTTTTCTGCGTGAGGTTGAATTTTTGTTTCTTATAATTAAGAGCCTCTGTATTTCCTTTTCTAGAAATTTTCATTTTATTTTTTATTTTTGAGATAGCCTTGCTCTGTCACTCAGGCTGGAGTGTAGTGTGCGATCACAGCTCACTGCAGCCTCAACCTCTCAGGCTCAAGCAATCCTCCCACCTTAGCCTCCTGAGTAGTGGTCACCACAGGTATATGCCAACATGCCCAGCTAATTTTTCTTTTTTTTGAGACGGAGTCTTGCTCTGTCACCCAGGCTGGAGTGCAGTGGCATGATCTCTGCTCACTGCAAGCTCTGCCTCCCGGGTTCATGCCATTCTCCTGTCTCAGCCTCCCGAGTAGCTGGAACTACAGGCGCCCGCCACCACGCCCGGCTAATTTTTTTTTGTATTTTTAGTAGAGATGGGTTTTCACCGAGTTAGTGAGGATGGTCTCGATCTCCTGACCTCGTGATCCACCCTCCTCGGCCTCTGAAAGTGCTGGGATTGCAGGCGTGAGCCACCATGCCTGGCCAGACACACATATATATTTTTTTAAATTTTCTTTTTTTAATTACACTTTAAGTTCTAGGGTACATGTGCACAACGTGCAGGTTTGTTACATATGTATACATGTACCATGTTGGTGTGCTGCACCCATTAGCTGGTCATTTACATTAGGTATATCTCCTAATGCTATCCTTCCCCCCACCCCACCCCACGACAGGCCCCAATGTGTGGTGTTCCCCACCCTGCAGATACACAGATTTTCAATTGTGAGGGGTATCAGTCCCCTAGGTCCTGAGTTGTTCAAGGGTCAACTGTACAGCCATGTGCTGCATAACACATTTAGCTCAATGACAGAGCACATATATGATGGAGGTACCATAAGATTATTATGTAGCTGAAAAATCCCTGTCCTGTAGTGATGTCTTGATGATCCTGACCTTGTGTAGACCTAGGCTAATGTGTGTCTTTGTGTCTTAGCTTTTAACAAAAAAGTTAAAAAAATTTAAAAAATAGAAAAAGCTTATAGAATAAGGATATAAAGAAATAAAATATTTTTGTACAGCTGTAGAATATTTATGTTTTAAGCTAAGTGTTATTACAAGAGTCAAAGTTAAAAAAATTAAAAAGTTTATAAAGTAAAAAAGTTGCAGTAAGCTAAGGCTAGTTTATTATTGAAGAAAAGAAAAAAAAAATGTAAATAAATTTAGTGTAGTCACTCACTGACTCACCCAGAGCAACTTCTTGTCCTGCAAAGTCCATTCATGATATGTGCCCTATATAGGTATGCCGTTTTTAAATCTTTTATACTGTATTTTTTACCACACCTTTTCCACGTTTAGATACATAAATACTTAACATGGTGTTACAATTGCCTATAGTATTGAGTACAGTAACATGCTGTACAGGCTTGCAGCCTAGGAGCAATAGGTTACGCCATATAGCCTAGCTGTATAGTAGGCTACACCATCCAAGCTTGTGTAAGGACACTCTATGATGATGTTCCCGTAATGGTAAAATCACCTAACGATGCATTTCTCGGAACTTATTCCTGTTGTTAAGCAACATATGACTTAACATGTGACTGTATATTCAGAGTTGTGCAACCAGCCACCACAATCAATTTTAGAACATTTTCGTTACCCCAAAAGAAACTTGTGCTTTTACCACTTACTCCCATTTCCCCCATCCCCATCCCAACCCCAGTACCATCAATTTCCTTTCCGTAGGCAATCACTACTCTACTTATGTCTGTATGGATTTACTTATTCTTGACATTTCATGTAATTGGAATCATACTACATGTGGCCTATGTGACTGGCTTTTCACACAGCATAATGCTTCCAAAGTTTACACATGTTGTAGCATGTATCAATACTTCATTCCTTTTACGTCCAAGTAGCATTGCATTGTACAGATATGCCACATTTTGTTTATTTATTCAACAGTTGATAGACATTTGGGTTGTTTCCACTTTTGGGGTACTATAAACAATGCTGCTATGAATTCTTGTCTTCATTTTATCTTTCTTTCTCCTAAATCATTAATCTCTGCCTTTCCATGGATCTTTCAAAATATGAATATGCTCTAATATATTTCAGGTTAATAATAAACTGACCCTCTTGACACCACATGTCACTTTAGCTAAAACTCCATTTTACAAATCTATGTCAAAGTCTTTTTTTTTTGGCAGGATCTTGCTCTGTTGCCTAGGCTGGAGTGCACCATTCTGACTCACTGCAGCCTCAAACTCCTGGGGTTGTGCTGCCCTTCCTGCTTCAGCCTCTTGAGTAGCTAGGACTATAGGTGCATACCACCATGCCTACTAACTTTTAAAAATTTTTGTAGAGACAGGGTATCTCTCAGGGTTGCCCAGGCTGATCTTGAACTCCTGGCCTCAAGCCATCCTCCTGTCTTGGTCTCCCAAAGTGCTGGGATTACAGGCGTGAGCTACTGTGCCAAGCCCAAGAAATTTTTATTAGTGATGGATTGGAGTGGGAGAAAGAGTGAATGGAAGGTGAGGAAACCAAGATAACACGAGCAGATGACTCAAGAATTATGACTTTGGGCGGGCGTGGTGGCTCGTGCCTGTAATCCAAGTACTTTGGGAGGCCGAGAGGAAATGACTGCTTGAGCCCAGGAGTTTGAGACCAGCTTGGGCAACATAGGCTGTTGTTTTTCTCTACAAAAAATAAAAAAATTAGCCAATTAGCCGGGTGTGGTGGCATGCGCCTGTAGCCCCAGCTACTTAGGAGGCAGAGGCAAGGGGATTGCTTGAGCCTGCAAGTTCAGGGTTACAGTGAACCATGACTGGGTCAGTGTACTCCAGCCTGGGAGACAGAGAGAGACCCTGTCTCTAAAAACAAAACAAAACAAAACAAAGAAACCCGAAACTATTATTATCAAGCCTATTAATTATTTCCACATGCCAGGTCCAGTGAATATTCCCTGTTCTCATCTTATCTGACTTTTCAACAGCTTCAGAAATAGTTGGCTACTATTTCTTCTTGAAAAATTCTCTCATCTAGGCTGTCCTAACATAACAGTCTTCTTGTTTCTATAACATTCCCGTGGCTGTTACTTCTTAGAAACTTCTTTTTTTAGATCTTTCTCATCTACTCGACCTTTAAATTTTGTTTCTTTGGGTTTAGTCTTGGGTCTTTCTCTGTCTAAATTCTCTCATTAAATAACCTCATCTTTTTTTTTTTAATATAGACTTTATTTTTTAGAGCAGTTTTAGCTTCATAGAAAAGTTGAGGAAAGTACAGAGATTTTCCACATACCCTTTGTCCTCACACATGACTAGCCTTCCTCATTATCAGTATCCCCCACCAGAGTGGACATTTATTACAATTGATGAACCTACATTGACACATAATTTTCACCAAATCCCATCCATTTTCATGGTTTAAAATGCCATGTATATGCAAATTATTCACACATTTATATCTTTAGTGCAGATCCTTCCTTTGAGTTTCAAATTTGTATACCCAGTTGTGTACTTGATCCTCCTCCTCAGCATATCTTCTGGACATATAAAACTTAACATGTCCAAAATGACACTTACGGTACTCCCCAAGTCTCTTGTCTTACTCTGCCCATCTTCTTCATCATCTCAGTGAATGGCACCATTAGCTTCTTGATTGCTCAACCAAAAACCTAGGATTTATTCTATTTCTTCTCTGTCTCCTCCTTTTCTTTTCTCATTTCTAACTTTGTATAATGGAGAATTTTGAATATACACAAAAGTTGGCAGAACAGTATAAGATACCCCCATGTATACATCATTCATCCCAACAACTATCAACCCACAGCCAATCCTTCCCCATCCACATCCTTTTCTACTTTCTGCTTCCTTCTCCTGTGTGTCATTTTGAAGCAAATCCCAAACATCATGTCATTTCATCTCCATCTGTATCTCTCTATAACATATATATGACTTTCTTTTCTTTTCTTTTTTTTTGAGGCAGAGTCCCGCTCTTTTGCTAGGCTGGAGTGCAGTGGGGCGATCTCGGCTCACTGCAACCTCCGCCTCCTGGGTTCAAGCAATTCTCCTGCCTCAGCCTCCTGAGTAGCTGGGACTACAGGCACGCACCACCACACCCAGCTAATTTTTGTATTTTTAGTAGAGACAGGGTTTCACCATGTTGACCAGGATGGTCTCGATCTCTTGACCTCGTGATCTGCCTGCCTTGGCCTCCAAAAGTGCTGGGATTACAGGTGTGAGCCACCGCGCCCGGCCAATATATATATAACTTTCAAGTTACTCACAAGTCCTGTCAGCTCTATTTCCCAGTTCATTAATTTCATGCATTTCTTTCATCTCCACTGGCATAACCCTAGACCAGATCATGACCCTCCGCTGCCTGGCCCACTGCAAGGGCCTCATTAACTGTCTCTCCACTTTCACCCACTGCTTAAAACCTTTTAGTGGATTCCCATTATCTTTGGTACAAAATCTGAACTCCTTACTGTAGCCCATAAGGCCCTGTGTGATCTGGCCCCTGTCCACCTCTCATGCTACCCTCCCTTAACCCTGTGTTTTAGCTATACAATCTTCTTTCAGTTCCTCATACTCTCACTCCTTTTAGCTTCAGTGCTGTTGAGCTTGTCTTCCTCTTCCTGATATGCTTGCTTTCTTTTCAGCAGTCCCTCCTCCCTCCTGCCTAGTTAATTTTTTAACTCATTGTTTGGTTCTTGTATCAAGCATCCCTTCCCTTATTCATTTTGGTCAACAGCCCTTAGGCCAGTTTGTGATACTGTTCATGACTGTTATTATGGTATTAGTGTCTGCCCATGAGCTCCATAACAGTAAGGATTGTGTCCTTTTCCCTTATCACCACGTGTTTAGCATCTAGCATGTGCCTGGCAAGTAGTAGACACTAAAAATGTGTATGTCAAATAGATGATGAATACCTTTATCACATTTAAGCTTTTAAATTTTTCTATATTTTAATTTAATTTTATAGATGGTGTATCACTCTGTTGTGTAGGCTGGAGTGCAGTGGCTATTCATATGTGTGATTACAGCACTGTGGCCTCGAACTCCTGCCCTCAAGGGATCCTCCTGCCTCAGCCTCCTGAGTACCTGGGACTACAGGTGTGCACCACCAGGCCTGGCTTGTCTATATTTTAAAATTGGCTGTCTCCTCTAGCATGTTAGCTCTACAATGCCAGAGTATATTTTTCTCTTCATGGTAATATCTTCAGGGCCATTTCTAGTGCCTGTTTCAGGGACCACTCAATACACATTTAGTAGATGTATTAATGAAAGGTCCATATCATTGAGAAAGGACCCATATCATTGAGAAAGGACCCATATCATTGAGAAATGTCTATGTCATTGAGGATCTTATACACTAATCTATGGGGTTTGCCTCTTGTCCTATAGGAAATGGGAAAGAGTCACATGGTCAGTGCCATGTGACTTGAATATCCCCTCCAAAACTCATGTCGAAATTTCATTTTCAATATAACAGTATTGAGAGAGGAGACCTTTCAGGGGCAATTAAATTGTGAAGGCTCTGCCCTCATGAATGTATTGATGCCACTGTCACAGGAGCGGATTAGTTATCATGAGAATAGGCTTAATTTTTTCTCTGTTTCATGGACTTGCTTGCCCTTATGCTATGGGATAACACAGCACAAAGACCCTCACAAGACACTGGCAACATGGTCTTTTGGACTTACTAGCCTCCAGACTTACAAGCAAAATAAACTCCTATTCTTTATAAACTATCCAGTCTGTGGTATTACGTTACAGCAGCAGAAAACAGACTAAGATAGTCAGATTAGTCTGTTGGAAACATTTCTCCGATGTTTGATTTAAGGGAAAAAATACTGGAGGCTGGGAGATCAGTTAAGAGATGATTTGCTATGGTACCAGGAAAGGCTAATGAGAAGTAAGGCAATAGTGGTGGGGACAGAGAGGAGGATATTTATACAGGTGTTAGAAAGGTAGCATTGGTTGGATGTGGTGGCTCACGCCTGTAATCCCAGCACTTTGGGAGGCCAAGGCAGGAGGATTGCTTGAGCTACTTAGGAGGTTGAGGTGGGAAGATTGCTTGAGTCCAGGAAGTTGAAGCTGCAGTGAGCCATGATTATACGATTGCATTACAGCCTGGACAACAGAGTGTAGCTGGAACTATAGGCACGCACCACCATGCTTGGCTAATTTTTTACACTTATTTTTAGTGGAGATGAGGTCTTGCTATGTTGTCGAGGCTGGTCTCGAGCTCCTGAGCTCAAGCAATCCTCCCACCTTGGCCTCCCAAAGTGTTGGGATTACAGGCTTATGTCACCTTGCCCAGCCTGTTTCTAGTTTTGGCACCTTCAGTTTAATTTTCTGCACAGTCACCAAACGTGATTTACCTAAAACCCAAACGTGCCTTGGCCTTATTTAAAAACTTAAATTGTTTCCTTATTGTCCACAGGCTAAAGTCCAAGATCCTTAATGTGGCACACAAGGTCCCTGTGATCGTTCCCTGGCTGACACCTCAGCCTCTTCTTGGAGGCTTCCTCCCTGCTAACTGTGCCCCAACAACCTGGGTGTGTGCAGCTCTTCTCTGACCCAGCCATTTCACCCGGGGGCCTCTGCCAGGCTGCTCCTCTGCCTTGTGGGTCCCCTGCACTTCATTTGACTCACTCCTCTGTTAGATTCAGCTCAGGCTACTTTTTTGCCCAGAATGGCTTTCCTGTTGATTCCCCAACTCCAATGGGGTTACAGGTCTCTTTTTCCTCCACGCTATATACATATACTGTTATTGTGCTGAAAAGATCTGCTTACATATCTATCTATCTTTTTTTTTTTTGAGATGGAGTCTTGCTCTCTCGCCTAGGCGGGAGTGCAGCAGCGTGATCTTGGCTCACTGCAACCTCCACCTCCCGGGTTCAAGTGATTCTCCTGCCTCAGCCTCCAGAGTAGCTGGGATTAACAGGCATGCACAACCATGCCCAGCTAATTTTTTGTATTTTTAGTAGAGACAGGGTTTTACCATGTTGGCCAAGCTGGTCTTGAACTCCTGACCTCAGGTGATCTGCCCCCCTCAGCCTCCCAAAGTGTTGTGATTACAAGTGTGAGCCACCGCTTCTGGCCCATATCTATCTTCTTTAATGGCCTGTTGCCTTATGGGACACAGTGACTATGCCTTATATATTCTTATGGCCCTAATAGATTAATGATCAATAATGTTTGCAGAATGAACAAATGCTGTAAAGGAACCAAATGAATAATAAAACACACATATAGGAAACTATTGAGTGAAATTCAAAGCACTGTGTGATTAGTGCACAATATATGTGGGACAGACTCTAAGTTCTGTAGGCTGGAGCATTCTATGGGGGGATGAGTTCTCTTCCCTTAGTAGAAATTAAGGCTGTTGATACTGTAAACATTTTTTTTTAATTTTGCAAAACTATAATTGGTATTCCAGAACTGTGCTAATTAAAGTTTGTTTTCTGGACCAACATGGGCTTCACTTGCGTGTTTGTTAGAAATGCAGGCTTTAGGGCCTCACTCCAGACCTACTGAATCTGAATCTGCATTTTTAACAAGACTCCCAGGTCATTCGAATGTGCATTCCATTTTGAGAGGCACTGTCCGAGAAAACAATTCTGTTGCCTGGGAAAGGATGGAGCCTGTGAGCTCAGGTCTTAGGTCTCTTTTGCTCCTCAGGAAGTAGTGCTCTGTGGGGCTCGGCTGACGGATGTTAGAGCCAGACTTCAGGAGAAATAGAGCAAAGGACTTGAATCTAGTAGGTGTGACCAGATGAGCAGGTCTGGAGACTCAGCATCTCACAGGCAGGGTTAAACAGGAGCTGTCTGGGGACTGGGACTGGGACTGGGACTGGGCTTGGCTAAATAGGACTAAATAGATCTAGCCAAAATCAGGCTGGCTAGGTGTGGCAGTAAGTGGGCCTAGATGGAAGTGGTAGGCCAGATAGTCAGAGGCCTGGTCAGCAAGCATGGGTCAGGGTGAGAATCAGATGAGGTAGTTCCTGGGGCTGGGGCAGGGACTGGGGCTGGGCCCTCAGCTCAGAAGGTCAGGGATAGGGCAAGCTTCAGGAATGGGGTGAGGCTCAGGGTTGGGGTAAAGGTCAGAATGTTCAGTGCAAAATGGTTTTTGGCAATCTGAAGCAATATTTTTACATTTTGAAGGGGTGGCTGTTAAAATGTCCTGCTTTTTACTGAAGTTAGCAGACTTTCAGGCCTCTGTTTCTAAGGACATCTTACAGGGAGCATGGGGTGAAGTTGCAGAAGAGCGCGTGCCCTCCCAGCACCCCAATGTGCTCTTGTTATATGTATTTGTTGTGTGACTCCTGCATGTCATTCTCTTGTGTTCAAATACGATGGTTTGATATTTCACAGCAAAAATAATTGAAACCATCCAGATACACGTTAGAATGTGAACTATTATACACTTAAGAAGTTCTAAGACCTCCCTTTTCTTTCTGTCAGGAGAGAGAGTTGTGGATCAGAATTTGGAGCTCGCACCCATGACCTGGGAGGGACTGAGTGACCTGTTAGAGCTAGTGCAGGCTCAGAAACTCAGTAATTCCTTGGTGCAGTCATATTAGTGTTATCATTTTGGAAGGAATATGGTAAAAATGTTAACATTAGGGGCAATATATGCTTTCTTTCTTTTCTTTTCTTTTCTTTTTTTTTTTTTTTTGAGATAGAGTCTTGATCTGTCGCCCAGGCTGGAGTGCAATGGCACCATCTTGGCTCATTTCAATCTCTGCCTCCTGGGTTCAAGCAATTCTCCTGCCTCAGCCTCCCGAGTAGCTAGGATTATAGGCACCCGCCACCACGCCCGGCTAATTTTCTTTTGTATTTTTAGTAGACATGGGGTTTCACCATGTTGGCCAAGCTGGTCTCGAACTCCTGACCTCAGGTGATCCATTTGCTTGGCCTCCCAAAGTTCTAGGATTATATGCGCGAGCCACTGCACCCAGCCTATGCTTTCTTAATATGAAACTAGATTGTCTTGACTTGATAGAAAAATTAATCCTTGCTATGGTGAGGTGTGCTTGCTTCTTTGGTAACCTGTGAAGAAACTGGATGCAGCATGCAATGTCTTCTTCATTCATGGAACCAGAGATAGTTCCTTGCCACTTTGGACCTGATAAAATCTGTAAAGAAGAAAGATTGTTATTATTTGGCTAAAATCTGAAGCTTAACATGGGTTGAGAGAGAGGAAGGGTCCACAAGAAACTCTTTTCTTCTTAAAACCTAGATCTAAAAGGGCTGTTACTTATGTGATACAAGGGAATTAGCTATTATTATTATTATTATTATTATTATTTTTGAGAGGGAGTTTTGCTCTGTCGCCCAGGCTGGAGTGCAGTGGCACGATCGCGGCTCACTGCAACTTCCACCTCCTGGGTTCAAGCGATTCTCCTGCCTCAGCCTACTGAGTAGCTGGGATTACAGGCACCCGCCACCATGCCCAGCTAATTTTTGTATTTTTTTTTTTTTTGAGACGGAGTCTCGCTCTGTCGCCCAGGCTGCAGTGCAGTGGCACGATCTCAGCTCACTGCAAGCTCCGCCTCCGGGGTTCATGCCATTCTCCTGCCTCAGCCTCCCGAGTAGCTAGGACTACAGGCACCCGCCACCACACCCGGCTAATTTTTTGTATTTTTAGTAGAGACGGGGTTTCACCGTGTTAGCCAGGATGGTCGCGATCTCCTGACCTCATGATCCGCGCGCCTCGGCCTCCCAAAGTGCTGGGATTACAGGCTTGAGCCACCGCGCCCAGCCAATTTTTGTATTTTTAGTAGAGATGGGGTTTCACCATGTTGGCCAGGCTGGTCTCAAGTGATCCACCTGTCCTGGCCTCCCAAAGTGCTGGGATTACAGGCAGGAGCCACCACGCCTGGCCTGGGAATGAGTTATTTAGATAAATCAGCAACTTCCAGTCCTTTTACTCTACAATTCTCTGTAATAGTTCCCTGGCGTGCCAGGAAAGAAAATAGTGTAGATCCACTAAAGCAGTGAGAGTGATTTTTTTTTCTCCCCGTGGAAGCCTGGAGAGGCAAGAGAATGCTGGCAGGGGCTGAGATATGATGGCCATGGATGGGGAGTGGATGCACCTGTCCCCATCACCTTGGGTTTGCTAGGAGGAGCCAACTTGTGATCCACTGAGCTGCAAGTGGCTCTCCTGGCAAGAGAGAACGTAAGGCTGATTTATCTGAATTCTCATTCCCTTCTGTCCATAGGAGAGCAAAGAACTCCCAGTAGGAAGGAAAGGAAGGGTCTTATTGTTACTCAGGGAACCAGAAGAAGTGTGGCCTGGGCCTGGTATTCATGAAGGGCCTCAAGCACAGTATAGACTTTGCTATTATTGCCATATAAGATCACACTGTCTTTGTATTTATTGGATTAACTCAAAGTTTTGATTGGTTAAAAACAAACATCTGCAGTCAGGCGCGGTGGCTCACGCCTGTAATCCCAGCACTTTGGGAGGCCGAGGCGGGTGGATCATGAGGTCAGGAGATTGAGACCATCCTGATTAACACGGTGAAACCCCATCTCTACTAAAAATATAAAAAATTAGACGGGCGTGGTGGCTGGCACCTGTAGTCCCAGCTACTTGGGAGGCTGAGGCAGGAGAATAGCGTGAACCTGTGAGGCAGAGCTTGCAGTAAGCCGAGATCGCGCCACTGCACTCCAGCCTGGGCTACAGAGCGAGACTCCGTCTCAAACAAAACAAAACAAAACAAAACAAAACAAAACAAAACAAAACAAAAAAAAAAACGAAAACCAAACTTCGAAACCACATCACTATTATATTGACTCATTTCTGGCATTTCTTCATTTTAAAAAATACCCAGAGGCTGAAAACTAGAAGTCTAGTCCTCTTGATACATGGCAGGCGAGCCCCAGATTGGGATTTAGCATGGGAGGATTCTTTGCTTCTCCCAGGAAAACATTCAAGGGTGAGCCTGTAATAGAAGAAAACAGCTTTATTGAAGTGGCAGTGTTATAGCCTAGGCGGTGTTGCAACTCTGTGACTGCTTCTGCAGAGCAGGGCTACCCCATTGGCAGTGTGCTGAGAGTAACAGCTCAGGGCAGTTCCGCAGTCATGTTTACACCTCCTTTTTTTTTTTTTTTTTTTTTTTTTTTTGGAGACAGAGTCTCGCTCTCTCGCTCTGTCGCCCAGGCTGGAGTGCAATGGCGCGATCTCGGCTCACTGCAAGCTCCGCCTCCCAGGTTCACGCCATTCTGCCTCAGCCTCCTGAGTAGCTGGGACTACAGGCACCCGCCACCACGCCGGGCTAATTTTTTGTATTTTTTTTAGTAGAGACGGGGTTTCACTGTGTTAGCCAGGATGGTCGCGATCTCCTGACCTCGTGATCCGCCCGCCTCGGCCTCCCAAAGTGCTGGGATTACAGGCGTGAGCCACCGCGCCCGGTTTACACCTACTTTTAACTGCATGCAGATTAAGGGGTGATTTATGCAGAAATTTCTAGGGAAAGGGTAGAAACCTCTGGGTCATCAGGTCATTGCCATGGGAAGGGGCAGTAAATCCCGGGTGCTGCCATGTTAGTGGTAAACTGACAAGGCACACTGGTGGGCGTGTCTTGTGGAAAGCTGCTTCCTCCCGTCCCTATTTTAGCTATTCTCAGTTTGGTTCAGTGTCTGAGCCCCCACTCTGAAGTCGAGTCCTGCCTCTTACCTCGGGACCTCTGAGTAGCCCTGCTTGCTGCACCCAGGTGATAGGTAGAAAGTGAAATCAGCTATGACAGTTGCAGAAAGTTACTCATGGTTCTGTATGCTCTGAAACAGTGTGAAAATGATATTCCCCCTTTTCTTTTCTTTCTTTTTTTTTTTTTTGAGATGGAGTTTTGCTCTTGTTGCCCAGGGTGGAGTGCAGTGGCACAATCTTGGCTCACCGCAATCTCCGCCTCCCAGGTTCAAGCTATTCTCCTGCCTCAGCCTCCTGAGTAGCTGGGATTACAGGCATATGCCACCACACCTGGCTAATTTTGTATTTTTAGTGGAGATGGGGTTTCTTCATGTTGGTCAGGCTAGTCTCGAACTCCCAACCTCAGGTATCTCCCTGCCTTGGCCTCCCAAAGTGCTGGGATTACAGGTGTGGGCCACCGCGCCCAGCCTGACCACTTTTATAGATTCCACATATAAGTGAGATCATGCAATATTTTTCTTTCTATGTCTGGCTTATTTCACATAGCATAATGTCCTCCAAGTTCCTCCAAGTTGTGGCAAATGACAGGATCTCCTTTTTTAAAGGCTGTATAATACTCTATTTGTTTATTATGATTATTATTTTTTAACCTTGTTTTTTTGAGACAGGGTCTTGCTCTGTCGCCCAGGCTGAAGTGCGGTGGTACAACTGAGGCAGGAGAATAGGGTCTGGAGGCAGGGAACATAAGGTCAATTCATGCTGACTTCCTAGAACTAAATCAGATGGAAACACTTCAGCTATGTCAGGAAATATCCTCTCCATTTACATAGGGTGTACACTGAGTAAATGACTTTGTAACTTTATCCTCTTCATTTACATAGGGTATACACCAAGTAACCAGTGGAAACCTCTAGAGGGCATTTAAACCCCAGAAAATTCTGTAACGGGGCTCTTGAACCCATATGATCAGGCCTGCTCCCACCCTGTGGGGTGTACTTTCATTTTCAATAAATCTCTGCTTTTGTTGCTTCATTTTTTCCTTGCTTTGTTTGTGCATTTTGTCCAATTCTTTCTTCAAGATGCCAAGAATCTGGACTCTCCCCATTGGTAACACAATCATGGCTCACTGCAGCCTCGACCTTCGGGGCTCAAGTGATCTTCCCACTTCAACCTCCCAAGCAGCTGAGACCATAGGCACATGCCATCATGCCTGGTTAATTTTTTATTTTTATTTTTGTAGGGATGGGGTTTCACCATGTTTCTCAGGCTGGTTTTGAACTCTAGGCTCAAGCAATCCACCTGCCTTGGCCTCCCAAAGTGTTGGGATTACAGGTGTGAGCCACTGTGCCTGGCCACCATAGTTTCTTTATCCATTCGTTTGTTGATGGACATGTACGTTGTTTCCATATCTTGGCTATTGTACATGATGCTGCAGTGAATGTGGGAGTGCAGATATCTTTATGTGGTAGTGATTTCATTTCCTTTGGATATATACCCAGAAGACAGATTGCTAGGTCTTATGGTAGTTCTATTTTTTTTCTTAAAAAGTTTTTTTTCCTGACTACAAAGACCAAGAGGTCTTTCCAGTTCTCTTTTGATCCTGAGACTAACAACTGGAGACTGAGGCCAGAGCAGCTGGCAGCTGTGCTTTTCTGTTTCCTGTCAGAGTGATCCCAAGTTTCCTCCTGGCCCATCCCATGGTCCCTCCACAGGAGCGTGAGAAGATGGGGAAGCACTGTGGGGAGACCACCAAAGATGGCTGGACCGTGGGAGAGAGCACGTCATGAAGCATCGCAGCCTCGTGTTGAGGATCCAAACTTAGAAACAAACCCCTCTGTACAGGGGGATTGTGGTGAGCGAGAATCAAGGCCACGGTGTGTGTTTTCTCACTCTCGAATGCAAGTGGGAGAGAGAAAATGACTCCGGACGCCATTGTAACAGTTCCTGGAAGCTGGACCCTCTCATTGGCATATACACTACTCCTCGCCGCAGGGCACTGTCCCACCGGGATCCAGTTGCAAAGTTTGTCTCGATAGTTGAAGGCCTCGCTTAATTGTACTGGGTTCTCAGGGAGCCCTCTGTGCCTTTTGGCTTTGAGTGCTGTGTTTCCCTTTTACCAGAGGGCAGCACTGTGGAAATTCCTATCTACCCTGTGGCATATTCTGTTGGATTGCATTACCGGCTGAGAAAGGACAAGTTGCCATTCAAGTCCAGGGTGGGCTTCCAGCTGCCTTAATACAAGTACTCAAGTCTTTTGGGTAGTGAGCTGGAAAGCCTACAGGAAGAGGGGTACCTATTTTCATTTGAACCTTTAAACCTTTAAAACTAATCTCAGGGCTGGGTGCGGTGGCTCACGCCTGTAATCCCAGCACTTTGGGAGGCTGAGGCGGGCGGATCATAAGATCAGGAGATCGAGACCATCCTGGCTAACATGGTGAAACCCCGTCTCTACTAAAAATACAAAAAATTAGCCGGGCGTGGTAGCGGGCACTTGTAGTCCCAGGTTACTCAGGAGGCTGATGCTGGAGAATGGTGTGAACCCGGGAGGCAGAGCTTGCAGTGAGCCGAGATCACACTACGGCACTCCAGCCTGGGCGACAGAGCGAGACTCTGTCTCAAAACAAACAAACAAACAAACAAAAAACTAATGTCAGATAAACTTTTGGTGCCCATGCTGCTGTAGTTGTTCACTGCTTTCCTGGATGGACGGGACTCTTATGTTGTAACTTCCATACTCCTTTGGCCCATAGCTAAGGCCATCCTTCCCCACAGGGGTGGCTTTGGGATTGGATGATACAGGTTTTGCTTCTGTGTAGTATACCTGTACATATCTGTTTCAAGCAGCCTTTCTTTAATGTTTTCGGTTGGTTTGTATTCTGTAGCTCAGTAGCTGCTGACAAAGTTAAAGATCCTGAAAAAAATTTTTTTTTTCTGACTACAAAGACCCAGAGGAGATGGTTGTATTTTTTTTTTTTTAAATTAAGAAATAGAGATGGGGTTGCCTAGGCTGGTCTTGAACTCCAGGCCTTAAAGCAATCCTACCACCTCAGCCTCCCAAGAGTCAGGGATCACAGGCATGAGCCACTGCACCCTGCAGATAGCTCTATTTTTAATTCTTTAGGAACCTCCACACAGTTTTCCATAATGCCTCCACCAATCTACATTTGATTGTTGGGTTGTTTCTTCAGGACTCACTCTCTCCCGAGTCCCTGGGGGACTCTTGAGGAAGTGTGGTTAAAACATAATACCAGGAGAAAGTACTTCTAGAATGGTGGAAAAACACTTCTGAAAATCTGCTCTTCTGTAAGAGCAGCAAGAACATTGGCAAAAATTGTCAATATCAAGTTTTTCAGAACTCTAGAAATTAACCAAAGGCTTACAACAACCTTAAGAGTTTTTTCAAGAAAAGTGGCTGGCTCTTGTAAGAACGGTGAGGTTTGTGGTGTTTTAACTTGTCCTGTTTCCACCCCTTCTTCCCAGCTCTATGGTGGCCTTGAAACCAGCAGCCTTGGAACCAGAGTCACTGAAAACCAGAGGTCTAGCAGCCATTGGAGGTGGTAGAGTGGGTTTCAAGATCCCCAAAGACCTGGTTGCCAGAGAATTGTCACTATTCGACATGTCTAGAAGATCCCTGGAAAAGCCTCATTCATAGGGCTTATCTTTATTTGGTCACTGAGGAAAGCCCTTTCCCCAGAGCATTGGTAAAATAATCAGTGGCAATTTAAGAATTGCAGTTGCCTGAGATAGTGATACACACTGGGGCAAAATCAGGCTGGCCAAAATCTTACAGAGAAAATCTGGGGATGTTCATAGGGGGCTTGGAAAGCTCTTACTTATTCCTGGGGGTCTAGAAGGCAACACACATGTGCAAGGCTGTGCACCTCTCACTTCTGGCTCACCTTAAAGCCCTGTGCAAGCAGCAAGTGAAGCCTAGGTCAGAGTAATTGGAGTATTGAAGGCATCACACACACACATGCACACGCACGCACACTCACATGCACACACACACTCCTCAACAAAGGGTGGGAGATTCAATGGTCAAAGGCATTTAAGGAAATCTCTGTTTCGGCATTAGCTGACTGCTAAGCTAACCAAGCAGACACACCTGACAAAGAATACACAATTTACAGACTTAGTCCAGGAAAGTCACTAAACAAATACACATACGAGAGCAGCAATAGCAGTAGCAGCAGCCACAACAAACAGCAACAACAAAAAGTCCTGAGGGAGTAGGAATCTGATTTCTGAAGCTGCCACAGTGTATTACTTAAAATATTGTGGTTTCTGTGAAAGATGCCAGTGGCAACAGCTTTGCCACCCAGCTCTCCAACATTTTTGTTATTGGCAAAGGCAACAAATCATAGATTTCTCTTCCCCAAGGAAAATGTATCCACCTCACCATTGTCAAAGAGAGGGACAAGAGACTGATTGATGGTCAAACAGAGCAGTGGGTAAAATGGTCTCTAGATGACATGTTGGAAAGGTCTTTGCATTTAGTCAAAGATAATACAGTATGATTAAAAAATAAAATGTTGGCCAGGCGCGGTGGCTCACACCTGTAATCCCAGCACTTTGGGAGGCTGAGGCAGGCGGATCACCTGAGGTCAGGAGTTTGAGACCAGCCTGGCCAACGTGGTGAAATCCAGTCTCTACTAAAAATAGAAAAAAATCAGCCGAGTATGGTGGCATGTGCCTGTAATCCCAGCTACTCAGGAGGCTGAGGAAAGAGAATCACTGGAACCCAGGAGGCAGAGGTTACAGTGAGCCAAGATCGTGCCACTGCACTCCAGCCTGGGAGACAGAGTGGGACTCTGTCTCAAAAAAAAAAAAAAATAAAAAAATAAAAAAATAAAAAAGAAAGCAATCAATAGGCTTGTTTCTCTGAGAAAGCTCAGACGTTGGACTTACTAGACAGATAATATTTCCTTATAATCCTCTTTATTCTGTAAGATCAGTAGTGATGTCCCCTCTTTCATTCCTGATTTAAGTAATTTGACTCTTTCTCTTTTTTTTCTTTGTCAGTCTAGTTAAGAGTTTGTCAACTTTGCTAATGTTTTCAAAGAACTAACTTTTCATTTTGTTGATTTTTCTCTATTGTTTTTCTATTTTTGATTTCCTTTCTTTCTTTCTTTCTTTCTTTCTTTCTTTCTTCTTTTCTTTCTTTCTTTCTTTCTTTCTTTCTTTCTTTCTTTCTTTCTTTCTTTCTTTCTTTCTTTCTTTCTTTCTTTCTTTCTTTTTCTTTTCTTTTTTTGACACAGCCTCACTCCATCACCCAGGCTGGAGTGCAGTGGTGCAATCTTGGCTTACTGCAACCTCCACCTCCTATATTCAAGCGATCCTCTCACCTCAGCCCCCCAAGTAGCCGGGACTACAGGTGTGCACCACCACGCCCTGCTAGTTTTTGTATTTTTATAGAGATGGGGTTTTGCCATGTTGGCCAGGCTGGTCTTGAACTCCTGGCCTCAAGTGATCCACCCACTTCCGCCTCCCAAAGTGCTGGGATTATAGGCATGAGCCACCATACCCAGCCAAGAGGTTGGAGTGAGCCAAGATCGGGCCACTGCACTGCAGACTGGGGACAGAGTGAGACTCTGTCTCAAAAAAAACCAAAAAACAAAACCCACGAAAAAACCTTTTGTGCTTCTAAGGATACCGTCAACAAAGTAAAAAGATAATCCATGGAATCAGAGAACATATTTGCAAATTATATCTAGTAAGAGCCTTGTATCCAGAATACATAAAGCAGTCATATAACTCAACAACAAAGAGTTGAATAACCCAATCAAAAAATGAAAGAAGGATTTGAACGGACACCTCTCCGAAGAAGATATACAAATGGCCAATAAGGACATGAAAGATGCTCAACATTGTTAGCCGTTGGGAAATGGAAATCAAAACCACAAGGAGATACAAATTCATTCCCACTAGGATGGCTGAAATAAAGACAATAACAAGTGTTGATGAAGATCTGGAGAAATTGAAACCCTCATTCATTGCTGGTGAGAATATAAAGTGATGCAGCCATTTTGGAAAACTGTTTAGCAGTTCCTCAAAGTATTAAACCTAGAGTTACCATCTGACCCAACAATTCAGTTCCTAGGTATACACGCAAGAAAGCTGAAAACATGTGTCTGCACAAAAACTTGTACATGAGCATTCATAGTAGAATTATGCATAATGGTCCCAAAGTTTACACAACACAAATGTCTATATAATGAAGAATGGATAAATAAAATAATATAGCCATACAATGGAATATTATTTGTCAATAAATGGATTGAAGTATTAAAACATGCTACAGCATTGATGAACCTTGAAAACATCAAGCTGAGTGAAAAAGTCAGTCACAAAAGATCACACATTGCATGATTCTATTTGTACAAAATGTCCAGAATAAGCAAATCCATACAGAGACCATATGGTAGTGATTGCTGGGGGTTGGGAGGAAGGAAGAATGAGGAGTGATTCCTAAGGGGTACAGAGTTACTTTTTGGATTGATCAAGTGTTCTAAAATCAGTGATGATGGTTGCATAATCCTGTGTCTACAGTAAAAACCACTAAATTGTATATGTTAAATGAGTGGATTTTATAGTATATAAATTGTACCTCAATAAACCTGTAACAAAATAGAAACAAAACTAGATGTTCCTTCTTTGCCTTTCTATGTTAAAAGGAAAATAGAAACAATGATTTCTACTCTTGGATCATTGGTTCTCAACTGGGGGCAATTTTGTCCCTCAGGGGACATTTGGCCATATCTGGGGACATTGTGGTATCACAATTGGAGGGAAGGGTGCTACTGGCATCTAGTGGGCAGAGGCCAGGAATGCTGCTAAACATCCTACAATGCACAGAACAGCCCCCACAACAAAGAATTATCTGGCCTTAATGTCACTAGTACCAAGGTTGAACAGTCCTGCCTTACAACAAACTCATCGGGAAAGAGCAGGGTCATGGTGCATCCTCTCTCTCCCACAACCACAGAGGTCCCTCAGTGCCAGGGCCTCCCCTGTGTCGAGGGCGGCTCTTAGAATCCATCCTGGGAAACTCACCGTCAGGGCAACGGTAAGGCTGTGAACCACCGTCATCTCTCTAGGAGTGTCCTTGGGAGTAACTTTTGTCTGGTCTCAGTTCCAAGAATAGTTGTGCTTCCCTGCGTCATCTGTCTGTTTTATCTCATGGACACCGTGAACTTCAGAACGGACCAGACTTTCCTTTTTGGGTTGGCTGCTGAACAGTTTTGAGTCAGACTTGTGGCTCACCCTTAGGAAGGGTACAGGTCTTGTATTTCACATTTTTAAGGTTCATTCCTGGTGCGATTTTAGATCCCTATTTCCATCTTTCTTTTTTAAAGTCTCTTTTTTCTTTGTATTTATTTGTTCCTAGTTTTAATACCTGCCATCTCATGGTGTTTTACATGTCTTGGTAAGCTATTTATGCTGTGCAACAGGACTCTGAAAAAATAAATATAAGCAGCGAGTCTCTCCTTAGCTGTGAGACGGGAGTGGCGGGAAGAGTTGTGGGTGGTATGACAGAGGCATAGTGAGGTCTGTGGGCAAGGACCAGTGACCTCCCCATAGGGTGTACTTCCCACTCCAGGAGACTGGGCAGGTGCTGAGGAGTCAGGGTATGAGGAGGTAGGGGGTTCCTAGAGGAGATCAGCTGTTCTTGGATTGCTGTGCAGGACACTGCAGGCTTTTAGTGGTGGAAAAAGCTGGGCTTTCAGAGGATAAGTAACAGATGTGGGAACAGACCTGGTAGGAGAGGGGGCTCTCAGGTGGGCAGGACTGGGTGGTATATTAGGGAGTGTCCTGGACTGGGAGCTGGGGATTAGGCTTCTAGGTTTCAAGTCTGAGTTCTGCTCTTGTTGGCCAAGTGACTTTGGCCTGGTGACTAAGGAGTCACCTGGCTCCTTAATTTACTATCACTAAACCAGAGTATTAATGAATACCTGCTAGGTTTATCTCTGGGGTTGATGTGAGTGCCAAATGAGATGATGCAATGAAATTGCACAAGTGCTCTATTCATTGCTAGGCTGCAAATCTTTTCTTTTTTTAAATGTTGAGGGACAAAAATAATTGTGGAATTATTATGGCTGTGATTACAGTTGTGCTTCATGGAGATGGTCCTATTTGGAGCAGGTAATGACTGTGGCAGAGGCACTGGGTGCTGTGGAGCTGGGGAGCAGGCCTCAAGGAAACAGAGAGACTTGACTGATCCCAGGGAATTAATTAAAACTTACCCAGCATCTGTGGGGAGAAAGTACATGTTAATCATTACGTTGCATTCGGATGTACACAGTTTATTGCTTAGACTTTCAGAGTGAAAAGGATCTCAGGGGTTTACAGAGCCCAGTCCCCTGTCTCAAGTACTCTCTCAGGAGCTCTTAGCACAGGTAAGATCTTTGCTCACACATTTTCTGCAAGAAAAAAAACCAAAACCAAACAAATAACCGCTCCCTGACCCCGGAATTTGGCCCAGGAGAGTCAAGAAGTTGCAGGGTTCAGGGTAAATGGCTTCCCTAGACTTACGTGGGAATACACCACCCAGTGCTGCCCACCTTCGGGCCCCCTCTCCTAGCAGCTCTGTTCCCTCATATGTTTTCATGATCTCTAGGGAAGAGACCACTGCAATTCTAATTTCTTGGGTCTAATTGCAATGTCTTCAGCTACAACTTGAGGCCAGTTTCACCTTCTAACTTTGTGGGTTGGCCAACAGCCACTGATCCCCTTTCTTGTTGTTTTTTCTTTGTAGACCTCTGTGGTCATGGTCTCCTTTCTCTTATGTTCATGTTATTCTTCAGTTCATTTTCCCTCACCTTGACTTCCTTCATTCCTTCCTTCTCCATTTGGAGGATGTCCCATCTGGAGTGAGAGTGGACTGTCTTGTGCACGGGTATACATTTGCACAGGACCTGTGGCCTCTGTCCTGTGCTGCCTCACACCTTGCCCTTAGGTACTGTGGCTTGAGCTCATTGGCACTTAGGGAGCCCCTGCCATGGGAGCATCAGGGAAATTCTGCCCCTATCTCTGGCCATGCTTGACACTCTCCTGCCAGGGCCACTTCTTGCACCATCTTTGTCCCCTATCTCAATGTGCCTGTTCCTCCCCCAGGATCCCTGTAGAGACACTGAGTTCTGCTGCTGAGGCAGGAGCATGGAAGAGGCTTCTGTCTTGGGGAAGGCAGGCTTGTGGCTTAAACTCTTCCTATTCGTACAATGTCTGATCCCATGGTGGCCTATTTGACCCTCTGAGCTTTGCACTCTGGACTTCAGTGAAGTAAGTCTCTGGGATCTTGCACCCATGGAAGCACCCTCAGTCTCTCAGGGGCCCAGTTGTGGTACCTTACATCACCAATGGCCCCTTCCTTCCCCTAAACTTTGATCCCTGTCTCTGACTTCATGGCTCTGCTGTGGAACAGGTGCTGATTGGAAAAGCTACCTTTACTGGTGGGGATTACTCTGGGCTTTCCCGGCTACTCTTTCTGTGGGTAGGATTGTCCTGCGCATGCACACACACACACACACACTCACACGGACCTTGACACATTCAACACAAGGCACACATCCACACATAGACTTGCAGTAGATGGGCTGGTGGAACAGTCCTAGAGACAGCATTACACCAGCATCCTGGAGTCATGGGATCAAGCCCCAGCTCTGACCCTTAGTGACTGTGGATAAACCATATTCTTCTCTGCCTTTGTTTCCTCTTCTGCCACATGATGGAATAAGAGCAGGTGTCTCCAAGGCATCTTCTTTCTGTGACCCAGATGCAGACACGTTACAGAGACAGGTGGGGTGGGCATTGTGTTTGGAGGCTGGGTTTATAGTGTCTAGTTCCACTGGCTTAGGGGGCAGATAGACTAAGTTTGGGTCTGGCTCTGTTGCTGTAGGGCTGTGTGACCTCGAACAAGGAACTTCATTTCTCTCACCCCAGTTTCCTCATCAGCAGAGTGGGATTATTTAAACTTTGTATCAGGTGGTGATTTATGTAACAGTGCCGTGTCCCATACATGATATATATTATTACTGGTCTTAGCTCAGTCATTAATTCACTAATTGATCTTGGGTAAACTAAATGAGTTCTTCTCGACTTCATCGTCCTCCTGTGCAGAATGAAGGGTTTGGACCAGTAGAAGATGTTCAAGACCGCCTTTACCGTCTCCCAGGCAGCTCAGGGACGGGGGACGCCTTGTTGAACATGGCTGTTCAGAGATTTACCACACGGGGGCGATATGACCCCATTTGAACCGGCTCCAGAACAGCAGATTTTTGGGAAAAGCAAACAAAACTTCAATTTTTGGTCCATTTTTCAGACTCTACTCCTTCTTATTTTTATTTTTGACTCACCTTAACCAGAAATTTCAGAAATTTTGAACATCAGAAAGCTGGAAACAATGTAAGTACTTAGCACTCTGTGTTCTGCTTGTAGCCTTTCTACCACGCATGCATTTAAAAAATGTGCACTAACGGCCGGGCGCGGCGGCTCACGCCTGTAATCCCAGCACTTTGGCAGGCCAAGGCGGGCGGATCACGAGGTCAGGAGTCTGAGACCATCCTGGCCAACATGGTGAAACCCTGTCCCTACTAAAATAACAAAAATTAGCTGGGCGTGGTGACGCGCACCTGTAGTCCCAGCTACTCAGGAGGCTGAGGCAGGAGAATAGGAGAATTGCTTGAATCCGGGAGGCGGAGGCTGCAGTGAGTGGAGATCACGCCACTGCACTCCAGCCTGGAGACAGAGTGAGATTTTGTCTCAAAAAAAAAAAAAAAAAAAAAGGGCATTGACAATTGGGAAATATTCACTATTGATCAAGTTCCTTTTTTTTTTTTTGAGGCAGTGTCTGGCTCTGTCGCATGGGCTGGAGTGCAGTGGCGCGATCTCAGCTCACTGCAACGTCCACCTCCTGGGTTCAAGCGATTCTCTCATCTCAGCCTCCCGAGTAGCTGGGACCATAGGTGCCGCCACTCGACCCAGCTAATTTTTGTATTTTTTTGTAGAGACGGCGGCGGGTGGGGGGCGGGGTTCCCTATGTTGCTCAGCTGTTTTTTTTTTTTTTTTTTTTTTTTTTTTCCGAGACGGAGTCTCGCTCTGTCGCCCAGGCTGGAGTGCAGTGGCGCGATCTCGGCTCACTGCAAGCTTCACCTCCCAGGTTCACACCATTCTCCTGCCTCAGCCTCCCGAGGAGCTAGGACTACAGGAGCCCGCCACCACGCCCGGCGAATTTTTTTTTTCGTATATTTAGTAGAGACGGGGTTTCACCGTGTTAGCCAGGATGGTCTCAATCTCCTGACCTCGTGATCCGCCTGCCTTAGCCTCCCAAAGCGCTGGGATTACAGGCGTGAGCCACCGCGCCCGGCGCTCAGGCTGGTTTTGAACTCCTGGGCTCAAGCCGTCCTCCCACCTAGGCCTCTCAAAGTGCTGGGATTACAGGCGTGAGCCACCACACGCGGACTACAAAATAAAACTATTGATAAAACATTTCTAAAGGCGTAAAGTAGGCACAATTGGTTAAAAATAGGCGTTAAAAATGTCAAAATAAGGGAAGGCTAGACCCAGTTTACCGGAATTGCGCTGGTGATGGAGGGTTGCTAGTATACCACAATTATGTTTATTATGTCCCATAACCGAGGGGCCGTCATGGCCATGAAGGAGAAGAGCTGTTTGGCTATAGCTGCAGACAGGCGCTTCGGGATCCAGGCCCAAATGGTTACCACGGACTTCCAGATCTTTCCCATGGGTGACCGGCTGTATATCCATCTGGCCCGGCTCGTCACTGACATCGAGACAGTTGTCCAGTGCCTCAAGTTCCGGCTGAACCTGTGTGAGTTGAAGGAAGGTCGGCAGTCAAATCTTATACCCTATGAGCATGGTGGCCAAGGCCTCTTGTCTGAGAAACGTTTGGCCCCTACTATACTGAGCCAGTCATTGCTGGGTTGGACCTGAAGACCTTTAAGCCCTTTATTTGCTCTCTAGAGCTCATTGGCTGACCCATGGTGACTGAAGACTTTATGGTCAGTGGCACCTGTGCAGAACAAATATATGAAATGTGCGAGTCCCTCTGGGAGTGCAACATGGATCCAGAACAGCTGTTTGAAACCATCTTCCAAGCCATGCTGAATGCTGTGGACCGGGATGCCGTGTCAGGCATGGGAGTCATTGTCCACATCACTGAGAAGGACAAAATCACCACCAGGACACTGAAGGCCCTAATGGACTAACCCTGTTCCCAGAGCCCACTTAAAAAAACAAAACAAAACAAACAAATATATATATATGTATATATCCTTTCTTAAAAAAATCAAAATAAAACATTCTATCATTTTGTTTAAATGTTTTATACACTATTTTTTCCTATTGTATGATTAGTGGATCTCAAATATAAAAATATAAAACCAAAACAACATAATGAACACCCAAATCCATTCCACTTAGAGCTTATCATTGTTAATACTTTGGTATGTATGTGTCTATTTATCTATTATCTATTGATCTGAATACATATATTTTATACATCTAGATACATATTTTATCCAGATGTATATATATCTATCTGTCATGTATTGATCTGAATACATATTTTATTGAAAATTTAATATTTTTAATCTTTTTTATCATTTAGCAATACATTATAAACTTCTATGTCAAAAAACGTTTAAAGAATAACATTTCGTTTTAGAATAGTTGTGAATTTATAGAAAAATTGCTAAGATAGTACATGTGATTCCCATATACTCCACACCCAGTTTCCTTTATTATTGTCTTAAATTAGTAGGTACATTTGTCACAATTAATGAACCAATATTGATACATTATTATTAATTCAAGTCTGTACTTTAGTCAGATTTTCTTCGTTTTCATTTAATGTCTTTTTTTTTTGTTTCAGGATTCCATCCAGGATAACATATTACATCCAGTTGTCATGTCTTCCTAATTTCTCAGACTTTCCTGTTTTTGATGATCTTGACAATTTCAAGGAGTAGAGTAGTTAGGTGTTTTTAGGGTGCACTGTTATTGAAATTTTGTTTTCTTTTTTTTTTGAGATGGAGTCTCACTCTGTCACCCAGGCTGGAGTGCAGTGGCGCAATCTTGGCTCACTGAAAACTCTGCCTCCCGGGTTCACGCCATTCTCCTGCCTCAGCCTCCTGAGTAGCTGGGACTACAGGGGCCCGCCACCACGCCCGGCTAATTTTTTTGTATTTTTAGTAGAGATGGGGTTTCACCATGTTAGCCAGGATGGTCTTGATCTCCTGACCTCGTGATCCACCCACCTTGGCCTCCCAAAGTGCTGGGATTACAGGCGTGAGCCACCGCACCTGGCCCTGTTATTCCACTTTATCTGATGTTTTTATCATGATTAGTCTGGGGTTATGGATTTTGGGAGGAAGGCCATAGAGGAAATGTGAGTACATGAGATTTGGGAGGGGCTGGGGTGGAATGATATGGTTTGGCTGTGTCCCCACCCAAATCTTATCTTGAATTGTAGTTCCCATAATCACCACGTGTGGTGGGAGGGACCCCGTGGGAGGTAATTGAATCATGGGGGCGGTTCCCCCATGCTATTCTCATGATAGTAAGTTCTCACAAGATCTGGTGGTTTTATAAAGGGCTGTCACTGTCAATGTTGACCACAGTCACCTGCCTGAGGTGGTGTGTTTGTCAGGTTGCTGTATGGTAAAGTTGTTCTTTTCCTTTCCTGTCTAGAAAGTCACTATCTGTAGCCCACACTTAAGGAGTAGGGGGTTATGTCTTCCCTCCTTGAGGGCAAGCTACCTACACTTTTTTATATTTACATATTTTTACATATTTTATTTATATATTATTTATATATTACATATTTACATATTTTTTGGAGTTTTTAACACACTTTTGCAACCTAAAAAAGAAAAATAACCCAAACAAACAAGAGACTGCCTTGTATTAGAAGTATCTCCAAAGAACACTATGAGGATATGAATCTGTGACAATGAAGAAAACTTCTTTCTTGGTTAAGTGACATACATAATGTATTACTGTGTTCTCATGCTGAAAATAAAGACATACCTGAGACTGGGTAATTTATAAAGGAAAGAGGTTTAATTCACTCACAGTTCAGCATGCCTGCAGAGGTCTCAGGAGACTTACAATCATGGTGGAAGACATCTCTTCACAGGGTGGTAGGAGAGAGAATGAGCACTGAGTAAAGGGGGAATCCCCTTATAAAACCACCAGATCTTGTGAGAACTTACTCACTATCATGAGAATAGCATGGGGGAAATCGCCCCCATGATTCAAATTACCTCCCACCAGGTCCCTCCCTCCGCACGTGGTGATTATGGGAACTACAATTCCAGATGAGATTTGGGTGGGGATATGGCCAAACAATATTTTTCCACCCTGGCCCCTCCCAAATCTCATGCCCTCACATTCCAAAACACAATCATGCCTTTCCAACAGACCCCCAAAGTCTTGGCTCATTTCAGCATTAACCCAAAAGTCCAAGTCCAAAGTCTTATCTGAGACAAGGCAAGTCCTTTCTGCCTATGAGCCTGTAAAATCAAAAGCAAGTTAGTTACTTCCTAGATAAATGGGGGTACAGTCATTGAGTAAACACACCCATTCCAAATGGGAGAAATTGGCCAAAACAAAGGGGCTACAGGACCCATGCAAGTCTGAAATCCAATAGGGCAGTCACTAAGCCTCAAATTTCCAAAATGATCTCCTTTGACTTTATGTCTCACATCCAGGTCACACTGATGCAAGAGGTGGGCTCCCATGGCCTTGGGTAGCTCCATCCCCATGGCTTTGCAGGGTACAGCCCCCCTCCCAGCTGTTTTAATGGCTGGTGTTGAGTGTCTGTGGCTTTTCCAGGTGCAAGGGTGGAAAAGCTGTCAGTGGGTCTACCATCTTGGTGTCTGGAGGACGGTGGTCTTTTTCTCACAGCTCCACTAGACAGTGCCCCAGTGGGGAATCTGTGTGTGGGCTCCAACTCACATTTCTCTTCTGCACTGCTGTAGCAGAGATTCTCTATGAGAGCTCTGCCCCTGCAGTAAACTTCTGCCTGGGCATCCAGGCATTTCCATACATCCTCTGAAATCTAGGTGGAGGCTCCCAAACCTCAGTTCTTGACTTCTGTGCACCCGCAGGCTCAACACCAAGTGGAAACTGCCAAGACTTGGGGCTTGCACCCTCTGAAGCCATGGCCTGAGCTGTACCTCGGCCCCAGCCATGGTTGGAGCAGCTGGGACACAGGGCACCAAGTCCTGAGGCTGCACATAGCCACGGGGCCCTGGACCCAACCCAAGAAACCATTTTTTTTCCTCCTAGGCCTGCGGCCCTGTGATGGGAGGGGCTGCTGTGAAAATCTCTGACATGCCCTGGAGGTATTTTCCCCACTGTCTTAGCGATTAGCATTTGACTCCCCATTACTTATGCAAATTTCTGCAGCTGGCTTGAACTTCTACCCAGAAAATGGGGTTTTCTTTTCTACTGCATTGTCAGGCTGCACATTTTCCAAACTTTTATGCCATGTCACCTCTTGAATGCTTTGCTGCTTTAGAGATTTTTTTCTGCCAGGTACCCTAAAACATCTCTCTCTAGTTCAAAGTTCCACAGCAAAATGCCGCCAGTCTGTTTGCAAAGCAAGAGTGCCCTTTACTCCGGGTTCCCAACAAGTTCCTTATCTCCATCTGTATTAGTCTGTTCTCATGCTGCTATAAATGACTAAGACTGGGTAATTTATAAAGGAGAGAGGTTTAATTGACTCACAGTTCCACGTGGCTGGGGAGGCCTCAGGAAACTTATAATCATGGTGGAAGGGGAAGCAAACATGTCCTTCTTTACATGATGGCAGAAAGGAGAAGTGATGAGCAAAAGGGGGAAGAGCCACTTATAAAACCATCACATCTTGTGAGAACTCACTCACTATCATGAGAACAGCAGCATGGGGGTAACTGCCCTCGTGTTTCAATTACTTCCCCCCAGGTCCCTCCCACAACATGTGGGGATTATGGGAACTACAATTCAAAATGAGATTGGGTGGGGACACAGCCAAACTGTGGCAGGCCAGGTCTCACTAATGCAGGCCTCCATAACAACTGTTTCAGTACTGACTGAGTGGTTAAGTTAAATATTAAAAGCCAGTGCCCTTATACAAAGGCTGGGATGTAACAGTAGCCCGTCAAGAGTTTTGCCTACGCCTTTCTTGGGCCTTAATGCATGACAAAATAACAGGAATTCTTAACAGGACCCATTTAGGATTAAACAAGTTTTATTGTGGGTCTGAAGAAACTCCCCAGGCCTCCACAAACAAGTTTATTGGGGGTCTGAAGGAACTCCCCAAACCTCCATGATTTAGTGGGAGACAAGATAAGGGTAATCACCCCAGCACCTTGACCCATTTAGATTAAGTAAATTTACTGAGGCTCCAGAGAAAGGTCTTCAGGACTCAGATCTTAGTTATAGATTAAAAGAAGTTAATCACTTATGTGTTTAGATAAATATACACTTACATGTAGACATACAGCTTAGAAGGCATGTAAGCTCTGGAAAACTTTGTAATTTTGAGTTGGTCTGGTGATAATTTCCAGGCCTTCTCCCAGTAGCTGGCTACAGAAATAAAAACTCTCTTGCTCCCCAGTTCCTCTGCATCTCATTATTGGGCCACGAGAAATAGCAGCTCGACCCTCAGTTTGGTCCAGGAACAAAACCATATCACCATCTGAGACCACCTCAGCCTGGACTTAATTGTTCATATCACTATCAGCATTTTGGTCAAAGCCATTCTGCAAGTCTCTAGGAAGTTCCAGACTTTCCCACATTTTCCATTTTTCTTCTGAGCCCTCCAAACTGCTCCAACCTCTGCCTGTTACCCAGTTCCAAAATTGCTTCCACATTTTTGGGTATCTTTACAGCAGTGCTCCACTCTGTGTGGTACCAATTTACTGTATTAGTCTGTTCTCACACTGCTAATAAAGACATATCCAAGACTGGGTAATTTATAAAGGAAAGAGGTTTGACTCACAGTTCGGCATGACTGGGGAGGCCTCAGGAAACTTACAATCATGGCAGAAGGGGAAACAAACACATCCTTCTTCACATGGTGGCAGGAGAGAGAATGAGAACCGAGTGAATTGGGAAGCCCCTTATAAAACCATCAGATCTTGTGAGAACTTACTATCATGAGAACAGCATGAGGGAAACCACCTCCATGATTCAATTACTTCCCATTGGGTCCCTCCCACCACACGTGGAGATTATGGGAACCACAATTCAAGATGAGATTTGGGTGGGGACACAGCCAAACCATATCACATATTAAGGACCTACAATTTTTTATTCATTGAGCCATTAGTGCTTGAGAAATACTTTCTTTTGTGTCACCTCTGTCATCCCCTGCTGCAGTAGATGTCATTTGCCCCAACTCAGATCTAAGAAAATGTTTCCTATTTCTAAAGGACAGACAATATTGAAATCTTTTGCAGCAGCTAGGGAGTGGGCTGAACCCCTCAGCTGGGTTGCGAAGTTCTCCCACAAGTCAGGCCTGTTTCTCATTCAGTGGTTTTCTTTGAAGATTAGCACTGTTTTACAAAAGGATTTTTAAAAAGTCCTCTCCCCTCTCCCCTGTCCCCTCACCCCTCTCCCTCTCTGCACGGTCTCTCTCTGATGCCGAGCCGAGGCTGGACTGTACTGCCGCCATCTCGACTCACTGCAACCTCCCTGCCTGATTCTCCTGCCTCAGCCTGCTGAGTGCCTGGGATTGCAGGCGCGCGCCGCCACGCCTGACTGGTTTTCGTATTTTTTGGTGGAGACGGGATTTCACCGTGTTGGCCGGGCTGGTCTCCAGCTCCTGACCACGAATGATCTGCCAGCCTCGGCCTCCCGAGGAGCCGGGATTGCAGACAGAGTCTCGCTCACTCAGTGCTCAACGTTGCCCAGGCTGGAGTGCAGTGGCGTGATCTCGGCTCGCTACAACCTCCACCTCCCAGCTGCCTGCCTTGGCCTCCCAAAGTGCCGAGATTGCAGCCTCTGCCCGGCCGCCACCCCATCTAGGAAGTGAGGAGCGTCTCTGCCTGGCCGCCCATCGTCTGGGATGTGAGGAGCCCCTCTGCCGGGCCACCCAGTCTGGGAAGTGAGGAGCGCCTCTTCCCGGCCGTCATCCCGTCTAGGAAGTGAGGAGCGTCTCTGCCCGGCCGCCCATTGTCTGGGATGTGGGCAGCGCCTCTGCCCCGCCGCCCCATCTGAGATGTGAAGAGCACCTCTGCCAGGCCTCGACCCCGTCTGGGAACTGAGGAGTGTCTCTGCCCCACCGCCACCCCGTCTGGGAGGTGAGGAGCGTCTCTGACCGGCCACCCCCTCTGAGAAGTGAGGAGCCCCTCCGCCCGGCAGCCGCCCAGTCTGGGAAGTGAGGAGCGTCTCCGCCCGGCAGCCGCCCCGTCGGGGAGGTGGGGGGCAGCCCCCGCCCAGCCGCCGCCCCGTCTGGGAGGTGGGGTGTGCCTCTGCCCTGCCGCCACCCCGTCTGGGAGGTGTACCCAACAGCTCATTGAGAATGGGCCATGATGACGATGGCGGTTTTGTCGAATAGAAAAGGGGGAAATGTGGGGAAAAGAAAGAGAGATCAGATTGTTACTGTGTCTGTGTAGAAAGAAGTAGACATAGGAGACTCCATTTTGTTCTGTACTAAGAAAAATTCTTCTGCCTTGGGATGCTGTTAATCTATAACCTTACCCCCAACCCCGTGCTCTCTGAAACATGTGCTGTGTCCACTAAGGGTTAAATGGATTAAGGGCGGTGCAAGATGTGCTTTGCTAAACAGATGCTTGAAGGCAGCATGCTCCTTAAGAGTCATCACCACTCCCTAATCTCAAGTACCCAGGGATACAAGCACTGCAGAAGGCCGCAGGGCCCTCTGCCTAGGAAAACCAGAGACGTTTATTCACATGTTTATCTGCTGACCTTCCCTCCACTATTGTCCTATGACCCTGCCAAATCCCCCTCTCCGAGAAACACCCAAGAATGATCAATAAATACTAAAAAAATTAAAAAAAAAAGTGCTTTCCAGAATTAGCCAGATGTGGTTGTGTGTGCTGTAGTGTCAGCTACTTGGGAGGCTGAAGTGGGAGGATCGCTTAAGCCCAGGAGTTTCAGGTTGCAGTGAGCTGTGTTTGTGTTACTGCACTCCAACCTGGGTGTCAGAGAGTCTCATAAAAAAAATTATATATATATAAAAGAAGAAGGCAGCTAAGCTAGGGAATAATTCTACGCATGGGCCACAAAGGCAGAAGGCAGCCCTTTGGGCAATGGACTGGGCAGTTTAGCAGATAGAAATCGGCCAAGGCATTGAAACACTTGGTTTCTGAGCCCAGCTTCATTCAGGCCTTGCTGACGGACCGCAAATAAATCCCAGCCCCCTCCTCATGTAGTCTCTCCACTGTTTGGGATGGAGACTCTAGACCTAGGAGCTTAGGCACAGTGATGAGGCAGGAGAAAGTCACTTCCTTTTCCCTGGTCCCTGGGCAAAACTTTATTCCCCCTTCTTCATCTTGCCTTGCCTACTTTCCCTCCCCACTCTCTGCTCTGCGAACTAGGCTCTTGGGGAGATTGAGGTGCTGCGAGGGCTGCCCAGGAGGGGCCCCATCTGAAGGTAAAGCCCCACCAGGCCTTTATCCGTGGTCTTTGATCCTGTCTTCTCTCTCACTCTTGCTCTCACTCCCACTCACTCTGCACCTCATGGTGGATCCATTTTTCTTCTGATCTCCTGTCAGCTTTATTCTGTCTGCTCACCCACTTTTCTGCCCATATTCTCAACCACTTTCTCAAAGGCAGCTGTCCCGCTGGTCCCAGCTCTTTGCTCCTAGAGCCCAGAACTCGGGTGAGTGGAACCACCCTGGTGTCCGTTAAGTCCCCAGCCTTGAGGAAGGTCCTGCCATTTTCCCTCAACTCCCCTGGCTAATCTTCCTGTTCAGAGGAGTTTTCTGGGCGGGAAGGAGAGCTGGGCTGTTCCTGTGGCCTCTCCCACAGCTTTCCTGCTGCGGCCTTTGTCTTTGCCTGGATGCTTCCTGGGGCAGCACGAGCCCTCCTCTGGCCCCGTCCTCCAGTCTGGCCTTGGGGACATGGCGGTGGCAATGGCACAGCATGACTGAGCTTGTTTTGTTGGTGCTCTCAGGTTTTGGTTCCGTCCGGGGCCTTCTGTTTTGGGCAGTGCTCTGCAAACATCTGGTGACCCTGCTGGACAACTCCCTGATCGTCGTCCTCGCCCTGGCAGCCTCTGCCTGCGCTGGCCCACGCACTTCCTCCTGCACCACTTCTCCTTAGGGGAGGTCCCACGCCACAGCGGCGGAGTCTCGGATGCAGGCCGATTCCCTTCCCCCGCCGCACTAGCCCACCGGTAGGCGGCTTCCCGCTGCTGGGTTTCTTCGCCCTCCCTGGCATCGCCGAATGCGCTTGCGCAGGGCCATGGCCTCCGCCGCTGTGACGCCATCTGCCGGCCGCTGCATTCTACTACCTGAGGAGCCCTAGTCTTCCGAGCCCGCTTCGCCTTCACCTTGCCCTTCTGCGGCGCAGCACCACCCGCTACTTCCGGCTGGATTCTCGGCCTGTGCTGAGACCTTTAAAATAACACTGATTTTCTTAACTTTTGCAAACTATGCATCTGACAAAGGTCTAATATCCAACATATATAAAGAACTTCGGGAGGCTGAGGCAGGAGAATGGTGAGAACCCGGGAGGCGGAGCTTGCAGTGAGCCGAGATTGCACCACTGCACTCCAGCCTGGGCAACAGAGTGAGACTCCATCTCAAAAAAAAAAAGAACTTAAATTTATAAGAAAAAAAACCAAACAATCCTACTAAAAAGTGGGCAAAAGACATGAATAGACACTTTTCAAAAGAAGACATACATGCAGTCAACAAGCTTATGAAAAAAAGCTCAACATCGCTGATCATTAGGGAAACGCAAATCAAAACCATAATGAGATACCACCTCACACCAGTCAGAATGGCTATTACTAAAAAGCAAAAAACAAAAACAAAACAGATGCTAATGAGGTTGTGGAGAAAAAGGAACACTTGTATACTGCTGATGGGAGTGTAAATTAGTTCAACCATTGTGGAAGACAGTGTGGCAAGGAAGAGAAGAATGGGGAAGGTATAGATACTTAATATTCTTATGATGCAGAAAGGATCCAATGAAGACACAAACTCACTTTTCCTCAGTTTACCAAGGACTGGGTGGGACATATTTGGACTGGAAGTACACTATGAATACCAGGGAGCAAAAAGCCCATGTCTGTCCTTGGGAGTAGGGGACATCAAAGAAGAGAATAGATTTCTTTCTTTTAGTGGAAAGTCTAGGAGTAGAGGATAAGGAGCTGGCTAAGGAAGGCTGACCAGAAGGCTGGGTTGTAGATAGCACTATGACAGGGTGGTTTGGAGCTTGCCTCTGGTGGTTGGCAAGTCCAAGATCAAATCCTGATCATCACTTACCATCTGAAATAGTGGGAGTTTTCTTTACATCTTTGTGCCTTAAATTCTGCATCTGTAAAGTCATGACAATAATCGTTTCTATGTATCACAGGGTTGCTGTGAGGATTAAACACAGCCTTCCTCAGCCATTCTATACCACATCATCACTTGACATATAAATTAACTTGTTTGTTTGTGGCTTCTCTCCTTTCATTAAAATGAGATGTACCATAAAGGGGGAAGGGAAGAAACTGCCTGTCTTGTTTACCAGTGTATCCCTAGTGCCTGGCACATAGTAGGTATTCAGGAAATATTTGCTGAATCGATAAGTAAATGAATATATGAAAGCTGCTTAGCACAGTGCATGTAGGTAATAGTGTTCACTAATCTATTTCGATTATACTATAATTGCTACTACTATCATTTGCCTTCTTATGAACTTTGATGATGACTTTCAGAGCAGTTTTTAGATGTCTTAAAAGTTTGAGACTTTGTTAAAAAAATCCCCCTAAAGTTGCTGGAAAGTTTAAAATGTGTTAATGCTGAAGAGAGGAAGGGGAGAAGTGTGTGTGGGATTTGGGGAAGAGAGTTTTTGGAAAAGAGGAAATCCTGGTGTGAGCTATGAGGGGGATAACTCAGAAAGGATCAGATGGGCCATAGGGGCCATGAAAGAGGAGGAAAGAAGCAGGTGAACAATTCTGGGTTAGAGAAAACCTGACTCTGGTAGCTCAAGGAGTTGAGAGGAATCTTGGAAAACCAGGCTTAGGCAATGATCAGGTACCAAAAGAAGCTGAGAGGCCAGAACCACAGGCCAGGTCATAGCACAGGGGTGGTTGGCTAGGATGCTGCAGGCACTGCTGGCACTGTTGCCCGTGACTCCTCTGGCACCGTGCAGGTGCTGAGGCTGCTGCTGGTGGGCCTGGATGCCACTGTGGTCATCACCAAAATGAATTGTAAACTTTACTTCTTTGAATCACTTGCACCTGATTCAAAGTCTTAGGCAGTTGCATCTGCTAGGACTAGCTAAGATCACAGGGCTGTGTCTCGGCTGTCAGAGTTTAGAGAATCCACAAATTTGGGCCTAATGGCTTCTGTAGAAGTGGATAGAGCTTTGTCCCCCACAAGCTCTATCCACTTAGAGCTTGGGGGGAAGACCCTGTTAAGTTCATGGATGGCCTCCTTTCCTGCCATTATGACCCTTCTATTTGTAGGCCTATTAAGAATGAACTGGGGCCAAGCTCAGTGGTCCACACCTGTAATCCTAGCAATTTTGGAAGGCCAAGGTGGGAGGATCACTTGAGGCTAGGAGTGCAAGACCAGCCTGAGTAACATAGCGAGCCCTCATCTTTACAAAAGTAAAAATAAAAAATTAGTTGGAGGTCATGGCATGTGCCTGTGGTCCTAGCTATTTGGGTGGCTGAGGCGGGAGGATCACTTGAGCCTAGGAGTTCGAAGCTGCAATGAGCCTTGATTTTACCACTGCACTCCAGCCTGGGCGACAGAGCAAGCTCCTGCTCCCACATCCCCATACCCCCCAAAAAGATTGATTTGCTGGAGAATGAGGTATATGCAACCTCCTTTTGTTTTCAGGCTGTGCTTGGGCCCCATCTGATTTTACCAATTTCACTTGTCTATTAAGTGCTATTGGGGATACTTAACTTTAGGGTGAGTGGGTCAAATTACACCCAATTCATGGTGTGCAATACTGTTCCATAGTCACCTGGTGTCCAGTGGTCAGCTGTTCAGTGTATACTGTTGCCTACAAGCAGCCCAAGAGCAGTTTCACAAAAGGATCTTGATTGTTTGCCCCAAAGGGCAAGGTTTGGCTCCCAAATCTGTGATTCACCTCTTGGATTTACCGCAGGCTCCAGTGCCACTGACACTGAGCCTCTTACAGTCTGCTGGGCAGTTGGGAGGCCCAGTGGCGGAACTGCAGCGTGGGCCACTGGGAGAGCATTTGCTTCCTCTGGCTTTTAGGACATCCGATAAGTGGGTTGAAGCAGCCAACCCAAAAGGACTATATGTCGCTTCCCAAATCCAGATAACTACAAGAGGTCTTTTCTTACTGTAGGGAGCAAAAGGTGAGGCAACTTGTCCGTAACATTTGAGGAGATACCCTGATATCCCCAGAAAACCTTCACAGAGAGGCCAGGCCCCTAAATTTATCTCCTAGTTATAAATGTACATCAAGGGTACCTGCCATTTTCCTCTCTCCAGATGCTGTCAGTGTAGTTTCATCAATAGAATGGACCAGTGTGGTGCTCTACGGGGTGGTGACCTGATGAAGGTGCCTGTGGATTTGGTGGCGCAGAGCGAGAAAGCCGATGTAACCCTGAGGCAGGATAAGAAGGGTGACCTTGTGCCCTGCCAGGCAACAGCAAGTGGCTTCTGGAATCTTCTCTGCTTATGAGACGGGAAAAATTGCATTTTCTTTCTCAAGATTTGCATACCCAGTCCAGATGAGAGGAAGTGGCTTCCAGCAGAGGAGGCTCTCCTGTCCCCGCCCCCCACACCGTGTGTCACTGATCTCATTTTCTTGCCTCTGTTTATGCTCCTTAGCTCCTTGGCTGCCCTCATCTTTCTACTTTCTCTAAACTCACGTTTTTGGAGGGAGAATTGAAAGCATGGGCTCTAGAGCTGGAAACTCAAGTCTGTTATTTCCTAGCTGTGTTACCTAGGGAAAGTTGTTTAATGTCTCTGTGCCTCGGTTTCCTCAACTGGTTGAAATTGGCATAACAATAGAGTTGACCTACAGGTGGACCTACTGTCAAGCTTAAGCTTTTGGGGCTCTTCATTTGTATGGGTTCCTCATAAAGGTGTGGAAAGAGCCTTAGCAATTGTGTTCCTGTGGTCAAATGTCCTTATATAAATTGCAGAAGTGATGTGTTAACTGCAGGCTGTTGTAATGTCTGTCTTTTTCACTCTTGCTTCCTCTCTGTCACATTTCCTCTTCTTCTGGGGGGTGTTGAAGTAGCCATGGATATTTTTTATTAAATAGAGCTGTCTTAAATTGTATGAGCTTTAGGTCCCATAAAATTGAGATCTGTACCTCGTAGAGTTTTTATGGGGATTAAATAAGACAGTTACAGGTTAAGAGGTTAGTATAGTCTTTGGTACCTAGCATGTATGTGATGTTACCTATTCTTATTACTATTCATTCTGGTTTGACTGTCTTTCCATGCTTCCTGTTCAGATTCTAATCATCTCCAAGTTCTGCCTGCTCCAGATCACTGCACCGTATCTCTCTATCTTTTCAGTAGAGAGTGTCTTGGCCACCTGGATCCTGGTTGCAGCAGTGGCATCTCTGGGGGACATTTGTCTTTTTTTCTGTCTGTCCAGTGCCTTTGGAACACCCTTTCAATGTTTGGGAAGTTTTATGCCTCACTGGTCTTCATTCCCCAAGGTAAATTGCTTTTCCAGATTCTACAGAGGAGGATGCAGAATTCACCATCTAATGAGCTTGTAGGGAAGGCATCTGGCAGAGCCCAGGCCTGTCGTCCCGAGAGCCAGCTGTAGGCACTGGGCAGTGCTGTGTGAACTGTGCTGCCAGTGCCGTGGAGTTGACACTGGAGCTGCCCTTGCGGGTGCTGAGTGTCACCCTGGCCACACGGCTGGTAAACCTGTTCCCCTTGGAGACGCTGTGCACTGTGAAATCTTCTTTGAATAATTAGTCTCTGCTTAAGATGATCAGAGTGGAATCTGTCGTTTGCAACTAAGTGCCCTGACTGATGGACTGGTTTGTGGTCTCTGTGTCTCTTTTTGGTGCCTCTATTACCTATTTTCCATACCACAGCTAGAGTGATCTTTTAAAAACTCAAACCTGGTCTTGTCACTGAGGATGAGCCCCCAAGTTCTCAAGTGGCCCACAACATCCTTATGGTCTGTACCCAGTGGAGGTGGGAGCACTAGTAATTACCCTGATCCTTAGGCTTTCCACAAGGTGAAGGGATTTTTTATTCCACTCCCAGAGAGAAACAAGTGTAGAAACACTTCCTGCCGTCCTCTCTGGCCCCTGACTTGCTTCTTCATAGGTGGAGGAGTGACCTTAGTTACTCATGGTACTGTAGAGAGCATTTTTGCCTTCTTTGGTTTTTCTTTCAGGCTGTCTTGCCTTTGGCCACATGTACTCTTTTCCCTTCAAATGGTGAGCCCCTGCTTGGAGTGACCTGTAATTTGTATGGATCCTCTGTCTGTAACTGGGTGATAGTGGTGAATGCAGGGAGTATGACATTTATTTTGTTTTATTATTTTAATTAAAAAAACCTAAATAGAGGCAGGGTCTCGCTATGTTGGCCAGGCTGATTTCAAACTCTTAGTCTTAAGCAATCCTCCTGCCTTGGCCTTCCAAAGTGCTGGGATTACAGGCATGAGCCACTGCACCTGGCCTATTATTTTAATTGATACATAATAATTGTACATATTTGTGGGGTACACTGTGATGTTTTAATACATGTATACACTTGTGTAATAAGTAAATCAAGATATTTAGCATATTGTAAACTAAAGATGAAATCCCACGCCCCCCACCCACTGAGAAACCTTAAAAACGGAGTCCTCAGCCATGATGGCTGCTTTCATGACTGACATGGACCTCTGGCTACCGGTGCAGCCATGGCAATCACTGTGCTCAGGGATCCAGAACAATCTAGAAGATGGAATAGAAGGTCAGACACACTTTATTGTACCTCCTCTCTTCTATGGTTTAGACACAACAATTGACCAGCATTAATGTTAAAATAGAGGTCATGAGATTGACAGAATAGACTCTTTGTGGCAATAATATATCAAATTATGAACAGGACTTAAGGCCATGCCAGGCAAAGGTTAAGTCACACATTCCTACACTTAAAGAATAAACTATGTTCTAACTGCCACAAGGTTTTCCTTTTTCTCTAGCAGCTAAACAAGCTCTGGCTTCGAGATAAGCAATAGCAAAACAGTTGTAGCTCCTCCACCACCAGACACTTACTGGCTGACTCCCCTGTTCCACAAGCCATAACTACAGCTTTGATTGGCCAAATGATTGATTTCAGTAACTTTCTCCTGATAAGAAGACCACTGCCCAGGGGCTGCTTCTGGCCAGTTTACAGAGGCTGCACACTTGAATGCCTTTGTGTCTCTGCTTCACCTTTTGATGTAAGGGTCTAAATTGTAATGCACGTAAATGTTAAGTTTGCACCCCAAGGTGAACATGGGTCATATGCTACATATATGTTTATTTAGCACCTACATGTTAGGACCACCTTCAGGAATATTCCTAGCTCCTCCCGTAACCTACTGAATGTGTACACCTGGCCAACCTGCTTAGCACATAAATCCCTGTTCCACCTGCCTCTCCCTCGAAGTGCCTGCCTTTTGGGCTTTGGCTGGAGCCTATGCTTCCCAGCCTGTTAGAATGGCCACCTTACATGCTGTAACAGTTTTTAAGAAATAAAGCCTCCTGCTGGGGGCGGTGGCTCACGCCTGTAATCCTAGCACTTTGGGAGGCCAAGGTGGATGGATCACTTGAGCTCAGGAGTTCGAAACTAGCCTGGGCCACATGGTGAAGCCCCGTTTCTACAAAAAAACAAAAACAGACAAAAAAACCCCAAAATTAGCTGGTATGGCAGCATGTGCCTGTAGTCCCAGCTACTTGGGAAGCTGAGGCTGGAGGATCACTTGAACCAGGGAGGCTGAGGTTGCAGTGAGCCAAGATCATACCACTGCATTCCAGCCTGGGTGACAAAGTGAGACCCTGTCTTAGAAAAAAAAAAAAAAAGAAATCTCCCTTTCTAAATTTATAATTACCTTATGCCTTTATCATTTCTTTGTGGTGAAAACATTCAAAATTCTCTATTCTAGCTATTTTGAAATCTACAATACAATATTGTTACCTGAGGTCACCCTATGGTGCCATAGAACACTAGAACTTATTCCTTCTAAACGTACCTTTGTATCCACTGACCAATCCCTCCCTATGTCCCCTTCCCCACTTCCTTCTCCAGGCTCTGGTAACCACCATTCTACTCTCTATTTCTAGGAATGAGAACAACTTCATGAGACTTATTTTGACTGGATCATCTGAGGTCAGGAGTTCTAGACCAGCCTGGCCAACATAGTGAAACCCCATCTCTACTGAAAATACAGAATTAGCCGGGCGTGCCTGTAATCTCAGCTACTTGGGAAGCTGAGGCAGGAGAATTGCTTAAACCTGGGAGGTGGTGGAGGTTGCAGTGAGCCGAGACTGCGTCTTTGCACTGCAGCCTGGGCGACAAGAGCAAAACTTCATCAAAAAAAAAAAAAAAAAAAGAAAAAAGAAAAGAAAGAAGTGGGTGCAGAGGCTGGGCTACAGAAGAACACACTGATTCCCATGGCTGAATACTCCTTCGCACAAGAGCAGAGCCTCTGTGAGGGATAAGGACTCCTTGAAGATCACAGGGGTGGTAAGAGGGAAGACTGGGTTCCCATCATTTCCTGAACAGCTCATGTTATTGATGAAATGTTGAGGTCTCTCCTCACTGAAAGCCAGAGTTTCTGGCATTTCTTGGCTAGAGGACACAAAGGTGGTAATGATGTGTGAGAGGTGAGGGAATAGAGGGGACGTGGAACAGCCTGTCTTTTTGCCTCGGCCTTCTGCTGCCCTTTAGCTATGGGGGGCTCCAGGGAATAAAGCAGGAGAAACATCTGTCCCTGGGCTGAGGGAAGTGGGCAGCCGGTGGCACCTCAGCACAGAGGGATGGGAGTGTTTTCCTTCCACCTTGTCTTGCTTCTGGCTCCCTGGTTAGCTCCAGCTCTGGATCCTGCCTCTCAAGCTGGTGGGTCTTCTGGAATCCCTGACCAGCTCTTTCCCAAAAGCACCCACAGTAGGACACCCCAGTGTGTTTCTGGGAGACATGTATAGGCTGTCCTGGGAGATAACTTTTCCTGATGTTTAACTTGGTCCTTTTTGATACCATCTGACCATCTTCCCTTTTGTGCTGGTATCTTGGGAAGGAGAGAGCCTTATGACTGGAACCCTCAGATGCCCCTCTTCCTGAAGGCCAAGGGGAGAACAGATGTTCCACTGAGTAGAGGAAAGCTCAGACACAGGTGGTGGAAGAAAATGTAACAGAGGGGCTAGGTAAACTCCTCCACAGGCTTTGGGTGGGCCACTTAGTTGGATGTCAAGTTCACAGACACCTGCTTTCATGACTGACATGGACCTCTGGCTACCGGTGCAGCCATGGCAATCACTGTGCTCAGGGATCCAGAACAATCTAGAAGATGCTAAATAAATGTCCTTTCCCTAGGGCAGCAATCACTTTCATTCTACCTTGACCTAATAACCCATGCTCTGATAGTGAGTGTGGACTCTGGGATAAGAGGCAATATGTAGATTTATCTCTGTTTTAATTTCAGCACTTTCTTCCAGGAAGCCTTTTCCTTTGAGGTGCTGCATGATTTCTGTGAGAGTGGGGTTTAAATCCAGTCCCTGAAGAGTGGGAGGATGAGCACTGAGTGAGTGAGCAGACATCCGAGTCCCTTCAGGGTGAGGGGCGCTGCCTCTTCACCAAGTGTCGCAGGGCCCTCCTCACGTCCTTGTTCCGAAGGGTGTAGATGATGGGGTTGAGCATGGGTGTGATGACTGTGTAGAAGAGACTGAGGACGCGGTCTGTGGTAACAGAGGAGCCTGCCTGCGGCCGGATGTAGGTGATGCTGGCTGTTCCAAAGAAGAGAGAGACCACGAGCAGATGGGAGGAGCAGGTGGAGAAGACCTTGCGGCGGCTCTGGGTGGAGGCCATTGCTAGGATGGCACCCAGGATGCGGATGTAAGAGGTGACAATCAGAGAGAAGGGGATCATAATGAAGACTATGGTGGCTGTCATCACGGAGATCTCGCTCCTGTGCTTCCCAGCACTTGCCAGCCTCAGTACTGGCAGGATGTCACAGAGAAAGTGCGGGATGATCGGGTGGCTGCGAAAAGGTAGAGAGAAGATGAGGGAGGCATGGGTGGTGGCCGTGATGATGCCTGTGAGCCAGGAGGTACCCACCATGGCCATGCAGGCCCGTGGGCTCAAGAGGGTGGAATAGCGTAGGGGCTGGCAGATGGCAACATATCGGTCATAGGCCATGGCCGTGAGCAGGCAGCACTCCGAGATGCCCAGGACAATGAAGACGTACATCTGGGCTGCACAGCCCTGGAAAGAGATGGCCTGGGGATGCGGGGAGCCCAGATTGGCCAGGGTCCTGGGCACGATGTCAGTGGTGTAGAAGAGCTCCACCACTGAGAGTTGGCGCAGGAAGAAGTACATGGGGGAGTGCAGGGCAGGGCTGACCTGTGTGAGGAGGATGATCAGGGAGTTACCCAGCAAGGTGACCAGGTAGACCAGAAGCACCACCCAGAACAGGGGGCCCTGCAGGGCCTTGAGGTCAGAGAATCCCAGAAGGAGGAATTCAGGCAGTGTAGTATGGTTTTCCCCAGCCATCACTCCAGGCCAGAAGCTGAGGCACAGCCAAGAAGAGAAGTTATTTAGAAATAACAAGCAACATTTCTGTAATTTGGTAAAGCACTTGCCACACAGTTCCTCTCAAAATCAAGTGAGAGAATTAATACCTTTCTCTGAATGAGCCATGGGTCTCAGAGAGATTAAATAATGTGTCTGAGGTAATATCTAGAAAGTGGCAGGCCTGGAACTTGAATCCAGGTCTCTTGACTCCAAATTCGACGCCTTTCTCACTGTTTCCTGGGCTCTCGTCCTGTGTCTGGGGCCTGACTCTCATATGTAAAGACTCTAGCTCTGATCTTTGGATCTCTCTCCAGAGTGAGGGGTGAAGCAGCTGCTATGACCTAGGCCCCTTTGTACTCTCTAGATGGATGCTGAGGCACAAAAGAAACTGGGTAGCACCAGGGACTGTCCCGAACTGGTGTCTAATGTTCACCATAGTGAGCTGTGGGTTAAGAGTGTCACACAGTGATATGACTATTTGTGATAATACTGCCCAATGGTATCATTGGGATTCTGACACCTTCCCTGATTTCTCTGTTCTCCTCTTATCTGGGGCCCTGTGATCAGCTACACTAGCTGTTCTGTCCCAGCACACCCTGTTCTGTCAGGCCTCCATGCATTGCCATAGTGTCTCCTTTCAGAGGATATTTCTATTCTTCATATTAAAATCCCATCACACTTCAAGCCTTCACTCAAGTTTCGCTATCTCGGTGGCAGCTTTCTGTGATCCTCAGGCTCAGAAATAATTATCCATGGCATTTCAAGATTAAAAGTGACATTTAGGAACATATATTTCCATATGACAGTACTTGGATCTTATCTTCAACATTTTAGAAGGGTGCTGTGCAGAGTCTGTTTGAACATCTGCAGTGATGGGGAACTCACCACCTATTGAGGTAGCCCTTTCTAGCTATGGCCTCTTCTGCCTGTAGGAAAAGACTTTACTGTATTGGTCTTGGCTAAATGCTTAGTATTTCATACAATATTTAACTCCTCTTGCACCAGAGAGCCCTTGAGTATTTGAGGAAGGCACTTTTATCTCTGCTTTCATGAGATGTTGCTTGTCCTTTTGTCCTAGCACTTATTACTCCACTGTGAGATCCTGCAGGACGTGGTGGGGAGGTGGGGAGGCAGTTACCTATTTTAGCAGCTGCTAATGTTTCCCAAGTGCTTGGTTCCTGCCAGGCACCATGCTAAGGGCTAAACATTCATTAAATCATTGGATCTTCCTAATTACACTACGACATAGAAACCTTCATTTTCTCCATTTTACAGATAAGGAGAGGGAAGCCCAGACAGTGTTAAGTAACTTTCTCAATGTCACACATTTTGTAAGTGACAGAGTTTGGGTTCAAATCCAGGTCTGCCTAACCCCAGAGCCTGTGATCTTAACCACCAAGTTATCAACTGCCTTGGAGGTTAATCACCAGTCAAAAAAAAAAAAAAAAAAAAAAAAAGAAAAAAAAAAAAACCAAGGCCAGGCGCAGTGGCTCACGCCTGTAATCCCAGCACTTTGGGAGGCTGAGGTGGGTGGATCACGAGGTCAGGAGATCGAGACCATCTTGGCTAACGCGGTGAAACCCCGTCTCTACTAAAAATACAAAAAATAAGCTGGGCGTGGTGGTGGGCGCCTGTAGTCCCAGCTACTCAGGAGGCTGAGGCAGTAGAATGACGTGAACTCAGAAGGTGGAGCTTGCAGTGAGCCGAGATCGTGCCACTGCACTCCAGCCTGGGCGACAGAGTGAGACTCTGCCTCAAAAAAAAAAAAAAAAAAAAAAAAGAGGTTAATCACCAGAAAAACAAGCTCAGTACTTGGACCATGTCGAGTGTTCGCTAAACATTTATTAGATGAGTGAACGAATCTCAGTTATAAAGACAGAGGAACTGATAAATAGAACAATTAAGTGATTTGCCTAAATTTAGGCAGCTAGTTTGACAAAGACAGGAAACTGGACTGGACTTTCAGAAGTCCTGGTCCCAAGATTCACGGAGCTTTGATCACCCATATTGACCCACGCCATGAGGTTAGTCTGGCCATCTTCATATTTAGGAAACAGAGCCTCAAAGTTCTATCCATTGCACTTAACTTTCATCCCACCCTCACTCTGCTCTCTCAACATATTTTTTTTTTTGTGGCCTTAAACCATTTATTCTAGCTTATGTTTGGAGAGTGCTGTGTGCTGGGGATTATACAGTATATCAGTTGACCTTTATAACAACATTAGTGACAATTGTTATTTTGTCATTGCAGATAAAGAACCAGAGCTCTGAGGGTTTAAACGACCTATGCAAGATCACAAAGTCAGTGAACAGCAGAACCAGAATTGTAATTTTGAGCCTGAGGTATCAACCACATACTTACTATATGTCTTGTGAGGCCAATAGCCTCACTCTACACTTTTGGGAGATGAACTTGCATGTAGTCAGTTTGGACAGAAGGAGTATCTGAGTTCATTAGTCCTCTCTACTTTCGTCCATAAATCTTCATGACATTTTGGGCTGGCTGATTAAAAAGGAAAAAAAAACTTTTCAGATGTCCACACCACCAAGAAAACACGAAATAGATCCTGATGTTTTCAAATTTTTAAAATGTTGTTTTTTTCAATTAAAAATATTTAGGAAACATTTGGAATAAATCCACCATTATTCCATCACCTTAAATTCTTTTTTTCTCATATATCACTCTCAAGTCTTTGTCCCACTGCAAACCCATATTCTATGCTTGTAGTCATAGTGTATATACCTTATGTCTTCTTTTCCTTTTTTAATGTTTGCTGTAAGCATTTTGCCATGAGACCGCATGGTATTCTGAACAATCTTTCAAAAAAAATTCTTGTAGTAGTCCATTGAATTTCTCCACTAACATTTAACAAACGCTTCTCATCCTTGTGCACTTTACGCTGTCCCATCTTTTTTTTGCTATGGTAGACAATGATGAAAACAATATTTTCATGTGTGTCTCAGTTTGCTCTGTTAGCTTATTCCCTTAGGGTAAATTAAGAGTAATATTATTGGCTAAGCATGTGGACATTTTTATGGGTCTCGCTGTGTTATAATTGTTTTGGATTCCTGTAGCTGGACACATGAGTGGCAATACCAACCTTTCATCTCTTAGTAAAACAGGTCCCTTAAAAAAAATTCAATAGCTTTAGGGGTACTAGTGGTTTTTGGTTACATGGATGAATTGTATAGTGATGAAGTCTGGCATTTTAGTGCACCCGTCATCCAAATAGTGTACATTGTGCCAATAGGATTTTTTTTTTTTTTTCCCCTCAGCCCTCTCTCACCCTGTCCTCTTCTGGACTCCTTGACCCTCCCTGTCCTCATCCAGGCCTGTCCCTCCCTCCATACTCACCTCACCTTTTCCACACTGTGAGCATTTCTTCACTCTCAGACCTCTAATTAGATTTTGCCTTAAGATGTCGTCCGTGAGGGTGGAGAGGCAAGTTTCCCCCAGATTGTCTGTTCTTCCTTCCCTATTTCCACTCTGACTCTGATAATTTCCCTTTTCCTCTTCCCACACATCCTGACACAGTTGGGACAATCTTCAGAGAGACATTGGCCCTGAAGTCACCACTAAACTTTTCAAAGCCTCCCACAGAGGATCGCTGAGAAAGACAGAGTAACTGCCCGCAGGGTCACAGAGAGGGGATGAAGTTCTTTTTAAAAAACACTATTTTTTATTGTGGTGAAAACATATAACATAAAATTTACTATCTTAACCATTTTAAGTGTATGTCTCAGTATTGTTAAGTATATTCAACAGAGCTCTAGAACTTTTTCATTTTGCAAAATGAAAACTCTATACCCATTAAGCAATTCTCCATTTCCCCCTTCCGTGGCTCTTTTTAAAACCATAAAACCATCCGTATACCTCCAATAAGCCTTAGAGAGACAGGCAGATGGCAAATTGATCAGTGAATGGGCATGTGGCTTGGGGAACAGCTAACCTGTGGTTAACCAGCTAGATGGACAGAGGATGACCAGCAGGGTGTGGCTGGCTGGCTACAGGACTGGTTACCCGTGACCCCTGGATGCAGGAGATGAGGCTGTTAAAGGCTGAATGGAACAGAAAGCAGATCTTGAGGGGTAGCTTTGACATCTTGGGGGCAAGGGAGTTGGGATTCTGGAGCCTAATGGGGTTGCGGGAAATGGGGGAAATGAGGGAAGGACAACATTTATTGGGTCAGAGAGGTCTGGGGGAGCACAGCCAGGCAATAAACTAGCTTTTGTTCTTTCAGATTTTTTGTTTTGTCTAAAGTATTAATGGGAGCTGCACATGGTGTATATGTGTGTGTGTTGGAGAGGGTGTGGGGCAGCAAAGGAGGATGCAGGCAGCTGTCTGTGGGATCTGGGATGGGACCCATTAACAGGAGCCTGAGAGATGCTGACCATAGACAGTACTGAGGCTGTGATGCCCAGCTGACTTACACACTGCACGCAAACCCACAAGCCTGTACACACTATCCACTGCCTCACTCCATCACTTCACCCCACACACCCCATCCTATTAGACATACCACAGACATGCCTATGACACGATCACCACACTTATAACATGCTACACATACCCCACAGCATACCTACTCACACCATACATAAAAGGTTTGCACAGTCTGCGTATATACACACTTGCCTTGTTCTGTTATGTGCAGTTTTATCTGGCAGAAATTGTCCAACATTCTCTGTCTCCTTCCCAGCCCTTCTCCCTGTCCAGCCAGCTTAATGATATCTGAATCACACCTCTGCAAATGCAATAGTAGAGATTTGGGAACCGTCTCTGGACTTTTTTCTCCCACGCCCAGGGACAGATACTGACTCCCAACACACAGCAAGAGGTCCTAAGGCCCTGAATGGGCCCTGATCTGCCCACTGTTCCTCTTCTCTTCCTGTTTTTGGCAGGGTCTAGATGCATCAGAGAAAGGCCCAAGGCTGCTTGGCACTGTGTGGAGCACTTACCCAAGGAGGTGAAATTGTCATCCTGCCAGGGAGGCGGGCTGTTGGGCACAGGGGAGGCTCTGCTGTTGCCCTCTCTCCTCCCAGGAAGCCTCAGCCTCTGTGGCGCCCATAGTCATTCTCCAGCTGGCGTTGTGCCTCCACCCTGCTGGAGATTTGGGAACCCCTGACTCTTGGGGTTTCCCTGGGTAACCCTGAGCTGAGACAGTGTCATGGGCCAGATAATTCTGTCTGGATCCCCAGTGCCTGCTGTGTTCTCCTCCTGTCCTTAGGCTCATTGCCCTTGGTCAACTTCCTGACACCGTTTTTCTCTGGGATAACTATTGCCTCCCCACTCATGAAGGGTCTCTTTGGTTACAGACGGCATGAGGTTTGAGGGTCTCTGTCCCTCATGTCTAGAGTCTCATCCTGGGAATTAACTCCCGTGAGTGAAATCTCAGCTTCCTGTTAAATGTAGATGCTCCTGGAGAATTCTAGAGGCTATGCCAGTGATGTCATTGATCTCCATGCTTGGTTTGCTTTTTTGGAAGAAAGTGTTCCAGTGAGGAGACTGCCTGTCTGCTTATCCAGGGGCTCACAGGAGGGAGAGCTGGGTTTCCATCAATCCCCAATCTCCTATGTCATTGCAGATGTGCTGAGTGGGGAACTTACACAGAGAGTTCAGCCTTCTGAATATTTTCAGCATAGAAACGGTGTGGTGGATGATGGAAGGTGGTGACATTTGGGGATAGAACAGAGGTGTTATCTGAGATAACCTGGGCCTTTGCCTAAATCCCTGATGTCCTCTAGTTGACACTTGCTGTCTCCACTTTTTATCTCTCATTTTCTCCAATTGTCCCTACCACTCCAGAATTTTCTCTTATCGAGATAACCAACAACTTCCATGTTGCCAAATACAATGGTTAATTTTCAGTCCTCATCTTAATCTCTTAGCAGTCTTTAACACATTTGGTCCCCTCCTCTTCCTGAAACACTTCATTTAACTTTTGTGACTTTCAAACATATTTCTTTGTCCCTAGCCTTTCCTTATCAACACAACTGAATATCTCCCCTTAGGTGTTTTAGAGTCGCCCCAAACTTACCGTGTCCCAAATAGAGCTCTTGTTCCTCTCCTGAGCTTCCCCAGTGCAGTAAGAGACCTGTTGCCACCCAGTTGCTCAGGCCAAAAATCCAGCTGTCCATTTTATTAATATTTCTTTTTTAACATCCCACACTTAATTTTTCTCAGCAAGTCCTGTCACAGTTCTACCTCAAAAAGTTAATCCCAAGCCACCCTCTCTTACCATGTTTGCCGCTAAAACCTGGGCACAGCAAATTGTTTTTCACTGGGCCTTTGCTGCCCTCTGCATCTCACTCAGCTGGTGAGATTTTCTCCAAGTGTAGATCAGACAATGTCATTCCTTTCCTTTATTTTTTATGTTTATTTTTATTTTTGAGTCAGAGTCTCACTCTGTTGCTCAGGCTAGAGTGCAGTGGTGCAATCCTGGCTCACTGCAACCTCTGCCTCCCGGGTTCAAGCAATTCTTCTGCCTCAGCCTCTCCAGTAGCTGAGATGACAGGCATGAACCACCACGCCAGGCTAAGTTTTGTATTTTTAGTAGCGATGTGGTTTCACCATGTTGGCTAGACTGGTCTCGAACTCCTGACCTCAAGTGATCCTCCTGCCTCGGCCTCCCAAAATGCTGGGATTACAGGCATGAGCCACCACACCTGCCCATTGCCTTCCTTGAACAGCTCATAGCTTTTCATTATAGAGGGCATAAAATACAAACTCCTTTCACTGATTTACGAGACCCTACTGAATTGATCCCTTGTCTTAAGCCTGTCCTTTCCTTTCTTTGTGTTTTTTCTTTAGAGATGGGGTCTTACTATGTTGCTCAGGCAGGACTCCAACTCTTGGGCTCAAGCAATTCTCCCACTTCAGCCTTCCAAGTAGCTGGGACTACAGGTGCGCACCACCACACCCCACTTTAGCCTGTCTTTTTATTCTGATGTTTTGACATCTGGGGCCTTACTGACCTTGGAGAGACTGCCCCTCCCAGGGTCAGCTAATTCCTAGATAAAATCCCGCCAAGAGTGCCTTTTGTGTGCAAACCAACCAATCAAGGGTCCATACCCTCAACTGCCTCCTTTATTGGGCTTTAACACTTTGGGGCAATATTCCTCAGTCCTAATCACCCAGGGTCAGGTAGACACCTAGAGACAGCCCTATACCCCAGAGCTCACTGAAATTACTCAAACCAGTCAATTCTCAGCCTGTTTAGCCTGCTTCCCCTGTATTGCACATTTCTTCCATGAAAACCACAAGAAAGGCTTCTGCCCACATTTACCCCTTGCTCCCTCTGTCTCCCGATTGACCTGGTGTTTTCTCATGTGGCCCTGTATGGTGTGGTGTGACCCCCTTCTCAGGAATTGTAATAGACTGTCTTTTCAATGGCTTGTCTCCTGATCTGTTGGTTGTACTGTATCTGAATAATAATAATAATACAGCCTATGTTTAAAAACACCTTGCTCTGTCTTCCTTGTTCATTATGCTCCAGGCATGCTAGCCTGCTTTCTCTTTCTCTTATACACTTCAGGTTCTTTGCACTTTCTATTCCGTCTGTCCAGAGGCTCTTGCTCTGATCTTCCCACAAGTGAGTTCTTCTTATTCAAGTCAAGGCAGAAGAAGTGAGGCAGAGGCTGTGCTTCTCTTGCTTCTGTTGTTTCTCCTGAAAAGGTTAGTCATGGTTTCCTGTGGCAGTTGTAGCAGAGGTCTCAGTGCTGTGGGTGTCCAAAGACAAGGTCTGGAGTATCCATTTCGCCTGGCATGGATGGAGCTGGAGGTGATGTGATTTTGGAGCCAGGCAGTTGGGGCAATGTCTTCCTAGTGCCCCACTTTCTTGACCTTGGCAGTGGTAGCAAATTTCTTGGCAGGTCTGATCTACAGTGTTATTCTAAAACTCATTTCTAGAAGCTTAGATGAGAATATGCTCTTCTAGTCCCTTCATTGATTTTGTGTTGTAAGCACCTAATTATCTGAATTAAACATATTTTTGCTTAAACTAGCTAGGATGGTATCCATTATTTGCAATTGAACTCTGACATATACTGACACAGAGTTTAGTACCAGAAATTGTTGCAAGGGTGGGAATCTGGGAATGATCATTTGATCTCATTGGGTTTAAAGACAATGAGGATTCAGTACTATTGGAGGATGGAAGACTGGTAATCTTTGGTTTTCAGCCTTCCGATGTGAAACAGTTACAGAAATAACTACCTATCATCATCTGAAGTGCCGCTGAATGGTGATTCCTGAGCATGGTATGGGTACAAGGAGTTAAATGACAGTGAGTTTGGTTGCTGTTCATAACTGCTCTGGCAGCTTAAAGAAAGAAACTGTCAGGCTTAGGTCTTTTATATTTTCAGCTAAACACATAAAACTTGTAGCTTTGCCAGGGGCCCAGAGTAAGAGAAGGATATTGGCTGGTCCAGGCTGCAATACAGCTAATTCTGTTGCTGGCTTTTATGACTAAGGGAATCTGAAGGTGTGAGAAGTGCCATGGCTGAATTGGTGCTGTTTGGAGCCTGTGAAAAGCCCCATTCACAGAAGAGTTGTAGTGGAGGCCCCAAGGATTCAGAGAAAGTCCACGCCCTCTTCACCAAGTAACTATTATACTTTTGAGAAATATCTCCTTGTTTGTTATTTATGTATTTTTGAGACAGGGTCTCACTTTGTCATCCAGGCTGGAGTGCAGTGACACAATCAGGACTCATTGCAGCCTCGACCTCCTGGGCTCAAGCAATCCTTCTGTCTCAGCCCCCCTGAGTAGCTGGGACTACAGGTGTGCGCCAGCACGCCTGGCTAAGTTTTAAAACTTTTTTAGTAGCAATGAGGTTTCACTATGTTCCCCAGGCTGGTCTCAAATTCTTGAGCTCAAGTGATCCTCCTGCCTTGGCCTCCCAAAGTGCTGGGATTACAAGCACAAGCCACTGCTCTGAGCCATTGCTTGTTATTTGATCTCTGGCAGAGGATAAACACCTGACCCTGGGATACCAGGTGACTCTGCAACCTGAGCTGCCCTTTATGACCTGGGTGTTTCCCAATTGATAAAGCTGCATGGTCAGGCCCAGAAGCACCCCATCTTCAAGTGAAGGGGCATACATGAGATCAGACTTGAAGAAGTCCTGAAGTCACAAGGACATTCCACCAGTTCATGGTCCACACTCCCGTCATGTCTATTCTTGACACACTAATGTCCTTTCTTCCTATGGCCTCATGTAGTGTTCCTCATGACTGGTTGATGGAGGAGGAAAAATATTTGGGCCCAGCTTTACAGAGAACTTTGCACAACTCTGCTGGGACTAACTAGATATGGACATCTATGGCATTATAGCCCCAGTAATGGGGGTTGACCCTGAGGAAAAAAGGGGTGACCTGAGGAAGAGTGGAGAAGAAAAATGCCTGCTGAGCAGAATTTTGATAGTACAACTTAAAGAGTCTGCTTTTCCTGGAAGAAGGATGGCCTGAGATATGGATTTACATTGATCCATGAGCAGCAGCTAATGGTTTGTTTGGCAGGAGGTTTAGGAAGTAGAAGGAACAATACAGGAGAATGAGTGACAAGGCATTCTGGGGATCATCATCATCACCATCATCATCATCACTAACACTTCTGTAATGCTCACTCTGTGTCAGATATTGTTCTAAGCACTTTTTATATATTAACTTACTGAATCCTCCCAAAACACTGTGGGGTAGTTTCAACTATTATGCTGACTTTACTGAAGAGGAATCTGAGGCATAGCGTGGTTAGGCACTTGAACAAGACCATACAGCTAGTAAATGGCTGAGCTGGCATTTGAATCCAGGTGATCTGGCTGCAGAGTTCATGCTCTCAACCATCTTACTATTCTATGAATGAGCTTTTGAAAATGGGTCCAGACTGCGAGACTATTTGTGAATATGTGGGACAATGGTGAGACAATGTGGATGCTCACGAAAGGTCTCTCACTACAGAAGATACTGTTAATACTTAGGGATCAAGATGACCCAGCTGGTAGATGTCAGTCAGCCTTCTCCAGCATCTCCAGTGCTTATTCAAGGGATCACAATCAAAATGTCCATGGCGGAAGGGATGAAGGTTAGGCACAGGCTTACCGACAATGGTTCCCCTCACCAAGGCTGGTCTGGCTATGCCATGGCTGAGTGTGTAACTTGCCAGTAACAATAGCTTGGTGTAGTAGGCAGCCTCTAAGATAGTTCTCCATGAAACTCATCTTCTGATACTCATGCATTTGTGTAATTCTCTCCCTTTTAGTGTAGGTTGGAACCAGTGACCTGCTTTTAATGAAGGGAACATGGCAAAAGTGATGGGATATCTGACATTATGTTGCAAAAAGACTTGGCTTTCATCTTGGGTCCTGTCTGGTTCTCCTCTGCCTCTGTCTCTGTCTTTCTCTTCCCCCTTCTCACAAGTTGCCATATTGAGGACACTCGGCAGCCTGTGGAGAGACTCACATGAGGAAGAGCCAAAGCCTGCCAGCAACCATGTGAGTGAACCTGGAAATAGATCTGAGGCCTGCCAACAGGCACATGAATGAGTTTAGAAGTGGATTTTCCAACCTCAGTTGTCCCTTAAGTGACTGCACCCTCGGTGACAGCTTGACTCCATCCTCGTGAGAGACCCTGAGCGAGAGGCACCCAGCTCATTGCTCTCTCCTGGATTCTTGACCAACTCAAACTGTGAGATGATAATTGTCTGTGGTTTTAGGCAGGGAAGTTTTGTAGTAATTTGTTACATAGCAATGGGTAACTAATATGCCTGGGGATAGTTTGATTACATTGTACCCCTTGCCTGAAGGAGGCAATGCTCTGCACTCACTGGGATAATCACTTACTCTGGGCATGGATTTATCTTTCCTGTCTGCCTGCATCTGCAAGTGTCACCATCCACGGACTTACTGAATGCTGCATTTGTTGTCATGATATTTCACATAATATTGCATCTAATCAAGGAAAAAATATATAGCAAAACAAGTGAGACAATGTGCCAATGCTCACAGGACTCATTGGGATTACCCTGTAACTTCATTCCCCAGAACCACCTGGCCTTTTTTGAACAATAGAATGGCCAATTAAAAACTCAAATACAGCACCAGTTGGGAGAAAAAACCTTGAAAAGTTTGAGTGATCTCTTATAGGTGAGACATAGGCTCTGAACCCCAGACCAATATGTGGTATTCTCCTATAACCGAAATACAATAGCCAAATAGCCAAAATACAAATACAAAATACATTGGTTACCAAGGGGTTGAAGTAGGAGTGGCACCCCTTGCCACTAAACCTAACGACTTGCAAAATATTTGCTTCCTGTCCTTGTGACTCTGGGCTTTGTTGATTTAGATATATTAGTACATTAAGGAGGTATAAATGGCCTTTCATTATCCATTTCACTCTCAACTTTTTAGCAATAAAACTCCCCTATTTTTAGCTGGGCACTTGGTTGTCAAGCAAGAACCCACTGTTATTAAGCTTTCTTGTTTTAAAATGTGATCAAATCACTAAATTTGGGTCAATGATGTGAGCAGAATTCATGTGGGAAACTTCTGGGTTACGGCTATGGTTTGAATGCATCTTCCAAAATTTATGTGTCAGAGACTTAATCCCCAATGCAACAATGTTGGGAGGTGGGGTTTTAAAGGAGTGATTAGGTCATGGGGGCTCCACCTTCATGAGTGGATTAATGAATGCCGTTTTCTCGAGAGTGGGTTATTGTGGGGGCGGCTTTGTTATATGGGCTCTCTCTCCTGTGCATACCCTTTTGCTATTCTGGCTGCCACCTCCTGCAGCACAGAGGCCCTCACTAGATGCCAGCACCATGCTCTGGACTTCCCAGCAGCCTCCAGAACCATGACCCAAGTAAATGCCTATTGTTTATAAATTACCCAGTCTGTGATATTCTCTTACAGCAGCAGAAAATATACTAAGACAGTGATCTCCTTAATGTTCAAGCTGCCTACACAGAATTTCTCTGTCCCTTCCCTTGGGTTAGTATGAGGGTATGGAGGTAACACATACCTTCATACTCCTGTGTATGAGGAGTTGAGGAGGTGGCAGGAGCAAGGATATTGGAGGGAGCTGGATCTTGGCATCACTTCGTATAGCAGATCCACACTGGCAGGTCTGGACCTCTCACCTTTGGAGAGCATATCTCTGTTTCATTACAGAAAAAGAAATTTTAATCTTATTTAATCCACTGTACTATTGAGTTTCTTTGGTATAGCAATTAACCTGTACCTTAACTAACATAGCAAGAATGCTACTACCAGGGACAAAATAATGATTTCATAGAATTAGAAGTTCAGACTTATTTCTGTCCATTTAAGGCTTCTCAGGACACTGTACACATAAGCAAAACAGAGGATAATCTCATGTTAGGTGGGATGATTGATGGTGATTATATTATTGATATAGGGTTGTCATACAATGGGAGCAGGAAGGTGCTCACTTTAAAACCCAAGAGGGAAAACATAGTGATCCTAACCAAACCCCAAACCAACCAAGCCAAACCAACCCCCAAGGGATTGTCTGGTGTGCTGGTTGCAGGGGAAAACCAGTAGAGTAAGACCACCAAAGACTCTATTCTTTAGGAATGAATAATTGGGTTTTCCCCATCAGGTAAGATAATCCTGTCATGAATAATACCATTATACATCACTTAATGATGGAGTACATTCTGAGAATGACTCATTAGGTGGTTTCATCATTGTGTGAACATCATAGAGTGTAATTCCACAAACCTAGATGGTATAACATACTACACACCTAGGCTATATGGTACAGCCTATTGCTCCCAGGATACAAACCTGTACAGCACGTCACTGTACTGATTACTGTAGGCAATTGTAATACAATGTAAGTATTTGTGTATCTATATAGAGAAAAAGTACAGTAAAAATGTGGTATTATAATCTTATGGGACCACCACTGTATATGTGGACCATCATTAGCCAAAATGTCCTTATGCAGTACATGACTGTATATAGATGTATTCAGCCCTCAGGATCCATGGGCTCTGCAACTGTAGATTCAACCAGCAGCAGATTAGAAATATTTGGAAAAAAAAGAAAAATAGCAAGACAACAGTAAAAAATAATACAAATGGAAAAACCAGTAGAGTATAACAACTGTTTACATAGCATTTACATTGTATTAGGTATTATAAGTAATCTAGAGATGATTTAAAGCATATGGGGGATGTGCATAGGTTATCTGGAAATCCTACACCATTTTATGTAGGGACTTGAGCATCCTTGGATTTTGGTATTTGTAGGGAGTCCTGGACTCATTCCCCCATGGATACCGAGGGATGACTGTGTGCATATATATATAGTCAACCTCCACATCCATGGGTTCCATATCTGTGGATTCATCCAACCTTGGATCAAAAACATTCTGGGAAAAAATTCAGGCCTCTGGGCCTAAGGACAGAGAAACTGAGCCAGGCTTTCTCCTCCAGGGGTAGCTCTCCTGCTTCATTCACAGGGATGTGAAATGAAGGTGGAACATCAGCTCCCTAGAAAGGAGTTTGTGTTAAGGCTCTTTGTGGGTCTGAAAACTACCCTGACAAGTCCAGGATAGGTGGTCAACTTGATTGATTGGTGGACATATAGGCACATAAATGGATGGGCAATTGGCCAGATGAACAGAAGATGGATAGGTGGAGATGTGGATGGTTGGCTGAATGACTGAAGGGCTAGGTGACCCCTGAAAGTGGGGGTGATGCTCTCAGAGTGTGTGTGAAGTAGAAAGAGGCTCTTGAGGAATTGCCCCACTGAAGGAGGGGACCTCTGGCTTGGAAGGTCATCAGAGGTCTGTTTTGATTTTGGAATCGAGAAAGACAGTCTTTTCTTAAACTTGAGACCTGACAAAGAATGTCCAATATTTCTATTAGTCACAGACTCTGGGGACCAAGCCTGTAGCCTGTGTGTAGTGTGTATTGCCATGAGTGAGGTGTGAATTGTGTGTAGTTTAAGTGTGATGGGCCTATGGGTGTTTGTGGTGTATTTGGTGGAGGGTAGTATGTGGAAGGTGGGTGTCTATAGGCTGCCCTCTGGACTGATTTTTCTCCAGCCTTCAGCATAGCTTCTATCTGGGGTGTCTGGAGATGTCTTTCATCTCTCTTTTAATCAGAGCTCCTGTTTCTTGGACCCAATGTCTTTCTCTTTCTTAGCTTACTTTTGTTTTGGGAGGGTATACACTTCAGTAGCTCCATGTGCTATTGGATGGTGGAATACAATTTTTGGTACTTTGCACATCTGAAAAAAGTATTCTATTTTTGTACTTGATTGAGAGTTGGCTGGGTATAGTAGTCTAGATGGAATTAATGTTTCTTTAGAATTTCTAAGGTATTGTTTTGTTGTCTTCAGGCTTCCAATGCTGTGTTGAGATATCTGAATCCTTACATAGCCATCTCCTGTTTAATATCAATAATCTGTTCATGAAAATCAGATGTTCTGTGTGAATATGCTACCTGGGAACCTATTTCTCATCACTTTGAGTGGTAAAAAATATTATGTGATACATGTCTACCCTAAACCTTCAACCAATTGCCTAAAACATAATAAAGTAACATGTTATCATAAATAACAAGCTATTATGTTTGGATAGAAAATGCTTAAAACATCACACCTGATCATCAATTAACATGGTTGTTAACAAACAGTTGCGTTGTATGTAACAACATAGCCTGTCTTCTAGCCAGCAACATTCAATACGCACATTCTTTCTCAGGACGCCTATTTCAAATTATCTCTCTGTGTATTTAGAATGTAACCCAAGACTATACAATGCTTTTGTTGAAATGTCTGGAGTTTTTGGAATGAAATATGAAGTTTTCTCACATAAACACCAGCTGAGAATGATGCACATTTAAAAATATTGGGAACATGCTACTTTAATCACCTTAAAATTGCTTTTGTCAGAAACAAAAAGGAGTTTCTTGTCTCTTTTCAGCTTAGAAAGATGTTGAAAAGTTCTTTTGGGGGGTGGGGTAGAGAGAGATTGAGAGAGAGAGAGACTCTAATCTTGAAACTGTTGTGTACAAATTGATTTAAAGGTGTTCAGAGGATTGATTCCCAGAAATTGCTTTCTATTTGGAAATTCTCTTCTGAATATAAATTTTTAAAGCATTTTATTGAGACGTAAAACTTTATTTGTAAAGGTGCGAAATTTTTCTTTTGAAATGCCTACTTAAAAGATGAATATATGGATGTGACCTGGCGAGACAGTTTGGATGCTTGGGACAAATCTGATGAGCAAATATATCTGTAGATTTTAGTGTTTCTTAGATCACCATGATTTCAAGATACAATGAATAGAATGGCCAAGAACTCAAGCCACGTTTGCTTTAAGGCTTTAAACTTTTCTCTAAAACTAAACTAAAAACAAGCCTAATGGCTACTGATTTTTGGCCTGTGGCCATTTAAATGTTTCCGACTTTGATCTGTGATTGCTTTACTTCATCAGGGCTGCTGAAGTCTGTCTCTGTTCCCTTTTTATTTAGAAAGTATATCAAACCTGATACCAAAAAAGTTAGTGATTTGATTTGAGCACCACCCATTTTATGTTTACACGTTAAAAAATTAAACATTTTTTACAGACAGGCAGAACAGAGAAGATTGTAGTGAATCCGCATATGCCAATTACTCAAGTTCTGCTATTTTGGGATTTTGATAACACTTTCTTTGTTTTTTGTTTTTTGAGACGGAGTCTTTCTCTGTTGCCTACAGTGCAGTGGCACGATCTCAGCTCATTGCAACCTCTGCCTCCTGGATTCAAGCGATTCTCCTGCCTCAGCCTCCCGAGCAGCTGGGATTACAGGCATGCGCCACCATGCCCAGCTAACTTTTATTTTTTATTTTTAGTAGAGATGGGGTTTCACCATGTTGACTAGGCGGGTATCAAATTTCTGACCTCCAGTAATCCACTCACCTTGGCTTCCCAAAGTGCAGGGATTACAGGTGTGAGCCACTGTGCCCGGCCTCAATTCTTATATCTAGAAACCATGGATGGTCTTAGAAATACTGAAATCTGGAAATACAATTTTGCTCATTAGATTTGTTCCAAGCATCCAACCTATCTGGCCAGGTCATATCCATATGTTCACCTTTTAAATAGAAGTTAAAAAAAGTTTTGTGTCTTCACAAATCAAGTTTCATATTTCAATAATATATTTAAAAATCTTGTACTTACAAGGAAATTTCCAAGTACAGCGTAATTTGTGAGAACCCTTCCTTTGAAAACACCTTAAAATCTATTTGTAAATGGCAGCCTCGAGGTTACGGGGTTCCTAATTTCCTCTCCCTCCCACCTTCTTCCTTCTCGCCTTCCCATTTTTTTTGTTCCTTTCCTTTCTTTCCCTCTTCAGTTCTTCTTTAGCCTTTATTTCCCCCCTTTCTTCTTCCTTCATCCATATCCCCACCACCCAGAAGGTGCTGCCTTTTGAGGATAAAAACAAAAATTACTTTACACATGTTAAAACAGCATTGCAAATTACAGCAGTTCTGAGCTCCATTGTCCTCCTCCTCCTCATAGAAGACCTTGGCACACATTATTACAAAGGGAGGAAAAGAAAATTCCAAGTTATTGTCCTTCCTACTTGAGGTGTGATGTGGAAAGAGCAGATGTATGGTCAATTATAACAATTTTCTTTAATAATTTTATTTTTATATTTTAAATTTTTCTTTATTTTTCCTTAAAATTAAAAAAAATAAAGACAAGTTTTCACCATGTTGGTCAGGCTGGTCTCAAACTCCTGATCTTGACTGAGCTGCCGGCCTCTGTGTCTTAAAGTGCTGAGATTACAGGTGTGAGCCACCATGCCTGGTGATATTTTAATTTTTATTGAGTGCCCTTAAGGCTCCTCCTTGGCAATTGTATTTAGGCAGAGTTTATTAATCTGTGAGTACTCCCCTTCAGTGTTTGACATTTTCTAAAGAAAAAAGTCTCCACTAGAGGGAAGTGTTTGTTTAGATCATTCCTGGACAGTGATTCCACTGCGTGAGAATTTAAGTCCTTTCAAGAATTTCTTAACACGTGGTGTGTGTGAGACGTTGCAAAAATAATATGTCCCACTAGAGGGAGCCATTTACCCAGATTATCTCTGGAATATTGAGTCTATGACCTGAGAATTTGGTCCCGTCTACACGTAGACATGCTAAAAGCAATGTCCTAGGTCCTCAGCCCCCACCTCCCATTCCACAGTTCCCATGGATGCCTTATACAGGAATTATTTTCACATCATAATAACTTTGAAATGGAAGATGGGATAAATTTGCAAGCTACTAATGCAGTGTGCTAGTGCTTAATATGAGACTGCATATTGTTGGCAGATACAGCATTTGTTTACCTTAACCTGGCTCATAAATTGTGTGTCTATGGGGTTTGGTGAAAGGAAAGAAAAACATTCACTCAAGACTGACTCAGTTTGGGAAGTAAGCAGATGGGTACATCCTCCTCCTGCCTATTTTCTTTTCTTCTTCTTCTTTTTTTTTACTTTGTCACCCAGGTTGGAGTGCAGTGGTGCCATCTTGGCTCACTGCAGCCTCCACCTTCTGGGCTCAAGCAATCCTCCCACCTCAGCCTCCTCAGTAGCTGGGACCACAGTAGCTGAGCCACCATGCCCTGCTAATTTTATTATATTTTATTTTTTTGAGATGGAGTTTTGTTCTTGTAGCCCAGGCTCAAGTGCAATGATATGGTCTTGGCTCACTGCAAACTCTGCCTCCCAGGTTCAAGTGATTCTCCTGCCTCAGCTTCTGAAGTAGCTGGGATTACAGGCGTGCACAACCACACCTGGCTGATTTTTTTTTTTTTGAGACGGAATCTCACTCTTGTCAACCAGGCTGGAGTATAGTGGCACGCTCTCGGCTCACTGCAACCTCCACCTCCCGGGTTTAAGTGATTCTCCTGCCACAGCCTCCTGAGTAGCTGGGATTACAGACACCTGCCACCTCATCCAGCTAATTTTTGTACTTTTAGTAGAGATGGGGTTTCACCATGTTGGCCAGGCTGGTCTTGAACTCCTGACCTCATGCCTGCCTTGGCCTCCCAAAGTGCTGGGATTACAGGCATGAGCCACTGCGCCTGGCCAGCTAATTTTTTTTTGTATTTTTAGTAGAGACGGGGTTTCACCATGTTGCCCAGGCTGTCTCAAACTCCTGCACTCAAGCAATCCACCCACCTCGGCTTCCCAATGCTGAGACTACAGACGTGAGCCACTGCACCTGGCCCTCCTGCCCATTTTCTGAACTTTTTGAGAAATACATATTCAGAGTGGGCAGCTCTAGGCACCTCTCTTATATACCATCTGATAATTTTATTATCAGGGGACAGAGTCCTTGGAGAAGGGTGGCCCAGAAATGCTCCCGACGAGAGTGTGGGACTTCAGGCCACAAGTGACTTTTGAGCTTTTCTGGAGACTTTACAATCTTATTTCACATAGAATATGCATTCAAGTCAGGGTCCTTGGGACTAGAATTTCAAAATCCACCAGGTCAGTATCCCCATCTGAGTCTCACCTTGGAAGCCAGTTGCCCAGTGGGGAGAGCATTGAATGCTCCAGAAGAAAAAGAAATAGTTCTGCCTCAGTTGGCCTCCTGTTTAGAGCTTATTTCCTTGATAACTTCCTGTAGTCTGTGACCATACATGAGAAGAAACCAGGTTCAACTTCCTGATTTTATCAAATCAATTTCAACTTACATGGGAAAACACTCTCTTATCTCAACTTCTTAATCCTAGATCCTTAATCAAGGGTCACCATGTGTTTGCCACATATATTTACTTTTTGTTAGTGTATTGGCTAATTTTCATTGATTCATAAATCACCCTAATACTTAATGGCTTATACAACATCATTTATTTAGTTTATGATTTTGTGGGTTGGCAATTTAGCATAGGCTTGTTTGGGTAGTTCTTCTGTTGGTCTTTGATAGGCTCACCCATGCCTCCTCAGTGGCCAGCTGGGGAGTTCTGCCATGGGGTTTGTGTGTATGTGAGACTATTGTCAGGTGGGATGATGGGGGCAAGTGGATTACGTGTCTTTTGTCATCTAGTAAGCTAGCCCAGGCTTGTTCACATGGTGGTCAGAGGATACGTTTTTTGAGTTTCTGCTCGCATTATGTTTGCTGGTGTCACATTGCCCAAAGCAAGCCACATGGCCAATTCCAGAGTCAGTGTAGAAGGTCACTACCAAAGAGGGTGGCTGTAGGGAGGCAAAGAATGTGTGACCATTTCCTGCAGTCTCTGACAGTTGGTCACATTTGACATGTGGACTATGTGAGGGCTGTTGAAATACAGGAGTAGAGTGAATCCAAGAGGGATTCTAAGGGAAGAGACAACAGGAGTGGGTGACAGATAGTAGGGAAGAGTCAGGGATGACTTCAAAGTGTTTAGTCTCAAAGAGTGAAAGGTTAATGGTGCCATGGATGTCAATGGGGATGATTTGGAGTGAGTGTTGGGAATAAACTCCTCTCAGAGAAGGTGATATCTCTGCATCTCTGTTACCTCAAAAGAGGCAACATGGTGAGGGGCTAGGGATGAAAGGTAATGGGGCAATAGTGACACAGGATTTTTCTTGGTCACTTTGCAACAAGCTGGGGACCTCCAGCTGGTGATACCCCTGCCTGGGCCTTCCTTGGCCACACTACCTGCCGCAGAAGAGAGCCCGCCCACTCAACCCGCCAGGGCCATGCTTGGCTTGTGCACTGGCTCAGCCTGTGGCTGGGCCAGGTGTGCCCCTGCCCGCCTGTGTTATAACTCATACCCTTGTTTAGCAGTTCCTAAATTCTTGTCCCATGCCCAAGAAGAATGAGGATATGCCCACCATTGAAGGTGATGACGGTGGAGAATTTTATTGAGCAACAAAACAGCTCTTGGTGGAGATGCTATGGGAAGATGGTCTCTCATCTGAAGTTGGGTTGTCTCTCTCCCCATGTGCCTAAGTCCGGGGCTTTTATGGGCTCAGAATAGGGGAGTGCATGCTGATTGGTTTGTGAGTACGAAAAAAAGTAAAAAAAAAGAGGCATCACTCAAAGGTGGGCACGATAGTGTTATAAAAACCAATTAGGGAAGGGTAGGCATATATAAAATAGGTGAATGGTGGAGATCAATCAGAGGAAAGTGCACCAAACAGGAAGGCAGGTTCTCAATCTGGTCTGTGGATTTCACTTGTAGCTTGGATTTTGGGCTTTAAACTGTCTTTGGCTTGAAGGTGGGGTTTCATTGGGGATCCGCCCCTATCTACCTTGGCATTTGTCTGCCTCATGCCTCTATTAATAGGGGCAATTCTATTTCAAATAAAGGTGAAGTATAGAAGGAACATTGGATGTGGTTTGCAGAGAAGTAGAACACTGAAATGAGATACAAGATTTGGAGGAAAAAATGGGGATGAGGCAAGAGAAAGTTTGAAGACAACACTGTCTCTTAGGTTTATTTTCCTACAGAAAACCCACAGGGCCCTGGGAGCTGAGGAGTGGTAAGGACTTGGTTATTAGTGGGATAGGTAGTAGGAAGAGAGGTCCTGCTGACCTGCTGGCAAATAAACTTGGAACTTCTCCTTACTGAGTTGGAGTCTGGAAGCCCCTCATTCTTCTGGGGCTAGATGTAGATATAAACTTGGTGGGGGAGCTAGAGGAGATGTTAGCATCAGGCAGAAAAGTGAGAAGTCATCTCTCACCACATGGAACACGTTTTTCTATCTTTCCAAACATCTCATTCATTTCTCTGTTAATGAATTTGTCCCGGATTTGGAATTCTTGTCATCCATTGACTTTACCTGGTTTATTGGCAACAGTAGAGAGAAGAAACTCTTGGTAAACTTCCATCTCTTGTTATTCTTGAAAGTAATCTCTCTTGAGAAATCAACTTTGAGTATTAATTATATGTAGAGTCACTCATTTTTGTTTTCTAAAAATTGAACACAATTTTTTATACTGTTAATTGAAATGGGTATAATGAGTGTTTACATTGAACAACTCCCTAGTGGAGGGCCATGAGCTCTTGGCCTCAGTTTCCTCATTTGTAAAATAAAGAGGCTAAGCCCACAGGATAGGCAGCCTTTAAGATGGCCCCCAATAGTCTTTACCTCTTGGTTTATTCACTTGTGTAATCCCCACCCTTTGAGTATAGGGTTGATATAGTGAATTACTTCTAACAAATAAAATATGGCAAAAGTGATGGGATGATGTTTCTTAGATTAGGTTACAAAAAGACTGGCTTTTATCTTGGGTACTTTCTTATTCACTCAGCTTGATGGAATCCAGTGGTCATGTTTTAAATTATCTTTTGGAGAGGGCTACATGACAAGAAATTGAGGGAATACAACAGCTGATGAGGATTTAAAATTAGCTAGCAACCATAGATGTGAGCTTGGAAGGAGGTCCTCCCTCAGTCATGCCTTCAGATGAGACCATAGCCCTGGTTGGCAGGTTAATGGCAACTACATGAGAGATCTTGAGCCAGAGTAGTTCAGCTAATCAACACTTAGATTCCTGAATCAATGAAACTGTGAGATAATAGATGTTTGCTGTTTAAGCCACTAGATTTTGGAAGTAACTTGTTAAGCAGCAATAGATAGCAAATACAGCTTTTGAAGAGGGGTACTGCCATAACAACTACCTAAAATGTAGGAATGGCTTTGGGGCTAGGGAGTGGGTAGAAGCTGGAAAACTTTTAAGGATTTTAGAAGACTAGTGGTGAAAGCTTAACTTTGAAAATACTTTCTGTAGAATTTTGGACTTTGAGGATGCTATGGATGAAGGCTTTCAGGAAACTGAAGAAAATCTTACTGGAAACTGGTGAAGGACCTTTGTTATGTAGCGACAAAAGTTTAGCAACACTGTCTCCTGCAGTTAAGTGGAAAGTGGAAAATGTGAACTGTGTAATCTAGCTAAGGAAATTTCTAAGCAAAGTGTTGAAGGTGCCACTTGATTTCTTCCTGACAGTTATAGTGAGAGGAGAGAGGAAAGTTGAAGTAAACACTGTTAAACAGGATGGATCCAGGACTTGATAGTTTTTGAAATTCTCTTCTAATGATAAATGATGCTAAAATTAAGAAATGGTTTCTTAATTTTAATTTCTTAATTCCTGACAGGGCACTGTCAGGAAAACTAGTCCAGAGGTGATATCAAGAGTGTGACTGTAATACTTTAAGACCTCAGAAATATCAAGGTGGTGCCTAAGTACCAGGCACAAAAGACCTTTTAAAGAAATTAAGAATGTGTTTCAGTGGTCCTTTCAATAAAATAATAGGGATACCAGGACCTTTAAAGATCTTTCAGGCCTTAGCTGTGGTTTTTATCTAATGAAGCAAGCATCAAGAAGATACACTGGAGATCCATAAAGTTCCCGAATGAGTTATATCCCCAGAAACTCTGTCATCTTGGATTGAAAAGAAGACAGTACAAAATAAGAAAGAGGCATTTGGGTCACTGTAATTCTACTGGGAGGAAGAAGGCTGAGAAAACTATTCAGCTACAATTGTGTGCTACTTTTCATGAAAAAGGAAAAAATGACTCAGAGGGCAGGACCAAGGGCCCAAGAGGAATAATGAATTACTCCCAAGTTTTGAATGAGTTAAGGAGTTTCCATCATTTTCAGCTGGATTTCATAATTTTTCTGGACCAGTAATTCCTTTTCTTTTCCTGTTTTTGAGTGGCAATAGTTATAGTTATTCTATGCCTACCCCATCATTGTATGTTGGGTGTGTGTGGGGATGTTAACTTGTCTTTTTTAGTTTCACAGGTCACAGATTGAGAAAAGTAGTTAGGGGCTGTATGTACCTATGGAACTACACCCAAGGAGCTTCATCTACACCTGGACCTGGTTTAGATGATAAGATTGTGGATTTTGATTGGAAACTATAACAAGATGAGACCTTTGATGACTTCGAGAAGGGTGGAATATATATTGCATGTGGGAGGGACATGAATCATTGGTGGACTGTGCCAGAGGGTAGATTGTAATAGGCTGCATGTAATGTTTCCCAAATCATCCCTGCCTTCTGATATTCATGTCTTTGTGTGCTCACCTCTTCTTGAATATGGGCTGGACTAGGTGACTTACTTCTAACAAATAGCATATGATAAAAATGATGTGATGTCACTTTTAACATTAGGTTATAAAACACTTTTGTTTTGGCCATTCTTTCGTTTGTTTGCTCTAAAGAAGGCCAGCTGCCATGTTATGAGCTTTCTTATAGAGTGCCCACATGGCAACAATCACTGAGGAACTAGAGCCTGCTAACAGCAACTGGAGTGAGCAGCTCAGAAGTTAATCCTTCCCTAGTTGAGTCTTTTTTTTTTTTTGAGATGGAGTCTCACTCTGTCACCCAGGCTGGAATGCAGTGGCATGATCTTGGCTCACTGCAACCTTCACCTTCCAGTTTCAAGCAATTCTCTTGCCTCAGCCTGCTGAGTAGATGGGACTACATGTGTATGCCACCATGACTGGCTAAGTTTTGTATTTTTAGTAGAGATGAGGTTTTCCCATGTTGGCCAGGCTGGTCTCAAACTCCTGATCTGAGGTGATCCACCCACCTCAGCCTCCCAAAGTGCTGGAATTATAGGCATGAACCACCATGCCCCACCCCCAGTAGAGTCTTTAGATGAGACAACAGCCCTATTGAGCTGCTCTGAGTTAAGCTGAACCCAAATTACTAACCCATAGAAACCAAGATAATCAATGCTTGCTGTTTTAAGCTGCTAAATTTTGGGATAATTTGCGTGCAGCAAAAGATGACTATTAAATCCAGATGTCTCACATCTGTAGGAAATGTGGTATTGCGTTTAGATCCAGAAGTTGTGGGTTTGAACCCTGGTCTCCTGTGTGATCTTTGGCAATACACTTAAACTGTTTGAGTATATCAACATCTTATGTAAAATGTAAATAATAATTTTTCCATCTGTTTCGCAGGGTTATTGTGAAGATTGAGTGAGGTTAGTGTTGAGAAAATGCTTTTGAAACTATGAAGTGTTCTACAAACATTATAGGTGTTAAAAATGAAACTGGCATGCTGACGAATGTCAGCTGTTACTGGAGTCTAGTTGAGGGCACCTGGGGACATAGGCTAGCTATTTCTCATTTCTTTGGCTGACAGAGTGATAAAAGAAGGTGCAAACCTAAGACTGAGGCTAGGTAATAAGACTCTTCATATGATATCAGGACATTTTCCTTATGGCCTGTGGGGAAACCTGCACCTTGCTGGGGGTGCAATGGGGGCCTAAGCCCCTGACTCCTGCCTCTTGGCCTGATGTCATGTGGACTTACTCTGGAGAAGGCACCCATTTTTTCCCCAGAAGATGACTTTTAGGGCCCTTATTTATTTTGGAACAAAGTCATTTTTCTGACTAGGTCTTTCATTACCTGCTTAACTTGTTGGTTCCTCAGAGTACAGATGAAGGGATTTAACAGTGGGGCAATAATTGTATTGATTAGAGACACTCCCTTGTTGACATCAACCCACTTTCCTGGAGAGGGCTTGACATACATAAAGAAGCAGCTGTCATAACACATGGTAACCATAATGACATGAGAGGAACAGGTAGAGAAAGCCTTCTTCCTCTCCTGGACAGCGGGGATTCTGACAATTGTCTGGATGATCTGGACATAGGACAGGGTGATGAGTACCAAGGTGCCAAACAGTGCTACTAAGGCCAGGGTAAAATCCACCATCTCCAGCACCTTTGGCCCACTGCAGACCACCTCCATTAGAGGCGTGTAGTCACAGAAGAAATGCTTGATGTGGGTATCACAGAATGGAAGCTGACTGGTCAGGATGACAGGCATGATGATGAAGGAGAAACCTAGTAGCCAGCAGGTGAGGATGAGCTGTGTGCAGACTCTACTACTTATGAGCATGGGGTAGTGGAGGGGCTTGCAGATGGCAATATACTGGTCATAGGCCATGGCTGTGAGGAGGAAGAACTCTGTGGCCCCCAGAAGATGTGGAAAAAGTCCTGGGTAATGCACCCAGCAAAGCTAACGGTCTTGGTCCCCATGGCAATGTTGAGCAGCATCTTGGGCACGATGACTGTCTGGAACCAAATTTCTAAGCAGGACAGATTCTGGAGAAATAAGTACATAGATGTCTGCAGGCGGGTGTCCAGCAAGGTCAGGCTGATGATGATCAGGTTCCCAGAGACAGTCACAAGGTAGGCAAGCAGCAGGAGCAGAAAAACAGCCACCTGAAGCTCTTTGGTATCCGTCAGGCCTTGGAGGAAGAACTCAGTCACCACAGTCTGATTGGCCATTGTGGACCTCAAGCCCTTTCCAGAAATGTGCAATTCTGGGCAAATAGGACCATCAGAAATTAGGATGAAAAGGGAAAAATTTCTCCTGAAATGCATCATTTCTTTCCCCCTCCCTGCTGCTTCCCCATGGATTCAGGAAAGCAGAGCAGAAGCTTCTGGAGGTTCTTCCCTAGCAAGAAAAGTTGCCTCTTTCAGAATCTGAGGAACTATTGAATGACAATGACTTTCCTGTCTCCCTCCCTTTATTCCTCCCTGTTTTTTTCTTTTATTCCTTCCGTTTTTTTCCCTCTGAGAAAGCCTACAAAGAATTTTCTGCTGCTCTTCTCAGTCCTCTTTAGAACTGTCACTCACTCATCTTTCAAAATCCAGCTCAAGTGTGACCTCTTCTATGAAGACTTTTCTGAAGTCCTAGGCTGAATTAGCTGCTTCCTCATGGCTCCCATAACATAGTTTTTGCCTCTGCTATATTCCATAGTCAGCTGTATAGGCTAGAGCCTGTCTTCTGTGCTAAACCACCAACACATTGAGCTCACAGACTTTATGTTCATCTGGGTATCTTAGCACTTACCTCCCCCTTTCCAGTAGAGGCACTGGCCTTCTCAGATCTGCATTCACAACAAAGCCTCCTAGTTTGTAAAGTATTGCTTGCATATGTAGCATGTAGTTTTGGAAGAAGAAGCCATTTTCACTTACCCTGCCATTTTCTTACACTAGATCATCATTAAAAACTGCCTGACATTTGCATCTGAACTGTAAGAGATTTGAAGATAGCGAATATCTTACTCATCCTTGTTCACTCCCCTCTCTCATATTCATTCCTGGGGCCTGGCATTTGATAGTCATCTATAGAAATGAAACCCAGTGAGGCTTATCACACTCATCTTCTGATAAGGAAGGGAAAATCCAGAGAAATTAACTATTGGTCTAAGGTACAGTGAGATTCTAAAACATAACTGGGAGCCACTTGAGTATTTTCTTGCCATGATCAGATTCACTAAGGCTCTCAGGCTTGTTATTTTATTGAGTAGAAAAGGGATTTTTTCCCCCTGGAGAAATCTGTAAAAATCTTAAGAGTGATTCACTCTCTCTTTTTTTTATTTGAGACTGATGGCCCAGAAACTCCATGGCCTATGTCACTGGTCTTTAAATGGGGAGGCTGCTCACATCATGGGATATGCCACGTGATCCACTGGGATATGAGAAGGAGATATGAGATCCTTCAAGTTATATGATATTTCATAAAATCTAGGATACAATCTAATATGAAATACACTATTATTTTATGTGCCATTAAGAAAGAAAAAAGACTGCCAAGAAGACTATGGCATTATGCTAAGATACCATTGAGTATAATATAATCTCAATCTCAAAGATGTTAAAATGGGTGTCTTGAAGTTAATGAACTATGGCATTTATCTTTAGCTCATTAAAAACATCTGTTTTTAGCATGATACTGGTATAAAAATAGGCACATAGGCCAATGGAAGAGAATAGAGAACCCAGAAATAAGCCCAGATACTTACATCCAACTGATCTTCAACAAAGCAAACAAAAACATAAAGTGAGGAAAGGACATCCTATTCAACACATGGTGCTGTGATAATTTACAAACCACATGTAGGAGAACGAAACTGGATCCTCATCTCTCACCTTACACAGAAATCAACTCAAGATGGATTAAGGACTTAAATCTAAGACCTGAAACTATAAAGATTCTAGAAGATAACATTGGAAAAGCCCTTTAGACTTTGGCTTAGGCAAGGATTTCCTGACCAAGAACCCAAAAGCAAATGCAATAAAAGCAAAGATAAATAGTTGGGACCTAATTAAACTAAAGAGCTTTTGCACAGCAAAAGGAACAGTCAGCAGAGTAAACAGACAACCCACAGAGTGGGAGAAAACCTTCACAATCTATACATCTGACAAAGGACTAATATCCAGAATCTACAAGAAACTCAAACAAATCAGTAAGAAAAAACAAACAATCCCATCAAAAAGTGAGCTAAGGACACAAATAGACAATTCTCAAAAGAATATCTACAAATGGTCAACAAACATATAAAAAAATGCTCAACATCACTAATGATCAAGGAAATGCAAATCAAAACCACAATGCAATACCACCTTACTCCTGCAAGAATGGCCATAATAAAAAAATAAAAAAACAGTAGATGTTGGCATGGCTGTGGTGAACAGGGAACACTTCTACACTGCTGGTGGGAATGTAAACTAGTACAGCCACTGTGGTAAACAGTGTGGAGATTCCTTAAAGAGCTAAAAGTAGAACTATCATTTGATCTAGCAATCCCACTACTGGGTGTCTCCCCAGAGGAAAATAAGTCATTATTCGAAAAAGATACTTGCACATGCATGTTTATAGCAGCACAATTTGCAATTGCAAAGTTGTGGTATATATATATATATATATATATATACACACAATGGACTACTACTGAGCCATAAAAAGGAATGAATTAAAGGCATTTGCAGCAACCTGGATGAGATTGGAGACTATTATTCTAAGTGAAGTATCTCAGGAATGGAAAACCAAATATCACATATTCTCACTAATAAGTGGTAACTAAGCTATGAGGATGCAAAGGCATAAGAATGACACAGTGAACTTTAGGGCTCATGGGGAAAGAGTTGGGAGGGTGAGGGATAAAAGACTACAAATTGGATTCAGTGTATACTGTTTGGGTGATGGGTGCACCAACATCTCACAAATCATCACTAAAGAACTTATTCATGTAACCAAACACCACCTGTTCCCCAATAACATTTGGAAATAAAAAATAATAATAATAAAAAACAACCAGCCTCCAAAGCTCTGTAGCTTAAAAAAGTCTGTTTTTGTGTATATTTTAAAACACAAACTATATATATAGTAGTAGTGCAAATAACTTAAACATTGATAAACATACCCATATATTGGGGATATTTTCCCAATTTTATTTTTACTGATGGGATATATGAATTTATAAAGTTTGGAGAGAATTCTTGCCTAGGGATTTGCTATCGGTCTTCCCACCTACAACCAGCCAGTGTTTGCAAAAAGGCCCATTTCTGGGGAGGAGAAGCAGTTCTTCAGCTTCAGTTTTTTTCAGCTTAAAAAGAGAGAGCTCCCACCAGGCCATAGGGAATTTGCTGAATGATTTAGAAACCTTGGTCTTGGGTGACTTCTGTGGTCTGGCAAGGCAAGCTGTGACATGCAGCTCCCTTCCTTTCTGTACAGCGACTGGTTACCTGGGAAGCAGCCTCAGAGATTCACCAGCCCAGGGAGAACACAAGCTCCTCAGATCTCTAACGATTCCCTAAAGAGGGAGCAGAGAGTTTAAAGGCCCAAATGGCCTACGTGGTTTCATGAAAAGAGCTCAGCCTTGCAGAAAAATGTGGAGGCAACTCTGTAGAAATAATTTCAGGATTAAGTTTCCATAGAAATTTGTTTTTGACTGCCTTCATTTCTCTCTGGCCTTCTCCAACCTACCTGTCCCTTCAGCAGCAACAATCCAAAAACATAGCTATCTACAGAGACAATTCTGTTGCTCAGTCAGCATCCAAACCACATAGCAGAGGGTTAGAATCTGAATTGAAGCTGGAAACCTCTTCCCCTTTTTATCATGGCGCATGATTTCCGCTGGGAATCTAAGGTTCTGAAGTTTCCGGTCATGTAAGAGGCTTCTGCACAGGTTCCATCCAAAGGAAAGGGACATTTGCTTTATAGACTCTTTTACTACAGACCCAGGGGATCAATTCAGAGGCGGGGGAACAAAAACAAACGGTGCTCAGGGAAATCTGCTCTCAGAATTCACTAATGAACTTAGAATATGGCTGCTCTGGCCTCGTAAGCAAAACAATTTGCAAAAAATCTTCAGAGAAGATGACAAAATATTTACCTAAGAACTTACCCCTAAATAAATATTTGTGTTACTGTCAGTTGTTAATAATGTAGTTGGCAACATCAATTGGGTAAATATTTTTGAGAACTGATAAGTGGAGGGGAAGGCATCAAAGACAACTTTGTCACAATTTTGGTAAGTCCAGCCACAGTCATCTATGAATGTCCAGCCTGTTCAGCAGTTTTAATTTGCATTAAAATTTTATTGCTAAAACATGCTCGGGTTTTGCACTGCACATGGGTAGCTCTGCATGGTGCGAATGTACTATGCTACATCAGAAGTCAGACAACTTAAATTTTAGTCGCAGTTCTGCTGCTAACACGGGGATCTTGCACAATTCTTTTTCCTTTCCTTAGTCTTAATTTTTCAGCTTCTAATAGCACCTTATAGCTAATAATGGCATGGTGTGAACTAGGATGTCTTTTTGTTTGTCTTAATTTCAATGTTTTCAAGCTTCAAGAGCCTTTCCTTACACTTCTTGTATTCTGGAGTGAAGAGGTTTCTGCTTACTTTTCCTATGCCCTTCCTGATCTCACCTGAAATCCATTCTCCCTTTTTGCCTGCTTTCCCTGAAGACTCTTAATCATTTCTATGGCCATGATAGAAACCATCCAAACAAAAACAAACAAACAAACAAAAAGAAACCATCCTACAATGTCTTTCTCTGAATTTTTTCTGATGTGTTTTTCTTGAGATAAAACAACTAGAAGAGGAGATGGTGTAGCAATATTACTATTGCAGATGTATACAGATAATATATAGTGTTATAAAACACTCATGAAAAGTATTTAAAAATGAACAAACTCAGTGCAACCCAAAGAATACCAAAGCCGAACTATTTAAGAATTACTGATAAAGTGCATACAGATTTCATAACAAAAGAGAAAGAAAACTGGTGGATGTGAAATACTGAACCATTCATATATTCAGCAATTCATTTAGCAAATATTTGTGGAGTTTCTGCTATACGCTAGGCATGGCAATGTTGAAGATGCTGAGATATGATTATGGGGAAGACAGAATGAAAGTCTTTTTTCATCTTTTGTTTTTAATTAATTAAAAAAATTCAACTTTTATTTTAGATTCAGAGGGTACATGTACAGGTTTGTTACATGGGTATGTTGCATGATGCTGAGGTTTAGGGTATGATTGAACCCATCACCCAGGTAGTGAGTATAGTACCTGATAGGTAGTTTTTCAATCCTTGCCTCTCTCGATTCCTCCATCCTTGTGTAGTCCTGTGTTTATTGTTCCCATCTTTATGTCCATGTATACCTGATGTTTAACTTATATGTGAGAACATGTGGTATCTGATTTTCTGTTTCTGCATTAATTCGCTTAGGATAATATCCTCCTGCTGCAGTTATGTTGCTGCAAAGGACATGATGTTGTTCTTTTCTATGGCTGTATAATATTTCATGTTATATATGTACCATGTTTTCCTTATCCACTCCACCATTGATGGGCACCTAGGTTGATTCCATATCTTTGCTGTTGTGAATGGTGCTGTGATGAACATATGAGTGCATGTCTTCTTGGTAGAACAATTTATTTTCCTTTGGATATATATACTCAGTAATGGGTATTGGGTCAAATGGTAGTTCTATTTTTAGTTCTTTGAGAAATCTCCAAACTGCTGTCCACAGTGGCTGAACTGATTTACATTCCCGCCAACAGAGTATAAGCAGTCCCTTTTTTCCACAGCCTTGCCAACATTTGTTATTTTTTTACTTGGAAAATATTTATTATAATTACCATCACTATATCAATTTAATGTAATGAATTCTACTTAGGTACATAGCAATAGAGTAAGGATTATGTATGTTCATGTCATAGTTTCAGTTTCTCTTTTTAAATTTAACTTTTATTTTAAGTTCAGGGGTACATGTGCAGGTCTGTTGTACGGGTAAACTTTGTGTCATGAGGTTTTGTTGTACAGATTATTTTGTCACCCAGGTATTAAGTCTAGTACCCATTAGTTATTTTTCCTGATCCTCTTCCTCCTCCCACCCTCCATCCTCTGACAGCCCCTAGTGTGTGTCATTCCCCTCAATGTGTCCATGTGTTCTCATCATTAGGCTTCCACTTATAAGTGAGAACATTTAGTATTTGATTTTCTGTTTCTGAATTAGCTTGTTAAGGATGATAGCCTTCAGTGCCAATCATGTTCCCACAAAAGACATGATCTTGTTCTTTTTTTATGGCTGCATAGTATCTCATGTTGTATGTGTACCACGTTTCCTTTATCTAGTCTGCCATTGATGGGCATTTAGGTTGATCCCATGTCTTTGTTATTGTGAACAGTGCTGCAGTGAACATTCATATGCACGTGTCTTTATAATAGAATGATTTATAATCCTTTGGGTATATACCCAGAAATGGGATTACAGGGTCAAATGGTACTTCTGCTTTTAGATCTCTGAGGAATTGCCACACTGTCTTCCACAATGGATGGACTAATTTACACTCCCACCAACAGTGTATAAGTGTTTCTTTTTCTCTGCAACCTTGCCAGCAAACATTATTTTTTGACTTAATGATCATAGCCATTCTGACTGGTGTAAGATGATATCTCATTGTGGCTTTGATTTGCATTTCTCTAATGATCAGTGATGTTGAGCTTTTTTCATATGATTGTCGGCCGCATGTATGCCATGCCTTCTTTTGAAATGTGTCTATTCATGTCCTTTGCCCACTTGAGGTTGTTTGTTTTTATTCTTGTAAATTTAAGTTCCTTATAGATATATATTAGACCTTTGTCAGATGCATAGTTTGCAAAAATTTTCTCCCATTCTGTAGGTTGCCTGTTCACTCTGTTGGCAGTTTCCTTTGCTGTTCTTTAGTTTAAATAGATCCCCTTTGCCAATTTTTGCTTTTGTTGCAATTACTTTTGGTGTCTTTGTCATGAAATCTTTGCTTGTTCCTATGTCCAGAATGGTATTGCCTAGGTTGTCTTCCAGGGTTTTTATAGTTTTGGGTTTTACATTTAAGTCTTTAATCAATCTTGAGTTTATTTTTGTATATGGTGTAAGGAAAGGGTCTAGTTTCAATCTTCTGCATATGGCTAGCCAGTTCCCCCAGTACCATTTATTGAATAGGGAGTCATTTTCCCATTGCTTGTTTTTGTCAGCTTTGTCGAAGATTAGATGGTTGTAGGTGTGTGGCCTTATTTCTAGGCTCTCTATTCTGTTCCACTGGTCTATGTGTCTGTTTTTGTACCAGTATCATGCTGTTTTGGTTACTGTAGCCCTATAGTATAGTTTGAAGTCAGGTGGCGTGATGCCTCCAGCTTTGTTCTTTATGCTTAGGATTGCCTTGGCTATTCGAGGTCTTTTTTGGTTCCATATGCATTTTAAAATAGTTTTTTCTGGTTCTGTGAAGGAAGCCAATGATAGTTTAATAAGAATAGCATTGAATTTATAAATTGCTTTGGGCAGCATGGCCATTTTAATGATATTGATTCTTCCTGTCTGTGAGGGTGGAATGTTTTTCCATTTATTTGTGTCATTTCTGATTTTTTTTTATTATACTTTAAGTTTTAGGGTACATATGCAAAGGTGCAGGTTTGTTACATATATATACATGTGCCGTGTTGGTGTGCTGCACCCATTAACTCGTCATTTAACATTAGGTATATCTCCTAATGCTATCCCTCCCCCCTCCCCCCACCCCAAAACAGGACCCGGTGTGTGATGTTCCCCTTCCTGTGTCCTTGTATTCTCATTGTTCAATTCCCAACTATGAGTGAGAACATGTGGTGTTTGGTTTTTTTGTCCTTGCGATAGTTTGCTGAGAATGATGGTTTCCAGCTTCAACCATGTCCCTACAAAGGACATGAACTCATCATTTTTTATGGCTGCACAGTATTCCATGGTGTATATGTGCCACATTTTCTTAATCCAGTCTATCATTGTTGGACATTTGGGTTGGTTCCAAGTCTTTGCTAATGTGAATAGTGCCACAATAAACATACGTGTGCATGTGTCTTTATAGCAGCATGATTTATAATTTTTGGGTATATACCCAGTAATGGGATGGCTGGCTCAAATGGTATTTCTAGTTCTAGATCCCTGAGGAATCGCCACACTGACTTCCACAATGGTTGAACTAGTTTACAGTCCCACCAACAGTGAAAAGTGTTCCTGTTTCTCCACATCCTCTCCAGCACCTGCTGTTTCCTGACTTTTTAATGATCGCCATTCTAACTGGTGTGAGATGATATCTCATTGTGGTTTTGATTTGCATTTCTCTGATGGCCAGTGATGATGAGCATTTTTTCATGTGTCTTTTGGCTGCATAAATGTTTTCTTTTGAGAAGTGTCTGTTCACATCCTTCACCCACTTTTTGATGGGGTTGTTTTTTTCTTGTAAATTTGTTTGAGTTCATTATCGATTCTGGTTATTAGCCCTTTGTCAGATGAGTAGGTTGTGAAAATTTTCTCCCATTCTGTAGGTTGCCTGTTCCTTTGATGGTAGTTTCTTTTGCTGTGCAGAAGCTCTTTAGTTTAATTAGATCCCATTTGTCAATTTTGGCTTTTGTTGCCATTGCTTTTGGTGTTTTAGACATGAAGTCCTTGCCCATGCCTATGTCCTGAATGGTATTGCCTAGGTTTTCCTCTAGGGTTTTTATGGCTTTAGGTCTAACATGTAAGTCTTTAATCCATCTTGAATTAATTTTTGTATAAGGTGTAAGGAAGGGATCCAGTTTCAGCTTTCTCCATATGGCTAGCCAGTTTTCCCAGCACCATTTATTAAATAGGGAATCCTTTCCCCATTGCTTGGTTTTCTCAGGTTTGTCAAAGATCAGATGGTCGTAGATATGTGGCATTATTTCTGAGGGCTCTGTTCGGTTCCATTGATCTATATCTCTGTTTTGGTACCAGTACCATGCTGTTTTGGTTACTGTTGCCTTTTAGTATAGTTTGAAGTCAGGTACCGTGATGCCTCCGGCTTTGTTCTTTTGGCTTAGGATGTACTTGGCGATGCGGGCTCTTTTTTGGTTCCATATGAACTTTAAAGTAGTTTTTTCCAATTCTGTGAAGAAGGTCATTGGTAGCTTGATGGGGATGGCATTGAATCTTTAAATTACCTTGGGCAGTATGGCCATTTTCACAATATTGATTCTTCCTATCCATGAGCATGGAATGTTCTTCCATTTGTTTGTATCCTCTTTTATTTCATTGAGCAGTGGTTTGTAGTTCTTCTTGAAGAGGTCCTTCACATCCCTTCTAAGTTGGATTCCTAAGTATTTTATTCTCTTTGAAGCAATTGTGAATGGGAGTTCACTCATGATTTGGCTCTCTGTTTGTCTGTTATTGGTGTATAAGAATGCTTGTGACTTTTATACATTGATTTTGTATCCTGAGACTTTGCTGAAGTTGCTTATCAGCTTAAGGAGACTTTGGGCTGAGACAATGGGGTTTTCTAGATATACAATCATGTCATCTGCAAACAGGGACAATTTGACTTCCTCTTTTCCTAATTGAATACCGTTTATTTCCTTCTCCTGCCTAATTGCCCTGGCCAGAACTTCCAACACTATGTTGAATAGGAGTGGTGAGAGAGGGCATCCCTGTCTTGTGCCAGTTTTCAAAGGGACTGCTTCCAGTTTTTGCCCATTCAGTATGATATTGGCTGTGGGCTTGTCATAGATAGCTCTTATTATTTTGAGATACATCCCATCAATACCTAATTTATTGAGAGTTTTTAGCAGGAAGGGTTGTTGAATTTTGTCAAAGGCCTTTTCTGCATCTATTGAGATAATCGTGGTTTTTGTCTTTGGTTCTGTTTATATGCTGGATTACATTTATTGATTTGCGTATATTGAACCAGTCTTCCATCCCAGGGATGAAGACTACTTGATCATGGTGGATAAGCTTTTTGATGTGCTGCTGGATTTGGTGTGCCAGTATTTTATTGAGGATTTTTGCATCAATGTTCATCAAGGATATTTGTCTAAAATTCTCTTTTTTGCTTGTGTCTCTGCCAGGCTTTGGTATCAGGATGATGCTGGCCTCATAAAATGAGTTAGGGAGGATTCCCTCTTTTTCTATTGATTGGAATAGTTTCAGAAGGAATGGTACCAGCTCCTTCTTGTACCTCTGGTAGAATTTGGCTGTGAATCCATCTGGTCCTGGACTCTTTTTGGTTGGTAAGCTATTGATTATTGCCATAATTTCAGATCCTGTCATTGGTCTATTCAGAGATTCAACTTCTTTCTGCTTTAGTCTTGGGAGGGTGTATGTGTCGAGGAATTTATCCATTTCTTCTAGATTTTCTAGTTTATTTGCATAGAGGTGTTTATAGTATTCTCTGATGGTAGTTTGTATTTCTGTGGGATCTGTGGTGATATCCCCTTTATCATTTTTTATTGCATCTATTTGATTCTTCTCTCTTTTCTTCTTTATTAGTCTTGCTAGCGGTCTATCGATTCTGTTGATCTTTTCAAAAAACCAGCTCCTGGATTCATTAATTTTTTGAAGGGTTTTTTGTGTCTCTATTTCCTTCAGTTCTGCTCTGATCTTAGTTATTTCTTGCCTTCTGCTAGCTTTTGAATGTGTTTGCTCTTGCTTCTCTAGTTCTTTTAATTGTGATATTAGGGTGTGAATTTTAGATCTTTCCTGCTTTCTCTTGTGGGCATTTGATGCTGTACATTTCCCTCTGCACACTGCTTTGAATGTGTCCCAGAGATTCTGGTATGTTGTGTCTTTGTTCTCGTTGGTTTCAAAGAACATCTTTATTTCTGTCTTCATTTCATTATGTACGCAGTAGTCATTCAGGAGCAGGTTGTTCAGTTTCCATGTAGTTGAGCGGTTTTGAGTGAGTTTCTTAATCCTGAGTTCTAGTCTGATTGCACTATGGTCTGAGAGACAGTTTGTAATAATTTCTATTCTTTTACATTTGCTGAGGAGTGCTTTACTTCCAACTATGTGGTCAATTTTGGAATAGGTGTGGTGTGTTGCTGAAAATAACGTGTATTCTGTTGATTTGGGGTGGAGAGTTCTGTAGATGTCTATTAGGTCCACTTGGTGCAGAGCTGAGTTCAGTTCCTGGATATCCTTGTTAACTTTCTGTCTCGTGGATCCATCTAATGTTGACAGTGGGGTGTTAAAGTCTCCCATTATTATTGTGTGGGAGTCTCAGTCTCTTTGTAGGTCTCTAAGGACTTGCTTTATGAATCTGGGTGCTCCTGTATTGGGTGCATATATATTTAGGATAGTTAGCTCTTCTTGTTGAACTGATCCCTTTTCCATTATGTAATGATCTTCTTTGCCTCTTTTGATCTTTGTTGGTTTAAAGTCTGTTTTATCAGATACTAGGTTTGCAACCCTTGTCTTTTTTTTTGTTTTCCATTTGCTTGTAGATCTTCCTCCATCCCTTTATTCTGAACCTATGTGTGTCTCTGCACGTGAGATGAGTTTCCTGAATACAGCACACTGATGGGTCTTAACTCTTTATCCAATTTGCCAGTCTGTGTCTTTTAATTGGAGCATTTAGCCCATTTACATTTAAGGTTAATATTGTTATGTGTGAATTTGATCCTGTCATTATGATGTTAGCTGGTTATTTTGCTCATTAGTTGATGCAGTTTCTTCCTAACCTCGACGGTCTTTACAATTTGGCATGTTTTTGCACTGGCTGGTACCAGCTGTTCTTTTCCATGTTTAGTGCTTTCTTCAGGAGCTCTTTTAGGGCAGTCCTGGTGTGACAAAATCTCTCAGCATTTGCTTGTCTGTAAAGTATTTTATTTCTCCTTCACTTATGAAGCTTAGTTTGGCTGGATATGAAATTCTGGGTTGAAAATTCTTTTCTTTAAAAATGTTGAATATTGGCCCCCACTCTCTTCTGGCTTGTAGAGTTTCTGCCAAGAGATCCGCTGTTAGTCTGATGGGCTTCCCTTTGTGGGTAACCCGACCTTTCTCTCTGGCTGCCCTTACCATTTTTTCCTTCATTTCAACTTTGGTAGATCTGACAACTATGTGTCTTGGAGTTGCTCTTCTCGAGGAGTGTCTTTGTGGCATTCTCTGTGTTTCCTGAATTTGAATGCTGGCCTGCCTTGCTAGATTGGGGAAGTTCTCCCGGATAATATCCTGCAGAGTGTTTTCCACCTTGGTTCCATTCTCCCTGTCACTTTCAGGTACTCCAATCAGATGTAGATTTGGTCTTTTCACATAGTCCCATATTTCTTGGAGGCCTTGTTCATTTCTGTTCATTCTTTTTTCTTTGAACTTCTCTTCTCACTTCATTTCATTCATTTGATCTTCCATCACTGATACCCTTTCTTCCAGTTGATTGAATCAGCTACTGAGGCTTGCGCCTTCATCATGTAGTTCTCGTGCCTTGGTTTTCAGCTCCATCAGGTCCTTTAAGGACTTCTCTGCATTGATTATTCCATTTGTCTAATTTTTTTCAAGGTTTTTAAGTTCTTTGCCATGGGTTTGAACTTCCTCCTTTAGCTCAGAGTAGTTTGGTTGTTTGAAGCCTTCTTCTTTCAACTTGTCAAAGTCATTCTCTGTCCAGATTTGTTTCATTGCTGGTGAGGAGCTGTGCTCCTTTGGAGGAGGAGAGGTGCTCTGATTTTTAGTGTTTCCAGTTTTTCTGCTCTGTTTTTTCCCCATCTTTGTGGTTTTATCTACATTTGGTCTTTGATGATGGTGACATACAGATGGGGCTTTGGTGTGGATGTCCTTTCTGTTTGTTAGTTTTCCTTCTAACAGTCAGGACCCTCAGCTGCAGGTCTGTTGGAGTTTGGTGGAGGTCCACTCCAGACCCTGTTTGCCTAGGTATCAGCAGCGGAGGCTGCAGAACAGTGGATATTGGTGAACAGCACATGTTGCTGCCTGATCATTCCTCTGGAAGTTTTGTCTCAGAGGAGTACCTGGCTGTGTGAGGTGTCAGTCTGCCCCTACTGGGGGGTGCCTCCCAGGTATGTTACTCAGGGTCAGGGACCCACTTGAGGAGACAGCCGGTCCATTCTCAGATCTCCAGCTGTGTGATGGGTGAACCACTACTCTCTTCAAAGCTGTCAGACAGGGACATTTAAGTCTGCAGAGGTTTCTGCTGCCTTTTATTTGGCTATGCCCTTCCCCCAGAGGTGGAGTCTACAGAGGCAGGCAGGCCTCCTTGAGCTATGGTGGGCTCCACCCAGTTCGAGCTTCCCAGCCGCTTTGTTTACCTACTCAAGCCTCAGCAATGGTGGGCGCCCCTCCCCCAGCCTTGCTGCCACCTTGCAGTTTGATCTCAGACTGCTGTGCTAGCAACAAGCGAGGCTCTGTGAGCATAGGACCCTCTGAGCCAGGTACGGGATATAATCTCCTGGTGTGCCATTTGCTAAGACTGTTGGAAAAGTGCAGTATTAGGGTGGGAGCGACCCAGTTTTCCAGGTGCTGTCTATCATCCCTTTCTTTGACTAGGAAAGGTAATTCCCTGACCCCTTGCACTTCCTGGGTGAGATGATGCCTCGCCCTGCTCACGCTCAGTGTGCTGGACCCACTGTCCTGCACCCACTGTCCGACACTCCCCAGTGAGATGAACCCGGTACCTCAGTTGGAAATGCAGATCACCCATCTTCTGCATTGCTCATGCTGGGAGCTGTAGACTGGAGCTGTTCCTATTTGGCCATCTTGGCCCCACAATCCTTTTTTTTTTTTTTTTGACAGAGTCTCTCTCTGTTTTCCAGCATAGAGTGCAGTGGCACAATCTCAGCTCACTGTAACCTCCATCTTCTGGGCTCAAATGAACTCTCCACTTCACCTTCCAGAGTAGCTAGGACTATAGGTCCCAGTGACCCCACTATTTTTTTTTTGTAGAGATGCCACAGTGCCCCCAGTATTTATTTTTTATTTTTATTTTTTGTAGAGATGAGGTCCCACTATATTCCCCAGGCTATTCTCAAACTCCTGGGCTCAAGTAATCCTCCTGCCTTGGCCTCCCATAGTGCTGGGATTCAGGCATAAGCCACACACCCAGATGGTAATAACCATTTCAACAGGAGTGAGGTGATAGCTCATGTGGTTTTGATTTGCATTTTTCTGATGATTAGTGATGTTGAACATTTTTTTTTCATATACCTGTTGTCATTTGTATGTCTTCCTTTGAGAAATTTCTGTTTAGGTCCTTTGCCTGTTTTTAAATTAGGTTATTTGTTTTCTTGCTACTGAGTTGTTTGAGTTCCTTATGTATTTTGGATATTAATCTCCTGTGAGATAAATAGTTTGCAAATATTTTCTCCCATTCTATAGATTGCCTCCTCACTCTGTTGATTGTTTCCTTCACTGTGTAGAAGGTTTTAAATTCGATGTAATTAATTTGTCTATATTTTTATATTTGTTGCTTATTCTTTTGTTGTTATATCCAATAAGTCATTACCCAGACCAATGTTATGAAGATTCCCCCCTTCGTTTTCTTCTAGAAGTTTTATAGTTTTGGGTCTTACATTTAGGTCTTCCATCCATTTTGAGTTGATTTTTGTAGGGAGAGAGGTGGGAGTCTAGTTTCATTCTTCTATATATGGACATCCAGTTTCCCCAGCACCATTTCTTGAAGAGACTGTCCTTTCCCCAAGACTGTCTTGGTGCCTTTGTCAAAATCAGTTGGCTATAGATATGTGTATTAATATCTGTGTTATCTATTCTATTCAATTGGTCTATGTGTCTGTTTTCATGCCGGTACCATGCTGTTTTTGTTACTACAGCTTTGTAGTATATTTTGAAGCCTGGTAATGTGATGCCTTTAGCTTTGTTCTTTTTGTCCAGGAGTGCTTTGCCTATTGGAAGTCTTTTGAGGTTCTATACACATTTTAAGATTTTTTTTTCTATTTCTGTGAAGAATGTCATTGGTGTTTTGATATGGATTGCATTGAATCTGTAGATTGCTTTAGGATTATGGTCATTTTAACAATATTAATTCTTCTGACCTACAAGCATGTGATATCTTTTCCATTTGTTTGTATCCTCTTTAGTTTCTTTCATCAGTGTTTTGTAGTTTTCCTTGCAGACGTCTTTCACTTCCTTCATTAAATTTATTCCTTGCTATTTTATTTTTAATAGCTATTGTAAATGGGATTGCCTTATTTATTTTTTCAGCTAGTTAGTTGTTCATGTATAGAAATGCTACTGATTTTTGCATGCTGATTTTGTATCCTACGACTTTACTTTTCAGTTCTAAGAGTTTTTAGGTTGAGTCTTTAGGATTTTTTATATATAAACAGAGACAACTTGATTTCCTCCTTTCCAATTTGAATGCCTTTCATTTCTTTCTCCTGCCTAATTACTTTGACTAGGACTTCAATTATGTGGAATGAGTGGTGAGTGTGTACTCCCTTGTCTGGTTTCAGTTCTTAGAAGAAAAGCTTTCAGTATAATGTTAGCTTCAGTATGTTAGACATTAGATTCAGTATAATGGGTTTAGTCATATAAGGCCTTTATTCTGTTGAGGTACTTTCTTTCCATACTTAATTTTTTGAGAGTTTTTATCATGAAGGGATATTGAATTTTATCAGGTATCTTTTCTTCATCTATTGAGATGATCATATGGTTTTTGTCCTCCATTCTGTTTTATATGATGAATCACATTTATTGATTTGCCTATGTTGGAACATCATTGCATTCCTGGGATACATCCCACTTAGTCATGGTGTATTATGGTTTTTTTTTTAGAATGTTATGAAATTTTTAATTTTTTAAATGTTTTTAAGAGTAAACTACTTGATAATTTTTTTTGTAATTTTTATTTTTTTTATTTTTTATTTTTTATTTTTTATTTCTTTTTATTATTACACTTTAAGTTTTAGGGTACATGTGCACATTGTGCAGGTTAGGTACATATGTATACATATGTGTCATGCTGGTGCACTGCACCCACTAACTCGTCATCTAGCATTAGGTATATCTCCCAATGCTATCCCTCCCCCCTCCCCCGACCCCACAACAGTCCCCAGAGTGTGATGTTCCCCTTCCTGTGTCCATGTGATCTCATTGTTCAATTCCCACCTATGAGTGAGAATATGCGGTGTTTGGTTTTGTGTTCTTGTGGTAGTTTACTGAGAACGATGATTTCCAATTTCATCCATGTCCCTACAAAGGACATGAACTCATCATTTTTTTATGGCTGCATAGTATTCCATGGTGTATATGTGCCACATTTTCTTAATCCAGCCTATCATTGTTGGACATTTGGGTTGGTTCCAAGTCTTTGCTATTGTGAATAATGCCGCAATAAACATATGTGTGTATGTGTCTTTATAGCAGCATGATTTATAGTCCTTTGGGTATATACCCAGTAATGGGATGGCTGGGTCAAATGGTATATCTAGTTCTAGATCCCTGAGGAATCGCCAGACTGACTTCCACAATGGTTGAACTAGTTTACAGTCCCACCAACAGTGTAAAAGTGTTCCTATTTCTCCACATCCTCTCCAGCACCTGTTGTTTCTTGACTTTTTCATGATCGCCATTCTAACTGGTGTGAGATGGTATCTCATTGTGGTTTTGATTTGCATTTCTCTGATGGCCAGTCATGATGAACATTTTTTCATGTGTCTTTTGGCTGCATAAATGTCTTCTTTTGAGAAGTGTCTGTTCATGTCCTTCGCCCACTTTTTGATGGGGTTGTTTGTTTTTTTCTTGTAAATTTGTTTGAGTTCATTGTAGATTCTGGTTATTAGCCCTTTGTCAGATGAGTAGGTTGCGAAAATTTTCTCCCATTTTGTAGGTTGCCTGTTCACTCTGATGGTAGTTTCTTTTGCTGTGCAGAAGCTCTTTAGTTTAATTAGATCCCATTTGTCAATTTTGGCTTTTGTTGCCATTGCTTTTGGTGTTTTAGATATGAAGTCCTTGCCCATGCCTATGTCCTGAATGGTAATGCCTAGGTTTTCTTCTAGGGTTTTTATGGTTTTAGGTCTAATGTTTAAGTCTTTAATCCATCTTGAATTAATTTTTGTATAAGGTGTAAGGAAGGGATCCAGTTTCAGCTTTCTCCATATGGCTAGCCAGTTTTCCCAGCACCATTTATTAAATAGGGAATCCTTTCCCCATTGCTTGGTTTTCTCAGGTTTGTCAAAGATCAGATAGTTGTAGATATGTGGCGTTATTTCTGAGGGCTCTGTTCTGTTCCATTGATCTATATCTCTGTTTTGGTACCAGTACCATGCTGTTTTCGTTCCCGTAGCCTTGTAGTATAGTTTGAAGTCAGGTAGTGTGATGCCTCCAGCTTTGTTCTTTTGGCTTAGGATTGACTTGGCGATGCGGGCTCTTTTTTGGTTCCATATGAACTTTAAAGTAGTTTTTTCCAATTCTGTGAAGAAAGTCATTGGTAGCTTGATGGGGATGGCATTGAATCTGTAAATTACCTTGGGCAGTATGGCCATTTTCACAATATTGATTCTTCCTATCCATGAGCATGGAATGTTCTTCCATTTGTTTGTATCCTCTTTTATTTCCTTGAGCAGTGGATTGTAGTTCTCCTTGAAGAGGTCCTTCACATCCCTTGTAAGTTGGATTTCTAAGGTATTTTATTTTCTTTGAAGCAATTGTGAATGGGAGTTCACTCATGATTTGGCTCTCTGTTTGTCTGTTGTTGGTGTATAAGAATGCTTGTGATTTTTGTACATTGATTTTGTATCCTGAGACTTTGCTAAGTTGCTTATCAGCTTAAGGAGATTTTGGGCTGAGACAATGGGGTTTTCTAGATATACAATCATGTCATCTGCAAACAGGGACAATTTGACTTCCTCTTTTCCTAATTGAATACCCTTTATTTCCTTCTCCTGCCTAATTGCCCTGGCCAGAACTTCCAACACTATGTTGAATAGGAGTGGTGACAGAGGTCATCCCTGTCTTGTGTGAGTTTTCAAAGGGACTGCTTCCAGTTTTTGCCCATTCAGTATGATATTGGCTGTGGGTTTGTCATAGATAGCTCTTATTATTTTGAGATACATCCCATCAATACCTAATTTATTGAGAGTTTTTAGCATGAAGGGTTGTTGAATTTTGTTGAAGGCCTTTTCTGCATCTATTGAGATAATCATGTGGTTTTTGTCTTTGGCTCTGTTTATATGCTGGATTGCATTTATTGATTTGTGTATATTGAGCCAGCCTTGCATCCCAGGGATGAAGCTCACTTGATCATGGTGGATAAGCTTTTTGATGTGCTGCTGGATTTGGTGTGCCAGTATTTTATTGAGGATTTTTGCATCAATGTTCATCAAGGATATTTGTCTAAAATTCCCTTTTTTGCTTGTGTCTCTGCCCGGCTTTTGTATTAGAATGATGCTGGCCTCATAAAATGAGTTAGGGAGGATTCCCTCTTTTTCTGTTGATTGGAATAGTTTCAGAAGGAATGGTACCAGCTCCTCCTTGTACCTCTGGTAGAATTCGACTGTGAATCCATCTGGTCCTGGACTCTTTTGGTTGGTAAGCTATTGATTATTGCCATAATTTCAGATCCTGTTATTGGTCTATTCAGAGATTCAACTTCTTCCTGGTTTAGTCTTGGGAGAGTGTATGCGTCAAGGAATTTATCCATTTCTTCTAGATTTTCTAGTTTATTTGCGTAGAGGTGTTTGTAGTATTCTCTGATGGTAGTTTGTATTTCTGTGGGATCTGTGGTGATATCCCCTTTATCATTTTTTATTGCATCTATTTGATTCTTCTCTCTTTTTTTCTTTATTAGTCTTGCTAGTGGTCTATCTATTTTGTTGATCCTTTCAAAAAACCAGCTCCTGGATTCATTAATTTTTTGAAGGGTTTTTTGTGTCTCTATTTCCTTCAGTTCTGCTCTGATTTTAGTTATTTCTTGCCTTCTGCTAGCTTTTGAATGTGTTTGCTCTTGCTTTTCTAGTTCTTTTAGTTGTGATGTTAGTGTGTCAATTTTGGATCTTTCCTGCTTTCTCTTGTGGGCATTTAGTGGTGCTATAAATTTCCCTCTACACACTGCTTTGAATGCGTCCCAGAGATTCTGGTATGTTGTGTCTTTGTTCTCGTTGGTTTCAAAGAACATCTTTATTTCTGCCTTCATTGCATTATGTGCCCAGTAGTCATTCAGGAGCAGGTTGTTCAGTCTCCATGTAGTTGAGCAGTTTTGAGTGAGATTCTTAATCCTGAGTTCTAGTTTGATTGCACTGTGGTCTGAGAGATAGTTTGTAATAATTTGTGTTCTTTTACATTTGCTGAGGAGAGCTTTACTTCCAAGTATGTGGTCAATTTTGGAATAGGTGTGGTGTGGTGCTGAATAAAATGTATATTCTGTTGATTTGGGGTGGAGAGTTCTGTAGATGTCTATTATGTCTGCTTGGTGCAGAGCTGAGTTCAATTCCTGGGTATCCTTGTTGACTTTCTGTCTCGTTGATCTGTCTAATGTTGACTGTGGGGTGTTAAAGTCTCCCATTATTAATATGTTGGAGTCTAAGTCTCTTTGTAGGTCACTCAGGACTTGCTTTATGAATCTTGGTGCTCCTGTATTGGGTGCATATATATTTAGGATAGTTAGCTCTTCTTGTTGAATTGATCTGTTTACCATTATGTAATGGCCTTCTTTGTCTCTTTTGATCTTTGTTGGTTGAAAGTCTGTTTTATCAGAGACTAGGATTGCAACCCCTGCCTTTTTTTGTTTTCCATTTGCTTGTAGATCTTCCTCCATCCCTTTATTTTGAGCCTCTGTGTGTCTCTGCACGTGAGATGGGTTTCCTGAATAGAGCACACTGATGGGTCTTGACTCTTTATCCAATTTGCCAGTCTGTGTCTTTTAATTGGAACATTTAGTCCATTTACACTTAAAGTTAACATTGTTATGTGTGAATTTGATCCTGTCATTATGATGTTAGCTGGTTATTTTGCTCATTAGTTGATGCAGTTTCTTCCTAGTCTTGATGGTCTTTACATTTTGGCATGATTTTGCAGCAGCTGGTACCGGTTGTTCCTTTCCATGTTTAACACTTCCTTCAGGAGCTCTTTTAGGGCAGGCCTGGTGGTGACAAAATCTCTCAGCATTTGCTTGTCTGTAAAGTATTTTATTTCTCCTTCACTTATGAAGCTTAGTTTAGCTGGATATGAAATTCTGGGTTGAAAATTCTTTTCTTTAAGAATGTTGAATATTGGCCCCCACTCTCTCTGGCTTGTAGAGTTTCTGCCAAGAGATCTGCTGTTAGTCTGATGGGTTTCCCTTTGAGGGTAACCTGACCTTTCTCTCTGCCCTTAACATTTTTTCCTTCATTTCAACTTTGGTGAATCTGACAGTTATGTCTTGGAGTTGCTCTTCTGGAGGAGTATCTTGGTGGCATTCTCTGTATTTCCTGAATCTGAACATTGGCCTGCCTTGCTAGATTGGGGAAGTTCTCCTGGATAATATCCTGCAGAGTGTTTTCAACTTGGTTCCTTTCTCCCCATCACTTTCAGGTACACCAGTCAGACATAGATTTGGTCTTTTCACATAGTCCCATATTTCTTGGAGGCTTTGCTCATTTCTTTTTATTCTTTTTTCTCTAAACTTCCCTTCTTGCTTCATTTCATTCATTTCATCTTCCATTGCTGATACCCTTTCTTCCAGTTGATCGCATCGGCTCCTGAGGCTTCTGCATTCTTCATGTAGTTCTCGAGCCTTGGTTTTCAGCTCCATCAGCTCCTTTAAGAACTTCTCTGTATTGGTTATTCTAGTTATACATTCTTCTAAATGTTTTTCAAAGTTTTCAACTTCTTTGCCTTTGGTTTGAATGTCCTCCCATAGCTCAGAGTAATTTGATCGTCTGAAGCCTTCTTCTCTCAGCTCGTCAAAGTCATTCTCCATCCAGCTTTGTTCCATTGCTGGTGAGGAACTGCGTTCCTTTGGAGGAGGAGAGGCACTCTGCTTTTTAGAGTTTCCAGTTTTTCTGTTCTGTTTTTTCCCTATCTTTGTGGTTTTATCTACTTTTGATCTTTGATGATGGTGATGTACAGATGGGTTTTTGGTGTGGATGTCCTTTCTGTTTGTTAGTTTTCCTTCTAACAGACAGGACCCTCAGCTGCAGGTCTGTTGGAGTACCCTGCTGTGTGAGGTGTCAGTGTGCCCCTGCTGGGGGGTGCCTCCCTGTTAGGCTGCTCGGGGGTCAGGGGTCAGGGACCCACTTGAGGAGGCAGTCTGCCTGTTTTCAGATCTCCGGCTGCGTGCTGGGAGAACCACTGCTCTCTTCAAAGCTGTCAGACAGGGACATTTAAGTCTGCAGAGGTTACTGCTGTCTTTTTGTTTGTCTGTGCCCTGCCCCCAGAGGTGGGGCCTACAGAGGCAGGCAGGCCTCCTTGAGCTGTGGTGGGCTCCACCCAGTTCGAGCTTCCTGGCTGCTTTGTTTACCTAAGCTCGCCTGGGCAATGGTGGGCGCCCCTCCCCCAGCCTCACTGCCATCTTGCAGTTTGATCTCAGACTGCTGTGCTAGCAATCAACGAGACTCCGTGGGCGTAGGACCCTCAGAGCCAGGTGCCAGATATAATCTCGTGGTGCGCTGTTTTTTAAGCCCGTCGGAAAAGCGCAGTATTCGGGTGGGAGTGACCCAATTTTCCAGGTGCCATCTGTCACCCCTTTCTTTGACTAGGAAAGGGAACTCCCTGACCCCTTGCACTTCCGGAGTGAGGCAATGCCTGGCCCTGCTTCAGCTCGCGCATGGTGCATGCACCCACTGACCTGCGCCCACTGTCTGGCACTCCCTAGTGAGATGAACCTGGTACCTCAGATGGAAATGCAGAAATCACCCATCTTCTGCGTTGCTCATGCTGGGAGCTGTAGACCGGAGCTGTTCCTATTCGGCCATCTTGGCTCCTCCCTATGTTTTTGATATATTGTTTGATTTTGTTTGCTAGTATTTTGTTGAGGATTTTTGTGTGTATGTTCATCAGGAATATTGGCCCATGGTTTTTTTTTTTCTGTGTTCTTTTCTGGTTTTGGAATCAGGGCCTCAGGGAATAAGTTGGGAAAAGTTCTCTCTGCATCAACATTTTGGAATAGTTTGAGAATAGCTGATATTAATTTTTCTTTAAATGTTTGGTAGAATTCAGTTTTGAAGGCATCTAGTTCTGGACTTTTCTTTGTTGGGAGACTTTTTATTATTACTGATTCAATCTTGTTACTTGTTCATGTCTGTTCAGGTTTTCGGTTTCCTCTAGGCTCCATCTCAGTAGGTTGTATGTGTTGAGGGATTTATCCATTTACTTTTGATTTTTGAATTCATTAGCATATAGTTGTTCATTGCAGTCTCTAATGACCCTTTATATTACTGTGTTTCTCTTGTGAGGGCTCCTTTTTCATTTCTGATTTTACTTATTTGTGTTTTCTCTTAATTTTTCTGTCCAGCTAAAGGTTTGTGAATTTTATCTTTTCAAAAAACCAACTTTTTGTTTTGTTGATCTTCTGTATTTTTTTAGTCTCAATTTTATTTATTTCTGCTTTGATCTTTATTAATTCTTTTTTTAGAACACATTTTATTTTTATTTATTTATTTATTTTCCACTCAATGGGTTATTGGTGGTACAAGAGGTATTTGGTTACATGAGTAAGTTCTTTAGTGGTGATGTGTGAGATTTTGGTGCACCTATCACCTGGGCGATAACACGAGACCCTTTTTGTAATCTTCAACCCTTGCCCCCTTCCCAACCTCCTCCCCAAGTCCCCAAAGTCCACTGTATCATTCTTATGCCTTTGTATCTTCATAGCTTAGCTCCCACATATCAGTGAGAACATACGATGTTTGGTTTTCCATTCCTGAGTTACTTCACTTAGAATAATAGTCTCCAGTCTCATCCAGGTCGCTGCAAATGCCATTAATTCATTCCTTTTTATGGCTGAGTGGTATTTCATCATATATTTCATCATATATATATGTATATATATATATACACAACAGTTTCTTTATCCACTTGTTGACTGATGGGCATTTCGGTTGGTTCCACAATTTTGCAATTGTGAATTGTGCTGCTATAAACATGCATGTGAAAGTATCTTTTCATATAATGGCTTCCTTTCCTCTGGGTAGATAACCAGTAGTGGGATTACAGAATCAAATGGTAGTTCTACTTTTAGTTCTTTAGGTAGTCTCCACACTGTTTTCCATAGTGGCTGTACTAGTTTATATTCCCACCAGCAGTGTAGAAGTGTTCCCTGATTACCACATCTATGCCAAAATCTACTGTTTTTTGATTTTTTGATTATGGCCATGCTTGCAGGAGTAAGGTGGAATCACATTGTGGTTTTGATTCACATTTCGCTGATCATTAGTGATGTTGAGCATTTTTTCATACGTTTGTTGGCCATTTGTATATCTTCTTTTGAGAATTGTCTATTCACATCCTTAACTTACTTTTTGATGGGATTGTTTGCTTTTTTTTCTTACTGATTTGTTTGAGTTTGTTGTAGATTCTGGATATTAGTCCTTGTCAGATATATAGATTGTGAAGATTTTCTCCCACTCTGTGGATTGTCTGCTTACTCTGCTGACTGTTCTTTTTGCCATGCAAAAGCTCTTTAGTTTAATTAGACCCCAACTATTTATCTTTGTTTTTATTGCATTTTTTTGGGGTTCTTGGTCAGGAAATCCTTGCCTAAGCCAAAGTCTAGAACGGTTTCTCCAATGTTATATTCTGGAATTTTTATAGTTTCAGGTCTTAGGTTTAAGTCCTTAATCCATCTTGGTTGATTTTTGTATAAGGTGAGAGATGAGGATCCAGTTTCATTCTCCTACATGTGGCTAGCCATATATCCCAGCACCATTTTTTGAAAATGATGTCCTTTCCCCACTTTATATGTTTTTGTTTACTTTGTTGAAGATCAGTTGGCTTTAAGTATTTGGGCTTATTTCTGGATTCTCTATGCTGTTCCACTGGTCTATGTCCCTATTTTTTTTTTTTTTTTAACCAGTACCACACTGTTTTGTTGACTGTGGCCCTATTGTATAGTTTGAAATCAGATAGTGTGATGCCTCCAGATTTGTTCTTTTTGCTTAATCTTGATTTGGCTACATGAGCTCTTTTTGGTTCCATATGCATTTTATAATTGTTTTTTTTTTCTAATTCTGTGAAGAATGATGGTGGTATTTTGATGGGGATTGCATTGAATTTGTAGATTGCTTTTGGCATTATGGTCATTTTCACAATATTGATTCTACCCATCCATGAGCATGGGATGTGTTTCTATTTGTGTCATCTATGATTTCTTTCAGCAGTGTTTTGTAGTTTTCCTTGTAGAGGTCTTTTGCCTCCTAGGTTAGGTATATTCCTAAGTATTTTATATTTTTTGCAGCTATTGTAAAAGGGGTTGAGTTCTTGATTCGTTTCTCTGCTTGGTCCCTGTGGTGTATAGAAAAGCTACTGATTTGCATACATTAATCTTGTATCTAGAAACTTTGCTGAATTCTTTTATTAGTCCTAGGAGCTTTCTGGAGGAGTCTTTAGGGATTTTGAGGTAAACAATTATATCGTCAGCAAACAGTGACAATTTGACTTCCTCTTGACCAATTTGGATGCCCTTTATTTCTTTCTCTTGTCTGATTGCTCTGGCTAGGACTTATAGTACTATGGTGAAGAGGAATGGTGAGACTAGGCATCCTTGTCTTGTTCCCGTTCTCAGAGGGAATGCTTTCAACTTTTCCCATTCACTATTATGTTGGCTGTGGGTTTGTCATAGATGGCTTTTATTACATTGAGGTATCTTCCTTGTATGCCAATTTTGCTGAGAGTTTTAATCATAAAGCGATGCAGGATTTTGTTGAATGTTTTTCCTGCATCTATTGAAATGATCATGTGATTTTTGTTTTTAATTCTGTTTATGTGGTATGTCACACTTATTGACTTGTGTATGTTAAACCATCCCTGCATCCCTGGTATGAAATCCACTTGATCACGGTGGATTATCTTTTTGATATGCTGTTGGATTCAGTTAGCTAGTATTTTGTTAAAGATTGCTGCATCTGTGTTATATTCTTTTGCTGAATTGATCCCTTTATTATTGTATAATGACCTCCTTTGTCTCTTTTTACAGTTGTTGGCTTAGAGTATATTTTATCTGATGTAAGTATAGCTGCTGCTCTGGTTTCCATTTGAATGGAATATCTTTTTCCATCTCTTCACTTTCAGTCTGTAGTGTCCTTAAGGATGAATTGAGTTTGTTGTAGGCAGCATACAGTTGGATGCTGTTTTTCTTATTTCATTCAGACCTCTATGTCTTTTAACTGGAGACATTAGTTCATTACATTCAAAGTTATTATTGTTAGGTAAGGACTTAGCACTGTCATTTTGCAATGATATGTTTTTTTGAGAAGTCTAGTGTGTCCTGGGCATAATGTTAAATAAAATACCTTTATTATATTTATGTATAAAGCTAGACAATATAACTTGTTTTCTTAATGTTCATTACACCATATGACTCCTAAAGAGGGAGATAGTTAGGGCATTTACCTTCTGTTGCTGTGATGGTCTCACACATTGGTCAAGAAATGTGAGAGATGGAGTGTGGTTTAGTATTTCCTCCCAGAAACTCCTTTTCTCTTTCAGTCTTTTGTACCCTGATAACTGTCCTCTGATGAGAGGTAGGAGGTCTTGTTCTTCCTCTATTTCTTCTAAGGCTTGAGAACTGCTCTTCCACTTGTTCCTGGCACTCTGGCTCAAACTTCTCCAAGTTTACCCACTTGCGATCTCTAAATGTTTACATGGAAATGATAAGTGTCATGTGACTCCTAATAGCTGCTAAATATGACTCTCCCTGACAAAAGGAATTTCAGATTGGAAGGAGTAGAGGGACATGGTCTTGGAAGGATCAGTGTTTGGCTTTGACCTAGAGTCCTATACACAGGATTAATTCTCAGCTATGTTTGGTGAGAGGAATGTTTGTATTTGAGGTTGATCCTAGATGATGTCTGTGATTAACTTGTGAACAATCTCTCTCCTCCGATCACAGTTTGGCTTTAGACAGAGAGTCTTAATAGATGAGTGTGCCAAGTATGGATTTTTGAGCAGCCAATGTGATAGAGAATTATAGCATACAGATTTCTTTAGGAAAGAGAAACATGGTCCTGAGAAATTACTGGAGAGCAATAACATATACACCAGGACAATAAGAGTTTAGAGAAAAGGCAACAAAGAGGGAGTAACAACAGAACAGTATAATTTACAGAAGGGATTGATTCAATCTAGTCTACAGCTTTGTGGGAACATGTGTTTGTGGGTAATTCTTGAGTCAGGAGGAAGACAAAGATATAACTTTATAGTACATAAGATAGCTCATTGTTTATTTTCTCTTCCAGCCCACACCACATATTGAGAAAACTAGAAGAGAATGAACTTGGCCAGAGGAGAATGAAGTAAGTGTAGTCATGAGCCAAACAGAACCAATTATCTTCTCTCTTTTGGGAATTTGCAGTTAGTTATAGATTCTGTGTTGGTAAACTATGGGTCATCAAGGTAGAAGGTAATATATAATAAATATGTATACATTTAATTTTGATAATATTTTTTCTTGTTTAAAAGAAACATTGTGGGATAAAAATGATAGTAAATAAATCATCCAGTTTGCCCTTGGATGATAATGCTGAGCTGGCAGAAGAAATCCATATCCAAAAGGAAGGGCTGTTTCAGTGAAGACAATTGCTGCCCCACTATAATATAAGGGGCCCTTTGCAATTAACTAATTAGCAATTAACTAATTAACCAATTGCATATGAAAGTAGCAGGTGCCATGCAATAGGCTTGGCTTTGATTTCTGCTATTAGAAGATTGGACACAGCAATGACAGTAGCCAGATGAGTCTTGGTAAGGAAAGTCTCATGCATAATTCTACAGTCCTTCTTTAATGTTTACTTTGTTTTTGAGCTCATTGAACAAGCATTAAAGTGGTGGAGAATAAGATTGGTTCTCATCCACAGAAAAAGTCAGCTTGTCTACCAACTTTTTAATAGATGTATGTATATGTCTGTTTGTTGAAGAAGACTTATGGTGAGTACTCATATTCATGTGGAATACAAGTATTCTCAACTCTAGTCACATTATGAGAGGTATATCTATGTTCTTCTACTGCAGTCATCCTGGAGTAGGTTAACCAATCCTCCATTTTTTAAATTCTAAATCCCTGATAACACAGATAAACCATTATTCTGCAATCATAAAATGGCATACATCTATACCTCTTTTTCTTGAATGACAAAACGTGTGGCTTATCAAGATGTGAAAGACTGTTTCCTGAATTGAGATTGTGATACCGATAATCTTATATCATGGATGTATCCCAGAAAAAATAAAGCATCTTGGAGCATTGGGCACCATGTCGGGATCCAGTCAAATGCAGAAATGGAGTAGAAGTAAGGAAAAATATAGAATAACATGGGAGAACCTAGAACTTTGGCCAATAATAGGGTTGGAATGTCCTAAGTTCCATTTTTGTTGGGTATTAATTGTGTATTATGGTGAAGAGTAGAGCTTAGTTTAAAATCACAGAACTAAAATCCGGGAAGGAATAATCAGGAATCTTTTGATTTCACATGACAGCAACCCAAGCCAAACTATCTTAAGTGAAGACAGAAATTTATAATTCACATAATGTATAAGTCCAGCAGTAACTGGTTTCAGGTGTTACTAGATCTAGAATACAGGGACTCAAACATAGTTACTCTCTCCCCATTTTCTTCTTTTAAGGTTGGTGTTTTTCTTGAGACAGATTTTTTCACTTGGAAGACAGTAGACAGTCTCCAATATATAGTCCTTGAAATCTATGATCCAGAAAGCATGGCACCATCTCTCTTTTCTTTCAAGTCTAAATCAAAAAGGTCATAAGGTCCATCTTGGTTCATATGCTTAACTCTGACTCAATCTTTTAGCTAGGGGAATGTGGTATCATAATTGAATGGGCCAGTTTGTATGTTTATCAATGACGTCAAATAAGGAGAGATGAGTGGATTGACAGTTCCATCAGAAATCCAAGACTGGAGCAGGGTGAAATATTTATCAGAGAAAGGGAGATGCTAACACAAACAAAAATGACAGCTATTGATAAAAGGAAGTTAATTGAATCAGGCAAGAACTGCAGGGGAACATTACTTTGTGAGAAATTGCCAAAGCCAAAGGCCTTGAGAGGGAGAATATGTGTGGAATAAAGAGTGAGTGATATGGGCATAAGTGGGGAGGGGTAACAGTTTGTGCTGAATCAACTTTTGATGTACAAGCTTCTGTTATATAATAATGAGACCCTTTTCATATATAGGATCAGACCAGTCAGAGGCACTAAATATGCACAGTATGAACCTGGTACTAGGCAGTCTAGAGGTGGATGACCTAGGTGGGCACAGTTTTAGCCCATCAAATTTATGATGATGCTACATTGTGAGCATGTATATATTCTGGGAGTAATTAGATCTATGCTATCAGAGACTTCACATCCAAAAGGTCCAAAAAGATGCAGGAAGCTCCTATGAAGAAGAAATAACTTTATGCAAAGCTGTGAAAGTTCTAGAATTTCCCTGCATTTTCTCATGCAAAGAATTGTTCACCCACAGTTCAAGCCAATAAATATTTAAATAATTAATAAGCCAGTTATAATCTATATAATCTCTTCCTTTTGGGTATTTATTTGCAATTATTCTTGACAGTTTTAGAAAAGAAAGCAAAACAAGGAATTGCTGGTGTAGACACTGAATTTCCATGAATTTTAACTACTGTTGATACTCTTCCTATTTTTAAGTTCTTAGAAATTTTATTGAAATTGTGATAATTTTCCAAAATTGCAGGAAGAACTAAATGTTATGACAGTCTGAATTTTTACTAGTGATATTTTTATGATTTTCTATATTTTTGGGAAAGGACAAACATAACATTGGTGTGGGAACTTAACATGAAATAAAGTATTATGGCTAGTAGGATTAGATAGCTGCCTCACTGTCCAGCTCCATCCAGACAATACTTGAATTATGGTACAGGCCTAACATGCCTAGTATCTATGGCATGTCAAACTGGAGACAGTATTTTCCAAGAATATTATGTTCTGTGGAGTTTTCTTTGTCACAAAGGAGGCTATATCATAATATTTTGGAGGAAGTATATATGATTTCATCAAATGCTACACATTTGATGAAAATGGTCACCAAGATTCTTTATTGAGATATTTAAAGTAGAGAAATGTTGTCTCCTTGTGTGTTAAATAAAGTAAAATAAATTAGAGAAACGTACAAAGAAATTTTTATACTCTTGCCTTTACTCTACTCAGGATTGAGGTTACAATGTTTTTCATATTTGTCTTTTTCTAAATTAAAGGAACATAGCATAGCAGATATAGTTGGAATATCTTTCACTAACTGACTCACAGATAATCATAGTTCAGATCAGAGAGTAGTATAGATGATCAGCCTCTGTGGCTGTATGGGAACCTTGACAGCAGTGCTGGCGGCTGGCCCCCTGGCCATCCTGGCAGCCACAAGGGAAGTCAAGGCTGCCTCAAGCCTGTGGGGGCCTCTGGGACCCCAGCTGAGGGACAGCAGCCTGCAGCCTGATGCCATCAGCCTGGGAGCTGATCCAGCAGTTGGTGATCAAGCTGTCCCAGGCAGTGTGGACCAATAACCTGCACACAGTGCTTGGCTGTGCAAGATCCTGCCCAGCAGCCCCACGCTCAGCATGTTCTTGGTCAACAGCCACTGCCTGTAGGATGGAATAGTAGACCCAACAATAATAAATGGTTTGGTGATTCCTGGAAGACCTAAAGGCAGAAATGCTGTTCAACCCAGCAATCCCATTACTGGGTATATATCCAGAGCAATATAAATCATTCTCTTATAAAGACACATGCATGCGTATGCTCATTGCAGCACTATTCACAATAGGAAAGACATGGAATTAACCTAAATGCCCTTCAATGATAGGCTGGATAAAGAAAATGTGGTACATATACACCATGGAATACTATGCAGCCATAAAAAAGAAAAAAATCATGTCTTTTGCAGGGACATGGATGGAGCTGGAGGCCATTATATTTAGCAAATTTACTCAGGAACAGAAAACCAAATACTGCATGTTCTCACAGGTGGAAGCTAAATGAGGAGAACACATGGATACATAGAAAGGAACAACATACACTGGGGCCTACTGGAGGGTGGAGAGGGAGGAGGGAGAGGATCAGAAACAATAACTAATGGGTATCAGGCTTAATACTTGGGTGATGAAATCTGTACAACAAACTCCCATGACACAAGTTTACCTAAGTTGCAGACTTGCACTTATATCTCTCAACTTAAAAGTTAAAAAAAAGAAAAAGAAATGGTTTGATAACCCGTACTGAAATTTTACTGTTGTCCAGTTGATGGATGCCCTGGACGCTCTCACAAACCATTTTCTCAATTTTCTCTCGTAAAGCAACACTTTATGAAAATGCATGCTGAGAACATAAATGTAGTAATGAGACTTGAAGAGACACTCGGACTGTGGCAAGATCTTTGAGTGCACATGTGTCTGTCCCTATGCCAGTGGAATGGTATTACAGTCAGACGTTTACTAAACTGGCCATGGTCCCTGCAGAATACAGGGATCTACCTATTAGAAAAGGAAAATGTAAAACAGTCTATAAAACTAGAGGGGGTCCAATAAGACCATTGAATCACTAAACAACCAACCAACTTCTAGACAGACACTCAAGAACCAGAAGCTTCAGAAATAAAAACAGTAGCTTTTTTTTTTAAAAGAATCTTGAAGCTCTAATGCCAGAAAGCAGACTCTTACAACACCTCTGAAGTAGCCTTAGAAGTTGCATTTACCACAGCCCAAAGTGGTTCTTGTTAAATTACGTGTGATGCAGTTTTCTCCTATGCTTGTCATTGAGCCTGCAACTGACTCCCTGGCTGAACCCGTGGTGTGAGGTATCGATCAGGCTTCTGCCACAGAGTCTGTGCACCTACCGCCTTGTCAATAGGAACCCTGATCCATGCCCTAGATTCAGAGGCTTGCTCTCCTAAGAAGAGACTGCCTCTTTCAAAAAATTGTAAATCCTGTTGCTGTTGAGCCAACTAATATGGCTGTTCAAGTGAACCTGGGTAAAAGTCTGTCTAATCCTTTACAAGAAATAGGGAACACATGCCCAAAGAATAGCATTTCTTCAATTAATGTACAGACAGATATGTCTTATGCCTCACAAAACTTTGTACCTTCTGCACAGTGGGCTAGCCTCGATTCTTCTGTGTCATCTTGTTCTCAAATTGATTTTGTCATTTGATTCTCAAGTGTCCCTTCCCACTAGTGTTCACACAGACATTTTTGCCCAGCTTGAGGCTAACTTTACCTATAGCTGCTCAGAGTGATGCATTTATAGGCACTTGTTTCCAATCAGGTGAGATCTTCAGAGAAACCAAAACTAGTGGGATGGTTCAAGACTAAAACCATGGGATTGAGCTGGGAAGGGCTGTGGGTAAACAAAATTTGCCAGGGGCTGGAGGAAAGGAGAGATTGTCAGGTGAGATGGAGAGGTGGTGTAGATTAGGCACTTAGAATGCTTGAGTTTGAGATACCTATTACACATCCACCATTGAATTTAGTAATGTGGCAAGAGGTCCTTGACCATAAAGATTTTCAACTTTTAAGAGACTAGACCAAGCAGAATAAATAATTTCTGAAGTTGAAAACAGGTCTTTTGAAATAACACAGGCAGACTGAAAAACAAAAGAGAGAAGTGAACAAAGCCTATAGGATTTACAGGACACCATTAAGCAAACAAATATTCATATTCTGGGCATTTTAGGAGAAGAAAATAAGGGAAATGGTATAGAAAGCATATTTAATAAAATAATAGGTCAAAATTTTCCAATTCTTGAGAGAGGGCTGGACATCCAAATACGGGAATCTCAAAGAAACCCAAATAGATTCAACCCAAACATGTCCTATCCAAGACACATTTTAGTCAAATTGTCAGAAGCCAAAGACAAAGAAAAAATTTCTAAAAACACCAGGGAAAAACATTAAGTCATGTATAAGGGAATCCCCATTTCACTAACAGTAGATTTCTCAGCAGAAGCCTTACAGGCCAGGAGAGAATGGAATGATGTATTCAAAGTACTGAAAGAAAAAAAAACCCTGCTAGCCAACAATATTATGCCCAGCAAAGCCATCCTTCAGAAATGAAGGAGAAATAAAATATGTGACAAACAAGCAAAAATGAAGGGAATTAATAGTCACCATACTGGACTTACAAGAAATGTTCAAGGGAGTCATACATCTGGAAGAGAAAAGATGATAACCACCATGGTGAAAATATGCAAAACTATAAACTCACTGGTAGAGCCAATAGAGAAAGGAGAAACAAAGGAATCAAATCTTATTACTACAGAAACTACCCAACCACAAAAATAGACAATAAGATAGGAAGTAAGGAACAAGGGATATACAAAACAACCAGAAAACAATAAATAAGACCAAATCTACATCTCTAAGCCAAAAGAATAAAGCTGGAGGCATCACGCTACCTGACTTCAAACTATACTAAAAGGCTACAGTAACCAAAAGAGCATGGTACTGGTACCAAAACAGAGATATAGATCAATGGAACAGAACAGAGCCCTCAGAAATAATGCCACATATCTACAACTATCTGATCTTTGACAAACCTGGCAAAAACAAGAAATGGGGAAACGATTCCATATTAAATAAATGGTGCTGGGAAAACTGGCTAGCCATATGTAGAAAGCTGAAACTGGATCCCTTCCTTATACCTTATACAAAAATTAATTCAAGATGGATTAAAGACTTAAACATTAGACCTCAAACCATATAAACCCTAGAAGAAAACCTAGGCATTACCATTCAGGACATAGACATGGGCAAGGACTTCATGTCTAAAACACCAAAAGCAATGGCAACAAAAGCCAAAATTGACAAATGGGATCTAATTAAAGAGCTTCTGCACAGCAAAATAAACTACCATCAGAGTGAACAGGCAACCTACAAAATGGGAGAAAATTTTTGCAATCTACTCATCTGACAAAGGGCTAATATCCAGAATCTATAAATAACTCAAACAAATTTACAAGAAAAAATCAAACAACCCCATCAACAAGTGGGTGAAGGATATCAACACACACTTCTCAAAAGAAGACATTTATGCTGCCAAAAGACACATGAAAAAATGTTCGTCATCACAGGCCATCAAAGAAATGCAAATCAAAACCACAATGAGATACCATTTCACACCAGTTAGAATGGCAATCATTAAAAAGTCAGGAAACAACAGGTGCTGGAAAGGATGTGGAGAAATAGGAACAGTTTTACACTGTTGGTGGGACTGTAAAGTAGTTCAACCATTGTGGGAGTCAGTGTGGCGATTCCTCAGGGATCTAGAACTAGAAATACCATTTGAGCCAGCCATCCCATTACTGGGTATATACCCAAAAATTATAAATCATGCTGCTATAAAGACACATGCACACGTATGTTTATTGTGGCACTATTCACAATAGCAAAGACTTGGAACCAACCCAAATGTCCAACAATGATAGACTGGATTAAGAAAATGTGGCACATATACATCATGGAATACTGTGCAGCCATAAAAAATGATGAGTTCATGTCCTTTGTAGGGACATGGTTGAAGCTGGAAACCATCATTCTCAGTAAACTATCGCAAGGACAAAAAACCAAACACCACATGTTCTCACTCATAGGTGGGAATTGAACAATGAGAACACATGGACACATGAAGGGGAACATCACACACTGAGGCCTGTTGTGGGGTGGGGGGAGGGGGAAGGGATAGCATTAGGAGATATACCTAATGTTAAATGATGAGTTAATGGGTGCAGGACACCAACATGGCACATGTATACATATGTAACAAACCTGCACGTTGTGCACATGTATCCTAAAACTTAAAGTATAATAAAAAAAAGCTATGACAATTGCTTGAACCTTAAGTAATAAAGAAATTTTTCATTTGTACATTAGTTATTTTACTAATTGAACATTTATTGAGTACCTATTATGGGCAGGACACTATTATATGTAGTAGACCACCATTTGTACCCTCAAGTCTAGAAGCCAAGGCCATTTCCTTATAGCTCAGAAAGAAGATAAATAGGGAGGAGGTGAGCCCAGTTAGCAGCTTATATGAGTCTCCTTGTTCATTACTTAATCCTCATTGAAATCTTATTATTGGCAGGGGAAGATGGAAGCAAAATACTGTTTTGTTAGTTCTCATGCTCTTTGGGATCTTTATGTTCCTACTGAAAGGGAGAAAATAAACAGGAGATCCACATTCTTCACAAGAGATATGGATATAGAAAGGAGAAGGATTTTGAGAGAAGTCAAGAGCCATAGGGTGGAATAATATGGGCTTGGGTATACTTGCAACTTCCTAAAGAGAATCATATCCCAAAGGCTTCTAACAAAGCTGTTGAGAGCTTGGAAAAATAAGATAGGTAAAAAAATCAAGGTCATTTAAAATAATTAGAAGTGTTGGGGAGAGGAAATGGTAAAACCAGTTAGAATGGCTGTATGGCTCAATAGTTAAGCAGGTGGGCTCTAGCACCAGATAGATTTGGCTTCTGATTGTAGTGCAGGCACTTAGCTGTGTGACCTTGCAGAAGTGATTTCACTTATTGAAGCTTCAGTTCCCCATATGTAAAACACAGTGGAATTTCCAGGCAGATCTAAGTCCATATGTAGCATGCCTTGATAATTCCTTTCTCAAAGTATATAAACCCTCAAATGATCATGAGCCTTTATTAAAAAAAATCTGTCTGAGACCCCTCAGTCATTTGTCCATCCATCCATCCATCCATCCATCCATCCATCCATCCATCCATCCTTCATTCATTCATCCATTTAAGAACTATTTAATGAGCACTTACCATTGCTTGGCATTGCAGATGAAATTGTGATTAAGAAGTTATTATCCCTGCACTCCTATGCCTTACAGACTAGAGGTGAATATAGATTTACATCTATAACCATTGTTAAGATATTATCAGTGAAAAAGTGCAGAATACCATGGGGAAATATAACTTGGGGCTCATTCTTTCCATTTCTCTGTTCTCGAAATTCCATTTGATCATTCTCTAACTTGTCAGCTCCCATTCACTAGTAATCCACAACAATCTGATTTCTTCCTACCCAAACCAACTTCCTACCCAACTTTCACATTTGCTGAAAATGGCTAAGATCAACAACAATCCAATTGTCAGTTCTCACACTTTCATTCTTCCTATTAATCGCTCTCTGCAGCATTTCACATTGACAACAAACTATGTTTCTTGAGACATCTCTTCCCATAAATTTGATAGGTTTATTGCCTTTCTTATTAACCCTTCTGCTTTTTAAATTTTAGGATGAACCTTAGCATTTAATATTTAAGCCTTTTCTATACATGCTTTTATTTATGACCTCATCTATTCCCACATCATCAGCTACTATGTACATGTTAAGGATTGTGAAATTCATAGATCTGGTTCCAAATTCAGATGGGCATTTAACTTACTTAAAATGAGAATTTAACTTAATTCAAAACTAAATTTATCATCTCCATAGCTTTTTGTTTTGTTTTGATTGAAACTAATAGTGGTAATATTTACTCAGTCTCCTTGGATTGAAATTTTGTGCTCCTATTCACAATATTTATTCTACCAAAATTTCTTTCTTTACCCCCTCTGAAAACATTTATTTTCTCTCTAACTTAGGTTGAGTTATTCAATTGAGTAACTAAATAGAATAAAACCATATTCATTTCACTATTAACACTTAACAGATTGCAATTTATTTCCAAGTCTCTCCCACTGAACTGAAGTTTAACTTTTTATTGAGTACTTAGTAACTATCAAAGAGCTTAGTACATAGTAGGGACTCATGAATGAAGTCTTAAATTCTTAAATTCTTTTTTTCCTCTCTCTTTTTTTCATACCTAGTCCCACAGATAATTCTTTATTTTATTTATTTATTTATTTATTTATTTTTATTATTATTATACTTTAAGTTTTAGGGTACATGTGCACAATGTGCAGGTTAGTTACATATGTATACATGTGCCATGCTGGTGCGCTGCACCCACTAACTCGTCATCTAGCATTAGGTATATCTCCCAATGTTATCCCTCCCCCCTCTCCCCACCCCACAACAGTCCCCAGAGTGTGATGTTCCCCTTCCTGTGTCCATGTGTTCTCATTGTTCAGTTCCCACCTATGAGTGAGAATATGTGGTGTTCGGTTTTTTGTTCTTGTGATAGTTTACTGAGAATGATGATTTCCAATTTCATCCATGTCCCTACAAAGGACATCAACTCATCATTTTTAATGGCTGCATAGTATTCCATGGTGTATATGTGCCATATTTTCTTAATCCAGTCTATCATTGTTGGACATTTGGGTTGGTTCCAAGTCTTTGCTATTGTGAATAATGTCGCGATGCATAATTCTTAAATTCTTTAAAGATTCAGAAGCTTTTTGACCATATCCTTGAAGGGTTGTTTTACCTGTTGGTTCCTTAGGGTGTAAATAAAGGGGTTCAACAAAGGAGCAACTGAAGTAATGAGTAGAGCTACTCCCTTGTTGAATGTATCCCCTTCTTTTGCAGAGGGATTAATGTACATAAACATGCAGCTTCCGTAAGAGAGGGAGATGACAATCATGTGGGAAGAACATGTGGAAAAGGCTTTTGTCCTTTGTTGGGCAGAGGGGAGCTTCAGAATAGTCTTGATAATGAATGCATAGGAGAGAATCACTAGCACCAGAGTGACCACCAGGGTCACAGATGCCACAAGAAAGACAACCTTCTCTATGAGGCTTGTGTCTGAACATGAGAGTTCCAGAAGAGGCTCATAGTCACAGAAGTAATGATTCAGTCTGTTGGATGCACAAAAGTCCTGCTGACTCATCAGGGTGATTGTTGGTATAATAGCCATTAGCCCACCCAGCCAAGAGCAGAAAATCAGCTGGATGCAGATTCTGCTGCTCATGATGGTGGTGTAATGCAGAGGTTTGCAGATGGCCACATAGCGGTCATAGGACATGGCAGCCAGAAGGTAAAACTCTGTAGCCCCAAGGAACATGGCAAAGAAATACTGAGTGAAGCAGCCAGCAAAGCTGATACTCTTGTTCCCTGTTGTGATGCTAATCAGGACCCTTGGAATGAAGATGTTTGTGAAGGAAATTTCCAAGAAGGAGAAGTTCCGGAGAAAGAAATACATGGGAGTCTGAAGGTGGGAGTCCAGCAAGGTGAGGATGAGGATAGTCAGATTTCCAAGGATGCTGAGTAAATACGCAAGGAAAAGAAAGGTGAAAACTGCCACCTGGAGTTCAGGGACATCTGTTAGACCCAGAAGGATAAACTCAGTTAACACGGTTTTATTTTTCATTGTTGAAAAAATTTTGAGTCTCAAAGTGAAAAAGAGAGTAGTAATCAAAAGTGAGAAAGGAAGAGGTGCTCTGAAATGAACGGATGAAGTCTGACAAGAAAAAAATGAAATGGATGATTAACTTCTCCTCTGATGACATAGTCCAGACCAGTGGCCCATTTGAATGATGTTGGATCCTTCCCAGTCCCATTTGCCCTATGGAGGAAAGTTCTTGTCATTATGTTTCCACATTGTACTCTCCCTAGTGCTCACATGAGGCAAGTGTCTGCCTCATAAATGATATTCAAAACATTGTGAAATAAGTTAATAAAAGAATGCCTCCAGCTGCTACCTCCTTCCAGAATGGTTATGAATTTCTTCCCCCCAACATTAACTTTATTTCTCATTGATCCCATTCATTGCCCTACTTCCTTTTTGTGCCTAACTCTTCTCAGAATTGTCATTTTTCTTACTCTTCCCTACCTTTTTTTCATATAAATATAGCAATTTCTCATTTTTCTTCAGGTTCAGCTTCCTTAATTCCCTTGAAGCAAAAAAAGTATCATCTTCCCACTTCTTTCCAGTGGACCCTCCAACTTCTTAGCCTATGTCTGTCTGTTAGATTCAAAGATTTGTGTATTAGGGTTATGCTATTCTGTCCTTTGAAACATTCTACATACTTTCTAGGGGTCAGTAAATATTAGATTAGAATATTTCCTCAAACACATTCAGAATCTTTAGATCTAGAATTTTGCTTCCTGTAAGGATAGGGAGATTCTATTAAATTCCAAGGAAATGTTAGGATCTTAAGAATATTTAAAGCAAGAACTTTTAAACCAGGGATCTACTAATCCCTAGATTAGATTTACTATGTCTGTGAATCCATTAAATTATGTGTAAAACATTTTGTGTATGTGGGCATGTGAATTTTATGGGGAAAATGTACAAAACTATGATACAGGATTTTCTGGGAGATTCCATATTTGGGTACTTCATGGGCATTTCAAGTTTCTACTTTATTTGTGAGCCCATGCAGTTAAAGAGTCACATTATCTGGGAGTGCCCTTATTGATTTATTCAAGATTTCTTTCTAGTTATGTTTTTATAAATGTTTATAAGGCAGCAGCTTTAAAGCATTCTTGATTAAAATTCATTCTAAATTATATATATTTTAATAAACACATATAGATCTCACTTAAAAGTTTTATAGAGCGTTCCTTACCACATAAGGTATAATATATATATATATATGTATTTTGAGCCACAGTCTTACTCTGACACCCAGGCTGGAGTGCATTAGCATGATCATGACTCACTTCAGCCTTGACCTCCTGGCCTCTAGTGATCCTTCAACCCCAGCCTCCTGATTAGCTGGGACCACAGGCATGCACTACCATGCCTAGCTAATTATTATTTTTTATTTTTTGTGAAGATGGGGTCTTGCTATGTTGCCCAGGCTGGTTTTGAACTCCTGGGCTCAAATGATCCTCTCACTTTGGCCTCCCAAAGTGCTGAGATTACAGATGTGAGGCACTGTACCTGACCCATGTGATAAAATCTGATATTTTCTATTTACTTTTTAAAATGCTGGTTGAAGCCCACTAAATTGATTTTATAACCTCCTATTGGGTTGCAGTCAACAGTTGAAATCAGGGATCAAGAAAAGTTATTGTAAATAACTTAGGGAACAAACTTTAAATATACAGCTGAGAGAAGAGGGTCCAGAGAAGTTAGCTTGGAGATGGGTTGGTGGTGCTGGGGATGGTAGCCAGAGAGCATCAGCTGCAGATGCCCTCTCCTCCTGGTTACTAACCTGGAGTCTTCAGGGAGTGGTTGAATATTCACATCTGCATCAGTTTCAGTCTTTACAACTCCAGAGAAGTAAAATAAATGAAGCTATAAACAGGTAACATACTTCCTGACTTGACTATCCAAATGACTATTGTGAGATTTTAATCCTAAATATTCTTGGTGGCAAATTAAAATTAGAAGGCAATATAATTACAAAATAGTATAAGAATTATTGCATTTTTTGTTTTACCTTTTCTGCCACCAAGTTCTATACTACATTTCATAGAAATACACAAATTTCCAAACTTTTCCTGGTAAGAAGTAGTCCGCTGCTTCTGTTTCTTATCATTTCAGTGGGGATTTGCTGATCTGTTATTCAACTAATTAAACAGGAGCTGAATCAGAGTTTTTGGACATCCTCTTTTTAAAGCATAGCCAATAACTAGGACACTAAAACAAGGACTTTGAGAAGCAGAGTAGTCTTGAATTTTTCTGTTGTAGGAGAAATAAACTGATGATCTCAGAAGGCATAATATGAACTCCCTGTCCTACCCCAGATTAAACTTTACCCAGAGTGACACAGGTTATACCTGCTCTATTGAGAGAATGCACTGGGGATCAGTCGAGTGAAGAAACACAAGTTGCCTGGGGGATCCTCATCTGGAACAGGCTAATGAATGTCCTTTGTGAATAACTTTGGGAACAAACTTTAAATAGACAGCTGAGAGAAGAGGGTCCAGGGAGACTAGTTTGGAGACACATTGGTGGTGGTGGGGGAGGTATCCAGAGAACATTAGCCACAGAGAAGAAGAGTATGGAGTAATTATATTTTTCTTTCTCAGGTGGGTGGTCATAGCTGGACTTGGCTATGGACAAACAGGTTAGGTGGAAAAATTTGGAGGTCCTAAAAAGCCACATTTTCTTTTCTTAACTTTTATATTAGGTTCAGGGGTACATGTGCAGGTTTGTTATATAGGTAGACTTGTGTCATGAAGGTTTGGTGTACAGATTATTTCATCACCCAGGTACTAAGCATAGTACCCAGTGGTTATTTTTTTCTGATCTTCTTCTTATTCCTCTTGCCTTCCTCCCTCAAATAGGCCCCAGTGCCTATTGGTCCCCTCTTTGTGTCCATTTGTTTTCATTTAGCTCCCACTTATAAGTGTGAACATGTGGTATTTGGTTTTCTGTTCCTGCATTAATTTGTGTATAATGGCTTCCAGCTCCATTCATGTTCTTGCAGAGGACATGATCTTGCTCTTTTTTAATGGCTGCATAGTATTCCATGGTGAATTGGTACCACATTTTCTTTATCCAGTCTACTATTGATGGACTTTTAGGTTGATTATATGTCTTTGCTATTGTGACCAGTACTGCAATGAACATAGGTATGGTTTTGCTGTGTCTCCACCAAATCTCATCTTGAATTATAGCTCCCATAATTCCCTCATGTTGTGGGAGGGACCCAATAGGAGATAATTGAATCAGGGGGTGGTTTCCCCCATACTTTTCTCATGCTAGTAAATAAGTCTCACAAGATCTGATGGTTTTATAAGGGGAAACTCCTTTTACTTGGCTATCATTCTCTTCTCTTGTCTGCCACCATGTGAGATGTGCCTTTTCCCTTCTGCCATGATTGTCATGCCTCCCCAGCCATGTGGAACTGTGAGTCCACTAAACCTCTTTCTTTTGTAAATTGCCTAGTCTTGGGTATGTCTTTATCAGCAGTGTGAAAATGGACTAATACAGTAAATTGGTACCAGAAGTGGGGTGCTGCTGAAAAGATACCCAAAAATGTGGAAGCGACTTTGGAACTGAGTAACAGGCAGAGGTTGGAACAGTTTGGAGGGCTGAGAAGACAGGAAAATGTGGGTAAGTTTGGAACTTCCTAGAGTCTTGTTGAATGGCTTAGCCCAAAATACTGATAGCAATATGGGCAATAAAGTCCAGGCTGAGGTGCTCTCAGATGGAGATGAAGAACTGGTTGGGAAATGGAGCAAAGGTAACTCTTGTTATGTTTTAGCAAAAAGACTGGCAGCATTATCCCCCTGTCCTAGAGATTTGTGGAATGTTGAACTTGAGACAGATGATTTAGGGTATCTGGCAGAAGAAATTTCTAAGCAGCAAAGCATTCAAGAGGTGACTTGGGTGCTGTTAAAGGCATTCAGTTTTGTAAGAGAGTAGAGCATAAGAGTTTGGAAAATTTGCAGCCTGATGATGTGATAGATAGGAAAATCCCATTTTAGGAGGAAAAATTCAAGCTGGCTGCAGAAATTTGCAGAAGTAACAAGGAGCCAAATGTTAATCCCCAAAACTATGGGGAAAATATCTCCAGGGCATGTCAGAAGTCTTCATGGCAGTCCCTCCCATCACAGGCCAGGAGGCCTAGGAGGAAAAAATGGTTTTGTGGGCCAGGCCCAGGGTTCCTGTGCTGTGTGCAGCCTAGGGACTTGGTGCCCTGCATCCTGGCTTCTCCAGCCATGGCTGAATGGGGCCAATGTAAAGCCCAGGCTGTGGCTTAAGAAGGTGCTAGCCCCAAGCCTTGGCAGCTTCCACTTGATGTTGAGCCTGTGGGAGCACAGAAGTCAAGAACTGGGGTTTGGGAACCTCTACTTAGATTTCAGAGGATGTATGGAAATGCCTGAATGCCCAGGCAGAAGTTTGCTGTAGGGGTGGGGCCCTCATGGAGAACCTCTGGTAGGGCAAGGCAGAAGGGAAATGTGGGCTGGAGCCCCCACTCAGAGTCCCTACTGGGGCACTGCCTAGTGGAGCTATGAGAATAGGGCCACCATCCTCCAGACCCCAGAATGGCAGATCCACCAACAGCTTGCACTGCTCACCTGGAAAAGCCACAGACACTCAATGCCTGACTGCTAAAGCAGCTGGGAGGGAGGCTGTATACTGCAAAGCCACAGGAGCAGAGCTTCTCAAGACCATGGGAGCCCACCTTTTGCATCAGCATGACCTTGATGTGAGACATGGAGTCAAAGGAGATCATTTTGGAGCTTTAAGATTTGACAGCCCCTCTGGATTTCAAACTTACATGGGGCCTGTAGCTCCATTGTTTTGGCCAATTTTTCCCATTTGGAATGAGCATATTTCCCCAATGCCTGTATCCTCATTGTATCTAGGAAACAACTAACTTTTGATTTTACTGGCTCATAGGCAGAAGGGACTTGCCTTATCTTGGATGAGACTTAGGACTGTTGGACTTTTGAGGTAATGCTGAAGTGAGTTAAGACTTTAGGGGACTGTTGGGAAGGCATGATTGGTTTTGAAATGTAAGGATATGAGATTTGGGAGGGGCCAGGGGCAGAATGATGTGGTTTGGGTGTGTCCCCACCAAAATCTCACCTTGAATTGTTGCTCCCATAATTCTCTCATTTCGTGGGAGAAACCCAGTGGGAGATAACTGAATCATGGGAGTGGTTTCTCCCATACTGTTCTTGTAGTGAATGAGTCTCATAGGATCTAATGATTTTATAAGGGGAAACCCCTTTCACTTGGCTCTCATTCTCTTCTGTTGTCTGTGGCCATTTGAGACATGCTTTTCACCTCCTGCCATGATTGTGAGGTCTCCCCAGCCACGTGGAACTGTGAGTCCGTTAAACCTCTTTCTTTTGTAAATTGCCCAGTCTCAGGTATGTCTTTATCAGCAGTATGACAATGGGCTAATACAAACATACACATTCATGTGTCTTTATGGGAGAATAATTTATATTCCTGCATTAGTGTGTTCTTATGCTACAAAGAAATACCTGAGACTGGGTAATTTATAAGGAAAGGGGATTAATTTGTTTACAGGTCTGCAGGCTCTACCAGAAGCACACTGGCTTCTGCTTCTGGAGAGACCTCAGGGAACTTACAATCATGTTGGAAGGTGAAGAAGAAGCAGGCATGTCTTACATAGCCAGAGGAGGAGCAAGAGGGAGAGGGGTGGGAGGTGATATACACTTTAAAATAATCACATTTGCAAGAACTCATTATTGTGATGACAGCACTGAGGGGGAGTGTTGTAAAACCATGAGAAACCACCCCCATAATCCAATCATCTCCCACAAGGGCCCTGCTCCAGCATTGGGGATTACATTTCAACACGAGATTCGAGTGGGGGCACATATCCAAACCATATTATTCTTCCTCTGGCCCTGCTCAAATCTCATGTCTTCTCACATTTTAAAATATAATCATGCTTTCCCAAGAGTCCCCCAAAGTATTAACTCATTTCAGCATTAACTCTAAAGTCCACAGGCCAAAGTCTCATCTGGGACAAGGCTAGTCCCTTCCCCTTATAAGCCTGTAAAATAAAAAATGAGTTAGTCACTTCCAAGATAGAACTGATATACGGGCATTGGGTAAATACTTCCATTCCAAAAGGGAGAAATCAGCCAAAAGAAAGGGGCTACAGGCTCCAATGAAAGTCTGAAACCCAGAAAGGCAGTCATTAAATTATAAGGCTCCAAAATAATTTCCTTTGACTCCATGTCACACATCCAGGAAACACTGATGCAAGGGGTGGACTGCCAAGGCCTTGGGCAGTTCCACCCCTGTGGCTTTGTAGGGGTCAACCCCTATGTCTGATCTCATGGGCTGGGGTTGTGTGCTTATGGGTTTTTCAGGTGCATGGTGCAAGTTGTTGGTGGCTCTACCATTCTGGGATCTGGAGGTTGGTGGCTGCCTTCTCACAGATCCAGTGCCCCACTGGGAACTCTGTGTGGGGGCTACAACCCCACATTTTCCCTCCACTGCCTTAGTAGAGGTTCTCCACGAGGGCTGTACCCTTGCAGCAGGCTTCTGCTGGGACATCCAGGTTTTTCCATATATCCTCTGAAATCTAGGTGGAGGTTTCCAAGAAACAACTTTTGTGTTCTGTGACCTGTGAGCTTAACACCATATGGAAGCCACCAAGGTTTATGTCTTGCACCCTCTGAAGCAACAGCCCGAGTACCTGGGCCCCTTTGAGCCATGGCTGGAGCTACAGTGGCTGGGATGCAGGTAGCAGTGTCCCAAGGATATGCAGGGCAGTTCCTGCCTCAAAGGTCTCTGAAACACCTATGAGGCCTTTTTCCTGTTGTCTTGACTATCAGCACTTGCATTCCTTTTAGGTTTGCAAATTTTTGTAGCCCCACTTGAATTCCTTCCTTGAAAATGGGCTTTCTTTTTCTATCACATAACTGGGCTGTAATTTTTTCAAATCTTTACTCTCTCCTTCCTCTTTAGATGTAAGTTCCAATTTCATATCATTTATTTGCTCACATATATGAGCATAGATTGTTAGAAGCAGCCAGACCACAACTCAGCTGGGCATCTGTAATCCCAGCATTTTGGGAGGCCAAGATGTGTGGATCATTTGAGGTGAGGAGTTCAAGACCAGCCTGGCCAACACAGCAAAACTCCATCTCTACTGAAAATACAAAAAAAAAAATAAGTTAGCCAGTTGTACAATCCCAGCTACTCAGGAGGCTGAGACATGAGAATCACTTCAACCCAGGAGGCAGAGGTTACAGCTAGTCAAGGCTGGGCCACTGCACTCCATCCATTAATCTGTTGATGAATGCTTAGGTTGATTCCATCCCTTGGCTATTGTAAATAGTGCTGCAATACACAAGGGACTAGAGATATCTCTTTAACATACTAATTTCCTTTCTTTGAATATATACCCAGTAGTGGGTTTTCTGGATTGTATGGTAGTTGCATTTTCAGTTTTTTGAGGTGCCTCCATACTGTTTTCCATAATGGCTGTACTAACTTACATTCCCACCAACAATGTGCAAGGGATTCCTTTTTTTTAATGGAGTCTCACTCTGTCCCCCATGCTGGAGTGCAGTGGTGTGATCTCAGCTCGCTGCAACTTCCACCTCCCGGGTTGAAGCAATTCTACTCCCTCAGACTCCAGAGTAGCTGGGATCACAGGTGCATGCTACCATTTCCAGCTAATTTTTGTATTTTTAGTACAGATGGGGTTTCAGCATGTTGGCCAGGCTGGTCTCAAACTCCTGATCTCAGGTGAATCTCCCACCTCTGCCTTCCAAAGTCCTGGGATTACAGGCATGAGCCACTGTGTCCAGTCCAAAGGATTTCTTTTATCCACATCCTTGCCAACAATTTTTATTTTTTTATTTTTTACTTAAAAAATTTATTATTATTATTATTATACTTTAAGTTTTAGGGTACATGTGCACAATATGCAGGTTAGTTACATATGTATACATGTGCCATGCTGGTGTGCTGTACCCATTAACTCCTCATTTAGCATTAGGTATATCTCCTAATGGTATCCCTCCCCCCTCCTCCCACCCCACAACAGTCTCCAGAGTGTGATGTTCCCCTTCCTGTGTCCATGTGTTCTCATTGTTCAATTCCCATCTATGAGTGAGAACATGTGGTGTTCGGTTTTTTGTCCTTGTGATAGTTTACTGAGAATGATGATTTCCAATTTCATCCATGTCCCTACAAAAGACATGAACTCATCATTTTTTTATGGCTGCATAGTATTCCATGGTGTATATGTGCCACATTTTCTTAATCCAGTGTATCACTGTTGGACATTTGGGTTGGTTCCAAATCTTTGCTATTGTGAATAGTGCCACAATAAACATACGTGTGCATGTGTCTTTATAGCAGCATGATTTATAGTCCTTTGGGTATATACCCAGTAATGGGATGGCTGGCTCAAATGGTATTTCTAGTTCTAGATCCCTGAGGAATCACCATACTGTCTTCCACAATGCAATGGTTGAACTAGTTTACAGTCCCACCAACAGTGTAAAAGTGTTCCTATTTCTCCACATCCTCTCCAGCATCTGTTGTTTCCTGACTTTTTAATGATTGCCATTCTAACTGGTGTGAGATGGTATCTCATTGTGGTTTTGATTTGCATTTCTCTGATGACCAGTGATGATGAGCATTTTTTCCTGTGTCTTTTGGCTGCATAAACGTCTTCTTTTGAGAAGTGTCTGTTCATATCCTTTGCCCACTTTTTGATGGAGTTGTTGGTTTTTTTCTTGTACATTTGTTTGAGTTCATTGTAGATTCTGGATATTAGCCCTCTTTCAGATGAGTAGGTTGCAAAAATTTTCTCCCATTTTGTAGGTTGCCTCTTCACTCTGATGGTAGTTTCTTTTGCTGTGCAGAAGCTCTTTAGTTTAATTAGATCCCATTTGTCAATTTTGGCTTTTGTTGCCATTGCTTTTGGTGTTTTAGATATGAAGTCCTTGCCCATGCCTATGTCCTGAATGGTAATGCCTAGGTTATCTTCTAGGGTTTTTATGGTTTTAGGTCTAATGTTTAAGTCTTTAATCCATCTTGAATTAATTTTTGTATAAGGTATAAGGAAGGGATCCAGTTTCAGTTTTCTCCATATGGCTAGCCAGTTTTCCCAGCACCATTTATTAAATAGGGAATCCTTTCCCCATTGCTTGTTTTTGTCAGGTTTGTCAAAGATCAGATAGTTGTAGATATGCAACGTTATTTCTGAGGGCTCTGTTCTGTTCCATTGATCTATATCTCTGTTTTGGTACCAGTACCATGCTGTTTTGGTTACTGTAGCCTTTTAGTATAGTTTGAAGTCAGGTAGCGTGATGCCTCCAGCTTTGTTCTTTTGGCTTAGGATTGACTTGGCGATGCGGGCTCTTTTTTGGTTCCATATGAACTTTAAAGTAGTTTTTTCCAATTCTGTGAAGAAAGTCATTGGTAGCTTGATGGGGATGGCATTGAATCTATAAATTACCTTGGGCAGTATGACCATTTTCACGATATTGATTCTTCCTACCCATGAGCATGGAATGTTCTTCCATTTATTTGTATCCTCTTTTATTTCCTTGAGCAGTGGTTTGTAGTTCTCCTTGAAGAGGTCCTTCACGTCCCTTGTAAGGTGGATTCCTAGGTATTTTATGCTCTTTGAAGCAATTGTGAATGGGAATTCACTCACGATTTGGCTCTCTGTTTGTCTTATTGGTGTATAAGAATGCTTGCTATTTTTGCACATTGATTTTATATCCTGAGACTTTGCTGAAGTTGCTTATCAGCTTAAGGAGATTTTGGGCTGAGATGATGGGGTTTTCTAGATATACAATCATGTCATCTGCAAACAGGGACAATTTGACTTCCTCTTTTCCTAATTGAATACCCTTTATTTCCTTCTCCTGCCTAATTGCCCTGGCCAGAACTTCCAACACTATGATGAATAGGAGCAGTGAGAGAGGGCATCCCTGTATTGTGCCCGTTTTCAAAGGGAATGCTTCCAGTTTTTGCCCATTCAGTAGAATATAGGCTGTGGGTTTGTCATAGATAGCTCTTATTATTTTGAGATACGTCCCATCAATACCTAATTCATTGAGAGTTTTTAGCATGAATGGTTGTTGAATTTTGTCAAAGGCCTTTTCTGCATCTATTGAGATAATCATGTGGTTTTTGTCTTTGGTTCTGTTTATATGCTGGATTACATTTATTGATTTGCATATATTGAACCAGCCTTGCATCCCAGGGATGAAGCCCACTTGATCATGGTGGATAAGCTTTTTGATGTGCTGCTGGATTCATTTTGCCAGTATTTTATTGAGGATTTTTGCATCAATGTTCATCAAGGATATTGGTCTAAAATTCTCTTTTTTGGTTGTATCTCTGCCTGGCTTTGGTATCAGGACGATGCTGGCCTTGTAAAATGAGTTAGGGAGGATTCCCTCTTTTTCTGTTGATTGGAATAGTTTCAGAAGGAATGGTACCAGTTCCTCCTTATACCTCTGGTAGAATTCGGCTATGGATCCATCTGGTCCTGGACTCTTTTTGGTTGGTAAGCTATTGATTATTGCCACAATTTCAGAGCCTGTTATTGATCTATTCAGAGATTTAACTTCTCCCTGGTTTAGTCTTGGGAGAGTGTATGTGTCGAGGAATTTATCCATTTCTTCTAGATTTTCTAGTTTATTTGCATAGCGGTGTTTGTAGTATTCTCTGATGATAGTTTGTATTTCTGTGGGATTGGTGGTGATATCCCCTTCATCATTTTTTATTGCATCTATTTGATTCTTCTCTCTTTTTTTCTTTATTAGTCTTGCTAGCGGTCTATCAATTTTGTTGATCTTTTCAAAAAACCAGCTCCTGGATTCATTAATTTTTTGAAGGGTTTTTTCTGTTGCTATTTCCTTCAGTTCTGCTCTGACTTTAGTTATTTCTTGCCTTCTGCAAGCTTTTGAATGTGTTTACTCTTGCTTTTCTAGTTCTTTTAATTGTGATGTTAGGGTGTCAGTTTTGGATCTTTTCTGCTTTCTCTTGTGGGCATTTAGTGCTATAAATTTCCCTCTACACACTGCTTTGAATGTGTCCCAGAAATTCTGGTATGTTGTGTCTTTGTTCTCATTGGTTTCAAAGAACATCTTTATTTCTGCCTTCATTTCGTTATGTACCCAGTAGTCATTCAGGAGCAGGTTGTTCAGTTTCCATGTAGTTGAGTGGTTTTGAGTGAGATTCTTAATCCTGAGTTCTAGTTTGATTGCCCTGTGGTCTGAGAGATAGTTTGTTATAATTTCTGTTCTTTTACATTTGCTGAGGAGAGCTTTTCTTCCAACTATGTGGTCAATTTTGGAATAGGTGTGGTGTGGTGCTGAAAAAAATGTATATTCTGTTGATTTGGGGTGGAGAGTTCTGTAGATGTCTATTATGTCTGCTTGGTGCAGAGCTGAGTTCAATTCCTGGGTATCCTTGTTAACTTTCTGTCTTGTTGATCTGTCTAATGTTGACTGTGGGGTGTTAATGTCTCCCATTATTATTGTATGGGAGTCTAAGTCTCTTTGTAGGTCACTCAGGACTTGCTTTATGAATCTGGGTGCTCCTGTATTGGGTGCATATATATTTAGGGTAGTTGGCTCTTCTTGTTGAATTGATCCCTTTACCATTATGTAATGGCATTCTTTGTCTCTTTTGATCTTTGTTGGTTTGAAGTCTATTTTATCAGAGACTAGGATTGCAACCCCTGCCTTTTTTTGTTTTGCATTTGCTTGTAGATCTTCCTCCATCTCTTTATTTTGAGCCTCTGTGTGTCTCTGCACGTGAGATTGGTTTCCTGAATACAGCACAGTGATGGGTCTTGACTCTTTATCCAATTTGCCAGTCTGTGTCTTTTAATTGGAGCAGTTAGTCCATTTACATTTAAAGTTTATATTGTTATGTGTGAATTTGATCCTGTCATTATGATGTTAGCTGGTTATTTTGCTTGTTAGTTGATGCAGTTTCTTGCTAGTCTTGATGGTCTTTACATTTTGCCATGATTTTGCAGCAGCTGGTACCGATTGTTCCTTTCCATGTTTAGTGCTTCCTTCAGGAGCTCTTTTAGAGCAGGCGTGGTGGTGACAAAATCTCTCAGCATTTGCTTGTCTGTAAAGTATTTTGTTTCTCTTTCACTTATGAAGCTTAGTTTGGCTGGATATGAAATTGTGATGGGCTTCCCTTTGTGGGTAACACAACCTTTCTCTCTGTCTGCCCTTGACATTTTTTCCTTCATTTCAACTTCGGTCAATCTGACAATTATGTGTTTTGGAGTTGCTCTTCTCGAGGAGTATCTTCGTGGTGTTCTCTGTATTTCCTGAATCTTAATGTTGGCCTGCCTTGCTAGATTGGGGAAGTTCTCCTGGATAATATCCTGCAGAGTGTTTTCCAACTTGGTTCCATTCTCCCCATCACTTTCAGGTACACCAATCAGACGTAGATTTGGTCTTTTCACATAGTCCCATATTTCTTGGAGGCTTTGTTCATTTCTTTTTATTCTTTTTTCTCTAAACTTCCCTTCTCGCTTCATTTCATTCATTTCATCTTCCATCGCTGATACCCTTTCTTTCAGTTGATCTCATTGGCTCCTGAGGCTTCTGCATTCTTCAATTAGTTCTCATGCCTTGGTTTTCAGCTCCATCAGCTCCTTTAAGGACTTCTCTGCATTGGTTATTCTAGTTATCCTTTCGTCTAATTTTTTTTTTTAGTTTTTAACTTCTTTGCCATTGGTTTGAATTTCCTCCTGTAGCTCGGAGTAGTTCGATCATCTGGAGCCTTTTTCTCTCAGCTCGTCAAAGTCATTCTCCATCCAGCCTTGTTCCATTGCTGGTGAGGAGCTGCATTACGTTGGAGGAGGAGAGGTGCTCTGCTTTTTAGAGTTTCCAGTTTTTCTGCTCTGTTTTTTCCCCATCTTTGTGGTTTTATCTACTCTTGGTCTTTGATGATGGTGACATACAGAAGGGTTTTGATGTGGATGTCCTTTCTGTTTGTTAGTTTTCCTTCTACCAGGCAGGACCCTCTGCTGCAGGTTTGTTGAAGTTTGCTAGAGGTCACTCCAGACCCTGTTTGTCTGGGTATCAGCAGTGGTGGCTGCAGAACAGTGGTGGCTGTAGAACAGTGGATCTTGGTGAACCGCAAATGCTGCTGCCTGATCGTTCCTCTAGAAGTTTTGTCTCAGTGGAGTACCTGGCCGTGTGAGGTGTCAGTCCACCCCTACTGGGGGGTGTCTCCCAGTTAGGCTGTTCAGGGTTCAGGGACCCACTTGAGGAGGTAGTCTTCTAGTTCTTAGATCTCCAGCTGTGTGCTGGGAGAACCACTACTCTCTTCAAAGCTGTCAGACAGGGACATTTAAGTCTGCAGAGGTTACTGCTGTCTTTCTGTTTGTCTGTGCCCTGCCCCCACAGGTGGAGCCTACAGAGGCAGGCAGGCTTCCTTGGGCTGTGGTGGTCTCCACTCAGTTCGAGCTTCCAGGCTGCTTTGTTTACCTAATCAAGCCTAGGCAATGGTGGGCGCCCCTCCCCCAGCCTCACTGCCACCTTGCATTTTCATCTCAGACTGCTGTGCTAGCAATGAATGAGACTCCATGGGCGTAGGACCCTTGGAGCCATGTGCGGGATATAATCTCCTGGTGTGCCATTTTTTAAGCCCATTGGAAAAGCGCCATGTTAGGGTGGGAATGACCTGATTTTCCAGGTGCCGTCTGTCACTCCTTTCTTTGACTAGGAAAGGGAACTCTCTGACCCCTTGCGCTTCCCAAGTGAGGCAATACCTTGCCCCGCTTAGGCTCGCAAATGGTGCACTGCACCCACTGTTCTGCACCCACTGTCTGGCACTCCCCAGTGAGATGAACCCAGTACCTCAGAGGGAAATGCAGAAATCACCCGTCTTCTTCGTCGCTCATGCTGGGAGCTGTAGACCGGAGCTGTTCCTATTTGGCCATCTTGGCTGCACCCCCTCTTTTTTCTTATTCTAGTTAATGATTTGTTGATTTTGTTAATCTTTTCAAAAAACTAACTTCATTCTCTGATATTTTTCTCATTTTTCTCATCTTGATTTTGTTTATTTTTCCTCTAATCTTTATTATTTTCTTCATCTACTAATTTTGGGTTTAGTTTGTTCTTGTTTGTCTAGTTCCTTGAAGTATAATGTTAGGTTGTTTATCTTTTTTTTGATGTAGGCATTTATTCCTCTAATGTTTAGTTTTAGAACTGCTTTTGCTGTAACCCATAAGTTTTGGTAGGTGGTGTTTTCATTGTCCTTTGACAGCCCTGTACTTGGTTATTTATATCTTTCTCCAGGTTTGGAAATGTTTTTGCTATTATTTCTTTATGCAATTTTTCTACTTCTTTGTCTTTCTTTTGCTCCTTTAACTCTAGAAACTGAAAGCACTTGCTGTTTTGATGCATTCCCATAAATCCTGTAATATTTTCTTATTCCTTTTTCTTTTTTCTCTGCTTACTTTATACTTACATATAAACTGTCTTCAAGTTTACAGAATTTTTTCCTGCTTGATCAAGTCCACTGTTTATACAATCTATTTTTATCTCATATTTTTAGCTCCAGATTTCTGTTTAATTTTTTAATTGTTTTAATCTCTCTATTAAATTTCTTGTTCTGGTCATTTACTGTTTTCCTTGTTTCTTTGAGGAAAGTATTTCTCTGTATTTTATTCAACATTTTATTCAAGTTTACTGAGTTTCCTTAAAATAGTTATTTTGAATTCCTTGTCAGGTCTTTTGTATATCTCCATTTTTTAGGGTTTGTCACTGGCATTTTATTTTGGCCTTTTGGGGATTTCATGTTTTCCTAATTGTTCTTGAACCTTGTGGTCATGTGTTGATATCTGTAATTTGAAGAAGTAGGTATCTATTTCAGTGATTGCAAACTGGCTTTGTCTGGAAACTCTCTTTAACATTAAGCCAGTGCAGAGATTCTGGTCAGGCCATCTAGCATGGTCACTATGTCAGAGACTTTTGCAGCCTTTTCAGTGCTAGGGGGAACTCTAGGCCCAGGACCTCTGTGGTTACTATGGTGCTGGGCTGGAATGCTGTGGCCACTGAGGCTGGTGTAGCACTGCTGAGTTCCTGAAGCTAGTGGCTGTGGAGGCCTGCCTGCCAGCCATGAAGAGCTGCCCAGAGCCTGAGGCTATTGTAGTCAGCTAGCATTTGTGAGCACTGGAGGTGTAGTCTATGGCTCAGGTGCCTTGGATTTCCGGATTTCCATCTGACACCAAGGCAGGTCTAGGGGCTTAATCTGTGGGTATTGGCCTGGATTCAGAAACTGTAGAGATTTGCTTGGTACTGAGTTTTACTGTGGCAACTGGTGTTATGGTCCAAGGCAAGGTCCTATGCTTATTTCCCTCTTTTTATCCCAAGCAGACTGTATTTCTTTCTGTGGTGTGCTGCCTGGGGTTGGGGGAGGAATGGGCAGATAATGCAAAATTGTCCCTCCTATCCTCTTCAAGCCTTTTTTCCTGTTATTATGCTCTAAATAGGTACTGCAATCTCTTACCTGATTTCCTTAGCTCTTGTGAAGGCTTTTTTATGCATGAATAGTTGTTCAAATTGGTGTTTCTGTGGAGGGATGGAGATGTCTAATCTGCCATTTTGCTCTGCTCTCCCTAATTTTTATTCTATATTATCTTTCTTTTATCTTACTTTGGTCCTCCTTTGCAACCCTACAATGCATGTTTTCTAAAATTTTAGTTCTGGTTATGAGTTACTTTTACTGGCAAAAACTGCATTTACTTTAGCACCAACCTAATAGATTTTTCTTCTTTGAGTCTCACTTTTTGAACAGACAAAATATATTATTTCCTTAAATAGGTTTTCTAAACTATTTGATTTTCTTTCCCCTTAAGAATATTGACAATTCATAAATTCATTTGCTTTAAATAGTTCCACACATTTTGAAGGCCTTGTTCATTCTTTTTTCTTTTTGTCTGACTGTATTATTTTTAAAGATCTGTCTTCAAATTCTGAAAGGCTTTCTCCTCCTTGGTCCAATCTGTTATTAAAGCTTTCAAATGTAGTTTGTAATTTCTTCAATGAATCTTTCAGTTCCATATTTTTAAAAAAGATGTCTAATTGCTAAATTTCTCATTCATGTCCTAAAAAGCTTCTGCACAGTAAAAAAGAATTAATAGAGTAAAAAGGCAACTTGCAGGCTGGGAGAGAATGTTTGCTAACTATGCATCTGATGGGACTAATGTCCAGAATTTACAAGAAACTCAAACAATGCAGCAACAACAACCAGAGCAAATAATCCTGTTAAAAAGTGGGCAAAGAACATGAACAGACATTTTTCAAAAGATTGCATACTAATGGCCAAAAATCATGAAAAATGCTCATTGTCACTAATCAGATAAATAGAAAAATTAAAATCACAATGAGATGTCACCTCACACCAGTTTGAATGTCTATTATTAAAAAGACAAAAAATAACAGGTGTTGGTGAGGCTGTGGAGAAAAGGGGATGCATACACTGTGACTGGGAATATAAATTAGTACAAGCGTGATAGAAAACAGTTTGGAGATTTCTGAAAGAACTAAAAATAGAACTACCATTCAACCCAGCAATCCCATTACTAAGTATCTACCCCAAGGAAAGGAAATCATTATGTGAAAAGATACCTGTACTTGTATGTTTATTGAAGCACTATTCACAATAGCAAAGATATGGAATCAACCTAAATGTCCATCAACGAATGATGGAATAAAGAAATGTGATATATATATATATTACACAGCCATGAAAAAGAATGAAATCATGTCTTTGCAGCAAGATGGATGGAAGTAGAAGTCATTATCTTAGGTGAAACAAATCAGACACAGAAAGACAAACATCGCACGCTCTCACTTATAAGGGGAAGCTAAATAATACATACACATGGATGTAGAATGCAGAATAATGACAATGGAAACTCATAAGGGTGGGGGGCAGGAGGAGGGTGGATTAATTAAGGGGTACAGTGGATATTACTCTGGTGATGGATTCGCCAAAAGCCCTTACTTTTCTCTATGCAACATATCCATGTAACGAAATTACAATTGTACCCCATCGATTTGTACACAAAGGTCAAAAATATACTTTATGTGTTTAATACAATTTATATTATTATTTTAATCTTTCATATTATTTGCATCATACTTCTATTGTTATTTCTGTTCTAATTTGTGTATTTCTTTTAAAAATTATTTTGAATTTGTTCTTTGTGTGGTGAGCCTTCTGAAGTGATCTTTTATCTTACCATCACATTTAAATGTCTGATGATCTATTTTACCATCACATTTAAATGTCTGATTTTAAAGGTGTATATTTCCTTTATCTATTCTGTATGATATTTATGATATCTGTTAGTTGCTATCTTTCTATATTATAGAAAATATATTATTTCCTTTTTTTCTTCTCTTTTTTCCTTTTCTTTTCACCCATGATTCTTATTGTCTAGATTTTTTTTGGCATTTGCACTTGTCTTTTGGTATCTATCTATCTATTGATCTATCATTTCTCCCTATTTAATCTTTTTATTTTTTTCTTTTGTCTTAATGGGGAGTTTATTAGACCTGATCTTCTAGCTCATTATTTCTACTTTGGTTCTACCTGTCGTGGTATTATTCTCACTTGTTTTATTCTTTATTTCTTTTATTATGTTTTTTATTTCTCTATTTCTCTTTTACAACCTTTTGTTAATTTGGACACTTACTACGTTTTTAAACCTCATTACTTTATAATGTTTTGTCCTTAATTTTACCAGTATCTTTTTTATCTTTTTGAAGAAATTATAATTATTCAAAATTTTTGATATTTCTGCTTTAATTTTTTTATATCATATATTTTCCAGTATGTAGCTTTTTCCCCTCCAAGTAGATCTGTTCCTCAGATGAGTGGTTGCTTTAGCTTTAGAGCATGTGACTCCACTATAGCTTTAGCTATACTATCTAATGATATGTATGAAAAAAAGCTTAAGCCCTGGTTTTTGACCTTCAACGTGAATTTAAATAAATGGGTAAATGTGATTTTCAGGCCAGAGAACCCAAGTCATTACAAACTGTCCTTAATCATCCTATGTGATGCCTTACCTGGCTTCCTAAAAAATTCTCGGTTAAAGATATACAAAAGGCCAAGAAACATATTTAAAAAGTTCAATACCACGAATCATCAGGGATATGAGAATTAAAACCACAATGAGATACTGCTATATTCCTGCAAGAATGGCCATTATTAAAAAGTCAAAAAGCAATAGATGTTGGCGTGGATGTGGGGAAAATGGAAAGCTTATTGCTGCTGGTGGGAATGTAAATTAGTACAACCTCTATTGAAAACAGTATGGTGATTCCTTAAGGAGCTAAAAGCAAACATACCATTTGATCCAGCAATCTCACTACTGGGTATTTACCCAAAGGAAAAGAAGTCATTATATGAAAAAGACACTGGCATATGTATGTTTATAGAAGCACAATTCACAATTGCAAAGACGTGGAACCAACCTAAGTGCCCAATGATTAATGAATGGATAAAGAAAATGTGCTATATATACACCATGAAATACTACTCAGCCATGAAAAGAAGCAACATTTTTTATTATTTTATTTTATGTTTTTTTGAGACAGAGTCTTGCTGTGTTGCCCAGCCTGGAGTACAGTGGCATAAACTCAGCTCACTACAACCTCTGCCTCCCTGGTTCAAGTGATTCTTGTACCTTAGCCTCCCAAGTAGCTGGAACTACAGGCACGTGCCACCACACCAGGCTAATTTTTGTATTTTTGATAGAGACAGGGTTTCACCATGTTGGCCAGGCTGGTCTCGAACTCCTGAACTCAAGTGATCCACCCTCCTCAGCCTCCCAAATTTCTGGGATTACAGGCAAGAGCCACTGCACCTGGCCTGGAAAGGAACAAAAGAATGTATTTTGCAGCAGTTTGGATGGAGCTGGAAGTCGTTATTCTAAGTGAAGTAATACGGGAGTGGAAAACCAAAAACTATGTTCTCACTTATAAGTATGTTCTCACTCGTAAGTGGGAGCTAAGCTATGAGTATGCAAAGGCACACAGAGTGGTATAATGAACTTTAGAGACTCAGAAGGGGAATGATGGGAGGGGGCTAGGGATAAAAAAACTACAGCTTAGGTCCAATGTATACTACTTGGGTGACAGGTGCACTAAAATCCCAGAATTCACCACTATTTAATTCACTGATGTAACAAAAGGCCACTTGTACTCCAAGTGATTCTTGTGCTTCAGCCTTCCCAGTAGCTGGAATTACAGGCACGCATCACCATGCCTGGCTGATTTTTGTATTTTTATTTGGTTGGTGCAAAAGTAATTGCAGTTTTTGCCATTACTTTTAGTAGCAAAAACCACAATTACTTTTCTATCAATGTAATAGTAGAAACGGGGTTTCACTGTGTTGGCCAGGCTGTTCTTGAACTCCTGACCTCAAGTGATCCGCCTGCCTCAGCCTCCCAAAGAGCTGGGATTAGAAGTGTGAGTCACTGATCCTGGCTGAAATAAAAAAAATTAAAAAATATATTTTATTGTTTTGAATTTTATTTAAAACTCTTTGCAAGAAATGATGCTGGAAGACTACCTGTTTAGAATTGTAATCCATATATCCACAAGCTCTGGCAGCTTTAAAGAGAGGCAATAGAAGAATGAATGCCCAAATGTAGCAGATTGGCTTTTACTCATTTTCATAGTCTCCTCACCCTAGCACTGGTATAATATGATTCTGAGAATGTTAGGCAGCTAAAGCTGTTTCTTTTAATTCTTGTCCACTTTGGTGACATGAGGAATCAAACTCACCATTTTATATATTTAGATACTGAATATTCTGGTAGCTCAGCACCAGACTCTGTGAAGTCATTCCTTTTGCTTATCTATGACTTGGATTACATTCCAAGTATGAATTAACATACAGCCAGACTAGATGAACAGCTTTAGAAGAATATGACTTGCTTTTTTTTTTTTGACAAGCTCATTTAGAAGGTGATACATTCTTTTCCATGTTCATTTCCAAATGCTTATATAAAGAATGCTGAGTGAACTCTTGCCTAGTGATCTTAAACATTAACTTACACAAAGTACCTTCCTTCCTTGTCTCAGCATGTTAATACATCCTGTCTCTCCCATAGATATCTAGGGCAATGAAGTTGATGCTAGCCCAGTTCTTATAACCTGCTGCCAAGTATTTTGATGGCTTTATCTGAAGAGTAGGTAAGATCTTTGCTGACCCAGCTACCCAGCATGCAGCTGGATGTGTGGAGAGTAGAAATATGCTGGCCTTGTGCAGATGGATTTCAAGTACAATGGCCAACATTTTTACTGTCCCTGCTATATTAAACCAACCAATTTAATGCCTTCTTTCTAGTTAAGCTCCAGTTCCTTGAAAAATATATTGTTTATAATATAGTTATAATAGATGTCATTTATTAAACACAATAAATACTGGCTGTCTTTTAATATTTTACATCTATTTTCTCAGTGAATGCTCAAAACTATAAGATAGACACTATTATTGTAAACATTTTAGAGTTGACAGAGGTGAGCCTTAGAGAGATCAAGTAACTATCCCCAGGTAACTTTGGTAGAAAGTTGAAAATCTGGGATTTGAACTAAAGCCTATGTTTTAAGCCACTATATGACATTGCTCCCACTGTACCATAGGTTTTAGTAGAAATGTGGGTGTAGGGGAACTTAATGATTTAGATGTGGCTATTCAAGAACACTTCTTGTTCTTGTAGTGCATTAAATTTGGAATATATTGAATATTATCACTAATCTCTAGCTAGCAACCAAAGAAAACAAGATACTCAGAATAGCAACAGCTTTACATAAAATACTTTTTCAAAAATATTATACATTCTCCAATACCTTCTGTGGCTCTGATAATTTGCTCTCATAATCAGTTCAATCCAGCTTGTTCCTTAAATGCTTGAGAAGTACCTCATTTTACTCAACATATTACCACATATAAAGCATGTGAAAATACCAGATTGTGTTCCACTTTTACCCCAAATAGTAACAAAGCTCCTGCAATTTTTTAAGATATTATTAAACTGTGTACAAATGCTCAGATTAAAAAAAAGTGCTTACTTCCATTGAAATTGGACACTACCACTACCTATTCAAATTCAAGTTGTCATTGCCTTGAATCCATGTGTAAAGTTTTTGGTAGGATAGTCTATTTCTAGTTGTTTTTCAAGACTCATAATTTGGAACATTCTAGATATAAGATTGCATTGACACTTTATATTCTTTTTACTTTATAAAATGGTCATCCATGGTTTATGTTACAAACGAAAGCAAAAATCTGGGGGAAAGTTAAAGAAGTAGAGCCAGATAACAGAATTTTCTTTTCTAATATCTAATAAAGTGAAACAAAAGGATGAAAATAAAATCATGATAGGAAGGAAAAAATTACCAGAAACTATCAAAGAGAGAGAAAACAGATCTCATGCCATTAACTTAAAATGTCACCTAAGAAAAGAAACAATAGATTTTGTCTAGGAGAATGAAAGCCTTCTAAACTTGTCTCTAGAAACCTGTTTTAACCATAAACTAGAAAATGGACATATTAAGTTGACAAAAATCTTAAAAATTTTCTCCTCATTTGGAGAAAAGTAGACTAAATATATATTCTTTCATTTTCCTCTTATGAAAGGAGGGAAGTTGCAATGGTTACATTTGAAATATAGATGAAAAAATGGAGGAGAAGAAAAATTATTCACTCCTCGATGGAAACATAGTCTCCAGGGCTCCATGCTGAAGAACAATGCTGATACTACATTCTCCTCAAAACAATTCTGAAAATTTCTTGACTCATGAAACCCAGCTAACTCAGTAGTTGTAATTACTTACTTTTATGATCTGGTTTCCTTTTTCACTCTAAATTCTTATCCTCCTACTCTTCTAAATAAACAATCTGTTTTGCTTCTTAAATTTCAAATAATTTATGGAAAACAGAACTAATTCTTTCCAACTGTTCCTTTTCAGATCCCCATTCACTCTTCTCTAATAACAATTAAAATATTATTTTGTTTTTTGTAAATTTATTACATAAATTTACCATTTATATATCTTTCCTTGATTCTAGACTATAGTTTTCTTGAAATTAAGACATATACTTTTCCTATTTTAATCTTCAAGGGCCAATTTAGCACTTGAAATATAGACATTCAATGCATATTTGTTAAGTGAAAATGTATTTTGAAGTGTAATCTCCTTTTTTAAAGTTTCACAATCTTTTTGACTGAGTCCTTGAAAGCTTGTTTCACTTGCTGATTTCTTAAAGTATATATGAAGGGATTCAGTAAGGGAGTAACCGAAGTAATGAGTACAGCTATTCCTTTGTTGAAAGCACCTCCTTCTTTTGCAGAAGGATTAATGTACATAAACATGCAGCTGCCATAAGAGAGGGAGATGACAATCATGTGGGAGGAACAAGTGGAAAAGGCCTTTGTCCTTTGCTGGGCAGAAGGGATCCTCAGAATAGTCCTGATAATGTATGTGTAAGAAAGTGTCACCAGCACCAGAGTAACCATGAGAGTCACAACGGCCAAGAGGATGACCATCAGTTCTAAGAGGCTTGTGTCTGAGCAGGCAAGCTCCACGAGAGGCCCATAGTCACAGTAATAGTGATTCAGAATGTTGGAGACACAGAAATCTACCTGGGTCATCAGGATGATTGGTGGTAAGATTGCTAGGAATCCCCCCAACCAGGAGCAGAACACTAGTTGTATGCAGACTCTGCTGCTCATAATAGTCAGGTAATGCAAGGGTTTGCAGATGGCCACATAACGATCATAAGACATGGAGGCCAGGAGGTAAAACTCGGTAGCTCCAAGAAATATAGCAAAAAAATACTGAGTCAAGCAGCCAGCAAAGCTGATAACTTTATTTCCTGTTGTCATGCTGGTCAGAAATCTGGGAATAAAAATGGATGTGAAGGAAATTTCTAAGAAGGAGAAATTCCGGAGGAAGAAATACATGGGGGTCTGGAGGTGGGGGTCTAGTAAGGTGAGGGTGATAATAGTCAGATTTCCTAGGATACTTAGCATGTAGGTGAGGAACAGAAAGATGAATATCATCACTTGGAGTTCAGGTTGATTTGTAAGGCCCAGTAGAATAAACTCACCAAACATGGTTCTGTTTTTCATTGTTGACCTTCGGAAAACCTAAAGGCAAAAGGTGAGAATGATGAAAATTGAAGAGTTTCTTAGAGTAGGAGACATAAAGCTTATCTTAATGAACAGAATCAGGTCATACATTGCTCACCATCCATATGGCCCAAACCAGTGTCCCATTGGGGTGCACTTGGCTCCATGCAAGCCCCATATCTTTTGTTTAAGTGACCTTTTTCATTTCTCAAGTTGACCTGTTCCTGGGCACTTAAGAAAACTTATTATAGAATAACTCATTTTTTTTCAGAAAAATAGAAGTTTTTGAACCTGTTGTTTCCTTTCAAATGTTTATACAATCTTCACAAGTAAAGCACTTACTCTTGACTGTATTATAAGCTCTCCTAATTCTGTGCTTTTGGCACACATCTCTCTACCTCATTCTGTTTTCTGTGCTTTCCTGTTTCTTTCTTTCCTTTCTCTGCACTATTTGATGCCTCACTGGATATCTGCTATAGATCCTTATCTCCATTACTGTCCAAATCTCTGACATCCTTGTTTCAGAAACAAGTAGGAATTTCCCTACACAGGCAATGCTGAAGATCATCTCATTTTGTATTGTGAGTCTTTTCCTCTACATGAACAAGGTTCAAGCATCAATATGTCATATTAATTTACATTTTATGTTTCTCTGCCACATTCAGAGTCTTCCAGGCACTGATTTGAGATATGTCTCGGAGAAGAGAAATTTTGAGAACTCTGTAAGCAGCATCACGGAATGGATTTTTCTCAGTCTTAGAGTCCCCAGTGGCAACTAAGGATGACAGTTTATCATGACCCAAACTCTCCTGTTTTCTATTCTTGTCTTACAGAAACCAGAAAAAGTTTTTGATAATAAGAGTTCTTTGTAGATAAAGTGGTAATTCTCAGGGAAGAAAAATTTGGTGGTAGTATTGTGAGTGCATCTTTAGATTTTTCTGATTAAGAGGCAAATATAATATAAAGGGGTCCCTCTAATTTACATGCACATGGATTAGAAAAATTATGTTATTAAAATCATTCTTGTCAACTTTCCATACAGGTTTTGGAGGTCTTAGATGATGTGACCTGGGTCTCCTGCAGCCCTCTTTTCCTTGTTTATACTAACCTGTGGTCTTTGGCAAGTACTGCATTTTCTTCCAGATTTTCACAGTTGATTCATTTCATGATCCACATTTATAGAATGATAAAATCAGTGACTTTAAAAACATATGTTGCTCATACCTTTGACAACCTGAATGACTATAGTATACTGTTTACCTTGTTGTTCCTAAGAGGTAAATCAAAGATGAGATGTGCCACGTGAATCTTTGAGTAGTATATACTTTAACATGTTTTCTATTGGCTTCCATCCACATTTTACCTTTCTCTTAATAGAAGTATCCAAACTTATGGAACTTAACCAGAAAAAAGAGCATATTATTTTCCATTCTAAGAATCCAATCCAGAATCAAATCATAGTTCCTGAGAGACAGAGAACTTCACATAGGTAATAAAAAATAAAAACAAAGCCCATAGCAGTTATTGAATTGGAAGAAAATACTTTGAGAGACAGAAAATTTCTGAAAATTTATGTTCTAAGAGAGATTATGTTGAAGTTCTTAGATGGCAGAGGATGGGCATCTCTGCAGTTTCTGTGTTAGCTAGAGCAACACAGGTTTTATCTGCTCTTTTTAGAGCAGGCACATGGGATCAATTTCCTGAAGAAGCTAAAGAAGCCCTGTGGACCCACGTTCAAAAGGGGCTAATGAACCTCAGTCGTTGGCAATTTTGAGAACAAACTGTAAACATATGACTGAGAAGAGAGGTTCCAGAGAGACCATTGAGATAAAGGTTCCATGAGAGAATCTGCCACAGCCATGAAGTTTGTGGAGAAATGTAGAGCAATGGATGGACACTCCCTGGGGATGGGTGTGCCTGGCCTTGTCATTATTTCTATTATCTCTCCTTTAATAATCCTGTTTGGCCAGTGCTCCAACATGATGTAAATGAATGACAACTCACAGTAAATCACCATAACCTGAATGCTGTGGTATCCTCCATGAATCTCCCATGTCTAAATTACCAAATTACTGACTCCATCAAACCAACAGCTGGAAAATAGTTTGCTGTTGACATATTTTGCTAATATGTTCAATTCAATGCATAGTTCAAACAGCCTCTCAGAAGCAATCAGCCTTCACTTTTGAAAGAAATATACTTTCACTCACTTCCCCACAGGATATCTCAACAGGACTACCAGCACACAGTCTTTGCATGCAAGATCTTAACCACATTCAACTTTTTCCAGGAACACACATGTTGCTAATTACAAACCATTGAAAATGTGGAAGCAGCTTTAAAAGTCAATACTTGGCAGAAGCTGAAAGAATTTGGAAGGGTAGGTTAGAAAAAGCCTATATTCTGGTGGGGGCCTAGAATACAACAAGACTAGGAAAAACATGGAACTTCTTAGAGATTGGTTAAGTGGTTATGACCAGAATGCTGATAGAAATATGAAAGAAGCTACCATCAGAGTGAACAGGCAACCTACAGAGTGAGAGAAAATTTTTGCTATCTAACCATCTGACAAAGGGCTAATATCCAGAATCTATAAAGAACTTAAATAAATTAAAAAAAAAACAACCTCATCAAAAAGTGGGCAAAAGATATGAAAAGACACTTCTCAAAAGAAGACATTTATGCAGCCAACAGACACATGAAAAAGTACTCATCATCACTGGTCATCAGATAAATGCAAATCAAAACCACAATGAGATACCATCTCACGCTAGTTAGAATGGTGATCATTAAAGTCAGGAAACAACAGATGCTGGAGAGGAAGTGGAGAAATAGAATGCTTTTACACTGTTGGTGGAAGTGTAAATTAGTTCAACCACTGTAGAAGACAGTATGGCGATTCCTCAAGGATCTAGAACTAGAAATACCATTTGACCCAGTGATCCCATTACTGGGTATGTACCTAAAGGATTATAAATCATTCTACAATAAAGACACATGCACATGTGTGTTTATTGTGGCACTATTCACAATAGCAAAGACTTGGAACCAACACAAATGTCCATCAATGATAGACTGGATTAAGAAAATGTGGCATATATACACCATGGACTACTATGCAGCCATAAAAAAGGATGAGTTCATGTCTTTTGCAGGGACATGGATGAAACTGGAAACCATCATTCTCAGCAAACTATCACAAGGACAGAAAACCAAACACTGCATGTTCTCACTCTTAGGTGGGAATTGAACAATGAAAACACTTGGACACAGGATGGGGAACATCACACACTAGGGCCTGTCAGGGGCTGGAGGGCTTGGGGATGGATAGCACTAGGAGAAATACCTAATGTAAATGACGAGTTGATGGGTGCAGCAAACCACCCTGGCAAGTATATACCTATGTAACAAACCTGCACATTGTGCACATGTACCCCAGAACTTAAAGTATAATAATAAAAAGAAATAAGAACAGTAAAAGCCATTCTGATAAAATTGCAGATGAAACTCAGGAGCAAGTTTTTGGAAACTGGTGGAAAGGCTATCCTTGTTATAAATTGGACAAGAACTTGGCTGAGCTGTGTCAATGCTTGAGAGCTTTGTTCATCAAACTTGAGATTGATGAACCAGGGCATGTGGCAGAAGAAATGTCTGAACAAAATAGAAGGAGCTGCATGGTTGCTTTTGGCCACTTTCACTGAGATTCAGGAACAAAGAAACAATTTAAAAACATAATTTATAGTTAAAGGGGAAGCAGAGTAGAAATATTTGAAAAACATTCAGCCTGGCCATATAGAGTGAAAAATCATGTTCAGGAGAGGAAACGAAGTGTGCAGGACCGTTTGCTAAAAAGATTAGCAAAGGTGAAAAAGAGTCAGGTACTATGTCTCAAAACAATGGAAAAAATACCCTGAAGACATTTCAGAGATCTTCAGTGCTGCCTCTATCATCACAGGCCAAGAGGTCTAGGAGGGCAGAATGCTTTCAGGGGATAGGCCTGGGGTGATCTTCATGGGTTCACTGCCCAGGGTTGCCTCAGGATTCTGCTTCCTACATTTTAGCACAGTGCTCCATGGCTGCCTCAGTCATGGGTCAAGTTGCCCCAGGTGATGCTCATGTTGCAGCTCTGCAAGGCACAAGTTATAAACTTTGGTAGTGTCCATGTAGTGTTAATTCTGCAGGCTTTCAGAAAATGAGAGCTGTGGAGGCTTGGCAGCCTCCACCCAGATTTCAAAGAATGGCTTCAAAATTCTAAGGTTCTCAGCAGAGATGTGTCACAGTGGTGGAGTCACCACAGAGAACCTTAATCAAAGCAATACTGAGCAGAAATGTGGGGTGGGAGCTGCTGCAGAGTCCCCACCATGGGGCTGGTGTGGCTGTGGGAGTGAGGCCACTGCAGAGAGTCCTCACTAGGGCCATGCTTAGTGGAGTCATGGGAGAAGAACTGCTGCTGAAACTCCAGAACTTTAGAGCTACCAATGTGCAATGCCAGCATGGGAGAGTTGAATGGATTAAGCCTAGCAAAGTCATAGGGGCAGGCCTGCTTGAGGCTTTGGGGGACCAAATCATCAAGCCAAAGTGCAGAGGGTGCCAGACATGGAGTCAAAGGAGATTATTTTGGAGTCGTAGGACCTAATGTCTACTTTCTTGGGTTTTAAACTTGCTTCAGGCCTGTTATCCCTTTCTTCTTGCCTATTTTCTCCCTTTTGGAATGGGAGTGAGTCTTTCACAGGCTCACAAATGAGACTTTGGACTTTGGCCTTTAGAGTTGGTGTGGGAACAAGTTAAGACTTTGGGGGTTTGGGGCTGGAATGAACATATTTCTATGTGAGAAGAACACAAGTTTTAGGAGCTCAGGGGAATAATGGTATGGTGTGAATGTCTCCTCCAAAACTTGGGTTGAAACTTAAATTCCAATGTAGCAATATTGAAAGGTAGGGCCTTAAGTGGTGATTGGATCATGAAGGCTTGGTCCTTATAAATAGACTAATCCATTCACAGATTAATGGATTAGTGGTTTATCATGGATGTGGAAATACTGCCTTTATAAGAAGAGGAAGGGAGATCTGACCTAGCATGTCTGCATGCTCAGCTCCCTCACCACATGATGCCCTGAGCCACCTTGCGACTCTGCAGGGTCCCCAAGAGTAGGAAGGCCATCACCAGATACACCTTCTTGACTTGCACTTGTCAGGCTTCATAACTGTAAAAAATAAATTTCACGTTAGAGGTTCCAAGATGGCCGAATAGGAACAGCTCCTGTCTACAGCTCCCAGTGTGAGCGATGCAGAAGATGGGTGATTTCTGCATTTCCAACTGAGCTTTGAAGAGAGCAGTGGTTCTCCCAGCACATAGTTTGAGATCTGAGAATGGACAGACTGTCTCCTTAAGTGGGTCCCTGACCCCCGAGTAGCCTAACTGGGAGGCACCTGCCAGTAGGGGCTGACTGACACCTCATACGACTGGGTGCACCTCTGAGACGAAGCTTCCAGGGGAACGATCAGGCAGCAACATTTGCTGTTCTGCAATATTTGTGGTTCTGCAGCCTCTGCTGGTGATACCCAGGAAAACAGGGTCTGGAGGGGACCTCCAGTAAACTCCAACAGACCTGAACCTGAGGCTCCTGACTGTTAAAAGCAAAACTAACAAACAGAAAGGATATCCACACCAAAACCCCATCTGTACATCACCATCATCAAAGACCAAAGGTAGATAAAACCACAAAGATGGTGAGAAACCAGAGCAGAAAAGCTGAAAATTCTAAAAATCAGAGCGCCTCTTCTCCTCAAAAGGAATGCAGCTCCTCGCCAGCAACAGAACAAAGCTGGATGGAGAATGACTTTGATGAGTTGAGAGAAGAAGCCTTCTCTCAAGTTTGTTATAGGTAATAACAAACTTCTCTGAGCTAAAGGAAGATGTTTGAACCCATTGCAAAGAAGCTAAAAACCTTGAAAAAAGATTAGACGAATGGCTAACTAGAATAAACAGCATAGAGAAGACCCTAAATGACCTGAGGGAGCTGAAAACCATGGCACGAGAACTACATGATGTATGCACAAGTTTCAGTAGCTGATTCAATCAACTGGAAGAAAGGGTATCAGTGATTGAAGATCAAATGAATGAAATGAAGTAAAAGGGAAGTTTAGAGAAAGAAGAGCAAAAAGAAATGAACAAAGTCTCCAAGAAATACGGGACTATGTGAAAAGACCAAATCTATGTCAGATTGTTGTACCTGAAAGTGATGGGGAGAATGGAATCAAGTTGGAAAACACTCTGCAGGATATTATCCAGGAGAACTTCCCCAATCTAGCAAGGCAGGCCAATATTCAAAGGAAACACAGAGAACACCACAAACATACTCCTCAAGAAGAGCAACTCCAAGACACATAATTGTCACATTCACCAAAGTTGAAATGAAGAAAAAAATGTTAAGGGCAGCCAAAGAGAAATGTCGGGTTACCCACAAAGGGAAGCCCATCAGACTAACAGTGGATCTCTCAGTAGAAACTCTACAAGCCAGAAGAGAGTGGGGGTCAATATTCAACATTCTTAAAGAAAAGAATTTTCAACCCAGAATTCCATATCTAGCCAAAATAAGCTTCACAAGTAAAGGTGAAATAAAACCCTTTACAGGCAAGCAAATGCTGGGAGATTTTGTCACCATCAGGCCTGCCTTACAAGAGCTCCTGAAGGAAGCACTAAACATGGAAAAGAACGACCGGTACCAGCCACTGCAAAATCATGCCAAATTCTAAAGACCATCGATGCTAGGAAGAAACTGCATCAACAAACAAGCAAAATAACCAGCTAACATCATAATGACAGGATCAAATTCACACATAACAATATTAGCCTTAAATGAAAATGGGCTAAATGATCCAATTAAAAGACACAGACTGGTAAATTGGATAAAGAGTCAAGACCCATCACTGTGCTGTATTCAGGAGACCCATCTCACGTGCAGAGACACACATAGGCTCAAAATAAAGGGATGGAGGAAGATCTACCAAGCAAATGGAAAACAAAAAAAGGCAGGGTTGCAATCCTAGTCTCTGATAAAACAGACTTTAAACCAACAAAGATCAGAAGAGACAAAGAAGGCCATTACATAATGGTAAAGAGATCAATTCAACAAGAAGAACTAACTATCCTAAATATATATGCACCCAATACAGGAGCAACCAGATTCATAAAGCAAGTCCTTAGAGACCTACAAGGAGGCTTAGACTCCCACACAATAATAATGGGAGACTTTAACAACCCATTGTCAACATTAGACAGATCCACGAGACAGAAAGTTAACAAGGATATCCAGGAATTGAACTCAGCTCTGCACCAAGCAGACCTAATAGACATCTACAGAACTCTCCACCCCAAAGCAGCAGAATATACATTCTTTTCAGCACCACATCGCAGTTATTCCAAAATTGACCACATAGTTGGAAGTAAAGCACTCCTCAGCAAATGTAAAAGAACAGAAATTAGAACAGTCTCTCAGACCACAGTGCAATGAAACTAGAACTCAGGATTAAGAAACTCACTTAAAACCACTCAATTACCTGGAAACTGAACAACCTGCTCCTGATTGACTACTGGGTACATAATGAAACGAAGGCAGAAATAAAGATGTTCTTTGAAACCAATGAGAACAAAGACACAACACACCAGAATCTCTGGGACACATTTAAAGCAGTGTGCAGAGGGAAATTTATAGCAGTAAATGCCCACAAGAGAAAGCAGGAAAGATCTAAAATTGACACCCTAACATCACAATTAAAAGAACTAGAGAAGCAAGAGCAAACACATTCGAGGGCTAGCAGAAGGCAAGAAATAACTTCTCACGCATAGGTGGGAATTGAACAATGAGAACACATGGACACAGGAAGGGAACATCACACACCGGGGCCTGTTATAGGGTTGGGGATGGGGGGAGGGATAGCATTAGGAGATATGCCTAATGTTAAATGAAGAGTTAATGGGTGCAGCACACCAACATGGCACATGTATACATACGTAACAAACCTGCACATTGTGCACATGTACCCTAAAACTTAAAGTATAAAAAAAAGAGAAGTAAATAAGATCAGAGCAGAACTGAAGGAAATAGAGACACAAAAAACCCTTCAAAAAATCAATGAATCCAGGAGCTGGTTTTTTGAAAAGATGAACAAAATTGATAGACCGCTAGTAAGACTAATAAAGAAGAAAAAAGAGAAGAATCAAATAGATGCAACAAAAAATGATAAAGGGGATATCACCACCAATACTACAGAAATACAAACTACCATCAGAGAATACTATAAACACCTCTATGCAAATAAAGTAGAAAATCTAGAAGAAATGGATAAATTCCTCGACACATACATCCTCCCAAGACTAAACCAGGAAGAAGTTGAATCCTTGAATAGACCAATAACAGGCTCTAAAATTGAGGCAATAATTAAGAGCCTACCAACCAAAAAAAGTCCAGGACCAGATGGATTCATAGCCAAATTCTACCACAGGTACAATGAGTAGCTGGTACCATTCCTTCTGAAACTATTCCAATCAATAGAAAAAGAGGGAATCCTCCCTAACTCATTTTATGAGGCCAACATCATCCTGATACCAAAGCCTGGCAGAGACACAACCAAAAAAGAGAATTTTAGACCAATTTCCCTGATGAACATTGATGCAAAAATCCTCAATAAAATACTGGCAAACTGAATCCAGCAGCACATCAAAAAGCTTATCCACCACGATCAAGTTGGCTTCATCCCTGGGATGCAAGGCTGTTTCAACATACACGAATCAATAAATGTAATCCAGCATATAAACAGAACCAAAGACAAAAACCACATGATTATCTCAATAGATGTAGAAAAGGCCTTTGACAAAATTCAACATCCCTTCATGCTAAAAACTCTCAATAAATTGGGTATTGAATGGACTTACCTCAAAAAGGTAAGAGGTATTTATGACAAACCCACAGCCAATATCATACTGAATGGTCAAAAACTGGAAGCATTCCCTTTGAAAACTGGCACAAGACAGGGATGCCCTCTCTCACTACTCCTATTCAACATACTGTTGGAAGTGCTGGCCAGGGCAATTAGGCAGGGGAAAGAAATAAATGGTATTCAATTAGGAAAAGAGGAAGTCAAATTGTCCCTGTTTGCAGATGACATGATTGTATACCTAGAAAACCCATAGTCTCAGCCCAAAATCTCCTTAAGCTGATAAGCAACTTCAGCAAAGTCTCAGGATATAAAATCAATGTACAAAAATCATAAGCATTCTTATATACCAATAACAGACAAACAGAGAGCCAAATCATGAGTGAACTCCCATTCACAATTGCTTCAAAGAGAATAAAATACCTAGGAATCCAACTTACAAGGGACATGAAGGACCTCTTCAAGGAGAACTACAAACCACTGCTCAATGAAATAAAAGAGGATACAAACAAATGGAAGAACATTCCATGCTCATGGATAGGAAGAATCAATATCGTTAAAATGGCCATACTGCCCAAGGTAATTTATAGATTCAATGCCATCCCCATCAAGCTACCAATGACTTTCTTCACAGAATTGGAAAAAACTACTTTAAAGTTAATATGGAACCAAAAAAGAGCTCGCATTCCCAAGTCAATCCTAAGCCAAAAGAACAAAGCTGGAGGCATCACACTACCTGACTTCAAACTATACTACAAGGCTACAGTAACCAAAACAGCATAGTACTCATACCAAAGCAGAGATATAGACCAATGGAACAGAATAGAGCCCTCAGAAATAATACCATACATCTACAACTATCTGACCTTTGACAAACCTGAGAAAAACAAGCAATAGGGAAAGGATTCCCTGTTTAATAAATGGTGCTGGGAAAACTGGCTAGCCATATGTAGAAAGCTGAAACTGGATCCCTCCCTTATACCTTATACAAAAATTAATTCAAGATGGATTAAAGACTTAAATGTTAGATCTGAAACCATAAAAACCCTAGAAGAAAACCTAGGCAATACCATTCAGGACATAGGCATGGGCAAGGACTTCATGTCTAAAACACCAAAAGCAATGGCAACAAAAGCCAAAATAGACAAATGGGATCTAATTAAACTAAAGAGCTTCTGCACAGCAAAAGAAACTGCCATCAGAGTGAACAGGCAACCTACAGAATGGGAGAAAATTTTTGCTATCTACTCATCTGACAAAGGGCTAATATCTAGAATCTACAAAGAACTCAAACAAATTTACAAGAAAAAAACAAACAACCCCATCAAAAAGTGGGCAAAGCATATGAACAGACACTTCTCAAAAGAAGACATTTATGCAGCCAACAGACACAGGAAAAAATGCTCATCATCACTGGCCATCAGAGAAATGCAAATCAAAACCATAATGAGATATCATCTCACACCAGTTAGAATGGCGATCATTGAAAAGTCAGGAAACGACAGGTGCTGGAGAGGATGTGGAGAAATAGGAACACTTTTACACTGTTGGTGGGACTGTAAACCAGTTCAACCATTGTGGAAGACAGTATGGTGATTCCTCAGGGATCTAGAACTAGAAATACCATTTGACCCAGCCATCCCATTACTGGGTATATACCCAAAGGAATATAAATTATGCTGCTATAAAGACACATGGACACGTATGTTTATTGTGGCACTACTCAAATAGCAAAGACTTGGAACCAACCCAAATGTCCAATAATGACAGAGTGGATTAAGAAAATGTGGCACATATACACCATTGAATACTATGCAGCCATAAAGAAGGATGAGTTCGTGTCCTTTGTAGGGACATGGTTGAAGCTGGAAACCATCGTTCTCAGCAAACTATTGCAAGGACAAAAAAACAAACACTGCAAGTTCTCACTCATAGGTGGGAATTGAACAATGAGAACACATGGACACAGGAAGGGGAACATTACACCCCAGGGCCTGTTGTGGGGTTGGGGGAGGGGGGAGGGATAGCATTAGGAGATATACCTAATATAAATGATGAGTTAATGGGTGCAGCACACCAACATGGCACATGTGTACATATGTAACTAACCTGCATGTTGTGCACATGTACCCTAGAACTTAAAGTATAATAAAAAAATATATAAAAAAAGAAGAAAGTTCAAAAAAAATAAAAGAAGAGCCAGGCCATATTTGATATGCAAATACCAGCAAATAGAAACTGGGTCTACCCAACATGGCGATTCCTGCCATCTTCTCCTTGTCACCAGGTGTGCCAAGTGTCATGGCCACCCTGACATAACAGTATGTGTTCAAAACATCATGGCGACCCGCATTTGCATAGTAAAGGGCTAAGGTGGGAGGGCCAGGTTTTTCAGGGCTATGTGAATGACACACCTGGTTAAACCAATCCTCTTGGCCTTTTGCAAACCAGACATCACCTCCTTCAGCCTCCCAATATAATAGACCACCTTTCTGCTACACATGAGGTTTCTCTTTGTTCCAAGCCCTCCTCCTTTGTCTCTGTACAGGGGAGCTGTTCTCTTTCTTGCCTAGTAAACTTTTCACTCCTCAAAAGCACTCCACGTGTGTCTGTGACATTAATCCTATTGGAGCACGACCAAGGACCCTGGTGTTCCTCCAGTGATCAGAGCTGTATCAGTACCACGATTAAATTTGTAAAATCTCTCCTAGTTCCCTATATCTTATTTAAGAACTAAACTTTGGTCTGGGCACAGTGGCTCACACCTGTAATCCCAGCACTTTGAAAGGCTGAGGTGGGTGGATCACTTGAGCCCAGGAGTTCAAGACCAGCCTAGGGAACATAGTGAAACCCCATGTCTACAAAAAATTAGCTGGGTATGGTGGCACATGCTTGTAGTCCCAGCAACTCAGGAGGCTGAAGTGGGAGAATCACCTGAGCCCGGGAAGTCGAGATCGCACCACTGCATTCCAGCCTGGGCATCGAAGTGAGATCCTATCTCAAAAAAAAAAAAAGAAAAAAATATATATGTGTGTGTATATATATATGTGTGTGTATATATATATGTGTGTGTATATATATATGTGTGTGTGTGTATATATGTGTGTATATATGTGTGTGTGTGTGTGTGTGTATATATATATATATATATATGTAAAAAGGAACTACACATCATTTTTATTTCTATCCAATATTGTGTCCCCAGGATAACAATCATGACTTGTGAGGATTATTACATCAAGAAGTGTTAAATAATTTTTTAAACAGTGATTCCTCAAACTTCCCTGAAGCATGGATGATTATACATGTTCTGAAGTATTGGTGTGTGTGCCTGAATAAAGCAGCATGGGAAACAAAACTCTGGGACAAAGACGGTTAGGATATCAACTCTATAATGCCACAGTCATGGAGTCAGGGAGGGTTGCTGCATTAACACTTGCTTGTAGTTTTATGAGTTGAAGGATGAGCCATTTTGTTTTGTGGAAGACCACAATATGCTACCCCAAAATATTCCTCTTTGGCATAAAGACCATTCAGCTGATGGCATTTAAGAAGCAGATGCAAGTTGGGTGCCATGGCTCATGTTTGTAATTCCAGCACTTTGGGAGGCCAAGGAGAGAGGATAACTTGAGGCCAGGAGTTTGAAACCAGCCGAGGCAAAATAGCAAGACTCTATCTCTACCAAAAAAAAAAAAAAAAAAAAAAAAAAAAGAAAAAGAAAAAATACCCAATTCACTGTTTCATTCTATTCTTCTTTCTATTGTTTTTTAAAAATTATTTTTCTAGTTTCTATTTCATCCCTACATCCCTGGGATGAAACCCACTTGATCATGGTGGATTATCTTTTTGATATGTTATTGGATTTAGTTAGCTGGTATTTTGTTAAGAATTTTAGCATCTATATCTATCAAGGATATTGGTCTGTAGTTTTAGTTTTTGAATATGCCCTTCCCTCGTTTTGGTATTAGGGTGATGCTGGCTTCATAGAGTGAATTAGGGAGGGTTCCTTCTTTCTCTATCTTGTGGAGTAGTGTCAAAACTAATGGTACCAATTCTTCTTTGAATATCTGGTAGAATTCTGCGGGAATCTGTCTGGTCCTGAACTTTTCTTTGTTAGTAATTTTTAAATTACCATTTCAATCTAATTGTTTTTCACTGGTCTGTTCAGGGTATCTAATTCTTCCTGATTTAAGCTAGGAGGTTTGTATCTTTTCAGGAATTTATCCATCTCTTGTAGGTCCTCTAGTTTATGTGCATAAAGGTGTTCAAAGTAGCCTTGAATGATCTTTTGTATTTCAGTGTGTTAGTAGTAATATCTTCTGTTTCGTTTCTTAGTGAGGTTATTTGGATTTTCTCTCTTCTTTTCTTAGTTAACCTTGCTATTGGTCTATCAATTTTATTTCAAAAAATCAGCTTTTTGTTTCATTTATCTTTTGTATTTTTTTGTTTCAATTTCATTTAGGTCTGCTCCGATATTAGTTATTTCTTTTCTTCTGCTGGGTTTGGGTTTGGTTTGTTCTTGCTTCTCTAGTTCCGTGAGGTGTGACCTTAGAATGTCAGTTTGCTGTTTCAGTCTTTTTGATGTAGGTGTTTAGGGCTATAAATTTTATCTTAACACTGCCTTTGCTGTATCCCAGAGGTTTTGGTAGGTTGTCATTACTGTCATTCAGTTTAAAAAATTTTTAAATTTCCATCTTTATTTCCTTTTTGTCTCAGTGCTCATTCAGGAGCAAGTTATTAATTTCCATGTATTTGCATGGTTTTGAATGTTCTTTTTGGAGTTGTTTTCCAGTTTTATTCCACTGTGGTCTGAGAGAGTGCTTGATATAATTTCAATTTTCTTAAATTTATTCAGTCTCATTTTATAGCCTATCACATGGTCTATCTTGGCAAAATTTCCGTGCACTGTTGAATAAATGTGTATTCTGCAGTTGGTGGTTGAAATGTTCTATATATATCTGTATAGTCTATTTGTTCCAAGGTATGGTTTAAATCCATTGTTTCTTTGTTGACTTTCTGTCTTGATGACCTGTCTAGTGCTGTCAGTGGAGTGCTGAAGTCCTCCACTATTATTGTGTTGCTGTCTATCTTATTTTTTAGGTCTATTGGTAATCGTTTTGTTTTTATTTTTATTTTATTTTATTATTATTATACTTTAAGTTTTAGGGTACATGTGCACAATGTGCAGGTTAGTTACATATGTATACATGTGCCATGCTGGTGTGCTGCACCCATTAACTCATCATTTAGCATTAGGTATATCTCCTAAAGCTATCCCTCCCCCCTCCCCCCCCACAACAGTCCCCAGAGTGTGATGTTCCCTTTCCTGTGTCCATGTGTTCTTATTGTTCAATTCCCACCTATGAGTGAGAATATGCGGTGTTTGGTTTTTTGTTCTTGCAATAGTTTACTGAGAATGATGATTTCCAATTGTTTTATAAATTTGGAAGCTCCAGTGTTAGGTGTGTATATGTTTAGGATGTGATATTTTCCTGTTGGACAAGGCCTTTTCCCATTATATAATGTCCCTCCTTGTCTCTTTTAACTGCTGTTGCTTTAAAATTTGTTTTGTCTGATACAGGAATAGCTACCCCTGATCACTTTTGGTGTACATTTGTATGAAATGCCTTTTTCCACCCTTTTACTTTAAGTTTCTGTGAGTCCTTATATGTTGAGTCTCCTGAAGGCAGCAGATAGTTGGTTTATGAGTTCTTATCCATTCTGTGGTTCTGTATCTTTTAAGTGGAGCATTTAGGTCATTTACATTCAATGTTAGTGTTGAAATATGATTTCATTTATCATGCATTTTGTTGACTGTGTACTTTTGTTTTTTGCTTTTGCTTTTTAACATGTATTTTTTGTTTTGTAGGTCCTGTGTGATTTAAGTTTTAAAGAGGTTCTGTTTTGATGTGTTTCCAGGGTTTGTTTCAAGATTTAGAGCTCCTTTTAGTAGTTCTTGTAGTGGTGGCTTGGTAATGGCAAATTCTCTCAGCATCTGTTTGTCTGAAAATGACCATATATTTCCTTCATATATGATGCTTAATTTAGCTGGATACAAAATTCTTGGCTCACAATTGTTTTGTTTGAGGAGGCTAAAGAAGGGCACCAATCCCTGCTAGCTTGTAGGGTTCCTGTTGAGAAATCTGCTATTAATCTGATACTTTTTCATTTATAGGTTACCAGATGCTTCTGTCTCACAACTCTTAAGAGTCTTTCCTTCATCTTAACTTTAGATAACCTGATGACAATGTGTATGCAAAGATCTTTTTGTGATGAATTTTCCAGGTGTTCTTTGTGCATCTTGTATTTGGATGTCTAGGTCTCTAGCAAGGCCAGGGAATTTTCCTCTATTATTCCCCCAAATACTTTTTTGAAGCTTTTAGAATTCTCTTCTCCCTCAGGAACACTGATTATCCTTAAGTTTTGTCATTTAACATTATCCCAGACTTCTTGGAGACTTTCCTCATATTTTCTTATTATTTTTTCTTTGTCTTCATTGGATTGGGTTAATTCAAAGATCTTGTCTTTGAGCTCTGAATTTCTTTCTTCTGCTTGTTCAATTCTATTGCTGAGACTTTCCAGAGCATTTCTCATTTCTAAAAGTGTGTCCAAAGTTTCATGAACTTTTGATTGTTTTTCCTTTAAGCTATCTATTTCCTTGAATATTTCTCACTTCACTTCTTGTATTATTTTTTTGGATTTCCTTGTGCATTGGACTTCACCTTTCTCTGGTTCCTCCTTGATTAGCTTAATAACTAACCTCCTGAATTCTTTTTCAGGTAAATCAGGGATTTCTTTTTTGGTTTGGATCCATTGCTGGTGAACTAGTGTGATTTTCTGGGGGTGTTGAAGAGCCTTGTTTTGTTGTATTGCCATGGTTGGTTTTCTGGTTCTCATTTGGGTAGGCTCTATCAGAGGGAAGGTCTAGGGTTGGAGGCTGTTCAGATTCTTTTGTCCCACAGGGTGTTCCCTTGATGTAGTTTTCTTCCCCTTTTCTTATGGATGTGGCTTCCTGTGAGCCAAGCTGCAGTGATTGTTATCTCTCTTTGGTTCTAGCCACCCAGCAAGTCTACCTGGCTCTGGGCTGGTACTGGGGGTTGTCTGCACAGAGTCCTGTGATATGAACTGTTTATGGGTCTCTCAGCTATGGATGCTAGCACCTGTTCTGGTGGAGGTGGCAAGGAATTGAAATGGACTCTGTGAGGGTTCTTAGTTTTGCTGGTTTAATGTTCTGTTTTTGTGCCAGTTGGCCTCCTGTCAGGAGGTGGAGCTTTCCAGAAAGCATCAGCTGTAATAGTAGCATAGAGAGAAACTGGTGGTGGGCGGGACCCTAGAACTCCCAAGATTGTATGCCCTTTTGTCTTCCACGACCAGGGTGGATAGAGAAGGACCATCAGGTGGGGGCAGGGCTAGGCGTGCCTGAGCTCAGACTCTCCTTGGTCGGGTATTGCTGTGGCTGCTGTGGAGGATAGAGGTGGGATTCCCAGGTCCTTGGAGTTTTGTACCTAGAAGAATTGTGGCTGCCTCTCCTGAGTCATGCTGGCTGTCAGGAAAGTGGGGGAAAGCCAGCAGTCACAGGCCTTATCCAGCTCTCATGCAAAATGAAGGGCCAGACTCACTCCCATCATGCCCCCACAACAGCCTCAATTCTGTTTCCAGGTGGAGGCGTGTGACTGGGTTGACAGCTTGCCCTGGGCTACCCACCTTCCAGATGCGAGAGAAAAGGGGTTGGTTCTTCCTCCACCTGTGGGGTCTGCACACCAGATTTGCACCCTTCCCTGAGTTCTGGCCAGAAGGCTTCTTGCCCCATTCAAATTGTTACAGAGTTCAGCTAGAGATTTCCTTCTCCTTGTGAAGTTATGTCCCGTGCTACTCTGGTCACCCACCCAATGGATCCCTGTGGTGCCAGGCAGGAATGGCCTGCTAGGGGATGCAGTGAGCTCCGTGGGCCTTTCTGCTGCTTCCTCTACTCCTGTATTTCACTTGGCTCTCTAAATTGGCTCAGCTCCAGGTAAGGTCAGAAACTTCTCCCACAAACGGATCTTCAGTTTCTCCAGTGGGGGGTGTGTGTTTGGGAGAGGATTCCCCCTTTTTACACTTCCACAGTTGGGGCATTCACGGTATTTGGGGCACCTCCTGGGTCCTTCATGAGCAGTCTGCTTCCTTCAGAGGGTCTTTGGGTCCTCTCAGGATTGCTGGTATTTTCTTGTAGTCAAACTGAGCTTAAATTCACAATGTTCTACTCACACTACATTTTGATATCATGAGTTACTATCTGAATATTTCTTAGAACAGTGCCTCACATATTGTTTATAGCACTATCAAACATGATTCCATTTTGCAGCCTCTGGATATTTTTGCACCCTTCCTATGGATCTCTCAGTACTGGCAGGTCATAGGATAAGAGAGTCTATGGTAGAGTCGCCTAGGAACTACTGGAGTGGAGGAGATGGAACCTGGTCTATTGATTTTGTTTATCTTTTCAAAGAACCAGCTTTTTGTTTCATTTATCTTTGTATTTTTTGTTTCAATTTCATTCTTTTTTGCTCTAATCTTTGTTATTTCTTTCCTTCTGCTAGAGGTTTGAGTCTGGTTTGTTCTTGTTTCTCTAATTCCTTGAGGCATGACCTTAGATTGTCTAGTTGTACTAACACCACTTTTGCTGTATCCCAGAGGTTTTAAATTGTGTTACTATTATTATTCAGTTGCAAGAATTTTTCAGTTTCCATCTTGATTCCATTGTTGACTCAAAGATCATTCAAGAGCAGATTATTTTATTTTTATGTATTTATGTAGTTTGAGGGTTCTTTTTGGAGTTAATTTCCAATTTTATTCCACTGTGGTCTGAGAGAATACTTGATATAATTTTGATTATCTTAAATTTATTGAGACTTGTTTTGTGGCCTATCATATGGCCTATCTTGGAGAATGTTCCATGTGCTTATAAAAAAATCTATATTCTGCAGTTGTTGGGTAGAATGTTCTGTAAATATCTGTTAAGTTCATTTGTTCCAGAGTATGGTTCAAGTCCATTGTTTCTTTGTTGAATTTCTCTCTTGATGACCTGTCTAGTATTGTCACTGGAGTATTGAAGTCCCCCACTATTATTGTGTTGCCATCTATCTCATTTTTTAGGTCTATTAATAATTGTTCTATAAATTTGAGAGCTCCAGTGTTAGGTGCATATGAATTTAGGATTGTGATATTTTCCTGTTGGATGAATCCTTTTATTATTATATAATGTCCCTTTTTGTCTTTTTAAACTGTTATTGCTTTAAAGTCTGTTTTGTCTGATATCAGAATAGCTACTCCTGCTCAGTTTTGGTGTCCATTTGCGTGGAATATCTTTTTCTACCCCTTTACCTTCAGTTTATGTGAGCCCTTATGTATTAGATGAGTCTCTTCAAGACAGAAGATGCTTGGTTAGTGGATTTTTATCCATTCTACCATTCTACATCTTGTAAGTGGAGCATTTAGGCCACTTACATTCAACGTTTGTATTGAGATGTGAGTTACTTTTCTATTCATCATACTAATTGTTGCCTGAATACCTTGTGTTTTTCTCATTGTGTTATTGTTTTATAGGTCCTGTGAAATTTATGCTTTAAGGAGGCTCAATTTTGGTGTATTTTGATGTTTTGTTTCAAGGTTTAGAACTCCTTTTAGCATTTCTTGTAGTGTTGGCTTGGTAGTGGCAAATTCTCTCAGCATTTGTTTGTCTGAAAAATGACTTTATTTGTCCTTCATGTATGAAGCTTAGTTTCTCAGGATACAAAATTCTTGGCTGATAATTATTTTGTTTAAGGAGGCTAAAGATAGGAACCCAATCCCTTCTGGCTTTCAGGGTTCTGCTGTTAATTTGAAGATTCTGTCCTTCATCTTGACCTTAGATAACTTGATGACTATGTGCCTAGGTAATAATCTTTCTGTGATGAATTTCCCAGGTGTTCTTTGAGCTTCCTATGTTTGAATATCTAGATCTCTATCAAAGCCAGGGAAGTTTTCCTCAATTATTCCCTCAAATAAGTTTCCAAACTTTTAGATTTGTCTTCTTCCTCAGTAACACCAATTATTCTTGTTAGGTCATTTAACATAATCTCAAATTTCTTGGAGGTGTTCTTTATTTTCTAAAATTCTTTTTTCTTTGTCTTTGTTGGATTGGGTTAATTCAAAAGCTGTGTCTTTGAGTTCTGAAGTTCTTTCTTTTACTTGTTCAAGTCTATTATTGAAACTTTACAGTGTATTTTGCAATTCTTTAAATGTGCTTTTTTTAAAATTATACTTTAAGTTCTGGGGTACACGTGCAGAATGTGCAATTTTGTTACATAGGTATACATGTGCCACGGTGGTTTGCTGCACCCATCCACTCATCATCTATATTAGCTATTTCTCCTAATGCTATCCCTCCCCTAGCTTTCCACACCCTGACAGGCCCCAGTGTGTGATGTTTCCCTTCCTGTGTCCATGTGTTCTCATTGTTCAACTCCCACTTATGAGTGAGAACAGGCAGTGTTTTGTTTTCTGGTCTTTTATTAGTTTGCTGAGAATGATGATTCCAGCTTCATCCATGTCCCTGCAAAGGACATGAACTCATCCTTTTTTATGACTGCATAGTATTCCATGGTGTATATGTGCCACATTTTCCTTATGCAGTCTATCATTGATGGGTATTTGGGTTGGTTCTAAGTCTTTGCTACTGTAAATAGTGCTGCAATAAATATATGTGTGCATGTATCTTTATAGTAGAATAATTTATAAGCCTTTGAGTATGTACCCAGTAATGGGATTGCAGGATCAAATGGTATTTCTGTTTCTAGATCCTTGTGGAATCACCATGCTGTCTTCCACAATAGTTGAACTAACTCACACTTGCACCAATGGTGTAAAAGCATTCCTATTTCTCCACATCCTCTCCAGCATCTGTTGTTTCCTGACATTTTAATGATCACCATTCTAACTGGCGTGAGATGGTATCTCATTGTGGTTTTGACTTGCATTTCTCGATGACCAGTGATGAGCTTTTTTTCACGTTTGTTGGCTGCATAAATGTCTTCTTTTCAGAAGTGTCTGTTCATATCCTTTGCCCACTTTTTTGGTGGGGTTGTTTTTTTCTTGTAAATTTGTTTAAGTTATTTGTAGACTCTGGATATTAGCCCTTTGTCGGATGGATAGATTGCAAAAATTTTCTCCCATTCTATAGGTTTCCTGTTCACTCTGATGATAGTTTCTTTTGCTGTGCAGAAGCATTTTAGTTTATATCCAAGTGTGTCTTTTGTTTCCAAAAGTTGTGATTGTCTTTTCTGTATGATATCTATTTCTCTGGAGACTTTTTAATTCATATCCTTTATTAAATTTTTTTTAAAAGTTGGTTTGCACCTTTCTCTGGTGCCTCCTTGAGTAGCTTAATAATCAACCTTCTGAGTACTTTATCTGGAAATTCAGAGATTGCTTTTTGGTTTGGATCCATTGCTGGAGAGCCACTGTGATCTTTTGGGGGTGTTATAGAACCCTGTTTTGTCATATTACCAGAATGACTTTTCTGGTTCTTCTCATTTGGGTATACTGTTCCAGTGGAAAGATTTGGCACTCAAGGGTTACTCTCAGACTGTTTTATCCCACAGGGTTATCCCTTAATGTGGTGCTCTTGTTTTTTTCCATAGGGATGGAGCTTTCTGAGGGCCAGACTGCAGTGATTGTTATTGCCTTTCTGGTTCTAGCCACCCCGCAGGGCTACCTGGCTCCAGGCTGGTGCTGCAGAATGTCTGCAAAGTGTCCCGTGATGTGATCTGTCTTCAGGTCTCCAAGCCATGGATACAAGCACCTGCACTGGTGGAAGTGGCAAGGAGTAAAGTGGACTCTGTGGGAATCCTTAGTTGTAGTTTTGTTTAGTGCAGTGGTTTTCTTGAATGGTGGTTATGCCAACAGTGAAGTTGTCACGTGGACAGACTCAAGAGCTCTGGTTAGCCAGGGTGTTGCCGGTGATGGAATTAGCTGTTGTTTTCTCCTTTTTTGAAGCAGGATTGTTCAGTTATGAATTGTTGTAGTGGCTTGAGTTGGTTGGCCTCCACCCAGAAGGTGGTGCTTTCAAGAGAGCACCAGCTGCAGTAGTAGAAGGGGGATATAATGTTACCCTACATTGGTCAGGATGAGTACTTCAGTTTCTCAGGTGATAGGCAGGGCCATAGAGCTCCCAAGGGTTTATGCCTTTTGTCTTCAGCTACCAGGGTGGGTAGAGAAAGCCCTTCAGGTGGAGGTAGGTTTAGGTGGGTCTGAGCTCAGACTCCTTGGGTGGGGCTTGCTGTGGCCCCTGTGGAGGATGAGAAGATGGTTCTCAGGCCAATGGAGTTATGTTCCCAGGGGGATTATGGCTGCCTCTGCTGCATAATACAGGTTGCCAGGGAAGTAGGGGAAAGCTGGCAGTAACAGGCCTCAGCTACCTCCCATGCAGCCAATAAGGCCAGTCTCACTCCCACCATGCCAATCCCCACAACTGCACTGAGTTTATATCCAGGCAGCCAATGAGCAGAGCTGAGATCTCTCCTCAGGCTACAAGCCTCCCCACTGAGAAAGCCAAGTAGGGTTTTCAGGCCTCACCCCTCCTCACCAGCATACATTTTTTTTGGTGGTGGCTTCTGTGCTTGTATCTATACTTCCCATTCACCCCCCCAACCCTGGATTTTGCTCAGGAAAATTCATGCTCAGTTGAAATTATTACAAAATTCAGCTAGGAGCTTCCTTCACTCTGTGGACCCTCCCCAATTCTGCTGTCTGCCTTCCCTTTCCTAAGGGCTTCTGTGAGATAAGACTAAGAATGGCTTCCCTGGGCTTGAACTGGGGACCAGGAATTTCTACAGGGCTCTTTCTTCTGCTTCTTCTACTTTTTCATTTCACTCAGCTCCCTAAATCTGTTTCTACTCTAGATAAAGTTAAATCCTTCTCCTGTGATCCAGATTTTCAGGTTCCCTGGGGGGATGTATGTTCAGAGGCTGACTTTTCCCCCTTTCGCACTTTGAGAACTCACAGTTTGTTGGTGGTCTTGCGACATTTGTAGCAGCAAGCTGCTTTTTTCAAAGGATCTGTGAATTATTTTGTTTTTCCTGGTATGCTTCTGTGGTGTTTCTTGGTGCAAAAGTTTAAATGTGAGTCTCCAGATGCTGTTCTGTCCATCCAAGTGGGAGCTGCCTGTTAGTCTGGTCTCCTATCCACCATTTTTCTGCATTCTGAATCACATTTATTGATTTGCATATGGTGAACCAACCTTGTATCCTAGGAATGAAGCCTATTTGATCATGGTGAATTAATTTTTAGATGTGCTGCTTTATTTTTAAAAATGATTTTATCCCCATAGGTTTTTGGGGAACAGGTGCTATTTGGTTACATGAATAAGTTCTTCAGTGGTGATTTGTGAGATTTTGGTATTCCCACCACCCAAGCACTATACACTGAGTCAATTTGTAGTCTTTTATCCCTCACCCCCTTCCCACCTTTTCCTCCTGAGTCCCCATAGTCAATAGTGTCATTCTTATGCCTTTGTATCCTCATAGCTTAGCTCCCACTTATAAGTGAGAACGTATGATGTTAGGTTTTTCACTGTGAGTTGCTTCACTTAAGATGATAGTCTCCAGGCTGGGCGCAGTGGCTCACACCTGTAATCCCAGCACTTTGGGAGGCAGAGGTGGGTGGATTGCCTGAGGTCAGAAGTTCAAGACCAGCCTGGCCAACATGGTGAAACCCCATTTCTACCCAAAATACAAAAATTAGCTGGGCGTGGTGGCAGCTACCTGTAATCCCAGTTACTTGGGAGGCTAAGGCAGGAGAATCACTCAAACCCAGGAGGCAGAGGTTGCAGTGAGCTGAGACCATGCCATTGCACTCCAGCCTGGGCAACAAGAGTGAAACTCCATCTCAAAATAAATGAATAAATAAAATAATAGTTTACAATCCCATTCAAGTTGCCACAAATGCCATTAATTCGTTCCTTTTTTTGGCTGAGTTGTATTCCATTGTGTGTGTGTGTGTGTGTGTGTGTGTGTGTGTGTGTGTGTATCTCACAGTTTCTTTATCCACTCATTGATTGATGGGCATTTGGGTTAGTTCCACATTTTTGCAATTGCAAATTGTGCTGCTATAAACACACATGTGCAAGTATCTTTTTTGCATAATGACTTCTTTTCCTCTGGTTAGATACCCAGTAGTGGGATTGCTGGATCAAATGGTAGTTCTATTTTTAGTTCTTTAAGGAATCTCCACATTGTTTTCTATAGTGGTTGTACTAGTTTACATTTCCATCAACAGTGTAGAAATGTTCCCTTTTCACCACATACAAGTCAACATCAGTTATTTTCTGATTTTTTGATTATGGCCTTTCTTGAGGGAGTGAGGTGGTATTCCTTTGTTCCTGAGAGATTTTGGTTTTCAATCATCCTACCTTTTGGTTTCTGCAGTTTTAAATTAATTTTTACTATTGGACATGGAAGTACTAAGAAGAACACCAGAGAATCCCTTGAGATCTAGATATAGTCTTCTTTGCTCTCATTGTATACAGCAATTTAATTCCTCCTCTGTAGTCATGAGTAATCACTCTAGCTAGGAGGATAACTCCTCTTTAAGCTTTTTGGTTTAGAGGAATAAAGACCCTTAAATAATTAGATGGAAGCCTCATCTTTCAATTCAATGGACCATTGTCATGTTTTCTGGTGGAAGCATCCTTCACTTGGGAACTAAGACCTCCAAACCAGCAGAACTTAATGTTTCTTTCATAGGAAGCAAATATTCTACTGGCAGGTAATTGGGCTTAATAGTAAAAGTAGTAATTCCCACTTCTGTTCTTAAAATTCCAGACCCATGCATTCTGGCTATGAGGAAGACAGCACCAAATAATGGTGTTTAATTCAAAGGATACACTACATCCTGTAAGACAAAATCCCATCCTTTTGGGTGTTGCCTCCCAACTAGTTTCATGACTTTATCCTCAGTAAGTTATTCCACCTTCCAATTAGGTTAGCCACTTCTGAACGATGAGGTATGTGGTAAGACTAACTAGTTAATTTTATGGGCGTGAGTTCATTGCTATTCTTCCTTTGCTGTGAATTAGGTGCATTATAGAAAGCCATGGTGGTGTGTAAGATTTGTGACTCCATGAATGGTGGTGCTGGTAAAAGCATTATAGACAGGGGAGATAAAGACAGAATTTGGATATCCAAAATATGTGTTTATTTCAGTGAACATAAATCTCTGGCTTCTGTTGAATGTTGTATATATTGATGTGGCCATTTTTGGAAAACATAATCTGCCACATAGCCTAATTGTTAAAACTCTCAATACTGGTGAATTGGTGTGGTATACACTGTGGAGCGACATAACTAGCTGGTGAGATATATTAAGTGTTTGAGAAATATGGGGAAAATAATAACTATTAGGACAATGGGATAGGATGACACAGAAGACAGACTCTGGGATGACATTCAATAATTCCCACCTTTTGGTGTCCATGGCTTTGGGTAATTCCACCTCTTTTAGTGCAGGTAGAACTGATCACTTTCTTCTAACCATTAGAATATGGCAAAGGAAATGAGAATGCCACTCCCTTCACTTGGTTATGTTATATGGCAAAGGTAATGGAATATCACTCCTGTGATTCTATTACATTATGTAAAACTACATCTTAAAATATTGGAGTAAAATGCTTTCCTTTTGGCCTTTAAGAAGACTGCCTTTGTTACTTAAGTTGCTCATGAAGAGCATTACATGGCAGGAAACCACAACCTCTAGAAGCTAAAGGCCTCAGTCTATGGTAGAAAGAAACTGCATTCTGCCAACATTCATGTGTACTACTTAGAAGAGGATGCAAGTCTCCAAAAGAGAATGAAGCCTGGCTGGCACCTTGATTATGGCCTCATGAACCCCTGAGCAGAGGACCTAGTTAAGCTGTGTCCAAACTTTTTTTTTTAAAAATTTTTTTCTCCCCCACCTGCTCTGTCCAGACTTCTGACCCATGGAAACTGTGAGATGATAAATGTATATTGTTTTAAGCCACACATTTTGTAGTAATTTGTCATACAGCAATATAGAACTAATATGGGAGGCAATTGCTAAGTCCTATCAACACTGTAGAAAAACATGACAAAAAACTGAGCATGATTAATTGACTATTGAAAAGCTAGAAGGCCTATCTATGTGGTAGCTTGCACAGAGAATCGCTCTTTTGTAAAGAGAGCAGGGAAAATTAAAGGTCAAGCCTTAAGTAGTGGAAAATATGCCACGTGGATCTTATGTTAAAGCCCAGGGTGAGAATCACAATGCAGGTCTGTGGGCTCTGAGACATGGCCATGAAGTCTTCACTGGAAAATTATGCATCTTATGAAAACAAATCACAGGTTCTGTCTTTCCTAAAGATTTCCATTTACAAGCATTGATGGAAACAGTGGAGCTCGTGAACATGAAGGCTGTGTGAGTGAGGTCAATGGTTGTTTTCATAGGCTAATGCCTGGAGGATCTTCTCTATGGCCTTTGTGAGACCATGGGATGGCCAGGTTTAGGGTAGGATAAGAACGGTTGAGGCTATCTTCAGCCAGTTAAGAGGTTCATGGAGTAAATTTAAACTGCTGTGCTAATGGGCCTTGGTAGGCACAAAATGCCCAACCAGTGGATGGCAAGTAACTACACTTCTGGAAGCAGCCATCAAGAGTTTTGTTCTGGCAGACCAACCATGTCGTAAGATTGAGGAGGCCTAATCCATCATAAAATGGAAGTGGTACATCTGGGATTGAGCAAGAGCCAAGCTTACATAATGAGGGCAGGCAGGACCTATGTGTGGCACCCAGATGATACACTTGACTGCCATTAATAGAAAAGGACACCTGATAATAAGACTGGAATATTCAAGGAAAGAGTGAAAAAATATTTTTCTTTCTACCTTTCCCTTTTCCCTGTTTTATTCTACATATGGCTTCACCATTTGAACTACTAATATGTGTTATGAACTTTAAATATATAGTTTCTTACCTTTCTAACAATCTTGAATTATGTGCTCACACATATTGTTTGCATTTATAAGATCTTACCTAACAGTGTCCTAGCATAGCGAATCACTAATACCACAGAGTTAAGGAGTATTAACAAGACCAAAGGAAAGCCATTACCACTAAGACTGGTGTGTCTGGGCAAGGTGGAGGAGAGTCCTGGATAGATTTGGAAAGATGAATCTTGTCTGGGAAGTTAAGTTTTGAGATAATAAATTAAGGGCTTTCTAAATTTCATTTCTCAGACTGATCCTATTGAGAATAGAGTAAAAGTTTTAAGAAAAGATTGTGTGGGTGCTCCTCAAAGAATGTGACCTGTGCCTTCCTCCCTGGCAATCACAAGTCAGTGGGTTCATTATGTGATGCTAGATCCTAGGTCTAAAATGTTCTCAGGTTCTGTCTGTCCTAAAGATTTCCATTTATAATCATTGTGTGGAAGCAGTGGAGCTCGTGAACATGAAGGCTGTGTGAGTGAGGCCAATGGTTGTTTTCATAGGCTAATGCCTGGAGGATCTTCTCTATGGCCTTTGTAAGACCATGGGATGGCTAGGGTTGGGGTAGGTTAAGAATGGTTGGCCAGGCATCGTGGCTCATGCCTGTAATCCCAGCACTTTGGGAGGCTGAGGCAGGTGCATCGCCTGAGGTCGGGAGTTTGAGACCAGTCTGACCAACATGGAGAAACCCCATCTCTACTAAAAATACAAAATTAGCCAGATGCAGTGGTGCACGCCTGTAATCCCAGCTACTTGGGAGGGTGAGGCAGGAGAATCGCTTGAACCCAGGAGGCAGAGGTTGAAGTGAGCCGAGATCGTGCCATTGCACTCCAGCCTGAGCAACAAGAGTGAAACTCTGAAACTCTGTCTCAAACAAACAAACAAACAAACAAACAAAAAAAACCAAAAAAGAATGGCTGAGGCTATCTGCAGCCAGTTAAGAGGTGCATGGAGTAAATTTAAACTCTATTGGAAGTATGATTGGCAAGTACAGTACTTGACCTCATGGAGCTTAGTGTCTAGTGAAGGAGAGATACATCAATGAAATAATCATATGGACAAATATTTTATATAATCAAGAGATTATAAAATATTTAGAAAAAATGATTAGAAAAATCATTATGGTGAATGATTTGGATAACAGAATAAAATTCAAGTATAAATTTTCATATGTATTTTGTCCTTCCCATTAACCTCTTCAAACTTGTTAAGCTGACATTCTGAAAGGGTGAAAAATACACATAGGCTCACCCAGGTATACACACAGTGACAGACATATGAAATTCTATTTACACAGAGTTACAGTTTTTATACAAAGAAGTTGTACAGCTTTTAAGCAAATGACATTTGAAGAAAATTTTAGTCTATGTTTATATCTTGCTGAAAAGTGGAAGAGATCGAATAATGACTGTTATCAAGTGGGGTGCTTACAGGATCATTCCTGCAGACATAGATGATGATCATTGATGTCCCTGGAAAATTTGGGGCTCAAATCCGGACATGTAGGTCAGTGCAAGAGGAATAGATGAGCACCAATATGGCAGTAAGTTGATGCTGTCTACATTTCTTGCTTATGTGAGTAATAATAGGTATAATGTTATAAAAGTTTGCTGAAGGTCTATTTCTGCTTATTTCTGGGAATAGCTTGAAATGAAAAAGGTTAATTAATAGTTATATAGATAGTGGGCTGTAGGTGTAGCAGAATGAGGTTGTAATATACAAAAATTGTGACTAGTATAGAATTAGGGAAAAATAAAATAGAGATAATGAATTCTTTTATAATTTTTCAATTTGCACTCAGTCCTTTAGTTTTTTGAGATAGATGCAATCCTTTTGATCATGTCTTTGAAAGCCTGTATCAGCACTGACACCACCTTGTTAATAGCTACCTCTTCTTTTGCAGATGGTTTAACATAGATAAAGATGCAGCTTCCATAAGTGATAGAAACCACAATTATATGGGAAGAGCAAGTGCAAAAAGCCTTTTTCCTTTGCTGGGCAGAAGGGAATCTGAGAATGGTCCTGATGATGTAAGTGTAGGACATAATCACACACACCAAGGTAAACAGGAGTGTCAACACCACCAAGACTAATACAAATCGCTCTATAAACTCTGTGTTAGAGCAGGTAATCTTCAGGATGGGGGCAGCATCACAGTCAAAGTGATCTATGACATTGGAGTCACAAAATTCAAGCTCAAAGCCCATGCCAAATGGTGGGATGACAATGATTAGAGGAATTATATGACAGCCAGTGAGGAACTTGATGCAAACTCTGTTGTTCATGATGGTCGTGTAATGCAGGGGTTTGCAGATGGCTACATAACGATCATAGGACATAGCTGTTAGGAGAAAAAACTCAGTCACACCCAGGACAACAACAAAAAACAATTGAGTGGCACATGCATTATAGGTAACAGTATTTTCCCCAGATGCCATTGTGTAGAGAAATCTGGGAATTCACACAGTTGTAAATGAGACTTCCAAGATGGAAAAATTCCGGAGGAAAAAATACATAGGTGTTTTAAGGTGGGAGTCCACAAAAGTGAACGTCATGATGGTCAAATTTCCAACAACACTTAACAAATAGGTTAGAAACAAGAAGATAAAAAGCAGAATCTGTAGATTTGTGTCATCTGTTAGTCCCACCAGGATAAGTGTTTTTATTGTTGTATAATATTTCATCACTGATTGCTGACTATAGCTTGGTCTGTGTTTAAAAATAACAGAAAAATTAGAGCAGAGAAAGGGACTGTCAGCATAAGTTAACAGTGGGGTGAGGTGAAAATGTTAGATAAGCCACAATTTTATTTTATTTATCTGTTAACCAGCAGGATGTTGGAGTGGTAGTTAACTAATCATGCTACAGGAAAGTCACTGCTGAGCATTATATGAGAGACCAGCCATAGGCTCTTATTAAATATATATATATATATATAATTTAAATTTTATTATTATTATACTTTAAGTTTTAGGGTACATGTGCACAATGTGCAGGTTTGTTACATATGTATACATGTACCATGTTGGTGTGCTGCACCCATTAACTCGTCATTTGGCATTAGGTATATCTCCTAAAGCTATCCCTCCCCACTCCCCCAACCCCACAACAGTCCCCAGAGTGTGATGTTCCCCTTCCTGTGTCCATGTGTTCTCATTGTTCAATTCCCACCTATGAGTGAGAATATGTGGTGTTTGGTTTTTTGTTCTTGTGATAGTTTACTGAGAATGATGATTTCCAATTTCATCCATGTCCCTACAAAGGACATGAACTCATCATTTTTTATGGCTGCATAGTATTCCATGGTGTATATGTGCCACATTTTCTTAATCCAGTCTATCATTGTTGGACATTTGGGTTGGTTCCAAGTCTTTGCTATTGTGAATAGTGCCGCAATAAACATACGTGTGCATGTGTCTTTATAGCAGCATGATTTATAGTCATTTGGGTATATACCCAGTAATGGGATGGCTGGGTCAAATGGTATTTCTAGTTCTAGATCCCTGAGGAATCGCCACACTGACTTCCACAATGGTTGAACTAGTTTACAGTCCCACCAACAGTGTAAAAGTGTTCCTATTTCTCCACATCCTCTCCAGCACCTGTTGTTTCCTGACTTCTTAATGATTGCCATTCTAACTGGTGTGAGATGGTATCTCATTGTGGTTTTGATTTGCATTTCTCTGATGGCCAGTGATGGTGAGGATTTTTTCATGTGTTTTTGGCTGCATAAATGTCTTCTTTTGAGAAGTGTCTGTTCATGTCCTTCGCCCACTTCTTGATGGGGTTGTTTGTTTTTTCCTTGTAAATTTGTTTGTGTTCATTGTAGATTCTGGATATTAGCCCTTTGTCAGATGAGTAGGTAGCAAAAATTTTCTCCCATTTTGTAGGTTGCCTATTCACTCTGATGGCATTTCCTTTTGTTGTGAAGAAGCTCTTTAGTTTAATTGATCCCATTTGTCAATTTTGGCTTTTGTTGCCATTGCTTTTGGTGTTTTAGACATGAAGTCCTTGCCCATGCCTATGTCCTGAATGGTAATGCCTAGGTTTTCTTCTAGAGTTTTTATGGTTTTAGGTCTGATGTTTAAGTCTTTAATCCATCTTGAATTAATTTTTGTATAAGGTGTAAGGAAGGGATCCAGTTTCAGCTTTCTCCATATGGCTAGCCAGTTTTCCCAGCACCATTTATTAAATAGGGAATCCTTTCCCCACTGCTTGTTTTTCTCAGGTTTGTCAAAGATCAGATAGTTGTAGATATGTGGCATTATTTCTGAGGGCTCTGTTCTGTTCCATTGATCTATATCTCTGTTTTGGTACCAGTACCATGCTGTTTTGGTTACTGTAGCCTTATAGTATAGTTTGAAGTCAGGTAGCGTGATGCCTCCAGCTTTGTTCTTTTGGCTTAGGATTGACTTGGCAATGCATGCTCTTTTTTGGTTCCATATGAACTTTAAAGTAGTTTTTTCCAATTCTGTGAAGAAAGTCATTGGTAGCTTGATGGGGATGGCATTGAATCTATAAATTACCTTAGGCAGTATGACCATTTTCACGATATTGATTCTTCCTACCCATGAGCATGGAATGTTCTTCCATTTGTTTATATCCTCTTTTATTTCATTGAGCAGTGGTTTGTAGTTCTCCTTGAAGAGGTCCTTCACATCCCTTGTAAGTTGGATTCCTAGGTATTTTATTCTCTTTGAAGCAATGGTGAATGGGAGTTCACTCATGATTTGGCTCTCTGTTTGTCTGTTATTGGTGTATAAGAATGCTTGTGATTTTTGTACATTGATTTTGTATCCTGAGACTTTGCTGAAGTTGCTTATCAGCTTAAGGAGATTTTGGGCTGAGACAATGGGGTTTTCTAGATATACAATCATGTCATCTGCAAAAAGGGACAATTTGACTTCCTCTTTTCCTAATTGAATACCCCTTATTTCCTTCTCCTGCCTAATTGCCCTGGCCAGAACTTCCAACACTATGTTGAATAGGAGTGGTGAGAGAGGGCATCCCTGTCCTATGCCAGTTTTCAAAGAGAATGTTTCCAGCTTTTGTCCATTCAGTATGATATTGGCTGTGGGTTTGTCATAGATAGCTCTCATTATTTTGAGATACGTCCCATCAATACCTAATTTATTGAGAGTTTTTAGCAGGAAGGGTTGTTGAATTTTGTCAAAGGCCTTTTCTGCATCTATTGAGATAATCATGTGGTTTTTGTCTTTGGTTCTGTTTATATGCTGGATTACGTTTATTGATTTGCGTATATTGAACAAGCCTTGCATCCCAGGGATGAAGCCCACTTGATCGTGATGGATAAGTTTTTGATGTGCTGCCGGATTCGGTTTGCCAGTATTTTATTGAGGATTTTTGCATCAATGTTCATCAAGGATATTGGTCTAAAATTCTCTTTTTTTGTTGTGTCTCTGCCAGGCTTTGGTATCAGGATGATGCTGACCTCATAAAATGAGTTAGGGTCCCATATTTCTTGGAGGCTTTGTTGATTTCTTTTTATTCTTTTTTTTCTAAACTTCTTTTCACGCTTCATTCCATTCCTTTCGTGTTCCATCGCTGATACCCTTTCTTCCAGTTGATCGCATCAGTTACTGAGGCTTGTACATCCATAATGTAGTTCTCATGCCATGGTTTTCAGCTCCATCAAGTCCTTTAAGGACATCTCTGCATTGGTTATTCCAGTTATCCATTCATCTAATTTTTTTTCAAAGTTTTTTACTTCTTTGCCATGGGTTCGAACTTCCTCCTTTAGCTCAGAGTAGTTTGATCTTCTGAAGCCTTCTTCTCTCAACTCACCAAAGTCATTCTCCATCCAGCTTTGTTCTGTTGCTGTTGAGGAGCTGCGTTCCTTTGGAGGAGGCGAGGTGCTCTGATTTTTAGAGTTTCCGGTTTTTCTGCTCTGTTTTTTTCCCATCTTTGTGGTTTTATCTACCTTTGGTCTTTGATGATGGTGATGTACAGATGGGTTTTTGGTGTGGATGTCCTTTCTGTTTGTTATTTTTCCTTCTAACAGTCAGGATCCTCAGCTGCAGGTCTGTTGGAGATTGTTGGAGGTCCACTCCAGATGGTGTTTGCCTGGGCATTAGCAGCAGTGGCTGCAGAACAGCGGATATTGGTGAACTGCAAATACTGCTGCCTGATCGTTCCACTGGAAGTTTTATCTCAGAGGGGTACCTGGCCATGTGAGGTGTCAGTCCACCCCTATTGGGGGGTGCCTCCCAGTTAGGCTATTCAGGGGTCAGGGACCCACTTGAGGAGGCAGTCTGTCCATTTCAGATCTCAAGATGCATGCTGGGAGAACCACTACTCTCTTCAAAACTGTCAGACAGGGACATTTAAGTCTGCAGAGGTTATTGCTGTCTTTTGTTTGTCTGTGCGCTGCCCCCAGAGGTGGAGGCTACAGAGGCAGGCAGGCCTCCTTGAGCTGTGGTGGGCTCCACCCAGTTCGAGCTTCCCAGCTGCTCTGTTTACCTACTCAAGCCTGGGCAATGGTGGGCGCCTCTCCCCCAGCCTCGCTGCCGCCTTGCAGTTTGATCTCAGACTGCTGTGCTGGCAATGAGTGAGGCTCTGTGGGTATAGGACCTTCGGAGCCATGTGCAGGATATAATCTCCTTCTGTGCCGTTTGTTAAGCCCATTGGAAAGGTGCAGTATTAGGGTGGGAGTGACCTGATTTTCCAGATGCTGTCTGTCACCCCTTTCTTTGACTAGGAAAGGGAATTCCCTGATCCCTTGTGCTTCCTGGGTGAGGCAATGCCTTGCCTTGCTTTGGCTCATGCACAGTGTGCTGCACCCACTGTCCTGCACCCACTCTCCAGCACTCCCCAGTGAGATGAACCCGGTACCTCAGTTGGAAATGCAGAAGTCACCTGTCTTCTGCATCGCTCACGCTGGGAGCTGTAGACTGGACCTGTTCCCATTCGGCCATCTTGGCTCCACCCCTAGGGTTTGTCTTTTCTACTGCATCATCAGGCTGCAAATTTTCTGTACTTTAATGGTCCATTTCCCTTTTAAAACAGAATGCTTTCAACAGCACCCAAGTCATCTCTTGAATGCTTTGCTGCTTAGACATTTCTTCCACCAGATACCCTAAATCATCCCTATCAAATTCAAAGTTCCACAAATCTCTAGGGCAGGGACAAAATGCCACCAGTCTCTTTGCTAAAACATAACAAGTATCATCTTTGCTCCAGTTCTCAACAAGTTCCTTATCTCCATCTGAGAGATGGACCTACCTCAGCCTGGACCTTATTGTTTATATTGCTATCAGCGTCTTTGTCAAAGCCATTCAACAAGTCTCTAGGAGGTTCCAAACTTTCCCACATTTTTCTGTCTTCTGACCTTATGCTAAAACATAACAAGAATTATCTTTTCTCCAGTTCCCAACAAGTTCCTTATCTCCATCTGAGAGATGGACCTACCTCAGCCTGGACCTTATTGTTTATATCACTATCAGCATCTTTGTCAAAGACATTCAATAAGTCTCTAGGAGGTTCCAAACTTTCCCACATTTTTCTGTCTTCTTCTAAGTCCCCCAAATTGTTCCAACCTCTGCCTGATACCCAGTTCCAAAGTCGCTTCCATATTTTCAGGTATCTTTTCAGCAATGCTTCCCTCTACTGGTACCAATATACTGTATAAGTTCATTTTTATACTGCTGATAAAGACACATCTGTGACTGAGAAGAAAAAGAGGTTTAATTGGACTTAAAGCTCCACATGGCTGGGAGGCCTCAGAATCATGGCTGGAGGAGAAAGGCACTTCCTACATGGTGGTGGCAAGAAAAATGAGGAAGATGCTAAAGCGGAAACTCCTGATAAAACCATCAGATCTCTTGAGACTTATTCACTATCATGAGAACAGTATGGGGGAAATCACCCCCATGATTCAAATGATCTCCCACCAGGTCCCTCCCACAACACATGGGAATTATGGGAATGCAATTTAAGATGAAATTTGGGTGGGGACAGAGTCAAACCATATCAGTCACAGTGGTGGTAGTGTTGGCACAGGGGCAATGTGCTGGTGGGCACAGGTCTGTGTGCCTTCTCTGTGTGCTGCAAGCAGAAGTGGTCAATTTTAAAAAATTATTTCAATCTCTTTGTTAAATTTATCTGATAGAATTCTGAATTCCATTTCTGTGTTATTTTAAATTTCTTTGAGTTTTCTCAAAACAGCAATTTTTAGTTCTGTCTGAAAGGTCACATATCTCTGTTTCTCCAGGTTTGGTCCCTGGTGCCTTATTTAGTTTGTTTGGTGAGGTCATGTTTTCCTGGATGATGCTGATGCTTGTGGATATTTGTTAGTGTCTGGGCTTTGAAAAGTTAGGTAGTTATTTTAGTCTTCACAGTCAGGGCTTATTTGTACCTCTCCTTATTGAAAAGTCTTTATGAGTACTTGAAAGAACTTGGTGTTTTGTATCTGGATTAGCGGGCACAGCAAGCCCAATAACACTGGGGTTCTTGAAGACTCATAGATGTACTGCCTTGGTGGTCTTGGTAAGAGCCAGAAGAATTCTCTGAATTTCCAGGCAGAGACTCTTGTTCTCTCCCCTTACTTCCTCCCAATCAGATGGAGTCTCTCTGTGAGGAACCACCTGGAGCTGGGGGTGTGGTGATGCAAGCAACTCTGTGGCTACCACCACTGGGACTGTGCTGGGTCAGACCTATAGTCACCATAACACTGGATCTTGCCCAAGGCCTGCTGTAACCACTGCCTGGCTGCTTCCTATGTCTTCCCAAGGCCCTAGGGCTTTACAATTGGCAGGTGGCAAAGCCAGACAGGCTTGTGTTCTTCCCTTCAGGGTGTCAAGTTCCCCTATCCCCCAGGAGGGCATCTGTGAGCCAGGGACTGGAGTCAAAATCCTTGGACATTGACCTGGTGTTCTACTGTGCTGTAGCTAAGCTGGCATTTAAACCATGAGACACAATCCTTCCCACTTTTTCCTCCCCTTTCCACAGTCAGAGGACCCTCACCTCATAAACACCACCACCACAGTTCCATGAGGAGTACCACCAGGCTGCCACCAATGTTCACTTAAGGCTGAAGGGCTCTTCAGTCAGCTTGTGGTGAATGCTACCAGACCTAGGACTCATCTTTTAGGGCAGTGGGCTCCCCTCTGGCCCAGGGCAGGTCCAGAAATGCCATCCAAGAGTCAAGTTCTGGAATCAGGGACTCCAAATGCCTGCTTGCTGCTCTAGTCTCCTGTGACCAAGCTGGTACATAAGATACAAGACAAAGTCCTTTTTACTCTTTTCTCCACTTTTCTCAAGTAGGAGTCTCTCATCATAGCCACCTTAGCTGGGAATGTACTGAGTCTCACTTGAAGGCAGCACCTCTCAGAGTCTCACTCGATGCCCCTGGTGTACTACCTGGGTATTGCTACTGGTTATTCAGGGCCCAAGGGATCTTTAGTCAGAAGGTGATGGGTCCTGCCATGACTGGATGCTTCCTTTAAAGGCAGCAGTTTCACTTCTGGCCCAGGGTGTATCTAGACATGTCATCCAGGAGCCAGGGCCTGGAAGGAGACCTCATGACCCTGCTCAAAGAATGTTGTATCCTGAAAGACTAGGCATGAAAGTGGTCCAGGAGGAAGGAGTAATTTATCAAGTCAAATGCAGCTGATAGATCAAACAGGATGATGACTAAACTTTGGCCATTGCTTTGATGTGATGACCACTGGTGACCATGATAAAAGCTGTTTTGGTGATTGGTGAGGACAAAAGCTTGATTGGAGTGGGTTTTTGTGAGAATAGAAGGAGATGAATTGGAGACAGGGAATATAGAGAAGTGTTTATGGAAATATGACTGTAAAAATCCAAACAGAATGGGGTAGAAGATGAAGTGGTTGGTGGAGATAAGAAAGGGAATTTTAGAATGAAATAAACTATATGCATGTTTGTAATGGTGTGCAAAGGAACAATCTGTTAGAGTGGCAAAAGATGATTCTGGGGGGAAAGGAGTCAATTATGGGAGCATTGTCTTTGTGAGTGGATGTGGGGTCTATTGCACAGTGGATGAGATGGTCTTAAGAGAAAGACTATTTCATTTAGCATGTCAATTAACAAACCAATCTATTTTGTTATATGCATATAAATTTATTTGCATACATTGGAACAAAAGCAATTATAATATTTACAATAAAACAGAAAAGGGCAAAGAAGGGGGAAAAAACCCCCACAAGCACATACAAAGACAGTGAGGAAAGAATGAATTTTACATTTTCCCCACTGAGTTATCTGACTGCCTGTCAGCTACCAAAGAAGCCAGTCTTGGCAGTTGGTCCTGGAAAAATTTGGCTCAGTTATCATGGAAAAGTTTTAATTATTTCCCAATTTCCTGAAAAGTTTGAAAAATAAATAATAGGCTAGTGTTCTGTAGTGTGTGTCACTGTTCATTTGTTAGTAATTCCACCATACTTAGGACAAATTTACTACTAGGTGGTAACTGGAGGAAAAGTAGAGTACATACTCACAGATGCCAAGTAGATAGAGGAGCTTTGACTTTACTCTGTCCTCAATAGGCAGCCATTGAATTTTTGAGGCATATGAAGTAAAGGGCTCATATTGTTTTTTTGGAAAATTATTCTGGGAAGAGTTTGAATGCTGAATTTAAGAAGTAAGAGTGTGAAAGGAGGTAGGAAGACCAATTTGGAGAAATAACTGAAAAGTACAATACTGATTTTTTATGTTAATTGCCTGTTTGTATCAAGTGCAGCATACTTCCAGTCATGGAAACTTAAACTCTACTAGCGAGAAAGACTTAACTTTCCTCTCATTTCACTTATTAATCAGTCAGTAAATGTCATTGATTTTTTTTTCTAATTTTTATATCTGCCTCAGGTAACCTGTTGCCCAGGTAGATAGATTTGCTAAAAGTTTTGAAGCACGGTCTAATACATCTATTTGATTCTGTCCTCTTGCAAGAAATGCTCTCTGCCTACTTCTTCCTTCACATTTTACAATCTCTTCTGACTCTAAGAAGAGTTCTGTCTCTTCACCAGGCCTGTCAGAATAGGAAGCAGTATTGTGTTCTGGTCAAGTGGATGAACTCTCAACCCAGATTAGCTGGGTTCAAATCTTAGCTTTTCTACATATTAGCTGTATGACTTAAGCTCTATGCCTCAGTTCCCTTATTGATAATATAAGAATTATGATAATAGCATGTTGTTATTAATTATTATATCAATTATTATATCAACCCAATTTAAGGAAAACAGTAATACAATCCAAGAATTGAAAGACAATATCAAAAAGCTAATTTACCACAATAGAGTAGGCTTTCTTTCTGGGATGCAATGTTGGTTTAACATATGCAAATCAGTAAATGTGATTCACCACATAAACAGAATTAGTAACAAAAACCAGCAGAAACAAAAGGTTTGCCCTATAGAGATCTCTGGTATTGGCTAATGATCATTATGTCTCTAGGAGTGAAATAGATGGGCTGCCTATTAAAATATTACTTCAGAAGTTTTAGGTCTGGTGAATTGAAGTCTAATATTAATCACCACACCAGAGGGCCATGGCTTCTCAGTCAATTTCCAGACATGAACCCATTCACAGACTCAGAGCTCCTCAAATATAAATGAATCAGGTTTCTTTAAGGAAGGAACTCACTACACATCCAAAAATTTGTTTTGTAAATATTCTTCCCAGATTTCCCTGAAAAAAGTATGGCTTCTTACACAGGTGACTGTGTATTAAGGAAGAGGAAATAGCCAGACTTTCATCTACTGGTAGAATCTCCACATAGTCTCCCAACTTATGGAGCAATTGTGATAATACTAAGTGGTATTACGATAATACTAAGTGGTAGATACTAGAAGTTCCTTTGTTATAGAAGTTCCTTTGTTATAAGAAACAGTACACCAAAAGCAACATGACATATCTGAAGGAATTACAAAATTGGTGCTAATATTAGGACTTGAAAGATGCAAAACTGGTAATTCTCACTACATTTAACTTGCTATTTATTGTGATGAAGGCAGATAGGTCCTGGATATTGACAGGCAATTATTATAAAATTAATCAGACAGTGACTCCAATTGCTGTTGTCATTTCAGATCATAGGTTCCCTAGACCTGGCATGCTGGTGCCAGTTTGTCAATCGAGTTTTTCTCTATAATGTTAGTAAAGACTACTGGAAGCATTTTGCTTTTGGCTGGTGGGGTCAGAAGTACACCTTCACTATTATTATTATATACAGCAATGTGAAGTACACATTTGCTCTGTAGTAACTCTCCACTGTCCAGTCTGCAAGAACTTGAGTGTTTTTCCATTCCACAGGACATCATACTCATCCAGTACTTTTATGCCGGCATGTTCTTTGGACCAATAAGCAGGAAGGATCAATTTCCATAAAATCCTTGAGAGGACACATGTGTGTTAATGGGCTTAAAATAAAAACCTACCAAAATTTAAATGAAATTTTGAGAGGTCATGGTATATACTGTGTCAAGATATTTCTCCTGCGGTGCTGACAAAGTTGTTGAATAATGTCCTTTTGGAATTTGGAGGCAAGACATGGTTCAGGTAAATGTGGCATTGTGACACATTTGCAGAATAACAACAGGGCTGCCAGTTTTGAGTACATCCTAGGGTAATATAAAGGCTATGGATTATGTCCAGTCTGCTCTGATTCTTTGCCATTTAGATCACCTGTCCCTAAGTGACCCAATGCCACTTGAAGTGTCTTGTCAGATAAAGATGCTGTAAAGAGGCTTTGGCAGGTCCCTATGGGTGATTCATGATGTGAGCTTTTATAATTTTGGAACAAATTGTGTTATCATCTGTAGCTAATGTTATTTTGAGAAAGATTTTAGAGACAGAGACCTAATACAGACTGAATACTTTACCATGAACCACCAAGTTACCATGAAGTCTGAGCTGCCTGGGAGTTTTCTGGCCTACCAAGCCATAAGATTGGGTGTTGGTAGCAGAACTTCATCATCAGAGGCAGTGGTATATTTGGGATCGGTCACATTTTTGATAGTTCTTAAGGCAAAAGTAAATTGTACAAGGAAGTGGCTCAGATTCTCATTTCTCCTATCCCTGCTACATTGCCATCTGTGTTTCAACCCACACCCTTGGCTTTATGAATTGATTCCTATGACCAACTGACTAATAAACTCATCAATAAAAAATTCAGGTATTGTCTAAAGATGCTTTTGAGTGATTTGTTGGTAATATCTGAATGCAAATGCTGCAGAGCTTGTCCTGAAAAAATACAATAAAAGGAAATCTTACCAATGGAAAGAACTTTGAGCTGTGCGCCTCATTGATTATTTTGCCTGAAAGGAGAGATGACCAAAAGTATGGATCTATACTAATTCATTATCAATGGCTAATTGCTTGACTATAAATTCTGAACTTTTGTAAGAAACACAATTGATAACTAAGAGGTGTGTGATTATATCCTTCAAAATGGATATAGTGTTGTGAATATATTTGTATCCCATGTAAATACTAACTAAATAGCAACCTCAGCAGAGAAAAAACTTGTAAATTAGGTGGATCAAATTATTCGTTCTGTGGGTAATCACCTAGCCTCTTCTCCTGCTACCCCTGTTTTTTTTTCCCCATGGGATGATGAGTAAAATGGCCATGGTCACAGAGATGGAGGAATTGAGCAATTAGGCTGTTAGAGCATTTATATTATATTTTACAACACTGTATTGCAGTCTTGTAGAAAAAGACAAGTACTGGAGTTCTAGAACTTTCAGCCCATGGTTTGATAGATGAGCATGGAAATCCTAAGATACCTGTGGTGATCTTAGAAATAGTTGTTCAAGTGCTCATAACATTGATTTTTCTTTCTGATTATGAAGAAATTTCATTGCCTAATGCACTGAAATAGAGAATATATCTAAGTAAGATCAACAAAACTGTGGCTGAGTTACTTGTGTAAGAAGGCCAAAAATATAAATTTAGGTCCTACTGACTTTTAGGCTTCTTCATCTATGTCTTTGCCATATAAATAGTCTGAGGAAGAAAGAAGATGTTAAGAAAGCATAGTCCTTATTTTCTTCTTTAGAGAAAGGTTTTAAGTTCTACTTTAATGTAAAATTAGTGTGATAAAATAGTTCCTTCTTAGCCTATTTATTTCTCTGTCAACTGTGAAGAAAGTTAAACCCTTGAATTCTGCTTTATAGGGTCCCTGTAGCAGGATGGTTTGCATTACAAAAAAATGAGAAATACATCACCTCTACTTATTCTTCTTGGGACAAAAGATGCCAGACAAGAAAAAAAATCCCGAGAAAAATTATTTTTGCACTAAAAAAGCCATCAATTTAAAGGTATGAATGGAGAAAAATATGAAAAAGAAACTTTGGTTATTAATCAGAAAATATGGTAGATTTGAATTAGAACATATAATAAGAGAAGAAATACTTATATATATCCTTTTAATTTGGAAAATCTGGGTCTAAATCCAAGATGGCCAAAAGGAACAGCTCCAGTCTACAGCTCCCAGCATGAGCGATGGAGAAGATGGTTGATTTCTGCATTTCCAACTGAGGTACTGGGTTCATCTCACCAGGGAGTGTTGGAAAGTGGGTGCAGGACAGTGGGTACAGCACACCGAGCATGAGCCGAAGCAGGGCAAGGTATCGCCTCACCCGGGAAGTGCAAGGGGTCAGGGAATTCTCTTTCCTAGTCAAAGAAAGGGGTGACAGATGGCACCTGGAAAATCGGGTCACTCCCACCCTAATATTGTGCTTTTCCAATGGTCTTAGCAAATGACACACCAGCAGATTTTATCCCGTGTCTGGCTTGGAGGGTCCTATGCCAATGGAACCTCACTTATTGCTAGCACAGCAGTCTGAGATCAAACTGCAAGGCGACAGTGAGGCTGGGGGAGGGGTGCCCGCCATTGCCGAGGCTTGAGTAGGTAAACAAAGTGGCTGGGAAGCTCGAACTGGGTGGAGCCCACCACAGCTCAAGAAAACCTGCCTGCCTCTGTAGACTCCACCTCTGGGGGCAAGGCATAGCCAAACAAAAGGCAGCAGAAACCTCTGCAGACTTAAATGTCCCTGTCTGACAGCTTTGAAGAGAGTAGTGGTTCTCCCAGCATGCAGCTTGAGATCTGAGAACAGACAGACTACCTCCTCAAGTGGGTCCCAGACCCTCGAGTAGCCTAACTGGGAGGCACCCCTGAGTAGGGGCAGAATGACACATCACATGGCCAGGTACTCCTCTGAGACAAAACTTCCAGAGGAACGATCAGGCAGCAACATTTGCTGTTTGCCAATATCCACTGTTCTGCAGCCTCTGCTGCTGATACCCAGGCAAACAGGGTCTGGAGTGGACCTCTAGCAAACTCCAACAGACCTGCAGCTGAGGGTCCTGACCATTAGAAGGAAAACTAACAAACAGAAAGGACATCCACACCAAAACCCCATCTGTATGTCACCATCATCAAAGACCAAAGGTAGATAAAACCACAAAGATGGGGAAAAAACAGAGCAGAAAAACTGGAAACTCTAAAAATCAGAGCACCTCTCCACCTCCAAAGGAACGAAGCTCCTCACCAGCAACAGAATAAAGCTGGACGGAGAATGACTTTGGCGAGTTGAGAGAAGAGGGCTTCAGAAGATCACATTACTCAGAGCTAAAGGAGGAAGTATGAACCAATGGCAAAGAAGTTAAAAACCTTGAAAAAAAATTAGATGAATGGCTAACTAGAATAACCAATGCAGAGAAGTCCTTAAAGGACCTGATGGAGATGAAAACAAGGGCATGAGAACTATGTGATGAATGCATAAGCCTCAGTAGCCTATTCAATCGACTGGAAGAAAGGGTATCAGTGATGGAAGATCAAATGAATGAAATGAAGCGAGAAGAGAAGTTTAGAGAAAAAAGAATAAAAAGAAATGAACAAAGCCTCCAAGAAATATGGGACTATGTGAAAAGACCAAATCTACGTCTGATTGTTGTACCTGAAAGTGATGGGGAGAATGGAACCAAGTTGGAAAACACTCTAAAACACTCTACAGGATATTATCCAGGAGAACTTCCCCAATTTAGCAAGGCAGGCCAACATTCACATTCAGGAAATACAGAGAACGCCACAAAGATACTCTTCGAGAAGAGAAACTCAAAGACACATAATTGTCAGATTCACCAAGGTTGAAATGAAGGAAAATATGTTAAGGGCAGCCAGAGAGAAAGGTCGGGTTACCCACAAAGGGGTAATCAGACTAACAGCGGATCTCTCCGCAGAAACTCTATAAGCCAGATGAGAGTGGGGGCCAATATTCAACATTCTTAATGAAAAGAATTTTCAACCCAGAATTTCATATCCAGCCAAACTAAGCTTCATAAGTGAAGGAGAAATAAAATCCTTTACAGACAAGCAAATGCTGAGAGATTTTGTCACCACCAGGCCTGCCCTAAAAGAGCTCCTGAAGGAAGCACTAAACATGGAAAGGAACAACTGGTACCAGCCACTGCAAAAACATGCCAAATTGTAAAGACCATCAAGGCTAGGAAGAAACTGCATCAACTAACGAGCAACATAACCAGCTAACATCATAATGACAGGATCAAATTCACACATAAAACTATTAACCTTAAATGTTAATGGGCTAAATGCTCCAATTAAAAGACACAGACTGGCAAATTGGATAAAAAGTCAAGACCCATCAGTTTGCTGTATTTAGGAAACCCATCTCATGTGCAGAGACACACAGAGGCTCAAAATAAAGGGATGGAGGAAGATCTACCAAGCAAATGGAAAACAAAAAAAGGCAGGGGTTGCAATCCTAGTCTCTGATAAAACAGATTTTAAACCAACAAAGATCAAAAGAGACAAAGAAGGTCATTACATAATGGTAAAGGGATCAATTCAGGAAGAAGAACTAACTATCCTAAATATATATGCACCCAATACAGGAGCACCCAAATTCATAAAGCAAGTCCTTAGAGTCCTACAAAGAGGTTAGACTCCCACACAATAATAACGGCAGACTTTAACACCCCACTGTCAACATTAGACAGATCCACGAGACAGAAAGTTAACAAGGATATCCAGGAACTGAACTCAGCTCTGCACCAAGCGGACCTAATAGACATCTACAGAACTCTCCACCCCAAATCAACAGAATATACATCCTTTTCAGCACCACACCACACCTATTCCAAAACTGACCACATACTTGGAAGTAAAGCACTCCTCAGCAAATGTAAAAGAACAGAAATTATAACAAACTGTCTCTCAGACCACAGTGGGATCAAACTAGAACTCAGGATTAAGAAACTCACTCAAAACCGCTCAACTACATGGAAACTGAACAACCTGCTCCTGAATGACTACTGGATACATAACGAAATGAAGGCAGAAATAACAATGTTCTTTGAAACCAATGAGAACAAAGACACAACATACCAGATTCTCTGGGACACATTCAAAGCAGTGTGTAGAGGGAAATTTATAGCACTAAATGCCCACAAGAGAAAGCAGAAAAGATCCAAAATTGACACACTAATGTCACAATTAAAAGAACTAGAAAAGCAAGAGCAAACACATTCAAAAGCTAGCAGAAGGCAAGAAATAACTAAAATCAGAGCAGAACTGAAGGAAATAGCGACACAAAAATCCCTTCAAAAAATTAATGAATCCAGGAGCTGGTTTTTTGAAAAGTTCAACAAAATCGATAGACCACTAGCAAGACTAATAAAGAAGAAAAGAGAGAAGAATCAAATAGAAACAATAAAAAATGATAAAGGGGATATCACCACAGATCCCACAGAAATACAAACTACCATCAGAGAATACTACAAACACCTCTACGCAAATAAACTAGAAAATACAGAAGAAGTGTATAAATTCCTCAACACATACACCCGCCCAAGACTAAAACAGGAAGAAGTTGAATCTCTGAATAGACCAATAACAGGATCTGAAATTGTGGCAATAATCAATAGCTTACCAACCAAAAAAAGTCCATGACCAGATAGATTCACAGCCAAATTCTACCAGAGGTACAAGGAGGAGATGGTACCATTCCTTCTGAAACTATTCCAATCAATAGAAAAAGAGGGAATCCTCCCTAACTCATTTTATGAGGCCAGCATCATCCTGATACCAAAGCCGGGCAGAGACACAACCAAAAAAGAGAATTTTAGACCAATATCCTTGATGAACATTGATGCAAAAATCCTCAATAAAATACTGGCACACCAAATCCAGCAGCACATCAAAAAGCTTATCCACCATGATCAAGTGGGCTTCATCCCTGGGATGCAAGGCTGGTTCAATAGACGCAAATCAATAAATGTAATCCAGAATATAAACAGAACCAAAGACAAAAACCACATGATTGTCTCAATAGATGCAGCAAAGGCCTTTGACAAAATTCAACAACCTTCATGCTAAAAACTCTCAATAAATTAGGTATTGATGGGATGTATCTCAAAATAATAAGAGCTATCTATGAGAAATCCACAGCCAATATCATACTGAATGGGCAAAAACTGGAAGCATTCCCTTTGAAAACTGGCACAAGACAGGGATGCCCTCTCTCACCACTCCTATTCAACATAGTGTTGGAAGTTCTGGCCAGGGCAATTAGGCAGGAGAAGGAAATAAGGGGTATTCAATTAGGGAAAGAGGAAGTCAAATTGTCCCTGTTTGCAGATGACATGATTGTATATCTAGAAAACCCATAATCTCAGCCCAAAATCTCCTTAAGCTGATAGGCAACTTCGGGAAAGTCTCAGGATACAAAATCAATGTGCAAAAATCACAAGCATTCTTACACACCAACAACAGACAAACAGAGAGCCAAATCATGAGTGAACTCCCATTCACAACTGCTTCAAAGAGAATAAAATACCTAGGAATCCAACTTACAAGGGATGTGAAGGACCTCTTCAAGGAGAACTACAAACCACTGCTCAAGGAAATAAAAGAGGATACAAACAAATGGAAGAACATTCCATCCTCATGGGTAGGAAGAATCAATATCGTGAAAATGGTCATACTGCCCAAGGTAATTTATAGATTCAATGCCATCCCCATCAAGCTACCAATGACTTTCTTCACAGAATTGGAAAAAACTACTTTAAAGTTCATATGGAACCAAAAAAGAGCCCGCATTCCCAAGTCAATCCTAAGCCAAAAGAACAAAGCTGGAGGCATCACGTTACCTGACTTCAAACTATACTACAAGGCTACAGTAACCAAAACAGCATGGTACTCATACCAAAGCAGAGATATAGACCAATGGAACAGAATAGAGCCCTCAGAAATAATACCATACATCTACAACTATCTGATCTTTGACAAACCTGACAAAAACAAGCAATGGGGAAAGGATTCCCTATTTAATAAATGGTTCTGGGAAATCTGGCTAGCCATATGTAGAAAGCTGAAACTGGATCCCTTCCTTACTCCTTATACAAAAATTAATTCAAGATGGATTAAAGACTTAAATGTTAGACCTAAAACCATAAAAACCCTAGAAGAAAACCTAGGCAATATCATTCAGGACATAGGCATGGGCAAGGACTTCATGTCCAAAACACCAAAAGCAATGGCAACAAAAGCCAAAATAGACAAATGGGATCTAATTAAACTAAAGAGCTTCTGCACAGCAAAAGAAACTACCATCGGAGTGAACAGGCAACCTATAAAATGGGAGAGAATTTTTGCAACCTACTCATCTGACAAAGGGCTAATATCCAGAATCTACAATGAACTCCAAGAAATTTACAAGAAAAAAACAAACAACCCCATCAACAAGTGGGTGAAGGATATGAACAGACACTTCTCAAAAGAAGACATTTATGCAGCCAAAAAACACATGAAAAAATCTCATCATCACTGGCCATCAGAGAAATTCAAATAAAAACCACAGTGAGGTACCATCTCACACCAGTTAGAATGGCGATCATTTAAAAGTCAGGAAACAACAGGTGCTGGAGAGGATGTGGAGAAATAGGAACACTTTTACACTGTCAGTGGGACTGTGAACTAGTTCAACCATTGTGGAAGTCAGTGTGGCGATTCCTCAGGGATCTAGAACTAGAAATACCATTTGACCCAGCCATCCCATTACTGGGTATATATCCAAAGGATTATAAATCATGCTGCTCTAAAGACACATGCACACGTATGTTTATTGCGGCACTGTTCACAATAGCAAAGCCTTGGAACCAACCCAAATGTCCAACAATGATAGACTGGATTAAGAAAATGTGGCACATATACACCATGGAATACTATGCAGCCATAAAAAATGAAGAGTTCATGTCCTTTGTAGGGACGTGGATGAAACTGGAAACCATCATTCTCAGCAAACTATCGCAAGGACAAAAAACAAACACTGCATGTTCTCACTCACAGGTGGGAACTGAACAATGAGAACACATGGAAGCAGGAAGGGGAACATCACACTCCAGGGACTGTTGTGGTGTGGGGGGAGGGGGAAGGGATAGCATTAGCAGATATACCTAATGCTAAATGACGAGTTAATGGGTGCAGCACACCAACATGGCACATGTATACATATGTAACAAACCTGCACATAGTGCACATGTATCCTAAAACTTAAAGTATAATAATGATAAAATAATAAAAAAATAAAAAGACAAAATAAATTTATGGGTATAAAAATCAGAAAATGAGTTAATGTTAGAATGATGGGAAAGAACTGTGATTGGGGCAGTATGAGGGAGTACTGTGGGGTCTAGCAATGCTGTATTTTATGATCTGGATAGTGGTTACATGCAATTATTTAGTTTGTAATGATTCATAGGGCTGTGTACTTATCGTATGTTCCTTCTTTTGTATATATTATACCTCAATCATGAATTCTTACTAGGCAAGAAACACTCCACCACTATGAGGAGTTATATGCCCAGTAATGTTTAAAGTTTAGGGATTTTTTATGAACGAAATCCTGGCAGTCCTGCAAATGCTTATTCTTAGCCAATGCATCTCCTCCCTCAATACACACCTATATTTTGGGGAGAATTTCATTTAACCAATTTACCAGGAAGGAAAACAATTGAGCTTAGCTTGTAGATAATATTTGAGTATATGCTTATCTAACCAGAAGTAAGTTAATAACCATGTACATAAAGTTTTCTTTCTGTGGATAATAGTCACTTTTCTTAGCTAACTACTCTGTTGTTTACTTAATTGGGAAAATAATAAAAACAGCCATGCTGATTCTTTAAGACATTATTTATAAGCTCAAGATATGTACTTTGACAACAATACTGACTTTGACCATGATGCGGGCCTACATTGTCTGAGAAAGTGACCCATCCTAAGAACTTGTTTTGGCATCATATCTGTAAAGCAAATGGGAAATATTTGTTTCTAAAACAAATTTTATTTTATATAGGGATGGGGATATGATTTTTCTTCCTGTCATGTTATACCAGTACCAGTACTGATGAACTATCTATATGCTTTTCCACTGGCAACTTATCCCACATGAAACGTTTTTGATTAAGACATGTCTATTTCAGCAAAATAAATATGGCAATGGCTTGGTGCCACATATATTCACTAGTGTTTTCATATACCATAACATATGGAAAAATTTGTCCTTGCAGAATGATGCATTGTCCTATTGAATATCAAGAGGATGGGTACATTATCTTCAATGTTGCCTTGTAGGAGATATACATAATGTTATGAACAAATAGCCTACGTATGCCCTAAATTTTTCATAGATAATATATGGGTCAGAGAATGAAGAATTAGAAGAAGGTGGCTGTGCTTTTCATGTTTTGCAACAATGACTCACCAATAAGTTTTCAGTTAGTGTGATGGTTAATACTGAGTGTCAACTTGATTGGATTGAAAGATGCAAAGTATTGATCTTGGGTGTGTCTGTGAGGGTCTTGCCGAAGGAGATAAACATGTGAATCAGTGGTCTGGGAAAGGCAGACCCACTGTTAATCTGGGTGGACACCATCTAATCAGCTGCCAGTGCAGCAAGAATATAAAGCAGGCAGAGAAACGTGAAAATGCCAGGTTGGCTTAGCCTCTCAGCCTACATCTTTCTCCCGTGCTGGATGCTTCCTGCCCTTGAACATCGGACTCTAAGTTCTTCAGCTTTTAGATTGGAGCTCACTTCCTTGCTCCTCAGCTTCCAGATGGCCTATTGTGTGACCTTGTGATCATGTGAGTTAATACTACTTAATAAACTCCACCCTCTCTCTAAATATATATCAAATTGATATAACTGTATATTTGATATATATGATATATACATATATACACACACACATATGTATATCCTATTAGTTGTGTCCCTCTAGAGAACCTTGACTAATACAGGGTTATCTATTTCTTTGTAACAAATTGCCACAAACCTAGAGGCTTAAAACCATATGCATGTATTATCTCACAATTTCTTTGGGTCGGGAGTTCAGGCATAGCTTAATTGGGTCCTCACAAATGAAGTCTCATCTTAGAGCTCTACTAGGAAAGAATCATTTTTTGGATTCACATGGTTGTTAGCATGATTCACTTCCAGGCTGGTTTTTGAATGGAGAGCTTAAGTCCATTGCTTACCGTGGGCTGGAGGTAACCCTCGGATCCTTGCCACAGGGGATGAGGTCTCTCCAACATGGCCACTTGATTTATCAAAACAGGAAAGACGAAAAGGCAGTAGGGAACTTTTGCTAGCAAGATGGAGGTTGCAGTTTCTTGTAACCTGGTCATAGAAGTAACATTATATTATCTTTGTTTTACTTTATATGTTCAAAGCAAATCTCTAGTCCAGCCTTCACTAAAGAGGAGGAAATTGTACAAATGTGGAGATGTCAGAAGGCAGAGATCATTGGGGGGCATTTTAGAGTCTGTCTGCAGCAGTTAAATTTTACATTACTGTACTCAGCTGAGTAAATATTTTAATATCTGAAGGAGGAATGTTTTAAACAAACTAACACTTGTTAATTTTCTTCACTTTTATGTTAGGTTTGGAGTACATGTGCCGGTTTGTTACATAAGTAAATTGTGTGTCATGGAGATTTGGTATATTTCATCACCCAGGTAATCAGCATAGTACCTGATAGGTAGTTTTTCTATCCTCATCCTCCTCCCATCCTCCACCCTCAAGCAGGCTCTGGTGTCTGTTGTTCTCTTCCTTGTGTCCATATGTACTCAGTGTTTAGCTCCCACTTACAAGCGAGAACATGCAGTATATGGTTTTCTGCTCCTGTGTTAGGTTGCTTAGTATAATAGCTTCCAGCTCTATCCATGTTGCTGCAAAGGACATAATCTCATTGGCTGCATAGTATACTGTGGCTGTATATGTACCACATTTTCTTTATCCAGTCTACTGTTGATGGATATTTAAGTTACAAAAGAAGATACATATGGCCCCAACAAGCATATGAAAAAATGCTCAGCATCACTAATCATCAGAGAAATGCAAACCCAAACCACAATGATACAATTTCCCAGCAGTCAGAATGGCTACTATTAAAAAGTCAAAAGCTAACAGATGTTACTGAGGTTGTAGAGAAAAGGGAACACTTACACATTGCTGGGGGGAATATAAATTCGTTCAGCCATTGTGGAAAGCAGTTTGGCAAATTCTCAAAGCACTTAAAAAAGAATTACCATTCGACCTAGACATCCCATTACTGGGTATATATTCAAAGAAATATAAATCATTCTACCATAAAGACACATGCACACATATGTTCATCACAGCACTATTCACAATAGCAAAGATATGGTATCAGACTGACATATGTTGTATGATGACTATGTTGAACGTCTAATACCACTATATAAACATGCAAAAGAAAACAATGTGTTAAGCAGGTGACTTAATCTGATTATTAAGTTAAAATATATTTATTCACTACTACAGTAGAGCAGGAGGATATATGGATAAAACACGTGATAAAGATGTACCTAAATCAAGCATAAGCAAGATGAACAAACACTACTATTTCTCAGCAATAAAGATTTTGGTCACCCAGCTAAGTATAAAAAGCTGAGAAAATGCTAGATGAAGGAAATTGTAATCTGGATAAGTAACATAGGAGGGGAAATAGGAATAAAATATATGGACTTGTGATTAGGTGCTAATTTTTATCTTCTTTTACCTTTCTGTTTTATCAAATACTGGATTTGCTTAGGCATATTTTTGATGATTAGTTTCATCTGAAGTTTGCATAAAATTAAAATAGGATCATGAGAAAACCAGAGAAAGATTGAGCAGCATCTAAAGAGCATGAAATTTGGCCAGGTGCAGTGGCTCATGCCTGCAATCCCAGCACTTTGGGAGGCCAAGGTGTGTGGATCACTTTAGGTCAGGAGTTCGAGACCAGCCTGGCCAACATGGCAAAACCCTGTCTCTACTAAAAATACAAAAATTAGCCATGCATGGTGGCGGGCACCTGTAGTGCCAGCTACTTGGGAAACTGAGGCAGGAGAATCACTTGAACTAGGAGGTGGAGGTTTCAGTGAGCTGAGATCGTGCCATTGCACTCCAGCCTGGGTGACAAGAGTGAAACTCTGTCTCAAAAAATGAAACAAAACAAAGCAAAACAAAACAAACAAAAAAGATCATGAAATTTGCATGGGCTGGATGAAATGTTTGGTAATTAAATTTTATCCCTTAGGGTAAAGACAAATGGATTCTTAAGCCTTCTCTGTCTTTCTGTCTCTGTCTCTTGTCTCTCTCTGTCTCATACACACACACACACACACACACACACACACACACACCAGCCGAAATATTCATTTGTGTTTGTACAAACAAAATGAATGTACAAAAGCATACATTATTTATTTTCATTAGCTTCACAAAGTTGATGAAGCATACATTTTAAATATACATTTTGAATGTCCTTCTGTTACGGTCTCACCAATGCACCACAATGTAATAGTCTCTCCTGTGAGGTATTACCCGGAGTTCTTCGTCTCATGTCCAAGATGATTAAGGAGCACAGACACAAGGGTCAGGTTGGAGGAAAAGTTTAATAAGTGAAAGAAGAAAGCTCTGCACAGTGGTGAGGGGAGTCTGAGTGGATTTCCATTTTTACGGTTGAGTTCAGAAGCTTTTATAAGAAACTCTTCTCATCTCTGTAGCAGTTCAAGTAACTTCTCTTATCAGTAAAGCTGTCTGTGCAGCTCACTTTATCTTATGCAGCTGTGGGTATGTCTCTAGGCAAGCACAAAGCGCAGCTTTTTTTGTTTGTGTAAGTGTGGGTTTGTTTTAGGTAAGCCTGCCTCCTCCCTGTGCAAGAGCCCACAGAGCCCACTGTGTACTTGTCTGAAAAGAGAAGGAAACTTTTTCCTGGGAGCTTGTTAATCATACAAAGAACAAAGGGCTTGTATGCTGGACTTTGCCTGCCTGTCTGCCTATCTGTGGCTTATTTGTGCAGCTGTAGTCTGAATTTTCACCAGACTGATCTATTTTTGCCTGTAGCTGTAATTTTTCAGGCAGGCAGCTTCTCTAAGGACTGGTCTCTTAGTTGTTTACCCAAGTAATTTTTCCTTTCCTTCTCCCTCACTTTTACTCCCTGCAAAACCCAGGGCATAGGTATGTGGTTTTAGATGAGCTAATTGGATTCTTAAAACTGGTACTTCAAATCTTAGTGAGTGATATAAAAATGAAGGAAGGTGAGATTAGATGTTGTATTAGGCTGTTCTTACCTTGCTATAAAGAAATACCTGTGACTGGGTAATTTATAAAGAAAAGAGGTTTAATTGGCTCACTTTTCTGCAGGCTGTATAGGAATCATAGCACTGGCATCTATTTGGCTTCTGAGGAGGCCTCAGGAAACTTACAATCATAGCAGAAGGCCAAGGGGGAGCAGACATGTCACATGGCCAGGGCAGGAGCAAGAGAGAGCAAGGGGGAGGTGCTATACACTTTTAAATGACCAGATCTCACGAGAACTTACTATCATGAGGAAAGCACCAAGGGGGTGGTGGTAACGTATTCATGAGAAATCTGCCCCCATGATCCAATCACCTCCGATCAGGCCTCATCTCCAACATTGAGGAATACATTTTGACATGAGATTTGGGTGAGGACACAGATCCGAACCATGTCATGTATTCCTACAGCCTTGCCAACATCTGGCTCAATGGCAACAGCTTCAAATGAAAGTTGTTTTTAGCAGATGAGAACTCTCGACAGTATCTGTAGTCTTTGGGAAAGACCCTTCCTACTGCTCATCTCATCTCTGCTCATGATCACATTCTAGGCTTGCTTAATTAAATTTATCAGAGCATTTACATTTTGCAGTAAATTTCTTTTCTGCTTAACTTATTCTGGGCCAGTTTCTATATGCTACCCTTTGCTGCAGAGCAAACCATTTTAAAACTTAGTGGTTTAAACTAACAGCCTTTTTTTTTTTTTTTTTTGCTTATAATTCTGTTGTGAATTGTCAATTTGGTCAGGGTTCTGCTGATGCAGTTCCTCTCTACTCCAAGGGATGCTGGCTTGGCTCAGTCAGGTATTACCAATTATTTAGTAAGTCAAATGAGGACAGATCTGTTTTGTGCAGTCCTACTCACATGTCTGGTGGTTGGTGTTGGCTCTGGATAGGCCACACATATTTCCAGCAGGTGAGCCCTAGCATCTTCACATAATAATTGTGTTCCAAAAGCAGAAAGACGGAAGGCAAGCTCAAATGTACAAGCATTTTCCACTTCTCCTTGTATCATTTTGCAAATGATACAGCAAGGGAACCATGACTCCCTAGTCCATTAATGAAACGATCTGTTATGACTTCTATTGTTAATAACCCTAGGAAAACCCAAAGTGCTGTGGAGGCATGTAGGGTGACAAAGCTTTTGATTCAGCTAGAAATGTTTGCTTGCACGTATGAGACACCTATTTTCAACTTGTTAGAGACAATAGACTCTGTTGATTGATGTGAGACAGAAAGTCTGATGGTAGGGCTGGTGCTTGGTACACTATGATTCAGAAATTCATGTCACTTTTTTTTTTCTGGTTCCACCTCCCTAAGAATTTTTAGGTTCTACTCTTCTCAGTATGACTTTTTATCCTCATGCTGGCTCCCTTTATAGTAGCAATACTTGTGACAGCAGTTCTGCATATAATATCCTTATATAACATCAGTGAGAAGAAAGAAAGTAGTCTGGTCTCTAGGGTTTTCAGGAAAAATTAAGATCTGCTTTTTTTCGTAGGGTCATTTTCAAGGCACTACGGTAGCTAGGCAAACAGAACATGCTATGTGAATAATCCTAGACTACATCATTTACTCTTGTAGTCAACTATAAGATAAACATGTTTTTTTGTTTGTCTATTTGTTTTGCCTTATATGGTTTATTATGAGAAAGGAGAAAAGGTGCTGAGCAGAATAAAACAAAAACTGAAACTAAAACAATGCATGTTTATTACAATATGTATACTTTTTGATAGCCTAGTTTCCACAAGCATGCTTCTTCCTCTACGTATGCTTTTTAAACATCTTTAAAATTATATTTAAAATAAATTGAGATACAATTTATGTATCATAACATTTATCCTTTGAAATTGTACACGTTTTAGTATACAAGCTTTTGAAAATGCTCAAGGGTGCATAGAACTTAATAAATAATTCTCAAAAGGCAAACCCAAAGTGCATTTTCCTTTAAGTCCAGGAATATTGGATAATGTTGAATTACTTTTATTAGTTGTAGGTGCATCTTTCCTCAGATATGGAAGTTATTATTAAATAACGTTGGCCACATCCAACACACCCAATATACCATGGTAGAGAGAGAAGGTGATAATGAAAATGACTTCATTTCATTTCATTATTCCACGTTTGGAATAATAAGGAAAATAATGTATAGCAGTTACTAGTCTATAAATTGTGTCATGTTCTAATTGGAAGGCATAGCAAGAATTAATTGCCCAACTGGAGTGAATCAATTGGTGGCCAATCCAGGTTCCCGTGGTTTTGAAATTTGGGAAATAGTCTTCATCTTGTCAGAGTGCACATACTTGAAATGGGCACTAAAGCTTTCCACCACAGGGATTTGTACAAAACTAACAGTTCACTTCTTGCTGAAAATGGGAGTGTATGTCTCTTGAGATTTTCTGAGGAGCTAAGCAATCATAAGCTGTTGGACAGACTTGGTGTTTCTTTGGCATTGGAGGAGCTTAAATTATTGGTATTTTGCAAAAGCACAATATGTGCAACCATGAAAAGCTTTGTATTAGGTAATGTCACACAGTAAAAATAATAAGCATTATTTTAAAAATTAAGTTTGTGCAAAGCAATTCTAATAAAAATACTAGCACAGGTAAAATCTATGTTAAATTTTTAATAAATAAACACTATAGTAAATATGGGACTTTACCTTAAAAGGTAGTTGAATGTAAGGGTTGGTAGGAAAGGGCTGAAGATGCTGAGTTGTGGTGATAAGGGTAGTTTCAAGACAACATATGCCAAAATGAGCCAAGAGGAAGAATTCTGGATGAATCAGTCTGGTTTCACGATGTTATAATGCTCTATGGTTTCCTGCATTCTTCTCTGATAGTGCTCTTTGCTATTACTTGACTGTACAAAATATTACATGCTGGGAAAAAATGATAAATAAACTAAAGACTCCCATGTTATCTTGACAATATATCCCCATTCACTTATCATTTATGAGCCAAGTCATTACAGAAGCAAAGCTGAAGATATTTTTAAGTCAGATTCAGAAATGAATCTGAGGACTTGTGACATGACATCCAGCTCTTTTCCAGTGCTTTATTCAAACCTCTCATTAGTAACTGTCTTAGACTTGATCATGAACTGGAGACAATTCAAATCAGTGGCCAGGTGTAGGGAAGCACCTTTAATCTGCCTTGTGTCTCCAGAATGGATCCCTCCTACTCTGTTGTAAACTGGAGTCAATCTTTACTAGTTGTAGCAGGGGATGCATCATGAAAATTATTTACTGTGGTACAGTGCCCGAGTAATAAATCCTATTGTTGAGTCCCATATCCCATATTATTTCTTACTAGAGTTCTTTATTCTAGACTTGCTTTCATTAATTTTAACTTGCAATATACAAAATTGACTTTTTCAAGCTTGCAAGGCTGCAGATTACTGATTTACAGGAATTCTGAGAAATAATTTAGTATCTTTTCTTTTTTCTGTGTGAGTCAGTTTCAAGTAAGCTTTATTTTTCTCTATTATATGACCATTTTGATGGCTATAGAAAGCTACTTAGAGTCAACCACCCTAAAATTTTTCCACTGTGTCCCCTAATCCTGTAGTTTTGCTAGACACAAATCCTGCATTCTCAACACAAGCCTGGTGGCAGTTTAACCAATTTGTTCACTACAGTATAAGAAATTTTTCCTTTCTTACATTGGTTTGTACAATTACAATTTTTAGATCTGTCACCTCTTTCTGCTACTCTTGGTAGCAATTTCTCATATCTTTTACTGGCAAGTTACCAAAAAAACCTATGTTGGTGTAAGAAATACATCAATATACATACAAATACTCCAAATAATTTATTGACTGAGTTCATATAACTTGTGGAATTAACCTTTCTCATAGTTTGATCCAGAGGTCCATGAGGCAATAAGGGTACTGTTTCCATCTCTGTGTGACTCACTGAGCTACGTGCTCTAACCTTATCTGTGTGCTGGCCTGGTACTCAGGGTAGTTCCTTCGCTGATAGAAACTGTAACCATAGCAGTGTTAGACGTTACTTTTTCACACCATATCGGAGAAAGAATGTACGATGTATCAGACTTCCAGAAGAAGTCTTGATTAACTCTGATTGGCCTGATTTAGATCACAACCCTGAATTAAAAACACTGTGGATTGGTTAATAGAATGCAATAATTAACTTTTGGGGGGTTTTGAGGTTCTCCACTGAAATTAGGAATGGAAACAACTTTCCTGAAACATTCAATTTGATTAAGTTGTTCACTGGGTGTTTTACCTTCAACCCCAAAGATTAATGTAGGCTGAGAAACAAAGCAAGAGGCATTTGTCAAATATTACCAATAGAAACAAATGACATGGGCTTAGAGAACAGGTGAATATTCTTGAATTTTATGTCACTCACTATTATCCCAAGATGAATGGTGTCAACTGTACAGTGTGTTTTTACATTTCATTTCTATTTACACAGAATAATTTATTCACATATTCAAACTTTCATACGGGCAATCATTCATTCATTCATTTATCAAATATGTTCTGTGCATTGTGCAGCAAGATTATTGTATTTGGTGCTCGTGGTGTGGGAAAGGGATGACTAAAACATGTATTATCTATCTTTATGCATTTATGATCAACATAGGATTTTATTTTTCCTAAATGGCATAATGATGTATGTATTATCTTGCAAATAGTTTAAAATTTTTTTTTTGTTTTTTTTGAGTTGCAGTCTCGCTCTGTCGCCCAGGCTGGAGTGCAGTGGCATCATCTCAGCTCACTGCAAGCTCTGCCTCCTGGGTTCATGCCATTCTCCTGCCTCAGCCTCCCTAGTAGCTGGGACTACAGGTGCCCACCACCTCGCCCAGCTAATTTTTTGTATTTTTAGTAGAGACGGGGTTTCACCGTGTTAGCCAGGATGGTCTTGATCTCCTGACCTCGTGATCGGCCCGCCTCGGCCTCCCAAAGTGCTGGGATTATAGGCGTGAGCCACCGCGCCCAGCCAGTTTTTAAAAATTTTAATATCCTTCCATTATAAGATCAAGTTCTATATCATTTGATAAGTACTACATCTTATGCTGTAATTCCCTAATTGACTTACACATTGCCAAGTGATGTTCATTTGGTTATTTTCAATCTTTTACTATTACAAAATGACTGCAATGAGTATAATAATTGGCAAGTAGATTCTGGCATAAATCCCTAGATGTTGATTTCTAGATGAAATCTTATATGTACTGTTAGTAAATATAAATTCCAATGTTTTCAAGTAAATTGTGCATTGAGGTGTATGTTTTACTTTAAGTGTTAGCATACTGGCTAATATTGAACATACGAAAAATTTAGTTTGTGCAAATATGATGGGTGAAATGTATATCATGACTTTAATGTTTAAATCTGTGGCTAATAATGAAGTTGTGCATCCCTTCCTATTGCTATAGGTAATTTTATTTTTTAGTAAAATAAATATCTAATATTTTCTTGGTATTTATAGTAAATTTGTTGCCTTTTTTGATTCATAGAAACTTCCTACATATTTATTATATTAAGCCTTTCATGTTAACTGTACCATAAAGCTATTCTTTTACTTATGTTTTCTCTTTAATATTTTTCATGAAATTTTCTCTTTTTGCTGTAGATATTTTAAAGTTTGTTACTTAAATCTGACTTTTTTTCAGTGAGGCAAGGAATTTGTATCTTGATTAAGAGTGAATTCTCATAGACCAGGTGCAGTGGCTCACGCCTGTAATCCCAGCACCTTTGGGAGGCCGAGGTGGGTGGATCACTTGAGACCAGGAGTTTGAGATTAGCCTGGCCAACATGGTGCAACCCTGTCTATACTAAAAATACAAAAATTAGGTGGGCGTGGTGGCGCATGCTCTTAGTTCCAGTTACTTGGGAGGCTGAATCATGAGAATTGCTTGAACCTGGAAGTTGGAGGTTGCAGTGAGCCAAGATGGCACCATCGCACTCCAGCCTGGACAACAGAGTGGGAATCTATCTCCAGGGGAGAAAAAAAAAAAAAAAAAAAGAATGACTACTCATAGAAGTTGGGAAAAAAATAACTTCACACCCATATTTTAAAATTATCAGAGAAAATCAACTGGAAAGAAGGAAAAAAGAGTGGTTTAATCTGGTTAAGGATTAAAAGTGATATATTTTGTCTATCATAGAATATTATTCAATAATTAATTTCTCAGTACGTAAATTAATAAAAAATTAATGATTAAATGGCTATGCAGTCAACTTGATTGCTCTATAGACTAAGAAATTACAAAGTTGGTTATTGGCTTTATGAAAAATATGAAGCAGATCTTTTATATTGATTTATCAACTTAGGTACACTTTACTTTTTTAAACGAAATGCAATTTTTTTGAGTGAGTCATGAAAGGCTTGTTTAACTTGCTCATTCCTAAGAGTATATATGAAAGAATTCAACATAGGTGATATGGATGAAATAAGCACTGACACACCTTTATTAATGTTTACCTCTTCTTTTGCAGATGGCTTGATATAGATGAAGATGCAGCTGCCATAAGTGATGGAAACCACAGTAATATGTGAAGAACAGGTAGAAAAGGCTTTTTTCTTTTGTTGAACAGAAGGGAATTTTAGAATTGTTCTTATGATATATGTGTAGGACAGAACTACACATACAAGAGTGATAATAAAGGTTAATACAGCAGAGGCTACAACCATCTGCTCAATTAATGATGTGTCTGAGCATGGTATTTTCAGAATAGGCAATGCATCACAGCCAAAATGATTGATGACATTAGAGTCACAGAATTCTAGATGAAAACCTAAGCTAAGTGGTGGGAGGATAATCATAAGTGCTGCCATCCAACAACAAATAACCATTGTTTTGCACACTTTGTTGCTCATGATTGCCATATAATGCAAGGGTTTGCAGATGGCCACATAGCGATCATATGACATGGTAGCCAAAAGAAAAAATTCAGTTACCCCAAAGAGGTCTGCAAAAAATAGCTGAATGACACATGCATTATACGTTATTATTTTGTTCCCAGTTGAGATACTGTATAAGAATCTTGGAACACAGGTAGCTGTAAATGAGATTTCTAAGAAAGATAAATTTTGGAGAAAAAAATACATGGGTGTTTTCAGGTGGGGATCCAACATGGTGAGGGCGATAATGGTCAGTTTCCCTGTTACACTCAACATGTAGGTGATAAATAGAAACATGAAAAGCAGAACCTGCAGCTGAGGATCTTCTGTCAGTCCCAGAAGGATGAATGTTGTTATTGCTGTGTGTTTTCTCATTACTGACTTCTGCATTTTTCCAAAACTACATGTAAATGTCAGAGAAATTTGAACTGCAGCATTCAATAAAAAAAGCAGCTAATGATGAACACTCTCATGCATGTTTCATTTATCCAACATCATAGGTTTTACTTGTTGATCTGCAGAAGTTTATAGTGAGAATATAAATAACATATATGTACATGTTTTAGTACGTTGAGCTCCCTTGATCTATTTATACAAAATGGCCAAATAAGATTATTTTATAAATTTTAGTCAACGAACTATAGAATAACTTTTCTTTATTAATCTTCTATAGTAATTAATTTATAGTGTATTAAACATTTTAACTCATTCTGAGTTGTGCCTTTTTATTGGATTGCATTATTTTTTGAAATATGACTGTTTTTTATGCTGCCAAATGTTTTTCTGCAACTCATAAGCTACATTAAAATAATTCGCTTTAGTTTCATCTCTGTTTTAAAATTTGGGAATTGTAAAACCCTAAAATAAAACATACATCAGGTTCCAAACAAAACATTTCAATTCCCTCTAAGATGTATATTTATTTGCTTTTTGACTGCTTTTTAATTGTTGGTTATTCATTTTAAGAGAAAACCATCTTTTGACCCTAAGGCATCCACGTTTATAATTTTACATATCTCTTCTAAGCTTCATTATCTAAATCTTATATCTACTCCCTGGATAGTGCTGTGTAGTATAATATGATTATTTTTCAGTGCCCTTTTATCACAGTGCAAGACAGTTTTGATTATAATAAATGAACTGCTGAAAAATATAAAAACTATGTCTTCCTGCGTTCAGTTAGCTACTCAGATTAGAACAAGTTATACAACATGGATAAAAGTCAAGACAAAAATTGCTGAATATCCTCGCCATGACACAATATTCTCTCCTTTTTCATTTCCTTCAGATCTACATTCTTTGACTCTATTTCCACAGTACGCATTCGTTTCTCAATCTGTTACTCTCTTATTTTTCACCTCACCAGATTTTTAAAAGTGCTTAATCAGTTAACTTCCTGTGACTTAACCCAGTATAATCATAATATGACAAACACAAATCTCTTGCTATGCTTCAGGCAAATCTCTTGCTATGCTTCTCTTTTAAGTATATTACATATATAATTAATATAATCCTTAGGACAACCTGTGAAGTAGGGAGGTATATTATCTCCACTTAAAAAATGAAAAAGCTGATCGACAAAGAGGTAAAGTATGTGGCCATTGTTTCAGGATAGTAAGTGGCTAGAGAAACCCCAGAGTCCCAGTTCTTTAATCACTGCGCTGTGTTTGTGGTGAACACTTTACCTGAATGTTTTAATTTCATGAAGATAATATTCTGTCTATTGGTAATTGAAACAAAGCTGGGGTTACTACATAGTTTATTATCTAAACCAAGATACTTGAGAAGCACAGCGGGGGCAGTTAATAATTACGTTGATACAACTGGTGTAAACAGGGCTATCAAGAGCAAAAACTAAATGTGTGCCATTCTCTATACAATTACTTACTCCTTGATTCAGGTGTAATATTAGGGCTAATGGAGATTAAACTTTGCCAAAGTGCAACTGGCTAATTTTCCCCATCTTATTGTTTATTTCTTTTAGTATATTGATCCCTCAATGTTTCCTCAATATTTCTTTCAGTGAAATAATAAGACTGAAGACTAGGGACTCTGTTATTCTGGGCTAAGTTCAATAGCTAGGTAGAAGTTGCTGTTGTGTATTCTCAATCATATTGTTAGATATTCACAGGTTTCTAATTTGTAAGTAATGTCTTAAGAGCTTCAAATTTTCTTACCTTTATTAAATGCAAGAGAGATATAAAATAAGGCATTTTCTTATGGTTTTAGAATATTTCCCTCAAAAAGCCCTAATGCATCTACTACAAGAGCTTTAAACAATCAGTGTTTTTCCCTTTTTTGTCTAATCAAGTAAGCACTGTCTTCTGCTAGTATACACCCAATATACTGAGCAAAATCTCCATGGTAGAGGAACACCATCACAGGGCATGCATCTTAATCTAGGCTCAGGGTAGATAAAGCTTGCTAGGAAGCTAATACCCTTTTGAGAGAACATTATAATCAGAAGATGACTCTGTAACTCACACTTAGAACCTCTGTCCTGTTTTCTTCTTTTTCACTATTTCAATTTACCATCCAGTAGTTCTCTTGGTATTGGATTCAGCTTTGTTTGGGTCTTAAGACTATCTTTCATTTTTGATATTTTGCTTTCCCTGAATCCAGTCTTGCATAAATATTAAATATTTAACAATATCATCATATTCATATTGACTCAATACTGCTTTGCATATTTATTTATTTATTTATTATTTTTTATTTTATTTTATTTTTTATTATACTTTAAGTTTTAGGGTACATGTGCACATTGTGCAGGTTAGTTACATATGTATACATGTGCCATGCTGGTGCGCTGCACCCACTAACTCGTCATCTAGCATTACGTATATCTCCCAATGCTATCCCTCCCCCCTCCCCCGACCCCACTGCAGTCCCCAGAGTGTGATATTCCCCTTCCTGTGTCCATGTGATCTCACTGTTCAATTCCCACCTATGAGTGAGAATATGCGGTGTTTGGTTTTTTGTTCTTGCGATAGTTTACTGAGAATGATGATTTCCAATTTCATCCATGTCCCTACAAAGGACATGAACTCATCATTTTTTATGGCTGCATAGTATTCCATGGTGTATATGTGCCACATTTTCTTAATCCAGTCTATCATTGTTGGACATTTGGGTTGGTTCCAAGTCTTTGCTATTGTGAATAATGCCACAATAAACATACGTGTGCATGTGTCTTTATAGCAGCATGATTTATAGTCCTTTGGGTATATACCCAGTAATGGGATGGCTGGCTCAAATGGTATTTCTAATTCTAGATCCCTGAGGAATCGCCACACTGACTTCCACAATGGTTGAACTAGTTTACAGTCCCACCAACAGTGTAAAAGTGTTCCTATTTCTCCACATCCTCTCCAGCACCTGTTGTTTCCTGACTTTTTAATGACTGCCATTCTAACTGGTGTGAGATGGTATCTCATTGTGGTTTTGATTTGCATTTCTCTGATGGCCAGTGATGAGCATTTTTTCGTGTGTTTTTTGGCTGCATAAATGTCTTCTTTGAGAAGTGTCTGTTCATGTCCTTCGCCCACTTTTTGATGGGGTTGTTTGTTTTGTTCTTGTAAATTTGTTGGAGTTCATTGTAGATTCTGGATATTAGCCCTTTGTCAGATGAGTAGGTTGCGAAAATTTTCTCCCATTTTGTAGGTTGCCTGTTCACTCTGATGGTAGTTTCTTTTGCTGTGCAGAAGCTCTTTAGTTTAATTAGATCCCATTTGTCAATTTTGGCTTTTGTTACCATTGCTTTTGGTGTTTTGGACATGAAGTCCTTGCCCATGCCTATGTCCTGAATGGTAATGCCTAGGTTTTCTTCCAGGGTTTTTATGGTTTTAGGTCTAACGTTTAAATCTTTAATCCATCTTGAATTGATTTTTGTATAAGGTGTAAGGAAGGGATCCGGTTTCAGCTTTCTCCATATGGCTAGCCAGTTTTCCCAGCACCATTTATTAAATAGGGAATCCTTTCCCCATTGCTTGTTTTTCTCAGGTTTGTCAAAGATCAGATAGTTGTAGATATGCGGCGTTATTTCTGAGGGCTCTGTTCTGTTCCATTGATCTATATCTCTGTTTTGGTACCAGTACCATGCTGTTTTGGTTACTGTAGCCTTGTAGTATAGTTTGAAGTCAGGTAGTGTGATGCCTCCAGCTTTGTTCTTTTGGCTTAGGATTGACTTGGTGATGTGGGCTCTTTTTTGGTTCCATATGAACTTTAAAGTAGTTTTTTCCAATTCTGTGAAGAAAGTCATTGGTAGCTTTATGGGGATGGCATTGAATCTGTAAATTACCTTGGGCAGTATGGCCATTTTCAGGATATTGATTCTTCCTACCCATGAGCATGGAATGTTCTTCCATTTGTTTGTATCCTCTTTTATTTCCTTGAGCAGTGGTTTGTAGTTCTCCTTGAAGAGGTCCTTCACATCCCTTGTAAGTTGGATTCCTAGATATTTTATTCTCTTTGAAGCAATTGTGAATGGGAGTTCACTCATGATTTGGCTCTCTGTTTGTTTGTTGTTGGTGTATAAGAATGCTTGTGATTTTTGTACATTGATTTTGTATCCTGAGACTTTGCTGAAGTTGCTTATCAGCTTAAGGAGATTTTGGGCTGAGACAATGGGGTTTTCTAGATATACAATCATGTCATCTGCAAACAGGGACAATTTGACTTCCTCTTTTCCTAATCGAATACCCTTTATTTCCTTCTCCTGCCTAATTGCCCTGGCCAGATCTTCCAACACTATGTTGAATAGGAGTGGTGAGAGAGGGCATCCCTGTCTTGTGCCAGTTTTCAAAGGGAATGCTTCCAGTTTTTGCCCATTCAGTATGATATTGGCCGTGGGTTTGTCATAGATAGCTGTTATTATTTTGAAATATGTCCCATCAATATCTAATTTATTGAGAGTTTTTCTCATGAAGGGTTGTTGAATTTTGTCAAAGGCTTTTTCTGCATCTATTGAGATAATCATGTGGTTTTTGTCTTTGGCTCTGTTTATATGCTGGATTACATTTATTGATTTGCATATATTGAACCAGCCTTGCATCCCAGGGATGAAGCCCACTTGATCATGGTGGATAAGCTTTTTGATGTGCTGCTGGATTCATTTTGCCGTATTTTATTGAGGATTTTTGCATCAATGTTCATCAAGGATATTGGTCTAAAATTCTCTTTTTTGGTTGTGTCTCTGCCCGGCTTTGGTATCAGAATGATGCTGGCCTCATAAAATGAGTTAGGAAGGATTCCCTCTTTTTCTATTGATTGGAATAGTTTCAGAAGGAATGGTACCAGTTCCTCCTTGTACCTCTGGTAGAATTCAGCTGTGAATCCATCTGGTCCTGGACTCTTTTTGGTTGGTAAACTATTGATTATTGCCACAATTTCAGCTCCTGTTATTGGTCTACTCAGAGATTCAACTTCTTCCTGGTTTAGTCTTGGGAGAGTGTATGTGTCGAGGAATTTATCCATTTCTTCTAGATTTTCTAGTTTATTTGCGTAGAGGTGTTTGTAGTATTCTCTGATGGTAGTTTGTATTTCTGTGGGATTGGTGGTGATATCCCCTTTATCATTTTTTATTGTGTCTATTTGATTCTTCTCTCTTTTTTTCTTTATTAGTCTTGCTAGCGGTCTCTCAATTTTGTTGATCCTTTCAAAAAACCAGCTCCTGGATTCATTGATTTTTTGAAGGGTTTTTTGTGTCTCTATTTCCTTCAGTTCTGCTCTGATTTTAGTTATTTCTTGCCTTCTGCTAGCTTTTGAATGTGTTTGCTCTTGCTTTTCTAGTTCTTTTAATGTGATGTTAGGGTGTCAATTTTGGATCTTTCCTGCTTTCTCTTGTGGGCATTTAGTGCTATAAATTTCCCTCTACACACTGCTTTGAATGCATCCCAGAGATTCTGGTATGTTGTGTCTTTGTTCTCGTTGGTTTCAAAGAACATCTTTATTTCTGCCTTCATTTTGTTATGTACCCAGTAGTCATTCAGGAGCAGGTTGTTCAGTTTCCATGTAGTTGAGTGGTTTTGAGTGAGATTCTTAATCCTGAGTTCTAGTTTGATTGCACGGTGGTCTGAGAGATAGTTTATTGTAATTTCTGTTCTTTTACATTTGCTGAGGAGAGCTTTACTTCCAAGTATGTGGTCAATTTTGGAATAGGTGTGGTGTGGTGCTGAATAAAATGTATATTCTGTTGATTTGGGGTGGAGAGTTCTGTAGATGTCTATTAGGTCCACTTGGTGCAGAGCTGAGTTCAATTCCTGGGTATCCTTGTTGACTTTCTGTCTCGTTGATCTGTCTAATGTTGACAGTGGGGTGTTAAAGTCTCCCATTATTAATGTGTGGGAGTCTAAGTCTCTTTGTAGGTCACTCAGGACTTGCTTTATGAATCTTGGTGCTCCTGTATTGGGTGCATATATATTTAGGATAGTTAGCTCTTCTTGTTGAATTGATCCCTTTACCATTATGTAGTGGCCTTCTTTGTCTCTTTTGATCTTTGTTGGTTGAAAGTCTGTTTTATCAGAGACTAGGATTGCAAACCCTGCCTTTTTTTGTTTTCCATTGGCTTGGTAGATCTTCCTCCATCCTTTTATTTTGAGCGTATGTGTGTCTCTGCACGTGAGATGGGTTTCCTGAATACAGCACACTGATGGGTCTTGACTCTTTATCCAATTTGCCAGTCTGTGTCTTTTAATTGGAACATTTAGTCCATTTACACTTAAAGTTAACATTGTTATGTGTGAATTTGATTCTGTCATTGTGATGTTAGCTGGTGATTTTGCTCTTTAGTTGATGCAGTTTCTTCCTAGTCTCGATGGTCTTTACATTTTGGCATGATTTTGCAGTGGCTGGTACCGGTTGTTCCTTTCCATGTTTAGCGCTTCCTTCAGGAGCTCTTTTAGGTCAGGCCTGGTGGTGACAAAATCTCTCAGCATTTGCTTGTCTGTGAAGTATTTTATTTCTCCTTCACTTATGAAGCTTAGTTTGGCTGGATATGAAATTCTGGGTTGAAAATTCTTTTCTTTAAGAATGTTGAATATTGGCCCCCACTCTCTTCTGGCTTGTAGGGTTTCTGCCGAGAGATCCGCTGTTAGTCTGATGGGTTTCCCTTTGAGGGTAACCCGACCTTTCTCTCTGGCTGCCCTTAACATTTTTTCCTTCATATCAACTTTGGTGAATCTGACTATTATGTGTCTTGGAGTTGCTCTTCTCGAGGAGTATCTTTGTGGCGTTCTCTGTATTTCCTGAATCTGAACGTTGGCCTGCCTTGCTAGATTGGGGAAGTTCTCCTGGATAATATCCTGCAGAGTGTTTTCCAACTTGGTTCCATTCTCCACATCACTTTCAGGTACACCAATCAGACGTAGATTTGGTCTTTTCACGTAGTCCCATATTTCTTGGAGGCTTTGCTCATTTCTTTTTATTCTTTTTTCTCTAAACTTCCCTTCTCGCTTCATTTCATTCATTTCATCTTCCATTGCTGATATCCTTTCTTCCAGTTGATCGCATCGGCTCCTGAGGCTTCTGCATTCTTCACGTAGTTCTCGAGCCTTAGTTTTCAGCTCCATCGGCTCCTTTAAGCACTTCTCTGTATTGGTTATTCTAGTTATACATTCTTCTAAATTTTTTTCGAAGGTTTCAACTTCTTTGCCTTTGGTTTGAATGTCTTCCTGTGGCTCAGAGTAATTTGATCGTCTGAAGCCTTCTTCTCTCAGCTCGTCAAAGTCATTCTCCATCCAGCTTTGTTCCATTGCTGGTGAGGAACTGTGTTCCTTTGGAGGAGGAGAGGCGCTCTGCGTTTTAGAGTTTCCAGTTTTTCTGTTGTGTTTTTTCCCCATCTTGGTGGTTTTATCTACTTTTGGTCTTTGATGATGGTGATGTACAGATGGGTTTTCGGTGTGGATGTCCTTTCTGTTTGTTAGTTTTCCTTCTAACAGACAGGACCCTCAGCTGCAGGTCTGTTGGAATACCCTGCCGTGTGAGGTGTCAGTGTGCTCCTGCTGGGGGGTGCCTCCCAGTTCGGCTGCTCGGGGGTCAGGGGTCAGGGACCCACTTGAGGAGGCAGTCTGCGGGTTCTCAGATCTCCAGCTGCGTGCTGGGAGAACCACTGCTCTCTTCAAAGCTGTCAGACAGGGACATTTAAGTCTGCAGAGGTTACTGCTGTCTTTTTGTTTGTCTGTGCCCTGCCCCCAGAGGTGGAGCCTAGAGAGGCAGGCAGGCCTCCTTGAGCTGTGGTGGGCTCCACCCATTTCGAGCTGCCTGGCTGCTTTGTTTACCTAAGCGAGCCTGGGCAATGGCGGGCGCCCCTCCCCCAGCCTAGCTGCTGCCTTGCAGTTTGATCTCAGACTGCTGTGCTAGCAATCAGTGAGATTCCGTGGGCGTAGGACCCTCCAAGCCAGGTGTGGGATATAATCTCGTGGTGCGCCATTTTTTAAGCCGGTCTGAAAAGCGCAATATTCGGGTGGGAGTGACCCGATTTTCCAGGTGCATCCGTCACCCCTTTCTTTGACTTGGAAAGGGAACTCCCTGACCCCTTGCGCTTCCCAAGTGCGGCAATGCCTGGCCCTGCTTCAGCTTGCACACGGTGCACGCACCCACTGGCCTGCGCCCACTGTCTGGCACTCCCTAGTGAGATGAACCCGGTACCTCAGATGGAAATGCAGAAATCACCCGTCTTCTGCTTTGCTCACGCTGGGAGTTGTAGACTGGAGCTGTTCCTATTTGGCCATCTTGGCTCCTCCCTCTGCTTTGCATATTTAATCTCCAGAAAGTATTTCAATTTGGCAAGAGATCAGAAATTCATAATAAGATCTCATGTAATATTTCAGTCTGCTGCTATTATGCACACTGTGCACTTGAATTTATATATTTTTTTGCATACCTGTGTGTGTGTGGCAGGGGGGAGTTTTATTTCTGAATATTTCCCACCCAGAATTGATAGATTTCTAGGCTCATCATTCTAGAAAAAAAAAAGGCATTTCATAAATGATTGTAGGATCTTTCCATCAAATGCTAACATAAGTATTCAACATATTGATTATTTAAGCCTAACACTTTACTTAAAGAGAGAAATATATCATTACACTTCCCACTCACCTCTCTCTTCCTGCCAGTATATATGCAACTGTACACTGAAATACACTGAAAATAACTTAAAGTAAAAAACGTGTTCACACTTACCCTTTAAGCAGTAAGTTATTTCATGAAATCTGTTGACAGTTTATTTGCAGAAGCTCACGGTAAGAGAGGCTGAACAGGAATACGACTGTGGAGTCATGTGAATGCTAAGTTTTCTCAGGAACCAGAAAAGGCCCTGGAAGTGCCCAGGGCCCTTTTTCACAGATTTTTTTTTCCCCTGAAAGGGCTTCTGCCATTTTAATCTAAGAAGCCATGTTTTTGTTCTCTTGTTATCTAAAATAAAGAAATACCTGGTGTAAAGTGCTGGGGATACCATGAGCTATTGGATGATAAAGGAGAGTTGATCTTCTGAACTTATCAGTCAGAAAAACATGTTTGGCCTTAAATATTCATTTATAAAAGAAGTCAAGAGTCAACAAAAAATAGAGTCTTTGGATCCCAGGTTTAAAAGTCACTAAGGAATCTTTATTGTAATCACTTTTGGCAATCAACCTCATACAGGCAACAATGGGGACAGAGTCCCTGGGGACAAAAAAATGCAACATGAGACATACTGTGATCAGACTGGACAATATAAGTCAAATAATAAGGTGTTTGTTTTTTCCCTTGTATTGTCTAAGGCAATAAAACTGGTATCGGAACACTTTCTCTACTTTTAAAAGGTAACTCATGGATATCATGAAAAATATGAAGATTCAAAAAAGACACATAGATAACCGTTCAAATATTAGCACATAGGTAAACCTGTAAAAACAGTTGTAATCTACTATTTTTGTTTATTATAGGTGTTTTTAATGATCATGTTTAGTGACTGAATTTATATATTTTAAATCTCAATTTGATAATAAGTACCACCAGTTTGGAAACTTAAATTGTTTACATTTCTTCTTTGTAATGAAAATACTGCCCTGAAGTTTTTATATAATTATCTTTGCACACATAACTGTTTATATACCAGAGCATTTTCATAGGAGAAATTCTTAATTGTAGGTAGAAAATTTTTGCATTTGTATGGCTTTTGATATGCATTTCCCACCAGATATACTAAAAAAATGAGACCACAGGTCTCAATCTGGAGAAAGAAACCATTAGAATAGATATGATTGGGTGGATAATCTTAATAGATCCTTTGGGCAGACTTAGGAACTTTCTTTGTACTCGAAAGAGTTCTCTTGTAACTACACAAAGAGAATAGTAGTTCAGTCGACATAATTTTGTTTTTTTTAGTCTAAAAGGACATCTCTAGATGTCTCCAATAAGTATGAGTAGAGATGTCAGAGAACACCATCTCCATGACAACAGCTAGGCTATTGAAAGGTTGGGGGCAATGCTGAGAGAAAAATAAGGTAGAAATGTGGAGCACTTAGATATTTAGAGACTGTTCCAAATAAACATTTCCAAATCTCATTTTATTCTCTTCCTTCTTTTGTATACTCGATTGACTATCTCCTTTTTTCTCATTAAAACACAAGCATTCTTTCATTTAGCCAGTATTTATTGAGAACCTATTGTGTATTCTGGGTACTGTTCAGGGTAGTAATGTTACATCAGTGAACAAAAAAGACAAAAATCCATGCAGGTCTTTATATTCTAATCTTAAGGAGATAGAAAACAATCAGATAAATTAGTACAGTATATAATGTTTTAGATGGTGGTAAATGTGAAGAAAAAACAGCATAGTGTGAGAAAGATAGCAATGTGAGGAACATTTTCCACAGTGGATTTGAGGCAGGCTGTCACTGAGGAGGTCCTTTAATGCTGGAAACAAATATAAACTATTCTTAAGAATAATCGCAATTCCTTACATTTTCCTAAAGGTGAGTAAAATGGATTTCTGACTTAATGCTTAAGAAGTAGTACATTTGTGACACGGGAAGAAAATATGACAAATAACGAAAAGTTTAAAATGTGTCTCACTGTAACCTGAAAAATGTCTTCCTGAAATTATGTTTGGAAACAAAATAGTATTATATGTTTCTGTAAGGCACAAAAAGACATTTAATATAGCTTTTTAAACAACAGTGGAAATTGTAAGCGAAGTAAATTTCCAACAATAGAGCATGGCTTAATGGTTTATGCATTCAATAGAATGCCATATAGACTTGAAAATGATTAGGTACTTTATTAGTCAGGGTTCTCCAGAGAAGCAGACCCAAAAGGAGATTTATGTATGTATGCATATATGATGGAAGATGAAGGGTGGATTATTTATTTATTTATTTGTTTTAAGAAATTAGCTCACATGATTGTGGAGGCTGGCAAGTTCAAATTTTTCAGGGTACGCTAACAGGTCAGAGACCCAGAGAAGGGGTGATATTGCAGCTTGCATATGATTTAAATAGAATCTCATCTAAAAAAAATCTTCACAGCAACATATAGACTAATATTTAACCAAATATCTGGGAGCTGTGGCCTAGCTAAATTGACACATAAATTAGCTATCACGAGTGTATTTATACTTACATAGAAAATATTAATGAAAAGTTAATATAAAATAATTTAGGTTATAATGTACAGTTTACATATATGTACACACACACACACATACACACACGTACCCATGCTAGAAATGTATACCTAAAGCTCTTAATTAGTTCTATCTTTGATTATCTCTGTGTTGTGACAGTTTTGAATTCTAGAATACATTTCTATTTTGATAATGATATGCTTTGATATTATGAAGAAATGATAAAGGAAAGAAAGGGGGTTTTGTATTCTCCCAAATACCTTAAAAATGGAAAGCAGCCAACACGATGTGACACTTATTGTTTATACTTCCTCTATGTCTGATGGTATTATTGCATCTTACTGTCTTTTAAGGATGCTGTCCCCACTACTGCCTTTTTGTCTTTTACTTTGCAAAAGTGCATTACACAATAGGCTCATTAGTAATTTTTGAAACTGAGTATAAATGATCATTTAGATCTCTTCTTACCATTTAAAGACAAGTGTATTTGTATGTGTGTGAGTGTGCCTGTGTGTGTACATATTGTTACTGGAATAAAATCTGTCACCAGGCTTTATTTTATGTTGCTGTGAAGATATTTTTAGATGAAATTCACATTTAAATCATATGCAAGCTGCAATGTCACCTCTTCTCTGGAAGAATTAAAAAAAAAAAAAATAATCCCGCTCCCCCAACCATCGTCCTTCATATATACATATATACATACATTTCCTATTGGTTCTGCTTCTCTGGAGACAGATTTTATTCATTTTCTTTTCTGGCTATAAAATATGATTATATGTCAGAGGTCATATAATTACTTTTTTCATAATCAGAAATTAAACTTCAGAGTTTTTCATCTAATATTTAAAGACATAAGTGAGTGATTTTGGGGTGTTGAGGTAGGAAATTATTAGAAGACCTCTATTGAGGCAGATCACTTGAAGTCAGGAGTTCAAGACCAGCCTGGCCAACATGGTGAAACCCCATCTCTATTAAAAATACAAAAATTAGCTCTTGCTCTCGCTCTCGCTCTCGCTCTCCCTCTTCCTCTTCCTCTCCCTCTCCCTCTCTCCCTCTCCCCACGGTCTCCCTCTCCCTCTCTTTCCATGGTCTCCCTCTGATGCTGAGCCCAAGCTGGACTGTACTGCTGCCATCTCGGCTCACTGCAATCTCCCTGCCTGATTCTCCTGCCTCAGCCTGCCCAGTGCGTGCGATTGCAGGCACGCGCTGCCACGCCTGACTGGTATTTTTTTGGTGGAGACGGGGTTTCGCTGTGTTGGCCTGGCTGGTCTCCAGCTCCTAACCGCGAGTGATCCGCCAGCCTCAGCCTCCTGAGGTGCCGGGATTGCAGACGGAGTCTTGTTCACTCAGTGCTCAATGGTGCCCAGGCTGGAGTGCAGTGGCGTGATCTCGGCTCACTACAGCCTACACCTCCCAGCCGCCTGCCTTGGCCTCCCAAAGTGCCGAGATTGCAGCCTCTGCCTGGCCGTCACCCCGTCTGGGAAGTGAGGAGCATCTCTGCCTGGCCGCCCATCGTCTGGGATGTGAGGAGCCCCTCTGCCTGGCTGCCCAGTCTGGAAAGTGAGGAGCGTCTCTGCGGGGCCGCCATCCCATCTAGGAAGTGAGGAGCGCCTCTTCCCGGCCGCCATCACATCTAGGAAGTGAGGAGCATCTCTGCCCGGCTGCCCATCATCTGAGATATGGGGAGCGCCTCTGCCCCGCCGCCCCATCTGGGATGCGAGGAGCGCCTCTGCCCGGCCGCGACCCCGTCTGGGAGGTGAGGAGCGTCTCTGCCCGGCCGCCCTGTCTGAGAAGTGAGGAGACCCTCCGCCCGGCAGCCACCCCGTCTGGGAAGTGAGAAGCATCTCTGCCCAGCAGCCGCCCCGTCCGGGAGGGAGGTGGTGGGGTCAGCCCCCCGCCCGGCCAGCCACCCTGTCCGGGAGGGAGGTGGGGGCATCAGCCCCCCACCCGGCCAGCCGCCCGCCGGGCCAGCTGCCCTGTCCGGGAGGGAGGTGGGGGCATTAGCCCCCCGCCCGGCCAGCCGCCCCATCTGGAAGGGAGGTGGGGGGGTCAGCCCCCCGCCCGGCCAGCCGCCCCGTCCGGGAGGTGAGGGGCGCCTCTGCCCGGCCGCCCCTACTGGGAAGTGAGGAGCCCCTCTGCCCGGCCACCACCCCGTCTGGGAGGTGTGCCCAGCAGCTCATTGAGAACGGGCCATGATGACAATGGCGGTTTTGTGGAATAGAAAGGGGGGAAAGGTGGGGAAAAGATTGAGAAATCGGATGGTTGCCGTGTCTGTGTAGAAAGAAGTAGACATGGGAGACTTTTCATTTTGTTCTGTACTAAGAAAAATTCTTCTGCCTTGGGATCCTGTTGATCTGTGACCTTACCCCCAACCCTGTGCTCTCTGAAACATGGGCTGTGTCCACTCAGGGTCAAATGGATTAAGGGTGGGGCAAGATGTGCTTTGTTAAACAGATGCTTGAAGGCAGCATGCTCGTTAAGAGTCATCACCACTCCCTAATCTCAAGTACCCAGGGACACAAACACTGCGGAAGGCCGCAGGGTCCTCTGCCTAGGAAAACCAGAGACCTTTGTTCACTTGTTTATCTGCTGACCTTCCCTCCACTATTGTCCTATGACCCTGCCAAATCCCCCTCTGCGAGAAACACCCAAGAATGATCAATAAAAAAAAAAAAAAAAAAGAAAATGAATTAAGCTGTACATAAAGAGCCTTAAACACTTCAATTAATCTAGGAATCTATCCTATGGAAATAACAAAAGTTACAAAGAGAAGGGTGCCCATTCCAGAGTTTGTTGTGTGTGTGGTTTTTTAAATAATGGGGAGAATTTGGAAAATAGCTAGTTATTCATAGAAGGGGAAATGGAAGATAATTATGCTTTTTGCAGCACCGAAATAGATAAATCTATTGTCTTCTGTACACTCAGTTGAACATTATGCAGCCATTATGTGTGGTATTTGAAAAAAATTTATTGGCAGAGGGTAATGCTTATGAAATAGAATGTGAAAAATAGAATACAAAATTATATTTATGATATGATCTCAATTGTATATATGGGTGTTTAAGTTCACAAACTTAAGAAGGTTTCCAGATATAGGGACCTAGGTTGGTTTGTTCACTGCTCAGCCACCAGCCTGGAACATAGTAAGTACTCTATAAATACTTGGGAAGTGCTTGAAAAACGTATATAAAAAGCTGAAAATAAATACATCATACTAGTTGTAAGATTGCAAAAAAAAAAAAAATTGTATACTTATTTAATTAAAAATATTGCTCAACATTCTTATCCCATTTACCATATCAGGTATCAGATTATAGACTATTTTCTAAGTTAAATATCTTCCTCCCTCTATGTATCTATCTATCTATCTATCTATCTATCTATCTATCTATCTATCTATCTATCCATCCATTCATCTATCCATTCATTTGTTTTATTGGAAGTATGTCACAAGGGTTAACAAATTATGCTTGGAATCAAAGATCTGATTGCAATCATGTCTCCAAAATTTCTAAACTCTGCCATGAGTGTGAATGAGCATGATTATTTGCTTAATTCTGTTTTTAAACAGCAGAAAGTTCATAATTATTCCTCCCTTGCTTATTGTGATGAATTTTATTATTCTATTGTTAAATAGAATAATGTATGCACAACAGTTAGCATATGCTTTATGCATAGTGAATATTCAATACATGACAGGTATAATCATTTGTAATACTAAAATGGTTGAATTTAGGTGTCAATTCTCAAATCACTGCAGAAAATATTCAAAAGTTTATTCTCAAATTTAATATTATGCAGAAGTTATGCTTTTTTCTTAAACACAATTGCCTCTTAAAAATATAAGTAGAAATAATGTTTGTGTTAGGTACTCATATGCTGTTTTCCTGGTGATAGATAGATTCATATACTGGGGAAAAATGTCATCAAAAGGAATTATCTTGGCAACAGGGCACATGTGTTATCTATGATCCAATACAACCTGCTAATTTGCAGTGTCTCCATGATCATCTTGAAATGGTTGTTTTTAATGTGACAAACCTAATGGTGCTTTATATCATCATGTTTGAAACAATAAATCTACTTTTATTTAAATGATAAAGACATAAGTCAACTGGTGTTTATAGGCTTTTTTGGATATATTTAATCTTCTCTGTTTTTCCTTAGGGACACCATCCCCTTAGATTTTCCACAGAGAAACAGTCACTCCTTTTAATTAATTGGAAACTAGTAAATATTTCACAAGTTTAAAGCAGATCTTCTCAGTTATAATAATCTTTGCAAAGGTTTGTGTGGAGGAATTATTTGGACATACATGTTATCTTATAATTTATCTGGTATTAAAAACAGGAATTTATTAGCAATCTTTATTATAGAAAACATAGATACTTCCATGTGTTCAGATATGTGTGGTATTGAAGAATAATTACATTTACATCTCAGCTTTCTGCTTTGAATTAACCTGAGAGATTATTTTATGTTAATTTTCCTGGTGACAAATTAAATACTGTTTCACAATGAATGCATTTGCCTTTTATTACAGTTGTTCATGTATTCTAGAGGAAAAGAAAGGAATATCATTATATACTGCTTATGGTAAGTAAAATAGTGGTGTTACTTTTTTCACAAATAGAAGAATTATGAATACAATGTATGTTACAAACATAACAGTGACTCAGAGATTATACTTTATTATTCCTCTTTTAATAAAACATTAATAATTCCTCATTTTCCATGTTATGAATCCCTAAATGCAAGAATGTGAACTTTCATTTATGCACTCACTTGCACCTGCATTTCTAATGCTTTAATAATTTAAACCAACACTGCACTGTAGAATTTTGGAAGGAATGAAGTTTGTTCTACTTCCATCTAGATAAAGAAAACCTGAACAATTTTAGAAGTCAATCAAACATAACAAGGTTAAAGGTATTTTTCTTGGAGAATTGACTTCATTGTGTTCATGCATTTTTAAAAATAGAAAAAATATTTCTTTTGGAACTGCTTATTTTGACCAACATGTGTGAGCAATGAAAACTTATTGATTGCCATATTTGCTCTGGTTGAAGAATAAAAGTCTGCTTTATGTACCCTGATAATCACATTGAATTTACAGAAATGCTTAATGTATTTTACAGAAAATATATATGTTAGAACACAGACTCATTGGCAAAATGAAAAGTAGCAAAATAAGATGAGATCAAGGAAGCAGGTTTTCTGTGGTTCTCTAACACCTACCATTTCCATTAAAAGCCTGGAAATAATTGACTGAAAAATTACTACAAGAGGAGAAGAAATATACTAAGAAGGATGATAGAGAAAAAATTTGCCAAAGGATTAACATTGACAGATGAATGTGGGGGCTCTTGAATTTACATTGAGATAATATGCTAAGTCATGTAGAAGAAAAACATTACATATTCAACAATAAAAATAACACTTCAGAACAGGCAAAAATATTGATTGACAAAATTTAATTCAGAAGAAATTTAATTAAATGTTTTGAGAGAAGAAAAAATATTGTATATTACATAATATAGTTTACTTTTTTCTCTTTCAGTTCTTATGTTTTAAGTTTATTTGGAAATAATTTAGCTGCTTTACAAATTAACAACAAAGGTTTGCTCAAGAGTAAAACAAATCTGGGTGTGGTGGCTCATACCTATAATCCCAGTGCTTTGGGAGGATCCCAGTGCTTTGGGAGGCTGAGGTGGAAGGATTGCTTGAGACCAGGGATTTGAGACCAGCCTATGCAACATAATGAGACATCCCCTACACCCGTCCCAACAATCTCTACAAAAAAAATTCAAAACAATTAGCCAGGTCTGGTGATGTGCATCTGTAGTTCTAGCTACTTCTGGAGGTGGATCACCTGAGTCCAGGAACTAGGGTTTGAAGTTACAGTGAGCTATGATTGGGCCACTGCAACCCAGCCTGGGCAACAGAGTGAGACTCTATCCCTGAAAAAATAAATGAAGTGCATCACCATTTTCTTAGTTGAAAATATGACTCTAAAATATATAATCAATTTCTGAATTCATTAGTAGTTGTTTTCACTCTTATTAAAAAAATAGAGATTAAAAAAACATAACGATTTAATCATTTCCTTTGATAAAATACTATTAAGAGTAACTGAATTTTATTAAAAATATAAATATATCATAATTTAATCTCACTACAAGAGAATTTTATTTTTCATCATGACTGTTTTGTACACATTTGCAAAAGTCATAGCTATATGCAGCAAATGTAGACATTATTAAAAAATAAAATCAATTTACACAAACTTCTTTGGAATTTTGTATCTAATGTATACTTTGAATATTTTTATGAGAATATATATTTGTCAATATTCTCACATCCAAATATGTTATTATCAGAGCCAAGTGCAGGGGCTGGCACCTGTAATACCAGCCAAGGAGGCTGAGGCAAGAGGATTGCTGGAGCCCAGAGTTGGAGGTAGCAGTGAGCTATGATCATGATACTGCAGTCCAGCCTGGCTGACAGAGTGATACCATGTCCCCCCCAAAAAAGTTATCTGAATGAATAAATTATTTAGATTTGCTTATTTTTAAATATTAAGTTATTTTTCACTCTTAAACTCTACCATGACTTTTAGTTGATATATGAGAATTGAATTGCTTGTTTTTTCAAAAGGTACATTTTATACTATATATTCTAAAAATGTTTTCCTTTTCAGAAATTTGCTTTATCTGCTCTCATTATTGAATTATCTTCTTGTTATAATAGTTTCAGTCTATTATCTGTCATATTCTAAGGACTGAGTCAATATCAATAGAAAGTAAATCTATTTTATCTACCAATCAAGTATTTAATTGAATTTCATCATGTATAATTTGCCTTTATATGCTTAATTTGGTTACAGAGTTCAGAATAGTGCTGAATAATAGTGATGATGGTCAGTATCTTTGTTTAGTTTTGATTTCAGTGAAAAAAAACTGTTAGGATTTAATTGGTCAATTAGTAATGCCCATTCACTTAGTCTTGCTATCCTAGGAAAGCTTAATATTGCTTTAATTTAGGAATCAACATTTGATGGCAGAGTGTAATGTGACATCTCGAAAATACTGCTTTCCTCCTTTATACTGTTAGTTAATTACTAACAGATAATTACTAATTTTGGACTGTCCACGTATCATTTAAGTTGAAAATAAAACTTACTCGATGCAACACGTATTATTTTTCTTAGTATTGGCAATGTTATAGCTTCTCGTATGAAGTTGAACCAAAAATGTTTTCAACCAAGTTTTAGTATTGTAAAATTTCTTCTGGAACATGTAGTTACTGGAAGTATTTAGGCATTTCTGATGGAAATAATCATGGGAAGAAAAGACAATTTTTTGCAACAAGCATAATGTATTTATCCACGCCCCCCCCACACACGCACTCTTTCATTTTCTCTCTCCCTGAATCTGTCTCTGTGTATGTATATAAGTATGTATGTATCCATCAATCATTTATCAACCCTATCATATTATATGGGAACTAGTATTCTATATATTGTATCAATTATATGATTTTTCTGGGACATGCTTTTTGGACTTAATATTACATATATAAGATTTATTTATGTTGTGTATGTAGCTATAGTTTGAACATTTTATCTGCAGCAAAATATTCCATTGAAAGTGAACAAATCACAGGTTATTTATTATGCATTTATATTGTTTTATCTTGTATTTTTGCACTTATATGCAAAAAGGAGAGCTGTCTTTCAAGTTATCTGTGTTCTTTTTCTAAGTCTTAGCTATTTTGGCATAGCTAGCACACATTAATCTTTATATATAAGAAGTATGTAAGTAAAATGAAAATTATTTATTCTTAGAAGATGTTTATAGTCGCTTAATAAGCCAGTTAAACGTTTTACATCTACTGAAGTTGGAAAATAGATGTTTTTGAAAACTCTTTTAGTTTTCATTGTAGCAATTTTCTGGTTATATTTTTATATTTGCTAACTTATAATTTACTATTTCCTCAAAAATTTCTTATTCTAACTCTCAATTCCTAACTTAATTTTCAAAAAGAAGGTTGGAAGATGCCTTTATATTTTGAAAATTTTAAAATATTATGACTTTAGCCTCATCCTTCTTTCTAATATTGTCTTTTCCCCACAGGAATTTGTCCTCTTTAAGGATTGTCATAGGTGTGTCTCTTTCACTAAGCTTTTTCTCAAATAATATGTACTTTAAAAAACAGGAATTTTATTCTCATTATATGAAAAGTTATTATTAGTGCATTTTCTAAAGAATGTATTAGTTTTAGTTTTAAGTCAAATGAGTCAGTGACATTTGCATTCTAGTGAATAACTTGAGTTTTATAGCTATTTGAAATAAGCCTGCAAAATTTTACTAAAATAAACATCATTTAATTTGCTAATATTACATCTGAATTTGGATAATGAAATCAATTAGATGAGAACTAATTCAGCATCATTTACCCTTCACTTAAAATGTGAAAAGTTGTAAGTAGATTTCTTACACTATTAAAAAATAAAATTTAATATTGTATTAGTAACAGTTTCTTAACATTACGATTTTAGACAAAGATGCTGTGAGCAGTATTTTCTACAGTCCTCCTTATCACTGTTTTTCTTCTCTGCATTTTTCTTTTTTACTTCTTTTTTTAAAGAGATGGGGTCCCATGATGTTGTCCAGGCTTGTCTTGAACTACTGGGCTCAAGAGATATCCTCTGTCAACCATCCAAAGTGCTGGGATTACAGGCATGAGTGACCACACCCAGCCCTTCCCTCTATCTTAAAAGTGAGCTAGAAGAAATTTCACTCAAATATATTTGCTTTCTCAGAACTGAGAAAATAGGACAAATTCTATACTCATCAGATGCTGAAATTTGGAAACATAGTTATGTTTAACTACAGAACTGTGATTTTTATAAATTATGTAATTTATTTTATGATACACATGGAATATCTTTTCCACTATCCAGAAACCCCCACCAGTCTCCAAAGATTTCGGTGATTAGGGAGCTCTGCTATATCTGCAGCTATTTGAAGCTTACTAAAACAATGGACACTCTAACTACATTTTTAATTTTTTTCTTTTTTTTTGAGACAGAGTCTTGCTTTTGTCACCCAGGTCAGAGTGCAATGGCATGATCTTGGCTCACTGCAACCTTCACCTCCTGGGTTCAAGTGATTCTCCTGCCTCAGCCTCCTGAGTAGCTGGGATTACAGGCACCCACCACCATGCCCGGCTAATTTTTGTATTTTTAGTAGAGACGGGGTTTAGCCATATCGGCCGGGCTGGTCTCGAACTCCTGACCTCGTGATCTGCCTGCCTCGGCCTCTCAAAGTGCTGGGATTACAGTCGTGAGCCACTGTGCCCGGCCTTAATTTTTATTAATCTCTTCACTGGTTATTAAAGTTATTAGACATGTGTTGTGTATACATCTCAATTAATCCTTCTAACTGAGATCAGAATTATTTTACCTTTTTTTTGTAGATGAAAAAACTAAAGTAAGAAAGTTAGTTTTCCCAAGACCATATAACTAATAATAATGGAGAAAATTCCAAATTTTATTAAACTTTTCTAAAAATTTCAAGATCTTTGACTTTAAACTGTTAACTTAGCCATTTTACACTTTCTTATGTCTTATTTTTTTCGTTTGTTTGTGATACTCAGCTTAACATTTAAAAATTAATTATTAAACAATAAAGAAGCTTCCCAAACTTTAACCCTGAGAGTGGATTGCCTTTTTTCTCAGTAGCCATTGATAAGTTATTTCTCAGATCCTTAGCTGGATTTTAAGTCCACTTTCTAATTCCTAGCAGTCTGTCACCTTTGCTTTACTTCTGTACTATTACTCACTTCACTTTTTTCATTGGCAACCTGATACTCTGGGAAACCTACAATAACAAACTTAAAATACCATCAGAATCCTTTTGTCCCATTCAAATGATTACACCCTTCCTACCCCATTATTTCCCTAAATTAATAGTCGTTGGTTACCTGCATGAATAATTGTTGGGGACTCAGATAGTGTGGCAAGAAAGCACTGATTTTTCACTCACAGTATTACATCTAGAAAGTAGGTTTAGACTGTAGGTACCTGTAACTGTAGCGACTTGGAAGAGATGCAATGTTTTATCTGTTTTCTTTCTTACTCCTATGGTCTTGATTACACAAGACAAAATTTTTAAGTCCTAAATAGACTTTTTTTTTGTAAATGTGGCAATATATGCATAATATTAAGTTTTGAGTTTCCTAGATTCAACTAGTATTTATTTTGTTGTGGTATCAACTCATACTTTTTAGGGGCATTTTTCCGTATCTTCATATGTAGTTCATAGAGAAGTTGAAAAAGGCTGTATAGCAGGGCTTTAAACAAATGTCACTTTAATATAATATAATGTAAAGTTTCAAAATTTGACTGTAGGTCTTTTAATTCTTAACAAAAAAGACAGGGTCTCTCTCTGTCACCCAAGCTGGCATCTCCCTATGTTGCTCACGCTGATCTTCAACTCCTGGCCCCAGGCGATCCCCAGTTTGGCCTCCCAAGTGCTGGGATTACAGGCATGAGTCACTGTGCCTTCCCTTAACTTAGGTCTTAATTCATTACACTGGCATCATTTTCTTTAGATGAAATTAATAATTTTAAAATGAATGAACTATTTTTGAATCCTGAACCAAGATCTTTACCTAATTTATTTACAACTTGACAAACCTGGAATTAGTTACAATTAAGTGGAATCTTGAAGTGGAAGCATGAAAAAAACTAGCTTGAAAATCAACTATTAAGGGCTTTGCAAATCAATTTTCCAAAGTGAGATGATGTTTGTTGTACTTTTAAACCCCTAGTTTACAATTTCTGTTGCATAGTTCTATATCATATCTTCAACATCCATGGAGTACTACCTCTTAAATGTATATGTTTGTAAGTGTGGAAACTTTCCTGTATCTTTTCCTGGACCTAGCTCAACCCTTGCACCTTTTTATTCCTAGAATTTGATTGAAATCACAACAGAGAAATGAAGAATCATACAAGGCAGATAGAATTTATTCTTCTGGGACTGACGGATAATTCTCAGTTACAGATTGTAATTTTCTTATTTCTACTTCTAAATTGTGTGTTGAGCATGATAGGGAACTTCACTATCATTGCCCTCATTCTGCTGGATTCCCAGCTCAAGACTCCAATGTATTTCTTCCTCCGTAATTTCTCTTTTCTGGAAATTTCATTCACAACTGCTTGCATTCCCAGATTCCTAATCACCATTGTTACCAGGGAAAAGACCATTTCCTGTAATGGTTGCATATCTCAGTTGTTTTTTTACATATTCTTGGGGGTTACAGAATTTTTCCTTCTAGCTGCTCTGTCCTATGATCGCTATGTTGCCATCTGCAAACCTTTGCGTTATATGTCCATCATGAGTAACAAAGTTTGCTACCAGCTTGTATTCAGTTCTTGGGTAACTGGATTCCTGATCATTTTCACTCCACTGATTTTAGGTCTTAACTTGGATTTCTGTGCTTCAAATATCATTGATCATTTCATTTGTGACATTTCTCTTATCCTACAACTTTCTTGCTCAGACACACATTTACTGGAACTGATTGCCTTTTTATTAGCTGTGATGACACTTATTGTCACATTGTTTTTAGTAATCCTTTCTTACTCTTACATCATCAAGACAATTCTGAAATTCCCTTCAGCTCAGCAAAAGAAGAAAGCCTTTTCCACCTGCTCTTCTCACATGATTGTTGTCTCCATCACTTATGGTAGTTGTATGTTTATCTACATAAAGCCATCAGCGAATGAAAGAGTTGCTTTAAGCAAAGGAGTAACTGTGCTCAATACTTCAGTTGCCCCGTTGTTAAACCCATTTATTTATACTCTGAGGAATCAGCAAGTTAAACAAGCCTTCAAAGCTGTATTTAGAAAGATATTTTCTGCTTCAGACAAGTAATACAACTTGTTGAAATAATTAACATGAAAACATAAAAGGATCTTTGAACAAAACACTAATTTGACTCTTCTAGTTTAAGAATTGATACCCAATATTCAATTATTTGTATGACTTTAGCTTGTCCAACAATCAGAACGTTTTTCATTCTATCCATTCTGACTTTAATTTTCTCTTTTTCAGTATTCAAACCTTTCTGTATTAGAAAGAAAACAATTGCAAAATTGATTTTCTCTAAAAGCATGTTAGAATAAAATAAATGAGTGGTTTTCAGTGATTATAGAATATAAGTTCTTCAAGAGTTTGATCTAAATAATTTATAAAAATTAAAAAATTATTTAAGAAAATTTGCGGGTACATAGTAGGTGTATAAATTTATGGGGTATATGAGATGTTTTGATACAGGCATTCAATGTGAAACAAATGCATCATGGAGAATGGTGTACCCATCCCCTCAAGTACTTATCCTTTGAGTTACAAGCAATCCTATTACATTTTTAAAGTTATTTAAAAATATACAATTTAGTTATTATCGACTGTAGTCTCCCTGTTGTGCTATTAAATAGTAGATCTTATGCTAAGTAATTTAAAGAAATGTACCTTGTTTTAGTTAAATGCCATGTTCTTTAAAAGTCTTAGATAAATCAAATATTGTCATTGTTAAAAAATATATTTAAAATGTTTCAAGAAAGCTTACTCCTTAAAAATAATGTAGAAAATTATTTTGTAAAGTGAACTTTTCGAACTGTCAATTGTCAACACAGAAAAGCGTAATTTCCTTTGAAGGGAATCATACATTTCATGTATGTGATATTTATTATTTATGTTGGACAGATTTTAGAAATTGCAGTAGAGAATAAAATATGGCTTTAATCACAAGCAGTTGATTTCACACACAATGTTTTTCAAGACCATATAAGCAAGTTTAATTTTTGAACATGTCAATTAATGTGTTAAGTAAATGGGAATATATAATGAATTGTATTACCTGTCACATGATTATTAGTTTAACTTTTGCCCAAGTTTCCCACAGTACATTATATTGAATATCAGTGTCTTAAAATTTGAGTGGTTTTAAAAATAATCTTATGTTTCATTTCCTCCAAACCAGAGATATGAAACGTTGGTTTTAAAAATAAGCTTATGTTTCATTTCCTCCAAACCAGGGATATGAAACTATGTGCTTTTCTTTTTTACTCACGTGTGTCAGTTGCTAGAGCACTTAGATATCACACTCTATATTTTTCTGATAAATATGTGGATATGCCATTATACCAATTGAATTATACTATGAGGGTGATTAAGCTACTTTACCTTGAAATGTGGCAGTGGTATTTGTTTCTATGTATATCTATAGTTACCATGAATTTACCTAGTCAATATTTCTGAAAATATTTGACAGTTAATTTTAATGGCAATGAGAAAAATAAACATAAAAAGACAAAATTTATTACAAGATTCCTGGTGGACTCATCTTCACAGTAAATTACAAGAAGATAAGTTTATTTACAAAGATGTATGCAAAGTCAAAAAGACAGATTTTTTCCCTCAAATATCAAGACAATGATTACTGCGTCACTTTGTCCAGAAAAACTGGAAAAGCTAAATGCATATGGCAGTGTGCTGCAGAAGCTTCTCATGTTTCATTATCTGTATAAGCTCATCGAATGAGAAATAAAGTGACATGTTCTGTTCACCACTTTCACCTCTTTGGTAGACTGTGTTATCTTAAGGAAATGTAAAGCAACTGTATCTCTCTTCCAACATGCTCTTACAATACAATTTTGAAACTCCTTCCAAGAAGTGGATTCTAAGTTTCCTTTCTTTGAATTTGGGTGAAAATAAGTGACCGCTCCACCTAGTAGAGTATGGAAGAAAAGATGCCTTGTGATTTCAAAATTAGGTGATAAAGATGTTATAGCTGCTGTCTAGATCCCTATGTTTTGGGACACTTACCTTTGGAATTCAACCACCATGCTGTGAAAAAGCCCAAACTGGCTCTAAGGAGAGACAACACAGAGAGGGGCATATAAAAAATAACTGAGGCCTCAAACCGACAGCCAGATGCCAACTACCAAACGTGCGAGTGAAGGTGATTTCAGCTCTTCCTCATATGGTAGACTGGAACATTTTCTGCTTATTATCATGACTGGAGGAATAGCAGCTCAAAAAAAGTAACACTCAATATACGAAAATCAATGTCTTAAACCGAACCATGCACTTTGTTTTTCTCATAAGATTACAACTTACCAAGAAATTGTAATGACCATCTTCTTATTTGCATGCTTGCAAATGTTTCCACAAATGACATCAATTTGCTTCACTTTCTCACAAAATTCATTTTTGTTGCTTTGTTCAAAATCTAGGTCCACTCATGAAACTGCATTGCATGTGGAAACACTGTTGAGCACTTGGCATAGAATTCAGCATTAAACGTCTTGGGTATATTGAGTAATTTTAAAAAGGACATGATGTCAACTAAAGGGACTCCAGCTAAACAAATCTGGAAGAAATTTAGAGTCATATAATAAAGAGAGCAACACATTATAACTCATAGAATAAAATTAAAACCTATACTGTATATACTTATATAGAATAAATAAAGAAAAAAGAAAGCTCTTTCATATAGTCAAATGGCAAGTAAAAAGTATAGAAAAAAATTGGGTTATAAAATGTCAAAAGATGTCAAGATAGTGAAAGTTTAATGAGAAAAGTATATATACATATTCTCAAATTATTACTTACCTATAAAGGAAAAGAGTAACTTTACAGTGGCAAGACCTGACAGATACCTCCTGAATGAAGTAATCAAAATTAGCCTTAGCACTAAAATAATGACAAAATATTTAGTTAAATAAGTCAATAGAAACAAAGCAAGAATATATTTAATTAAAACTAAATTAGTCAAGAAAGGAAAACAATGGAAAATAAAAGATGTGGGATAAATTTAAATGATGGTAGAAGAAAAGACATAAAGTAAACCACAGTAAATACAATACCAACAGACTTAATACCCAGTGAAAGATTTTCAGGTTAGAAGGGAAAAATAGCTTATTTACATGCTGGTTAACAAAAACATACCTTAGGTACAAAGACACAAGTGGGTTCAAGGTTTTTAAAAGGATAGAAAAAGAAAGCCTGCACAAACTAATTTTTTGTCCCTCCTACATGCAGTCAGTCTACTGTACTCTCCAACAGAGTCACTTGAAAGAGTAATTTTGATAATAATTTACTCTGCATTTTCTCTTGGCATACTTTTCTATGGAATTTAATTCTCTCTCAAAAGTCCAGTTTTGAAAGAATTGGTTTACTGAAAAATGTAAGATTTTTCATTTCATTAAAATCCCCAGCTAGGGTTGTGGATTTGCATGTGTTTCTTCTTTTCCCTGTTGATCTTTGCCTAGTATCTGTTGGTGTTATCATTAGGAATATACGTGTATAAGATTTGTTTGTCAAAGTTTAATTTACCCCTTCATCATTATGAAATTTTACTTTTCATTTTCATCAATATTTCTTGCCATAAAATTTCATTGGTTTGATATTAATATAGCCACACCACTTTGTTTGCTTTTTAAAATTTTATTTTAGTTTTACCCTGAATACCTTTTAATTCCAGCCTCTCACTTTCAATTGCTCTGTGCTCTTACATTTAAAATTTTCTCTTGTGATAATAAAAGTTTAAACTTTGTTCTGATAATGCTTATCTTTTCATTATAATGTTTAGTCTAGTAACATTTATATATATATTTTATTATACTTTAAGTTCTAGGGTACCTGTGCACAACATGCAGGTTTTGTTACATGGGTATACATGTGCCATGTAGGTTTGCTGCACCCATCAACTCATCATTTACATTAGGTATTACTCCTAATGTTATCCCTACCCCAGCCCCCCACCCCACAACAGGCCCTGGTGTGCAATGTTCCCCGCCCTGTATCCAAGTGTTCTCATTGTTCAATTCCCACCTGTGAATGAGAACATGCAGTGTTTGGTTTTCTGACCTTGTGATAGTTTGTGTAGAATGATGGTTTCCAGCTTCAGCCATGTCCCTGCAAAGGACACTAACTCATCCTTTTTCATGGCTGCATAGTATTCCATGGTGTATATGTGCCACATTTTCTCAATCCAGTCTATCATTGATGGACATTTGGGTTGGTACCAAGACTTTGCTATTGTGAATAGTGCTGCAATAAACATATGAGTGCATGTGTCTTTATAGTAACATGATTTATAATCCTTTGGGTATATACCCAGTAATGGGAATGCTGGGTCAACTGGTATTTCTAGTTCTAGATCCTTGAGGAATTGTCACACTGTCTTCCACAATGGTTGAACTAATTTATACTTCCACCAAAAGTGTGAAAGCGTTCCTATTTCTCCACATCATCTCCAGCATCTGTTGTTTTCTGACTTTTTAATGATCGCCATTCTCACTGGTGTGAGATGGTATCCCATTGTGGTTTTGATTTGCATTTCTCTGATAACCAGTGATGATGAGCATTTTTTCATGTGTCTGTTGGCTGCATAAATGTCTTCTTTTGAGAAGTGTCTTTTCATATCCTTTGACCATTTTTTGATGAGGTTGTTTGTTTTTTTCTTGTAAGTTTAAGTTCTTTGTAGATTCTGGATATTAGCCCTGTGTCAGATGGGTAGATTGCAAAAATTTTCTCCCATTCTGTAGGTTGCCTGTTCACTCTGACGGTAGTTTCTTTTGCTGTGCAGAAGCTCTTTAGTTTAATTAGATCCCATTTGTCTATTTTGGCTTTTGTTGCCATTGCTTTTGGTGTTTTAGTCATGAAGTCCTTGCCCATGCCTATGTCCTGAATGGTATTACCTAGGTTTTCTTCTGGGGTTTTTGTGGTTTTAGGTCTAACATTTAAGTCTCTAATCTATCTTGAACTGATTTTTGTATAAGGTGTAAGGAAGGGATCCAGTTTCAGCTTTCTCCATATGGCTAGCTAGTTTTCCCAGCACCATTTATTAAATAGGGAATCCTTTCTCCATTTCTTGTTTTTGTCAGGTTTGTCAAAGATCAGATTGTTGTAGATGTGTGGTGTTATTTCTGAGACCTCTGTTCTGTTCCATTGGTCTATATCTCTATTTTGGTACCAGTACCATGCTGTTTTGGTTACTGTAGCCTTGTAGTATAGTTTGAAGTCAGGTAGCATGATGCCTCCAGCTTTGTTCTTTTTGCTTAGGATTGACTTGGCAATGCAGACTCTTTTTTGGTTCCATATGAACTTTAGTTTTTTCCAATTCTGTGAAGAAAGTCATTGGTAGCTTGATGGAGATGGCATTGGATCTATAAATTACCTTGGGCAGTATGGCCATTTTCATGATATTGATTCTTCCTATCCATGAGCATGGAATGTTCTTCCATTTGTTTGCATCCTCTTTTATTTCATTGAGCAGTGGTTTGTAGTTCTCCTTGAAGAGGCCCTTCGCAACCCTTGTAAGTTGGATTCCTAAGTATTTTATTCTCTTTGAAGCAATTGTGAATGGGAGTTAACTCATGATTTGGCTCTGTTTGTCTGTTATTGGCGTATAGGAATGCTTGTGATTTTTGCACACTGATTTTGTATGCTGAGACTGCTGAAGTTGCTTATCAGCATAAGGAGATTTTGGGCTGAGACGATGGGGCTTTCTAAATGTACAATCATGTCATCTGCAAACAGAGACAATTTGACCTCCTCTTTTCCTAATTGAATACCCTTTATTTCTTTCTCTTGACTGATTGCCCTGGCCAGAACTTCCAGTACTATGTTGAATAGGAGTGGTGAGAGAGGGCATCCTTTTCTTGTGCCAGTTTTCAAAGGGAATGCTTCCAGTTTTTGCCCATTCAGTATGATATTGGCTGTGGGTTTGTCATAACTAGCTCTAATTATTTTGAGATACGTCCCATCAATAGCTAGTTTATTGAGAGTTTTTAGCATGAAGGGCTGTTGAATTTTGTTGAAGGCCTTTTCTGCATCTATTGAGATAATCATGTGGTTTTTGTCGTTGGTTCTGTTTATGTGATGGATTATGTTGATTGATTTATGTATGTTGAACCAGCCTTGCAACCTAGGGATGAAGCTGACCTGATCATGGTAGATAAACTTTTTATTTGTGCTGCTGGATTGGGTTTGCCGGTATTTTACTGAGGATTTTCACATCGATGTTCATCAGGGATATTGGTCTAAAATTCTCTTTTTTTGTGGTGTCTCTGCCAGGCTTTGGTATCAGGATGATGCTGGCCTCATAAAATGAGTTAGGGAGGATTCTCTCTTTGTCTATTGATTGGAATAGTTTCAGAAGGAATGGTACCAGCTCCTCTTTGTACCTCTGGTAGAATTTGACTGTAAATCCATCTGGTTCTGGACTTTTTTTTGGTGGTAGACTATTAATTATTGCCTCAATTTCAGAGCCTGTTATTGGTCTATTCAGAGATTCAACTTCTTCCTGGTTTAGTCTTGGGAGGGTGTATGTGTCCAGGAATTTATCCATTTCTCCTAGATTTTCTAGTTTATTTGCATAGAGTTGTTTGTAGTATTCTCTGATGGTAATTTGTATTTCTGTGGGATTGATGGTGATATCCCATTTATCATTTTTCATTGCGTCTGTTTGATTCTTCTCTGTTTTATTCTTTATTAGTCTTGCTAGTGGTCTATCAATTTTGTTGATCTTTTCAAAAAACCAGCTCCTGGATTCATTGATTTTTTGAAGGGTTTTTTGTGTCTCTATCTCCTTCAGTTCTGCTCTGATCTTAGTTATTTCTTGCCTTCTGCTAGCTTTTGAATTTGTTTGCTCTTGCTTCTTTTGTTCTTTTAATTGTGATGTTAGGGTGTCAATTTTAGATCTTTCCTGCTTCTCTTGTGGGCATTTAGTGCTATAAATTTCCCTGTACACACTGCTTTAAATGTGTCCCAGAGATTCTGGTCATTGTGTCTTAGTTCTCATTGGTTTCAAAGAAAATCTTTATTTCTGCCTTCAATTCGTTATTTACCCAGTAGTGATTCAGAAACAGGTTGTTCAGTTTCCATGTAGTTGTGCGGTTTTGAGTGATTTTCCTAATCCTGAGTTCTAATTTGAATGCACTGTGGTCTGAGAGGCAGTTTTTTTGTGATTTCTTTTCTTTTACATTTGCTGAGGAGTGCTTTACTTCCAACTGTGTGGTCAATTTTGGAATAAGTGCGATGTGGTGCTGAGAAGAATGTATACTCTGTTGATTTGGGGTGGAGAGTTCTGTACATGTCTATTAGGTCCACTTGGTGAAGAGCTGTGTTGAAGTCCTGGATATCCTTGTTAACCTTCTGTCTCATTGATCTGTCTAATGTTGACAGTGGGGTGTTAAATTCTCCCATTATTAATGTGTGGGAGTCTAAGTCTCCTTGTAGGTCTCTAAGGACTTGCTTTATGAATCTGGGTGCTCATGTATTGGGTGCATATATGTTTAGGATAGTTAGCTCTTCCTGTTGAATTGATCCCTTTACCATTATGTAATGGCCTTTGTCTCTTTTGAGTTGTTTGTCTCTTTGTTGGTTTAAAGTCTTTTTTTATCAGAGACTAGGATTGCAACCCCTGCTTTTTTTTGTTTTCCATTTGCTTGGTAGATCTTCCTCCATCCCTTTATTTTGAGCCTATATGTGTCTCTGCACATGAGATGGGTCTCCTGAATAGAGCACACTGATGGGTCTTGACTCTTTGTTCAATTTGCCAGTCTGTGTCTTTTAATTGGGGGCATTTAGCCCATTTACATTTAAGGTTAATATTGTTATATGTAAATTTGATCCTGTCATTATTATGTTAGTTGGTTATTTTGCCTGTTAATTGATGCAGTTTCTTCCTAGCCTCGATGGTCTTTACAATTTGGTATGTTTTTGCAGTGGCTGGTACCGGTTGTTCCTTTCCATGTTTAGTGCTTCCTTCAGGAGCTCTTTTAGGGCAGGCCTGGTGGTGACAAAATCTCTCAGCATTTGCTTGTCTGTAAAGGATTTTATTTCTCCTTCACTTATGAAGCTTAGTTTGGCTGGATATGAAATTCTGGGTTGAAAATTCTTTTCTTTAAGAATGTTGAATATTGGCCCCCACTCTCTTCTGGCTTGTAGGGTTTCTGCCGAGAGATCCGCTGTTAGTCTGATGGGCTTCCCTTTGAGGGTAACCCGACCTTTCTCTCTGGCTGCCCTTAACATTTTTTCCTTCATTTCAACCTTGGTGAATCTGATAATTATGTGTCTTGGGGTTGCTTTTTTCTAGTAATATCTTTGTGGTATTCTCTGTATTCAAATTCAGGAAATTTGAAGTTGGCCTGCCTTGCTAGGTTAGGGAAGTTCTCCTAGATAATATCCTGAAGAGTGTTTTCCAACTTTGTTCCATTCTCTCTGTCACTTTCAGGTACACCAAACAAATGTAGATTTGGTCTTTTCACATAGTCCCATACTTCTTGTAGGCTTTGTTCATTTCTTTTTATTCTTTTTTCTCTAAACTTGTCTTCTCACTTTATTTCATTAATTTGATCATCAATCACTGACACCCTTTCTTCCACTTGATTGAATCAGCTATTGAAGCTTGTGGATGCATCACGAAGTTCTTGTGCCATGGTTTTCAGCTCCATCAGGTTATTTAAGGTCTTCTCTACACTGCTTTTTCTAGTTAGCCATTCATCTAATCTTTTTTCAAGGTTTTTAGCTTTCTTGAGATGGGTTAGAACATGCTCCTTTAGCTAGGCGAATTTTGTTATTATCGACCTTCTGAAGCCTACTTCTGTCAACTCTTCCAAGTCATTCTCTGTCCAGCTTTGTTCCATTGCTGGCGAGGAGCTGTGATCCTTTGGAGGAGAAGAGGTGCTCTGATTTTTAGAATTTTCAGCTTTTCTGCTCTGGTTTCTCCCCATCTTTGTGGTTTTATCTACCTTTGGTCTTTGATGATTGTGACCTACAGATGGGGTTTTGGTGTGGATGTCTTTTTTATTGATATTGATGCTATTCCTTTCTGGTTGTTAGTTTTCCTTCTAACAGTCAGGTACCTCAGCTGCAGGTCTGTTGGAGTTTGCTGGAGGTCCACTCCAGACCCTGTTTCCCTAGGTATCACCAGCAGAGGCTGCAGAACAGCAAATATTGCTGCCTGATTCTTCCTCTGGAAGCTTCATCCCAGAGGGACACCCACCTGTATGAGGTGTCTGTTGGCCCCTACTGGGAGGTGTCTCCCACTTAGGCTACATGGGGGTCAGGGACCCACTTGAGGAGGTAGTCTGTCCGTTCTCAGAGCTCAAACACCGTGCTGGGAGAACCACTGCTCTCTTCAGAGCTGTCAGACAGGGACGTTTAAGTCTGCAGAAGTTTCTCTTGCCTGTTTTTCAGCTATGCCCTGCCTACAGAAGTGGAGTCTATAGAGGCAGCAGACCTTGCTGAGCTGTGGTGGGCTCCAGCCAGTTTGAGCTTCCTAGTCACTTTGTTTACCTACTCAAGCCTCAGCAATGTTGTATGCCCCTCCCCACACCTGGCTACAGCCTCGCAGGTCAATCTCAGACTGCTGCTCTAGCAGTGAGCAAGGCTCCATAGGCATGGGACCCACCGAGACAGGCACAAGAGAGAAGCTCCTGGTCTGCTGGTTGCTAAGACCATGGGAAAAGTGCAGTATTTGGGCAAGAGTGTCCCATTTTTCCAGGTACAGTCTGTCACTGCTTCCCTTGGCTAGGAAAGGAAAATCTCCCGAGCCCTTGTGCTTCCTGGGTGAGGTGATGCCCCGCCCTGCTTCAGCTCACCCTCCATGGGCTGCACCCACTGTCCAACCTGTCCCAATGAGACGAACCAGGTACCTCAGTTGGAAATGCAGAAATCACCTGTCTTCTGTGTTGATCACGCTGGGAGCTGCAGACCGAAGCTGTTCCTATTTGGCCATCTTGGAATGGACCTCACATTTTTATATTTATCAGCAATTACAAAGTATTTACTCTAATAATTATAATGGGTTTTATGTCTACTATCTTGCTAGTTATTTTCTATTTGCCTCATATGTTCTTCATTCTTATTAATACATTCATAAAATCATTTAGATCACACATTTTTTATTGTTCCATTTTTCTTATCTATTAACTTTTTAGTTTTATCATTTTGTAATATTCTTTTAATGATTTCAGTAATGAGTACAACATTTATTATTTGACTTTTTACAGCTTAGTTAGTATTTTTAACCACAACCTGAACAACATAAGATCTGCAAGAATGACTTGAAATAGTCTATCTCTATGTAGCTTTTTTTGCTCTTTGGTAATTATTGTCATGTTTTGTACTTGTATGCATATTTTAAACTCAGCAAAACATATTTTAAGATTTTTGTTTTGTAGTCTTTTACATTTACCTTTTTCTCTCTTCATGTCTTTGTCAGTTGCATGCATTTTCTTTTTTTTAACTGTAATTTTTGGTTTGTATTTTTGTGAAGGTTTGTTACATAGGTAAATGTGTCATGGGGGTGGGGGTTTGTGGTACATATTATTAATATTTCCTCACCCAGGTATTAAGATCAGTACCCAATAGTTATCTTTTCTTCTCCTCTCCCTCCACCCACCCTCCCCTCTCAAGTAGACTGCAGTGTCTGTTTTTTCCTTCTTTGTGTTCATAAGTTCTTATCATTTAGCTCCCACTTATAAGTGAGAACATTTGGCATTTGGTTTTTCTGTTTGTCCATTAGTTTGTTAAGGATAATAGCCTCCTGCTCCATCCATGTTCCCACAAAAAACATGATCTCATTCTTTTTAATGGCTGTATAGTATTCCATGGTGTATATGTACCACATTTTCTTTATGCAATCTGTTATTGATGGGCATTTAGGTTGATTCTATGTCTTTGCTATTGTGAATAGTGCCATGAATATTTGCGTGTATGTGTCTTTATGGTACAATGATTTCTATTCCCAAAATTATTTCTATTCCTCTGGATGTATACCCAGTAATGGAATTGCTGGTTTGAATGGTAGTTCTGCTTTTAGCTCTTTGAGGAATCGCCACACTGCTTTCCACAATGGCTGAACTAATTTACACTCCCACCAACAGTGTGTAAGTGTTCTGTTTTCTATTTGGAATCATTTTCCTTCAACTATAACAACTTTCTGTAGTGTGTCTTACTATGAAGCTATGCTGCCAATAACATTTAAATGCTTTTGTTTACTTTGCCTTTATTTTCCTTAGTATACAGCTCTGAAATGGAAGATTTTTTTCTTCAGGACTTTGAAGGTGCTATTCCATTATCCTTTGGCTTCCACTTTCTACTAAAACTATCAATTGTTTGTCTGGTTGTGCCTGCTTTTTCTGAGTGCTTTTAAGATTTCCTATTGGACTTCTTATGGTTTGATATGTGGTACACAGTTATGGTTTTCTTTGGCTCTTATTGAGGTTTCCTGAGATTCCCAAATCAGTTGATAGATATCTTTAGTAAGTTTTGGAAACTCTTTGGTCATTATGTCTTCAAACATTGTTTCTGCCATATTCTTTCCACCATTTGTGGGACATACACATATTTTGGAAAGTTTGTTTGTTTCATATGTCTCTGAACTTCTGTTTGAGTCTTTTCTTTTCTGATCTCTCTGAACTTGAGAGTGTGGATATTTCCAACTGACCTGCCTTTGAGTACAACAAATTTATCTTCACCTGTTTCCTCCTGTTTTACTCACCCCCAACTTTTAATTTCAAATATGACATTTCCTACTTTTAGAATTTTCATTTGATTTCTACATGTAGATTTCAGGCTCATTTTCAATTGTTCATGTTTTCTCTATTTTGTTTACCCTCTTCCTACATCTTTCAAATATTTATAATAGTTATTTTAAAGTGTTTACCAACAGGCTCCAACATCTGAGTCACCTGTGGACTGTTTTCCTTGTTTTTGCCCCCAACTTATGGTCACTTCTTTAATCATTTCTTTTAATTTTTTGTTAGATGGCAGACATTGTGGTTAAAATGTAATAATCTTATAATGGTTACATTTCAGAAATCTCATGCATTAGTGATATTTTCTCATTGTTTACTCAGAGTGTTTTTTTAGATTAAATGAATATCGAAACTGTCGGGCAGTCAATAACAAGGTACAAAATAGTATATCAATTGTAAATTATCTGCACTTTTAGTTCAGGGAGAAGACTAAAAGTGGATAGATCCACCATCTGTTCATTTTGTATCTAGTATGGGAATAAATGTATCTTAATTAATAAATCTATCAGAATAAACACAGTGCCTCATAAAAAAGGACACATTAGTGGCCATATGGATTTTAAGCTTTATAAATATCCCCTGGCCACAGGAAACCACTGTTTGTTCATTTATTTTTTAGTTGATAATTCACAGTTTTTATCAGTGCAAAGAAATGCATTAAGAAACTTCATCACAATTTCATTTGCCCCCCAATTTTAGATAACTGTACCAATGTTTTTTTCCAGGATAATATGGCCTTGAAAAATATTTATCTTAATGCTTTCTTTAGGCCACATGTGGTGGCTCACGCCTGTAATCCCAGCACTTTAGGAAGCTGAGGTGGGCAGATTACTTGAGGCCAGAAGTTTGAGACCAGCCTGGACAACATGGCAAAACCCATCTCTACTAAAAACATGAACAAATTAGCTGGGTGTGGTGGCACACACCTGTAATGCCAGGTACTAGGGAGGCTGGGGCATGAGAATCCCTTGAATCTTAGAGGCAGAGGTTGCAGTAAGCTGAGATTGCACCACTGCACTCCAGACTGGGCTGAAAAAAATAAAAACAAAAAAACTTTCTTTAAAGAAAATTATGTTATAATTTTATAGTTGAATGTAAACATCTGAAGGTTTACAGAAAGTTTATAAGTACAAGGCAGCCCAATACTATGTGGATATATTAGGATAAAAGAAGAACTGTTTTCAAATGATCAGTCTAAATAGGGGAGACTGGTCTAATTAAGTATATTTAACAGAGAACTGGGGAATTATTGCTATGGTTAGGGAGATGTGAGCTGGGGTTCTAAAAATTTAACTACTTTTGTCACAGTTCCTTTACCACAGGGCCAGCTCCTTAGACCCCGTTGCATGCTTGGGCAAAATGATGATAGCATAGTCAGTGGCTTCCTCACTATCCAAGACTGCTTTCTATATGACATCACTCTTAACCTAGGTGAAGTGATTAGGTTCATGTGCCTCAGAGGTTCTCTGTACCTCACAGTTTAATACTCCAGGCTAAGAATTTCACTGGCTTCATCTAGGTGTATTTGCATTTCCTTTTAAAATTATTTATTTATTTATGATACAGAGTGTCATTCTGTCACTCAGCTGGAATCCAGTGGCACAATCATAGCTCACTGCAGTCTTTAACTCCTGGACTCAAGTGATCCTCCTGCTTCAGCCTCAAAAGTAGCTGGGTCTACAGGCATGTGCCATTGTGTCTGGCTAATTTTTAAAATATTTCTAGAGACAGGATCTCTCTATGTTGTCCAAGGCTGGTCTCCAACTCCTGGGCTCAAATGATCCTTCCACTTCGCTCTCCCAAAGTGTTGGGATTATAGGTATAAGCTGCCACACTTGGCCTGTATTTGGATTTCTATGTGCACCAAGATTCCTCTATTTTCTGCTTAGACTTTTAGGGAGCACCAGATATCTGGAGTGGTGATCTTGTTTTACCAAAGCTCAGGATGGAGCTTTGAACTGAGCTAGAATATTGATCTACAGGGTGGTGATGTTCTACCTAAAATCCATTTTACCTGGAACACACTTATGTTAAGATCAAGCAGTGATTTGATTGGAAGCCTTTGTTAAAAGTTTCCAAAATCAGGTTTTTTAAAAAAAATTACAGACTCATTGGTTTAATAGGATGCCAATAATCAGAACATATAAATAATTTCAAAGCCATGCTCCCAATTCTGAGAATTTACTTTAGGAGCCAGAATGTCAGAACATATGCATGAGAGCTATTTAAATAAGTGCTATAGTGTATGTTGGTCTGATAAAATGAACATATTTTAATCCTATTTGAAGCAGCTGTTCAGTATCAGTGACTTTCATTCTTTTCTTTTCAACTATTATATTCCTCACCTTATACCTACAAGGCAAAAGAATACTATTTTTCACTCTGAGTGAAATCTCAAAGCTTCTGATGTGAATTACTAAATATCATTGTTTTTCCTTAGTGAAGATTAACACTTAGGAGTAACATCTAAAGAAGATGGGAACAATGCTACCTGGCTTAGTTTCTTTGCTTCTACTCTTCTATCTGTTTCAATTTGCATATTGGTGTCCTGAATGGTTTTTAACTAATATATTTTATAATATGTTATCCAACTTAAGAGTTAATTTTAAAAATTTAGTCCTGCTTTGCAAATATATAATATATAATAGTTACATTTACTTTGGTTTAGATTATGAATATTTTAGAGAGTCTTTTGTGCAGGTTTCCTAATTTAGATATTTCTTATGTGATTTCAGTACATGAGAGCTCTGAGGTGAATGCTTCCTGAAGTCATGCTGATAATAAATATGTTTCAATATTGGCAGGGAGGTGATTGCTTCAATTTTATGCCATCTACTTTCTCCTTATCAAAACATAAAATCTTACTTAAACTAGAATAGGACAGATTCTGGTATATAAAATCTGTTGCATAAATTGTAAGATTTTAATTTTTTTCTTTAAAGTCAATAAAGCCATTTAAAAAATAGAAGCAGACACATTGATAAACTAACATTGTAATTTTATATAAAGAGAGCAAGAGAGAGAGAAAGAGAGCTGTGTGAGCTCATATATTTCCAGTTAAAGTATCTTTTCTCACTCTGCTCCCACCTCAAAGGAAAAGTCATATAGTGGATTGAACATGATTTTAAATCAGAAATCAGGCTCCATCATTTCCTACCTATGATATATTGGCCAGTGTATGCAACCTTTTTATTTCTATATTTTGATGCACTTAAAATGCATTTACAGGATGGTAAAGACATTAATTATGACATTTACAAAGAGTTTGATGTGGTTCAAAAGTGGCAGTTATTTTCAAAATTATGTCAATAGAAATAATTTGAAGAAATGTTTTATTGCTATGTCAAAGCCCACTTTTGATATTTAAAATAAATAATCCCTGAGTTTGTAATTCAGTGAGGTTTTTTTTCAATTTTCTTGTAATAATTTAATCTTCATCCTTTTCAGCCTGTGGAAGTAATTATTTCTTTCAGCTCTAACCTTTTAAACTTTTGAATATTTTCCTCTATTTTCCACTTGATCATAATTCTATTTTTTTTACATTTTTAGTTTCTTCTTTTCTCTGTATAAAAAAGAATATTGGTTGGTTATCCTCCATATCTTCTTAACCCTTTAATTACTTTTATGTTGTGGTAAATAGTTATCTTATTTAATAAGCACTTAAATTTCGGTGTTTCAATTTGCTCTTATGCATTCATTCTGATTTTGTAACCCATAATAAGTGATTTTATGTTTACATTTGTTTTAAATTAAATGTATACATTTTGCATGAGTTTCCTCTCATGTAATATAAAGCAATAGCTAATATGTCTTGCCAGAGATTTTGAAGGTGTTTCCATTTCTTCAAATAGGATTAATTTTAACTCCTGTTGATGTCTTCTTTCCCAGTTATCCTGATAGACCTGGAATACCTTATTTGATTTAATTTATTTTTAATATATGTCTCTCATTGCTTTCTATTTTTTGTTTTGATTCTTAGATTTACAATATTAATTTTGATAATTTTGTATTAGAGAAAGAATTTTTATTACTACATAAATTAACTTGTAGATAATGTATACACTGATAAGTATTCTTACTTTTTTCTTCCCTAGAGAAATGAAGAAAAGACTAGATCAGAAGTGGAGAAAACCTTGATTTTTGGAAATGTAATTTTTAGTTTCACAATGAGGGAAAACACAATGTATGACCTTGGTTCGAAATAATAAGGATTTTGATAAAGATGGGATTAGGATGCAATATTAAATGTCATTGAGAAGGTTCACATGACTAAACTGTAGTCAGGAAGCAATGAAATAAGTTAAAAGCTGTAGGATGACATTTAGGGAGCCTTCTTCATTCACTTTATGCCAATTCATCACAGCTTCTACTTCTTTGAGAGAAATGCAATCCTCTTTATAGAGTCACTGAAAGCTTGTTTCACTTGCTTGTTCCTCAAGGTGTAAATGAAGGGGTTCAACAAGGGTGCGACAGAAGTAGTAAGAACTGAAACTCCTTTATTTATGGCCACCTCATCTTTTGCAGAGGGCTTGATATAGATGAAGATGCAGCTTCCATAGGCAATGGAAACCACAATCATGTGGGATGAACAGGTAGAAAAGGCCTTTTTCCTTTGCTGAACAGAAGGGAACTTCAGAATTGTTCTGACTATGTACAAGTAGGACAGAATCACACAAACTAGGGTGATAATGAGTGCAAATACAGCCATAAGTATAACCATCTGTTCTATTACCCATGTATCTGAGCATGAGATCTTTAGGAGAGGACCTGCATCACAGCTAAAATGATCAATGGCATTGGAGTCACAGAATTCGAGCTGGAGGCCTAAGCTAAGTGGTGGAACAATGATCATCAAGCCAGCCACCCAACAGCAGAGAACTAATAAGGTACACACCCTGTTGTTCATGATGACCACATAATGAAGGGGTTTACAGATGGCCACATAGCGGTCATAGGACATGGCTGCCAAGAGAAAAAATTCTGTTGCTCCAAAGAGAATAACAAAGAATATTTGACTGGCACAAGCATTGTAGGTAATGGTATTGTCCCCCATTGATATATTGTACAAGAATCTGGGAATGCAGACTGTAGTAAATGAGACTTCTAAGAAGGAAAAATTTCTGAGAAAGAAGTACATAGGAGTTTTAAGGTGGTGGTCCACCAATGTGAGGGTGATAATAGTCAGGTTCCCTGTTACACTCAACATGTAGGTGAGAAATAGAAAGATAAAAAGCAGAACTTGCAGGTGTGGGTCACCTGTCAGTCCCAGCAGGATAAAAGTTCTTATTACTGTGTGGTTTTTCATCACTGTTCTTTGATATCTACCCAATCCTCCTTTAAAAATCACGGTTTATGAGGGGGTAGATATTTGAATTCTATAGCAAAAGGATATGCATCTAGAAGCCAAGCTGACCAGCCTACTTTTATTTTCTCCCTTTATAGAATAATCAATGTTGCCAGTGTTCCAATAACCTTTCTAAATTTCACATATATGAGCAGTGGATATCTCCTTAAGAAATCAAGTTTTGTAAAACAATCCAACTTTTTCTTTGATCATTCCTTATCCATCAGAATTTACAAATGCAGTTGATTGTAGTTTGTTACATGGAATGGATTTACAAATGGGTTAGAAAGAAATGATGTCATTTTATAGGTACTTAAACATTTTTTGTCCAGGACAAACTCTGAATATAGGATATATCCAGGTAATTAATAACATTAATTCTCTTCAGTTGTTATCATCTGAGGATTGTATTAAGATTAAATTACATTTTTCCTGAAAAACAAACAAACAACAATGACAACAGAATACAACCGTTGTCCCTGAGCCTTTCCCCGGTCTTTTTATTCTTCTCTGCTGGCATTCCTTATTCTCAACCCTCTAGTACCTGTAGATGGGTTGATGTACAATTATTTTATCTATAATGTGAGAAAAAGTTGTGTTCAAGGTTTTTACAAAATGAATATTCTCATAGGCTTTCATTTGATGTTCAGTTGTGATTCCTTTCCTTTCAAGCTCCAGAAGCAAATCTACATTTAACACCACTAAATATAGTCTTCTAGGCTGCGTCTTTTTCAATATATCTTTAGGTCCTTTAGAAAGACATCGTATGTTCTCACTTATTCGTGACATCTGAAAATCAAATCAGTTGAACTCATAGACATAGAGAGTAGAAGGATGTTTACCAGAGGCTGGGAAGTATAGTGGGGGGTTCGGGGGTAGGTGGGAATGGTTAATAGGTACAAAAAAATAGAAAGGATAATTACTATTTGATAGCACAATAGGGACACTATAGTCAATAATAACTTAATTGTATATTTTAAAATAACAAATAATATAACTGAATTATTTGTAACTCAAAGGATAAATGCTTGAGGGGATGGACAACTCATTCTCCATGATGTCTTATTTAATATTACCTCCCTGTATCTAAATATTTCATGTGGCCTATAAATACATACATTTGCTATGTACGCATAAAATTAAAAAAAATTTAAAAAGACATTAACGTCTCCTCATCTCACCCCTACTCAATTTATGCTTTAACCCTCTGTGTCCTCACTTTCACCTCCACCCCCTGAAGAATCTGCAAAGACTTCATTACTGTTGAAGCTAAGGGCACATTTAGGTTTTTAATCCTGCCTGTAATTGCTATAGTATTTTTGTTTTAAAGTTCAATAATTCTTTCAATGGGCTTCATGTCTAATACTGATATTCTTTCTATATCTGTCTTTTTATTGTTTCTCTTTTTAGTCTCCTCTTTCTCCATCTGTGAAATATTGGTATTCTCAATAATCTTCAGACCTCCTGCTTCTTGTTTTCTGTTTGTTACTCTTCTTACCCTCTACTCTTCAAGGGTGATTTGATGATCATGTATGTGATGTAGCCAAAGATCAGGTAAAAAGCATTGCTAAGTATACATCACAAGTTGGGTGTTCCACAGACACCTCACATACCACATGCTCTAAGTCAAGTCATGCTCCTTCTTTGAGATTTCTGTTCCACTGGTGTTACCTATTGCTTGTTACAGGTTAATCACTTTCATGTGGACTGCCAGGCTCTTCATGGGCAGGACCTTCCTTGATTTTCCCATCTCATCACTTACCATTTTCTTACCTTTCTTCTTCATAGCTCAAGTTGCCTTAGCATTGACTACTTGCAATTCTTCAATTTTCTACATGCTCTTGTCTGCACAGGCTAATCTTTTGACTGACTGGTGCATACATATTGATTCTTCAAGGAAATGTTCATTTACCCACACAGTGAATGTGAAACTATGCTCCTGTGTCTTTTCCCAAGTACTTATGTACTTGGTTTGGATTATATCACATTGTATTATACTCTTCACTATACTTGTATTTCTCCCGTATGTTTCTGTAAACTTCTTTAGAGACAATATTTTATATATCCTTATTTTCTCTTATATCTGGCCTATGTAGGGTTCTTGGTAAGTTTAGTGAAGAAATAAAACAGATTTGTCTACATAGTGACAGTAAGCTATATTTTTAATGCTTATTCCTGTCAGTTGGTTCAAAGTTCTTATTTTCATACCTGTTTCAAACTGCACTATCATTTTTAGTACATTCTTAGACAAAAGGCCAGACTATTTTCAATTCAAAGTTCTGCAAATGCTATTTTGCTAATACATTTTCCAGAGTTTTTTTTTGCTCTCTGAACTATTTCTTTCTTTACCTTGATATTATAATTCCTTACATGCTATTGTTATCTGCTTGGTTGTTTATAGTAATCTCTTTCCTGACCTTTTCCTTCCTAAGAACTTAGAATTTTTTTTTCCTTTTTTCCAGAATTTGATTCTCATATATCATTTTCTAGAGACTAGAATTGTTTTACTCTCTGTTTTCCTCTTTTTTTAAAGGCCAAAACCACCTACTATGTGTCTAAAGATTCATTTCTTTTCTAAGAGAGACTTCGGATTCTCTTATGGAAAAATCAGGTGGAATTCATACAGATTATATGCATGGATATACCCAAGAAGTTCAAAGATATCCTAATACTCTTAGGATCAGTGGATCTTTAGGGTCACTCAAAAGTAAACACTATGAATAGGAGCTTTGTTCTTTCTCTGTTACATCTTTTACTGCTGTGGAGACTCTGCTTGACACATAGCATGTGTTCAACAATTTTTCAATGAGTTAATGTACCTTTTATACAACTGTATCTGTATTTTTATCTCTTAAAAAGCAGAGTTTTAAAAGTTTTTTTGAAAAACCCATTTTTAAAAAGTATTTTAAAGTTTAGACAATATTAAGCTAAAAGGCTTATACTGCAATGTCAAGAAGATTAGAATTGCTGCTATGCTTATGATTATTACCAAGGTAGAATTTTCTTTTTTGTTTAAATAATTTGCTTTCTTATTTATATCCTAAAGTCTGTTTCTTTCATACCAACACTCCTAGTACATTTGCTGATTAATACAACCTGAATGTATTAGTGAAATAGTCTTTTTATTTGCATAATTCTAGTTCCACCCATCTCTTTCTACACATATTAGAAGGTTCATTTAGTTGCCCAATTTTCTGTGCTATAATAGAACCAACCTCAGTGAGGAGTGTTTTTAGAGAAACAAAAATACTTAGCATAAAGAAATATGAACAAACCTACTTCTTGTAATAGAAAAATAATGTCATTACATTTCCATAGCCTGGAATAATCATGGAGTTTAAAACACTGTATTATTCAGCTTTTCTTTGCCTGGTCAGAACCCCTCCCTCTTTTTCCAGTACATCAGTCCACCTAAAATACTACAGCATTCTAAATTTCTTATGACCCAACACTTTTGAGTTAAGGAAAACAACGCTACAATAGCAGTATATTTCTTTTTTCTTTTCTTTTCTTTCTTTTTTTTTTTTTTTTGCAGTGAATGGAAGCCAGATACAGGATAAGGTAAAAGATATGTGGGTAGGAAAAGTTTAGTTTTAGGTCTTTTTTTTTTTTTTTAATCCTGTCTTTTTTGGTGATTCTATTACCCCTCAGGAGGGGTAATCATGGTTAAGTTTCTTTGCTATGTTGGAATTCTCAGGAGTTTGGAACCAGGTATAGTGAAAAAATAACTGTGACTACTCAGCTAACAGTTTTTAAATTTTTTTCTATAATTAAATTAATTAATTTCTAATTAATGTTATACAAATTCACTCATCCTTATATTTTCAAAATGAACAGATAAATGGTAGTAATTTGGAGAATGCTGGGGAATTTAGAACACAACTTATGAAATGGGAGAAAATATTTACAGACCATATATCTGATAAGGGCTTAATCTCCAAAATACATAAAAAATTCCTACAATTCAATAGCATAAAAAAGACAATGCAATTTAAAAACAGGCAAAAGAGTTGAATAGAAATTTCTCCAAAGAAGACTTATGAGTGGCCAAAAGGTATATAAAAAGATGCTTAATATCATCAATTATCAGGGAAATGCATATCAAACTACAATGAGATATCACCTCACACATATAAGGATGGCTATTAAAAAACAAGAAAAACAAAACAAAAGGTAACTTTGGGCAAGTACATAGAGAAATAGAAACGCTTGTACACTCTGGTTAGAAATGTAAAATGGTGTAGCCACCATAGAAAATAGTATGAAACTTTCCTCAAAAAATTTAAAATATAACTACTATATGATCCAGTAATCCCACCTGTTGGTATATATGCAAAATTATAGAAATAAGGAGTTTAAAGAACTAACTTTACTCTTAAATATTGAGCATTATTCACAATAACCAAGATATGGAAACAACCCAAATGTCCATCAACAGATGAATGGATAAAGAAAATGTGGAATATATAATACAATAATGGAATGTTGTTCAGCTTTAAAAAGAAGAAAATCATGTGATTTGTGACCACACAGATGAACCTACAAGAGGTTATACTAAGTGAAATGATCCAGTTACAGAAGGACAAATACTGCATGATTATACTTATATATGGCATGTAAAATAGTCAAATTCACAGAAGCGGAGAGTTAGAATCTTGGTTGCCAAGGGTTGAAGTGATGGGAAAATGGGGAGTTGTTGTTCAATAGTTATAAAGTTTCAGTTATGCAGGATGAGTAAGTTCTAGAGATCTGCTGAACAACATGGTGCCTATAGTTAACAAACCTTATTGTGCACTGGAAAGGCTTAAGAGAATAGATATCATGTTAAGTGTTTATGTAAAAAAAAAAAAACCCAAAAACTAAAAAGAATCCAAGAAAACTAACTTAAGACTCACAGAAACTTTGGAGGAGTGATGGATATGTTTATCACCTTGATTGTGGTGATGGTTTCATGGTTGTGTGCAAGTGCAGTTTTTAGTATAGATTATACCTCAATAAAACTGTTAAAACGTATATAGTGAGGACCATGAGACTATCTAAATGAATCGTAACTTCTGTAAGTATTAACAGGCTGCAGCACATTCTGCAGAATAGCATTCAGCCCTAGACTCACTGGTCTAAGTTCCTTGTGAATAGACTAGGCTATCGGTGAATTGCATCTACAGGTGTAAGTTCAACAATACGGTTTGGAGAGGAGATAGAATACTTGTTCTGACGGTCTTAAAGACAAAATTTACCTATTTAATTATTGGACCTATGGTTTGCCCTTTTCTACTTTTCACCTTCTCACACGATCCTTTACCTGAACTTTGAGTTTAACCAGCCTCTCATCTCTTTTTCTCTTCAGAAATGCAATGGCACTTTTAATTTTTTTTTCAGTCTTTATATTGTATTGACTAAGAGTGAATATATCTTCCTCTTTTTCAGAAGACAAGTTGTGACAAGTGTATTTTGCCTCCACAGCTTTTGTTCTCCACACTCAACTTTCTAAATTCCCAACCTCTTTTTGCCTGATTCCCTGAGGTATACTGGCTGTGTGCATTTATTGCATGGAGTTCTCCACTCTTCTCAAGGAATTAAGCAGCTCTGGATCCTTCTCTCTCTTTGCTTTCCTGTCAGAGCACATCCACTAAATTCTGTGTTAGGATATGCTTCCACCTAGCTGTTGGAAAATATGATGCAAGCCATGCACAAGGCGAGGCTCTGTATTTTGAAACTCATTTAATTTACACTAAAATTACCACTGGCCGGGCGCGGTGGCTCATGACTGTAATCCCAGCAATTTGGGAGGCCAAGGCGGGCATTCAAGACCAGCCTGACCAACATGGAGAAGGCCCATCTCTACTAAAAATACAAAATTAGCCGGGTGTGGTGGCACATGCCTGTAATCCCAGCTACTCGGAAGGCTGAGGCAGGAGAATTGCTTGAACCTGGGAGGTGGAGGTTGCGATGAGCCAAGATCTCGCCATTGCACTCCAGCCTCGGCAACAAGAGCGAAACTCCGTCTCACGAAAGAAAGAAAGAAAGAAAGGAAGGAAGGAAGGAAGGAAAGAAGGAAAGAAGGAAATTACTACTGTAGTGTTTATCCAATGCTTTACTTTATTCTTCCAGAAATACTTGCATTTGACTAGGTTATTTAGTGTGTATAATTCTCTGAATTAGAAATATCAAAGACATTTGTCACAAGTATAGTTTTCTGGGACACAGAGCTAATACGTTTTAGCCAGGAAATAGGCAAATGAGGTTAGGCCCTAGTGGATAAATTAGAAATTAGAATAGCTGTGGTATAATTACCAAGAGTTTCATATGCACATCAATATTTGAGAACCACCTAGGCAATTAAGGAAGTTTGTTGCCCGCCCTTGACATCATCATCTAAGCTGCCTATCAGTGTTGTCCCTTATGCCATCAGCAATCACCTAATTTATATATTTATAATTTCAGGCACAAATGAAGGATGACTAAAATACTAACTGGCTTCTTTAATTTGCATTATGGGTCTTATTTTGTTCATGTCATCTCTGACCATTATGACATTCTTCAGCAAGAGGAAATGAGTTTATTTCTGTTCATGGAGCAATAACTGCTTCCAGTCCTTAGCCTGCATTAATTATTTATAATGGTAGCTACAAACATATGTCTTATCTGACAACACAGTCTCTAGGGTTCTTGCTATTTCTCCATCACTCAATGAAATTGTATCTCCTTATAAGATACCAATTAGTTTGTTATATGAATGCTTTTTCACCTGCTTTGCGTATAAAAAATTACTGCAAATATCATCAGTCTTCTGGGCCTGGGAAAATGAATTCCTTACTCTTATGGACATGTGCTTCATAAAATCCCATGTGATACATATGGCAAGGCCCATCTTGCTTTAAAGGTACCATTACAGGAAAATACATACTTATGCAGAAAGCCTAATACAAATCTGTTAAGAGAGATGGTACGAATCTGGCATAATGAGAATGAAGATGCTAACAGAGCATACTGGCCAGTAAGACACAGTCAGCTTGTCACATATGCTTACTTCTTAGTACTTCTTAGTGAAACTCTCAAGGTTTTTCAAGAAATCCATAAAACTAAAACTGTTGCCTTTGATTACCTTACTGCCCCCAAAACTGGTCTCTTTGCGAAACTCTCACACTATTCATCATCTTATTCCAGGAAAGAAAAACAGTTCCTTGTTTTCAAATATTCTGAGGTTTTTCATGTTGCCTCAATCCTCTTTCATGCAAATACCATTTTTGACTTTGTTAGATAAAGTCAATGTATTCTAAGTTTTGCTTTTATACAAGCAAAGTAGTGTACTAGTAATTTACTATGCCTTTTTCTTTGATTTTGGTTTAAGAACTAATTTTCTCCCAACTACTTCAGGGTCATGAAAAGTGCAATAAGCAGCATAAACTATGAAGTAACTGAGAATTGACATCCTTTCTGTCATCTTCGTTTTCATGCCTCTCCCTTTGAACACACACTAGGAAAAAGCTATCTTAGTGAAATAGTCTTCTACGCCTTGATCGTCTTGTGCAGTGCAGTGCATCATGAGCAACAACACAAAGGTCTCTCGGTCTTAGTGTCACTTAGACATTAAGGGAGCATTTTTGTTGAACTAATAAATATGAGGGATTGAATTATTTCTGGCCAGACATTTAACCATAAGAGAATATTTACAATTTAGAAAAAAGCTAACATTATAAGCAATGTAATATAAGCAATGTAATATGCTTTTTTGTATATATTCCAAGGATTTGGAAGCATATTTCTGTGTGTCCTTTATATTTTATGGGTGACCACAAACTACTGCATGTGTGACTACACAGGAATGCATAAATATGTCCTAGCTATGATGTTTAGTCTTGTCAAAGATCTGTTAATAGTTTAAAAACATGTTCGCTACAGTTTTCCATATTAAAAATTTGAAACAAGCTTAAACTAGCAAAATTACAGAAGAGTACTCCAACAAAAATTTCTTTCTCTTATCTCTCAAATGAGAAAGTAATTGTCATACCTACCTTAAAATACTTACTGTTTTGATAATTTTTCACGATTTCAGGTGGCAGCTCCCTAATGGGTTGAACTGTGTTGTGTTAAGGAAGTTGTAACTTTGTACTGGTTTAACTTGATCATCAACCTTCAGGTACTTCCTGAAGGATCTTGAGGTCTCCTAGTTTTGCATTTTCACGCTACAATAAACACTCTTTTTAGAAACTTCCTTATTTTACACTTTGGAAATATTTTCCTTGGACTCTGTCATAATGGTAAGAAATTTTGATGTAAGGGAGGAAAGCAACAGATTTCCTCTGATTTCAGAAGAGCAGAGAGTTAGCTTTTCTATCCCCAAAATATTTATTTTTTCTGCTCTATCTCTTGGAAGTGCACTGGGATCATATGAATAAATAGAGGATCCTTAGTGGCCAGGTTCAAACATCACTAATGAAGCTTCTGTGTAATTAACTTTGGCAAAGCAACTAAAATAGGAGGCAACAGAGACACTTTCTTTTGAGAGAGTAATGCAGAACAATAGCATCAGATAGAGGCCTGGTGCCCATGCTAATGAGAAAAATAATGCACAAGTCTGATTCTATTTCCTAATACACTTTTATAAGGATATGAGTATGTCTGTTTTTTAATAATCAAAATATTTTGCTTAATCTAATCCCCCATAATATAATTTGGTGAAGTATCTACCATATATGGAAATCAGTGTGGATGAAAGTTACTATGTATACAGAGATATTGTAAAATCAGTTCATATTGTGTTAATCATAGGATAACTTATTTACATTTGAAAAACAGAAGAAATTACATAGGTCAGATATATTATTTATTCTGTCTACAGACAATGTCTTGTAAGACCATCATTACATGGATGACCTTCAAAAACAGTTCACACCATTAAGAACCACTGTTTCAATGCATTCCAGCTTTGTAATGTTTGTTTCTGGGATTTTTAAATAAGCGTATTTAAAAGTAACATCTCAAACTGACTGTGAATGCTTTAAAAGTGCACAAAATTAGGTTTGGAGGGCTGGCCAGAAGTATTGCTTAAGGTTAAATAACAAAGAGATATGAAAGTCATAGCCTCTATGTAAATTTTTATCAATAAGATTTTATTGTTTCTTTTGTGTATGTTATGCTTCCATCATTAGATTCATTGTCAAGTATTTGTGTAGTTCTATGTTATTTTCAATTATATATAATATATAGTTATATAATATTTACATATTATTTATACATAGCATATTTTTGATATAATGATATTAGAAATTCATTTAATTTTGCAGATTACCATTGCTCCATCAACATTGTTAAACTTAATTATACTATTAAAATTGTCTATAGAATATGTTGAATGTTTTTATGTACACTTCGTAGATTTTTTAATGATTATTCAGGGCCCCTCCATTTAAAAGAAATTTATTTCTTGACCTGTAGACTTCCTTTGAAGTGAAAATATAGCAGCAACAGCCTAGGTTATGCTGCAGTAGTGAAAATTTTAGTAAAGTCATCACCTGAGATAATCTGAAAGGTAGATATATACCAAAAGCATCTGTGGCTTTATGAATGGGAATTTGGAATTAACCTGTTTGCTATAAAGAAACTGATAAAAGAATTGGCCTATTTGGCACTTGGTATGAATGGGAATAGAGAAGATCCACAAACAACTGGGAATTAGATTTGAAGATCCAACCATATCTCACCTCCCCAAGTTAAAAATAAAATTTAGTCATTCTTTGAGGTATATTAAAACCATCTCACAGCAAGAACATGCCAGTGATGTTGCTACCACATTATTTGTTTCAGCCTCTGAATCTATTAACTCAATATCTTAACATTAAGTATGTAATTTCTGTTGGGTGTGGGACTTTTTCAGAAGGACATAGCTCTGCCTTAAAAATCTCTTAAGTTTAAAGTATCTGTAATTAAGTGTAAATAGGCACTTAAAAATAATAATGAGTGAGATTATTGATATATACAAGTAAGAATCCAGCATGTTAAAAGAGGATCATGTTTTTGAGTGGTTAGCCTGGGTAGGAGAGATTGAATGTAAATCAATTTTCTGCTCCACAGTCTGTAGACAAAAAGAAAAAGAAAAAAGAAGGCTAAGAAATAAACTTAGTCCCAAGGGAGTTTTATTTTTCTTTAATGTTTGTTGAGGGAAGTCAGGGACCCTGAATGGAGGGACAAGCTGAAGCTATGGCAGAAGAACATAAATTTTGAAGATTTCATGGACATTTATTAGTTCCCCAAATTAATACTTTTATAATTTCTTTTGCCTGTCTTTACTGCAATCTCCGAACATAAATTGTGAAGATTTCATGGACATTTATCACTTCCCCAATCAATATTCTTGTGATTTCCTATGCCTGTCTTTACTTCAATCTCTTAATCCCGTCATCTTCATAAACTGAGGATGTGTGTCACCTCAGGACCCTGTGATGATTGTGTTAACTGCAAAATTGTTCATAAGCATTTATGTTTAAACAATATGAAATCTGGGCACCTTGAAAAAAGAACAGGATAACAGTGATGTTCAGGGAACAAGGGAGATAACCGTTAGGTCTGGCTGCTTGAGAGCCGGGTGGAACAGAGCCATATTTCTCTTCTTTCAAAAGCAAATAGGAGAAATATCACTGAACTCCCCTTTCTCAGCAAGAAACAGCCCTGAGAAAGAGAATGCATTCCCAGGGGTAGGTCTCTAAAATGGCCGCTCTGGGAACATCTGTCTTTCACAGTTGCAGATAAGGGATGAAATAAGCCCCGGTCTCCAGTAGTGCTCCCAGGCCTATTAGGACAAGGAAATTCCCACCTAGTAAATTTTTAGTCAGACTGGTTGTCTGCTCTCAAACCCTGTCTCCTGATAAGATGTTATCAATGACAATGCATGCCCGAAACTTCAATAGCAATTTTAATTTTGCCCTGGTCCTGTGATCTCACCCTGCCTCCATTTGCCTTCTGATATTTTATTACCTTGTGAAGCATGTGATCTCTGTGACCCACACCCTATTTGTACACTCCCTCCCCTTTGAAAATCACTAATAAAAACTTGCTGGTTTTGCAGCTCAAGGGGCATCACGGAACCTGCCGACATGTGATGTCTCCCCCAGATACCCAGCTTTAAAATTTCTCTCTTTTGTACTCTTTCCCTTTATTTCTCAGACCGGCTGACACTTAGGGAAATAGAAAAGAACCTATCTGAGATAACGTTGAATTATCGGAGGGGGGGTTCCCCCAATAAATGTTCTTTAAAATTTCTTTAGAACGTTTTTGGATATGGCAAAGTAAAAAAGAAAAGCAGATACCTCTCAGATTGTGACTCAAGAGCCATGAAATAAAAGTGGCTGGGTCTTATTCTCAAGGAACGTAACTGGGAACCAGTCAAGAGGCTTCCCACAGCTACAGAGTAAGAGGCCCCTGCATTGCCTATCAAGTTCTATTTTAGACTTGGTATTGACAGTGTTTGCTGTGTATTCCCAATTCCTATCCTCTCTGAATGATAGTGTTTCTTAGATTGTTTTTTTCCTGTTCCTCTAGTAATTGTAAGGTGTGTGCATTAGACAAATCAACTGTCTGAATTTAGAGAAGGCAGTTGTGGCTCTAAAGTATAGAAATTGCCATTAGATCCTGGAAGTTGAGCACAATGGCTGACTTGATGTGACCTTTGGACTGTCTCCCTGAGAGAGGGATAAATATGTTTTGCATGCAGCAAAGAGGGAAGTGAATATTTGTGACCAACAGGGTTAAATGTGGTAGAATATCTCATCATTCTTAAATATTCACTGTTCTTCCCTGTGAGAATTCAATTTTCTCAAATCATTGTCATTACCTTCTGTAATCTGAGTTAATTTTACCCAAGAATCACCAGGTGGTTTTACCCATACTCTCTCCACTCTGTGATGAAAAGGGCATGTCTGAGATAAGGGTTCCTTTTATCCTTGGGACCCAGGAGGAAAAATATGTGGAGAAGAGTACAATCAACATGTAAAATAAGTGTAAATAAGCTTTTCATAATTTTTAAAATTCATTTTAATTTTAAATATTTTTACACTTCTCCAGATATTATACTTAATCTGATGATCAATATTCATTTTTACTTACCAACATATGAATCCTTATTTATTCAATTCCTCAGTTCTTCCTTCATCTTTTAATTTTCATGTCTTTTTTTGTGGTTCAGTTGATAAAGAATTCTCTTGGATTTTGCTGATCTGAAATGCTTCATTTAACTTTACTTATCTTCAATTTTTTTCAATAAATCTGTTGAACTTATTTCTCCTATCTAACTTAAATTTTATATCCTTTAACCAACATCTCTTCAAACTCCTCGTATTTTCCAAGTCCCTAGTAAATGCCATTGTACTCTCTATTTCCATCAGCTCCACTTTTTAAATATTCCACATATTGGTAAAATTATGCCATATTTATCTTTCTGTGCCTGAGCTATTTCACTTAACCTAATGTCCTCCAGGTTTACCTACATTGTTACAAACGACAGCATTTTCTTCTTTTTCAAGGATAATTAGTACTTCACTGTGTGTGTATATATATTTATATATATATATCATGTTTTCTTTATCTAATCATTTGTTTATAGACACATGTTGATTCTATATTTTGACTATTGTGAATAATGCTACAATGATCATTTTAATTACAAAATATTTGGGATATTTTTTTTGATACTCTGTGAGTATGCTATATAAACTTTCACCCATTCACTTTAACATTCATCTGTAAATCTTACTTGGAGCAATGATTATGGTGGTGTGCTAATGCTGATTTATCATTTTCCTCATTCCTTCTACATTTACTAATTGAAATTCTGTGAGGAAGAGCTTGCCACTTCTTCCTAACTGATTATTTACTTACTTGCTTGTGTCAGTGTAGACTCATCAATATTCATTTTATTCTGGGGATTATAATCCAATCCAATCAAGATGTTTAACTGGCTATTGGGAGCATTTTTAGGTGGAGTGCTGTGACCTTTCAATATGCTATCATCTTTTGGAATTTTTAGACCATCCTTATTTTCTGAAACCAAAAGTTGCTTCAGACTTACCTTGAATTCTCTATACCTCATTCCTAAAATATACCAGTTTTACAAGGAGAAGTAATTCCATTTATTAGAGAAGGAACGGCAAGGGAAAACCCAATGCCTGAGTGCTAGGTGCATCCATTGTCACTGAGGTGTCACTGCTTTTTCCCCTTCAAGGTAGTTAGAGATAGGAGATATATATATATATATATATATATATATATATATATATATATATTCAATATATATAGTCATGCACTGCTTAACAAAGGTGATACACTCTGAGAAATGCTTCATTAGGTGATTTTGCCATTGTGCACACATCATGGGGTATACTTATACAAACTTAGATGGTATAGCCTACTTCACAGCTAGGCTATATGGCATAGCCTATTGCTCCTAGGCTACAAACCTGTGTAGCATGCTACTGTATGGCAATTATAACACAGTGGTGTTTGTGTATCTAAACATAGAAAAAGTATAGTGAAAATATGGTATAACAGATAAATATGGTACACCTGTATAGGGCATTTACCATGAATGGAGCTTGCAGGACTGGAAGTCACCCTGGGTGAGTCAGTGAGTGGGTGGTGAGTGAATGTGAAGGCCTAGGACATTACTGTATGCTACTGTAGACTTTATAAATGCCTCCACTTAGGGCACACTACATTTATTTTAATATTTTTCTTTCTCCAATAATCAATTAAGCTTAGCTTACTATAACTTTTTAACCATATACCCTTTTCATTTTTTAAAACTTTTTGACTCTCTTATAATAATACTTAGCTTAAAATACATACACAATGTATAGATGTACAAAAACATTGTCTTTATATCATTATTCTATAAGCTTTTTTCTACTTTTAAAATTTTTATCTTTTTTTTACTTTTTAAACTTTTTTAGCCTAGGTGTACATAGGGTCAGAATGATCAGTTTCACTGTTTTCCAACTCCGTATCTTGTCCCAGTGGGAGGTTTTCAGGAGCAATAACATGCCTAGGAGTTGTCATCTCTTAGGGTAACAATGCCTTCTTCTGGAATACGTACCAAAGGATCTGCCTGAGGCTGCTTTATAATTAACTTTTTTAATAAATAGAGGGAGCATATTCTAAAATAACAAAATTATAATATAGCAAATGCATAAACCAGTAACATAGCCAATTATTATTATTTTAAAATATTATGTACTGTAGATAATTGTATGTGCTATACTTTTATAAGACTGGCAGTGTAATAGATTTGTTTACACCGGCAACACCACAAACAAATGAGTAATGTGTTGTGCTATGACATTATGACAGTTATGATGTCAACAGGTGATAGAAATTTTTCTGCTCCATTAAAATTATATGGGACCACTGTTACATATGTGGTTCATTGTTGACTGTACCATCGTTGTGTGGCACATGATTGTGTGCTAATTCATGCATAAAGACACATCTATATTTATTCCTATATTTACTGATTATAAATTAAAACAAGTGAAACAAATCAAGAGTCCATCATGATACCTCTGACTACAATCACAGAATTTATTGTAATTATTATCTTTCTTTAATTGTAACTTCTTTCTTCAACATAGAAATACTGACTTCTATTATGACAATATATCTAAATATTTATTTAAATCTTGTACAACAATTAGTTTCATAATTCTTAACCCATGTTACAAGTCTACAAACTACATTGCTTACAGCTATTTTTGTAAAAAAGAAATCCACTCAAACCCTGTTTTCCAATTCATTATTGTTGAATGAATCATTTTTTTGTTGTTGCTGAGTAATATGTCAATATATGTATGTACCACAGTTTGTTTATCCATTCCTCAGTTGAGGAACATATATATTGTTTCCATTTTTGCTGATTATAAATAAAGCTGCCATAAAGATTCACATACATGTTTCTGAGGTATCAAGAGCCCTGCTGAGCTGAAGAGAGAGTTGAGCTGCCGGATATTAGAGTGGTTGGTAAAAGCAACCAGCCTAAATGGAAAGTAACAGTCAAGTTTGAAATCAATCACTGCAAATAGTATACGAAAGGCTAAAATCAGAGAAAATGTGGACTCCTGCCTGTTCCATTTTCTACCATGAAATGACACAGCATTGAGTGTCAGGTAGAACAACACAGACACAGGGTTCCCCTTACTACCATGGGATCACCCAACAAAAATCTCTTGCAGTTGTATGGAAGCAAGGGGCCATGGGAAGGAGAGAGTGGCAGGGCTAGGAATGTAAAAGTGCTGAGTACTGAATCCGAGTGGAGAAAAGTGTCTTCAGGTTTTCCCAAGAAGGAGGCCTGCAAGTGGAGGCACCTGGGCTGGAATTAAAGATAAATGTAACAGCATATTTGGCCAGGATGATCTGAGTCCTTTACTGTTATTTCCTTCAAAGACTGTAATGCATAACAGTGTATCATTTGATATGGGAAGGGCAGCTTGCTCCTGTGAACCCTGCTAGGGAAAGCCTTTGTAATTTCCTATAGTAGAGGCTGATAAATCACACATTTTTTTTTGAACAGTATCAAGATCAAGAGCCAGACTCCTGAGAATTAACATAATTTTTCATTTCTTTTGGATAGGAGTAGAATTGCTAGTTCATATGATATGTGTAAATTTAACTTTCTGTGAGTCTTCCAAATGGTTTCCCAAGTGGTTGTACCATTTTATATTCTCACTAGAAAAGTATGAGGCTCCCAGTGGCTCTATAGCTTTGCAAACATTTGATATTGCCAGTATTTTTGTTGTGAATATTCAAATAGATATGCAGGTTTTAATTGCATTTCCCTAATAATTCATGACATAGAGCATCTTTTCATATACATATTTGCAATCTATAAATCTTCTATGGTGAAGTCTCTATGCAAATATTATGCACAGGTTTTATTGTGTTGCTCGTTTTTTTATTCTAAGGTTAGAGTGTTCTTTACATATTCTAGAGACAAGTGTGCTCTCAAGAGTGTGATTTGAAAACATTTACTCCCAGTCTTTAGTTAATCATTTTATTCTTAACAGTGTTGTTTTAAGAACTTTAAAACAATGAATAAAACGAATTTCAACTTACCAGACTTTCTTCCTGTGGATTATGACTTTGGTCAAGCACAAAAACTTCTTGAAAAACCAAGGTCATTCAGATTGTTTCCTATGTTTTCTTCTAGAGTTTTATAGTTTTACATTTTACCTTTGGCTCTATATTTTACTTAGGGGTCACATTTTATATAAGGCTTGGGGTAAATGTTGAGATTTATTTCTTTACATATGGAGATACAATTGTTATATAACTATTTATTAAAAAAATCCTTCTTGATTAAATTGCCTTTGTACCTTTGTTAGACATCATTTCATGTATGTCTATTCTGTTTAAATTGATATATGCCTTTATTTTTTTTTACTAGTACTGCACTATCTTGATTATTGTAGCTTTATAGCAGATTTTGAAATGAAGTATTATGAGTACTCATACTTTATTCTTTTTCAAAATTGTTTTGACTAACATATTTCTGTTGCCTTTAGACATCGAATTTAGGTTTAAGCTGTTAATATCTACAAATACACTAAGATTTTGGTTGGGATTACAAGAATCTATAGATTAAGATAGGAACAATTGGCTTATTAAAATAGTCTTCTATTCAGAAACATAGTATATCGCTTCATTTTTCAAAGGTCATATGATTTTGTTCCAATGGTTGTATTTTTAAGCCTATACATTCCTTACAAATTTTCTTAGATTTATACCTAAGTATTTCATTTTTGAGGACAGTAAATGGTACTGTTTATTTTGGATTTCAACTACTTATTGCTACTATAAATATACACATTTAGTTTTATAAATTAACTTTCTGCCTTACAAAATTGCTAATTTCATTTATTAAGCCTAGAATTTTTTTTTTTTTTTTTGGTCATGAGATCATTTATTTTCTAGGTTTAAGCAAGATACAATTGGGGGATATGCAAATTAATGGCTTACTGTGAAGCCATTAGAATTAACACTTTTATTTTTCTTAATCAGGGATTCTGTGCTGCGGAGATCATTACGGAAGCAACAGTAGCAGGTGGCCTGGCCATACAGGGATTCCTTACTCGCAGCAGAGAATGTTGCTGCCACTCAAAGTCACCAGGGGCTGAAGAGCTCCTGTGGAGACCCACATCATCTAACAACACACATACTCAAAACAGGGAAATGTGCATTTTCGGGAGAGGAAGAGACAAACCTTTTGTTTAGCTAACTGGCATGACAGAGTGTGACATACATGTGCTCCTGGAAGAACGGTGTTGGGTGTCTGCACTCAAAATCTTGAGCATAGGCAACTGGATGAAGGGCTCTGTGGCATTGATTTTCATTGTGTGTGTGTTAATATTTACATTTATAATTAAATAAATAATCGAAATTATGCTGAACTGAAAAAAGATTGTGAGGTTTAATGGGACTGTGTGTGTGTTTCTGTGTGTGTGTGTGTGTGTGTGTGTGATTATTACTAAAGAAAAGGTCTCAAGGTGATTACACTGTTCAGATAAGGATAAATATAGTGTCCCCAGCCCCACCCTCCAAAATGTAATTCTTTTTTTAAAATTTTTTAATTTTATTATTATTATACTTTAAGTTTTAGGGTACACATGCACAATGTGCAGGTTAGTTACATATGTATACATGTGCCATGCTGGTGCGCTGCACCCATTAACTCATCATTTAGCATTAGGTAGGTCTCCTAAAGCTATCCCTCTCCCCTCACCCCACCCCACAACAGTCCCCAGTGTGTGATGTTCCCCTTCCTGTGTCCATGTGTTCTCATTGTTCAATTCCCATCTATGAGTGAGAATATGCGGCATTTGGTTTTTTGTCCTTGTGATAGTTTACTGAGAATGATGATTTCCAATTTCATCCATGTCCCTACAAAGGACATGAACTCATCATTTTTTATGGCTGCATAGTATTCCATGGTGTATATGTGCCACATTTTCTTAATCCAGTCTATCATTGTTGGACATTTGGGTTGGTTCCAAGTCTTTGCTATTGGGAATAGTGCCGCAATAAACATACGTGTGCATGTGTCTTTATAGCAGCATGATTTATAGTCCTTTGGGTATATACCCAGTAATGGGATGGCTGGCTCAAATGGTATTTCTAGTTCTAGATCCCTGAGGAATTGCCACACTGACTTCCACAATGGTTGAACTAGTTTACAGTCCCACCAACAGTGTAGAAGTGTTCCTATTTCTCCAATCCTCTCCAGCACCTGTTGTTTCCTGACTTTTTAATGATTGCCATTCTAACTGGTGTGAGATGGTATCTCATTGTGGTTTTGATTTGCATTTCTCTGATGGCCAGTGATGGTGAGCATTTTTTCATGTGTTTTTTGGCTGCATAAATGTCTTCTTTTGAGAAGTGTCTGTTCATGTCCTTTGCCCACTTTTTGATGGGTTGTTTGTTTTGTTCTTGTAAATTTGTTTGAGTTCATTGTAGATTCTGGATATTAGCCCTTTGTCAGATGAGTAGGTTGCAAAAATTTTCTCCTGTTTTGTAGGTTGCCTGTTCAGGCTGATGGTAGTTTCTTTTGCTGTGCAGAAACTCTTTAGTTTAATGAGATCCCATTTGTCAATGTTGGCTTTTGTTGCCATTGCTTTTGGTGTTTTAGACATGAAGTCCTTGCCCATGCCTATGTCCTGAATGGTAATGCCTAGGTTTTCTTCTAGGGTTTTTATGGTTTTAGGTCTAATGTTTAAGTCTTTAATCCATCTTGAATTAATTTTTGTATAAGGTGTAAGGAAGGGATCCAGTTTCAGCTTTCTCCATATGGCTAGCCAGTTTTCCCAGCACCATTTATTAAATAGGGAATCCTTTCCCCATTGCTTGTTTTTCTCAGATTTGTCAAAGATCAGACAGTTGTAGATATGCGGTGCTATTTCTGAGGGCTCTGTTCTGTTCCATTGATCTATATCTCTGTTTTGGTACCAGTACCATGCTGTTTTGGTTACTGTAGCCTTGTAGTATAGTTTGAAGTCAGGTAGCATGATGCCTCCAGCTTTGTTCTTTTGGCTTAGGATTGACTTGGTGATGCGGGCTCTGTTTTGGTTCCATATGAACTTTAAAGTAGTTTTTTCCAATTCTGTGAAGAAAGTCATTGGTAGCTTGATGGGGATGGCATTGGATCTATAAATTACCTTGGGCAGTATGGCCATTTTCACGATATTGATTCTTCCTACCCATGAGGATGGAATGTTCTTCCATTTGTTTGTATCCTCTTTTATTTCATTGAGCAGTGGTTTGTAGTTCTCTTTGAAGAGGTCCTTCACGTCCATTGTAAGTTGGATTCCTAAGTATTTTATTCTCTTTGAAGCAATTGTGAATGGGAGTTAACTCATGATTTGGCTCTCTGTTTGTCTGTTATTGGTGTTTAAGAATGCTTGTGATTTTTGCACATTGATTTTATATCCTGAGACTTTGCTGAAGTTGCTTATCAGCTGAAGGAGATTTTGGGCTGAGACAATGGGGTTTTCTAGATATACAATCATGTCATCTGCAAACAGGGACAATTTGACTTCCTCTTTTCCTAATTGAATACCCTTTACTTCCTTCTCCTGCCTAATTGCCCTGGCCAGAACTTCCAACACTATGTTGAATATGAGTGGTGAGAGAGGGCATCCTTGTCTTGTGCCCGTTTTCAAAGGGAATGCTTCCAGTTTTTGCCCATTCAGTATGATATTGGCTGTGGGTTTGTCATAGATAGCTCTTATTATTTTGAGATACATCCCATCAATACCTAATTTATTGAGAGTTTTTAGCATGAAGTGTTGTTGAATTTTGTCAAAGGCCTTTTCTGCATCTATTGAGATAATCATGTGGTTTTTGTCTTTGGTTCTGTTTATATGCTGGATTACATTTATTGATTTGTGTCTATTGAACCAGCCTTGCATCCCAGGGATGAAGGCCACTTGATCATGGTGGATAAGCTTTTTGATGTGCTGCTGGATTCGGTTTGCCAGTATTTTATTGAGGATTTTTGCATCAATGTTCATCAAGGATATTGGTCTAAAATTCTCTTTTTTGTTTGTGTAAGCCTAGAAAATTTTTGAAGTTTCTGCCTTTCCAGCAGGTAAGGTTTGACCTTAGAAATATTCTCATTGGATTTGGACTATCAAAAAAAGGAGAAGCCAGTGTTATTTGGCAGCAGTTTCTGGCAGCAAGTAAGAGTCAGCAGTGAGTCAATATGCGATTTGACCAGTGGCTTCTGGGCACCCTGAGAATTGTGAGCCTCATTGCTGAAGATACCCATGATCATTGATCTTGGGTATTTTCTGTCGTTATAACACAATCTCATTGGTACAGCGATCAGTAAGATGATGTGAGAAACATGTGAAAGTAGAACAAATGAAATTTAATGAAAATTTGAGGTAAGAAGAGGAAAAGAAGCAGTAAGAGATGAACCCTGGGCTTATGGTTTGGCAAATTAGGTAACTCAGCAAATAAATGATTAGATGGAAAGCAAGTTTGACTGCAGGAAAAAGACAAATCTTTCAGTTTTTGAAGCTTGATTTTTATGAGCAGTCAGATATCCACAGAGAAATGTAGCTGGGGCACAGGCAAAAAAACAAAAATAGACAAATGGAACTTAATTAAACCAAAAAAAAAATTGTGCACAGCAAAGTAATAACAGAGTGAAAAGACAACCTACAGAATGGGAAAAAATATTTGCAAACTATGCATCTGACAAAGGACAAATATCCAGGTTTTATAAGAAACTCAAAATAACTCAATGATAACAACAATACAGGTAATTCCATTAAAAGTGGAAAAGGACATGAATAGGCATTTTTCAAAAGAAGCCATATGAATGGCCAACAAGTATATGAAAAAATGCTTAACATTACTAATCATCAGAGAAATGCAAATTAAAACTGCAATGAGATATCCTCTTATACCAGTCAGAATGGCTATTACTAAGATGATAAAAAATAACATATGTTGGCAAGGATGTGGAGAAAAGGGAACTCTTACAAAGATTGATGGGAATGTAAATTAGTGCAGCCTCTATGGAAAATCCTATGAAGATTTCTCAAAGAACAAAAATAAACTACCCTTTGATCCAGCAATACCCTACTAGTGAAGAGGAAAGAAAGAAAAGAAATCATTGAAAAGGAAAGAAGGAAAAGAAGTCACTAATAATTTAAAGAAATCATTAAAATCATTAATTATTAAATCATTTAAATAAATAATTAAATAAAAAAGATATGTACCTGTACTCATATGCTCATCACAGTACTATTCACAAAAGCAGAAGTATAAAATTAAACAAAATGGATGGAACTGGAGGCCATTATCTTAAGTGAAACAAGTCAGACAGAAAAAGACAAGTACTGCATGTTCTCACTTATAAGTAGGAACCAAATAATGTGCATACATGGATGTAGAGTGTGGAATAATAGACAATGGTGACTTGGAAGGCTGATGAGGTGCGAGGGGTGGATGATGAGAAGTTACTTAATGGGAACAATGCATGTTATTTGGGTGATACCCTAAGAGCCCTGACTTCATCACTACACAATCTACACATGTGACAAAATTACGCTTATACCCTATAAACTTATACAAATAAAAAAGAATAAAATAAAATAAAAGTCCATGGAATATTTGCTTTGGCAGTTCTAGATATGCCATAATATCATTTATGGAGATTGTGCTATAAGCTGTAGAAAGGACAGCTTGTCAGGCAATCTCCATAAATGATATTATGACTAAGATAATGTTATTTTATGTGATATTGTTTAGCAAGGATGGGTTTTTTTTGTTGTTGTTTTGGAGAGTAGGCTTATTTGAGGTTATTTTGGGGTTAAGATCCAAAAGGAAAAAAAAAAGACTTTGGTTATGATACCCACTACTCAAGCCACGTCTTCATGGTGAAAATGAGAAAATCAGATAGTTAGGCCTTGGGCACATGATAAAAGTAGGTTAGACATAAATTTAAAAGCCATCGTCTCAGAATATAGTATTAAACTCTGAGATACAATTTTAAAAGGCAGGGTGTATACAGAATGACAGCATAAAAATATTGTCAATGGCTTAGTTACAGAAGAAAAATGTGTAATGGGTAAATTTGGGAAAGCATGTCCTAAACAAAAGGAGAAGACATGCAGTTTTTAAAATCCAGGGTGGAAGAGTGCAAGAAAAAAGGGAGACTATATAATAAAATAATAACAAATATCTATTGAGTTCCTGAAACAAACTGTTTAAAGGACTTAATTTACTCTCAACGAGTTTTAAAAATTCTATGAGTTATGGAGTGTTAACCCAATTTGACAGTTAATAAAGCCAAGTAACTGAGAGGTTAAACTTGCTGCACATCAATTAAGGAGAGTTAGCTACTTCATTAATACAAAATAAAATCCCTCGAATCAGAATTTAGCAGTATTAAAGTACAATCCAGTAAGAAAAACATTTGGTTTGGGTCATGTGGACTTATCACAGGTGCTTTCGTGGAAAGGAATGATTTGTCATGTATTTTCACACCTAGTTAAAAAAAGTAAACAAACACAATGAAAAATGAACTATGATAATTATTTCCTACATCATCCTACTGTGCAAAGAATCTCAGCTGCTCTAGTATGCAGATGCCAAGAATGTGGCTTCCTACATAGGGAACATGAAAATTCCAGCCACTAGTAACCATTTTTAAGTTATAATGTTTAGTTACGTATAAAGCATAATGGAAATAAACATTATGCTTTATATATTTAACTCTCTTTTGACTATAATTGGTAGGAATCCAAGATAAAATATGACACTTGGACAAGGCATAAGGTCAATCCTTTACTATCATAAATTTACTCAGGGGATGCCAGTTTTTGAAGAGTTTTGAATGCATTATCATTTGCCCTTTACCTTGTAAGTGTCTGTATCTGCAGGTAGCCATGCTTTCTACACAGCCAAATTGGCCAAATAGATTTGACTGATTTAGGTTTGAATGGCATTTTCTTTACTCAAGAATTATTTTGCTCTTACTTTCAAGCAGGAATAGCTACCAGCCCCCAACTGCACCTCTCAAAGAACAATGTGACCCAGGTAGGCCATGTAAATAACATTAACTACAATAACAATGACAATAATAATATAGTTAACATTACTAAGCACTTTAAGGATGTCAAAGTCTCAAGCTTGCAAACCACAGAGTCAGACTTACAAACCCAAACAACCTAACTCTACCATGCATAAACTAACCAGCACACTTTGGCTGAGAATCATGTAGCTGATCCTCTTGGATCAAAGAAATGTCAGTTACTAACACCTACTCAAAGATGGGTCAATCAACTCTTTTCAACTGACACTTCTTTTGGAGTTGGTCCCAGGGAGTCTGTTTTCATTGTTTCATGAATTGAAAAGAATAAATGGGAGAGTGCAAAGTGTATTTATAATTTGTCAAAAGAGTATCTGTAGTAAGGAAGAAGAAAATAAACAGTAAAGATATGACATATAAAAACAGGAAGAGACAGAGGTCTCACAAAAGTGAGATTGAGCAAGATTGTGTCATGGCACATATGAATCCTTTTTTCTGACTCCTGAGCTAAACAGAATAATTCAGAACTTTCAAGTCTTCCTAAGATTATCAATCCAATAAATCTTTTTTTTTTGGCTTAAACGTGTTTTATTTTGATATTTATTTGGCAACTAATACAATCACACATAATACAGTGGGCAAATTTTATCAAAACTAGTCTGAAACAACTGATAAAAGACAGAAAACAATACCATAAGCTACTATATTGCATGGTTATTGAGTCATAAATCACAATCTTGGATAAAAGTCCTCAGAGAGCATTATTCCCAAGCCAGATGTTGCTAGTTCTCTGTAGAAATGTTTTATAGAGATGTGGCTAAATGCTATCACCCTTTTCTTAAGTAATAACTATAATTAGAAAATTTCTACACTCAGGAAATTATTCTTAATGACACAGTTTGTTATATTAATTGATTTTGTTATTTAAGCATTCACAATAAATTGATCTAAAAACAAAAGAAAAACTAATAAAGGTTATTCTAATTCATAATTTGCTGTCATAATGACAAATGTAACTTAATTTTTTTCTATTTTATATAAGATATAAGTTAAGCATAAATTAAATATTATCACTATAAAAATTAATTCCCCTATTTAAATTATTAAATTCTTAGAGTTTGTTCATATACCAGTTATTACTATATCCCAGAGTTTCCTTTAAGTTTCATTTTAAAGAAAAAAAATGGAAAGAGTGAATATATATATTCACTCTTCATATAGTCACATATATGAATATACACACATATATTATGTGTATTATAAATATATATTTTTTATATATTATATATAAATATATTTATAATATATAAAGATTATACATAAATATAATAGCTTTAGAATATATGTATATATGTGTGCATATTCATATATGTGAATGTATGAACATACAATGTGTACATGTGTGTATATTCATATATGCAAATATATGAATATATGAATATACACATGTATACATACACAAACATTGACACACACAGAAACACACATATATTTGACTACATACATGTGCATGTGTATTCATATATTCACCTATGTGAGTTAACATAGATGATACATTATCATATTCTGTTGAAATAAGTTTGGCAGTGATAAATATAATTACAATTATATTATTTTAAGTATATAGATTAATATAGGAAATGACTTTAGTTCCTTCTTTGAATTGTACCAAGGAATGTGCATCAGATCATTTAATAATGACTTTTCTCTATAAATTCATATAAGGACTTGTAAGAACATTAAATACATTAGTATTTAATTTAACATTAAATAAAATAGTAGAAACAGTTGTGTTCCTGAGAAGACATACAAATAAGAAGACAGAAAGGAACTAAAGCTGAAATCTTTATTGGTTCTTCGGTAAAAAATGTGTGTGTGTTTCATTTATAAATTGCATTCAAATCAGTGTTTTTTTTTTTTGTGGGAAATCTTTCTCAGAACATCCTTAAATGCTTGTTTCACCTGCTGGTTTCTTAGAGTGTAAATAAATGGATTCAGCATAGGAGCGACAGAGGTATTGAGTATAGCTACTCCTTTTGTCAAAGCAACTCCTTCCTTTGCTGATGTTTTCACATACATGAAGATGCAGCTTCCATAAGAGATAGAGACAACAATCACATGTGAGGAGCAGGTTGAAAAGGCTTTTTTTCTTTGCTGTGCTGAGGGGATTCTCAGAATAGTTCTGATGATGTAAGTATAGGAGAGAATTACTAATATCAAAGTGGATATAAGAGTAAACAGAGCTAAAATAAAGCTCATGAGCTCTAGAGTACTTGTGTCTGTGCAAGAGATTTGCAGCAAAGGAGCAGAGTCACAGGTAAAGTGGTCAATGACATTGGAGTCACAGAAATCCAGCTGTAAGCCCATGGCCAGTGGTGGAAAAATTACCAAGAAACCAGCCAGCCAAGAGCTGATTATAAGCTGATAACAGATCCTGTCACTCATGATGGTTGTATAATGCAGAGGCTTACATATAGCCACATAGCAATCATAGGACATAGAGGCCAGGAGGAAAAACTCCGTTGAGCCAAGGAAGATAAAGAAAAATAGCTGAGCTGCACAAGCATTATAAGATATGGATTTGTCCCCTGTTAGAATGCTGATCAGAAATCTAGGATTACAGACAGAAGTAAATGAAATTTCCAAGGAGAAATTCCTGAGGAAGAAATACATGGGGGTCTTCAGGTGGGAATCCAGCAGGGTAAGGGAGATGATAGTTAGATTTCCAGTAACACTCAGTACATACGTAAGAAATAGGAACGAGAAAATCACAACCTGCAGTTGCGGATTATCCGTCAGACCCAGAAGGATGAAATCTGTCACTGATGTTCTATTTTTCATTTCTGATGATTGATTCCTGTCAGAGATTACTGATAAAATCAACATCAAAAGGAACAAAACAATGAGTCCAAAGACAAGTATAAATATTTGCACATTTTTTTTTCAAATACTATTGAATTGTGACAAGAAGCACTTGGGACTTTTAAAATAGTGTATATATATACATTTATATTTCTTATTTTCCATAATTCTGCTTTTAAAGATATATCTTCTATATTTAATATCAGTCACTGCTACATGTTTACTCTGTCTCCATAGTTTACATTTATTTTGGGGAAATGTATTAATAGAACATAAACTTTTCTAATGCTTTACTATTTAGCTAAAATGTAGGGGGCATTATGCTTTGCTTACTGTATCTTTTATAGGAATAAAAATTTGGACTGATGATGTAAATCAGTGATCAACCCAATTTTTTGGTGAAAATTATAAATATCTTTTTTAGGATGTAGACACTACTACCTCTGTTAATTTATCTTTTACCCCTTTCTTTGTAAAACAAAATAATAATTCAGTGGGTAAGTCATTCTAATGTGTTTTGAACATTTAAACAATGGCTTTATATAGATAGTATCCACTTTTTTTTCAATCCACCACACATTCTATTTTCAGGTAATACAGGTGCCTCTGAAACTCCTATCTTTATTCTTGATTTTTTTTAAAGAGCCTTTTCATTAAAATCCAATTAATGTAGTATTTTTCAGTTGAGTGTTTTAAAATTTCTAGTAAAATGTTTTAAATGTAGTCAGGCACCCAAAACATGTTCAGAAAATATTTTAATGAAGTACACAACTACTTCATATATCTAAATCAGATATAAAATGCACAAATACTTCACATATGTTGTCTAGTAACTATCTTGGACACCCACATCTGTAATATGCACCAGCTCTTTCTAAGTGTAAATGTATAAATATTAAGAAAAATATGCTGTGTTCTACCTATTTAATTGCTAGAAATTACCATTTAAAAGATTTTTAAATCTCCATTAATTTCTGAACTATTAAATATGCATATACATAAGAGACAGAGAGGGAAATAAATATGATATGAGATTAATCAGTGCTACAGAATAGAATGGATAGAAGCTAAATCACAAAAAATAAATTTAAAATACTTACCTATTATGAAAATTTGGATGGTTAGAGTTAAATATTGAACAGAAAATAATGTGCTCAATTCTCTTAAATCAAAAGTCATGTAGTGAGTCAATTCTACATGAAGAAATAACTGTTTTTTCTCCCCTCCTACAAAGTTACAGATTTCATCATAAAGATCTTGATGTTTCATCTTAACACATCCAGTGAAATAGTCTCCTCATGTTTCCACCCAACACTGTCCAAAATCTGGAAGCCTGAAATATTCCACCAACCATCTTAACAATAAATCCTTAGTTAAAAGTTTTGCTGACATAAATGAAAAAAATTCTAGAATTATTTACGATAGGCTATTCTGATACTTCACAGAGGGCCATTTCTATTAATTTTCCCTAGGAAAAAAGTAAATAATACCTTTAATATATTTTCCTTTACATAATTTCAGAAATATGCTTTAAGGAAACAAATGCTTAATGACATTTGGGATAAACAATAATAGGGCATTAGTGAATCCATGTACAAGTTTGACTCCAGCAATCATATTTTAATTGGTTGATTTTGGGACCTGTGTCCCAGGAGAAGACTGAGAAAATTATCCAGCAGGATGTTAGCCAGGTATCTGGGGAGGAGTGAGGTCTAGCAAGAATAAACCAACAACCTGCAATGTCCATTGTCATGTATCATCCTTAAGACTATGGGAAAAAGCAATTTAAAATATGACAAGCAAAATAAGCCACGGGTCTATGAAAGAAAAAGTATCTGGTATTATAATCTTTGAAACAATGTTGAAATCACTGAAGACTATTATACACTATCACTGGTGAAACTTATATAGGGAGTGTAACTCCCTTCATCAATTGAGCTGACTAGTATTTATCTAAAATTAGAAGCAACTCAAATTTCATCTGTACATTTCTGTATTATTTTCCACATATATAAAACAACAAATACTTTTAATACTTTATGCAAAATATATTTTTACATAAGAGCACAATAAATTGAGATCATTCTCAATGCAGTGATTAAATACAGTGCTAAAAATATGATTAAAATGGTATCTTCTTCTTTTTTTGAAAAAATAATTACATGTTTTTTATGAGAGGAGGTCTCACTATGTTGCCCAAGCTGAAGTGCAGTAGCTATTCATAGGCAGGATTGCAGCCTTGAACTCTTGGCCTCAAATGAACTTCCTGCATCAAGCTCCTGAGTAGCTGGAGCTGCAGGTGTGTACCATTGTTCCTGGCTTAAAAAATAGTATCTTCTTGTTGAATATGTTATATAAGTGGAAACCAGGATATTTAAATTACATTTGCATAAACAGTAATAGTACTTCAGTAATAAAAACTCAGTCATTGATTTATTATAGACTTTATCACAACTGTAGAGACAAATATAATTTAATAAAAAGATCACAACATGAATCTTTTTATTTGAAAAAGATGCCTTCATGTGATGTTAACATATATTCAAATGTTTATGTGCAGAGATAACCACTGTTACCAATTTGATGTATACTACTCCACATACATTTTAATTGTGGACACCTGCTCTATCAGTCCATTTTCATACTGCTATGAAGAAATACCTGAGACTGGGTAATTTATAAAGAAAAAGAGGTTGAACAGACTCACAGTTCCACATGGCTGGGGAGGCCTCACAATCATGGCAGAAGGCGAAGGAGGAGCAAAGGCATATCTTACATGGTGGCAGGCAAGAGATTGTGTGCAGGGGAACTGCCATTTATAAAATCATCAGATCTGATGAGATTCATTCACTATCATGAGAACAGCATGGGAAAAAACTGCCCCCATGATTCAGTTACCTCCGACCAGGTCCCTCCCATGACCCATGGGGATTATGGGAACTACAATTCAAGATGAGATTTGGGTGGGGACACAGCCAAACGATATCACCTGTCTTTGACACTTAGTAATATATTTTTAAGCATTGATACCCAAATAGAAAATCTTCCATTTGTCTCTAAGCAATAGTTAACCATTTAATATTAGCTTAGACAATTACAACATCCATTTTAATGACTAAATATGGTTTCATTGTATGGATATGCCATAATGAATAAAATTATTCTTTGCTGAACGTACCAATCTTTGAAAATATTCCTTATTATAAATAATATTAGAATGCATAGACACACAAATGCATCTTGGCATTATTGTTCTATTATCCCTTGATTGTAAGTTTTCTCAAATGAGTTACTGAGCCACAACTTTGCACAATTAAAATGTTCATAAATATCTCTGTGTTTTCCTAGAGAACTGTTTGTTTGCCTTACCTGTTTCTATAAAAATGATTATTTTAATATAAATTCAGCTTATAAAAGATTAATACCTTTAATCCTTCCTAGTGTAATAGAGAATAAAACAGGGATTATGTGCCTGCTTCTGGGATATTGATTCTATTTTGATAATGTCTTACTGATTTCAGAATATTTATTGTGGTTGTTTATCCTTCAATTTGATACCTGGTAGTATAATTATTTCTCTTTTTCCCTATTATTTATTGATACCTTGGTAAATTTTCCATTTTTTATAAATTGTTAAATATGTTTCTAAGAAGGAAGTATGATGGTTTTTATTTGCATTATGCAAATAAACACATATAAAAAAGATGGGCTGGGCGCAGCAGCTGTAATCTCAGTACTTTGGGAGGCCGAGGCAGGTGGATTACCTGAGGTCAGGAGTTCAGGACCAGCCTGGCCAACATGGTGAAACCCTGTCTCTACTGAAAAATACAAAAATTAGCCGGGCATGGTGGCGGACGCCTGTAGTCCCAGCTGCTTGGGAGGCTGAGACAGGAGAATTGCTTGAACCCGGGAGGTGGAGGTTGCAGTGAGCCGAGATCATGCCATTGCACTCCCGCCTGGGTGACAAGAGTGAAACTCCATCTCAAAAAAGAAAAAAAAAAGCTGTCCATTTTAAATATTTGATCAAAATATATTGTTTTTAATTTTACAGTAGAGCATAATATCTTCTAGAAGATTTAGAATAAATGTCCTGTTTCTTGATTCTAGAGAAATTTTACACATAAGTATAAAACATTAAGGCACTATTTTTTGAGAAATTCAACACTGATTTAAAAGCATGAAATACTTGCATAATTTTCATATTATTAAGAAAATATTGAATGATTTCAGTTTGTTAGACATGGTCAAGTTTAAGACATTTCTTGACTGGGAAGCCTGTACTCAAAAGAAGGCCATTATGTTAGGAAATAAAATAGAGAGAATTTATAAGGAAAAGTACACAAAGTATAAGGGAAAGAAAGAAATTGGTATAGAGGTAAATCTACTACACAGTAGTAATTGGTATAGAGGTAAATCTACTAGACAGTAAAGAGGTAGATCTACCTCTACACGGTAAAGTAGACGTAAGTTTGCTGTGAATTTCACTGGAATTACTGTTTTTATTTGGTGGTGGCCTTGCTGTAGTGCAAACTTTTAAAAAGATCTATAGTTTACTGTGATATGCATTTTTGCCTTTGTACCAGAGTAAACTGTGATTATAATCCTTTCTTTCTACTTTGTTTATAATAAGTACATCTGTTTAATGCTCAGTGATAAAAATTTGGAATACAAAAGTCAAGTCCTTAATATCCCATTTGGTATCCTTTTGTAGTCCACATCAAGAACACGACAAATTCCTCATCCACATAAGTGATAATGTGTAAGTAAATGCAGAACTCAGCCAAGCTTCACATGTTACACTCAAATTCCAAGAGTTATTGGTTATTTCCTTATCTAAATAAGTAATAATTTACTTGAAATAATGGGTAAAAACTCATTATGTCACCTCATAGTATTAAATATATATATTTTTTATCATCCTCAATTGTCAATCCCTTAATAAGAACCTAAAATAGCTCATGTTCATGAATGTCGTGGGATCTAAGTCTTTACTTAGTATGAGTTAATGTGTTCAATATAAATATGTGTGTCTGCACCTATTAGAAAAAAAGAGACATTAGAGAAAATACAGTTGTATTAGTCAGGCTTCTCTAGAGAAACAGAACCAATAGGATGGATGGATGAGTAGATAGGTAGATAGATGACAGATAGATAGATAAATAGATAGATTTATTTATTTATTATAAGAAATTTGTTCACACAATTGTGGATGCTAAAAAGTTCTAAGAGCTGCAGTTGACAAGCTGGAGACCCAGGAGAGCTAATGGTATACTTCCATTGAGTTCACGCAGAAGCAGGGCTGCTGGGCTGGAAGCTCTAGTACATGTTGCCAACCTGCCCACGAGTAGTAGTGGCAGATGGGGTCACATGCTCTGCCATCTGACTGTTTCCCAGGACAACAGGAAGATGTGCTCTGTGGCCACTGGGCCAGAAACTAGCAGGCACTGCCCACCTTGTTACTGGTGGCAGGATTACCTGGTTACCACTCAGCCATCTGGCTGTTTCCCCAGGCAATAGGAAGCTATGCCCTCCAACTGAGTTCACACAGAAGAGGAGCCACTGGCCCAGAAACTCTTGCTAACATTGTCTGCCTAGCTACCATTGTCTGCCTAGCTACCAGTGGCAGGGGCAGGTGAAGTCATGTGCTATGGTGTTTGGGTGTTTCCCAGGACAACAGGAGGTTGTGCCCTCCAGTTGAGTTTACACAAACATGGGATTGCTGGGCTGGAAGCTCTAGCAAGTATTGCTTGCCTGGCTACCAGTGGTGGGGGTAGGTGGAATGGCTAGCCCAGTTCAGGCCAAAGCAAGACCACTGGGCTGGAAGCTGGCACCAAGCCCCATCTGACAGTGAAAGTCTGGCAATCTTACTGCTCCCAAGTACCACAAGTGTGGCTTCTATTGGGCCTATGGTGGGGAGCTAGAGCTACCAGCCCAGCAGTCCTACTTCTGCCTGAATTTGCAGAAGGGGGTAGCCTACTGTTACTGTGCAAACACTCAAGTGGCAGGGTGGGCAACTCCACCCTCCTCTGCCTCTTCTAGCCAGATAGACCACACCCACTAGAACTTCCAACCCAGTGGTCCCATTTCCCCCAAACTCTGCAGGCAGGCCCAACACCATGTTTCCCCGGGAAATACATAGACAGCAGATTAGGGCCACACTGGCAAGGACATGGCTTGTATTTTCATATGGGTAGGCCTTATGTTCCCACCCAAATATCATCTTAAATTATAATCCCTAGTTCCCATAACCCCCACATGTCAAGGGAGAAAACAGGTGGAGGTAATTGGATCATTAGGGTGGTTTCCCCCATGATGTTCTCATGATAGCCGGTGAGTTTTCATGAGATCTGATGGTTTTATAAGGCAGTTTTCCCTGCTCTTGTTTGCAACTCTCTCATTTTCCACCATGTAAGACATGCTTCTCTCTCACCTTCCACTATGATTGTAAGCGTCCTGAGGCTTCTCCAGCCATGTGGAAATGTGACTTAATTAAACCTCTTTCCTTTATAAATTACCCAGTCTCAGGTATGTCTTTATAGCAGTGTGAGAATGGACTAATATATATGCCAACTGCAGGTGCTGCCTAAGTGATTCCTGTTGACTAGAACACCCAACAAAACCAATGTGAGCACAGAGACAGTAATCAGAGGGGGCTTTTCCACAACCCAGGAGCAGACTAGAATCAAAGCCAGTCAACCGAGTTCACCTTATACCATAATCAAACTCCCAAGGGCATCAAAGGTGAAAAAAGCAAAGCAAACCATCCAAAGGATACTAACTTCAAAGATTAAAGAAACATCAGCCCACACAAATGAGAAAGAACTGGCACAAAAACTGTGGCAACTCAAAAAGCCAGAGTATCATCTTACCTCCAAACAACCATAATAATATTTCCAGTAATGATTCTTAACCAGGATGAAATGGCTGAAATGGCAGAAATAAAATGCAGACTATGGAAAGGAATGAAGATCATTAAAATACAGGAGATACTTGAGACCCAATCCAAGATATCTAAGGATTACAAGAAAACAATACAAGAGGTGATAGCCAAATGGACATTATAAGAAAGAATCAAACTTATCTGATAGAGCTGAAAAACATACTAGAAGAATTTCGTAGTGCAATTGCAAGTATTAACAGGAAAATTGAACAAACTGAGTAAAGAATATCAGAGCTTGAAGACTGGCTCTCCAAAATGACTAAGTCAGAGAGAAATAAAGGAAAAACAATAAAAAGGAATAAACAAAACCTATGAGAAATATGGGATTATGTAAAGAGACCAAATCTATGACTCATTGGCATCCATGAAAGAGAGGGAGAGAAACCTAGCAACTTGGAAAACATATTTCAGAATATTATCCATGAAAATTTCCCCAAACTCACTACAGAGGCCAACATTCAAATTCAGGAAATGCAGAGAACCTCTGTGAAATACTACACAAGAAGATAACCCCAAGACACATAGCTATTAGATTCTTCAAGGTCAAAATGAGAGAAAAATGTTAAAGGCAGCTAGGAAGAGGCAGGTAATATACAAAGGGAATTATATCAGGCTAACAGCAGAACTGTCAGCAGAAACTCTACAAGCCAGAAGAGATTAGAGGCCTATATTCAGAACCCTTAAATAAAAGAATTTACAAACAAGAATTTCATGTCCAGCCAAACTAATGTTAATAAGTGAAAGAAATAAGGCCCTTTCAGACAAGCAAATGCAGAGGGAATTCATCAACATCAGACCTGCCTTGGAAGAAGTCCTGAAGGGAGTGCTAACTATGGAAAAGACCATTACTGGCAACTACAAAAGAAAGACCATTACTGGCATCACACTTAAGTACCTAGACCAGTGACACTATAATGCAGCCACACAAACAATTCTGCATGATAACCAGCTAACAACATGATGATGGGATCAAATCTGCATGTATCAATACTAACCTTGAATGTAAATGGGCTAAATGCCTCAATGAAAACCCAATGGTTTACTATCTTCAAGATACCCATCTCAGATGCAATGACACCCATAGACTCGAAATAAAGGGATGAAGAAAAATCTAACAAGCAAAAGGAAAATATAAAAAGGCAAAGGTTGCTATTCTAATTTCAGACAAAACAGACTTTAAATCAAGATAAAAAAGTAAAAGAAGGGCATTACACAATAGTAAGGGCTCAATTCAACAAGATGACCTAACTATCATGAATATATATATATATATACCCAACACAGGAGCACCCAGATTCATAAAGCAAGTTGTTAGAGACTCACGAAGAGACTTAGATAACCAGCCAATAATGGTGGGAGACTTTTAACACCCCACTGATAGTATTAAACTCAGCATTTGACCAAATGGACATCTACATCTATCCCAAAAGAGCAGAATATACATTCTTCTCACCTGCACATGGCACATACTCCAAAAATGACCACACATCAGGTCTAAAACAATCCTCAATAAATTAAAAAAAAATCTTACAAAACATGCTTTCAGACCACAGTGCAGTAAAATAGAAATAAATACTAAGAAAACCACTCAAAACCATAAAATTACATGGAAATTAAACAAACTGCTTCTAAGTGACTTCTGGGTAAATAATGAAATTAAGGCAGAAATAAAGAAATTCTCGGAAAATAATGACAAAAAAGACACAACATACCAGAATCTCTGGGACACAGTCAACGCAGTGTTAATAGGGAAGTTTATAGCACTAAATGACCATATCAAAAAGTTAGAAAGATTTCAAATTAACAACCTAAGCATCACAAATAGAGAAACTAGAGAAAGAACAAACCAACCCTAATCCCAAGGCTAGCAGAAAAAAAATAACTAAAATCATTGCTAAACTGAAGGAAATTGAGACATGAAAATCCATACAAAAGATCAATGACTCCAGGAGCTGGTGTTTTGAACAAATTAATAAGATAGACCACTAGCTACACTAATGTAAAAGAGAGAGAAGATCCAAAGAAACACAATCAGAAATGACAAAAGGGACACTACTGCTGACCCTACAGAAATACAAAAACCCATCAGAGACTATTATGAACATCTCTATGTGCACAAGCTTGAAAAACTAGAAGAACTGGATAAATTCCTGGACACATACAACCTCCAAAGAATGAACCAGGAAGAAATTGAATCCCTGAAGAGAACAACACTGCGCTCTGAAATTGAATCAGTAATAAAAAGACTACCAACCAGAAAAAGCCCAGGAACAGAGAGATTCACAGCTGAATTTTACCAAATGTGTAATAAACAGCTGTTAGTATTCCTGCTGAAACTATTCCAAATAATTGAGTAGGAAGGAGTCCTCTCTAACTTATTCTATGAGGCCAGCATCATCCTGATACCAAAACCTACCAGAGATAACAACAAAAAAAGAAAACTTAAGGTCAATATCCTTGATTAACATAGATGGATAAACACAAAACAAAATACTAGTAAACCAAATCCAGCAGCATATTGAAAAGCTAATCCACCACGATCAAGTAGGCTTTATTCCTGGGATGCAAAATTGGTTCGACATACACAAATCAATTAATGTGATTCACCACATGAGCAGAACTAAAAGCAAAAACCACATGATCATCTCAGTAGATGCAGAAAAGGCTTTTGATAGAAATCATCTTCTCTATAATTTACAATCCCGCAACAAACTAAGCAACGAACACACATACTTCAAAATAACAACAGCCGTCTGTGAAAAACCAACAGCCAATATTATGCTAAATGGGCAAAAGCTGGAAGCATTCCCTTGAAAATATGAACAAGACAAGGATGCCTTCTTTCACCACTTCTATTCCACGTAGTACCGGAAAACCTAGCCAGAGCAATCAGGCAAGAGAAAGAAATAAAAGACATCCAAATAGGAAGAGAGGAAGTCGAACTATCTCTGTTTGTAAATGATATGATTCCGTACATAGGAAATGCCATAATCACTTCCCAAAAGTTCCTTCAGCTGATAAACAATCTGAGCAAAGTTTCAGGATACAAATGCAGTATACAAAAATCAGTAACATTTCTATAAACCAATAATATTCAAGCAGAAAGCACAATTAAAAACACAATCCCATTCAAAATAGCCACAAAAAGAATAAAGTACCTAGGAATATAGCCCACCAAGGAGGTGAAAGACCTCTACAATGAGAATTACAAACCACTGCTCAAAGAAATCAGAGATGACACAAATAAATGGAAAACCATTCCATATTAATGGATAGAAGGAATCAATATTTTTAAATGACCATACTTCTGAAAGCAATTTATAGATTCAATGCTGTTACTATCAAACTACCAATGACATTCTCCATAGAATTACAACAAACCTATTTTAAAATTCACATGGAACTAAAAAAGAGTCTGAATAGCCCAGGCAATCCTAAGCAAAAAGAATAAAGCTGGAGGTATCACATTACCTGGCTTCAAACTATACTCCAAGGATACAGTAACCAAAATAGCATGGTACTGGTACAAAAACAGATACGTAGACCAATGAAGCAAAATAGACAGCCCAGAAATGAGGCTGCATACCTGCAACCATCTGACATTCAACATAATTGACAAAAATATGCAATGGGGAAAGAACTCAGTATTTAATAAATGGTGCTGGGATAACTGGCTAGCCATATGTGGAAGATTGAAACTAGCTCCCTTCCTTACACCATATACAAAAATCAACTCAAGATAGATTAAAGACATAAATATAATACCTAAAACTATAAAAGCCCTGGAAAATCTAGGAAATATCATTCTGGATACAGGACTTAGCAAAGATTTCATGACAAAGTTGCCAAAAGAAATTGCAACAAAAGTAAAAATTGACAAATGGGACCTAATTAAACCAAAGAGCTTCTGCATAGCAAGAGAAACTATCAGTAGAGTTAACAGACAGCCTATAGAGTGGGAGAAAATTCTCACAAACTAAGCAGCTGACAAAGGTCTAATATCCAGCATCTGTAAGGAACTTAAACAAACTTACTACAAAAAAACAAACAACCCCATTAAAAAGTGGGCAAAGGACATGAACAGATACTTTTCAAAAGAAGACATACATGTGGCCAACAAGCATATGAAAAAATGCTCAGCCCGGCCCGCAGCCCCTGGCCTGCGGCCCCCACCTTCTCGGCCGGGCAGGAAGTGACAGGCCCGGAGCGAGCCCCGGAGGCCTGGCTGAGCCGCGGCCGGGCCCGCACCCGGAGCGGCGGGAGGGGCGGGGAGCCGCGGTCGCGCCGGGCGCCTCCCACCCCGCCCTCGGCGCCCCCGCCCCTCCAGGAAGGGGAGGAGGCGAGGGGAGCCCGCCGCGGAGGCCGAGCGAGCCCCCAGCCCAGCCTGGCGACTGGGGACCCCGGCACATGAGGTGGACGCCCCCGGGGAAGACTTGGGTGCACAGCCAGGCGAGAAGGTCTTGAGTCAGACAGAGCACCAGCCTTGGGGACCCTGGACCACTATCATGGAGACTGCGAGCGAGCAGAACTCCAATTCCACCAATGGGAGTTCTAGCTCAGGGGGCAGCTCTCGGCCCCAGATAGCTCAAATGTCACTATATGAACGAGAAGCAGTGCAGGCTCTGCAAGCACTGCAGCGGCAGCCCAATGCAGCTCAGTATTTCCACCAGTTCATGCTCCAGCAGCAGCTCAGTAATGCCCAGCTGCATAGCCTGGCTGCCGTCCAGCAGGTGAGAGGTCAGCAGCCAGCTGGCCCGAGAGGGAGGGGACAGGCACTACAGGCCACAATTGCTGCCAGTCGGCAGGCCAGCTCCCCAAACACCAGCACTACACAGCAGCAGACTACCACCACCCAGGCCTCGATCAATCTGGCCACCACATCGGCCGCCCAGCTCATCAGCCGATCCCAGAGTGTGAGCTCTCCCAGTGCTACCACCTTGACCCAATCTGTGCTACTGGGGAACACCACCTCCCCACCCCTCAACCAGTCTCAGGCCCAGATGTATCTACGGCCACAGCTGGGAAACCTATTGCAGGTAAACCGAACCCTGGGTCGGAATGTGCCTCTAGCCTCCCAACTCATCCTGATGCCTAATGGGGCAGTGGCTGCAGTCCAGCAGGAGGTGCCATCTGCTCAGTCTCCTGGAGTTCATGCAGATGCAGATCAGGTTCAGAACTTGGCAGTAAGGAATCAACAGGCCTCAGCTCAAGGACCTCAGATGCAAGGCTCCACTCAGAAGGCCATTCCTCCAGGAGCCTCCCCTGTCTCTAGCCTCTCCCAGGCCTCTAGCCAGGCCCTAGCGGTGGCACAGGCTTCCTCTGGGGCCACAAACCAGTCCCTCAACCTTAGTCAAGCTGGTGGAGGCAGTGGGAATAGCATCCCAGGGTCCATGGGTCCAGGTGGAGGTGGGCAGGCACATGGTGGTTTGGGTCAGTTGCCTTCCTCAGGAATGGGTGGTGGGAGCTGTCCCAGGAAGGGTACAGGAGTGGTGCAGCCCTTGCCTGCAGCCCAAACAGTGACTGTGAGCCAGGGCAGCCAGACAGAGGCAGAAAGTGCAGCAGCCAAGAAGGCAGAAGCAGATGGGAGTGGCCAGCAGAATGTGGGCATGAACCTGACACGGACAGCCACACCTGCGCCCAGCCAGACACTTATTAGCTCAGCCACCTACACACAGATCCAGCCCCATTCACTGATTCAGCAACAGCAACAGATCCACCTCCAGCAGAAACAGGTGGTGATCCAGCAGCAGATTGCCATCCACCACCAGCAGCAGTTCCAGCACTGGCAGTCCCAGCTCCTTCACACAGCTACACACCTCCAGTTGGCGCAGCAGCAGCAGCAGCAACAACAGCAACAGCAGCAACAGCAGCAGCCGCAAGCCACCACCCTCACTGCCCCTCAGCCACCACAGGTCCCACCTACTCAGCAGGTCCCACCTTCCCAGTCCCAGCAGCAAGCCCAAACCCTGGTCGTTCAGCCCATGCTTCAGTCTTCACCCTTGTCTCTTCCACCTGATGCAGCCCCTAAGCCACCAATTCCCATCCAATCCAAACCACCTGTAGCACCTATCAAGCCGCCTCAGTTAGGGGCCGCTAAGATGTCAGCTGCCCAGCAACCACCACCCCATATCCCTGTGCAAGTTGTAGGCACTCGACAGCCAGGTACAGCCCAGGCACAGGCTTTGGGGTTGGCACAGCTGGCAGCTGCTGTACCTACTTCCCGGGGGATGCCAGGTACAGTGCAGTCTGGTCAGGCCCATTTGGCCTCCTCGCCACCTTCATCCCAGGCTCCTGGTGCACTGCAGGAGTGCCCTCCCACATTGGCCCCTGGGATGACCCTTGCTCCTGTGCAGGGGACAGCACATGTGGTAAAGGGTGGGGCTACCACCTCCTCACCTGTTGTAGCCCAGGTCCCTGCTGCCTTCTATATGCAGTCTGTGCACTTGCCGGGTAAACCCCAGACATTGGCTGTCAAACGCAAGGCTGACTCTGAGGAGGAGAGAGATGATGTCTCCACATTGGGTTCAATGCTTCCTGCCAAGGCATCTCCAGTAGCAGAAAGCCCAAAAGTCATGGACGAGAAGAGCAGTCTTGGAGAAAAAGCTGAATCAGTGGCTAATGTGAATGCTAATACTCCAAACAGTGAACTAGTAGCCTTGACCCCCGCCCCTTCAGTACCGCCTCCTACACTAGCCATGGTGTCTAGACAAATGGGTGACTCAAAACCCCCACAGGCCATCGTGAAGCCCCAGATTCTCACCCACATCATTGAAGGCTTTGTTATCCAGGAAGGAGCAGAACCTTTCCCGGTGGGTTGTTCTCAGTTACTGAAGGAGTCTGAGAAGCCACTACAGACTGGCCTTCCGACAGGGCTGACTGAGAATCAGTCAGGTGGCCCTTTGGGAGTGGACAGCCCATCTGCTGAGTTAGATAAGAAGGCGAATCTCCTGAAGTGCGAGTACTGTGGGAAGTACGCCCCCGCAGAGCAGTTTCGTGGCTCTAAGAGGTTCTGCTCCATGACTTGCGCTAAGAGGTACAATGTGAGCTGTAGCCATCAGTTCCGGCTGAAGAGGAAAAAAATGAAAGAGTTTCAAGAAGCCAACTATGCTCGCGTTCGCAGGCGTGGACCCCGCCGCAGCTCCTCTGACATTGCCCGTGCCAAGATTCAGGGCAAGTGCCACCGGGGTCAAGAAGACTCTAGCCGGGGTTCAGATAATTCCAGTTATGATGAAGCACTCTCTCCAACATCTCCTGGGCCTTTATCAGTAAGAGCTGGGCATGGAGAACGTGACCTGGGGAATCCCAATACAGCTCCACCTACACCGGAATTACATGGCATCAACCCTGTGTTCCTGTCCAGTAATCCCAGCCGTTGGAGTGTAGAGGAGGTGTACGAGTTTATTGCTTCTCTCCAAGGCTGCCAAGAGATTGCAGAGGAATTTCGCTCACAGGAGATTGATGGACAGGCCCTTTTATTACTTAAAGAAGAACATCTTATGAGTGCCATGAACATCAAGCTGGGCCCTGCCCTCAAGATCTGCGCCAAGATAAATGTCCTCAAGGAGACCTAAGGTGGCCCTCTTGCACAAACCAGCCTAAGGCAGACACTCTCCACTGTCCAGGTTATAACCTGGTACCAGCAGACTTTGCAGGGAAGAAAGAGTTGTTCCAATCATGTAACCTTCTGTAGGGGATTACTGAGACAGGGAAGAGAAGTGCAAGAATTGGTTGCTGGTGCTACATGGCGGCAGCTTTGACATTTTCTCTGGGTTCTACTTTATTTTTTAAAATCTTTACAGTTCTCACCATTTCACGTACCTTAATCCAATCTTTATAAAAGAGGCAGTCTAGAGAACTAGGACTGCTCAGCCTTATCCCGGAGTGGAGCATTTAGCCCAGGTCTTAATTCTCCAAGAGGAGGAATACATAGTATGGTAAGGCAAGGAACTGGGTGGAATGTCAGGTTGCCTGCCCAATGGGAGAGGTAGGGTTTTTCTAGCTTGTGTGACAGAAGTAGCAAAATCTGGTCCTTCCCCCTCCCAGTGTAGCTGTGGCTCAGAGTTTTTTCTTTTTGTTGTCACTTACTCCCTTGTGATTGAATTTTTTCTCCTGCATCCATGGCAGGATCCCCAGCCAGTATAGAGACTTGGTTGGCATCTTCTGCTGCAGGGACTAAAAGTATTTGACTGGGGCACATGTGGCTGTTGTCATTCTTTCTGCATCCCACTGTTCCCCTCCAATTTATGTTATTTTCTACCCTGTTTTTCAGTTCCATCTCTGCTCTGTCCTATAGCTTTATAAAACCAGAGTGTGTGGGGCTGAGGTCAGGAGTATAAGTACCTGCCTTAGGCACTATTCCTTATATAACAAAAATATTAAATATTTTTTTCCTCAGTAAAAGGATGAAAATTGGTTTCAGTTGTCTTACTCTATTCCAGTCTTTGCCCACTTTCACACAAATGACAAGGCCAATATGTTTTGTTTGTTTGTTTTTTAATCATTAAGAGTTTTTGTACAAAAAGTGGTTTTTTTTCTTCATTTTAAAACACCAGGGTGTGGGGGAGGGATGCAAACAAATAACAAAAAAGATGCTTTTGTAACATTATTTTCCCTGTTTAGAAAGAAAAAAATCACTCCAATAGTATTGAAAAGTCCAAAGATGAAATAGTTTCATTTTCTTTTCCTAAGGCTTATAAAAGGCCCCCTGCCTGTTGATTCCATCCCTCTTTTGTGTCCAGTGGAGCCATGTTACTCTTCAGTGGCCCAGGGGTTCACTATTAAAGAAAGATCAGTCCAGGTTTCTGGGCACATGGCCTAAACAGGAAGATGGAAGCATCAGAGGATTAAAAACCTTTCCCCACAGAAATGTGGGCAAGAAGACACTTCCCTGAGCCAGCAGAAGGGACAGGTGCAGCAGCATTCCACACCCAGCGCAGAGGACAGCAGAGCCCTCGATGTCCCACTTCTGCTTCCGTTCCCTTTCTAGAAGATTGAAAAAAAGGTCAAAACCACATGCCTGTGGAGAAAGTGCGACATGTTTAGAAATACTGGTAGGGAACCAGGAGTAAGAAAAGCTTTACCAGCTTTTACTACAAATGGATGAAAGACATCAGGATCCCACCACCGCAAGGTAAAGTGACTTCCCTTTTCTGGAACCCCTGTGGCACAGGAGTACCAATTTTCCTTTCCAACGAACTGGATTTCTGGATAGGCATTTTGGCTGTATGTGGACAGATAAGACCACAGTCCTTAGCCCAATCCCAGCTATACAGTCACCCCAATTTCCACAAATGATGTGATGGTACCGTATAATCCTGTAATTGGGAAATTTCACATTTTTCCTGTCCTAATCTCAGAGGTGGGAGAAGCAAGTCTAGAACATCTCCAGGCTCAGACTAAACGAGAATACTTGGACTGCAACCAAGTAATCACTGCAAAGTAGTTCCAAGCAGCAAGAAATACCAGATTCTCATGGAGGCTACTATAGGGTACAGAATAACAACATGAAAACAATCAACCCTGTATAAATAATGTTTCTTGGCATTTTTTTTTTAATTAAAGAAATCCAGTGTCTCAAAAAAAAAAAAAAAAAAAAAAAAAAAAAAAAAAAAAGAAAAAATGCTCAACATCACTGGAGAAATGCAATTCCAAACCACAGTGAGATATCATCTCACACCAGTCAGAATGTCTACTATTAAAATATTAGAAAATAACTGATGCTGGTGAGGTTATGGAGAAAAGGAAACACTCATACATGGTTGGTGGGAATGTTAATTAGTTTAAGCATTGTGGAAAGCAGTGTGGCAATTTCTAAAAGAACTTAGAATTACCATTTGACCCAGCAATCCCATTATTGGATATATACTCAAAGGAATATAAATCATTCTACCATAAAGACACATGCATGCATATGTTCACTGAAGCACTATTCATAGTAGCATAGACCTCTACAATGCTTACGTTGCAGAAAACCAAATACTATGTGATCTCACTTATAAATGGGAGCTAAATTTTGAGCACATATAGACACAAAGAAGAAAACAACAGCCACCAGGCCTACTTGAGGGTGGAAGGTGGAAGGAGAATGAGGATCAAAAAACTACTTATCAGGTACTATGCTTATTACCTGGGTAATGAAATAATCTGTACACCAAGCCCCCATAACATTCAATTTACCTGTATAATAAACATGTATGTGTACCCCTGAACCTAAAAGTTAAAAGTCCTATATTTATCTAAATGAAATAATAAAGCCAGGGGACTAAATAAATATTTGTCTTTATCTTACAAAAAAGAAGAAAAACAATACAAAATAAGATTATAAGGGGATCAGAACATGCTATCCCCAAATATGACACTTTAGCATATTGATTATTTTGAGCTAAAGGCAATTGAGAAAACAGTAGATGCAGGAAGAGCTCTTTGGCCTTCCACTTTCTACCTAAAAGCAGGGTATAAATTTCCTCTGAGAAAGATGCTCTTCCTGTAACAGGAGAGGAGAACACTCTTATCACCAGAGATGGGGAGGTAACACTGAGAGAATGTGTAAGAACAAATTTTACTAAATTGACCCATCTTTTCATTAGTTTCCCCTATACATTTCCTCATCACATTCCCACAATTTACTGCCCCCAGGCCATACTCCTTTTTCTATTTTTTGTCACAACTCCACAATTTATCTCTTTTTATTATAATGGTATATAGGCTTTTGGGTCTAGCCTTTCTTCAAGTCTTATTTTTTTTCCATGAAGACCTTTATGCACACATAAAAATTAAAATTTTAACATCAAATAAAATTTGCATACTTTTCTTATGTTAAAAAATAATTAGTCAACTTCCTTGAAGATGTTCCAAAAACTGAAGACAGACATGGACAAAGACAAGAAAACAATACATGAACAAAATAAAATACATAACCAAAGAAATTGAAATAGTAAAAGAAACCAAATCAAAATTCTGGAGCCATAAATAACAACGGAAATACAAACAACCTAGAAGGATTCAAAAGCAAATTTGTGCAAGCAGACAAATGAATCAGATAACCTAAAAATAGAACAATTGAAATTATGAAGTACGAGGAAAACAGTGAAGTCAGTGAACAGATACTAAAGAATCTGTGAGGCACAATCAAGCAGACCAACAAGAGCATTGTGTTTATCCCACATGGACAGCTGGGAAAAAAATGGGGAAGAAATACTATTAAAAAAGTAATGGACAGAAATTTCCTAAATTTAAGTCATGAACCTACAAATCCAAGAAGCTATATAAACTCTAAGTTGGATAATCTCTAAGAGACCCACATCAAGACATATTTTTAATCAAACAATTGAAAGCCAAAAATGAGAAAATCTTGAGAGCAGCAAGAGATAAATGACTCATCACATACAAGTTATCCTCAATTAGACTATCACTCCATTTCTTATTAGAATTCATGAAAGCAATAGGGAGTAGGTTGATGTACAGTCATACACCATATGATAACATTTTGATAAATGGCAGACTGCACAAATGATGACTGTCCCATAAGATTAAAATGGAGCTGAGACATTCCTATTGCCTAGTGAACATTGTAGCAATGTTGTAGCACAATGCTCTACCTTTTATATGTTTAAGTATACAAACACTTACCATTGTGTTATGACTGCCCACGGTACAGTAACATACTGTTCAGCACAGTAACATACTGTACAGGTTTGTAGCCTAGGAACAATAGGCTATATCATATAGATAGCCTAGGTATGTAGTAGGCTATATCATCTAAGTTTGTGTAAATATACTTGATAATGTTTGCACAATGACAAAATTACCTAATGTCACATTTCCCAGAATGTATCCTCATCATTAAGTCACACATGACTATATTCAAAGTGTGGAAAGGAAAAAAAGTATTGACAATTATAAATCCTATATCTGGCTCAACTGTTCTTCAAAAATTAGGGAGAAATTAAGATTTTTCCCAGATAAAAGCTAGGGAAGTTCGTTACTACTAGAACTGCCCTTTAAGAAATATTACAGTAAGTTCTTCAGGTAGAAATGAAAGGACACTGGACAGTAACAGCACTCCATATGAAGAAATAAAGGTCTCTGATAAAGGTAAATACATGGACAACTATAAAAGTTACTATTATTTTAATTTTGTTTTATAATTCCAATTTTAATTATAAAAGAATTAATATAAAATGCATAAAACTATTGTTCTATGATATTTGGCACACAGTGCACAGCAATGAAATCTGTGATATCAATTACCAAAAAGGGAAAGGGAGATTTATAGGAACAGACTCTTTTATGGTATTAAAGTTAAATGTGAATAAATTTAAATTCGGTTCTAGTAATTTTAGAGTGTTAAATATAATTCCCATGATGAACACCAAGAAAATGTCTATGTAATATACACAGACAGGAATAAAATGTGAAAATGTCATTACAAAAAATCAACTAAACATAAAAAAAGACAGTGATGGTGGAAATGAAGGGCCAACTATAGGCGATGTAAACACCAAATGGCAAAATAGCAAGAAGCAGAAGCACATCTCTTATAATAATTACTTTAAATTCAAAACAGATTAAACTCTCCAATCAAAAGAGATAATTGCAGAAAGGATTTTAAAAGATCCAACTATGTGCTGTCTTCCTGAGACTCTGTTTAGATTCAAATATATAAATATGTTGAAAGTGAATGTATGGAAAAGATATTCCATTCAAATAGTAACCAAATGGGACTGGATTACCTGTAATATTAGACGAAATACTATTTAAATGTAACAATATTATAAGAGATAAAGTGCATTATATATTAATAAAAGTTTTCATCTTGAAGAAGATAGAAAAATTACAAACATTTACTCACTTAACAATGCATTCAATATATATGAAGCAAAGATTTACAAAATTGAGAGGGGGGTCACACAGTTCAAAAGTAATAGTTGTAGAAATCAATTCTCCACTTTCAATAATGGATATAACAACTAGAGAGAAGATAAGGAAAGAGAGGACTTTAACAATAAAACAATAAGCTAGAATGAACAGAGATATACAGAATATTTGACCCAACATCAGAATATATATTCTTCTAAAGTTCACAGGATATTCTGCAGGATAGAACACATGTAAGGCCACAAAATAGTCTCGGTAGTTTTTTTTTTTTAAGAAGTATACATATATAATGTAGTTTTCCTATAATGGCATAAAATTAAAAATCAATAACAGAGTGATGACTAAAAAATTTTCTGCAGAAATATACAGAAAGTAAGCAACACATTTTTAAATGACCAAGAGGCCAAAAAAAGAACCACAGGGAAATTAGAAAATATTTTGCAAAAAATGAGTGTAAAAACTATCACTTTGGGAGGCTGAGGTGGGAAACTCACCTGAGGTCAGGAGTTTGTGACAAGCCTTGCCAAAATGGCAAAACCCTGTCTCTACTAAAAATACAAAAATTCACCAGGCATGGTAATGCATACCTGTAGTCCCAGCTACTGAGGAGGCTGAGGCAGGAGAATTGCTTGAACCCGGGAGGGAGAGGTTGCAGTGAGCCGAGATTGTGCCACTGCACTTCAGCCTGGGTGACAGAATGAGACTCCATCTCAAAAAAACAAACAATGAAAAACAACAACAAAAACCAATAACATATCAAATCTTATGAATATAGTGTAAGCAATGCTAAGATATAAATTTATAGGTGTAAACAAATTAAATAACCTAGATGAATGGACAAATTCCTAGAACGATACAACCCACCAAGACTGAATCATGAAGAAATAGAAAATCTGAACAGACCGGTAACTAGTCAGGAGATTGACTCTGTAATCAAAAACCTCCCTGCAAAGAAGAATCAGAGACCTGCTGGCTTCACCTGTGAATTCTGCTAACATTTAAAGAATAAAAACCAATCCTTCTCATACTTTTCCAAAAAAAAAGAAGAAAAAGAAGGAAAAACTCCTAATCCATTTTATGACATCAGCATTAGTAAGTTTGAAAATATTGAACTTGTGCAAAGCATCTTTTCTAATCACTATGGAATAATACTTGAAATCCATATGAGGAAAAAAATTGAAAAAATTTCAAATATATAGAAATTAGACAGCATACTCTTAAACAACCAACGGGTCAAAGGAGAAATCACAAATAAAAATGAAAACACATCATTTCATAACCTATCGAATTCAGACAAAGCATTGCTAACATAATTTCATCCATGCTTTCACAAATGGCAGGGATTTCTTCTTTATGACTGAATAACGTCCCTTTATGTGTGTGTGTGTTGTGTGTGTAAACATATATGTATATACATATATATTACATTTTCTTTATGTATTCATCTGTCACTTATCACTTAGATTATCTTCATATCTTGCCTTGGTGAACAATGCTGCAATGAACATATGCGTGTAGATATCTCTTCAATGCTGATTTCATTTCCTATGAATATATAGTCATAAATATATAAATATATACTCACAATTGAACTGTGTGGTAATTCTATTTTTAATATTTTGAGAAACCTACAAACTGTTTTCCATGTGACTGTACCAATTTACATATGGCTGTTCCCTTTTCTCCACTCCCTCACCAACACTTAATCTCTTATCTTTCTGAGGCTACCTACTCTAACAGGTGCGAGGTGATATCTTATTGTGATTTTTATTTGCATTTCCCTGATGATTAGTGATGTTGAGGATGTTTTCATATGCCTTTTGCCCATTTGTATGTCTTCTCTGGAAGAAAAATGTTTATTCAGGTTTTTTGCCCATTTTTAAAATTGGATTTTTTTTCTATTGAGTTATATTTGTTACTTATATATTTTGGATTGTTAACCTTTTAACAGAATTATTTTTTTTCCCAGCCCATAGGAGATTTTCTTTTTATTTTGTTGATTGTTTCATTCCACTACAGAAACTTTTTGGTTTGGTGTAGTCCCACTTGTTTAATTTTGCCTTTGTTGCCTGAGCTTTTGGTGTCATATCCAAAAAATCATTGCAAAGACTAATGTCAAGAAACTTTCTCCCTATGTTTTCTTCTAGGCATTTTATGGTTTTAGGTACTGCATTTAAGTCTTTAAGCCATTTTGGATTAAGTTTTGTATATAGTGTGAGGTAAGGGTTCGATTTCACTCTTTTGCATGTGGATATTCAGTTTCTTCAATACCATTTATCAAAGAGACTATCCTTTCCACATTTCTATTCTTGGAACCTGATCAAATGTGATTTTTTTTCTAAAAAAAATTTGCTTTCTAATTTGTCACATTGTTCTATGTGTCTGTTTTATATTCCAGTGCCATACTGTTTTGATTGTTATGACTGTGTGATATAGTTTGAAATCATAAAATGTGGTGCCTCCATCTTTGTTTTTTCTTTCTCATGGTTGGTTTGGCTATTTGGGATTTTGTGGTTCTTTATCAACTATAGGATTGATTTTTTTCTATTTCTATGGAAATGCCATTAGAATTTTGATAGGGATTACATTGAATCTGTAGTTCACCTGGATAGTATAGACATTTTAACAATACTAATTTTTTGAATCCATGAACACATGATATCTTTCCATTTATTTTTTACTTCTTCAATTTTTTATGATTAGTTTCCAGTAATTTTAAAACTTTTCTGGGGAATATTTGTAAAAAATACCGAAAAAATGTTATATCTGTCTTCTCATTTTGAATATTATGAATTTTGCTTCAGCTTTGTATGTTATAGCATTGGTTAAATGCATCTAGGACAAACGTCTCTATAATACAAAGTGGGGGGTGTACATTATTATTTTGTTGTCAGGAATACAAATTATATTAGTTTCATGTTTGAGTAAAAGTTTAATTGCTCATTTACTATGTGTTTTCCTTATGGCTTTAACATAATTATTTTCATATCTGTCTCAACTAAGAGATTTTAAAATTTTTTGTTGATGATTTGTGGGTAAATAGTAGTATAATTTAAGATCTGATACATTGTTTTCATTGGGCCTATTTAAAAGACAAAATGATACATTATATCCCAAATTTTCCTAGTCAAATTTCCTTATGTTTCTTATCTTATACTAGTATCTTTTTTATAGTATTGATCCACTACAGTAAGATTTTATACAGGGAACATGCATATATGTTATGGATATTTTGTATATTACTAAGTGAATATTTTTTCAACCATTTTATAGTCTACAACTATTTACAAGAATATATACTTTAAATGAATGTTTTATACTTCTAAAATTTAGAATAAAATAATATTAAAATCTTGGAAATGTTTCAGAGGCATAGCTCTTAGAACTTTGTATCTTTTGGTAATTTGTTTCATAGTTAAAATATATATTCAGTTTATTTGCTGCTTTATAAATATTTTCTAGTTAATACTTTTCCTTAAAAGTAATGTCTTTATGTAATTGCACATAGTACCATTATTACCTTAGTATCACATAATTACACAATTTTATGGTTTTATTAGTATTAAAAAATTATAACCTTATAAATTTAAGGTCTAGTCTCATATCTTATATAAGATTAGAATTTATAAGTAATTAGTTTATGTACTAATCTTCCTATTTTATATTAATTTATAAAATTAAATATATATATATTTGGTTTTCCTCAAATTAAATTTTTAATTTTCAAGGCTCTGAATTTCATATTTATTTAAAATATTTTTATTCCTACTAATTAAATTGTGTGCACTATTTATGCTGACTATTTGGAAACTGCATAGGTGTATGATTTGTCTTTGAACTATTCTTATTTATTTGGGCATCAATAAAATTGTGTTCTCTGATCATTATGTGCATGGTAAAGGGGTGTATATCAAACCTGCATTAATTTTCAGCAACTTCATGGATTGCATTTTTATGACCTCCTACCTTCATCTATTTGATGGTGGATTGTTATGATAATATATCACAAAATGTAAAGTCACTGCATTTAGTGTAAAAGCAATCATTTCTAATATCTCTGCTTGCAGCACTTTATTGGAGATTGTTCTCCCCAACAGCTCCAGTCTCTCACACTTCCATTTTTGCTTAACAGAACATGTGAAATCTGGAAAGACACAGATAAATCTTTCTGATGAAGCAGAGTTGGCAAAACTTGGATGGCTTGAAATAGCCCATTTTCACAGAAGATTATTGTTTCTCAGCTGTTTTTCCATGTACAGATTCTGAATATCAGGTTCAATAGAATACGGGATTACAAAGCACAGTTTTCTCAACGTTGAAATTAGGTGCTAATCCATTCATTAATTGTGAGTTGCTGTTAATTTTTTATAAAATGATTTATTTTCAGGTAGGATTGGAATAGGCTATTTAGAGCTTGCTATATATCTTTTTAAAGCAAAGACCAATATTTATTTAATAGTCACACCTCACAATCTTGATCTGCTTGATAAATATAAAACAGATATGATAAGATGGAAAAATTACAGAAAAAAAGGAAAAGATTAAGAACAAACCTGCACGTTGTGCACATGTACCCTAGAACTTAAAGTATAATAAAAAATATATATAAAGAATACAGAAAAACGTGTGTGAATATAGAAAAAAAATAAAAGAAGCTTTAAGATGACCATGAAATCTTTGACCAAGCTATTTAATTTGAATTCTACCTGCCATATTACTTTCTATACCATATTTCTTCTATTTTTTTTAAATAGCATTTGTTCCTTACTAAAGTACTAGGTAATTTTCTATTATATTGATTGTTCCATATGTGTGTTTTATCACTAGAAGTAAGCTCTACAATGGTGTGAATCTTTGCATGTGTGTTCCTTTGTGTATACCTATTACGTAGAAAGATGCTTTGTGTTTTTATTGGCTTATTTGTGTTTCAGCCACAGATTTAGTTATCATTATTGCTTGTTCAATGATAATATTTTTTTGGTGAATTCCCTAAGGGCCTGTTTCACCTGCTGGTTTCTTAAGGTATAAATAAAGGGATTCAACATAGGAGCAACAGAGGTATTAAGCACTGCTACACCTTTGCTCAAAGCCATACCTTCTTTTGCAGATGTTTTTACACACATAAAAATGCAACTCCCATAAGAAACAGAAACCACAATCATATGGGAGGAACAAGTTGAAAAAGCCTTTTTCCTTTGCTGGGCAGAGGGAATCTTCAGAATTGTTTTAAGGATGAGTGTGTAGGAGAGAACCACCAAGGCCAAAGTTACCATGAGTGTGAATACTGCTAGCAAAAATGCCATAAGCTCTAGAAACTGTGTGTCTGTGCAAGCAATCAGCAGCATAGGGGAAGAATCACAGATGAAATGGTCAATAGTGCTGGAGTCACAAAAATCCAGTTGGAGGCCCATAATCACGGGGGGAAAAATAATGAGAAAACCAGCCAGCCAGGAGCTGATTACAAGCCAATTACAGACTTTGTTACTCATGATGGTTGTATAATGTAGAGGTTTGCAGATAGCCACATAGCGATCATAAGACATGACAGCCAGAAGAAAAAATTCTGTTGATCCCAAAAGAATTAAAAAAAATACTTGGGCCATGGAAGCATTATAGGAAATGGTTGTGTCTCCTGTAGCAATGTTGATCAGAAATCTAGGAATGAAGACTGTCGTAAATGAAATTTCTAAGAAAGAGAAATTCCTGAGGAAGAAATACATAGGAGTTTTCAAATGAATATTTGACAATGTTAACATAATGATGATCATGTTTCCACTTACACTCAATAAGTATGTGATCAACATAAAGAAGAATATCACAACTTGTAACTCTGGGTTATCTGTAAATCCCAGAAGAATGAATTCTCTAATTGATGTCATATTTGGCATGGCTTAGTTCTGAATTCTGATAGGTCTGTAGATAAAAAGAAGAGTGAATGTCAATACGTGATTTGATTTCAAATACACTAGGATTGCTCTTATTCTGCATCAAGAACTTTAAGACCCATTCAACAAGAAGTGGCAGAATATCCATTAGAATTGCAAGTTCATGACAGAATTTATTTAGTAGTGAAAAGATTAATTTGTGTTTCATTACTTTAAAAAACATTTAAGTTTTATCTTTGATAATTCTCTGCTGTATAGTTTTGATTACTTAATGTACAGAAAGGTTTTTTATAGTTAAATAATAATAAATATTTTGCTTGCTTTGTTCTGTTGGTGGAATATTGAACAAGTTATCAGAATACATAGTAATTTTGAAAACTTAAAGGCCATAAAATACAAATGCTAATATTGTCATTAGAAAACAGACTTTCGGCCGGGCACGGTGGCTCACGCCTGTAATCCCAGCACTTTAGGGGGCCGAGGTGGGCGGATCACGAGGTCAGGAGTTCGAGACCAGCCTGACCAACATAGTGAAACTCCGTCTCTACTAAAAAAGAAAAATTAGCCGGGCGTGGTGGTGTGTGCCTGTAATCCCAGCTACTCCGGAGGCTGAGGCAGGAGAATGGTGTGAACTCAGGAGGCGGAGCTTACAGTGAGCCCAGATCACACCATTGCACTCCAGCCTGGGCAATAGAGCAAGACTCCATCTCAAAAAAACGAAAAACAGAAAAACAAAAAAAAAAAAAGAAAAGAAAAGATTTTGAGTTATTTCAATTTTAAAAATGAGCCTTGATTTCTTTTCATAGCAAAAACAAACAAAAACACAGAAAATACTATATTTATGGGAAATTAATTGAACTCCATCTCCTCTTGCTGTAGGCAAAACTGATCCTCTTAGCTCCTTTCTGATTGAAGTTGACATAAACACAATGCCGACCTTTATTAATGAACAAGATCACAGTATAAAAGTTCCAATCGGACTTTTTAAATATAGTCAATCAATCCAGTGTTTGTTTTAGTTCTATGGGCCAAACTCTGCATGCATGCATCAATTATTCTGAATTAGTCCATTTTGATTGATACAGGTACCTGTAGTGGTCTATGCCAACAAAACAGGAATTTTAGTGAAGTACATAATCAACATCCCGAATATGAATTGCTCAGCATGATCTGTTGCTACCAGTACTAGAAACAGAGAAACCATCTTGACAAATTTTGAGTGACCCATGAGAGTAATCTGATTTAATGAACAGAGTCAAAGTGTGAGATATTAGGAAGGGTAAAGATGACATTGAAATGGGGTCATGCATCCTGGGTCTGGCATCCCTGCAATAAGTCATACCAGCTGAGGTTTATCTAAGAAAATGCTGTCTAACTCCTTCCTGAAGCAGGTATTTGTATGCTTCTGAACTAAGCTGTGACAAATTTAAAAAGACTCGGAGATCTACGTTGAAGTTTAAACTGCATCCATGAAGTTTTGTTCTCTTGTGACATCTCTCTCATTTTTATAGACAATTTCATGTAAAATTTGGTGTCAAAGGTTCCTGGCTAGGTACTTGGCTATTGAATATTGTGAGGTACTTTTCTGTCATACAACACAAAGTTATTTTCATGGTCTTGATGGGATCGTCTTTAAATTTCAAATTCAAATGGGCATATTTGATGCTTCAAGGATATCTGGTGACCAGTTGAAAATCATGCTGTGGGGACCCTGTGATTCCCTGCACAAAATATAAGGAGTTCCTTCAAACAGAGGGGCTAGGATGCTAGTGATGCTCTTGATCAAGCAGCTAGCTACCTGGCTGGCCACATGTTAACATCACAAAATATGCTCAGGCAATTTCTCAATTTATCTGCTAAGATTGTTCTAGGACATTTTTTTCATCATCTTTGATTAGAGCAAGTATACCAGATAACATGCAAAAGATACAGGATATGACTCCTCAGGATTAAGAAAACATCCATGCTAAATAACGGTGCTCTCAGAAAAGGAAGTAATGATGATGGTGTCAATTTCAGTAAGTTTATGTAAATGTAATGCACACCAAAAAACAAAAAGACTCAGAGAGAGAAAACAATACAAGCATTGATAATAAAAACCAAAAAAAAAAAAAAAAAAGAATTGACAAAATGCCTTCATGGTACATTTCAAAAAGAGTAGCTGTCAAGAGTTCTATGATTTAGGAAGATAAATTAACAACATGAAAAAAAGAAGAAATATACTCACTTATGTTAGTCCTTGATAGATTCAAGTAATAGTTTAAATCTAATTAGTTTTCTCATTATCTATAAGAGAAACCTAATGTTTTAGCTAGAAAAGGATCAGTTTTACACCTTTTATCAAACTAATTCATTTTTGTACAGCTGCTAAATTATTAAAATTTTGAAGATTTTTTCCAGATTCCCCTTTGTTATTAAACCATCTATTTCTCAACCCAAAAGCCACTCTTGGTGAGTATGAGAAAATGCAGTTGGCATATTTTGAAATTTTTTTTTTGCATTTAAATGTCAACTGTTTCATATTTTCTCTGACTTTGCTCAGTGATACAGGCTTTCCAAAAAGCTTTTTCTCTAAAAGAAATAGAAAGGCATGTTTTGTGTGTTTAAAAAAGAATAATGAAAAATGAACAGAGCCAATGAGACTTCTGGAACACCATCAAGTGTACTAAAATTTGCATTATGGAAGACCCAGAAGTAAAAGAGAAAGAGAGAAAGGGTCAAAAAGAGTATTTGAAGAAATAATTTTTAAACTTTCCAAATTTGAGGAAAGATGTGAATCTACATACCCAAGAAGCTTAATGAATTCCAGGTAGAATAAATTCAAGGAAATATACCATGAAACACATTAAAATAAAATGTCTAAAGCCAGCCGATTTCTAGTACTTTGCTTTAGTAGCACTTGGAAATGAATACATTTTCTAAAAGTTTTGCTCTGGAAAGATTTATACTGATTTTCATTTATTTCCACGTATTAACTATTATAATGAACTTCATCAGGTAAATTTTGACTAAGAGGATAGAGTTTTCCTAACTCTGTTATTTGCCTGATATCTATTAGTATCTATATCTATCTATAGATATCTATAACTATTATGTATGATATATACATTATACATACATATAGACATATGTGGACATATACATATATAATGATATATAAATATATGAATATAGAACGTATATATCATATATAATACCTATATACATATGTGTATATATGGTATATATCATATATAATACATATGTATTATAATCTTACAAAAAGACTTGCATTGTTTCATTTTCTTTGTAAATTGTGTGTTATAATAAGGAACTTGTAAACAAAGTAATCATAATTTTAGTTTTCTGTTGGTATTATGTTAGAATTTGAAAAAACATGTGAGTCATTCCATGAAAACACAATGGTAAGAAGTACGTGATTGTTAAAGACAGCCTCTTCTTTGAACAATAATGAAAACTATTTGCCAGGGAATTAGATTTTCTACAGTCATTTACATTAATCAAGATAATCAGATCAGGCTGAAAATCAAGGTGCCAATATCAAATCCAAATACCTTATACCTAGTCAGAGTCACAGCTACTGAGTCCTGATAATTAATTTTATTAATGACACATTGATTTTGAGGGACTCAATAACTAAAGATAATAAGCCTGAACTCGTTTTTTGGCAGTTCTCAAAGGCCTCCAAAAGTCATTTGCTTGGGTTGGGGAAGATGTTGAAACTGTGAAAGAGACAATGAAAAGATGAAGGCAGTATCACAGGTTTGGCAATAAAGGAAAACTAACATATAAATAATTTATCTCTTCATTTATAGAAAACTCTTTAGAATCATGTAGCAGTCAAAGGACATAGCAGCCAGAAGGTAAAATTTGGTCACCCCCAAGATGAAAAAAATAGCTGAGACACACAACCATTATAGAAATGGTTATGTCTCCAGTCACGATGGTGACAAGGAATCTGGGAATGCAGACAGACATGAATGATATTTCCAGAAATGAGAAGTTCTGAAGGAAGAAATGCATGGGAGTCTGCAGATGGGGATCTGAAAGGGTGAGAGAGTGATAAAGATCAGATTCCCAGTCCCACTTAGCATGTAGGTAGCAAGAAATATGAAAAGCACAACCTGCCACTGTGGGTCACTTGTCAATCCAAGAAGAATAAATTCTATTACTGCCTTGCAATTTCTTATTACTTATTTCTTTCTTTCTTTATTATGTTACTCTTTATTTTAGCTATAAAATAAATGAAGAAATAAGAAAGCTATAACACCAGTAAAGAAACTTAAACACACACGCACACAAACACACATTTTAAGAACATCATTGTTATCTTTTCTTTTACAATAAAATGATTTTGTGGTACATAGACCCACAATATTTTTTAACAATTTTGTTATTTATTATGTCACATATTAATTCATTACTTGTATATTTCTTTCATTACATTCTCATATATTACAATACAAATATCTCTCTTCTGAATGTTCAACATACTTCCTGAAAATAAAATTAAACCTCTTAGATTGAAACTTTTCAAATAACATTCTGAGAGTTCATTTACCAGCATTTTTCAATACTTTGATACTCATTTCAATACCTTTTAATATTTTATTTTGCTTTCCCTTGATATTTTTAATTTTTGAAAACTTTTGAATAAGCATGCATTTCACCTTCCCTATTTAAAATTTTAGAGTTAAAAAAGTCAGCACACTCATTAGTCTGGTAGAGTAGTCTGTCCCTAATAATGGTTTGCAGAGATATTTAATGTCCGGAAGTGGTTTTTACTCTAATTGTAATGTTGTAATGAAAGACATTCTAGTTAAGTTAATCATCTATGATAATCTCCTGTAAGATTGTAAAATGTACTCTTCTTGAATATGTTTTTATTTACCAGCTACCTGTCATAAAGCTGCTGTTCATTATGTAAAGTAGTACTTTTATTTAATTCTAACTGTATTTTAGTAAGCTGCAAGTGTTTTATTAATCCTATTTCTAGACCAATGTAGCATGTCTTCACATTACTGTGTATTCTTTTCTCCAGTGGTGATAAATTAGTTCGATACTCAGGATACATTTTAGATGAGGCAAGATTGTTTTTCCTTCACTTTTTTTCTTCTGATATCATCCTTGATGTTATGATGCTTTACTTCTTTGTTCAAGTTTAGTTATTTTCCACAAAAGCTTAAATGTGCTGCCACTTAGCACAATTTTTTAAAGTACTTAAAGGTCCAGACAGCTTTTCTGAGTTTGTAAAGTCTCATCTGGTTCCAGTATTCTTCAGAGATTTAGCACTTTCAAATGGAATATTTTCTCAGGATTAGATAATTTATTATGTGAATATATTTACCACCAATTTTTACCTACAAGATTCCTAAGAGGGAGATATTTGCCCTTCTTATTATCCATGTTCTTTGTGAACCCAGAGTTGCAGTTTCTTTTGGTCTTTTGCCTTTATATTATGGATACTGACCTTCATTACATGTAAAATTCACACTGTGTAAAACTAAATACATAAGGTATATCTACTGTGTTAAAATGCATCAAATTCTTTTGAATCTTGTGCAAAAATAATTATATGTTTTTCTGATATTGATTATATTGCAAGCAATTGCATAGGATATCTCTACAAGAACACAAAATGTCATTCACTACCATGAGTCGCAACCCATGCTATAAGGAAGAAACTTGAAACTTGTTGCTTCAAACTATAGGAATGCAATGGTTTTTAAATTTCCCTGCTATTTACATATTTTGATATTATGAAATGTCGTAATTGTGTGGTTTAAATGTGCTAATACTTAATATAGTACATAATTGAAATTACTTGTATAAAGCGTAAGCATATACTATTAAGCAGAAAAATTATATTCCTGAAATAACAATTAAGAATACACACTTTTAAGGTAAACATGACTGGATTAGTCAAAATGTCATTTCTAGTTGCTTTTTAAATTTACTTAAATTAAAGCATCAAGATTTTTCAAAAAACCTCTGCATATTGTTCTGCTTCTTTTTCCTTGTATTTGTAACCAAATATTCAACATATGGGTAGAAAATAAAAATCCCAGGAGTACCTCTACTACGTTCACAAGAAGGGTATATATTTATCCATTTCTGTACATCCAGTCAAATTTCTCTAAAGGTCTGAAGTCATTGGATACTCTACCTATTTCTACTTAAGGAAGTATTATCCTGGCATTTAAAATGAAATAAATTATAGTTGAAGTAGAGGTGAAGGTAACATCTCCCCAAGCCTGATATGCAAGATCATATTTTGGGGGTGGTAATTATTCAAGCTAGCCATTATTCTGTTTCCTCTAGATGGAGGATAGCCTGCAAGGCTTATTATTCAAGCTCTGTTTCCTCTAAATGGAGGAAACAGAATAATGGCTTGCTTATATTCCTATTAATATTCCTCTAAATGGAGGAAACAATAATGGCTAACTTATTCTATCAACGTTCCTATTAATATTCCTCTGAATGGAGGAAACAGAATAATGGCTGGCTTGAATAATAGTATTACTACCTTGGGATTTATTGAATGAATAAACAAAAGGGGATTAGTGTTCTGAAGACACTGGGTGCTAAGCAATAGTCTGAATTAGCACACATTTTATAATAGAATATTTAGGTAATAGTGGCCAAAAAACAAAGCAGAAGATATAGGAAGATTTACGGATATATAAATATCTTATAACTTTACAATGAGAAGAAACTTAATAGTGGAGTACTAGATATTGGCAGTCTCTAAATGACAGACTATGCTGTGAACAAGTAGGTTTATCTTTAATCTTAAAGAAAATGTCAAAAATTCATTGTGATGTTCTAGACTTAGGCCAAGGTTCTCATTACACTGAATCAAATGTCCAGATTGTCTTTAAGGTTTTTTATTTTCCCACTGATTGAAAATGTAGAAAATATGATTATAATAAAAATCATTACTGCTTATTAGATAACTTTTAAAATATTTATTATGTATTGAGCTCATTCTTGGGTTATATGAACACAGTAATGATAAAGCTAGCTGCTTGCATAGTTTTTACATCTTCTGGAGTACTGTTAGAAGGCTACATTATTTGTTAAATTTCACAATCCCTTCTTCATATCTCCAGCCAACAATTTTCCCACAGATGTCAATTTATTATCCTCTGCTTTGATATAAAAAGACATCCATAATATCCCTTTTACACTAGTTATTTTGAGACATATTTAGACAATATTTAATCCAAGAGCTCCGTCAAACATATAAGTATTTTGAATTAAATCAGAACTAAGATTATTTAATGGTCATAGGATGCTAGACACTTCTTAAAGATTTTAAGATGTTTAATGTTTCTTTGGGAGACAAAGTTGTAAAATAAAGTTACAACAAAATTATTAAAGGTATATAATTAAACAATACAGATGGCATATGAAGAAAAATTTGTTAAAGTATAACAGCTACTTTAAGTTCAAAGTATATAATATTTAATTAGCCACGATTAAAGCCAAGAACTTGAGTAAACATTTTAAGTATGCTTTAATAAAGAGGTTGTTATAAAATTATTATTATAGGAAGATGGTTACTTGCAGATCAAAATACTACTTTAAAGTGTACATTTAGTAGTAGCATGACATAAAGAAAGATGGAAAATTGGTTTAATGTGTATAGTGAACAAAAAATAAATTGAGGTGTAGAATGGGTACACTTTTTGGTCGATGATCTAATATAGCCCTTTTTATTCTGAATTTTGAGTATACGGGATAATGCCACAGTGCTTATGATGGCAGCAGCTGTTGTCCTCAAGCCGGCTGCAGCAGGGAGGTGCCACAGGGAGGTGCACGCTCAGTGGAGCCGGCGGGAGTCCGGGACAAGTGAGAGCCCAGTCCATTCCGAGTTGGGGCAGGAGCTTCCCGGGTGCCCGCCTAATCCCGGGCTGTAGACCTGGGACTCTGGCTCCATGGAGCAGGCAGGCGCCCGGTCCCTCAGCACGGCTGTAGCCGCCCAAACCCGGGCTGCAGGCCCAGCAAACCCTGCATTCTTGGTTGACCTGGGAAGGCTCCCTTTGCCTTTGCAGGCTCGGAGGTGCCTGCTCCTGCTGGCTGTCCTCTCCCCACTCCCGATGCCCGCTCAGATCTCGGAGTGGTGTTGGGGCCAACCTAGGCACTGTCACTGTCTGGCCGGGTGTGCTCACGCTTGGGGCACGGCTGACATGCCAGTCCCCAGTGGACTGGGCCCCCTCTGGACTTTGGGTGCAGAGGAGCACAGGAGGAGAAGCTGAGAGGGTGGTGAGGGTGGCTGGGTGCTGGCTTGCAGGTGCCCCTTGGTGCCAGCAGCCTGGGTGCCATGGATAGCTACTGTAGGCAGGCAGGCTCCTGGGAGGAAGGGAGTGGTGCCCCTGTAAGGCCCCACCTTCAGTCCAGGGATGGCCTGAAGGCTGGGCACTGGGCTGCCAGTCCTGTAGACCGCAGACTGGAGTGGGAACTTGTGGTGACTTTTCTGCTGCTGATGGCTGCCCATGGACCAATCTGCATGTACTTCCTCTCCTCTGGGTTCCATAAAAGCCCTGGGCTCAGCCAGAATGAGGCAGAGGATGGAGAGGATGGCCAGAGGACTGGTTGAAGTGAGGAACTACCCTCTCTGCTGATAGCTGGAGATGACTAGAGGACCAGCTGAAGAGAGGAGCTACTCACTCTGCTGAGAGCTGCAGAGACCACTAGACAACCTGAGTGCAGAGAGGAGCCACCCAATTCAGGGCCTCCTCTCTGCTGAGAGCTGAACTCTGGATGAGACAACCTGTCTGCAGAGAGGAGCTGCCTGCTGCTGGTCTCCTCTGAGCTGTTCTGTCACTCAGTAAAGCTTCTCTTCATCTTGTTCACCCTCCACTTGTATGCGTACCTCATTCTTCCTGGACGTGGGGCAAGAACTCAGGCAAAAGTGCCACCAGCCACAGAGGTTTCCAGCCAGAAAAGTGACACTCTAAAGATCCCATAACATTTAGTTTTTAGGACTCTCGGCAAGCAGTTATTTTAAAAGGTCATACATAATTCTAACATAAATTATAAAAACTTGTAATTAAAGAAATTAAAATTAATATAATAATTCAAAACTCATTAATTCTCAGATTTAATGACTAAACTTATAGAAAAAGAGTTCACAGATTGAAATACAATTCCATTTGTCAAACTGTGGTTGAGTTGCAAAAATAAATTGCTTATGAACATAAGTTTGGTAAAAGTCAATGAAATATTGCATGAAAATCAACTGGGTATATAGAATTGACACTAAAATTTATAATTACATCAGGTTTCTATTTTTTGGAGGACTAGTTGTTAAACATTATGCAGCATATCCTTTCTCTCTGCCCACATGAACTGAAGGATCTGGCCTTTATTGAGCATCACATTGCTTGAGCCATATCCACATCAATAGATGCAAATTAAATTCAGATTTGCATAGAATCTGCTAAGCAACTACCAGAAAAATAAAAAGTTTTGTAAAGCAAAGAGAAATAAAAACGTAATTTTTGATTAGCTGGAATATTTAGCTCTATGATGCCTAAAGGAGTCCAGTATTCTTACCAATTCTAACTAAACTTATTATCAATTTAACAAAACACTTCCTATAAGCAGATGTAGTAAATCATTTTGCTCAGATTCACAGATGCAAATATCATATGGCTATTTTAGACATTTAGACATTCATACTGTCTCTCAGATTGAATGTGTTAGTTTTCATTCACCTGCTTTTGATTACGTGTAACCTTTTTTCTACAAATACTTGTTTGAATAACTCATTTTTTAAATGGGGGAGAAAAGAGAACCCCAAAACTAGGAATTTGAATACATATTAAGGAAAAGTGATCCAATAGTAACTTAAATGATTTCATGTGTTCATGCATTGCTTGTGGAAGAAGACAGGAAAAAAGCAAATTGATAAATACTAAACAAATTTTTATTCTTACAAGTGTATAAGTAAGAACCTCTTATAGGAAAAGTTTATATCAAGGCGCAGGCAGTGTAAACATACTTAATCCCATACTCTCCATTGTCCATAAAAAAATGAAAACTTTTTTAAAAGAATGTAACCATATAAATAGAATCGAGGGTATCATTAGTATACTAGAAATTTTAAGAACCACTTGGGAGATAGAAAGCACAGGGGTTTAAAGGGCTAGTAAAATCAAAAGAGAGAAAGGCAAGCCAGATTCTTTTCAAAGGAGCTGCAGGTAAACTCCAGACCCAGCAACAGCAAATTAACAGAAAGAAATGGGCTATCATCAGTGTAGTTCATTAAGGGTGATTTGTGGTGAGAGTACTGGGGCCTAACAGAAATATCAGAACCGGACTTGAGGTAATTTTGGAATTTGAGCCAAGAAAAGACATTAAGCAAGATATTTTATACTATTAAATAATGGAATTCACATTGAAGATATAGAATGCCAATGTACCAAATAGCATATGTAAACATTTACAATGCAAAAACCAAGGGAGATAAAAGGAGAAATATAAATATACTATTTACAATGCAAAAACCAAGGGAGATAAAAGGAGAAATATAAATATACTAGAGGTAGGAGACTTCATCTCACAGAAGAATTTATTTTAGTACATTGTGCTAATGCACTGGGATAAATAATTTTTCAGAATTGCTTGATGGTAACTTTTTAAAAAAATTTTTTTCTTAGGATCAAAGGGAAAGTCTTTCAATGATTGTTTAAAGCTAAATTCTGCAGCCTGGCCAACATAGTGAAACCCTGTCTCCACTAAAAATACAAAAAATTAGCTGGGCGTGGTGGCAGGAGCCTGTAATCCCAGCTCCTCAGGAGGCTGAGGCAGGAGAATCACTTGAACCCAAGAGGCAGAGGTTGCAGTGAGCCGAGTTGGCACCATTGCACTCCAGCCCATGCAATAGTGTGAGACTCCATCTCAAAAAACAAACAACAAAAAACAAACAAACAAAAAAACAAATAAAACAACACCTAAATGTTCACAGCATGTAAATATAAATGGGTTATGAAGCCAAGTGAGGTCAAAATGGGATAGAAGAATAAATCCTGAAGGAAAAATAGTTGAATATATTAATGGTATTGGATGGAGATATAGAACGATGTCAGTATTATGCTACAGATAAGTTTCCATTTCAAGTTCAGGCTATACATTTCTTTGTGACTAAAATTTATTTGAAAAACATTTTTTGATCAAGTTCTGAAAAGACTGTTTTACCTACTGGTTCCTTAGGGAGTAAGTAAAAGGATTTAACACTGGGGCTACAGAGGTATTGAGCACTGCTATACCCTTGGTCAAAGCCACTCCTTCTTTTGCTGATGTTTTGACATACATGAAAATGCAGCTTCCATAAGAAATGGAGACAACAATCATGTGTGAAGAACAAGTGGAAAAGGCCTTTTTCCTTTGTTCAGCAGAAGGAATTCTCAGGATTGTCTTAAGGATGAATACATAGGAAAGAATCACTAATGTTAAGGTTACCATGAGAGTGAATATGGCCAGGAAAAATCCCATGAACTCTAGAAACGCTGTGTCTGTGCAGGAGATCAGTAGCATAGGAGAGGAATCACAGGTAAAGTGATCAATGATGTTGGAGTCACAGAAATCCAGTTGAAGCCCCATAATTACAGGTGGAAAGATAATGAGAAATCCAGCTAGCCAAGAGCTAATTACAAGCTGGATGCAGACTCTGCTGTTCATTATTGTTGTGTAGTGCAGTGGCTTACAGATAGCAACATAACAATCATAGGACATAGCAGTCAAAAGGAAAAATTCTGTTGAACCAAGGAGTATAAAGAAAAATACCTGGGCCATGCAAGAATTATAAGAAATGGTCTTATCCCCTGTTACGATGCTGACCAGAAACCTAGGAATACAAACTGTTGTGAATGAGATTTCTAGAAAAGAGAAATTCCTAAGGAAAAAGTACATGGGTGTTTTGAGGTGCACATCTATCAAAGTGAGAGTAATAATTGTCAGGTTCCCAGTTATACTCAGTATATATGTAAAAAATAGAAATATAAAAATCAAAACATTTAGCTTTGGGTCATCTGTTAATCCCAGAAGAATGAACTGTTTCACAGAAGCATAATTTTTCATTTCTTATTGTTGACTGCTACCAAGTCTATAAAGGAAAACAAGAAACAATGGTTTAGTGAGTTTGGGTTACATTTTATCACATCTGCTGGGTTAGGAAACATATAAGGCCTATAATAAACCAAAAGAAAAATCAGCCAACCAAGTTATACTGAATTATAAAAATATATATTAACCATGACAAAAAAAATCTATGTCTGGTACTTGCCTTGTTGGTCACCAGCTATTTAATATTGAGTGTGTTCAATCAGATACCATCTCACACCAGTTAGAATGGCAATCATTAAAAAGTCAGGAAACAACAGGCGCTGGAGAGGATGTGGAGAAATAGGAAGACTTTTACACTGTTGGTGGGACTGTAAACTAGTTCAACCATTGTGGAAGTCAGTGTGGCGATTCCTCAGGAATCTAGAACTAGAAATACCATTTGACCCAGCCAACCCATTACTGGGTATATACCCAAAGGACTATAAATCATGCTGCTATAAAGACACATGCACACATATGTTTATTGTGGCACTATTCACAATAGCAAAGACTTGGAACCAACCCAAATGTCCAACAATGATAGACTGGATTAAGAAAATGTGGCACATATACACCATGGAATACTATGCAGCCATAAAAAATGATGAGTTCATGTCCTTTGTAGGGACATGGATGAAATTGGAAATCATCATTCTCAGCAAACTATCACAAGGACAAAAAACCAAACACCGCATGTTCTCACTCATAGGTGGGAATTGAACAATGAGAACACATGGACACAGGAAGGGGAACGTCACACTCTGGGGACTGTTGTGGGGTGGGGGGAGGGGGGAGGGATAGCATTAGGAGATATACCTAATGCTAAATGATGAGTTAATGGGTGCAGCACACCAGCATGGCACATGTATACATATGTAACTAACCTGCACATTATGCACATGTACCCTAAAACTTAAAGTATAATAATAATAAAAAAAAATTGAGTGTGTTACCTGATAGGTTTAATAAATACATCTGTATAAGAAAAATGTGCTTACCAAATGTGTTTTACTTTCTCTTAAAAAATTGATTGGCCAGGTACGGTGGCTCACACCTGTAATCTCAGCACTATGGAAGGCTGAGGCAGACAGATCACTTGAAGCCAGGAGTTCGAGACCAGCCTGGTCAACATGGCGAAGCCCTGTTTCTAGTAAAAATATAAAAATTAGCCAGGCGTGATGGTAGGTGCCTGTAATCCCAGCTACTCAGGAGGCTGAGGCAGGAGAATTGCTTGAACCCAGGAGACGGAGGTTGCAGTTAACCAAGATTGCACCACTGCACTTCAGCCTGGGTGACACAGCAAGACTCCATCTCAAAAAGAAAAAAAAATTTGATCGTATGTACGTGAAAACTAGAAACATAAAAAACATTAAAATGTAAAATATTCTTTTACGGTTATTAAGATGCTATACCAAAGATCACATGTCCTGATTGTCTGAAAATAAAACATTTTGAAGCATTTTTAGAAGTTATTTTCCATAATATTTCAAGATATTTAATTTCAGTCTTGTCTAGAGAATCAATAATTTATAAATAAATCAGGATCATCAAACTAATATTTCTATAATCCTAAAATACAAACAGAATTTTTCAAAGTTTTGAAAACTTTCCAAAGTTTTTTCTTTCTGAATTAAATAATATTCTATAGAAGATATTCTAACAGCCAAAGTTAAGTCATCTCAGTTATAAATTAATTAGAAAAATGCAAAAAATGAGGAAAGTAATTGAAAATACACTTACAATAATATAATTCCACGTGGTAGCAGTTTAACTGCTAAAACCCAAATGTTATGTGGCTTTACTTTAACTGGCATCAGTGTTTGATGCTTTACTTTGGGAACGTTTCATAAGCTTCACAACTTGTTTCTGTCTTGAATTTTCTTACATAATAACATACTTATATAATGAGGAGATGGAATTTGGAAAGATGAACCCGGTTATGTACAGTGGGATGGAACACAACGTAGGAACAAGTCCAGCTGAAAATTCTGCTTTCTCTTCCAGAAGTGGGAGAGGCCCCGATAGGTGACATAGTCCCAGTTGCTGTTAAGAGGTGCTACAACCAGACTACGGTAAAGTATCCAAAAGGTCCTGCAGCTGGAGATCCAGGAAAGGGCTGACAATACAGTGAAAAATCTGGGTGTCTCAATCAGTGGCAAAAATCTGAAAGTCTGAAACTCACTGAGTAACAGTGTCTCTGGTACTAGTTTGTTGTTAGTAGTAAAGGTAGAGGCCATGGAAGTGGGAAAGGGCAGTAGCAAAATGGGCAGTTTGCATCTGGTTACAGCAGAGGGCTTCAGACCAAACCAGATGCAGACTCTGCTGACACTCCAGGAAAGATCAAGCTTTCCTGGAGTGTCAATCAATGAGACTCTCAAAAACAAAAAGAGGAAGGAAGGAAGGAAGGAGGGAAGGAGGGAGGGAGGGAGAGGGAAGGAGGGAAGGAGGGAAGGAGGGAAGGAAAGAAATGTGGATCCTTGTTAGAATCAGGACAATACTTACAGGGAAATTGGTAAACAGAGATGATGAAGTTGTATATTTTACTTGTCAATTAAGTGAAGTTCTTAGATCATCAGAAGGAGAGGGTTCAAATCACAAGAAAGAATCCAAAAACAGCACCAGTGGAAAAGATGAGCTGCATGGCATATGAATGAAAACGGTTGAGATGGAACATCCTTGAAACGTAAAAGGACTCTCCAAAGGCTAGGCATTCAGTATCTCTTTTTACTCCCCAAAATTTCCATGACAATAACAATGTCTTGACCCTGGATACTAGGAAAACTTTCCAATGTAATATTTTAAGTGACTCTCAGTAACTCTTGTGAAAAAAAAGATCTGTTGTTATTATTTTTTTTCCTGTCTTCACCTTCCCGCAGGAAAACTTGTTTTTTTAAAGTATTCTCTCCAACACAGGCTGTTTATAGCAGCTTTTTTCTTTCTCCTTCAAAATATTCACAGAAGACTATTGCAGTAAAACAGAGTTAAAATGTCTCTAGAGAGATGGTAGTGATGAATGCACACTGAGGTTATGTTGAATAATTTTAATTAGGCATCCTTTGGAAATTATTATTTTTAATCATTAAATGTTAGAGAGGTGTATAATGAAAACAAGAGCAGTGAGGAAATAACAGTATTAGAATTATTTTGAAGTTTATATTGTCAATATCGTTTTATTTTAACCTGAAATAAATGTTTGCCAAGGTAATATGATTCAATTACATGTAAGCACGGGAAGAAGCAGAAAATAGAATGAGAAAAGGGCCCTAGGATATAAAATATGCTATACAAGTGTTTTATTTGTTAATACATAGATGGAGTATTTTAGGGAAAATATAACTAGTATATAGGCATACCATTAAGATGCAGTAAAAATAGAAAGTATAATGTAAACATAAAACTCATGAAATTGATTATCTAAAGACCTCCTTAAGTATTGTTTCTTTCACATTAGAAAACAAAGAAAGCAAAGTTTATATTAGACAATTTAGACCTAGTACATTGTTTACAACTACTGAATTCATTCTCATTTTTAATCTTTTTCTTACAGTATGTTTGTTATGGACACTAGATTCAAATTATTTTCATTTTTAGGATTATATGTTTGTATTTACCTGGACTTGCTATAGGAGCTGAATCTATTAGAATGAGGGAAAAATATTGGAGGTTTAGGCTGATTGTCTTATTTCAAGAGAACTTTCAAAGAAGGACAATATTTTCTAACCAAAAATTAATACATTTCTTTTTCTAATATTTTCTACATGTTATATTCAGTATGTTTCCATTTCAGTGTTTCAGATACTTTTTTGTTTGTTTACTTTCACCACCTAGCTTCTAGGAATATATCTTTTTTCCAAGGTGTAGCAGGTGACTTTAAAATAGTCCCCATAGTACCCAACTTTTGGTGTTCATGGCCTGGTATAACCTTTTCTCCAGAAGTGTGGGCAGGGCCTGTGACTTGCTTCTAAACAATGCAATATGGCCAAGATGATGCATTGACACTCATGATTATGTTATATTATAAAACACTCTTGCTTGCCAATTTGCTATAGTGTATCATTGCTGACTTTGAAGTAAACAGTTTCCATGAATTCTACAGCCACAGAAAATGTGGTTCTGCCAGCAACCGAGTAATCTTGAATAGATCACCCAGAAATAAAGTTGCTCACCCACAACTATCTGATCTTCAACAAAATCAACAAAAATAAGCAACGTAGACAGGACTCTGTGTTCAAAAAAATGGTGTTGGGGTAATTGACTAGCCATAAAGAAAAACAGACACTAGGAGTCACTATTTGCGGTAGCCAGGGAGGAGAGCATGGGCTGAAGAACCATCTGTTGGGTTGTATGCTTACCTCAGTGTGACGGGATTGTTGGGACCCCGAGCATCAGTGTCACACAACTTATCCCTGTAACAAACCAGCACATGTACCCTTTATTCTATAATTAAAGTTGAAACATTTAAGGCTGGGCGGGGTGGCTCCCACCTGTAATCCCAGCACTCTGGGAGGCCGAGGTGGGCGAACCCCCTGAGGTCAGGAGTTCAAGACCAGCCTGGCCAACATGAAATCCCGTCTCTACTAAAAATACAAAACTTAGTTGGGCATGATGGTGCACGCCTTCAATCCCAGCTGACTCAGGTGGCTGAGGCAAGGGAATTGCTTGAACCCAGAAGGCGGAGGCTGCAGTGAGCCAAGATCTCACTGCTGCATTCTAGCCTGGACAACGGAGTGAGTTTCTGTCTCAAAAAAAAGAGAAAAGAAAAGAAAAAGAAAAACATATTTTAAAAAATATAATAGCTATAGATAACTATAACTCTGTGTGTGTGTGTGTGTGTGTGTGTGTACGTATGTATAAAAGTCCTGCACTGCATAACTATGTTTGTCAATGATGGACTGCATGTACGATGATGGTTCCAACCATATTATAATGGAGCTGAAATTTTCCTGTCACCCAGGGATGTCGCCATCATCACTGTTGAACCACATTCATTGTATGTGGTACAACATCGCTGTAATGTTGTACCACAATGCATTACTCATGTGTTTATGGTGATGCTGGTATAAACAAATCTATTGCAATGTCAGTTGGATAAAAGTATAGCACATAGAATTATGTACAGTGCATGCTTGATAATGATAATAAACACCTATGTTACTGGTTTATGTAAAAAAAATTCAATGGCTTAAAACAAAATTATTTCTCATTCCCAACACATGTCAAGTGAAGGCCAGCTAAAGACTCTGTTCTACATCTTGCTCCATTCAGGACCCAAGTTAATCTAATTTAAACATAATCAACAACTGTCAGGAGGAAAATAAGGTAGAAAATAAACATAGAGGCCATTATATACTGCCATTAATAAGTGACACGGGATTTCTACTTACATTTCATGGCCTAAAATAGTCAAATAGACATATCTATGATAATGAATATAAAGAAATAATACTAAATGTCAGAAAATGTTAATTTTTATTGATTATTTTTCAGCTCCAAACCCAACATTTATTATTTAGCTCTATAATATCAGGGATCAGTACTGCAAACTACAGTCTCTTTCACCATCAGATTTCCTAATATGCACTGCCAATAAGAGGCACTACAGCAAAATCAGCAGTGGGAGAAAGTGAATTTATTTTTTCCCTTTTTGTGTGTTGCGAGGATGAGTCTTGAGTATCTGTCTGATGGTCCTAACAGTGGCAGTTGACTTTATAGAGGCAATTAGCCCCAGGGATCAGCTTATTTCTTCATTACAAGAACTGGCTACATCATGGCCTTCAGATGTGTAAGCAGTAACAGACAGTGCCCCCTTTTCAGAGATAGGAGTATAAAATCTGTGGGGGCTTTGCAAGGAGTTCCTAGCAACTGAAGGAATCCATGCAGTATTACAGCCTCAAAAGAGCACCAGTTCCATCTAGCACCTACTCTAGATCCTGAGTTCTGGAAATCCAGCTCTTTCCCCAGAACAGATAATTCAAGAGACCAAGGCAAAAGTATCAATGCCCCTTATGATCTATCCTCAGAAGTTATACATCATACTTCCTTTTATTCAAACCTCATACTTCATGGGATAGTTTTTATCTCAGGGTGACCTCAGTGTTCCTTCTTTTTTTTTTCCCTTTCACCTTTTCCAACCTGAATTAAATATTTCTGGTGTGAAATTTACCCTGGTGATATTTTCCCTTTTCCTTTCTGAATCTTAATTGAGAAGAAAGGGATACTGATAAATAGCAGAAGTGACTACCATATGTGGTATTTATGCATCATTCTTCTGTTAGTTATTATATTTCCCCTATGGCATTGGCTCAGACTTTAGCAAAAGTACATTTAGTTACTAGCTGAAGAGATACAAAAACTCATATCTAGGGTTTTGAACTCACAATGATTTTGTCTATATTCATTTTCAGTGGGTACCAATGAAGATACCACTGAGTGTGGTTTTTCACTGGGGTTTCACTGAGCTTCCTGAATCTTTGGATTGATGTCTTTTAGCACTTTAGGACACTCTTTGCACTTATTGTTTTGGATATTGCTCCCCCCTATATTCTTTCTACTTTTCTTCTGGGATGCCAGATTACATGTACTAGAACTTTTGATCACGGTTCCACATGTATCTTATTCTCCATGTTCTTATTTTCTCTCTTTATTTTGGATATTTATTATTCATGCCTATCTTCAAATGTATACTTTTAGCTATTAAAGTGATTTACTACATTCTTCAATTTAGATATTATGTTGTTTAATTCTATTAAGTTTATTGATCCCTCTCTATATATTTCAAATCTATTGCAATCTCAATATTTTAATTATTTTATCAATTTTTTTATTGCCTTGAGTGTTGCAGGAAGTCAGGGACCCCTAACGGAGGGACTGGCTGAAACCATGGCAGAAGAACATAAATTGTGAAGATTTCATGGACATTTATTAGTTCCCCAAATTAATACTTTTATAATTTCTTACACCTGTCTTTACTGCAATCTCTGAACATAAATTGCGAAGATTTCATGGACACTTATCACTTCCCCAATCAATACTCTTGTGATTTCCTATGCCTGTCTTTACTTTAATTTCTTAATCCCGTCATCTTTGTAAACTGAGGATGAAAGTCGCCTCAGGAAAGTTGCCTCAGGACCCTGTGATGATTGCGTTAACTGCACAAATTGTTTAAATAATATGAAATCTGGGCACCTTGAAAAAAGAACAGGATGACAGCGATGTTCAGGGAACAAGGAGATAACCTTAAAGTCTGCCTGCCTGTGGGCTGGGCGGAACAGAGCCATGTTTCTCTTCTTTCAAAAGCAAATAGGAGAAATATCGTTGAATTCTTTTTCTCAGCAAGGAACAGATCTAGGGGTAGGCCTCTAAAATGGCCGCTCTGGAGAACAACTTAACCTGAACTGGAATTAAGCTAGATTTTGAACTGAAGCTGGATTTATATAGATAGATTCAATGTACCTTTGGCTTAATTCAATACCTAGTGTGTGATTCTTTCAAGATTCCAGTTATTACCTTGGGGTGGGAGGTGAGATATATGTCTTCCTACCACTAAGAGTCTAGGCATTTTAGAAATGCAGAAATTATCTCTTCAAACTTCTGTTCTATTCATCTTCAAAATTTGGCAAACATCTTGAGAAGAAGCCTGCTGGATCTGCTTAAGTATTTAGCTTCCAAATCTACACAGCTTTAAAATCGAGCAAGGGTCTTTAATGGTACAATTGGCCATTTGTTCAAAATCCATCAATTTTTCCATTTTTTCACTCTTACTCTGCTGTACTATCAATAATTTTCTTGATGTATCTGACCCAAGAAAGCAGCCCTCTACCAGGGTCAAGCCAAAATTCTCATTTCTGACCAAAAGTCATATATAACAAAAAAATCCCAGTGTAAAAAAATAATAAAACACCTGTATGTATATTGATGTTATCTCTGAAGATTTTTCTTTTTCTTTCTGGAATTTTAATCTCTCTAATCATCACTGTTTCTGCAGTAATCTGTTTCTTTAAAAGTAAGATGTCTCCCTGCTTCACCTCTGACTTTCTTCTAAACTGACTACCTTGCTTTCTGCAAAAAAACTTCAGGAGTATCACCAGAAATTAAAGCAACAATCTTTCACATATTTCTTCATCAATTACACAATCATACATGATTTAATACATTCATATTTTCTAAAAATTATTTTATTTCATATCCCTCAAAATAGATTTTCTTCCCTTATAGAACTCTAATAAGTATTCCATCTTCCTCTGCTGTTTTCAAAGTTCATGTGAAGAGAATATATTTAATACATAAAAAGTGAAGCATTTTGCTTGTTAATTTAATATTTACATTTTAGATATTTTCTAAAACATAACCAATCCTCTGCAAGGAAAATACCTTACCATTCCTATATATTTGAATCAGTTACTGATATTACCATTTATAGAAAATCTCTCTAACTTCTTGGTTACCAATTCAATTTGTTCTTTCATCAATTTTTATAATTTTAATTTGGTTTTCTTAATAAAGAATAAATATAAAAGATTTGCTCTTCTTATGTTCCTATAATTTTACATTACATCTCATGTCATAATAAGTCTTCTCCTTGGTTTATGGGACATGTAGGCAAAAATCTACATGTGTTTTCTTCTAAAGGGGTTTTATTAATGACTTCTCTATTATTCGTTACTTTCTAATTATGCCATTGCTTTCCTAGTAGTTATATTAGTATATAATACATATTTCATGTTATGAAGTTGTATAGAGAGAATAAGAAATAAGTATATTTGACTCAAAAAAGCATATGAGTCAATTTGTGAAGATTTAGTGAATTAGAAGTTACAGACAATGTTGTCATTAGACAGATGTCATTAGATAGATTGATTCTTCTTTTGGAACAAAAATGAAAAAGCTCCAGTTCTCTTCTTTCTTTGGACCAGTATTAGCTCAGACACTTTGAAAAGCCTAAAGTACTTTATACAACCTTTTAATCCCACTACAGGAATTAGACTTCGTTTTAACATCAACATTTCCGGTTTTTCTACAGATGCCATAACAAGACTTTTAATTAGCTTTGCGATTTTGTTTTTCTTTTTAGAGTTAAGGAAGAAAATAGCCAATTGGTATCTTCTTCAAAAGAATCCCCAGAGCTCTTTATCAGTTCTGAGTAAACATACTCATTATTAAAGAACAAAGATAAATCTATGGCACTGTGGAGACAAAACCTTTTTTATTCCAGAGAGAATGAGAAACTCTAAGTAGTGACCAGAGTTCTTAAAAGACAAACTGAAAAAAAAAATACTATTTTGATTCTAATAAATAAATCAGATTTTCAGATTTTAAGTTAGACTGAATCCAGACATTATTCATTTTGTTTATAGGAAAAGTCAGAAAAATGTGTTTGAAATGGCACATGTAAGCTGATTGGAGAGAGAGAGAGGAAAAGAAAAGAAAGAAGGAAGGAAGGAGGGTGGGAAGGAAGGAAGGAAAGAAGGAAGGGAGGAAGGGAAGAGAGGGAGACAAAGAGAAAGATCCACAAATGTTTTTAAATATCCCTGGCTTTTAGCATGAACAGGTCTCTCTGTTGAGAGTGAGGAAATAGAGAAAAAATATGGGTTAGGAAGAAATAAATATTTTTTTGAAAAATCATTTAATATTACATTTTTGGCTAATGATACAAAAGAAAAATTTCACAATGCCTCAGCAAACAAAAACCTTGTGAAATTTATGCAAAGTAAGTATTTTCAGTATTTTGTTGTTTTTTGTAGACAATTGATACATACGTTATTCTGAATGTGTTTCCATAAGATTAAACCCATTAAATTCAGAATTAGAAAAATAAAGAAAATATTTATGTAACTCTTGATTAAAGATTCAATACATATATTTAAAAGAGTCTCTAAGTTTGTCTATTAGAATAACATCATGAGCCATGATTTATAGTTATTTTTATTAAAAATTTGACTAGGATGTATATATCCCTTCATACTTAGTAAAGGATTGACTACTTTAACAGTATTGAATATAAAATATTTTTTACATTGATAAAGCTACTTATGAAGTTGAAGCTTACTGAACAATTGAGTAAATAAATTCCAAATTCCATGAAAATTTTACCTTCATATTTACATACTAATTTTGAAATTTGCATAATTTTGAGATTCATGCATGTTTTTTCCATTGAAAATGTTTTCATTGGCTGCACCAAACAACCCAAAGACTAGGCAGAAATATATGATCAGAAAAGAGCAATTTTAAAAAGATTAATTACAAGAATTCAGTTCTAATTAGCTCTTTAAGATGTAGAAGTGTGCAGAAAAGCTATATCTAGCTGAAAAAAACCTGAGATTATGTTAACAATCGGGGGATTAACCAATCTAATCTGAAAGATTTTTTCTTATGGATTGAGTGAAATTGCAGGAGTTACATTTTGGTATTTTAGACAAAACTTTAAACTAGAAAAATGTACAGATACTTATAACAGGAAACAATAAAACCATTCTTTCTCAAAGTAAAAAAGATCTGAAAAGAGATTCTGGGGTTCTGACCGCTAGGCAAAATTGTTAAAATCATAGAAGGAAAAAAAGCGTATGCTTCTCAAATGAGTTACTTGGTTCTTCATATCACTTTTAAACCTATGCTCAGTGAAGCCTTTTTAACATATATTATTTATTTTTTTCCAGGTCTGATGAAATTCAGAAGGAATTTAATTATGAGAAACCATACAATGGTGACAACCTTCATTCTTCTAGGACTGACAGGTGATTTACACTGGCAAACTGTAATTTTCCTTTTTCTATTTTTAACGTATTTATTGAGTGTCATTGGAAATCTAATCATTATCCTGCTCACCTTGCTGGATTCTCACCTCAAAACACCCATGTATTTCTTCCTTCGGAATTTTTCTGTTTTAGAAATCTTGTTGACATCTGTCTGCATCCCTAGATTCCTAGTAAGCAAAGTGACTATGGATAAAACTATTTCCTATGATGCTTGTGTGACACAATTATTTTTTGTCATTTTTTTTGGGTGTATCAGAGTTTTTTCTGCTGGCTGCCATGTCCTATGACCGTTATGTGGCCATCTGCAAACCCCTGCATTATGCATTCATTATGAGCAACAGAGTCTGCAACCAGATGGCTGTTGCCTCTTGGTGGGCTGGTTTGTTAATGATCTTTCCTAGACTTACATGGGCCTGAGATTGGAATTCTGTGATGCCAATATTATTGACCACTTTTTCTGTGACTATTCTCCTGTTCTGAAACTCTCCTGCACAGACACACAGGTCATAGAAATGTTAAGCTTTATTTTAGCCACTGTCACACTCCTGATTACATTGGTCCTGGTAATGTACTCCTACGCAAATATCATAAAATCTATTCTGAAGGTTTCTTCTGCGCAGCAGAGGAAGAAGGCCTTTTCTACCTGTTCCTCCCATATGATTGTTGTTTCCATCTCTTACGGCAGCTGTATTTTCATGTATATTAAATCTTCTGCAGAAGAAGGGGTAGCTTTAAACAAGGGAGTAGCAATACTCAGCACTTCAGTTGCACCTGTATTAAATTCTTTTATATATACCTTAAGAAATAAGCAAGTGAAACAAGCCCTGAAGAATATAGTAAAAAAGTATATCTTTACTACTTTGAAATGAAATAATAGTTTTAGGTATTATAATAGAATGCCACTCAAACTTATTGAAAATTGTAGCCTGAATTAGCTGGGTTTTTGACATACCCCTTTATTTTATGTTTATATTATGATAGTAACTGAAGTCACCCATGAAGAGCCATTTTATCTATTCCTGAATTTTTATCTTTTCAATGGTATTTTCTGTATCCATGATATTCTCTTATGCATTGCTGGAATTACTTCATTCTTTTAACTTAATAATTGACTTTGCTCACCCTAAAAATATTTCACTATGAATTCATTTTGGAAATCTAAAAGCTCTCTGTTTTTCTAGCATAAATGTGCCCAGAATATAGATTACTTGTGGACTCTTTCAATAGTGATTTATTTGATTTTATAAATCTCTAAGATAGATTTATTTCTTAAAACCAAATAATGTTATTATTTTATTAAAGTGTGTGATGTTTCCAGAAACATAATAGTGAACTTAAATAGAAGTATTTATTGGGCCAGGTGCAGTGGCGCACACCTGTAATCCTAGCACTTTGGGAGCCCAAGGCGGGTGGATCACCTGAGGTCAGGACCAGCCTGACTAACATGGTGAAACCCTGTCTCTACTAAATACAAAAAAAAAAAAAAAATTAGCCAAATGTGGTGGCGCATGCCTGTAATCCCAGCTACTTGGGAGGCTGAGGCAGGAAAATCGCTTGAATCCAGGAGGCGGAGGTTGCAGTGAGCCGAGATGGTGCCGTTGCACTCCAGCCTGGGCAACAGGAGCGAAATTCCGTCTCAAAAAAAAAAAGTGTTTATTTTCAGGCTTAATAATATAACCCAAATGCCCATCAATGATAGACTGGATAAAGAAAATGTGGCACATATACACCATGGAATACTATGCAGCCATAAAAAGGATGAGTTCATGTCTTTTGCAGGGACATGGATGAAGCTGGAAACCATCATTCTCAGCAAACTAACACAGGAACAGAAAACCAAACACCACATGTTCTCACTCATAAGTGGGAGTTGAACAATGAGAACACATGGACACAGGGAGAGGAACATCACACAGCAGGGCCTGTCGGGGGTGTGGGGCTAGGGGAGGGATAGCATTAAAAGAAATACCTAGTGTAGATGACAGGTTGATGGGTGCATCAAACCACCATGGCACGTGTATACCTATGTAACAAACCTGTACATTCTGCACATGTATCCCAAAACTTAAAGTATAATAAAAAAAAGAAAAATAAAGTATATTATCTAGATGCAAAAAAAAAAAGCAAAAAAAAAAAAAATCTCCAAATCTCTATGCTAGTGTAAATGAAAGGAGCCTTTTTCATTTAGGAAAGAAAGCTTGTGTTGAAAACTAACTTAAAGATCCTAGGTAGACTATCTCAGTGTCACACAGCAAGTAAATGTTAGATCTTAAATTTGTATCTAGATTTAAAAATTCAAATCCTATGAAGCTATTATCAGGGAATATTGAGTTTTTATCAATTGGCATTAATCTGAAAAAAACTTGAGAAAAAACAGCTATTTTAAAATATTTAAAAAGCCACCCTGGGAGGCAGAGAAGATTGGCTCTGTATAACTCTAGGAACACAACTAAATCTTATGTCTGAGATTTTTAAAATATATACCTTAACTTATACAGAACTGTTTTATATCTTGTAATGTGCTATGTTTTCTCTCACTAGTGTGTCTTTACACATGCCCTTTTCTTGCTCTGCAATTCTTCCTTTGTATTCCAAATGTTCTGCTCTGAATAATTGTTAATATTCTTCTAGTCTTAAGAGCCCCCTTTCTCTTAAGAGACACTTTTATTCAGTATATGTGAGTTTATGTGTTTGGACACAATAATAAAAGGGGGCATATATATGTAATTAAACCATCTGACTAAACCATTGCGTTTTAGTTTTCAAATTTAATTTCTCATATAGCAGCCTCATTATTCTCTCTTTATCTGGATTAATTTGTCTTTATGGCTTATATTAATAAAAATTATTTATTAATTATTTGTTTCACATGTAGAATATAAGCTCAGTTAAAGTAGAGGCTCTAATTTGTTCAACATACTATTTTCAAGGCCTACCACACTATCTGGTACAAAGTGATGTTAAATTATATTTGTTAAATAAATAAATGCCAACTCTAGAATGACTGTGTCTTTAATTTTTTAAAAATAATAGTTTTTAAAAAATTTTAATTTCTAATTTTTGTGGGTACATAGTACGTGCATACATTTATGGGATGAAATATGTTAATACAGGCATACAATGTGTAATAATAATATCAGGGTAAATGGGGTATCCATAGCCTCAAGCATTTATCCTTTGTATTATGAACAATCCAACTGTACTGTTTGAGTTATTTTAAAATGTACAATTAAATTATTACTGACTGTAGTCACCCTGTTGTACTATCAAATACTAAATCCTATTTATTCTTTCTAACAAATTTTGTACCATTAATCATTCCCACTTCCCCCAACCCTTCAAATAATTGTTTAACATTACACTTTAATATATTTGTCAGAATTTTTTTGGATCGTTTCATGTTTTCTGTTAATGTAAACAATAAGACGTGTTCTCTATTTAAAAAGATTGCAGTTTATATTTTAATGGAAGTTACCAATATTTCTTTTTAATTATCTTTTACAACTCATTTTAATAATATTTATCTTTAATTTTGTGTTTAATTATTATACATAGCTTATCATAGACGATCATAAGATATTTCTATGTATATCTATGTCTATCATCCATTTATTATCTATCTATTCTAACATATGTCTTTCTATCTACAATTGTAATTATATTTTGCTTTTATGATTCATTTTTCCAGGTAGTTATCTGTGTTTTCTCTACCTTTGTATCACTTATTTTTTCTATTAAAGTGAAACTTAAGTTCTACATTTTGGTCTCTTGTTATTTGTTTTCCACATTTCCACTAAATTATTTTTGGTCATTTAAAAATATTCTGAATTTTAATGTTTTTTAGTCTAATCACAGCTTTGATTTGCTGCAACATCAGATTTATGAATTTTTATAGATTTGACTTATCTTTCCATTATAAATTTATTAGTTTATATATCTATAGAGCTTTGTTATTTTATCTTTCTTTTAAGCCTTTCTTATACTCTTGATTTCTTTTACTTTTACTACTATTGTCATAATTTGATTGCTTTTTTGCATGACTTTATATTTTACTTTAAAATAACAACTACATTTTTTTTTTTCTTTTTGAGACAGGGTCTCACTTTGTCCCCCAGGCTGGAGTGCAGTGGCTCAATCTTGGCTCACTGCAACCTCCGCCTCCTGGGTTCAAGCGATTCTCCTACCTCAGCCTCCTGGGTAGCTGGGATTACAGGTGTGTGCAACCCAGCCTGGCTAATTTTTTTTTGTATTTTTAGTAGAGATGGGCTTTCACCATGTTGGCCAACCTGTTCTCCAATTCCCGACCTCAGATGATCTGCCCACCTCGGCCTCCCAAAGTGCTGGGATTACAAGTGTGAGCCGTCGCACCCGGCCTAACGACTACATAATTTAAAAAATGGCATTGAAATTACCAAGTGATCTTTCAAACTTTCTTGTGGATTTGGGAATTTTCAGAAATAGCTTTCTCATTGTGTGAGTGTTGTGTATAAGTTTTTTGTTTAAAATTTGTTTTACTGATAAATTTGATATTTTTATGAGGGAAAACTGTTGTCAGAAATAGAGTGAAACAGGCCATGCGCGGTGGCTCACGCCTGTAATCCCAGCACTTTAGGAGGCTGAGGTGGGTGGATCACTTGAGGTCAGGAGTTTGAGACCAGCCTGGCCAACCTGGTGAATCCCCGTCTCTAATAAAAATACAAAAATTACTCAGGCATGGTGGCACATGCCTGTAATCCTAGTAACTCAGGAGGCTGAGGCAGGGGAATCACTTGCTGGGAGGTGGAGGTTGCAGTGAGCCGAAATCGTGCCACTGGACTCCACTCCAGACTGGGCGAGAGAGTGAGACTTGGTCTCAAAAAAACAAACAAACAAAAAAACCCAAAATACAGAAATAGAATGAAAATGAAATAATAAAACATGATTTTATTAAATAATAAATTTTATTTAAATATTTAAATATTATTTTATAAATAATAAATAAAAAATTATTTATTAAATAAATAATTAAATAATAAAACATTTTCTAGGAGTAGAAAATACAAGCTCCTAGAAAATACAAGCTCCATATAACGGAATTTGACTTTAATCAGGAGACAGGTAGGCTTTATATTTTGAGCTGGCCTACTGAAGATTGATCTTTCCTTCCTTCCCTTTCCTTCCTTCCCTCCCTCCCTCCCTGCTTCCCTCCTTCCCTCCTTTCCTCCTTCCCTCCTTCCTTCCCTCCTTCCTTCCTCTTTCTTTCTTATTTTTTGAGTATATTGAATGACAGTTATTTTCCACATATTTTCTTTCTTCTCTTTTTTAATAGGTTTTATATTACATTTTTCTTTTAATTTTAAACTTTGTTTTGTTACAGTCAAATCTCTAAAGGCAGAGTATTGTATATAACGCCCATTACCATTGTTTTGTGCATGTGAGATATTCCAGTATCCTCTCTGTTTATTCATTTGATCTTCTGAACTAAAAGAATCAATTAAAAAACCAGAATTATCAACAGGGTTTATGACAAATATTTTCCCCAAAAATATTTGCGTACGTGTGCATTATATCTATGAAAATCCAATAAATCACCACCACTGCTCACCACACTACATGCATTTCTTTTATACTTTAAGAAATACATCATAATATACTCAAACATCACTTTATTTCTAGTATCAGAACCTATTGAGGGAGAAAAAACGGCTGTTAACTAAAAAACAAAACAAAACAAAATAAAACAACTTATCCTCTGAATGTGGGGACAAAGAATGAAGTTTTGTAGTATCTTTCTTTTTTTTATTATACTTTAAATTTTGGGATACATGTGCAGAAAGTGGTTTGTTACATAGGTATACACGTGCCATGGTGTTTTGCTGCACCCATCAACCCGTCATCTACATTAGGTATTTCTCCTAATTCTATCCCTCCAATATGATTGGTATCCTTAGAAGAGGATGCATGGACACACAGAGAAAAGACGTGAAGAAGGAGCAGAAATTATAATGATGGAGCTACAAGCCAAGGAATGCCAAGAATTGTTTTCTACTACCAAAAGCTGGAAAAGCGAACGAAGGATTTTTCCCTAGAGCCTTCAGAAGCACGACCCTGCTGTCACCTTGATTTCAGATTGCTAGCCTTCAGAAATGTGAAAAAATAAGTTTCTTGCAAACCAAAACCGTAATAAGACAACATCTCACACCAGTCAGAATGACTATTATTAAAAAGTCAAAAAACATAACTCTTAGATTTGGCTTCTTGATGTTATTTTCTAGATCTTGTAGGCATGCTTCATTGCTTTTTATTCTCTTTTCTCTTCTAATTGTGTATTTTCAGATAGCCTGTCTTCAACCTCATTAGTTCTTTTTTAATTTTTAATTTTTGTGGGTACATAGTAGGGATATGTAATTATGGAGTATATGAGATCTTTTTTTTTTTTTTTTTTTTTTTTTTTGAGATGGAGTTTCACTCTTGTCACCCAGGCTGGAGTGCAATGTCACAATCTCGGCTCACTGCAACCTCCATCTCCTGGATTCAAGCGATTCTCCTACCTCAGCCTGCCAAGTAGCTGGGACTGCAGGTGCCTGCCATCGCCACCATGACCAGCTAATTTTTGTAGTTTCAGTAGAGATGGTGTTTCACCATGCTGGCCAGGCTGGTCTCTAGAAGGAGAGAGCAGAATGGTGGTTACCAGCATCTAGGGTAGTTGGGGTTGGGAGTAGATGGATTGGATGGGTAGCTGTTGGTCAAAAAGAAGGAATAAGTTCAAGAAATCTGTTGTATGACATGGCAACTCCAGAAAAGTGCTAAGAGAGTGTATGTAAAGTGTTCTCACCACAAAAAATAACTATGTGAGGTAATGAATATGTTAATTAACTAGATTTAGTCATCTCACAAATATGTATACTTCAAAACATGTTATACACAATAAATGCATACAATTTTATGTCAATTTAAAAATAATAAAAAACAAAAATAAAAATATATCTAATGCTTTTTAATAATATGCCTTATAAAAATAACACGAGGGAAATTTAAGTAATTGAATGTGCTATAAATTTATTTACCTGATTACTAAATAATACATCATTCTGGATAGTAACCCTTTTCATGTGGAGCTTTGCCTATTAGTATTTTTGGCAATAGAAAGAGAGTAAACAGACTGCTTTGTCCAGTTTTCTCTACACTATTTTAAAGTGTTAATAATCTCATTTGTATATCAAACTAAAATCCTTACTGATGGCAAAATTGATAACCTTTCTGTGCTCTGAGGCAATTCCTCCCTTGTCTTTTTACCTATTTCTATCTCTCTTTTTATAGAGTGATCTGTATTAATGATTTCAATTTCAGGAGGGATTGAAGGTAGAATTATTGAATGACTATTTAAAGGTTTCACTTAGCATCTTGTGAATTAGACACAAAGAAAATAACTGAATTTTTATGAAGGCATAGAGATAATATAGAAAGTAGTTTCAGAAAAGTCGAAAATACCGCCACCATTCCTGAGTTATAATGTTGTTTTTGAACAAATGATAAATGTAGTTTGTCTTTTATAAAAACATGATTATGTGGAATATCAGAAAAATGTTAACACATTTACTCTAGTCTTACTTAAAGAAATTTAACAAAATACAAGCATCTGTACTTGATTAAATTCAAATTAAAATCAACGCAGAAATGTCACGTAAGATAAAACATTGCTGGTGTCCTATTTTTCTATCCTAATTATCTATTAATTTAATTTACCTTTCCTTCTGAGTGTATATATATATATATATATATATATACTAAAATAAAGCATTTACTAAAATTGTCTGATTGTATGATTTTACTTAGATTTTATGATCACTTTTATGATTAATGATTATAACATTTTTATTTATCAATAACTACCTGTTATTATGATCCAAAGAGAATCAGTGGTTTATGAATGATTATTACTCTGTTGAGAGCATTTTTAATATTTAAGATGAGTAATGTTCCAAGAGAATATGAATTAATGAAGTTCCAAATTACAGTAACATTGACATTTTCATTTTTAACAACCATTTATTTGCTAGAATCAATTTCCAAGATGATTTTTTACCAATGAAATTTAATAATTATTTATGATCTCTGTAACTTCAAAAAAATAAAGTGACAATAATTGCCATGTAACTTAAAACTGGTTATGACCCAGATATATTTTCTGTGAGCATTATACAAATGTAATTTTTCACATTGTTAAAATAAAAGTATTTTTTGAGATAGTACAATATGAACATCAAATACGAGTATAAACTTTTAATCAAAAACCTCTAAATACCTGACCTATTTTATGTATAAAATAATATTTATATAAAAATAAATAATAAATAATAGTGAATAATATTTCACCTTACAGCATAATAATACTACTTAAGGAAAGATTCATAGTGATTTTCATGGGTTTACATTTATTGAACATTAGAATCAACTTCTTCAGATAAGTTTTTGTGGATTAAGAAAATTTACTTTCCCTTACTCTCTAATTTTCCAGTTTCTCTTCTTTCCCTCTCTTTCCCTCTATCTCTCTTTATCTATCTATCTATCATGTAGTTGTATATGTATATATACTTTATCTTCACTTAGTTAACGTTTGCATGTTGTTTCCACACTCCTGATTTTCACTTTTGCATTTCTGCTTACTTGTTGTAATCTTAATAAAAGCAAACTTACAATGTCTCATTTCTTTACAAATTGCCACAATAAAGAATTCATAATGAAATAATCATGTAATCATTATCATGTAATTTTCATTTTGTGATGATATTATATTATAATCTGTTTTAAAAAAAAGTATGCCATTCCATAAAACACAATGGTAAGAAATAGACAAGTGCTGAAGGACGCTCACATCTATAAAAAAAAGTATTTGTCACAGACTTAGAAAACCTGTAGAGCTCTTTACATTCACCTGTATATCAGACAAAGCTGAAAATCAAGGAATCAAACTAAAATCCATTTATCCTGTATCTAGTCAGATTCATAGCTACTGTCCCAAGACAGCCAATTTTCTTTTCTTGTTTTAGAAATTTTAAAATAACTTTTTTATTTTGTTTTATTTTATCGAGATAGAGTTTCGCTCTATCGCCCAGGCTGGAGTGCAGTGGTGCAATCTTGGCTCACTGTAGCCTCCACCTCCTGTACTCAAGCGATTCTTCCACCTCAGCCTCTTAAGTAGCTGGGACTACAGGTGCATGCCAGCGTGACCAGCTAATTTTTGTATTTTTTGTAGAGATTGGGGTTTCACCATGTTGCTCAGACTTGTCTTGAACTCTTGTACTCAAGTAATTTGCCTGCCTTGGCCTCCCAAAGTGCTGGAATTACAGGCATCTTGTTTTTTTATTTTTAAGTAGAGATAGGGTCTTGCTATGCTGTCCAGGCTGGTCTTGAACTCCTGGCCTCAAGTGATCCACCAGCCTCAGCCTCTCAAAGTGCTGGGATTACAGGCGTGAGCCACCATGTTTGGACAACTTTTATTTATTTTTTTGAGACAGGGTCTCACTCTGTTGTCCAGGGTGGAGTGCAGTGGCATGATGAGAGCTCACTGCAGCCTCAACCTCCAAGGTCCAAGCAATTCTCCCACCTCATCTTCTTGAGTAGCTGGGACCACAGGTGTATGCTACCATGCTTAGCTAATTTTTAAATTTTTTTGTGTAGACAGAGTCTCACTATGTTGCCAAGGCTGGTCTTAAACTTCTGGGCTCAAGCAATCCTCCCCGCTTGGCCTCCCAAAGTGCTGAGATTTCGGGCATGAGCCACCACACCCAGCCAAGATTGCGTTTTTTATTTGGTTCTCAGCTTGAATGTTATTGGTGTATAGAAATGCTACTGACTTTTCTATGTTGATTTTATATCCTCAAACTTTACTCAAGTAGTTTATCAGGCCTAGGAGTTTTTTGGAGGAACCTTTAAAGTTTTTTAGGTACAGGATTATATTTTCAGTAAACGGAGATAATTTGACTTCTTCTTTTCCTATTTGGATGCCTTTCATTTCTCTCTCTTGCCTGATTGCTCTGGCTAGGGCTTTCAGTACTATGTTGAATAGGAGTGCTGAGAGGGGACATCCTTGTCTTGTTCCAGTTCTCAGGAAGAATGCATACAACTTTTGCTAGTTTATTATGATATTGGCTGTGGGTCTGTCACAGATGGCTGTTATTATTTTGGGCTATTTTCCTTCAATGCGTGGTTTGTTGAGTGTTTTTGTCATAAAGGGATGTTGGATTTATTGACTATTTTTTCTGTGTCTATTGAGATGATCATATGGTTTTTGTTTTTAGTTCTGTTTATGTGGTGAATCACATTTATTGATTCGTGTATGTTAAACCATCCTTGCATCCAGGTTTAAAGCCCACTTGATCGTGGTGAATTATCTTTTTGATGTGCTGCTGGATTCAACAACCAATTTTCTTAATGATACATGGGAGTTGAGGGACTCATTAACTATAGGAAGTGGGCTTGAACACATTTTTTACAGTTCTCAAATACCTCTAAAAGTCATTTTCTTGGATATAGGTGAGGGGAGTGAAACCTGTGAAGGAGACAATGGAAAGATAAATAAAATATTATAGGTTTACTAGAAAAGGAAAAACCAAGACATTAATAAACCACGTCATCATTCGCCGAATACCTTATAAAAGGGCAGTATCACACCATTGTAGACTCTTACTTTGTCATTTTCTTCATCATATCAGTAGTAAGGCAATTTTGTATCAATATAAGGAATCTGAACACAAATATGAATTGCCTTCATAGATCATGGTTTTTCTTTTAAAATATTGGCAGAAACAGAAAAGTTCTCTGTTAAATAATCTATTTTTAAGGAAATATTATCAAAGGAAAATATAAGATAAATAATATCAACTCTTTGATTACGCTTTGCTCTTTTTTTCTAGGAAAGCTAAGACAAAAAGTAATACAGCCTTAATTCAAACAACAGAGATAATATCTCTGCACATTTGTCTTACACTTTTATTTAATGTTTACACACATTTTAACTACATTTTATTGACAAATACAAGGAGACATTTTAATGATGCTTTTAGTTTTATAACATGTTTTTCCTGGTGACATTGAAGAAAAAATTTTAGATATATTAATTAAGATACATAGTTTAAACATTTCATATAAAATTAATTTCATAGTTGAATGTGGTTTTAGTAAGTTTTTAATTTATAGCTACCTCTATTTTATGAATGAAGAATCTATTTTGCCTTTATTTTATTATTATTTTTTATTATACTTTAAGTTTTAAGGTACATGTGCACATTGTGCAGGTTAGTTACATATGTATACATGTGCCATGCTGGTGCGCTGCACCCACTAACTCGTCATCTAGCCTTAGGTATATCTCCCAATGCTATCCCTCAATAAACCATAGTAATTATTAATTTACCTAAAATTTAGTTACATAGGTGAGAGAGCGAACACTTTCTATATAGTTTAGAAGAGCTAAATCTTGGTTTTTAGGCTAATTTCATTAAGAAGTGTTGATGATATGTAACTATGTCTAACTAAAAGTGTGAAATAAGGTGTTTAGAAAGAGTTCATGTAGAGAAGGGTAGAGAGTTTTTCATTCAGCTTTGCCTTTGGGGGTACATTTTTTACATAATCACATTCATTTATTTAAAGAAAAAATCATCTTCTGGACCATGCTCTTGAAGGCTTGCTTCACTTGCTTATTTCTCAGTGTGTATATGAAGGGATTCAAGAGAGGAGCCACTGAGGTATTGAGCACAGCTACTCCTTTGCTTAAAGTCACCCTTTCTCTGGCAGAAGTCTTAATGTACATGAAGATACAGCTACTGTAAGAGATGGAGACAACTATCATATGGGAGGAGCAAGTGGAAAAGGCTTTTTTCCTTTGACTCATAGAAGGAATTTTCAGAATTGTCCGGATGATGTTTGTGTAGGAGAGAATAACTAATGTCAAGGTGACCATCAGTGTTACCACAGCTAAAAAAAATGCCATGAGTTCTAGAAAGTGAGTGTTTGTGCAAGAGAGCTGCAGCATTGGAGAAGAGTCACAGATAAAATGATCAATTACATTGGAGGCACAGAAATCCAACTGCAGCAGAAGCATTACTGGTGGAAAGATGATCAGAAACCCTGCAAGCCAGGAGCTAAAGACAAGAAGGGTACACACTCTGGTGCTCATGATGATTGTGTAATGAAGAGGTTTGCAGATGGCCATGCAGCGGTCATAGGACATGGCAGCCAGAAGGTAAAATTCTGTCACCCCCAAGAAGATGAAAAAAAATAGCTGAGCCACACACCCATTATAAGAAATGGTTCTGTTTCCTGTCACAACAGTGACAAGGAATCTGGGAATGCAGACAGACGTGAATGAAATTTCCAGGAATGAGAAGTTCCGAAGGAAGAAATACATGGGAGTCTGCAGATGGGGATCTGAAAGGGTGAGGGTGATAATGATCAGGTTCCCAGTCACACTTAACATGTAGGTAACAAGAAGAAATATGAAAAGTACAACCTGCCACTGTGGGTCACTTGTCAATCCAAGAAGAATAAAGTCTGTTACTGCTGTGGAATTTCTCATTATTTTTTTCTTTAGAAAAGTATTCTGTATTTTCGCTGTAAAATAGGTGAAGAAACCAGAAAACTATGACACCAGTAAAGAAAATTATTATTTTTTTTCTGTCTGGCTCTTTCCATTTACCATAATGCCTTCCAGGTTCATCCGTAATGTCACAAATGGCAGTGTGGCAGTATCTCCTTCTTTTATGAGGCTGGATAACATTCCATTGTGTCTAGCTATCCGCTGATGCATCTATCTATTTAATACATATATATATATTCAATATCTTCAAAGGGTTTAAACTTGTAGTTATGTACGATGAATAAATCTAGAGAGCTAATGTATAGCACAAAGGCTACAGTTAGTAATGTATTATATAAGAAGGTAACTATGGGATGTGATGGATAGAATAATTTTGCTTGGAGGTAGTAATCCTTTCTCTATATATACACATATAGAAAGATTATGTTATATACCTTAAATATACACAATGAAACTAACTGTAGGCTGGGCGCAGTGGCTCATGCCTGTAATCCCAGCAGTTTGGGAGGCTGAGGCAGATGGATCACCTGAGGTCAGGAGTTCGAGACCAGCCTGGCCAACATAGTGAGACTTTGTCTCTACTAAAAATACAAACAATTAGCGGGGTGTGGTGGCAGGGGCTTGTAATCCCAGCTACTTGGGAGGCTGAGGCAGGAGAATTGCTTGAACCTGGGAGGTGGAGGTTGCAGTGAGCTGAGATCGCACCATTGCACTCCAGCCTGGGCGACAAGAGTGAAATTCCGTGTCAAAAAAAAAAAAAAAAAAAAAAAAAAAAAAGGAAAAGAAACTAAATGTAAAAAAAATTAACTTTAGGCAGGACACAATGACTCATGCCTGTAATCCCAGCACTTTGGGGGGCTGAGGCAGATGGATCACCTGAGGTCAGTTCGAGAACAGCCTGGCCAATATGGTGAAACCCCGTCTCTACTAAAAATACAAAAAAATTAGCCGGGCATGGTGACGCACGCCTGTAGTCCCAGCTACTCCAGAGGCTGAGGCAGGAGAATTGCTTGAACCCAGGAGGCGGAGGTTGCAGTGAGCTGAGATTGTGCCACTACACTCCAGCCTGGGCAATATATGCAGACTCCGTCTCGGAAAAAAAAAAAAAAAAGGACTTTAAAAAACTTCATTGTTGCTTTTTGCTTGTAGAGAAAAATGGTTTTGTAGTACATAGATACCAAATACATTTTAAAAATTCTGTTGTTACCTTATAAATCAATTATTTCTGTATTTCCTTCATTATATTTTTATATATTTCAGAATACATCTCTGTCTTCTAAATGTTTCAGTATATTCCCTGAAAACAAGAAAAAAGAAATTAAAACTTCTGAGATTAAGGCATTTTCAAATGAAGCTCATGAGAATTCATAGCCAGCATACTATGGTAGTCTTTGAAAATTTTTTGTTATTTTTCTCTTCATCTGTTTTGTTCTTTTTCTTTTGAATGAGGGTGGAGAAAGATATGCTTATTCAAAAGAAAAGAAAAAAAGAGAGCATCTCCTTCTCCATCCTCATTCAAATTTTTATAATCTACTTTTTATAATTGACTGAGTTGTAAAGACAACTCAGTCATCCAGAGACATGTCCCTGATAATGGTATATAGAAGTGTTTAGTGGACAGAAGATATCATATTCTTTACATTATCTTTTCTTTATATATTTCATTTAAATTGTGTGCTTTAATTTTACTTATATATAATGTGAATAACTGAATTTATATAAAACATAAATATAAGCTATTAAAGCAAAAATTATATTCCTGAAAAAACATACTTTTATGGTAAATATGAATGGTTTAGTGTATCTTATTTCAAAAGGTTTATTCATTGCTTAAACATAAATGCTGTTGGATTTTTCAAGAGCTTTTGCAATCTGTTTCTCCTCTATCATCTTGTATTTGTAACAAAATATCCAAAATATTGATAATAAAGAACAATTTCAAGAGCTTCTCTATAACGTTTACAAGAAGGGCATACATAAATACATTTTTATACATCAACCCAAATTTCACCAAGGATCTGAAGTCTCAAGATATCCTACCTATCGCCGCTTTAAAAAGTATTACCTTGATACAAATTTTAGTTGAAATGAAGGCTAATGTAGTGGCTTTCCGAGCTTGATAGGTAAGAAGAAATGATCTTCTGTGCAGAAGCAATGTTATTCAGGCTAGCCATGATTTTATCTACTGTATTTACAATGGACTCAGGGGGATTAGTTAAATGAACAAATAAAAGGTACCATGAAGATTGGCGTTCTCATGACACCAACCACTAAATAATAGTCCAAATTGGTATACAATTTGGAATAAAATATTTAGGTGATACAGAAGCCTGAAATTGGAGCAGAAAAATATAAAGAAGAATTTACATTTTTATAATAATCTAAAACTGCAGTAATAGAAGAAAATAAATAATGAAGTAAAAAAGATTCGTAGTCTTTAAATGGTAAACTACTAAACTGTGAATGAGTTGATTCTCTATTTTAGGGAAATGTTAAGAATTCGTTCTCATGTTTTAGAATGGGCCAGTGGTCTCCATTATTCCACATCATAAAAGATGTCAGACTTGTGTTTAAGGTTTTAAATTTTTCCATTGATGACAACATAGAAAGATTGTGATTATAATCACTACCATTTATTCGTTCAATATTTACCTTTTAAAGCTTGTAATGTGTTGGGCTCAGCCTTAGGTTGTGAGAATGCAGAGATGATAAAGATAGCTCTTAGCATAATTTTTACTTCTTGCAGAAAAGTGTGAAAATTCTACATTTTTTTGTAGGTATAAAATAAGGTTGCACCTTCATTAAAAAAAACACTTAAAGACTTCAAATGTCCATGTCCCCAGATAGGAATGTACTCTCCTTTAATGTCCTTGGGTAACATATGAATTTCCTTGAGGTGCTAACTTCATGCATCCTCACAGGTCCTTTGAAAGTTCTTCCTGCTGTGCTCCTTGTCCAGGGGTTATGTCCATAACTGTCCTGTCAGAGGATATCTTGAACCTGTTCTCACAGGAGCTTCTGCTTCTGGTATTACTCATCACCTCTGTTTCAGGGGATAGGTCACTGCTGCTTCCCCTGGACTTTCATATCTCAAGAAAATTACAGCTAGGTAAGAGGAATAAGCTCTCGTGTTCTATACGATGGTAGGATGGCTATAGTTAATAATAATACACTATACAGTTTCAAATAGCTAGAAAGAGGATATTGAATGTTTCCAATGCAGTCAAGTATGGTGGTTTGCACCTGTAATCCCAGAAACTCAGCAGGCAGAGGCAGGAGGATCCCTTGAGGCCAGGAGTTTGAGACCATTCTGAGCAATATTGTGAGACCCCGTCTCTAAAAACATTTTTTGAAAAAAATTAGCCAGGTGTGGTGGTGCACACCTGTAGTTCCAGCTACTCAGGCAGCTGAGGCAGAAGGACTGCCTGAGCCCAGGAGTTCAAGGTTACAGTGAGCTGTGATCACGCCACTGCACTCCAGCCTGGGTAACAGAGTGAGACCTAGTCTCTAAAAAATGAATAAACAAGTGTTCCCAACATAAAGAAATTATAAATGCCTGAGATGACAAATTTTCTAACTACTCTGATCTTATCACTACACATTATATGTATCAAACCATTACTATGTAACCTATAAATATGTACAATTTTATTTATCAGTTAAAAAAATAAAATGTTTTGTCTTTTGCCCACTTTTTTTCTGTCTTTTTTAAAATTATATTTTAAGCTCGGGGTACATGTGCAGAACATGCAGGTTTGTTACATAGGTATACACATGCCATGGCGGTTTGCTGCACCCATCAAACTGTCATCTACATTAGGTATTTCTACTAATGCTATCCCTCCCCTATCCCCACACCCCCTGACAGGCCCTGCTGTGTGATGTTCCTCTCCCTGTGTCCATGTGTTCTCATTATTCACCTCCCACTTATGAGTGAGAACATGTGGTGTTTGTTTTTCTGTTTCTGTGTTAGTTTGCTGAGAATGATAGTTTCCAGCTTCATCCACGTCCCTGCAGAGAATATGAACTCATCCTTTTTAATGGCTGCACAGCATTCCATGGTGTCTATGTGCTACATTTTCTTTATCCAGCCTATCATTGATGGACATTTGGGTTGGTTCCAAGTCTTTGCTATTGTGAACAGTTCCGCAATAAACACACGTGTGCATATGTCTTTATAGTAGAATGATTTATAATCCTCTGGATATACACCCAGTAATGGGATTGCTCAGTCAAATGGTATTTCTGGTTCTAGATCCTTGAGGAATCCCCATACTGTCTTCCACGATGGTTGAACTAGTTTACACTCCCACCAACAGTGTAAGAACATTCCTATTTCTCCACATCCTCTGCAGCATCTGTTGTTTCCTGACTTTTTAATGATCGCCATTCTAACTGGCGTGAGATGGTATCTCATTGTGGTTTTGACTTGCATTTCTCTAATGACCAATAATAATGAGCTTTTTTGTCATATGTTTGTTGGCTGCATAAATGTCTCCTTTTGAGAAGTGTCTGTTCAGATCCTTTGCCCATCTTTTGATAGGGTCGTTTGTTTATTTCTGGTAAATTTGTTTAAGTTCTTTGTAGATTCTGGATATTAGCCCTTTGTCAGATGGATAGATTGCAAAAATTTTCTCCCATTCTGTAGGTTGCCTGTTCACTCTTATGATAGTTTTTTTTTTTCTGTGCAGAACCTCTTAGTTTCACTGGATTCCACTTGTCTATTTTGGCTTTTGTTATCATTGCTTTTGGTGTTTTAAGTCATGAAGTCTATGCCCTTGCCTATGTCCTGAATAGTATTGCCTAGGTTTTCTTCTAGGGTTTTTATGGTTTTAGGTCTCACATTTAAGTCTTTAACTCATCTTGAGTTAATTTTGGTATAATGTGTGAGGAAGGGATCCAGTTTCAGCATTCTGCATGTTGCTAGCCAGCTTTCCCAACACCATTTATTAAATAGGAAATCCTTTTCCCATTGCTTGTTTTTGTCAGGTTTGTCAAAGACCAGATGACTGTAGATGTGTGGCATTATTTCTGAGGCCCCTGTTCTGTTCCATTGGTCTATATATCTGTTTTGGTACCAGTAACATGCTGTTTTGGTTACTGTAGCCTTGTAGTATAGTTTGAAGTCAGGTAGCATGATGCCTCCAGCTTTGTTCTTTTTGCTTAGGATTGTCTTGTCTATGTGGGCTTTGTTTTGGTTCCATATGAAATTTAAAGTAGTTTTTTCCAATTCTGTGAAGAAATTCCATGGTAGCTTGATGGGGATAGCATTGAATCTATAAATTACTTTGAGTAGCATGGCCATTTTCATGATATTAATTCTTCTTATCCATGAGCATGGAATGTTTTCCAATTGGTTTGTGTCCTCTCTTATTTCCTTGAGAAGTGGTTTGTAGTTCTCCTTGAAGAGGTCCTTCACATCCCTTGTAAGTTGTATACCTAGGTATTTTATTCTCTTTTTAATAATTGTGAATGGGAATTCACTCACGATTTGGCTCTCTGTTTGTCTGTTGTTGGTGTATAAGAATGCTTGTGATTTTTGTACATTGATTTTGTATCCTGAGACTTTGCTGAAGTTGCTTATCAGCTTAAGGAGATTTTGGGCTGAGACAATGGGGTTTTTCTAAATATACAATCATGTCATCTGCAAATACAGACAATTTAACTTCCTCTTTTCCTATGTGAATACACTTTATTTTTTTCTCTTGCCTGATTGCCCTGTCCAGAACTTTCAATACCATGTTGAATAGGAGTGGTGAGAGAGAAACTTGTGCAGGTTTTCAAAGGGAATGCTTCCCGTTTTTTCCTATTCAGTATGATATTGGCTGTGGGTTTGTCATAAATAGCTCTTATTATTTTGAGATACGTCCCATCAGTACCTAATTTATTGAGAGTTTTTAGCATGAAGGGCTGTAGAATTTTCTTGAGGGCCTTTCTGCATCTATTGAGATAATCATGTGGTTTTTGTCATTGGTTCTGTTTAGGTGATGGGTTACATTGATAGATTTGTGTATGTCGAACCAGCCTTGCATCCCAGGGATGAAGCCGACTTGACCATGGTGGATAAGCTTTTTGTTGTGCTGCTGGATTCGGTTTGCCAGTATTTTACTGAGGATTTTCGCATTAATGTTCATCAGGGATATTGACCTGAAATTTTGTTTTTTTGTTGTGTGTCTGCCAGGTTTTGGTATCAGGATGATGCTGGCCTCATAAAATGAGTTAGGTAGGATTCCTTCTATTTCTATTGTTTAGAATAATTTCAGAAGGAATGGTACCAACTCCTCTTTGTACCTCTGGTAGAATTCGGCTGTAAATCCATCTGGTCCTGGACAATTTTTGGTTGGTAAGCTATTAATTATTTTCTCAATTTCAGAGCCTGTTATTGGTCTATTCAGGGATTCAACTTTTTCCTGGTTTAGTCTTGGGAGTGTGTATGTGTCCAGGAATTTATCCATTTCTTCTAGATTTTTAAGTTTATTTGTGTAGGGGTGTTTATAGTATTCTCTGATCGTAGTTTGTATTTCTTTGGGAACAGTGGTGATATCCCCTTTATCATTTTTTATTGCATCTATTTGATTCTTCTCTCTTTTCTTCTTTATTAGCCTGGCTAGCAGTCTATCTACTTTGTCAATCTTTTCAAAAAACCAGCTCCTGGACTCATTGATTTTTTTGAAAGGTTTTTCGTGTCTCTCTCTCCCTCCATTCTGCTCTGATCTTAGTTATTTCTTGTCTTCTGCTAACTTTTGAATTTGTTTGCTCTTGCTTCTCTAGTTCTTGTAATGTTGATGTTAAGGTGTTGATTTTAGATCTTCTGTGCTTTTCTTGTGGGCATTCACTGCTATAAATTTCCCTCTAAACACTGCTTTAAATGTGTCCCATGGATTCTGGTACGTTTTGTCTTTGTTCTCATTGGTTTCAAAGAACATCTTTATCACTGTCTTAATTTTGTTATTTATCCAATAGTCATTTAGGAGCAGGTTGTTCAGTTTCCATGTAGTTGTGTGGTTTTGAGTGAGTTTCTTAATCCTGAGTTCTAATTTGATTGCACAGTGGTCTGGCGGACTGTTTGTTATAATTTCCATTCTTTTGCATTTGCTGAGGAGTGTTTTATTTCCAATTATGTGGTCAATTTTAGAATAAGTGTGATGTGGTACTGAAAAGAATGTATATTCTGTTGATTTGGGGTGGAGAGTTCTGTAGAAGTCTATTAGGTCTGCTTGGTCCAGAGCTGAGTTCAAGTCCTGAATATCTTTGTTAATTTTCTGTGTCATTAATCTGTCTAATATTGACAGTGGGGTGTTAAAATCTCCTACTATTATTGCTTGGGAGTCCAAGTCTTTTTGTAGGTCTCTAAGAACTTGCTTTATGAATATGGGTGCTCCTGTATTGGGTGCATATATATTTAGGATAGTTAGCTCTTCCTATTGCATCGATCCCTTTACCACTATGTAATGCTCTTCTTTGTCTTTTTTTATCTTTGTTGGTTTAAAGTCTGTTTTATCAGAGACTAGGATTGTAACCCCTGCTATTTTTTGCTTTCCATTTTCTTGGTAAATATTCCTCCATCCTTTTATTTTGAGCCTCTGTGTGTCTTTGCACTTGAGATGGGTCTCCTGAATACAGCACACTGATGGGTCTTGACTCTATCCAATTTGCCAGTCTGCATCTTTTAATTAGGGCATTTAGCCCATTTACATTTAAGGTTAATATTGTTATGTGTAAATTTGATTCTGTCATTATGATGCTAGCTGGTTAGTTTGCCCATTAGTTGATGCAGTTTCTTCATAGTGTCGATGGTCTTTACAATTTGGTATGTTTTTGCAGTGGCTGGTACTGGTTGTTCCTTTGTATATTTAGTGCTTCCTTCAGGAGCTCTTGTAAGGCAGGTCTGGTGGTGACAAAATCTCTCAGCATTTGCTTGTCTGTAAAGGATTTTACTTATCCTTTGCTTATGAAACTTAGTTTAGCTGGATATGAAATTCTGGGTTGAAAATTCTTTGCTTTAAGAATGTGAATATTGGCCCCCACTCTCTTCTGGCTTGCAGGGCTTCTGCAGAGAGATCCGTTGTTAGTCTGATGGGCTTCCCTTTGTGGGTAACTAGACTTTTCTCTCTGGCTGCCCTTAACATTTTTTCCTTCATTTCAACCTTGATGAGTCTGACGATTATGTGTCTTGGGGTTGCTCTTCTTGAGGAGTATTTTTGTAGTGTTCTCTGTATTTCATGAATTTGGATGTTGCCCTGTCTTGCTAGGTTGGGGAAGTTTTCCTGGATAATATCCTGAAGAGTGTTTTCCAACTTGGTTCCATTCTCCCTGTCACTTTCATGTACACCAATCAAACATAGATTTGGTCTTTTCACATAGTCCCATATTTCTTGGAGGCTTTGTTCATTCCTTTACATTCTTTTTCTCTAATCTTGTCTTCTCACTTTATTTCATTAAGTTGATCTTCAATCTCTGATATCCTTTCTTCTGCTTGATCGATTCAGCTATTGATACTTGTGTATGCTTCACAAAGTTCTTGTGCTGTATTTTTCAGCTCCATCAGGTTATTTATGTTCTGCTCTAAAATGGTTATTCTAGTTAGCAATTCGTCTTACATTTTTTCAAGGTTCTGAGCTTCCTTGTGTTGGGTTAGAACATGCTTCTTTAGCTCAGAGGAGTTTGTTATTACCCACCTTCTCAAGTCTACTTCTGTCAATTCATCAAACTCATTCTCCATCCAGTTTTCTTCCCTTGCTTGCGAGATGTTGTGACCATTTGGAGAAGAAGAGGCATTCTGGTTTTTGGAATTTTCATCCTTTTTGTGCTGGTTTCTTCCGATTTTTGTGGATTTAACTACTTTTGGTCTTTCATGTTGGTGACCTTCGGATGGGGTCTCTGAGTGGATGTCCTTTTTGTTGATGATAATGCTATTTCTTTCTGTTTGTTAGTTTTCCTTCTAACAGTCAGACCCCTCTGCTGCAGGTCTGCTAGAGTTTGCTGGAGGTGCACTCCAGACCCTGTTTTCCTGGGTATCACCAGCGGAGGCTGGTGAACAGCAAAGATTGCTGCCTGTTCCTTCCTCTGGAAACTTTATCCCAGAGAGGCACCTGCCAGATGCCAGTCAGAGCTCTCTGTATGAGGTGTCTGTTGACCCCTACTGGGAGGTGTCTCCCAGTCAGGCTACACAGGGGTCAGGGACCCCCTTGAGGAGGCAATCTGACCCTTAGCAGAGCTTGAGCGTTGTGCTGGGAGATCCGCTGCTCTCTTTAGAGCCATCAGGCAAGGACGTTTAAGTCTGCTGAAGCTGCCCCCATAGCCACCCCTTCCCCCAGGTGCTCTGCCTCAGGGAGATCGGGTGTTTATCTATAAGCCCCTAACTGGGCTTGCTGTCTTTTTTTCAGAGATGCCCTGCCCAGAGAGGAGGAATCTAGAGAGGCAGTCTGGCCACAGTGGCCTTGCTGAGCTGCAGTGGGCTCCGCCCATTTCAAACTTCCCAGTGGCTTTGTTTACACTGTGAGGGTAAAACTGCCTACTCAAGGCTCAGCAATGGTGGATTCCTCTCCCCCACCAAGCTTGAGCATCCCAGTTCGACCTCAGACTGCTGTACTGGCAGCAAGAATTTCAAGCCAGTGTATCTTAGCCTGCTGGGCTCCGTGGGGGTGGGACCCACTGAGCCAGACAACTTGGTTCCCTGGCTTCAGCCCTCTTTCCGGTTCTGTCTAGCTGGTGTTCCAGGTGACACTGGAGTATGGAAAAAAAAAAAACAAAAAACAAAAAACTCCTGCTGCTATCTCAGTGTCTGCCCAAACAGCCACCCAGTTTTGTGCTTGAAACCCAGGGCTCTAGTGAGGTAGGCACGAGAGGGAATCTCCTGGTCTGCAGGTTTTGAAGACCATGAGAAAAGTATCCGGGCTGGAGTGCACCATTCCTCATGGCACAGTCCCTCATAGCTTCCCTTGAGTAGAGGAGAGAATTTCCCAACCCCTTGCATTTTATGGGTGAGGCGACGTTCTCCACTGCTTCGGCTCACCCTCCATGGGCTGCTCCTACTGTCCAACCAGTCCCAATGAGATGAACCGGGTGCCTCAGTTGGAAACTCAGAAATCACCACCTTCTGCATTGATCTCGCTGGGAGCTGCAGACCAGAGCTGTTCCTATTTGGTTTAGAAACCCTGTAATTTGGCTAACTTGCAAGCAGATGAATTGCTGGCAAGATGGCCAAATAACAGTGTTTCTAAACAATGTATGGCCACCTTCATGAGGCAGAGAAATATGGATTCTTGTGTTGGTAAGGGAGGCTGGTGGTGCTTTCAAATTCAGGTACTCAAAATCTTCTGAAACTAGTCTCATTCCAGTGCTCAATCCCAACTCTTTCACAGTCAACACACTAACATTTACATAGGTATAGACGTTGTAAATTAAATCAACTTTATAATTGAGGAAACTTAGGATTTATTATTGGCTATGTCATCTCTGCAGTTATGAGATAATTGAAATATTAAAATAATGAGATAATTAAAACATTAAAATATGAGATAATTGAAACATTAAAGTTACATTTTCTCTCTTTAAGCTCTTCAATGCACTTAGAAGCACAGCCTAATGCATAAGCCATCAGTCTGCATGAGAATGGCTCCTCAGGAATTCAGCACTATTGCCGCAAGCTTCAGGGTCACCTGCACTTGCTATGATCTGCATCAGCAATATAGATGACTAACTGAGTTAAAAGTTCTTTTATGAATGTATCTGATTAGCAGAACCAAATCACATTGCAATGGAAAATGTGGTGCTTACAGTGTCTGCACATAGATAGGCTTATTTGAAGGTATTCGAAAGATGCAAAATGAGCAAATACATAACATTTTTAGAGTAGTAATACCCAGAAGAGAAATTTAAATAATTTATAACAATAAATTAACTAAAATTTACTGTAATCCTCAATTTACAGATGAGAAAACTGGGATGCTTTAGTTGTGATTAAGGGAGCTCCACATAATATATTAATACAAGGCAGTTGTTCTATTGACATTCTTGGGCTGCATAAAGCTGAAATATTTTTGAATAAATTGTATGTGGATGGTTGTATGTTATTAAATTAAAATTGGCATTATAATAATAGTAACAGTCACACTTTGTTAAGTGCTCGGAAGGTATCAGACGTGTTTGTAAGCACTTTTTAAAGTGTTGTTTTAATAAATATTCACGACTACTCTGAGAAAATTAGTATTATTTCTCCTAATTTTCATATAAGGAAACTGAGTCATTCAGAGTTTTCCTAATTTGCCTGAGGTCATACAAATGGACTGTGATTTCTGAGATTTTAATACAGTGAATGAGGGAGTATATAAGCTGCTACTCATACTTGAATAACTCCACCTTATGGAAGCCACTGTTATCAAGGAGTGATACAGAACTTCCCTAAGTTAATAATATTGTTGAGTGTTACTGTGCTGTTTCACTGTCGTGTATATGAAAACATTTGAAGTCAATAAAACTTCAAAAATGTGATAGCCATGGAAATCTGATCACAGAAGTCTATTTAGTAGCTTAATGAGTAACAGACAGCATTTTGCCCCATATATGTCCACAGTGGAGATCCTGGGAAGTAGACCTAAAATCAGAGAGAGGTTCAGTTGGGTGAATAAGGAGTTTAAGAGGTAGCCAACATTGTTGATGGGATATAGAGATTTGTATCCATAGTTATGAAAAGCAAGGAGTCCTAGAAAGCCCCGATATAAAAACTTCTTCAAAAAAGGTGTCAGAGCAGAGCAATGATAATTTAAAGGCAAAATATATGATAATGTAAATAGTAGGCATTTTGAGACTTCCATCCATTTGTTGATTAACAAATATTTTATTGAATTGCTACACTACAATAAACCCTTTAGTAGGCAATAATGAAGAAAATGTTTCCTTTGCTTAAAAAATGTTTATGGGTTATTAGTAAAGATAGCCAAGAAAAATAAAGTTTTAGTATACTGTAAAAATTGCTATCATATTGATAAGCACACTTCTGCATTTCAGGATGCTTATGTGATCATATGTGACCATAAAATACAGCAATAAAAGTCCAATTATATAAATGGGGCAAAAAAAAGTCAACTCGAGCTTGGGAAATTCAGCACAAGAGACCTAACATCAGAAAGAGATGTAGGACATAATGAACGCCCTTTAATTATTTGAGGATACAAAGGTTTACTGTGACCTAAATCAGTTGGATGGAGAATGACTAAGTAATATCTACGAGTGAGATAATAAATTATCAACCACATATTCTCTAGCTATGGTTGATGTTGGTGGTGTGGATAATTTGGTATTCAATCAAAAAGTAACAGAGTCTTGCCTATAAAACCCTAAAGAAAAAAGGATACACAGAAAGCGCACCACAGTTATCATGCAGGTAAATATTACATATGAAATTGTAATAGAAGAGTTGGAGGACTCTGAGTGTCTTTAGCTAAAGTGTTTTATTTGTTGTCTAAGAGATGTAAGTTTAATTCCAAAAAAGTAATTGTCTCCTGAATGTTTAATTTTCAGAGTATGATAATTTGGAAAGAAATCCCTATAAGCCAAGCTTGGCATTTTTGATGTGCTCACTTAATACTTTTGTGAAGGAATAAATGATATCATAGTACTTATTCTGAAATTGTAAGATTCCCTTGGATACTTTTATTTTGCAAGGTTTCTCCCCTCCCCCAGGAGTTGGCACAGGGCTTATTTGTTGGGGCATAGCCCTGATTTGAATCAGTTCTGATATGTATTGGCTGTATGTGATTACCTATTTCCCATGACTCTTTATGCTTCATTCTTTAGAAGGAGGAGAAAAACAAATTGGCTGTTAAAATCTTAGAGGAATAGATAAAAAATTTAATAGAGTTTAGAACATAATATTCACATGACATAAATGAGTATTTGTTTCATAGCATTATGTTGCTTTGCATAATAAGTTGAACTAATAAAATTAGCTCTTTCATGAAAAGCATAAAAAGAAATCAATTGCTATTTGTTGCTTTCTGTTTCATCATAATTCACCATACACTACTTCCTTCACTTTTACAACTCCATGTTATTTGCAATCACGATTCTTTTTGCCCAGAACATTCATATAATCGAATTTCTTGTATTTACCAGAAGTATTTCTTGGATAATGCAGGTGTTGTGAGCAACCCTATCTTTTACATTGATACAGCATGTGGTATACGTTTTTATGAAAAAATTATTCTATATGTAAATATCTACCTTTTTAACTGTCATCTGAAATCCCAGCAGGTGAAGATAGTATTATTCTATTAACCCAAATGGCTAGCACATACTTGCAACCTAGTTGCTTTAAAAAATATTTTTAGAATAATATATGAATGAATTTTCATAATCATATAAGAATTGGGAAGAATTTACATTTGGGAGATTCTTATTCTGTTTATAGAAAACATACAGATATTGAGTTAGAAAAAATAGTGCACACATAATCACTTTAAGCATCAATTATTTACCAGATATTATTTGACAGATCAATTATTTATCAATTATTTACCAAACCAATTATTTACCAGATGTTATCTTAGAATATTCAATATTTATTAATTGTTATGGTTTTTCTGTTTGCTTGTGCATGGATTTAAAATGAGAAATAAAACTCAGTGTTTTCTGGATGCAAACTAAAAGTGCTTGAAACAGTTTGGCATCTTCTAGAAATCTAGGACATGGTTATATACATATAACTTCTTTCAAATAGACTTGGAGCATAATAGATATGGCAGGGTACACAGGTCAAACTGAGTGGAAGATCAATTCATGATTCATGATACCGATCAGAGCCACAGAGAGCTACTATGGAGAGTTTTGTCACTGCTTGGAGACCATCATCATCTTATTCCCAGTAACTTTTTAAAATCAGGAAACAATGCCATTCGTTATAGCACACAAAGTAATGAAGAAAGATAATGTCACTAAGGTGACAGCTGAACCCATATTTAGTAATTATTGTGAAATTGGAAATAATTCTGCTGAGAGAAAAGTCAGGAAAACTGAAATTCTATCTTTGATCATGGTAACATTACTTGACCTATAGGCAGTTTAGATCCAAATTGTTGCATTTGTCGAATTAAATTTAATTGTGTGTTTTTTTTTTCTCACTAGAATTTTAGGAAACTTGGGGTAAGAGTCATCTTTTTTCATAACTACATCCACAGTATGTGTCATAAGATACATAAGTATAACCTGAATGAATTAATGGTACATTAGAAAGTCCTTTAACAATTTAACATGAACTATTAATTATTACAAATGAAAGTCAGTGTATAATACTGTCTATGGGGTTTTGTAAAATGCTATTGTTTATGAATTGTGTAGTGCAAAGTAGAGATGTAGAACACTATCACAGCAGATTTCATTTCACTTCTCTACTTCCAGAAACTCTAAAGTTATTTCTGGATCCTCAGATCAAAACTCAGTTCTACAGAAAGTTGAACTCTCACCAGTTTACCATAATCCATGCATTTTCCTGATATTATTTTATATTTTCTGTTCTCTGGTTTTTGTTATTCATTTTTAGAGTTATTTAATCTACCTAAAAATACCTCTGAACAAGAGATAATAATAATTGTAGGTACCTCATAAAGTCATTAGCAGGATTAAATGAGCCAATACGTAGAAAACAATTAAAATAGGCCTGCAATATGATAATTGCTAAAAAAAACTTTATTTCATCTTCTGCTCTCCTCCTCTTATTACTTTCCTCATTATTATCATACTTATCATTAATATCATAAAAATGCTGTATACAAATAAGTTTCTAATGTTTTCTTTTTTTTGTATTTTAATATTTTGTTTGTTTGTTTTTTATCATACTTTAAGTTTTAGGGTACATGTGCACATTGTGCAGGTTAGTTACATATGTATACATGTGCCATGCTGGTGCGCTGCACCCACTAACTCGTCATCTAGCATTAGGTATATCTCCCAATGCTATCCCTCCCCCCTGCCCCCACCCCACCACAGTCCCCAGAGTGTGATATTCCCCTTCCTGTGTCCATGTGATCTCATTGTTCAATTCCCACCTATGAGTGAGAATATGCGGTGTTTGGTTTTGTGTTCTTGCGATAGTTTACTGAGAATGATGGTTTCCAATTTCATCCATGTCCCTACAAAGGACATGAACTCATCATTTTTTATGGCTGCATAGTATTCCATGGTGTATATGTGCCACATTTTCTTAATCCAGTCTATCAATGTTGGACATTTGGGTTGGTTCCAAGTCTTTGCTATTGTGAATAGTGCCGCAATAAACATACGTGTGCATGTGTCTTTATAGCAGCATGATTTATAGTCCTTTGGGTATATACCCAGTAATGGGATGGCTGGGTCAAATGGTATTTCTAGTTCTAGATCCCTGAGGAAACGCCACACTGACTTCCACAATGGTTGAACTAGTTTACAGTCCCACCAACAGTGTAAAAGTGTTCCTATTTCTCCACATCCTCTCCAGCACCTGTTGTTTCCTGACTTTTTAATGATTGCCATTCTAACTGGTGTGAGATGATATCTCATAGTGGTTTTGATTTGCATTTCTCTGATGGCCAGTGATGATGAGCATTTTTTCATGTATTTTTTGGCTGCATAAATGTCTTCTTTTGAGAAGTGTCTGTTCATGTCCTTTGCCCACTTTTTGATGGGGTTGTTTGTTTTTTTCTTGTAAATTTGTTTGAGTTCATTGTAGATTCTGGATATTAGCCCTTTGTCAGATGAGTAGGTTGCGAAAATTTTCTCCCATTTTGTAGGTTGCCTGTTCACTCTGATGGTAGTTTCTTTTGCTGTGCAGAAGCTCTTTAGTTTAATTAGATCCCATTTGTCAATTTTGGCTTTTGTTGCCATTGCTTTTGGTGTTTTGGACATGAAGTCCTTGCCCACGCCTATGTCCTGAATGGTAATGCCTAGGTTTTCTTCTAGGGTTTTTATGGTTTTAGGTCTAACGTTTAAATCTTTAATCCATCTTGAATTGATTTTTGTATAAGGTGTAAGGAAGGGATCCAGTTTCAGCTTTCTACATATGGCTAGCCAGTTTTCCCAGCACCATTTATTAAATAGGGAATCCTTTCCCCATTGCTTGTTTTTGTCAGGTTTGTCAAAGATCAGATAGTTGTAGATATGTGGCATTATTTCTGAGGGCTCTGTTCTGTTCCATTGATCTATATCTCTGTTTTGGTACCAGTATCATGCTCTTTTGGTTACTGTAGCCTTGTAGTATAGTTTGAAGTCAGGTAGTGTGATGCCTCCAGCTTTGTTCTTTTGGCTTAGGATTGACTTGGCGATGTGGGCTCTTTTTTGGTTCCATATGAACTTTAAAGTAGTTTTTTCCAATTCTGTGAAGAAAGTCATTGGTAGCTTGATGGGGATGGCATTGAATCTGTAAATTACCTTGGGCAGTATGGCCATTTTCACGATATTGATTCTTCCTACCCATGAGCATGGAATGTTCTTCCATTTGTTTGTATCCTCTTTTATTTCCTTGAGCAGTGGTTTGTAGTTCTGCTTGAAGAGGTCCTTCACATCCCTTGTAAGTTGGATTCCTAGGTATTTTATTCTCTTTGAAGCAATTGTGAATGGGAGTTCACTCATGATTTCGCTCTCTGTTTGTCTGTTGTTGGTGTATAAGAATGCTTGTGATTTTTGTACATTGATTTTGTGTCCTGAGACTTTGCTGAAGTTGCTTACCAGCTTAAGGAGATTTTGGGCTGAGACGATGGGGATTTCTAGATAAACAATCATGTCGTCTGCAAACAGGGACAATTTGACTTCCTCTTTTCCTAATTGAATACCCTTTATTTCCTTCTCCTGCCTGATTGTCCCGGCCAGAACTTCCAACACTATGTTGAATAGGAGTAGTGAGAGAGGGCATCCCTGTCTTATGCCAGTTTTCAAAGGGAATGCTTCCAGTTTTTGACCATTCAGTATGATATTGGCTGTGGGTTTGTCATAAATACCTCTTATTCTTTTGAGGTAAGTCCATTCAATACCCAATTTATTGAGAGTTTTTAGCATGAAGGGATGTTGAATTTTGTCAAAGGCTTTTTCTGCATCTATTGAGATAATCTTGTGGTTTTTGTCTTTGGCTCTGTTTATATGCTGGATTACATTTATTGATTTGTGTATATTGAACCAGCCTTGCATCCCAGGGATGAAGCCCACTTGATCATGGTGGATAAGCTTTTTGATGTGCTGCTGGATTCGGTTTGCCAGTATTTTATTGAGGATTTTTGCATCAAAGTTCATCAAGGATATTGGTCTAAAATTCTCTTTTTTGGTTGTGTCTCTGCCCGCCTTTGGTATCAGAATGATGCTGGCCTCATAAAATGAGTTAGGGAGGATTCCCTATATTGATTGGAATAGTTTCAGAAGGAATGGTACCAGTTCCTCCTTGTACCTCTCGTAGAATTCGACTGTGAATCCATCTGGTCCTGGACTCTTTTTGGTTGGTAAACTATTGATTATTGCCACAATTTCAGCTCCTGTTATTGGTCTATTCAGAGATTCAACTTCTTCCTGGTTTAGTCTTGGGAGAGTGTATGTGTCAAGGAATGTATCCATTTCTTCTAGATTTTCTAGTTTATTTGCGTAGAGGTGTTTGTAGTATTCTCTGATGGTAGTTTGTATTTCTGTGGGATCGGTGGTGATATCCCCTTTATCATTTTTTATTGTGTCTATTTGATTCTTCTCTCTTTTTTTCTTTATTAGTCTTGCTAGCAGTCTATCAATTTTGTTGATCCTTTCAAAAAACCAGCTCCTGGATTCATTGATTTTTTGAAGGGTTTTTTGTGTCTCTATTTCCTTCCGTTCTGCTCTGATCTTGGTTATTTCTTTCCTTCTGCTAGCTTTTGAATGTGTTTGCTCTTGCTTTTCTAGTTCTTTTAATTGTGATGTTAGGGTGTCAATTTTGGATCTTTCCTGCTTTCTCTTGTGGGCATTTAGTGCTATAAATTTCCCTGTACACACTGCTTTGAATGTGTCCCAGAGATTCTGGTATGTTGTGTCTTTGTTCTCGTTGGTTTCAAAGAACATCTTTATTTCTGCCTTCATTTCGTTATGTACCCAGTAGTCATTCAGGAGCAGGTTGTTCAGTTTCCATGTAGTTGAGTGGCTTTGAGTGAGATTCTTAATCCTGAGCCCTGGTTTGATTGCACTGTGGTCTGAGAGATAGTTTGTTATAATTTCTGTTCTTTTACATTTGCTGAGGAGAGCTTTACTTCCAACTATGTGGTCAATTTTGGAATAGGTGTGGTGTGGTGCTGAAAAAATGTATATTCTGTTGATTTGGGGTGGAGAGTTCTGTAGATGTCTATTAGATCCGCTTGGTGCAGAGCTGAGTTCAATTCCTGGGTATCCTTGTTGACTTTCTGTCTCATTGATCTGTCTAATGTTGACAGTGGGGTGTTAAAGTCTCCCATTATTAATGTGTGGGAGTCTAAGTCTCTTTGTAGGTCACTCAGGACTTGCTTTATGAATCTGGGTGCTCCTGTATTGGGTGCATATATATTTAGGATAGTTAGCTCCTCTTGTTGAATTGATCCCTTTACCATTATGTAATGGCCTTCTTTGTCTCTTTTGATTTTTGTTGGTTTAAAGTCTGTTTTATCAGAGGCTAGGATTGCAAACCCTGCCTTTTTTTGTTTTCCATTTGCTTGGTAGATCTTCCTCCATCCTTTTATTTTGAGCCTATGTGTGTCTCTGCACGTGAGATGGGTTTCCTGAATACAGCACACTGATGGGTCTTGACTTTTTATCCAACTTGCCAGTCTGTGTCTTTTAAATGGAGAATTTAGTCCATTTACATTTAAAGTTAATATTGTTATGTGTGAATTTGATCCTGTCATTATGATGTTAGCTGGTGATTTTGCTCATTAGTTGATGCAGTTTCTTCCTAGTCTCGATGGTCTTTACATTTTGGCATGATTTTGCAGCGGCTGGTACCGGTTGTTCCTTTCCATGTTTAGCGCTTCCTTCAGGAGCTCTTTTAGGGCAGGCCTGGTGGTGACAATATCTCTCAGCATTTGCTTGTCTGTGAAGTATTTTATTTCTCCTTCACTTATGAAGCTTAGTTTGGCTGGATATGAAATTCTGGGTTGAAAATTCTTTTCTTTAAGAATGTTGAATATTGGCCCCCACTCTCTTCTGGCTTGTAGGGTTTCTGCCGAGAGATCCGCTGTTAGTCTGATGGGCTTCCCTTTGAGGGTAACCCGACCTTTCTCTCTGGCTGCCCTTAACATTTTTTCCTTCATTTCAACTTTGGTGAATCTGACAATTATGTGTCTTGGAGTTGCTCTTCTCGAGGAGTATCTTTGTGGCGTTCTCTGTATTTCCTGAATCTGAACGTTGGCCTGCCTTGCTAGATTGGGGAAGTTCTCCTGGATAATATCCTGCAGAGTGTTTTCCAACTTGGTTCCATTCTCCGCATCACTTTCAGGTACACCAATCAGACGTAGATTTGGTCTTTTCACATAGTCCCATATTTCTTGGAGGCTTTGCTCATTTCTTTTTATTCTTTTTTGTCTAAACTTCCCTTCTCGCTTCATTTCATTTATTTCATCTTCCATTGTTGATACCCTTTCTTCCAGTTGATCGCATTGGCTCCTGAGGCTTCTGCATTCTTCATGTAGTTCTCGAGCCTTGGTTTTCAGCTCTATCAGCTCCTTTAAGCACTTCTCTGTATTGGTTATTCTAGTTATACATTCTTCTAAATTTTTTTCAAAGTTTTCAACTTCTTTGCCTTTGGTTTGAATGTCCTCCCATAGCTCAGAGTAATTTGATCGTCTGAAGCCTTCTTCTCTCAGCTCGTGAAAATCATTCTCCATCCAGCTTTGTTCCGTTGCTGGTGAGGAACTGCGTTCCTTTGGAGGAGGAGAGGCGCTCTGCGTTTTAGAGTTTCCAGTTTTTCTGTTCTGTTTTTTCCCCATCTTTGTGGTTTTATCTACTTTTGGTCTTTGATGATGGTGATGTACAGATGGGTTTTTGGTGTGGATGTCCTTTCTGTTTGTTAGTTTTCCTTCTAACAGACAGGACCCTCAGCTGCAGGTCTGTTGGAATACCCTGCCGTGTGAGGTGTCAGTGTGCTCCTGCTGGGGGGTGCCTCCCAGTTCGGCTGCTCGGGGGTCAGGGGTCAGGGACCCACTTGAGGAGGCAGTCTGCCCGTTCTCAGATCTCCAGCTGCATGCTGGGAGAACCACTGCTCTCTTCAAAGCTGTCAGACAGGGACATTTAAGTCTGCAGAGGTTACTGCTGTCTTTTTGTTTGTCTGTGCCCTGCCCCCAGAGGTGGAGCCTACAGAGGCAGGCAGGCCTCCTTGAGCTGTGGTGGGCTCCACCCAGTTCGAGCTTCCAGGCTGCTTTGTTTACCTAAGCAAGCCTGGGCAATGGCGGGCGCCCCTCCCCCAGCCTCACTGCCTCCTTGCAGTTTGATCTCAGACTGCTGTGCTAGCAATCAGTGAGACTCCGTGGGCGTAGGACCCTCCAAGCCAGGTGTGGGATATAGTCTCGTGGTGCGCCGTTTTTTAAGCCGGTCTGAAAAGCACAATATTCGGGTGGGAGTGACCCGATTTTCCAGGTGCATCCGTCACCCCTTTCTTTGACTAGGAAAGGGAACTCCCTGACCCCTTGTGCTTCCCAGGTGAGGCAATGCCTCGCCCTGCTTCGGCTCGCGCACGGTGCGCGCACCCACTGGCCTGCGCCCACTGTCTGGCACTCCCTAGTGAGATGAACCCGGTACCTCAGATGGAAATGCAGAAATCACCCGTCTTCTGCGTCACTCACGCTGGGAGCTGCAGACGGGAGCTCTTCCTATTCGGCCATCTTGGCTCCTCCCCCTCTAATGTTTTCAAACATTTACATGGATATTTATATTTTATTCTCAAACTCTTGGTGATTGTATTTGATTTGACAGAAATGCCAAGTAGGATCACATTTCCTAAGAACATTCATATATAGTATCTGGTAAGAATGAATAGTTCCCAGGTCCACATCTATCGTGACACTTACATCATCAAACTAAATGCCTTAAGTCTCTTCCAAAGCTAACCACTCCTATTCAAAATCACAATCATTCACCCAGATTTTCTACTTCATCCAAATACACATGAATAAAATACTTTAATTTTCAGAAAACTATGAAGCAATATTCAGCTTTATCAAATTTATTGAATACAATGTGGTGGAAATTTTAATATGGAAATAAAAATGCATGTTTAACTATAATGAAGGAAAGAGAGTGTTGAGAGGATATATATAATAGAAAGCATTTACTGTAACTTGGTTTTTTTTAAACCTTATTAATACTTTCATTTACCAGAGAAAAACATAACCTTTTGGATGGTGTCCTTAAAGGCTTGCTTCACTTGCTGGTTCCTCAGGGTGTATATAAATGGATTCATCATAGGAGCAACGGAGGTATTGAGAATAGCTACTCCTTTGGTCAACGACGCTCTTTCTTTTGCAGAGTGATTAGCGTACATGAATATGCAGCTTCCATAGGAAATGGAAATGACAATCATGTGAGAGGAACACGTAGAAAATGCCTTTTTTCGCTGACTAGCAGAGGGGAGTTTCAAAATTGTCCTAATGATAAACATGTAGGATAGAATGATTAATGCCAAAGTGAAAAGCAGAATTACTATTGCAGAGTAAAAACCAATCACTTCTAGGAGCCATGTGCCTCCCTATGCAGGATAATTGCAATAGGGAGAAATAGTCACAAGCAAAGTGATCAATGACATTGGAGCCACAGTAATCTAACCGGAGAAAAAGAATAACTGGGGGGAAGATATTTAAGAACCTGCCAACCAAGCACAAAAGACAAGCAATATGCAGACTCTCTTGTTCATGATGGTCATATAATGAAGGGGTTTACAGATGGCCACATAACGATCATAGGACTTGGCTGTTAGAAGGTAAAATTCAGTTATACCCATAAAGATGAAGAAAAACAACTGAGCTGTACAACTATTGTATGAAATAGTTTTGTGTCTGGTGATAATGGTGGCCAGAAATATAGGGAAACAGAGAGTTGTAAAGGTTATTTCTAATACAGAAAAGTTCCTGAGGAAGAAGTACATGGGGGTCTGCAGATGGGAGTCCACCAAGGTGAGAGTGATGATGGTCAAATTTCCAGTGACACTTAATATGTACATGATAATTAAAAAGAGAAAAATCACAATCTGAAATTCTGGGTCATCTGATAGCCCTAGAAGAATGAATTCTGTGAGTACTGTGTAGTTTTTCATTGCTGATCTTTATTTTCCCCTTTAGAAGAGAAAATGTATGTTCCTCCTATAGAATGTTAAAAAAAAAATAAAACTGTTGAAGATAGGCATAATATTTTTAAAATATACATAATTAATGAATAATCTATAAAATTTTAAGAGTTCCCCATTAGCAACCCTCTGTAGTTTCCAATCTGCCTTTCATTCAAGTAACAAATATTATTAGAAGTTAAATATCAGTCTTTCTTCACTGAAAATACATTATTACAGGCCATAAATAAAAAATTATGATGCTAACATTTAAACAGAAGCCACTTCTTCTAATATTTCTTCAAAACTAATCTTCCAGTTACTTAAATCAACCTGGAATGCAGCACAATCTAAATATAGGGTTTAAAAATTTACAGATGTTATTTAGTTCTATCTTGAAATGTCATATTTTGAGAAACTCAGTCTCACATAGGTTAGGAAACTTTCATGAGGTTAAACAACTAGTCACCATAGAAAATCATCTCACTTTAGAAAAATAATGCATGTCTATTCATGGGAATGTTTTGCTGGCATTGTCTCCTGGTATTACTTATGGGATTGGTTGATGCTATCACCTTCCCTGATCCACTTTTTTTTCCTTTTTTTAGCAAAAAGATGAGAAGAACAATAAAGGAAAACTTCTGTTGCTAAAACAAATAATTGCCTAAAAACATTTTAATTAATATAATACACAATTTGTTTTTTTTTGTTTTGTAGTTTTTTTTCTTTTTTAAACAATATTGCTATAGCAAAAAAACAAGTGGATGGTCAAAATAACACTTAATGGGAAATAGGTATTTCAAATAGTAAATGCCTTTTTAAAATCCTATTTCTATCACAGCATAACATCTAAACTTATTTAGAAAAATGAACAAACCAAAAGTTACTGCTTTGTTTCTGCTTTGGGACTACATTTATAGTCGTCTCAGTAATAAACAACTATACAACTTTTATTATTGTAAGGGCTATAAGTCCACAATCATACATGCAAATAATCTTTTAAAACATGTAAGTGGAATAATATGTATTAAATTTAAAAGTAACAAACTTACTTACTCCTTGGTTTTTCTCAATAATTTTATCTCAAATTTCACCATCTAGCTTTCTTAAATAACCATATAATTTCAGAGCTGGAAAATTTATTTATCAATTTATTTGGTTTCTTTTGTACTTATAAAACAAATGTGGTTATTTTTCATGGCTTTTAGACATTACAGTTCTCCCCTAGACTAGAAATATTTGACCCACAATACCCTTAATTCCTGATATTGTAAAATTGTTGGAACATTTTATTATATTATAATGAATTCTTGCTTTTCCTCTCTCTCACACAAGATCCATTTATAAACACAGTTATACCTGGATTGATTAGTAAAGTAGTCTTCCATTTTCTCCTTTCCATGTAATACACAAACACTTGTTAAAACATTCTTCTTTGAATTTATGAAAACATTTTAAATAATATTTTAAAACCTTATAATTATATATTCATAAAATCTAATTCATACTTCCCTTAGGCTTCAGACAATGTTACATTTTCCTGAAAATTCTGATTTGAGCAATAGAAAATAAAGAATATCCCTCCCTATGTATGCTATACAAATGGAGTTAGACTTATTTTATGTGTCTTTCTTGTTGGCTCATGGGAATTCATTATGTAAGCAAAGTGTGCCAAGGTGAGGCATCAGTAAAAAATACAGATGAATCACTGGTATTAGACATTTTATAAATATTGATAAGAAAGTATAAAAACATAATTATTAATGTAAATGAGGCAAATATATAAACCACATGTGACAATGAATGTATGAAACTTTGATTTAGAATTTGATTCTTCTGCAATTGTAATAATCCATACATTTCTTCCAGAAAATCTGGACCTATCTTCAGGAGAATTAACATACTTACATAAGCGTATCTCTTGAATTTTGGCAACCCGGAAAAGAGACTTTTCTGTTTCACTATGAGATGGTAGAAAACACGGCTTTGGATTTCCAGTATGACTTAATTGTCTTCTGAAATGGACAATATTAAGGTCCTATGAGGAGTTTTATCCCTGTATTGGTCCTTTGAGTTTTTTTTTTTTTTTTAGATGGAGTCTCGATACGTTGCCCAGGCTGGAGTGCAGAGTGGCGCGATCTCAGCTCACTGCAAGCTCTGCCTCCCGGGTTCACGCCATTCTCCTGCCTCAGCCTCCCGAGCAGCTGGGACTACAGGTTCCCACCACCGCACACGGCTAATTTTTTTGTATTTTTAGTAGAGATGGGGTTTCACCGTGATAGACAGGATGGTCTGGATCTCCTGACCTCGTGATCCGCCCACTTCAGCCTCCCGAAGTGCCAGGATTACAGGCATGAGTCACCGTGCCTGTCCGGTCCTTTGAATTTAGGGAAACCCTTCCCAAGTCCCACTACCAATGTCAGAGCAATATTTGCTAAAAGTTGCATTTATTTGACTATTACTAAAAAGAAAAAAAAAAACAGATACTGGCAAGAAGAGGGAGAAAACGGAATGCTTCTTAACTGTTGGTGGGGATGTAAATTAGTGCAACCCCTATGGAAAACAATATGGAGACTTATCAATGAACTAAGAATAGAGCTACCATTTCATCCAGCAATCCCACTTCTGAGTGCGCAAAGGAAAATAAACCATTAAATAAAAAAGATATTTGCATTCATTTGTTCATCACAACACTATTTACAACAGCAGAGTCATGGAATCAATCTAAGTGTCCATCAACAGATGGTTGATAAAGAAAATATGGTATATATATGTATAAATTATATACCATGGAATACTACTCAGCCATAGAAAGAATAAAATAATGTCTTTTGCAGCAACATGGATAGAACTGGAGGCCATTATCCTAAGTAACATAACTCAGAAGTAGAAAGTCAAACGCCATATGTTCTCACTTATAAGTGGAAGTTAAACAATGGGTACACACTAACATACAGAGTGCAATAATATAATCTGGTTGAATACAAAAGGCTTCATAAAAATCAGTTTAAACTTTTCTCAGATTTTACCTTAGAGATTATTACTTTGGAAATGTCTTATGACATTCCTATAATTAGTACAGAATTGTTTCCTTGGAGTCCTCAGGGGGGAAAAATGACTTTTAATTTTTTTTCTAACAGAAATCGGTGAATTTGAATCCCAAGTCGGACCAAAGTCCTGACAAGTATGAATGAGAACAATAAGTAAAAATAGTAATCATCCAAATTACTCTCAAAATCTGTAGGTTTTCAGATATGTTCTATTTATAGTCCAAGTGTCTCTATTTTGTTAACTAGCTATCTATAGTTGAAGATGATTTTTAACTTAAAAAACAAAAGCTCTCCTGAAAAGTAGGACATTAAGATGTTCTTATGAAAACCATAACAATATTAATTTATAACTTGTGGGACTAATGGAGCAACCTATGGGTTTTGGATTAGAAATGTAATTTAGCTATATACAATATTGTGACTTTGAACAAATTATTTAATATCTCTGAATTTTAGTTTTTTTATTTTTTAAATGAAAATAATATTTCATGGAGCCCCTTATTGTGAGGAAAATTTTAAATATAAAGTAAAAATAAATTATACATAATTTTCTAGTATGGTTGATCCTTGAACAACATGTGTTTTACTTGCACAGGTCTCCTTCTATATGAACTTTTTTCAATAACTGTATTGGGAAAACTTTTGGAGATTTGCAACAATTTAAAAAAACTTGCAGATAAACTACGTAGCCTAGAAATATGACACCCATGTGAAGTGTCACTAGTGACGGTGGAAGTGCCCCCAAAAGGTAGAAAAAAATCATGACATTGCAAGAAAAACTTGAATTGCTTAATATGTACCAGAGATTGAAGTCTGCAGCTGTGGTGGCCCACTATTTCAAAATAAATAATCCAGTGTAAGGACCATTGTAAAAAACGAAATAAGGAGATTAACCGAAGAAGCAGTTTCTGCTGATCAGGAGGCCATAGACAAATTCCCAAGTACTATTAAGGAAATCATTGAGGAGAAAGGACATTTGCCCCTACAGTTTTTTTAATGCAGACAAAAGTGCACTATTCCAGAAAAAATTTTTCACAAAGGGCACTTATTAGGAAGAGAAATGAGCACCAGGATTTAAGGCAAGAAGGGAAGACTAACTCTAATTTTTGTGCAAATCCAGTTGGATTTATGATCAGAACCGCTCTTGTTTATAAAGCCTCCAATCCCTGATCCTTGAAAGAAAAAATAAACACCACCTGCCAGTTTTGGTTGTACAACCAGAAGGAGTGAACGAGAACTCTTTTTCTAGATTGGTTTCATAGTGCTTCATCTCTGAAGTCAGGAGGTACCTTGCCAGTAAGAGACTGCATTTTATAGTTCTTTTGATATTGGACAATACCCTTGGCCCCCCAAGCCCCATGAGTTCAATGCAGAAGGCACCAAAGTAATCTACTTGCCCCCAAACACAAATCCCCAATTCAGCCTTTAGGTTAGGGGTCATAAGGACCTTTAAGGCTCATTATTCATGGTACTCTATGGAAAGGATTGTCAATACTATAGAACTCTGAGAGAACATCATTAAAGTCTGAAAAGATCACACCACTTAAGATGCCATCATTGTTACGGAAAAAGCTGTGAAAGCCATCAAGCCGAAAACAATAAATTCGTGCTGGAGAAAGCTGTGTCCAGATGTTGTGCATGACTTCACAGGATTTAAGACAGAAACAATCAAGAAAATCATGGAAGAGATTGTGGATATGGCAAAAAAAAAAAAAAAAAAAAAAAAAAAAAAAGGAGGCGATGAAGGATTTCAAGATATGCATCTTGGAGAACTTCAAGAGCTAATAGACACCACTAAAAGAGAAAACAGGAGATAACTCAATGGAGATAAGTGCTCCCAAACCAGAGCCAGATGATAAGGAAGAAGATACAGAAGAAGCAGTGCCAGAAAACAAATTTACACTAGACAATCTGGCAGAAAGGTTCTGATTATTCAAGAATTCTTTTGACTTCTTTTATGACATGAACTTCTCTGTGATATGAACACTGAAACTAAAGCAAATGGCAGAAGGATTAATACTGGTGCTCTCAACACAGAAGCATGTAGATTCATAGAACAAGTTTTTAGAGACTTTCAAAGAGAGTTAGACTCCCATGCGGTAAGAGTGGGAGACTTTAACATACCACTGACAATATTAGATAGATCATAAAGACAAAAAATTAACAAAGATATTCAGAACCTGAACTCAACACTGGATCAAATGGACCTGATATATATCTACAGTACTCTCTGCCCCAAAACAGCAGAATATACATTCTTCTCACTGCCACATGGCAAATACTCTAAAATAAATCACTTGTAAAATCAACTACAGACATAAAACGCTCCTCAGCAAATGCGAAATAACTGAAATCATAACAAACTCTCAGACTACAGTGCAATCAAATTAGAAATCAGGACTAAGAAATTCACTCAAAACCATACAATTACATGGAAATTCAATAACCTGCTTCTGAATGACATGTGGATAAAAAATGAAGTTAAGGCAGAAATCAAGAAGTTCTGTGAAACTAATGAGAACACAGATACAACAGTGTTAATGGGAAAATTTATAGCACTAAAGGTCCAAGTCAAAAATTAGAAGATTTCAAATTAACAACCTAACATCACAACTAAAATAAGTAGAGAACGAAGAGCAAACAGATTCCAAAGGTGGCAGAAGACAAGAAATAACCCAAATCAGACCTGAACTGAAGGAGATTGAGACATGAAAAACCACTCAAAAGATTAACAATCCAGGATATGGTTTTATGAGAAAATTAATAAAATAGACCACTAGTTAGACTAATAAAGAAGAAAAGAAAGGATTCAAAAAACACAGTGAGAAATGACAAGGGGGATATTACCACTGACCCCACAGAAATACAAACCATCAGAAAATATTATAAATACCTCTATGCACATAAACTATAAAATCTGGAAGAAATGGATGAATTCCTGGACACATATACCATCCCAAGACTGGATCAGGAAAAAATTGAATCCTTGAACTTACCAATAACAAGCTCTGAAATTGAGTAACAAATAGCCTACCAATGAAAAAAGCCCAGGACCAGAGAGATTCACAGCTGAATTCTCCCAGATGTACAAGGAAGAGCTGGTACCATTCCTCCTGAAACTATTCTAAAAAATTTAGGAAGGGGCACTTCTCCCTAACTCCTTCTATGAGGCCAGCATCATCCTGATACTAAAACCTGGCAGAGACACAACTAAAAAAGAAAACTTCTGGCCAATATCCTTGGTGTACATAAATGCAAAAATCATCAGCAAAATATTGGCAAACCAAATCCAGCAGCACAGTAAGGCAGGTGGATCCCTTGAGCCGGGGAGTTCAAAACCAGACTGGGCAACATGGCGAAACCCTGTCTCTACCAAAAATAAAAAAATTAGCCGGGCGTGGTGGTTTGGGCACACCTGTATTCCCAGCTACTCAGGAGGCTGACATGGGAGGATCGCTTGAGCCCAGGAGGCGAGGGTTGCAGTGAGCCGAGATCGTGACACTGTACTCCAGCCTGGGGAACAGAGTCAGACCCTGCCTGGAAAAAAAAAAACCCAAAAACCAAAACCAAAACCAAACCAATAACAACAGAAAAACCACCCTGCCTTGCATATAATGGGGAGTTTCCTATATGTACTAGGCCATGAAACGTTCGTAAGTTTATGTGGAAAACGAGGCACAGAAAATAACTTTCTCAAGGAGACAAGAGTTTTTCCTGATAGCCAAAGTTCTTATTACAGGAGTAACTCAGCATGTTAGGGTAAAACACCCACACGATGAGAGTGAAAGCATCATTTTCCCAGTGAATCCATCTAGTCTCGATTCCTTATTGAGTAGCAAATTACCTTGGTCTATACCCAAATAAATGGGAATGAAGACACATTGTTTCAACATGAACTTAATTAGCACTGTTCTCCTTACTGTTAATATTTATTTTATCCAAAGATTTCATAGGCAACTTGATTGATGACTGCTTGCAAAGAGTACTGTCTCTACCTGTTAGGGAGGCAGTTCCACCTTCCCGACAGCCAAACAAAACCATGGACTTGCAACAAAATCTAAGACTTTCATCTCATAGCCTCTGCGCATACTAATGTTGCATTTGAATAACGTTTCTTAGTAAAAAAAGTTTCCATGTATTTTGTAATTGATCTCACAATTAGAAAATAATATCAAAACTGAAGTATTAGCTTCAAAAAGCTAGCATGTCTAATTTTCTTAAGTTCTTACTGTTGGCAAATTGAAGGTCAAGCATCATAACTCAAAAATTCCACAAATGGTCCTCAACTCATTTAACCAAAGAGAAACGTGTTTCTCATTGCTTATACTTTGTTGGGTAATTATAGATAAAAAGCCACAAAATTAAAATCTAATATTTTGATGGAACCAAAATTTACATATATGAACACTATTTTTTCTTTTTGCTAGAGTTGCACAGACCAAATATTATACTTATAAAAATATTTTAATGTAATGAAGTTGATCAGAATTACAGCTTTTGTTTGGATAAGCCAGGAGAGTTTAAAAGAATAAAATCTATTCATATCATTTATGTGACAACATTGATCAAGTCATTTAGCAACTGAAAAAATATGACTATATATGTCATAAGAGTGCAAAGAAATAATTAAGTTTATGCACTTAGTAATATGTCTGACATTGTAAGTACTAACTGTTAGATCTGAGTGGTATGTCTATTTATCAGAGGCTTTCTGATATTGTATTTTTTTCTTTACCTGTTATCTTCTTCATGGCTATCCTGACAGAAGAAAAAAAATAACAATTATTCTAACTTCCTTATCAGTATATCTTTTCAAATTATTAATATTATCAATGTTGTAAGTCTATTATCATTTAGATATCTATACAATATGTATAGATTGTACATGTACATATCTATACAATATATTCTTCATAGAGAATGTACATATCTATACAATATATTCTTCATAGAGATACAACACATAAAATTGCATTGTGGTCATCCATTTGCTTATGTTTTTCTCTCTTACTAGATCTGTGTGAGAGCAAGAACAAATCTTTTCAATCACTGAATCATTTCTTTAGTAGATACATTTATAAATAAATAAGTGAATAAACAAATAAAAGGCACATGTGAAAGATCCTTAAAATTATTTCAAATATAGGCACAGGTTAACTTTTAAAGTATCACAAATTCCTAAAGATTAAGTTCCTCAGAGATGTCTCCATGTTAATTGCTCATATTGGAAGACTTTGGTTTCCAGATCTTACCAGCAAATAGTTGAGACATAAAAGACTAAAAATTATGTGAAATATATTAAAATCTATAAAATTGAAGCTTTCATTATTTTACAAATATTTGAAATTTTTTTTTACATTTTACTTTGTAAGTTATAGCTGTAGGGGTGGGTTGTCCCTACACACCTGTGGGTGTTTCTCGTAAGGTGGGACGAGAGATTTGGAAAAGAAAAAGACACAGAGACAAAGTATAGAGAAAGAAATAAGGGGACCCGGGGAACCAGCGTTCAGCATAATGGAGGATCCCGCCAGCCTCTGAGTTCCCTTAGTATTTATTCATCATTTGTGGGTGTTTCTCGAAGAGGGGGATGTGTCAGGGTCACAAGACAATTGTGGGGAGAGGGTCAGCAGACAAACACGTGAACAAAGGTCTTGGCATCATAGACAATGTAAAGGATTAAGTGCTGTGCTTTTAGATATGCATACACATAAACATCTCAGTGCTTTACAAAGCAGTATTGCTGCCCGCAGGTCCCACCTCCAGCCCTAAGGCGGTTTTTCCCTATCTCAGTAGATGGAGCATACAATCGGGTTTTATACCGAGACATTCCATTGCCCAGGGACAGGCAGGAGACAGATGCCTTCCTCTTGTCTCAACTGCAAGAGGCATTCCTTTCTCTTTTACTAATCCTCCTCAGCACAGACCCTTTACGGGTGTCGGGCTGGGGGACGGTCAGGTCTTTCCCTTCCCACGAGGCCATATTTTAGACTATCACATGGGGAGAAACCTTGGACAATACCTGGCTTTCCTAGGCAGAGGTCCCTGCGGCCTTCCGCAGTTTTTGTGTCCCTGGGTACTTGAGATTAGGGAGTGGTGATGACTCTTAAAGAGCATGCTGCCTTCAAGCATCTGTTTAACAAAGCACATCTTGCACCGCCCTTAATCCATTTAACTCTGAGTTGACACAGCACACGTTTCAGAGAGCACGGGGTTGGGGGTAAGGTTATAGATTAACAGAATCTCAAGGCAGAAGAATTTTTCTTAGTACATAACAAAATGGAGTCTCCTATGTCTACTTCTTTCTACACAGACACAGTAACAATCTGATCTCTCTTGCTTTTCCCCACAATAGCAGTATACAAATTTACAGATAAAGTGTGCTAGACCTAAAGTTTTTTTATCAACATCATTCGGGAGAACATGAGAGTAAAATTAACATTTGAAGGTGGAATTCTCCGATAGTCCAGCCATTAATCAGTGACTTATACCTCAAGCCTAATGATTAATAATTGAATTGATATTCATATAATTTTAAAAATTACTGTGTTTTTAAAATTTATTCTTGTATTTTAAATAAGGAACTTAATTTATAAAGAAAATAAAAATGGCATGCACTAAATTTCATGAAGTAAAGCTCTACATTTAAAGTACAATGCAATAGAGCATAGTACCTCTAGGGACTGAATTTAATGAACATGAAAAAGAACATGTAGAGTCTAAAAGTGTTATGACATTATCAATATTTATCTTGAAAATACAGAAGAATTAAAGTTTGAAACTACATTTGAAGTACAACATGATGACATATGTGCCTTTAAGGAACTCATACACAGAATTAAAATTACTTTAGTAAAATTACTTTACTATAAAATCATACACAAGTTGAGTTTTAAATAAATGTATATAATTCCAGACAATTTTGTAAGGAAAATAAATTTTACTTTATTTTTAAGTAGGTCAATAAACAATGCAGTGGAGAAACTTGTATAGAAGTGGAAGAAATGGACTGGGAAAATATAAAATTAACTATAACATAGCATATAAAGAAACTAGGAGAGCAAGGATACTTACAGAGATATTGAGAAATTTCAAAATTTTGCTTAATTGTTTTTTTAAAGTGCTCTTTATTTTTGACCAAAAATTCATTGATTTGCATAAAACACAACTTTGTGGACCACATTTTTGAAGGCTTGTTTTACTTGCTGGTTTCTCAGAGTGTAAATGAAGGGGTTCAGCATGGGGGCAACAGATGTATTGAGAATAGCTATTCCTTTTGTCAATGATGCCTTTTCTTTTGCAGATGGATTAGCATACATGAATATACAGCTTCCATAAGAAATGGAAATGACAATCATGTGAGAAGAACAAGTGGAGAAAGCCTTTTTTCTTTGACTGGCAGACGGGATTCTCAAAATGGTCCTGATAATGTACATGTAAGATAAAATCACTAATGCCAAAGTGAACAGCAAAGTAACCAAAGCAAAGTAAAAACCAATTACTTCTAGGAGCCATGTATCTGAACAAGATAGTTGTAAGAGGGGAAAATAGTCACATGCAAAGTGATCAATGACGTTGGAAGCACAGTAATCCAGCTGGAGGAGAAGCATAAGGGGTGGGAAAATGGTCAGAAACCCACTTAGCCAGGCACACAGCACAAGTAGAGTGCAGAGTTTCCTGTTCATGATGGATGTGTAATGAAGGGGCTTGCAGATGGCAACATAGCGGTCATAGGACATGGCAGTTAAAATGTAAAATTCAGTCACCCCCATGAAGATAAAGAAAAAGAGTTGGGCTGCACAGTTGTTATAGGAAATAGTCTTATTCCTGGTGATAATTGCCCCCAGAAATCTGGGGATGCATACGGTTGTAAATGAGATTTCTAAGAAAGAGAAGTTCCGGAGGAAGAAATACATAGGTGTCTGCAGATGGGAGTCCACAAAGGTTAGGGTGATGATAGTCAGGTTTCCAGTAACACTTAATATATACGTGATAAATAAAAAGAGAAAAATCACAATCTGAAGGTCAGGATCATCAGAAAGGCCCAGGAGGACAAACTCTGTGACCATTGTGTGGTTCATGTCTCGTCCTTTCTCTCTCTCCTTCTTCCACTCTCCTTTTTGTTCTTTTAAAGATATTTTGGTAGAATGATAATTAAGGAAAATAGATAAAAGATATAATTCATCATGATCCATATAATTATCAATACAATTCTAAAAATCTTCTACAGTCTGACAGTTTTGACTATCTTGTTTGCATTATGTTTTAATATTTTTTTCTAAGTCCAGCCTATTTACTAGTTCTCTTACTTTAAATCTAACAGAAATTAGGATATCTTCAGACAATAAGCCACATCACTGAGAAACAGCTAATAAAATGTATAATACCTGCTTTGTGTCCCATTAATGCAAAATATCATTATCTTTTTTGTTGAAACAATCACATGAAACATACATTTTTCTTTTTTTCATCATGTATACATTAAAGGATATTACCACCTAAACATAAAATGGGTGCTCTTAACTTCATCAAAAGATAAAAGTGAAAATTAGAAGATTGTTAATAACCCATTATTCTTTTTATGATATGAGAAACCAATTAAAGATTTTTAGCAAATAAAACATATATTTATATTAAAATAATGTTATTTTATTTATTCATTTTATTTTTAATATTAATATTTTGGTCTAATTGTCAAGATAATAGAACATCTTATATATGATGTATATTTACTATAAGATAGAGTAAATAATGTAATTATTTTACTCAACAAATAGGGAACATGTTCGCTTACTTATTGGTTTGTCTTATAATTCCATCAAAATCTTTAATGTTTGATGTCTTCTATGACTCACAAGAAATGTGTATATATATTCTACATACAGACATTTTAATTTTGAGCTTAAGGGAACATGTGATATTTATCTATTTTTCATTTTGCTCTGAAGCATAAATTGGAAAAGTAACTACTTGCCTTAGATCTCAGCAACTCTCTCACTTGGATTATAGCTTAGTGCATCTTCCATTTGAACATCTTCCTTTCAGAGCTTTACGGAAAAAGTTTTATTTCCTAGTAAATTTTGTCCCACATAAGACCATTCTTCCTTATGCAACCATTCATTCATAAGGATATCCAGAATTGTATAGGAAACCCTCTCACATTCATTCTAACCTAGTCAGTTAATTTTCAGCTATTCAAGAACTGCTGGATGTTCTATTCTATAGATGTTGTCTGCTAAAATCCTGATAGTTGTCTCCTCCATATTTTAGATTGTCAAATTTCTGCTATGATGGATAGAATGTAAAATTATTGCTTCTCTTCTGGACACTACCAAAGTTCACACTAATCAAATTTTATTTTATGTTTTTCTCTATTTTATAATGGTTTAAGGGATATATTTCAGGAAATAAAAATGGAATGCCAGAAACCTTTGGAAGATGTGGAAATACATTATATTCCTCTTCAATAATGTTGAACTAGAAGTTCAAAAAAAATTTATTCCTCTTCAATAATGTTGAGCTAGAAGTTAAAAAAAAATTTAAAGAGAAAATAGGTAAATATATGACACATTGGATATTATGAGTTAGATTCTGGTATCTGGGTTCCCCCTGGTCATACTTATATCTACAATATTTCAAGTTTCTTTGTTTTGACCTCAAAAGATTTGATCTCCTGGGAACAAAGCAAAGTCCAGGCCACATCTCTGCTGTATTATAGACCATGAAAGATTTCTGGAAGTCGCCTTTGGATTTCTCAGTAGCCTCCTAACTCTTATCTGTAGTCGATCTCCCTTGAGAGCAGTTAGGTTCATCTTTTAGCCCACAGAGGACCTCAAATATTGTCTTCTGTGGAATATTTACTTCCATTAACTGCAATTAATATATTATGCATACTTAATATTTCATAAGTAATAAAAATAGCTATGACATCTATTTTCTTACAAAACTAAAGCTCAATCTAATTGATATTTAAGCATCTTTTTGAGATTAAAAAAGTTTTCTACATATCCCATTTTTGTTTTTTATACTTAGGCTTTGTTAAGTGTTAGGGCATCAAGAAGCAAAAGGTTATTTCATAATGCTAAGTAAAGAATAACTATCATAATGCAAGTATTGTGCTCACAAGTTTTTTAAAAATGCTATCAGGTTAACTAATTCAATTATCATTATAAATTGCAATATTTAATTGCAGTGTCAATTTGTCCATCTTATTGTTTATCTTGGCCTTTACATCTGTTATCCCTTCAACATTCTAATAAAAAGACCCACAAAATATGATTTTATTTATGTGAAATTCTGGTTTGTGAATTATAACTAATTATTCTCTTTAGTGTTCTTTTTATGTTTCCCAAATATTTTGGCAAAAAAAAGTGTAATCAGATAAGCCATTTATTTAACATATAATTTATTTAAACTAATAGTGCATATTATATAATACAGATTAACACAAAATAAGCATTATGTTTTAATAAAATTATGAAATATGTATTTAATGTATAAAAATACAATAAATTTATACAATCAAATAATGTTTTATTTTTTCTTTTCCAGCTTTATTGGGGTATAATTTAGAAATCAAAAATAGTATATACTTAAGATGTATTTTACTCTTATAAAGGAGCATTTAATAAAGGAACATTTTGGCAGATATGTTTCCATATCATAGGGAGTGTTACCCTTAATCACTTAATTTTTGTTGATCACTTTTCTGGCTATTATAAAAATGATGTTATGTTTTCATTATAACAGCTCAATTAATAAGCAGGAAATTCTATCATTATTCATGGAGGGAAAAGTGCAATAATGCCTTGCTTGATTGCATCCTTGTCATATTGATATCCTGTTGTTGCTATTTAGATGTAAAGGCTTAATTGAGGTTTAGGTTTAGGTTTTTTTTTCCTTTCAAAACTAATCCAAAAAGGAATTTTATACTTTCAACAGAGATACATGTTTAATTGATTAAAAAAATAATTAGCAGCTATTGGTGTAACCGCCCAATGGGTTCACCTTGCTGCTGCCTAGACAGAGCCGATTTATCAAGACAGGAGAACTGCAATAGAGAAAGAATGAATCCTGTAATTCATGCAGAGCTGGCAGTGCAGGAGACCCCACTTTTATTATTACTCAAATTAGTCTCCCCGAGGATTCGGGGATCAGAGGTGTTTTGTTGTTGTTGTTGTTGTTTGAGACAGTCTCACTGTCGCCCAGGCTGGAGTGCAGTGCGATGATCCTGAGATCATGCCACTGCAACCTCTGCCTCCCAGATTCAAGCGATTCTCCTGCCTCAGCCTCCTGAGTAGCTGGGACTACAGGCATGCACCACGGTGCCCGGCTAATTTTTGCATTTGTTGTAGAGACTGGGTCTCACCACATTGGCCAGGCAGGTCTCAAACTCCTGGCCTCAGGTGATCCGCCTGCCTTGGTCTCCCAAGGTGTGGGAATCAGTTTTTAAAGATAACTCGGTGGGTGGGGAAAAGCTAGTGAGCAGGGAGTGCTGATTGGTCAGGACCTAGATGAACTCACAGGGAGTCGAAGCTGTTTTCTTGCACAGAGTCAGTTACTGGGTGGGGGCCACAAGATTAGATGAGCCAGTTTATTGATCTGGGTTGTGCCAGCTGATCCATCAAGTGCAGGGTCTGCAAAATATCTCAAGCACTATCTTAGGAGTAGTTTAGGGAGGGTCAGAATCCTGTAGCCTCCAGCTGCATGACTCCTAAACCATAATTTCTAATCTTGTAGCTAATTTATTAGTCCTACAAAGGCAGTCTATTCCCCAGGCAAGAGGAAGGCCTGCCCTGGAAAACTAAGTTCCTCCCAAAGTCAGTTCAGCCGCTCAGAAATGAACAAGGACAGCCTGGAGGTTAGAAGCAAGATGGACTTGGCTAGGTCGGATCTCTTTCACTGTCTCAGTTGCAATCCTGCAGTGGTGGTTTCATTGGTGATCCATGGCTGGATTCATTTGTTCACTATGTGCTACAAAATGATTATATTCTTAACCTAACATTTACCATTCCTTATACATTGTTACAAATTCATATAGAAAATCTCAGGTGAATGCTTACTTGTTCGTCATTCAGTATTCCAAGTTGATTCGCCAGTATCTGTTTGTTGGTATCATTATAAACACATACATTCACAATTTTGAAATCAGCTTTAGCTCATGTTAGTGTTTGACATATGTATTTCAAGAAAGATTTAAATTAACATCTCTACCTCTTTGGAGTGATTTATCCAGGGAGAAAGTCTTCAAGTTGTCTTCTGACTCTCATGGACATTCTGCTTTTACTCTTAGATTGTTTCCTTCTTAAGTAGTACGTCTTTCCAGGCTCATGTTACACTTTCCTGTATTACATCTGGAATCAATAATTTCTCCAAAAAGTTCTCTTTGCATTGATTGGAAAATATTAAATCAAGATAACAATCTGAGCACTAGTTATAATAATTGTCATGAAGTCGATCATCTTTTCAAGGTATTTTCAGTGGAAAGGACAAGCAAATATATTTTTATAACACATAATATTCTTTGGACAATAGGCTGTTGAAAAAATCTTTACAAGAGCATACTAATGAAACAACATTATTTGTCTGGGGTAATACCTGAGATTTGTTGCCTCATATCAAGGAAATCAAGGACATGGACACATAAGGAGTGAGGTTGAGAGTGGAGGTTTAATAGGTGAAAGAGAAAAGCTCCCTCTCATGCAGAGAGAGGGGCTTCTGAGTGGGTCTTCTGGCTCCATGGTGAAACGCACAGGGATTTATAGATGAGCTTGAGGAGGTGGTGTCTGATTTACATAGAGGATGAGAGATTGGTCAGACCAGATGTATCTTTTGCATAGCCCACAAAGAAGCTGGCCTCCCCACCCTAATTTTTTATTATGCAGATGAGTTCTCCACCTGGCCAGTGCCATGTTGCTTGCTTCTTTACTGTACATGTGGTTGACAAACAAAAGGGAAGAGGGGGTGGCCATGTTGAATATGCCTGGCCCCAGATAGCCTTTTCCTATTGGCACAAGTGCCGGCATTCACCTGTTCAAGCATCTAGCCTGCTTTTCTATGTCTGCAGCTTGATTTTTCAGGCTGCTCATTGTCAGAAAAGAAATGACTTGGGGGCTGCTTTTTATTAAAAGGGAAACCTTGCCAAGGACTCTCTTACCCTCACTACCTAAATAATTTATTTCTAGATCTTGTATCACTAAAGCATGTTAATATTGTTCAAATTTAGGACTACACGATTTTTACATAATCCCTTCTCTCTTTGATCCATTTGTGTCTTCTTTCTCTCATATTGAGTACCCTGGCTATCACATTAATTTTCATTTGTTTCTTTTCCTCACGTTGCATATACAACAGTATTAGAATAACAATGATGCCACTGCCACCCACAATGTCATTCCTGAGAACAGTTTCAGATTTATTTTTAGCTCTTCTCTTTGTGCCCTTAGATTAAACCCCACGTGGAGGTACAGACCAATTGATGTATTGAAAACCAACTGGAATAATTCTGTTTAGGTGGTTACTTCACCAACTTAATACACCGTTTATTATATTTAATTCACTTAAGTTTTATTTTTCAGGGATTTTTAAAAAAATTAATGCATTTGTAATTATTAAATACTAATATTTGCCCAAAGTCAATAATAAATCCTAATTACATTTCAAAAAGTCTATATTTAAACATTGATTCTTCCAACCTCTTTCCTTCTGTTAAGGGGCTGGGGGGTTGGTGGTCCTTACTTACAGAGCTCCCAAGATGGTAGCGGGCTGCTTTCAAAATGGCGGCGGGCCGCTTCCAAGATGGTGGCAAGCTTTGTGTTCTCTGACCTGGGGTTCTTGGCCTCATGGATTCCAAGGAATGGAATCTTGGGCCATTTGGTGAGTGTTTATAGCTCTATTAGAAGCCATGGGTCACGGAAGAGAACCATGGAACCCAGTGACTAGTGTTCAGCTCGATTAGGATGAACCCTGGCACTTAGCCATGCAGGAACAATGGCAAGCCTTTAGCCTGATCAGAAGCAGCAATGGGAGCCTCTCTGGATCTGGAGCACAGCAGACACCCTGCCAGATCTGGAGGGATGGAAGTCAGCAGCAGGTCTGCAATGGCGGCAAACAACAGTGGTGGACAGAGAGCGAAAGCTCAGCTCGAGCCCTAACAAACACGGACCAGAAGAGTGCAGTTGCAAGATTTAATAGAGTGAAACAGAGTGAAAACAGAGCTCCCATAAAAAGGGAGAGGACCCAAAGAGGGTAGCCATTGCCGGCTCCAATGCCTGGGTTTATATCCCGATCATTGTCCCTCTCGCTGTGCTCTCAGGCAATAGATGATTGGCTTTTTTTTACCTCCTGTTTTTGCCTAATTAGCATTTTAGTGAGTTCTCTTTACTATCTTATTGGTTGGGTATGAGCTAAGTTGCAAGCCCCGTGTTTAAAGGTGGAAGCAGTCACCTTCTCAGCTAGGCTTAAAGATTCTTAGTCAGCCTAGGAAATCTAGCTAGTCCTGTCTCTCATTTCCTTCTCTATAGGCAGTTTTAAAAAGTGTTATGGCTTATTCCTCGTTTGTTCCTTTTTTTTTTTTTTGAGATGGAGTCTTGCTCTATCACCCAGGCTGGAGTGCAGTGGTGTGATCTCAGCTCACTGCAACATCTGCCTCATGGGTTCAAGCCATTCTCCTGCCTCAGCCTCCCAAGTAGCTGGGATTACAGGTGCACACCACCACACCCAGCTAATTTTTGTATTTTTAGTAGAGACTGGGTTTCACCATGTTGGCCAGGCTGGTCTTGAACTCTTGACCTCAGGTAATCTACCCGCCTCAGCCTCCCCTAGTGCTGGGGTTAAAGGCATGAGCCATTACAGCTGGCCTCATTTGTTACCTTTTAATCATAAATAATTTACACATTAATATTCCTCCTTCTTAGTAAAACATACAAATATTTTCCCTGTTTTATTTAATCAATATATGTCCTGAGGACCATGCTACAACAGTGTATATCTCTCATCCCTTCTACAGCTGCAGTGTATAGCTATACTACAGTTTATTCAAATTCTTAAAGACATTTATCCAATTCTTAAGATATTGGAAATGAAAAATGCAGCCCTACTGTTGCAGACTGTCTGGTTGGTAAGAGAAATGGGGATTTCAGGAATCTCAGGTCTCAAAATATGCAGAGAACAACCTATTCCTGGATACAGGCTAAGTTTTTCATCAGTAATACAGTCCACTTCCCACAACTGTATTCTTTCTAAACTGCTGTAATAATTTATGGTTGAAACTAAAGTGTCCATATGTATAGGTTCTGTCCAATTTCCTATTACAGACTTCCTTTAAATAAAGCTTGTTTGTTAAGTAAAATCAGTATAGAAGTTTAGCCTGGGAAATGACCCAAACCTAGCTATCTGAAGGTAGAGTTATCCATTCAACACCATTGTAAAATGTCTGTATATCAGTAGATACCTATTGGGTAGAAACCTGTAATATGAATTAAATGTTGAATGTCTACAAGCACTTCCAGAAAGTGAAAGCTTATTTGGAAGACACTAGAGGAATTATACTGTTGGTTATAACTATGTAACTTATACTTGTTTCTAAGGACAATAATATATTTGAATTGTTTTGAGCTGTTAATCTGTTAGTTTGGAACTGTCAACCTAGGATGAATGTCACCCATGCTCTGTCACCCAGGCTGGGTGGCATGTGCTTGGGTTCAGTGGTGCGATCTCAGCTCACTGCCACCTCTGCCTCCCAAGGTTCAAGTGATTCGCCTGTCTCAGCCTCCTGAGTAGTTGGGATTACAGGCACATGCTGCCACACCCGGCTGATTTTTGTATTTTAGTAGACACGGGGTTTCACTGTGTTGCCCAGGCTGGTCTCAAACTCCTGACCTCAGGTGATCTGCCCACCTTGGCCTCCCACAGTACTAGGATTACAGGCATGAGCCACTGCACCTGGCCTAAAAAGACTTCTTTTTGTGGGTATTTTAATGGTGTCTCTGATGGAAGTCTGGCTGCATTATCATCCAGGCCCTCTATGATAGTTATCTTTTAGATTTCTTGTATAATACTGTGAATGAACTCTAGTTGCATGAGTTATGTTTTTTTTTATCTCTCTCTTCAAAAAGTGCCTGACAAATGAATGCTAATCTCTCTATTATGGACAAGTGAAGTTTATAGCAATAAGAATCTAATGATGTGATTATGTGTTGCAAATGTGGGATCACCTATCTGCATATAAAGAACACAATGGTTGAGTTATTATTCTTTAGAATCTAAGCACTTATTCCTGGTAATCATATTGATTACTTTCTAACAAGTCTAAAATAATTCTAAATCAATTACCATAAAGAATACAAATATTTCAGACTGGTCTTCAAGCAATTCTATAATTTGTTTCTGGCTAAGTACATGTACATATCCTGTTTCTCAGTAACAATCTAATATGCACCAATGTCAATATTCCAAGGACTCTCTCACCTCTCTCATTTAAAAATTCCAAAATTCTGTAATTATTTTTCATATCAATCATGTTACAGCATAATGAATTTCTCAATATTTTATAATCATACAATCATCTTTATCAGGTTTCCATAGATAACTCTGATTAAAATTTTCTCCTCCTCATCTGTTACTGAATTTAGTTTATACATCTTTTCAAACATTGATGATAATGTCATTTAGTTTTAATTTTTATAAATGCATCTGTCAGCTGTCAGCTATTATTGACCTGAAATCCTAAAGAAATAAAATTTTTTAAAATGTAAATCTGAACATAATTGTAGATGTACTATATGTAAAAATAACAATAGAAATAGTCGTTACTATGTATTGTTAGCTCATTATGTTACATGCTTTACAGATTGATTTCCATTCTTATAGTAACTTACTTAAGATGTTATGCCTGGTTTACACATGAGAAAATATGTGCTCAGAGGGCATAGAAACCACAGACTTTCAATCATTTTTCTTGTTTAACATGAAAATGTTATTTCTAATAGGAAGTAATAAAATTAAGAAACCATTTCTATCTTCTGTTTAACATTTTGAATTCATTTCAGTTTTCTTTGACTTTTTTTCTCAGCAAACCTTGTTCTTAGTCTCCCAGTTGAATATATTGCACAAAAATCTTAAGGAATTTTGTATCACTGATTAGAATGATAATTTTTCTATTACTTAAAAATGTGGTCTATAAAATTTATAGTACTTTTTAGTATCATTAATTCTTATTTCAGCTTTTGAAACCATGGGCGCAGACACACACACACACTCATCTTGCTTGCATATTTTAGACATTTATTAATATGTTAAGTACAAGGAAGCAAAATTTTAACAGATAAAAATCATAATTTTAGATATACTAAAAAACTTTTGCTTTTTTCTGAAGCTTTTATTTTCTATAAAACTAAACTTTAAATAATTTTGTTCAGGTATAAAATAATTTGGATACATATCCTGTTTTAAACTAGTCTAAAATTTAAGAAGATTTACATACTACTTTTAGGTAATGATAGAAAGAAGCTTATTTTCCACTCACAGAAAATTAACATATCTTAGGAATATACTATATATTCTCTATGTTTGACAAAACTTATGTATGTATTTGCATATGTGTCTATCCATCATCTGTCATTCTACAGAGAGAATATTATGGGATTCACAAATATGGAGCTCTACTTAGCACTTATAACAAAAAAGTATATATTGATAATGGTCTAGGCTCCTTTATTAATAGATTAATTTCACCAACATACCTAATTAAAATGAGTAATGAAATTTTTTTTTGCTTTTCAAATGAATTCACTTACATTTTTTAAAAATTATATTGTATCTTTCACATATTTCCTAGAACATCAGTAGCATAGTGAAGGGAATTTCTATAAGAATAAATTAAAATTATAAAACTATATGTTCTGTGTATAACAAGTAGAATATCATATTGATATTTATAAAGCCATTCCAATGTATCTAGGTATAATTTTATTTCTTGAAGTAAACTGAAGAATAATTTTAGTTTTCAAAATATTCTTGAAGAGCTTGTAATTTTACAAAAAATTGTTCAAAGGAGGGGGTGTCAGGAAGACACAAGAAAATTATTTTAAGTCAAATGAGAAATATATTAAATAAATATGCTTGCAAACTTTTAGGGAAAAGAAAATGATGCAGAAGACTGCAAGGAGGCCATTTTGATTGAAGAAGCTACTGAAAATTCATATTGTCCTTTCCTGTGCCTCTAATTCATCACACCATACCATTTCATGTGCTTGTGAAAAATACAGTCTTCCTTGCCATGTTAATGAAAGCTTGCTTGACTTGCTGATTTCTTAGGCTGTAAATAAAGGGGTTCATCATGGGGGCTACTGAGGTGTTTAGTATTGCCACTCCCTTGCTCAAGGACACTCTATCTTTTGCTGAGGGTTTAATGTACATAAAAATGCAGCTGCCATAAGAGATGGAGACAACAACCATGTGGGAAGAACATGTGGAAAAGGCCTTTGTCCTCTGACTAGTAGAAGGAATTCTCAAAATTGTTCTGATAATGTATATGTAGGACAGAAATATTAATGCCAAAGTGAACATTAGAGTAAACGCAGCACAAGAAAATCCCATCACCTCTAAGAATTTTGTGTCTGAACAAGCAAGTTGCAGCAGTGGAAAATAATCACAGGTAAAATGGTCAATAATATTAGACCTACAGTAATGAAGCTTTAAAAGCAACATGAGTGCTGGGAATATGATTAAGAATGAAACCAGCCAAGAAGTAAAAACAAGCAGTGTGCAGACTCTTCGATTCATGATACTCAAGCAATGCAGAGGCTTGCAGATGGCCACATAGCGGTCATAGGACATGGCAGCCAGAAGGTAAAACTCTGTGACTCCCAAGAGAATGAAGAAAAATAACTGAACTATGCAATTATTAAAGGAAATGGTTTTATCTCCTGAAATAATGTTACCCAGAAACTTGGGTATACTGACGGTTGTGAACGAAATTTCTAATATGGAGAAATTTCTGAGGAAGAAATACATGGGGGTCTGCAGGTGGGAATCCAGCAGGGTAATTGTGATAAGGGTCAGGTTCCCAGTGATGCTGAGCATGTAGGTGATGAGCAGGAAGACAAAGATTACAACCTGAAAATTTGGGTCATCTGTTAATCCCAGAAGAATAAACTCTGTTATTTCTGTATGGTTTCTCATTCTTCAGTTGCTTTCTTTTTTCCCCTGCCAGACCTACAAGAGAAAGTACAAAGAACAAACTTGAAGAGTTATCAATTAACAAATATCCAAGTACGGAGCTGGAGTTTGGTTGACATAGTATGCCATTTCTACTTCAAGGGGAAATTTAACGCCACCCGATAATAACAGTGGTCCTTTAATTTCCACTGTTTTACAGGTGAAAACTCTTCACATAAGACAGGTTAAAAATTAAAGTTTGTTATCACAGTTGGAAGTGGTAGGGCAGGAATTTGAAACCAGACTTTCCTGACTCCACATAATACCTGTTATCTTTCAAAGACATGCCTACAAGTTTCCTCCCTAATCAGAACCACCTTCGTATTCTTGCACAAATCCCTATACAAGTTTCCTATTTATGTAAAAGTTTGATTACTCTGATGATTCTCAATATGGAGAAGATACTTGAGGTTGTTTTTTTTTGAGGTGGAGTCTCACTCTGTCACCCAGGCTGGAGTGCACTGGTGCAATCTTGGCTCACTGCAACCTCTGCCTCCTGGGTTCAAGCGATTCTCCTGCCTCAGTCTCCTGAGTAGCTGGGATTACAGGCACGTGCCACCACGCCTGGATAATTTTTGTATTTTTAGTAGAGATGGGGTTTCGCCATGCTGGTCAGGCTGGTCTCGAACTCCTGACCTCCAGTGATCCACGCCCCTTGGCCTCCCAAAGTGCTGGGATTACAGGCATGAGCCACTGCAACTGGCCCAGTTTTTAAAAAGTGAGTGCTTTGTCCTTAGCCATTGTGAAAGTTGATTGTATGGATTGGGTTGGGTCATTTTTGTCATACCCAACCAACACAGGGTCAAGATGCCAGGTGGGAAAAAGCACACAGGGCACATGGCATTGCTCTAAGAATGTAATTCTGTGTAAGCCTGACTGCTGAAACTGCCTGCTGTAACCTGAAATCTGTGTTATCTAATAGCTGCTGAAATCACCTGCTGTGATCCTATGGGTATCCTATGGGTAGTTTTACTCATTGCCTTAACTTACCAATCAAAACTTGGCAGCTCCCCTAAACCTTTCCAGTGTCAATGAACTTTCTTGAAGAGCAATAAATAACATTTCTCTTTTTTATGCAGATTCTAACCTTCTCTTCGTTCTTTGGACATACTGAAAAACCACCTGGTCTGTGTGTATTCCTTGAATTGAAGTTTTTGGTTACCACCTAAGATGTTTTAAATTTTAGAGATTTGTCTCTGTATTTTATTTAACCTTAATGCCATCGATCAACTTTTGTGAATATTCAGATTTTCCAACTCCTACGTCCACTTTATTGAAAATCAGAAATACTTAAGCCATTACCATGAACAACTTCAGATGTTTGGAATACAGAAGAGGAAGAAGTATAGAATAATGTAAGCTGGAAGAGCCCAAAACTGAAGTTTATTGCATGTGAATCAATATTTCATGATATTTCATGATATTTCAGCCTACCTATGTGTCATTTTATAACTTTTATTCCTGTAGAAACCATTTTGCTTTATAATTGAAATAAATAAGTAAATAATAAAATATTATTAATTTGAGAAGGATGCCCTCAGTTAAAGAGATGATAGATAAGTATTCTCCAAGATTTGCTTAATTGTGTATTCATACTTTGAAATAGCAATTTTTAATTCTTTCTTTTTAAAAATAAAGTTCAGATGATATTGTCATAAACATTTCCATAGAAAAGAGTGAGGTTATCTAGTTTTGAATCCAACCCATTTACTACGTCTGAAAATCACTTAACACTTCTGTGTCTCAGTATCCTCACCTATAGTTTCTTCCACTGTATACAAGTCTGTCTCATAGTTTTTGTGAGCATTAAGTTAATATATTTAACTTAATAACTTTCATATAACTTAATATATATTAGCTTACTTATAACTTTTCTAAATTCTTTATAAATATGTGTATTTGTATAATTTATATTTATATTTTTATATAAATAAATTTATTATATATTGTATAATATATATTTATAAAGCATTTAGAAAAATGCTTAGCATTTAGCGAAAGCTGTATGAGGCTTTGTTCTATGGAGAAAGTATTTCCTAACCATTGAGCTGAAAATCTCTGGAAATGGGATGGTGTCCTGTCCAAAAGTTTATGACTTAAATAAATAGTAATAATTATATTTGGCACCAAGAGAGTCACATGAGAACAATAACAACAAAGCAATAGGAAAAAAGTCACCAGGTTTCATAGTACCTGTCAGATATTCTAGGCAAGTAAATCTTTGCTCTTCCTTGTCTACATGGTGCTGACCTCTCCCACCATGGTATAGCTGCCTCTTTCACCTCATAACCACCACCACCACACACACACACACACACACACACACACACACACACACACACTCCACTTATCTTCAACCAGGATTTGATCACTGTGATGTTCATAGCTTGTCAACATTGCTACTCACAGCCAGTTATTTTCTCTGCTCTTCATTAGTAATAACCCTTCTAAAAGTGGTTGAAGCTTACAGTAAATTATATGTGCATATATATTATATATACATATGTGAGTGTGCATATGTATTTATGTGTGTGTATATATGTGTGTGTATTTATGTGTGTGTATATATGTGTATGTATATATATGTGTATATATGTGTGTGTGTGTGTGTATATATATACATATATATATAATATATATATATATATTAGCATTGTGGGTAATACATTGTGGGTAATACATTGTAATGACATCCCAAATTACCTTTGTTCTTATTTCTACAACACTAGGTTTAATACCCATTGTGTACATTGCATGAGAATATTATGCTCATTCTTCCCAACTCATCACACTTACAACAGGCTGAAATCTCCTGTTAACTCCTCTGTTACTCTGTGCATTCTTGAGAGTTAGAACAGGATTTTATCTTCAAAGCTATTTCAACATAATCCAGTATTTAGTATGGTTGTGGTAGGCTTAAAGGAAACACTCATCTAGTTAATTAATTAATTAATTAAAGTTGAGTTTGTTATTGAATCACACACTGCCATCAGTGCAGTTTGCTATTTTATGCTGATATTCTAGCCTGGATCTTACTTAGTTTTTTATCTTTGTTTTACAAGATGTATTTTCTTACATGTCTTACCTTGTGAGCTGTGTTTACATATTTGGATCAAGTTCACCGTATTGGCTAAATTTAAAACAAAAGATATGAAAAGGGAACCACATTTTATTGATACATAAGTTTAAAGAAAACTTCATGAAACATTATTTCTGAATTACTGGGTTTAAATTTTTTTACAATTCATCCTTTCATTTCACTTTACTCCAGCTCCAGCAACATCATCCTTATTTCATCAGGGTTTATTTTTCATTAAAAGCATGAGCTTTTCATAACACTGTGAAGTCACAAAATACATTCATACCAAATATACAAGATTTGGATTCAATCTGAAGATTCAATTTTATTCAACAATTTACTGACATGAGAGACTCAAGTTTTTAAAAAATATATATTATATTATTACTGGTCTATAGTGAATAATGTATCAATGCACTGTATTATTCACCTTATTTCAACTTTTTTTGTAAATCTGTTTTCCTCTTAAATTCCCTGCTAATTTTTTTTAACACTTTACTCAGTAATAATACCATGACTCATTCTTTTGCTTCAGATGAAAGCTGTGAGGGAACATAGGAAAAGCTGTGAGGGAAGATATAAGTTGTTATTTGAAGGGTTCATGAGAGACTTCACAAAAAAAATAGACACTTCCATAGCTGGTCTTCAAAGACTAGGGAAACAGGCTTAAAGGAACTCTAGTAGCATGTGATCCAATAACAAGAACTGGGTGTGGTATATCATGCTTTTATGTAGAAATGTTTATGAAAGTTTAATGAATTGTATTCAGTTGCCAATATAAAATAAGCTTGATAAAAATTATCAGCATCCATAGTCCTTTGAGAGGATTGAACCTCAATGTTTAACAAGTTGCAATGAATTCCTAGAGAATTAAAAGATCTCAGGACGTATTCATATAGATAATGAGGAATAGGTCCAAGCATTTAATTAGTTATCTTGGATTTTTATATCTGAATGCAAATCCATATTTTCTCCTGGAAGAATATGGCTTAGGTTGTTTTCATTTCCTTCCACCATTTCAACAAAATTACTTACTTGTTTTCTAAAGATTCCTGCAACAAATTATTTGAGCCATTTAAAATGAAAATTAAGGGTGATATTTAATATTTACTAAATAAAATGGTTACAAAGCATCTTCAGAGCTTTCTAGAAACAACCCTATATCTTGCTCTGCCATCAGGTAAATATTAACGATGACCCCTTAAATAAATTAGGTTAAATATTGGCAGTTATTTGATGTGCCTGGTAAGAAAGGGACTGTTAGAGACTAAATCAGTTTGAAGAATCTAGGTATGTGCTTTTAAGAGACTGAGATAAGGGACTGACTGGCTCTATTTTATTATTCTCTCGGGGGGTGTGTGTGTGTGTGTGTGTGTGTGTGTGTGTGTATGTACTTTTTAATAAGGTATTAAATTACACTGAGTTGAGCCCTCCCTTAGTAATGCAAATACTTTGAAAATCTAGTTTTTAAATTTTTCTGTGTTTACTCAGTTCTTTCTTCTTCACCTTAATAGAGATCACTGAAAAAATTTTGCAGAGCGTATCTTCAAAAACTATATTGCTCATATAACTCTGTGTTTTTTTTCAACTTTAGAGCTTAGGTTAATACACTAATGAAAAAGAAAATTATTTAGCTCAATGTTGTGGGCAATATATAGCTCAGTTTTATAATTATGCTGAAATACACTTTGGTACTGCTCGGTTATTCTAGGCTGTGGGCCATGACACAAGGGTTACTTTGAGAAATTCTGTAGGCCTGAATGAAACAGTGGCTCTTCAGGAAAATTCATTGAGTGCTTGAAATAATTATTTTATTAAATTTGTTTTTTACTGTTTTTATAACAATTTTAGATGACTATTTCCCCGGAGAAATAGGAATAATTTATATTTCTTCCTTTCGATAATGATGGGCAGGTTTAATTCTCAACCTTCATACAAGTGTGTATAGAAACAAATCAAGGGAAAAGAGGTGTCACCAAATCACACTTAATTTCATAAATAGTAACACTCATTTCTGTAAAGGTTTCTGGAAAATAAACACTCATAACCTCATTCCTTCAGTTCATTAACTAGCCATTTATAATTTTAACAAGATAGGAAAAGGACATAAATTAACAGAAAACTGTGGTATTAACACACTGTTAATTTCTTATTTATGACCTATAAGGCCAATTTATTATCACAGAAAGTATATAGGCTTTAACGTTAGAGAGATATGAATGAGACATTTAATGGATTTGTGACTTTGGGTGAGTTACTTAATGTCTTTAAATTTCAGTTTTCTCTGTTTAAAACAGAGTTGAAATTTCAAGGATGTTTTTGGGAATTAATTGAAATACTATAAATAAGTGTTCCATAAATCATGCAGCATTTAGTAGGTTCTAGGAATAGTTTATTATTTATTTTTCCTTTATTGGAAATTAATTTGGGAAAATATTCATTGTAGTTGTGATTTATTAAAGGCAGTATCTATTCTGAACTAGGGACTTTTTTTCTTTATCTCATTTAGACTTTATAACATAACTGAAGATTTTATCCTTATTCTGAAAAGAAGAGCTGAGGCTCAGAGAAATTATATAACTTAATTCATATAGCTAGGCAAACATTAAGTATAATTCAGACGACTTAGCCTCTTCTCTTAAGCACAGTACTATATAGCTATATTTGATTAAAAACACAGAGACAGAGATAGTGATTTCCTGCTTTTAATTATTAGAGAATGAATAAACTGGTATAATAGGACATGCTAATCCTTTTTATACATTTTATTATGTGAAGTTTCAAAGTATAATACCTATTTACTTTGATTAAAAGTTGAGCTGTTAAGTAATGATTCAATGCTATGATTTGAGAGACTTCCATTGCCTTCCACAGGTTTTACTTACCTCTGATTTTCATATAGTTTCACTAACATTCAGAATGGCTGGAATAGTAGAGATATTAGCAAATGCCATTGCTATCCAGTAAAACCAGGATTTCTGAAAACATTCACTTTCTCATTGAAGAAATTTTCTTCCTATTTTCAATCTTTTGTCTTAATTTTCCCATTTTATCCAGACAGAATATGTGTCTTTGATAGTAGAGAGTGAGAAAGGAGCAAAAATATAAAATAGGGAAAGTATCTGAAAGTGTTTTAGAACTGTCTGGCATGGTTTCTACATAGATACTAGATGCCACGAGGTACGTAATGTTTCATCTAGTCTGTCTGCCACTGGCTCAAGGGGACTAATTCAGTGAATCAAAATTGCCAGAAGAGAAATGTACACAAAACACTAGGGAATATAAAACATAATACACATTACTATTTAAATTGGAAAAGGAAGCTTGGGGCACAGTGTCCAATGAGACAGAAAAGAAAATAACAACAAACAAAAACAATACTAAGTGTGAAGATTTTTTTCCCTTGACATTATATGGCATACAGAGATAGCAATCAAATATCTTCATTCTTAGTGCAGATCTCTCTACTCAATACTCCATGCCATTTGTAAAACTGGGAAACTACTACCCCATTATTTTTAATCTGCCTTCTAGTAACTTTTACTACTGTAATACTGCTCACACTTTTCTCTGCTCACTGTATTGCTCACCAGCAATGGCAGTTGAAGAGTTTCTTGTTTTGATTGATTAATGTTACAATTTATATACCAAATATATTTTTAGGAGTTAGTGTCTGTCTAGACTATAATAGTATAATCATGCCCAAATGAGATAATGTAACTGAACAAGACAATAAAATTGTGCAGATTCTTAGTAAAAGCTATGCAAAATTTGCAAGTCCTTGCAGAGTTTCCACTATGTGTAAAAATAGAGCAAAGACTAGTTTTTTGGTTTGTTTTTTAAAATATACTATTATATTGTGTACTATAACTCAGTTACCTTAGGCAAATTACACAACTTTTCTGAGTATCAATGTACACATTTATACAAAGCAGATAACCACGTCTATTTTGCATGTAGCTATAAAGATTAAATGAGATATGAGATAGAACATACCTACCCCAGCATATGGAACAGAGTAAGTACTCTCTATAGAGGAGCTATTATTATTTAGGAAGTTTATATCAGACTCTCAGGGTGCCTAAGAGCAATGATGGCTGCCTAAATATTTATCTTTTTATACATTTTCAAAAACAAAGACATGATGAATAAGGAGAACATATAAATTAGACATAGTGTGTACCTTCAGCATAACTAGAAAATAGAGTATATTTTGAACTTCAAATTACTTGTGAGTAGGAAAATAAATACCCAAGTCCATCAGATGAGTAGGAAGAATTGGACGGATACTGCATGCAAAAAAGGTTTGTTGCAGATAGTAATTTATTTCATATATCATATATATAGAACATTTGAAAAAATTGTTATGTGAGTAACCAAGAAGAGAAATTTTAAGAGTAAGTTGATTAAAAGAGTGTTTACTTCTTTAAGTAACCATGGTATGAACCATTTGTATTGTTCAGAATAATCAACAAGGTGATTTATGTTTATAGCCACTGGTTTTTTAACCAAAATTGGAAATCAATGGTTACGTGGAACCTACAGATAGTTTTAAAGGAAGGCACAACACAGTCACTTTCAAGTTAAAAAGAAAACTGAAGCAAATGAACTCAGCATTTCTGGTAGCTTTGAGATGGGTATAGGAGGATAGTGGACAAGTTAAAACTTCACTTTTCCTTTATTGAATCTTTACGATGACATTCATTCATGTTAGTACATACTTTTCATTTGTTTCTATAAAACACTACTTTGTGAGCCAAATCTTTAAAAGCTTGTTTTACTTGCTGGTTTCTCAGGGTGTAAATAGAAGGGTTCAGCATGGGGGCAATTGAAGTGTTCAGAATAGCTACTCCTTTGGTCAATGATGCTCTTTCTTTTGCTGAAGGCTTGACATACATGAATATGCAGCTTCCATAAGAGATGGAGATGACGATCATATGAGAGGAGTAAGTTCCTCTGACTGGCACATGGGATTCTCAGAATAGTGCAAATGATGCATACGTAGGACAGAATTACTAATGCCAAGGTGATCAGCAGAGTAACAAAGGCAAAGTAAAAACCAATAATCTCTAAAAGCCATATGTCTGAGCATGAGAGTTGTAAAATGGGGAAATACTCACAGGAGAAGTGATCAATGACATTGGAAGCACAAAAATCTAATTTGAGGATAAGCGTGAGTGGTGGAAAAATGGTCAGAAATCCTCCCAGCCATGAACTTAAAGACAAGCAGGGTGCAAATTTTCTTGTTCATGATGGTGGTGTAGTGGAGAGGCTTGCAGATGGCCACATAACGATCATAAGACATTGCAGCTAGAAGAAAAAATTCAGACGCACCCATGAAGATGAAGAAAAATAATTGAGCTAAACAGTTGTTATAGGAAATGGTCTTGACCTTAGTAATAATTGCCCCCAAAAATTTGGGGATGGAAACACTGGTGAATGTAATTTCTGAAAAGGAGAAATTCCGGAGGAAGTAATACATAGGAGTCTTTAGACTAGAGTCTGTCAAGGTAAGGATGATGATGGTTAAATTGTCAGTTATGCTTAATACATAAGTTATAAATAAAAAGATAAAAATTACAATCTGAAGCTCTGGGCTGTCTGATATGCCCAAGAGTACAAACTCTGTAATCGTTGTGTGGTTTCTCATGCTGAGATTTTTTTCTTTCAAGAAGATCCGCTGGCGAAAAATAAAACACACAAAAAGAATAAGTGAAATGTAAAGGAATTAAAATTTAAATATTTGTAATAACTGGCTTCAGTGACATGAAGCAATGGATGTCTTTCCTTGTAGTAATTTTTGTAATATCCACTTATTCCTATTAAAGCAGAAAAATTCTACATAGCCTCTATTAAAATGAAAACACGTATTCACATATATGAAAAGTCTTCTTATTGGTGACTTTATATAAAACCTCTTCATCTAATAAAATCTTCTACATGTGCAATATATCTTTGAATTACAGATCTCTACAGCAATATTTTAAAATTATATATGTCATTTTTATTTTTACATATGGTTTTTCAGTTTCCAGTGTTTTTAGGACTGAAATATCTGATTTTTAGTTTGAATTCCAATGTTATTTACAAACATAAATTTTACTGGTATAAATTTATTACCTAATCACAATTTCTGAGCTTAATAGTAGCTATGATTATTTTTATCCTTAACTTATATTCTTTTAAATATGATCAACAAAAATAAATGTGTTTGCAGTCACAGAAATATAAGACTAGAGTTGCTGTGGTTGCAAACGAAAGTTTTTAACTTATGGGAAAGAAAACACAAGCCAGAGAAATTGATTGTCACATAGATGGAGTTCAATAATATCATTCTACAACATACTGATGATCCATGTATATAATTTTCATGTTTGTTATTTAAAATAAAAATTGACTTTAAAAAAAACTATATTAACTTAATCTTTTTAATCTTAAACTTGCCTGATGACAAGAAGCAACTCACAAGGGAGTTTTTCTGATGCCATAAAATCACATGGTCTCCTTTTTTGAAGACTAAATAATTGAATAAATTTTACGTAGGATTTTCTTTATAGAAACCACAAATCTCTAAAATGTGATCTACATGACCTTTATCTGTCTTGTTCTCTCCTTATCCTTAGCAAATGGCATTCTGTCTGTGATATGAGTTCTGAATATTTGTTGTATTACCTTCTTTCTGTAGCACGAACTGAGCCACTCAGGAGATGATAAGTATCAAAGCTGTTACTGTACATTTTTTCCTACTTTTTGTTTTATTCTTCTGTCAATTAGCATTCTTTTCTTTCAAGAAAATACACACTTGGTCATTAGCATATCATCAAAACTGGCAGATCAAAAGACAGAGATTGTTACTGTGACTTGAACAATGCTGAAACATATTAAATGTAAAATTAATAGTAGTAAAGATGTTAAAGTGATAATTTGGGAATCCCTGGTATTTATTCCAACAAAATTAACTTTTGGATAAAAAAGATAAAAATTTGTCTATTTATTGACAAATAAGAAAAATACTTTTTGGTAGGTCTAATTATGTAGTCATAAACATAATTATAGATTTTTCTTGTTTTATTTAAAATATGAAATATAATGCATTTATAATACATTTCAGGAGACTTTTTTGTCGTTTAGTTTACCCTTGTCTCCATTACATAAAAATCCCTCACACTGAGAAAATATAGGCTGAATTACATGTAAGATTTTTAGCAGCCTCTGTTATTAGTAAAAATAAATTTATCTTTTAGCTTTGCATACAAATGTACATGTTGCTCTGGCCTGAACTCCAAGAAGCTACTATTGTAATTCTGAGACTTTAAGTAAATTTTCAGGGAATATTTATTTAAGAAATTGGAAGATAAAACCATTCAAAGGTCTCTGAATAAGATAAAGATTGAATAGTAAACAAAGATATCACAATTTTACCTTCTCTGGTCACCGTATAGATCCCTGAGAGACTAGAGTGAAGAAAGGAAGGATGCATGGAGAGATACATTCAAGAGAAGTAATGAGTCATCACATACCATTCTGGAAAGCCAAGCAATGTAACAAGATAAAGATGTACCAATCAGCTTATACAATGAAACTGCCTTCCTTTTGGCTATGCTTAATTTTCCTAATACGCACATGGCACTCAGAGTCTACACTCAGGAGATAATTTATTCTCCATTCCTTTCGGGGCTGGTTAATTCCAGAGCTGAACTACTCAACAGTGGATCACTCTTTGAGGGTAGTACCAACAATGCTTTATTCATTCACACATCTCTATATGCATTGAGCAGAATGAATGACTAAATAAAGCATTCTAATATTATAAAAAATCATAAAAATATTTAAAACTTCAGCATTTCATTTTTAATTTTAAAACTAATTTATGATTAAGATTATGAGAATCAAGTGTCACAAGAGTATATCATGATACATGGAATGGTCCTTATGTTTCCAACCAAACCTTCATTTTCAAATAAACCAGTTTTAAAATAAGCCAGTATTAAACATTTATAATATGTTCTACCAGGTATTGTTCTGTATATTCATCAATAAACAGTCACAGTAACACATTCAGGGAGAAGAGGTCTTTTTTGTACAGTTATGCAATTTTTATTACAGAAGATACTGTGTATTTTTTTCTTTTTTTTAGTTAACCAGAAATAATGAATGTCATTCCTTCTCAAGTTATCTAAACAGAGTCATCCTTTTGTATCAATTGCATAGAATACCAGAGAAATACTTGTATGTAATTGAATAATATTATTGATTAAAATTTAGGGAATTTTATTGTTACTATTTTCATTAGTTACAATGCCACAGGACATTCTTTATTTCCTGGGATACGTGTGCAGGATGTGCAGGTTTGTTACTTAAGTATACATGTTTCATGGTGGTTTGCTGCACCTGTTGACCCATCATCTATGTTTTAAGTCCTGCATGCATTAGGTATCTGTCCTAATGCTCTCCCTCCCCTTTCCCACCACCCCCTGACAGACCCAGCTCTGGTGTGTGATGTTCCCCTCCCTTTGTCCATGTGTTCTCATTGTTCAGCTCCCACTTATGAGTGAGAACATGAAGTGTTTGGTTTTCTGTTTCTGGGTTAGTTTGCTGAGAATGATGGCTTCCAGCTTCATCCATGTTCCTGCAAAGGACATGAACTCATCCTTTTTTATGGCTGCATAGTATTCCATGGTGTATATGTGCCACATTTTCTTTATCCAGTCTGTCATTGATGGGCTTTTGGGTTGGTTCCAAGTCTTTGCTATTGTAAATAGGGCTGCAATAAACATACGTGTGCATGTGTCTTTATAGTAAAATGATTCATAATCCTTTGGGTATATACTCAGTAATGGGATTGCTGGGTCAAATGGTGTTTCTGGTTCTAGATCCTTGAGGAATCCCCACACTGTCTTCCACAATGGTTGAACTAATTTACACTCCCACCAACAGTGTAAAAGTGTTCCTATTTCTCCAAACCCTTGCCAGCATCTGTTGTCTGCTGACTTTTTAATAATTACCATTCTAACTGGCATGAGATGGTATCTCATTGCAGTTTTGATTTTCATTTCTCTAATGACCAGTGATGGTGAGCATTTTTTCATATATTTCCTGGATGCATGAATGTCTTCTTTTGAGAAATGTCTGTTTATATCCTTTGCCCACTTTTTGATGGGGTTGTTTTTTTCTTGTAAATTTGTTTAAGTTCCCTATAGATTCTGGATGTTAGACCTTTGTCAGATGGGTAGATGGAAAAAATTTTCTTCCATCCTTTATGTTGCCTAGGTTCACTCAGATAGTTTCTTTTGCTGGTCAGAGGCTTTTTAGATTGTTAGATCCCATTTATCAATGTTGGCTTTTGTTGCAATTGCTTTTGGTGTTTTAGTCATGAAGTCTTTCCTGAATGGTATTGCCCAGGTTTTCTTCTAGGGTTTTTATGATTTTGGGTTTACATTTAAGTCTTATTCCACATATGGCTAGCCAGTTTTCCCAGCACCATTTATTAAATAGAGAATCCTTTTCCCATTGCTTGTTTTTGTCATCTTTGTCAAAGATCAGATTGTTGTAGATGTGTGGTGTTATTTCTGAGGTCTCTGTTGTGCTCCATGGGTCTATAAATCTGTTTTGGTACCAGTACCATGCTGTTTTGGTTACTGTAGCCTTGTAGTATAGTTTGAAGTCAGGTAGTATGAGGCCTCCAGCTTTGTTCTTTTTGCTTAGGATTATCTTGGCTATGTGGGCTCTTTTTTGGTTCCTTATAAAATTTAAAGTAGTATTTTCTAATTGTGCAATGAAAGTCAATAGTAGTTTGATGGGGATAGCGTTGAATCTATAAATTACTTTGGACAGTATGGCCATTTTCACTATATTGATTCTGCCTATCCATGAGCATGGAACTTTTTTCCATTTGTTTGTGTCCTCTCTGGTTTCCTTGAGCAGTGGTTTGTAGTTCTCCTTGAAGAGGCCCTTCACATCCCCTGTAAGTTGTATTCCTAGGTGTTTTATTCTCTTTGTAGCAATTGTGAATGGGAGTGTCTTCATGATTTGGCTCTCTGCTTGTCTATTGTTGCTGTACAGGAATCCTTGTGATTTTTGCATTGCTTTTGTATCCTGAGACTTTGCTGAAGATGCTTATTAGCTTAAGGAGTTTTGGGGCTGAGATGATGAGGTTTTCTAAATATACATTCATGTCATCTGCAAACAGAGACAATTTGACTTCTTCTTTTCCTATTTGGTTACACTTTATGTCTTTCTCTTGCCTGATTGCCCTGGGCAGAACTTACATGCTGAATAAGAGTGGTGACAGAGGGCATCCTTGTCTTGTGCCAGTTTTATAAGGGAATGCTTCCAGCTTTTGCCCATTCAGTATGATATTGGCTATGGGTTTGTCATAAATAGCTCTTCTTATTTTGAGATATGTTCCATCAATACCTAGTTTATTGAGAGTTTTTAGCATGAAGAGGTGTTGAACTTTATCGAGGGCCTTTTCTGCATCTATTGAGATAATCATGTGGTTTTTGTCATTGGTTCTGTTTATGTGATGGATTATGTTTATTGATTTGCATATGTTGAACCAACCTTGCATCCCAGGGATGAAGCCAACTTGATTGTGGTGGATAAGCTTTTTGATGTGCTGCTGGATTCAGTTTGCCAGTATTTTATTGAGGATTTTCACATCGATGTTCATCAGGGATATTGACCTGAATTTTTCTCTTTTTGTTGTGTCTCTGCCAGGTTTTGGTATCAGGATGATGCCGGTCTCATAAAATGAGTTAGGGAGGAGTCCCTCTTTTTCTATTGTTTGGAATAGTTTTGGAAGGAATGGTACCAGCTCCTTTTCATACCTCTGGCAAAATTCGGCTGTGAATCTATCTGGTCCTGGGCTTTTTTTTGATTGGTAGGCTATTAATTATTGCCTCAATTTTAGAACTTGTTATTGGTCTATTCAGGGATTCAATTTATTCCTGGTTTAGTCTTGGGAGGGTGTATTTGTCCAGGAATTTATCCATTCCTTCTAGATTTTCTAGTTTATTTGCATAGAGGTGTTTATAGTATTCTCTGATGGTAGTTTGTATTTCTGTGCTATCGGGGTGATATCCCCTTTATGATTTTTTAAGTGGGTTTATTTGATTCTCTCTTTTCTTCTTTATTAGTCTAGCTGAAGTCTATCTATTTTGTTAATCTTTTCAAAGAATCAGCTTCTGGAATCATTGGGTTCTTTTAAGGGTTTTTCATGTCTCTGTCTTCTTCAGTTCTGCTCTGATCTTAATTATTTCTTGTCTTCTGCTAGCTTTTTAATTTGTTTGCTCTTGCCTCTCTAGTTCTTTTAATTGCGATTTTACAGTATCAATTTCAGATATTTTCAGCTTTCTGATGTGGGCATTTAGTGCTATAAATTTCCCTCTTAACACTACTTTAGCTGTGTCCCAGAGATTCTGGTACGTTTTCTGTTTGTTCTCATTGGTTTCAAAGAACGTGTTGATTTATTTCTGCCTTAATTTTGTTATTTACCCAGTAGTCATTCAGGAGCAGATTTTTCAATTCCCATGTAGTTGTGCGGTTTTTAGTTAGTTTCTTAATCTTGAGTTCTAATTTGATTGCACTCACTGTGGTCTGAGAGACTGTTTATTATGATTTCTGTTCTTTTACATTTGCTGAGGAGTGTTTTACTTCTAATTATGTGGTTGATTTTAGAATAAGTGCTACGTGGCCCTGAGAAAAATGTATATTCTGTTGTTTTGGGGTAGAGAGTTCTGTAGATGTCTCCAGAGCTGAGTTCAAGTTCTGAATATCTTTGTTAGTTTTCTGTCTCATTGATCTGTCTAAAATTGGCAGTGGGGTGTTAAAGTCTCCCACTATTATTGTGTGTGAGTCTCAGTCTCTTTGTAGGTCTCTAAGAAAGTTTGATGAATCTGGGTGCTCCTGTATTGGGTGCATATATAGTTGGGATAGTTAGCTCTTCTTGTTGCATTGATACCTTTATCATTATGTAATGCCTTTCTTTGTCTTTTTTGATTTTTGTTGGTTTAAAGTCTGTTTTATCAGAGACTAGGATTGCAATCCCTGCTTTTTTTTGCTTTCCATTTGCTTGATAAATTTTCCTCCATCCCTTTATTTTGAGCCTATGTGTGTCTTTGCACATGAGGTGGGTCTCCTGAATACAGCACACTGATGGGTCTTGACTCCAATTTGCCATTGTGTGTCTTTTAATTGGGGCATTTAGCCCATTTACATTTAAGGTTAATATTGTTATGTGTAAATTTGATCCTGTCATCATGATGCTAGCTGATTATTTTGTGTATTAGCTGATACAGTTTCTTCATAGTTTAATTGGTTTTTATGTTTTGGTGTGTTTTTGTGGTGGCTGGTACTGGTCTTTCTATATTTGTTCTTCCTTTGGAAGCTTTTGTAAGGCAGGCCTGGTAGTGACATAAATCCCTCTGCATTTGCTTGTCTGTAAAGGATTTTATTTCTCCTTCACTTATGAAGCTTAGTTTGACTGGATACGAAATTCTGGGTTGAAAATTATTGTCTGTAGGAATGTTGAATATTGGCCCCTACTCTTTTCTGGCTTGTAGGGTTTCTGCAGAGAGATCCACTGTTAGTCTGATGGGCTTCCCTTTGTAGGTAACCTGACCTTTCTCTCTGGCTGCCCTTAACATTTTTTCCTTCATTTCAACCTTGGAGAATCTGACAATCATTTGTCTTGGTGTTGCTCTTCTCATGGAGTATCTTAGTGGTGTTCTCTGTATTTCCTGAATTTGAATGTTGGCCTGTCTTGCTAGATTGGGGAAGTTCTCCTGGATAATATCCTGAAGAGTGTTTTCCAACTTGTTTCCATTCTCCCCATCACTTTCAGATATACCAATCCATCGTAGGTTTGGTCTTTACACATAGTCTTGTATTTCTTGGAGGCTTTGTTCATTCCTTTTCATTCTTTTTTCTCTAATCTTGTCTTCACACCTGATTTTAGTAAGGTGGTCTTCAATCTCTGATATCCTGTCTTCTGCTTGATTGATTCAGCTATTGATACTTGTGTATGCTTCAAGAAGTTCTTGTGCTATGGTTTTCAGCTCTATCAGGTCATTCCTGTTCTTCTCTAAACTGGTTGTTCTAGTTAGCAGTTCCTGTAACCTTGTGTCAAGGTTCTTAGCTTCCTTGCATTGGGTTAGAACATGCTCCTTTAGCTCAGAGGAGGTTGTTATTACCCACCTTCTGAAGCTTGCTTCTTTCAATTCATCAATCTCATTCTCCGTCCAGTTTTGTGCCCTTACTGGAGAGGAGTTGCGATCATTTGGATAAGAGACTTTCTGGTTTTTGGAATTTTCAGTGTTTTTGCACTGGGTTTTCCTCATCTTCATGGATTTATCTACCTTTGATCTTTGAGGCTGATGTTTTTTGGATGGGGTTTCTGTGTGGGGTCTTTTTTGTTGATGTTGATGTTGCTGCTTTCTGTTTGTTAGTTTTTCTTCTAACAGTCAGGCCCCTCTTCTGCAGGTCTGCTGCAGTTTGCTGGAGGTCCACTCCAGACCTACAGGACATTCTTATGCATTCATTTGCATATGTACAAGTTTTGGTATAACATACAAATAAGTGCTAAATTTTGATGGATACTTCAACATTTCCCTCCTATAGACACGAATCAATTCTTTTCAGTGCGTCCTAACCAACACTGGATATTATAAATCACTTGAAAGTTTTATAAGCAGAGGCATAAAAATGATATCACAATTCATTTAATGATAAAGATGGTATCATAAAGTCCAGATCATAGGGCCTGGGTTTTGAGGTTAAAAAGAACAAATTCCTTTTAAAGTTGCAAAATTTATTTAACCATTCTGAGCATCAATTTCCTTGCCTATAAAAGGGGAAGACCAATACTCCAAGGTCATGGAATATTATAGAGTTTGAATGAGATAATGGATAAAAGTGCTTAGCAGAGTAGTAATGGTACAGCAATTCTTGGTATATACATGTTATATATTTTTAAATTTCATATTCACCAATTAATAGAGGTTGAATATTTTTAATATTTGTATTTCTTCCCTAGGAATTGCCTATTAATAACCCGTCTTCACTTTCCATTGGATTTATTGTCTTATTTATGAACAGGAGATACTTGTGTATTATGAATAGAAACTATTGGTGTGTCTTATCCATTGCAACAGGTTTTCAGAGCCTATCCTTATTTTTTAACTTTTTAATTATGTGTCTCAACACAAAAAGTTTGGACAGTTTGTCATGAGTTCTTGGTGGCCTATTTTTCTTAGGACATTCTTTCCTACTTACCTCAAGTTTATATGAATATTCTTTTACATTTAATACAAATGAAATATATAACTGAGAACTGGGGAAGTAGTTATTTCTCCTTTTATGACTGTTAGGGAATTAACTATGTGCATGATATATTTTCTAGAGCATAGGCTCTGTGCAACCTTTGCTCCGACCTCATCAAATTGTTCACCATTTCTTGTGACTGTGAGGCAATCTCTTTATTTCTCTGTCTCTCTCTCTCTCTCTCACATACACACATACACACACACGCACACTCCAACCCATACTCACACAGTTTTCTTTAAAGTTTCATCTAAATATCAGGTAATCTATGAAATATTCCCTGTTTGCAAAGCCAGGATTAGTCACTCTCTTTTCTGCTCTTCTAAATTCCTACTGTCACCTTACTCATTTGCAATTATTTCTACATATTTTCATTTCTATTAAAAAGCTACCTAACTCTGACAAGGGCCTTGGTTAATTCATATTTATGTATGCAGTTTCACATAGAGATGTTGCAACACAAAACTTCATTTTGATGCATTATCCTTTTTACAAATCACTATACTTGAATTATTGATCAAAAATTTTTTTTATTTTATTATTACTACACTTTAAGTTTTAGGGTACATGTGCACAATGTGCAGGTTAGTTACATATGTATACATGTGCTATGCTGGTGTGCTGCACCCATTAACTCGTCATTTAGCATTAGGTATATCTCCTAATGCTATCCCTCCCCCCTCCCCCCACCCCACAACAGATCCCAGAGTGTGATGTTCCCCTTCCTGTGTCCATGTGTTCTCATTGTTCAATTCCCACCTATGGGTGAGAACATGCAGTGTTTGGTTTTTTGTCCTTGTGATAATTTACTGAGAATGATGATTTCCAATTTCATCCATGTCCCTACAAAGGACATGAACTCATCGTTTTTTATGGCTGCATGGTATTCCATGGTGTATATGTGCCACATTGTCTTAACCCAGTCTATCATTGTTGGACATTTGGGTTGGTTCCAAGTCTTTGCTATTGTGAATAGTGCTGCAATAAACATACGTGTGCATGTGTCTTTATAGCAGCATGATTTATAGTCCTTTGGGTATATACCCAGTAATGGGATGGCTGGGTCAAATGGTATTTCTAGTTCTAGATCCCTGACGAGTCACCACACTGACTTCCACAATGGTTGAACTAGTTTACAGTCCCACCAACAGTGTAAAAGTGTTTCTATTTCTCCACATCTTCTCCAGCACCTGTTGTTTCCTGACTTTTTAATGATTGCCATTCTAACTGGTATGAGATGGTATCTCATTGTGGTTTTGATTTGCATTTCTCTGATGGCCAGTGATGGTGAGCATTTTTTCATGTGTTTTTTGGCTGCATAAATGTCTTCTTTTGAGAAGTGTCTGTTCATGTCCTTCACCCACTTTTTGATGGGGTTGTTTGTTTTTTTCTTGTAAATTTGTTTGAGTTCATTGTAGACTCTGGATATTAGCCCTTTGTCAGATGAGTAGGTTGCGAAAATTTTCTCTCATTTTATAGGTTGCCTATTCACTCTGATGGTAGTTTCTTTTGCTGTGCAGAAGCTCTTTAGTTTAATTAGATCCCATTTGTCAATTTTGTCTTTTGTTGCCATTGCTTTTGGTGTTTTAGACATGAAGTCCTTGCCCATGCCTATGTCCTGAATGGTAATGCCTACGTTTTCTTCTAGGGTTTACATGGTTTTAGGTCTAACGTTTAAGTCTTTAATCCATCTTGAATTAATTTTTGTATAAGGTGTAAGGAAGGGATCCAGTTTCAGCTTTCTACATATGGCTAGCCAGTTTTCCCAGCACCATTTATTAAATAGGGAATCCTTTCCCCATTGCTTGTTTTTGTCAGGTTTGTCAAAGATCAGATAGTTGTAGATATGTGGCGTTATTTCTGAGAGCTCTGTTCTGTTCCATTGATCTATACCTCTGTTTTGGTACCAGTACCATGCTGTTTTGGTTACTGTAGCCTTGTAGTATAGTTTGAAGTCAGGTAGTGTGATGCCTCCAGCTTTGTTCTTTTGGCTTAGGATTGACTTGGTGATGCGGGCTCTTTTTTGGTTCCATATGAACTTTAAAGTAGTTTTTTCCAATTCTGTGAAGAAAGTCATTGGTAGCTTGATGGGGATGGCATTGAATCTCTAAATTATCTTGGGCAGTATGGCCATTTTCACGATATTGATTCTTCCAACCCATGAGCATGGAATGTTCTTCCATTTGTTTCTATCCTCTTTTATTTCATTGAATATTGATCAAATTTCATCAAGAATTTTGTTATCTATGCTCGTGAGAGATATAAGGCTATAGTAGTTTCCTTTTCTTGTAATTTATTTTTCTACTCTCAAATTAGGGTAATGCTAGCCTCAGAATAAGTTGGTATGTTTCTCTACTGTTCTGTTTTTTGGAAGATGTGTGTACATATGTTTTAATTTATTCCTTAAAAGTTTGGTAACATTAATCAGTGAAATTATCTGAGCTTCATATTTTATTTTTGGAAGGTTTTTAACTACACATTCTAATTCTTTAATAGACTCAGGGATGCTGAATTTACTATGCATTCTGCAGTGAGTTTTAGTCTTTATATTATTAGGAATTGGTCCATTTCACGTAAGTTATCAAATTCATGGGCATGCATTGTTTGTAATGCACTGGGGGATCATAGCTATGCCTTTTCCCTCCTTCCTGATATTGGTGTTTTTGTCTTTTTAAGGTTTTTCTTACCTAGTCTTGCTAGATGTTGATAAATTCCCTGGATATTTTTTAAAAGCCAGATTTTGGACTTATTATTTTCTTTATTGTTTTTCTGTTTATTTTATTACTTTCTGTTGTAATGTTTGTCATTTCTCCCCCTCTGCTTGCTGTACGTTTAATTTGCTCTTCCTTGTTTAATTTTCTGAGGTGGAAATAATGTTCTGATTTCAATTGTATACATTTAATCATGTGTACACACATACATATGCATGTGTGTATATATATGTATATGTCACTGTATAATTTAATTTTTCCCCAAATGTGCATTTAATGCTGTAAATTTCTCTCTCTAAGCACTGTTTTACTTCTAGTTCCAAATTTTTGATATGGTATTTTTTTATTTTCATGTAGCTTAAGATAATTTTATTTTTCCCTTGAGACTTTCTTTTTCATGCATAAGTTATTTAGAATTGTATTGTTTAATTCCAAATATGTGTGGATTTTCTAATGTATTTGCATTATTGATTTCTTGCTTAATTTTATTGTGGCCTGAGAATGCAAATTGTCACTTTATGGTCCAGAATTTGACCTATTTTGGTGAATGCTTCATCTTCCCTTGAAAAATATTAGTTGCTTGACTACAAAAGTGAGACATGAAGATAGAGAAAGGGTTTACCATCAAAAATATCAATCTTGGAGAGCCTATAATAATGTAAATATAATCAATAATCCATAGGAGCAGAAAATATGGGAGGTAATTTTGCTTACTTTAGATATACTAAAATTGAATATTAGTATTTAAGTGAGTGCCATTATCCCTAGTATCAGGCAGAATCAGTATGTTAACCCAAGTTCATTGACTGAAAGTCCAGGGTTGTTTTTATTACAATCAAACATTTTGGTGAAATGGTAGGATGTACACTGCTCTTTGTATTGTTCAAAACAGGGTTATATGTTCATGATGGTATTGTGTAGAATCATATTCCTAAATTCACAGTGACTAAAGTTCTAAAATTTATTAAAATACAAAAGGGAAGCTGACACATTATTCTTATCATTACAATTTCATTATAGAAGATTTCATCCTCGATGATTTATTTACTACAAAAACTCATAAAAATTTAGGATATGTAGCCTGTCTATAAAAAATAGAAAATATTTTTCTTCTTTTGGCCATTCCCTTGATGCTGTTTTGCATAGGGATTATCGACTAAGATAATTTATTTGTTTGCTCTTACGAAGAGTTCCAACTTTATTCAAAATATAACATGTAAAATCAAACAAATCTTGTTAGTCTACAATTTCAAACTTATTTGGCCCATTCACTATATAATAAACTTAACATCACTATCTCTTATATACACAAGTAAAAGCACATATACATTATTTATCATAAGGTCATATAGTGTATGAAATTAATACATAACTTTGTTACTTTCCCTTCACTCTGATTTTATTCTATGCTATTTGTAATGGCTATACATATACATATATGTATAAAATAAAAATCTTCTGCACAGGAAAGCAAACAATCTATAAGGTGGAAAGGCAACCTATGGAATTGGAGAAAGTATTTGTAAATTGTAAAACCCCAATGAAAGATTAATCTCCAAAATATAAATGAAACTTCTACAATTGAATAACAACCTTAAATTTAGGTAAACAACCCTAAATAATAACTCAATTAGAAAATGGGCAAAGGTCTTGACTATACATTTCTCCAAAACACACACACACACACACACACACACACACACAAATAACAAAGAAGCATTTGAAAATATCTTCAGCATCACAATTATCAGGAAATGCATATCCAAGCAACAATGAGATACCACCTCACATCTGTTAGGATGGCTATCATCAAAAAGCAAAAGATAGTTCCTTTTGCTGTGCAGAAGCTGTTTAATTTAATTAGGTCCCACTTGTCAATTTTTGTTTTTGTTCCAGTTATTTTTGGTGTCTTCATCATTAAATCTTTGCCAGGGCCCATGTCCAAAGTGTTATTTCCTAGGTTATCCTCCAGGGTTTTTATAGTTTTAGGTTTTACATTTAAGTCTTCAATCCATCTTGCGTTGTTTTTAGTATATGGTGTAAGGAAGGGATGTGGTTTCCATCTGCATATGACTAGCCAGTTATCCCAGCACTGACCTAGCAATCCCATTATTGGGTAAATACCCAAAGGAATACAAATTGTTTTACCATAAAGATATATGCATGTGTATGCTCATTGTAGCACTATTCATTATAGCAAAGACATGGAATCAACCTAAATTCCCATCAACGGTAGACTGGATGAAGAAAATGTTGTACATATACACCATGAAATACTACACAGACATAAATACAGAGCAAGATCATGTCCTTTGCAGCAACATGGGTGGAGCTGGAGGTCATCATCCTAAGTGAACTAATGCAGGAACAGAAAACCAAATACCTTGTGTTCTCTTATAACTGGGAGCTAAACATTGAGTACACATGGATGCAAAGAAGGTAACAACAGACACCAATGCCTACTGGAGGGTAGAGGGTAGGGGGAGGGTGAGGATTGAAAAACTCCCTGTTGGGTATTATGTTTATTACCTGGGTGACAAAATAATCTGTACACCAAGCCCCCATGAAATGCAATTCACCTATATAACAAACCTGCAGATGTACCTCTGAACCTAAAATAAATGTTTTCCTTTTAAAATAAAAGATATTGTTCGGGAGAATGTGGAGAAATTAGAACTATTGTACACTGTTGTTGGGAATGGAAAACAGTGCAGTCATGGGGAAAAACATTAAAATGGAGCTATCATAAGATCCAGCAATCCCACTTCTAGGTACACATCCAAAAGAATTGAAACCAGGATCTCAAATTGATATCTGCACTCCCACGTTCAATGCATCATTGTTGATATAGCATGTATAAAATCAACTCTCTTCTCTGTGTCTCCATATATTTCTATTTATATCTATATCTATATATCTATATCTATATCTATATCTGTATCTATATCTATATCTAATATATATCTATCTTATGGGCCAGTGTAGACCTAAGTAGTCTTCTAAATAGCCTGTTAAAAAAGAGGCAAATAATATCGAAATAATTTTAATGGTTAATGAACGAGTTTGAATTTAATGAAAAAGTTCACCTTTTGTGGGTACATCATTTGATGTGCTTTGCCAAATATATATAGTCATGCAATTCCCCCACAATCAAGATACAAAACATTTTCATTATCCTAAAAAGTTCCCTTCGGGAACTTCTGCAGCTAATCTCTTCTGTAGCTAATTTTCTGCCTCTGGAACTACTGATCAAATATCTGTTCCCGTAGTTTAGTCTTTTCCAGAATCATATAAATGAAACCATATAGTACTTTTATATGATTATAAATCATTTGTATCTGTTTCTTTCACTTAGCATACCATTTTTAAGATTCTTGTTTTTTATGTATCAGTAGTTTATTCCGATATATGTGTAAACCAGTTTGAGATGGTCCGATGTTGCCCTGGACAGTGAACTGCTGATGTTACTGTTAAATATCTCATTGATTTTTCTAAATCACTTACAATATTCCTCTGGGATACTTTTTCTTCAGCTAAAGTAGCCTAGAGTGGTGTCTTTTATTGCTGATAATTAGTGCTTCTGTAACACTGACCCCCAGAGAAAAGTTTGTCTTTGTTTTATTTCAATAGATTCCCTTGAGTCTATAGTAAGTAAAAACGATAAAATTGCAGCATTTTATAAATGCACAATTGGTAATATAGAATATCTCTTTCTTGCAATAATTGTTTATCTTTCATCAAATAATTTCTTGATTTTAATTTTCACTTCCCAATCTTATTTTATTTCAAAGAATATATGTCTATCTTGTTTGAGGCTTTGAGTGTTGGCAATCTCAATTGTAATAACAAAATTTCACAAAGTTTAAGTTACTTGGAATGAAAGATAGATGTCCATTAAAATTATTAATATCTGAGTATCAATCTTTATAGTGAGGATGAAGTTGAGGAAATGTGGAAATTCTCTACAGAAACACAATACGTACACATTGCCTCTCCCCACAAAAATCATTGGTAATAAATGTGCCTATTGGATAATAAAATGTGGTCATAAAATGAGTAGAATTGTCACTAATTATGTTAGCATGCATCTCTTCCGTGCACACAGAAAGAAATGAATAATAGATCCAAAAAAGGTAAGTCAACTATAATTTTAACTTAGTCTAAAATCAGAAATTAAGGCAAATGTACAGTAAGTGCAACTCATGGAGTTAAATTTGGCTACTGAATTTTCATGCTTTATAAATGTGTTTTAATAGTACATTAATTTTATAGTTATATACTAATGAGTGTTGTAATCTGTTTTATTCATATACTGTTGCATCAATATAATGAAGTAGACTGACGCATTTAATATAACAGAAAAATATTACAAACTGGGACTAAATAGAATTCTTATATGTAGAAAGGATAGAAAGTAATATGTCTTCAGGGATTTTCAATGGTGTTATAAAGAATATGGAGGAAGTAAAAAATAGCCGAAATTATGTAGCCACACTAATAAAATGACATTTCAAAAAGGTTAATTGAAAAGAAGACACAATTTTTTATTAAAATATATAACTTCTTTATTTTATCATGTTTTCATTTGTTTGTCCCATAAGCTCTTAAACGACTGTTGATTTGAATATAGAAAAGTGCCAATAAAAATAATGTTAATAATATGGTGTATTCTCAATGCAAATAAAATATCAAAACTATTGAAATGAGGATCTTTAACTATTTATTGCATCAGTGCTGCCATAGTCATTGATCAGTACAGGAATTATAATTTAACCCTAAATCCTGGTTTTGAAACATCATCCTCATACTCGTTATAAAAAGACAAACTAATAGTATAATTTGTACAGATATGTTAGAAATAATAGAGAAAAAAATTTAAAATATTAATATGATTTTGTTTAAATTACAAATGCAGAGTAGAGTTCATCTGACAGTGATAAGCTAAAATTCATATTTACCAAAAGTATATATTATTCAAGTTCTGGAAGAAACTTTGTGAGGAATATTATAAAGAGAACTAGTAGATTAGAGCAAATTTTGAATTCACCTATGGTATGTAATTATGTGTCATCTACAATTTCAGGCTGGAGAAACCATTTGCACATGGATAAATTTAAAAAGATATATTTTTTCTGCTTTAGAAATACATATATGTATATATATGTATAAATTTTGTTTTTCCCTTTCTATGTAGATTTGATAAGGATCACAAAAGAGAAATGAAGAACAAATCAATGGAAATAGAGTTCATTCTCCTAGGATTGACAGATGACCCACAGTTGCAAATTGTGATTTTCCTGTTTCTATTTCTCAACTACACCTTGAGCCTGATGGGGAACTTAATCATCATCATCCTCACCCTGCTGGATCCCCGGCTCAAGACGCCAATGTATTTCTTTCTCCGTAATTTCTCCTTTTTGGAAGTAATATTCACAACAGTGTGTATTCCTAGATTCTTGATAACCATTGTGACTAGAGACAAAACCATTTCTTATAATAATTGTGCAACTCAATTATTTTTTATCCTTTTACCGGGAGTTACTGAGTTTTACCTCCTGGCTGCCATGTCCTATGACCGCTACGTTGCCATCTGCAAACCACTGCATTATCCAATCATTATGAGCAGCAAAGTCTGCTACCAACTTGTACTTAGCTCTTGGGTAACTGGATTCTTAATCATATTTCCCCCATTGGTCATGGGACTCAAGCTGGATTTTTGTGCTTCCAAAACTATTGACCACTTTATGTGTGAAACTTCTCCTATTCTGCAGATCTCCTGCACAGATACCCATGTCCTAGAATTGATGTCTTTTACCTTAGCTGTGGTGACACTTGTGGTCACACTGGTATTAGTGATTCTCTCTTACACTTGCATTATTAAGACCATTCTGAAATTCTCTTCTGCACAGCAAAGGAACAAAGCATTTTCCACCTGTACTTCCCACATGATTGTTGTCTCCATGACATACGGTAGCTGTATCTTTATGTATATTAAACCATCTGCAAAAGAAAGAGTGACTGTATCCAAAGGTGTAGCTTTGCTCTATACCTCAATTGCCCCTTTACTAAATCCCTTCATTTATACTCTCAGAAACCAGCAGGTGAAAGAAGTCTTCTGGGATGTATTACAAAAGAATTTGTGTTTTTCTAAAAGACCATTTTAAGAATCTGCTACAAATTACAACTTTACCATAAAAACTGGAAAACGGCCTGGCATGGTGGCTCATGCCTGTAATCACAGCACTTTGGGAGGCTGAGGAGGGTGGTTACCTGAGGTCAGGAGTTCGAGACCAGCCTGGCCAACATGGTGAAACCCCGTCTCTACTTAAAAGTACAAAAATTAGCTGGGCGTGGTGGAGAGTGCCTGTAATCCCAGCTACTCAGGAGTCTGAGGCAAGAGAATAGCTTGAACTCGGGAGGTGGAGGTTGCAGTGAGCCCAGATGGTGCCACTGCACACCAGCTTGGGCGACAAGAGAGAGACTCTGTCTCAAAAAATAAATAAATAAATAAATAAATAAAAATAAATATAAAAAAAGTTGGATTAAGGAATCGAAGAAAGTTAGAGTGGAACTGAGCCATAAAGTTCTTCAAGAGACTATCCTATAACTGATAACTGATAAGGAAGAAAAACTGGAAAACATGTTTTATACATTTATTTTGATCATGTTCTCCCACCTTAAGAGTTATCTCACATAGGGTAGTCTCTTGAAGAACTTTATAGCTCAGTTCCACTCTTACATTATATTCTTTCTCATGAAATGTTTCACACTACTACAATCACTTTCCTCGATTCTTTAATCCAACTTTTAAATAACACCTCTTTATGGCATATCACTTTTCAGAAACCACGACTTTGAATAAAATATGCCTTGTATAAATGTAACTTGGCATATGTAATTTGATAACTAATTCACCATATATTTATTGTAATCTATGTTATTGCAGACATTGTGAAGGATTCAATCGGTACCTTTAAGAAGCTTTCATTGTTTAAAGGACATAAACACATAAACAAAATAGGATCATGCATTGCTTAACAATGGGGATACTTCTGAGAAATGTATCGCTAGGTGATTCTGTTGTACAAACATCCAAGTGTACTTCCAGGAACCTAGGTTGTATAGCTTACTACACACCTATGCCATATAGTATAGCCCTTGTTTCTAGGCTGCAAACTGGTACAGCATGTTACTGTATTAAATACTATAGGCAATTGTAACACAATGGTAAGTATTTATACATCTAAGCATATCTAAACACAGAAAAGGTACAATAAAAATATGGTATTATAATATTATGGGGCCATCATTGTACATGCAGTCTGTCATTGACCAAAATGTTATTACGTGGGACATGACTGTATTGATATACAGCATCTAATTAGTGTTGTAATAAAGATCTACAAAAACATTTATGGGGCAGAGAGGATGGCTTCCATGGAATTTTGGAGATAAGGGAAGCCTTTCAAGAGAAAGTAATAATTATGCTAAAATATGCATAAGGAAAGATGACTGAGATATAAATATATGCAAATAACACAGGTATTAGATAACCGCATGCATTTGGAGAATTAGTATACCTCATTATTAGAAAATGGCTTCAAGATATTCAGTTAGGTTCAGTAAAAGCTTTTCTACACACTCTGGAACACTGCGCAGATCATGCACACTTTTTATGTGTTAGTTTCTCCATATGTAAAGTGGGAGAAATGTATCCCATACCTCATTGCTCAGTAAACATATGCTATTAGAACTATTTACCACTCAATAAAAGATAGCACTTACATTTTTGAACAATTCAAAAATGTGGTACAACTAATATTTTTGTGTGCTGATGAAAGTAAAGTCAACAATAAGTTTGAGGAGGTTGAAGGGTGAAAGCACAAAGGGCCCTGTTTGCCAGGATAGTATTTCGGACTTAAATCTATCATATCAATAATTTTCAAAGGTTTGACTGTCAAGAATCACCCAGATCAGGGGTGTCCAATCTTTTGGCTTTCCTGGGCCACAGTGGAAGAAGAAGAATTGTCTTGGGCCACACATAAAACACACTAACACTAATGACAGCTGATGAAGTTTAAAATAATCACAAAAACATCTCACAATGTTCTAAGAAAGTTTACAAATTGATGTTGGGCCACATTCAAAGCTGTCCTGTGCCACATATGGCCCATGGGCTGTGAGTTGGACAAGCTTGACCTAGATATTTTGTAAATGTAATTTCGAGTTATCATTTTTACTGCTTCTGAGTCAGTATTTCTGGGATAGAGTTAATGTAGCCTATGTTTAATATGCACCCCAGGAGGCTGGGTGCGGTGGCTCACACTTGTAATCCCAGTACTTTGGGAGGCTGAGGTGGGTGGATCACGAGGTCAGGAGTTCAAGACCAGCCTGGCCAACATGGTGAAATCCCGTCTGTACTAAAAAATACAAAAAAATTAGCTGGGCTTGGTGGTGGACACCTGTAATCCCAGCTACTCAGGAGGCTGAGGCAGATAATTGCTTGAACCCGGGAGGTGGAGGTTGCAGTGAGCTGAGATCACACCACTGCACTCCAGCCTGGGTGACAAAGTGAGACTCCCATCTCAAAAAAAAAAAAAAAAAAAGCACCCCAGGTTATTGTAGATAACCTGCATGTTAAATGTCAAGTAAAGGCTACAATCTCATTGACATTTCCAACTAGACAGAAGTCATTGAAAGTGTATTTAAGATGAAAAATTTAATGTTAACTTCTTGTTTTTAGGGAGATTACTCTTGGAAATGATATGGAATATGGGGTGTCTTATTATCAGGGTGCAGGTGAGGGGGCCTTTGTTTTAAACTATTTATAAATTTTAAATCTTAGTGTATAAATGTGACAGTGGGACTAGAATACAGGTAAAGAGTCAAAGATATTTACAAGAAAGAAATTAGATATTTTAATAAACTTTTGGATTGTGAGTATAATTCAATGGGAGGGTTTGGGTTTAATTCTCTATTTTCACTCCCAACCACATATACAGTAAATGATTTTAAGGAAGTTCATTTTACTCCACAGCATACAGCAATTCTGACTATTGCATTTTGGTTTTGAATTAAGATAATCCTTTCATGTCCTTCAGATAAACAATTTGCCCACAAGTTTTAATCTTATTATATTCATGCATCTGGATAAAAACAGTGTGGGGAGAGATAAGGAGAGAGAGAAAGAGAAGAGAGTGTGAGAGAGACACAGAGGGAGAGAGAGAGAGAGAGATTTGATCCCAACTAAACGAGATTTATTTTTTTCAGGAGTTCTGAAACAACCTAATACTTAGACATTAATTCTTCTCATTCTGTATACAAATCTCATCTCCACTTTCTGAAAATCTAGACTATATCTTCATAATATAAAATTGTAGTATCACTTGATTTTCAGTCTGAAAGTATCCTTCCATGTATTCATTTATCTCTGAGGAAACTCAGGACCCATGATCTCAGATAGCTTTCCTCAGATAATGTAATTGGTTAATGGTGTAAGACTTTCATCCCCAGGACCATAATTGTGTCATTTTCATCACCATTTTCATCTTTTTTTGTCATTGTCATCATTGTCATCATTGTCATGATCACATATCTAAGACATTCAAATGTATGAACAGAACTGATTTATATTTCTTATTGACGTAGGAATGTTATTATCATCTTTATTCATTCTCTGGTTTCCTGTATGTAGACAAAAGCAGGCAAAAGCTATTCTTGTTTACCACAGTACTATATCAAATCTTAGTTTATGTTCAATTCCTTTATTTTACCACTCAGTTTTAATAATGCATTGCTAACAAATTATGAAGTGATAGCTATGATACCATCTTAAGCATGTAGATGACAGTTAATAAAGTATTTTTATGGTTCTGTTTCAATCAAATAGGCACCTTGAAAATTAAGAAAAAATTAAATATTCAGTTGTAATGTTTCTAATGATTCCAAATATAACTTTTTTCATATAACAAATTATCTGTTTTGAAAGGGAATGGTTATTGTACAAAATCAAAATTGCTGAGAATGAAAGCATTAATAGCAGATGATCTGTAATTCTCTCACTCTATCCTTGATGATGCATGAGGTAGTTTTGATTTAGATTAGACCTTGCAAATGCTCAGATAGAATTTACTAGTTGAAAGACAACCAGCTACTTGGGAGGCTGAGCCATGAGAATAGCTTGAATCCGGGAGGTGGAGGCTGCAGTAAGCTGAGATTGCATCACTGCACTCCAGCCTGGGTGACAGAGCAAGATCCTGTCTCAAAAAAAAAAAAAGAAACTGTTAACATAGGCAGTAGTACAGACGAATCTCAAAATAATTAGGCTGGGTGAAAGAAGCCTAGTCAAAAAGAATACTGCATTATTCTATTCCTATAACATTCTAGAAAATGTGATAGTAAATAGAAATGTAATCTACAGTGACATAAAGCAGGTAAGTGATTCCTGAAGTATAGTGACAGAGGTATAGTAAGCAGGGATACAATGTTGCATTAGGAAACTTTTGGTAGTGCTGGATATGTTCAATATTGTACTTGCAGTGATGATTTCAGCTTTATATAATTCTTAGAAAATATAAAATAAGGCTGGGCACTGTGGTTCACACCTGTAATCCCAGCGCTTTGGGAGGCCAAGGTGGGTAGATCATTTGAGGCCAGGGGTTTGAGACCAGCCTGGGCAACATGGCAAACCCAGTCTTTACTAAAAACAGAAAAATTAGCCGGGTGTGGTAGTGCACGCCTGTAATCCCAGCTACTTCAGAGGCTGAGGCAGGAGAATCACTTGAACCTGGGAGGCGGAGGTTGCAGTTCATGCACGTTGAGATTGTGTCACTGCACTCTAGCCTGGGCAACAGAGCGAGATTCTGTCTCAAAAAAAAAAAAAAAAAGAAAGAAAGAAAATATAAAATATTTTACACGTGTCGAAGCTTATATTGTATACTTTAAATCTATGCAGTTTCTTCCATACCACCTCAATAAAGCTTTTAAAATGTGTATTGACTCAAAATGAATCACTTTGCTGAATAAATACTGCATATAATAAATATGTGCTTTTTGTATATAAGACCCAATGGTTTTATAAAATTGTTATGAAAACAAATCTAGAGTTGTTCCTTATCAACACAATGCCATTAAAACCACTGGTTAATATAAGGTTTATCTCAAAGTCTTTTTCTCAATTCTAGTTCCTTTTCTACATAGCAAATTTATGTTAAGTAATTCTGATCATGGGAAATAATGCAGTCTTCTCCTTGAGCAGCACTAGTGTGGGTCAGCACATTCAATCATTCAGCAAGCTTCCAGCCAGGAAAAGAACAATTTCTTTGTGTAGGTATTTCAACTTGGCTTCAGGAAGGTAATCGAACCACATTTTTTCTTTTCTCTATCCCACTCCTCTCGTTTCTGGTTTTAAGATCAATACTTCCAGCTCTTTGTAAGCATGACATAAATGCATCTACTTCCAGTTGTTGGTGACAGTCTTTAGAATGGCATACAATGCCTTATATTTTGAACGTTTATAGCAATTCATGAGCAATATGAAATTCTCATTTAATATCCAAATTTGCAAGCTACTTTTATTTATTACCAAAATTGTGATTACTAGTATTATCACTGAATGATTCCGAGACTCTTAAATTATTAAAAATGTTTTTTTTTCCATGTTCTACTCCTAGAGTCCTATTTTCCATTTCTTCTGAAAGCTTCATCTTTAGGTATTTCACACCCCACTACCCCTGAAAACAACATTATTGTTTTGATGATTAAAAGAGTAATCCTGCATTGAAACATTGTATTCATTTATAAGGGTCTCACTATTAAAATTAGTTAAAGTATAACTACAGAGAATGTTAAAAAGTCTGCCTGGCTGGGCCCCGTGGCTCACACCTGTAATCCCAGCACTTTGGGAGTCTGAGGCAGGTGGATTGCCTGAGGTCAGGAGTTTGAGACCAGTCTGGCCAACATGGTGAAACCCCGTCTTTACTAAAAATATACACAAAAAATTAGCCGGGCGTGGTGGCTTGCGCCTGTGATCGCAGCTACTCAAGAAGCTGAGGCAGGGGAATTGCTTGAACCAGGGAGGTGGAGGTTGCAGCGAGCCGAGATACCACCACTACACTCCAGCCTGGGTGACAGGGCGAGACTCCATCTTAAAAAAAAAAAAAAAGAAAAGAAAAAAGAAAAAAGAAAAAAAGAAGTCCGCCTATAGTCTGTAATCAGTGAAACTATAAACACTTAATTGGGGATAAATTGAATCCAAATTTGGATTCAACTGTAAAAACGGCAACCCATTTTGGCCTCCTTTTTACTGTGGAGAACTTTTTTTTGCTTATTAAGCTTTCGCTCCAACCTCACCCTTGTGTCCACACTTATTAATTTTCTTGGTTGTGAGACAATGAGCTCGGATAACACTTCAGACAATGAGACCATTGACCCTAGATCATTTCAATTTCTCCTAGCATGTCTCCAACACTGATATCACTCTTTGGGTAGAGCCAGTGATAGAAGCAATGATTTGATATTTCTGAAACCATGGCTTTGGTTCTTTCAAAGAAGCTACTTTGAATTCTATGTTGCCAACTGAATACCACATATGTCTCTTTTTTTTCAACTTTTATTTTAGGTTTAAGGGTACATGTGCAGGTCTGTTACATGAGTGAATTGCATGTTGCTGAGGTTTGGGGTACAAATGATCCCATCACCCAGGTAGTGAGCATAGTATTTGATAGGTCATTTTTTAACCATCACTTCCCTTTCCCTCTCTAGTAGTCCCTAGTAGCTATTGTTCCCATCTTTATGTCCATGTGTACCCAATGTTTACCTCCCACTTGTAAGTGAGAATATGCAGTATTCGGTTTTCAGTTTCTGCATTAATTTATTTAGGATAATGGCCTGCAGCTGCATCCATGTGGCTGCAAAAGACATGATTTAATTCTTTTTTTATGATTGTGCAGTATTCCCGTATTTGACCTTTTTCATTGTTCTGTAAATGCAGAGGAGATACCGGGAGGCCATTTTTCAGAATCCCCTGATCAGTATAGTTCTATCTCAAAGTTTTTCAGTGAGAGTACTTTGCTCAAAATTTGGAAGTTGTAAGAGAAGCAGAGGCTGTTATTTTCCAGAGGTATTTATAGTCAAACCGGAGAGCAAGGTGAGATCCATAGTAACTTCTCATTAACTGTTTGAGAACTACATACTTTACTGCTAAGACTATTGGTTAGAACTTTCTCAAAAATTACTGAAAGTCACTGCCATTTCCCACTGAGCTTTCCTGAATCATTCTCTGTAGGGCTTGGAGCTGAAATCTCTAGTTCTAGTTTCCTCAAGCTTCATCTCTGGTTCTCAGACTTTTGCTTCCCTTCCATTCTTCAAAAGAAGGTTGAGTCTTGGAGCCTACTGCATACAAAAGAGTATAAGTTAATTTGGGGTTGAAATGGGTCACTAAAATGAGCAAGCAAATGAGGAATTGAGATCCTCCATGTGTATCCTTTTTCTTTTCCTTTAGAGACAATTTTTGAAGCTCCACTGCATTGGAGAATAGGATTGAGAAGTAGAGTCACCAAGACATAGGGCAAAAATTCCTTCCAATTAACTCCCATTTGTTGGATCAGCTTATTTCTAAAAGACATTATAGGAAGATAGAGGCCTTCAGGGATTGGCAATTCAGAATATGGAATGTAATCAGGTTTCACACTGATCAAACTAAATGGTTCAGTTATGTGAAGATATTCTTCAGAGAATAAAAATACCAAAGTATGGGATAAAGGAGATAATGCTGGCTGTCACAAAAGGACACTAGATATTCTGCCAAATTCTATCAACAAAAAGGAATTAACTATGAATGCATGCAATAGCATGAATGAAACTCAAAAAATATTATCCTGAGCAAAAGCAGCCATACATAAAGTTCACACGGTATGCCCTCTTTTGTAAGAAATTCCAGGCTGAGTACCATGGTTCATGCTTGTAATGCCAACACTTTGAGAGGCAGAGGCAGGAGGATTGCTTGAGCTCAGGAATTTAAGACCAACCTGGGCAACACAGCAAGACCTCACCTCTACAAAAATTAAAAAATTAGCTGGGTGTGATGGTGTGCACCTGTAGTCCCAGCTACTTGGGAGGTTGAGGTGGGAGGATTGCTTGAGCTCCGGAGTTTGAGGCTGTAGTGAACCATAATTATGCCACTCCACTCCAGCCTCTGAGACACTGTCTTAAAATATATATATATAAAATAAAGAAATTTCAGAAAAGACAAAACACATCTGTAGTGACTGAAAGAACACCAGTGAACACCTCAATCCAGTGACAGATGGGGTTAGAGGTGGGAGATGGAGAATGACTGGAAAGAGGCAAAGGAAACTATTTAATATGTTGTAAATGTTTTCTGTATTTTTACATGAATATGAATATTTGTCCAAATGCATTGTTTTATGTATGCTATTGTATAAAAGATATACTTAATTAATTTGGTAAAAATTTACACAAGCAGAATTGATTAGAAAGCTTTTAGTTTATGAATTATTTAAAATACATGAAAAGTTTCCCAAACTCAAATATAAGTAAATTATACCTTGAATTTATTTCATGGGTTACTATCACATGTAGACTTCAGAGATTATAAGACAACATAAACAATTTGAACCAGGGCCTTAAGTTAAATTATTAATTAATTAATTAATTTATTTATGTTTGAGATGGAGTCTCACTCTGTCGCTGAGGCTGGAGTGCAATGGCACGATCTTGGCTCACTGCAACCTACGCCTTCTGCGTTCAAGCGATTCTCCTGCCTCAGCCTCCCAAGTAGCTAGGATTACAGGCGTATGCCACCACGCCCGGCTAAGTTTTGTCTTTTTTAGTAGAGGTGGGGTTTCACCATATCAGGCTGGTCTCAAACTCCTGACCTCAGATGATCCACCTGCCTCAGCCTCCCAAAGTGCTGGGATTACAGGCATGAGCCACTGCACCTGGCCCAGTTAAATTATTTTTATCCCCCCAAACAACTGAAAATGTTTACAAATATCATATTCTTAATATTCTTTTTTTTTCACATGGCACATGTATACATATGCAACAAACCTGCACGTTGTGCACATGTACCCTAGAACTTAAAGTATAACAAAATATATATATAAAAAATTTTTAATATTCTTAATCATTGTAACTCTCCAGGTGAACCTTCTACAGTAGACTAATTTATTTGCATATTTTATACTCTGATTACAGCATCCTAGAACCTTTAATTTTTTTCTTCATCTTTCAAGGTCCATCATAAGCAATGATCTCTTGGGGGGCTACTTTGATCTTTAAAATTAATCAGATTTTCTACCTCGTTTTTATCACAGCATCAATTACATAATATAATAATTATCAGATTCTGTGTTTTTGACTGTCTTAGGAACGCAAAATACTTAAGAGCAGATACAATATTTAGCAATTAACACACATATTGAAGTAATTGTCTCAGTATATCTAGCAATATTCACTGGTACAAAACACTCAGTATATAAAACTATTATTTATGGAAGAGCTATTTCTAGGCACAGAGGAAATTTAATATTCTGGATTGAAGAAGGTAGTTTATCACTAGAGAGTAGGAAGAGCTACTCAGAAAGAACAACACAGAGGGCTACAGAGAACATAGAGATGTAGTAAACCGAATATGATATTATTCAAGTGGAGAAATGGAATAACTCTGAACGAAGGTAATTTATTGAAGACTGCATTCAATTTTCCCATCCATGTTCCAACAGTATATTATTTATATTCAAATTTTGCCTTGTTTTAAAAATAGCAAAATCTTTGAAGCATGTCCTTGAGAGCTTCTTTCACCTTCTGGTTCCTTAGAGTGTGAAAGGGTTGAGTAAAGGGGCAACAGAGATATTGAGTACAGATACTCCTTTAGTTAAAGTCACCCTTTCTTTTGCTGATGGTTTCATATACATAAAGATACAACTCCCATAAGTAATAGAGACAACAATCATGTGTGAAGAACAAGTGGAAAAAGCCTTGGTGTGTTGTTGAACAGAAGGGAATTTTAGAATGGTTTTGATGATGTATGTGTAGGAGAGGATCACTAACAACAATGTGGTGATGAGTGTCAGCACAGCTAAGATAAAAGCCATTAATTCTATGAAACTTGTATCTGTGCAAGAAATCTGTAGAATAGGAGAAGTGTCACATAAGAAGTGATCAATAGTTTGGAAGCACAGAAATCCAGCTTGAGTCCCAAGACCAAAAGGGGAAAGATGATTACGAATCCAGCTACCCAAGAGATGATTACAAGTTGGTAGCACGCTTTGCTGCTCATAATGATTGGATAATGCAGTGGTTTGCAGATGGCAATGTAGCAGTCATAGGACATGGCAGCCAGGAGGTAAAACTCAGTAACTCCTAATAAAAGAAAGAAGAATAATTGAATTGCACAAGCATCGTAGGAAATTGTCTTGTCTCCAGTCAGAATGCTTGTCGAGAATCGTGTAATGCAAACAGTTGTGAATGAAATTTCTAAGAAGGAGAAATTTCGGAGGAAAAAATACATTGGAGTCTTGAGCCATGGATCCAGCAGGCTGAGGAGGATAATGGTTAAGTTCCCCATCAGGCTCAGGACATAATTAAAAAATAGAAACAAAAAAATCACAATCTGTAGTAGGGGGTCGTTTGTCAGTCCAAGCAGAGTGAACACTATCCCCATTGATTGGTTCTTCATTTTTCTTTTGTCCTGTGAAATCTGCAGAAAATAAAAACTAATACCACAAGTAAGAAAATACATTACTTCATTCTCAACCATAGAAAATTTCGTATTTAGAAAATTACCCTTGTGCAGATATTTTCACAAATCAACTTAGAGTTCATAAAAATGAACATATCCTCCAATTCATCAGTCATGTTTATAAGAATGTTGAGAGATTCTTCTCTTGTCCAGAGTTAAATAAGTCCTACTTGCCACGTTACTGAAGGCTTTTCAGTCATTTGAAATAAGTTTCATACTTTGGTTAGTGTTAACTTTTGATTCATCTTTCAAGCACTTTATCCCAAAAGGCAGTTTAAATGTTTAGTAGGTTGAAATTTCTGAATTTAGCTAACATCTCAAGTAACTTGTTACTTAAGAGATTCATTTATTCATCAAGTTCCATTTTATATTTATTCATTGATATATGTTTATCCATCATCAAGTTCAATTTTATATTTTATTTACTTAGTTTTTGTGTTTCCATTCCTACAGTTTTTCTAGCTCCACTTACGTGCCTATTCGTACTTTATCAATTGCCTTTAGATTGACCACTTTTCCAGTAAGTCATTAACAGTGCCTCAATTCTGTATGACAGAGATATATCCAACAGAAAAACTAAAACTAGTCTTTCTATATTTTATCTTCCATTTTTCTTTAATCTATTTATAATGGTTTCTTATTTCTTTCTTTTGCAAATACAGTAAGAAGCTATATATTGTTTTATTTTCAATGTAAAATGATTTTAAGTACTAGTTGCAGGTCTTCTTACTGACTAGTATTGCAGTTATGTTCCATAGTAACTGATTATAATTTATTTTTCGTTAATTATTTTTGCTAAAGAAAGGCTGCTTCGTCTTAGCCAATTTTCAGAATTCCTGGGCAATATTCAAAAGGGCGTTTTTTCCATTTTCTGGCTTCCTTTTATAACATGCAAGCTATAATAAAAAAATCAAATATCATGCAAGTTATTTTTTTGATTAAGATATTTAATTATTTCTCTGCTTTTTTACATAGCTTAATATTCTTTTATTTATATATATTCATTTAAAATTACTGAATCCCTATAAAACCTTTGTTTTTAATTAAGGAATCCTTAGAATCTTTGTTTTAAACAATGATTGCTCTCTAGTAATCTTAATTTGTGTGTCTTTCATAAATAATAAGTTAATGCATGCATAATAGTACTTGCAATGTAAAAATATTTCTATTTTTGTTATCTCTTGGGTTTTTCATTAGTCACTCCTTTTCTAGTATAACAAAATTTACATGTAGTTTATTTGTATATGTATTATAATACATATTTTACATATAACTACATATTATTACATGTAATGTAATAAATAGAAATTTACTTTTTTCATGTATTATCTGTGAAATTTTTATGATGTGGTAGACTAAGTATAATTAGTGAAGATTTTTTTAAAATTTCATCATTGTTCTACTGATCAAAATCTGGGCTTTGTTAAACACAATAGCTATCTTTAATCTTAAGCTGGATGTAAGTGTGTTTGTAGATTTTCTCAACATGTAAATAGCTGCTTTCTAATTTCCTCTATGATTCATTCAATGCAACTACAAGCTCATAGAGATAGATTAAAAAATTAATTAGAGTAACAAACCTGCACATTCTGCACATGTACCCCAAAACTTAAAATAAAAGCTGAAGAAAAAAAATTAGACTTATTTGTATTTTTAAAAAATGTATTCTATTACATTATATATAAGATAAATAGAGGTAAAAATATGAAAATATAGCTGAAGAAGTAAAAATTTCTTATATATAATAGAAATATATATTAGGAATTTTAAATATATATATAAATATATATAATAATATATATTTAATGTCTATATTAGAAAGTTTTCTTCTTCATCAGAAGGAATAAAGCAAATAGGACAATTTAAGGGCAAATTTAATTCCCTGACTTGGATTTCCAAAGTTGTGCCCTAACTTTTGTTGCACAAAAAGATAAGTTAAAAATGGTGTTACCTTACACAGGGTATATTGGATTTGTTTTTATATTATGGTACATGATAGAATGCAAAGGCTAACTAAATTAAGGATATTTATAATCATTTCAATACACTGTCCCATTATTAAAGAGATATTAAATACCTAGTTTTCTTCAGAAGGATCCATGTAAAGATAAAATGAGACAATATTTTGTTTAAATATTTTCCACTTTCACTTAAGTTCATATTCACTACACATCTCAGGATTCAGACACACACGCAAAATTCCAATGTATCTCTATCATTCTCTACAGTCTGGTTAAATTTCTAAAAGTTTTCATTAATACTTAACTAGACTTGTTACACCAAAGATGAAAGCCTAGGAAAAAGAACAACTTAAAGAAAGACTTTAAGTAGAGAAATGTCACGTATCCCATTAAGCTAGAGGTATTTTTATCTTTTTGCTCAGTAAAGACACAAGGGAATCTATTGAAACTACAAAACAAAAGAAAATAGAGAAAAAATTCCTTAGAGACTGCTGTTCAAAAAGTTTATTTATGCATATAACAATCTATACTGTCTGTTTTTAAAATCTAGGCAATATGCAACAAAACATCAATTGTTCTCACTGTCATGAGGCAACGTGAGAAAATCTGCTGGGCTAGTTTTTTCAAACAAAAAGATCTTTCTGTTACTTTCACTAAAAAAAAAGAAATTCAAAACAAGTGTACAGCAGGCTTGAATATTGCAAACAAATTCAAACTTAAAATGAGGTTTCAATTGTGTACTGGCAGGACACTGGGTATGCAAGGGTAATGGGTTTGATTATTTTTAAAAGTGTCCTTTTTATAAATTTGGAAAAAATCAATAGTATTGCATTTGGTTTGTGACATGCAGGTGCAGGATAATTTGAATATCTGAAGCCCATGAACCGTATTAATATAAAGACTATACTCAAAATGAGTAAAAAGGATTGGTAGTGTATATTGTCTTTGTAACCAAGCTCTAAAAGGTATTAAACAAAGCCCTAAGGACCACAAAACATGACTCAAAACAAATGTCATCAAAAACAAATCCAAATGACTAGTTACTAATGTTTAGTCATGAAAAAAATGCTCACTGTCATCCATTCTTAAGAAAGCATCAGGTCTACTATAGAAATTCAGAGTTGAAAAACAGTCCAGACCTACTACTCTTATACATGAAATACATCAGAACAATTCCTTGGGAAAACAAAAATAAAAACAAATTTGTTCTTTCTTAACCAGCCTTTGAACATTTGTCAAAAAATCAGTTATCTATATATAATAGGTGTGCTGTGTTTCTGTACTCTATTCTGTTCCATTAATCTACTTGTTTAAATTAGGGCAATGCTACATTGTACCATTATTCCAAGTATTAATATCAGATAGTTTTAATGTTCCAACTTTATTATTTTCTTCCAAAGATGTTTGACAATTTCAGGTCTTTTGCACATTTCCATATGAATTTAAGAATCAGTTTGTCAACTTCTCCAAAAAAAAGCTCTAGGAGTTTTGATTGATATTGCATTGAACCTATAGATCAATTTCGGAAGAATAGACAATTGAAAAATATTCAGCATTTTGACCCATGAACACACTCTATTGCTTAATTTTTTAAGGTCTTCTTAATTTATTTTGACAATGTTATGTAGTTTTCAGTGTACACATCACATACATCTTTTGTCAAATTTGTCTCTAAATATGTTGGGCTTTAAAATTTAAGATGGTATTTGACTTTTTTTAAATTTAGAGTAGGCAGGAATATGATTAATTTTTGGATTGATACTATATCTTACAAACTCTCTATACTCATTTACTAAATCTAGTACAATTTTTATAGATTTCATTGGATTTTCTACTTTCATGATGATGCTGTCTGCAAATAAAAATAGTTTTATTTCTTATTTTTCAATCTGGCTATCTTTTATTTATTTTTCTAGACTTATGTCAGTGGCTAGAACTCCCAGTATCTTGTTGAATAGAAATGAGGAGAGTGAATATCCTTGTCTTTTTCCTGATCTTAGTGGGAAAGCTATCAGGTTTTTCATTTTGTTTTGTATTTTGAGATTCATTCTCCTGTCACCCACAGTGGAGTGCAGTAGTGTGATCATGGCTTGGCTCACTGCAGCCTCGACTTCCTGGACTAAAGTGGTCCTCCTACCTCAGCTTCCCAAGTAGCTGAGACCACAGGAGCATGCCACCATGCCAAGTTAATTTTGTTTTTATTATTTGTAGAGATGGGAGTCTATGTTGCCCAGGCTGGTCTCGAACTCCTGGGCTCAAGCAGTCCTCCTGCCTCAGCTTTCCAAAGTGCTGGAATTGCAGGCGTGAGACACCATGCCTGGCCGCATTCAGTTTTTTTGCTTCAATGTTAGCTGTAAATTATTTGGATGCCCTTCATCATATTGAGGCAGTTCCCTTCTATGCCTAGCTTGCTTGGAGTTTTTCTTAGCAATAAATATTGAATCTTATCAAATTATTTATCTATGACTCTTTAAATAAATTTTTAGTTTTTTTAACACACCGTAAATTGCATTAGTTTTTTCCTAATGTTAAACTAAACAGTGCATTCTTGAGATAAACCTCACTTTGGTCATTATATATTATCATGTTTATATATTAATATTATTAAATACATTTTGATTGTTTTTCAGAATTTTTGTATGTATACTTATGAGGAATATTAACTGTGGTTGTATGTTTTTAATGTGTTTGTCCATTTTTGGTGTCAGAGTAATGCTGCCTGAAGATAAATTGGAAAATATTTCCTCCTCTTCAGGTTTTTAGAAGAATTTGTATGTAATTGATATTTTTAAAAATTTGTTGCATAACTTACCAGGAAAGCTATCCAGTCCTAGATCTTTTTTTTTCTATGTGAAGCTTTTAAAATACAAATCAATTACTTTAACAGATATAAGACTATTCAACTTATGTATTTCTTTTTGGGTGACCTTTGGCATTTAGGGTTTTTCAATGATTTTGTCCATTTCATCTAAATTGTCTATTATTTAGCATAAAGTTGTTCATAGTATCTCAACATTCTTTTTTTTTTCCTCGAGACGGAGTCTCGCTCTGTCACTCAGGCCATAGTGCAGTGGCATGATCTCGGTTCACTGCAAGCTCTGCCTCTTGGGTTCACGCCATTCTCCTGCCTCAGCCTCCCAAGTAGCTGGGATTACAGGCACACGCCACCACACCCAGCTAATGGCTAATTTTTTGTATTTTTTAGTAGAGACGGGGTTTCACCGTGTTAGCCAGGACAGTCTCGATCTCCTGACCTCGTGATCCGCCCGCCTCGGCCTCCCAAAGTGCTGAGATTACAGGCGTGAGCCACTGTGCCTGGCCTCAACATTCTTTTAATATCTGTAGGATATGTAGTAATGTCATCTTTCTCAATTCTAAAATTAGTAATTTTTCATTTTTCCCTGATCATTCTAACTAGAGCTATATCAATTATATTTACCACCTCAAAGAATTGGATTTTGCCTTCATTGTTCTTTATTATTGTTGGTTTTTGTTTTTAATTTGCTTTATTTGTTTGCTTTTTGTCTTATGGAATTCTATTCTGCTGATTCAGTGGATATAGGATATTATTATCTATGACTGTTTAAGTAAATTTTTAGTTTTTATATCAGCTAACAGTGCTGAAATAAGTGGATATTCATATGACACAAAATAACCATTAAAGGATTTTGGTTTATTCTAAGAGAATTCATACTTCATTATAAAAAAAGAAAAATAATTTAAAGGAGTTTAATAATGAAATAAATAACCAATTTTATTTTCATAAAGATTGCACTAAAAGTAGGTGATGTCATGAAAGAAAAGAAGATATTGAAAAAGAATGAGAAATGAAGACGAATAAAGTAAAAGTTTTTGAAATTTTTACAAATAGATGGCAGAGCTAGATTATATATGACAAATATATCAATAGATACATTGATTGCTATTCATATACCACAAAAAACTTACAAAACTAATATTTGATAAAGTTAGTATTTCAAATAGGTGAACACAGGATGCTTTTTTATAAGTTGTGAAGGTATAATTGGCTACTTGAGAAAGAAAATAAAAATGTTATCCCTCAGATACCTATCCGGCTTTCCTGAGTGCCCTCTCCCTTCCTTCTGATTCAAATGGCACCTTTCCACATCTCCTCTGATGTGGGACAACTTAAGAATTTTTTTGCTGTGTGATAAATCTAATTATTCTGTCTGTCATGTTAGTTGCTGTGACGTAGGCCAAAGTGCTTCCACAGTGCTTCTTTGTAGTTGCCCCAGTGACTGTTCGAGCAGTGGCCTCTTTGTCTCATAAAGTCTGATGATTTTATAAGGGAGAGTTTCCCCACACAAGCTCTCTCTTTGCCTGCTGCCATCCATGTAAGACGTGACTTGCTCCTCCTTGCCTTCCACCCAGATTGTGAGGCCTCCCCAGCCATGAGGAAATGTGAGTCCATTAATCCTTTTTCCTTATAAATTATCAGTCTCATGTATGTCTTTATTAGCCGTGTAAAAATGAACTAACACAAGAAATATAGGAATACAATCAATGTCATTCAGATTTTCAAGAAGAAGATTTGAAAGAAGAAATGCATTGGCATTTTGAGGCAGGGTTCAGCTGGGTGAAGAAGACAATAAGTTCTGCATCATACTCAACATGCACTTGAGAAATTCAAACAGAAAAATCACAGTATATTATCAAAGATCATTTGTCAGTCTAAGCGCAATCAACTTCATCTTCATTAATTGGTTATTATTACCCTTTGGTGAACCTTATCAAAACCACATAATTAAAGCCATCCTGTTGTGAGGTGAAATCTCATTGTGATTTTGATTTACATTTAGTGATGTTGAGCACCTTTACATTACCTTTTATTCATCTTTATGTCTTCCCTGCAGAAATATCTATTCAAGTCCTTTGCCCTTTTTTGTTTTTTGTTTTTGGCTGTTGAGTTGTAGGAGTTTCTTATACACTTTGGAAATAAATCCCATATCAGATATAAGGTTTGAAAATATTGTATCTATTTCTGTAGATTGCCTTTCACTGTGTTGATTGTTTCCTTTTCTGTACAGATGCTTTTAATTTAATGTAGTACCACTTGCCTACTTTTGCTTTTGTTGCCTATGATTTTGATGTCATGTCTATGAAATCATTAACAAGACCAATGTCACAAAGTTTTCTCAAGCATATGGTTTCTTTTGGGAGTTTTATGGTTTCAGGTCTTAGATTTACATCTTTAACCCATCTTGAGTTGACTTGTGTGTATGGTGTAAGATAGAGGTCTAATTTTATTCTTTTGCATGTGACTATTCTGTTTTCCCTGTACTATTGGAGATACCACCTTACACGTCTTAGGATGGTTGTCATAAAAAATTTAAAAAGATAACAAGTGTTGGCAACTTTGTGGAGAAATCAGAACCCTTACACGCAGTTGGTGGGAATATAAAATGGTACAACATCTATGGCAAATAGCATGGAGGTTCCTCAAAAAATTAAAAATAGGACTACTGCATAATCCAGCAATCCCATTTCTGGTCATATATATGTAAGAATTAAAATTAGGATCTCAAAGTGATGTCTACACTCCCATGTTATTTGCAGCATTATTTACAATAGCTGAGATATGAAGTTGACCCAAATGCTCATTGACAGACAAATAGGTACAGAAAAGGTGCTTTATACATACAATGTAATATTATTATTTAAAAAGAAGAAAATTCCGCCCTTTGCAACAATATGGATACACCTGGAAGATATCATGCTAAGTAAAATAATCTAGTCATGGAAAGACAATTACTACATGATTCCACATATATGAGTTATCTACAATAGCCAAACTCACTGAAATAGATAATAGAATGGTGGTTGATAAAAATTAAGAGTAGGGGAAAATGAGGAGTTGTTCAATTTTCATAAATTAAACAGTTATGCAAGATGAATAAAGTTCTAAAGATCTTCTGTACAACATAGTGACTATAGTTAACATGGTATGGTGCCCTTAAAGTTCATTAAAAAGGTAGAGTTTGTGTTGTGTTATTACCACATATACACAACCACACGTGAATAATGCAAAAAGACACAACAAAACTTTTGGATGTGATGGTTATATTTATTACTTGATTTTGGGGATGGTATTACAGTTGTCTGTCTATGTCCAAACTCATCAAATTTTATACATTAAATGTACTTTTCATGAAGTATCTGACACTATTCTGTTTAATTTGTGAAAACATGATTGAAATAATATCAAAATAATTATAACATTTATAATTTTACTCACTTTATTCAATTTTTAGAGGAAAATACTGAATCCTCATGATTTTATTGGAAAGGATTACAACCAAAGGTTTATAAATGAAACTTGTAACTCTGTAAATATTTTCTACCCCCATACAAGTTCAGTCACCTAAAAAATTCAGGATGCGGGTGTTTAAAAAAATCTATTGGAAAAGTCTAATTTATGCAATAATTATTATAGCTTTTTTCTTTTGTAAAAATAAAAACAAAAAAATACAGAGAAACTCAATATGAGATTAATATTACCTAAAACTTAGAAACTATATTATAATTTCCAAGCAATTTGATATTATAGTAAAGATGTAAGAGAAGAATGTTTTGGGACATATAAAGAAATGTCATGGTGCCAAAACACTTTCTCATTTTTTCACACTAAAACTTAAAGGAATCAACCAAAATACAAAGAATAAAGGAAAATAATATTTCTTGAGACTAGCATTGAGAAAAAGTAATTACCATTCTGTACACTGCTTTTAATGAAGGTTGAGAAGTCACAGCTTTCTCAAAAGAGCATTGTGAATGATTAAAAATTACAAATAAGGTAACGAAAACATCAACTGTCTGAAATTCTGGGCATTTTGTGAATTCACCAGCTGGGCTGTAGCCCAGGTAGGCAACTTTCTCTATTCACTCCTCCACCTCCCCACATTATTCAGCATTTTAGGAAGTGATTAATAAAAATGATTTTGCAATAAATTGTCTTAAGTGACAGTGCAGTCTGTTTACTGGTAAGTGTTATTTGTGTCCTCATTTGTAATGTATTTGATTAATAATGAAATTGCGCACCTTTAAAAAATATGGAGTGATCTCTGTGTTTTTGTTTTTAAAAGTATGGGCTGATGAGGGATATCTACATATTTGAGGAAATCTAATTGATAGGGGTACAAAATTATATAACTTGAAATAATTGAAAATTATTTTATTTTTTATCCCTAGAAAAAAACACAGCCCACTTCCACCCTTTAATTTGGGCAACCATTTAAACCCTATGTCATTCTTTAGTCATGCCTTTTATTAAAAAGGGAAACTATTTACAAAGACCATACTTTGATGTATTGGATACAGATCCATATAGCATTTTCACTAGTGCTGAATACAAAAGTGCACTGCTCAATGAACAACTATATAAAACTTAAAACAGGCTTATTGAGGTACTGTACATATACCATACAATCCACACATTTAAAGTGTACAATCCAAAGGCATTTAGTATGTTCACAGATATACGAACAGTCAATCTTAGAACATTTTCATCGCCTCAAAAGTAACTGTATACCACTTAGCTATCATGACCCTGTATCATCATATGAGCCTGCTCTATGCAATGATCTCATAAGTCCTACAAAAAGACAAAGAGATGAGACAAAATATTTAAGGCAGACAAAGTAGCATAAGCAAAAGTAAAAAGAATGGCTCAATCATGATTTAGTTAGAAAAAATAGAGTTCTATTTAGTAATCGCTTATAAACCCCTAAACTAGTAAAAAGAAAAGTGGCCTTACCTCCTAGAGTTTTCTAATCTAGCACATTCAGGTAATAGTGAAGTAATAGATTATAAAATGTTTTTCATTTATACAAATCTTGCTAGTGGCAACATTAATACAAATGCACAGTGATACGCTACATAAACTAGAATTTTATCATATCAAACCATTGATTTGTTCCATTCAACAATCATACATACCATCTATCCATCCAACATGCACTGTGAAAGAACACACACAAAAAAATCACATTATAAAATCAAGATAACACGGACAAATAAATGCAATTATATTTACTTTTGTTAAATATTATAACATAAATATCAATAATTTTAAAACTTTCAAATCTAAGTAATTATTGTTTTTTATTTATAATATTTCACCATTATCTACAGGTTAAAAATGTAAAAGGAGGTAAAAAGACTAACTCCTTAATAGGTAGGTTAACTGCTTTCTTTAATAAGTTATATACACAGATTCAGGCAGCTCTTCTGTACTTCAATACTTAAACTAAAAATCCTGGTGAACAGGAAAAATTGATATTTCATTCTTTCCCTAAGCACTTTATTCTACCCCAAAATATGATCAGCTTAAATGATTGTCTTAGAAATATTATTTTAAAATAATTTATTGCATGTTAGGAAAGCTTATCAAATAACTTTTTATACAATTTACTTATATTAAATATTGCATACTTTCCTAAATATGACACACAGTGCAATATGGAAATTAATCATCTCTTTAAGCCATAAAAAACTTATGCCTTCTGTGCATTACAGGAAAATATGAAATACAAACAAATAATTCTCAGAATAACTGAGATCCAAGAACATCATCTCCTAGGGAATTACCATATTGGATCTTACAAAAATGGTCTCTATGGACATAAACACACACACACACGCACACACACACTTTTACTTCTTGTAACTATGCCCCCAGAGAATTCAATATACATTGATTGTCCACCACACATTCTTCTTTTGAAATCCCAGATACATAGTTAAGGAAGGATGTTTTAACTGAGTATGAAAAGTGAATGTGAGATGGAAAACATAGCCTCTTGAAGACCAATTGCCCTAGAGCTGAATGTGCTATATTATAAATACCTATTTCCTTTTTGTTTATTCACTTAACAATATATCCAATCAAACACTCCATATCAATTTATGGAGATATCCCAAAATATTTTATAGCTGCATAGTCCTTCTTTGTGAGAATGTACAAAGTTTCTTTTGTGATTCCATAAGAATTTTAGAATAGTTTTTCTACTTCCATGAAAAATACCTTTAGAATTTTGATAAAGACATCATTGAATCTATTTGTTGCTTTGAGTATTGTGGACATTTATACAATATGAATTCTTTCAATCCATGAGCAGGAGATATCTTTTTATTTATTTGTCTCTTCTTTAGCTTCTATTATCAACGTTTTATAGTATTCAGTGTACAGATCTTTCAAAAATCTACAACACACACAAAAACCGACTGAAAATGGATAAAGACCTAAATGAAAAATCTTAAATCTTAAATTTCTAGAAGAAAACATAGGAGAAAAGCACTTTTATATTGGCCTTGGCAATATTATTTTTAGATATGACACCAAAAGCACAGCCAACAAAAGCAAAACTAGACAAGAGGGATCTAATTAAACTAAACAACTTCTGTACCACAAAAGAAACAATTTACAAAATGAAAAGACAACCTACAGAATAGGAAAAATATTTGAAACTATATATTGATAAGGGGTTAATATAAAAAATCTATAAAGAAATGTAACTTGATAGTAAGAAAACAATTTAAAAACGAGCAAAAGACTTGAATAGACATTTCTAATAAGACATAAACATGACCAATATGTATATGAAAAGGTATTCAGCATCACTAATCATCAGGTAAATGTAAAACCAAACACCAATGATACATTACCTCACACCTGTTAAGATGTCTACTATCAAAAAGACAAGAGACAACAAGTGTCAGTGAAGGTTTGGAGAAAAGAGAACCCTTGTACATTGTTTGTGGGAATGTACATTGGTGCAAACGTTATAAAAACCTGTAGGGAGGATATTCAACAATTTAAAAGTAGAATTACCACATGATCCAGCATTCTCTTTTCTGGGTATATAACAAAAGGAGCTAAAATAAACACCTCATATAAATATCTACACTCTCATGTTCATTGCCACACTATTCATAATAGGTAAGATACGGAAGCAGCCTAAGTGAATATGGATGGATGAATGGATAAGGAAATTTGTTACACACACACACACACACACACACACACACACACACAGAGAAATAATACTGTCATTTTGTGATGACATGGAGAAGCCTAGAGGACATTATGCTAAGTGAAATTAGCCAGACACAGAAAGAAAAATACTGCATGATATTATTAATACTTACTATGGAATAGAACAGTGGTTACCAGGGATGGTGAGGGTAAGGAAACGGAGAAATGTAGGTCAAAGGGTACCAACTTGCAGTTGTGTAGAATGAATAAGTCTAGAGGTCTAATGGACAGCAGGACCATGGTTAATAATATTGTAATATATATTGAAAATTTGTGAAGACAGTAGATTTTAGGTGGTCTTACCACAAACAAGAGATAACTGTGAAAGGTGATGTATATTTTAATTTTCTTACCTTTAGTAATCACTTAACTATGTATATGTATAAAAACATTATGTTGTATATCTTTAATATATAAAATAAAAATAAATTTTTAAAAATACTTCTTATTTAATAATGCTACCTCGATTAATTTCACTTCTCTAATAGCAGTGGCTAATTATGGTTAATTAGCCATTGTTACAATTGTTAACTAAAACTTATAGGAAATTACTTTTTTAGATTAAGCTTTGCACTAGGCCCCAACAGACCACACTACTAAATCAGACTGTAGTCATTCATGCTAAAGATCCAAATCAACAAAGGGAAACTAAGTTGTTACTTGACTTTATGAAATCAGGAGAGAGAGTAACAGCCAGTTTTCCAAATAGCCCAGGTTTAATCTTCAATTGACATGATAATTAAGTTCCCTCTGTTTTAATCTTTACAACCAAAAGTAACATGAAGTAACCTTATGTTAGTCAGTCAGTAATCTTTCTACTGTTCTGTCTCCTGCCCCCAACTTACAAGGAAAGGCTTTGAAACGACCAATCTGCTTTCTGTTCTTTGTTTCTGTTTTTTTCAGCCCTTTTTCTGTTTAGAAAGCCAATCTTCTCCACTGGACTCATTGGAACATGTATTCTGTTTTATGAAATGAAGTATTGCCAGATTCTAGAATTGCAATAAAGCCAATTGAGATCTTTGAACTAAATTTTTACTCCATGATAAATAGAAGTGGATATAGAAGATATTCTTTCCTTGTTTGCCATTTTAGTGAAAATGTATCAACTATTTGCACAATCTATAAAAATCTAGTTTTAATATAAGGGCGTGTGTCTGTGTGTGTGTGTGTCAGTGCACACTTGTTATAAAAATATAACCAATTTACATTTTCTTTATTGCTTTCTATTCATCAGAAATAATTTTTCAAACTGTTAAGACCCTTTTAAGCTTCTGTGGGAATAATAATATGAGTTTTAGTTTATGTCTAGTAATAAGTTCTCTTTGGTTTATTTTATTTATTTTGTTGTTGAAGTTTTTACTAAAATTTTATTTAGAATTTTGGCAGGCACATCTATGTTATATATTGATCTCTGAGATTTTTTTGTTGTTTTTGCACTGTCTTTGTCAGTTTACAAATAAATAATATACACGATCCATTTTTCAACAAGCTACTTTGGGTCAGTTTTAATGTTCTTGAGCTATCATTCTTGACTTTATTCGTTTAATACTTTTATTTTGCATTGTTGTGTGTTCTAAGTATATTTCAAGCTTCTCTTGAACTGTATTACTCACTTTTCTGTTGAAAATTTGGCTGTCAATGTTACTGTTCTTAATGAGAATTTTTCTGACAAAGATCTCTGTGTATGTTACGTTAAAAGTAGTTTCACTATACTCTTTTTAGGTGTAGTGTTGTATTAGTCTGTTTTCATGCTGCTGATAAAGACATACGCAAGACTGGGCAATTTACAAAAGAAAGAGGTTTAATGGACTTACAGTTCCACATGGCTGGGAAGGCCTTACAATCATGGTGTAAGACAAGGAGGAGAAAGTCAAGTCTTAAATGGCAGCAGGCAGAAAGAGAGAGAGAGAGGTTGTGCAGGGAAACTCCTCCTTATAAAATCATCAGATCTCATGAGACTTATTCACTATCATGAGAACAGCATGGGAAAGACCTGCCTCCATAATTCAATTACCTCCCACTAGGTCCCTCCCACAATAAGTGGGAATTCAAGATGAGATTTGGGTGGGGACACAGCCAAACAATATCATTCTGCCCCTGGCCCCTCCCAAATCTCATGTCCTCCCATTTCAAAACAAATCATGCCTTCTCAACAGTCCCCCAAAGTCTTAACTCATTTCAGCATTAACTCAAAAGTCCACAGCCCAAAGTCTTATCTGAGACAAAGTAAGTCCCTTAAAACTATGAGCCTGTAAAACCAAAGCAAGATAGTTACTTCCTAGACACAATGGGGGTACAGGCATTGTGTAAATACAGCTGCTCCAAATGGGAGAAATTGGCCAAAACAAAGGGGATACAGCACCCTTGCAAGTTTGAAATCCAGCAAGGGAGTCAAATCTTAAAGCTCCAAAATGGTTTTCTTTGACTCCATATCTCAAATCTGGGTCATGCTGATGCAAGAGGTGGGTTCCCATGGTCTTGGGCAGCTCCACCCCTGTGGCTTTACAGGGTACAGCCTCTCTCACGGCTGCTTTCACAGGCTGGCATTGAGTGTCTGTGGTTTTTCCAGGTGAATGGTGCAAGCTGTTGGTGGATCTACCATTCTGGAGTCCGGAGGATGCTGGCCCACTTCTCACAGCTCCACTAGGCAGTGCCCCAGTAAGGACTCTGCAGGGGGTGCTCCCACAAAACATTTCCCTTCCACACTGCCCTACAGAGGTTCTTCATGAGGGCCTCACCCCTGTAGCAAACTTCTGCCTGGACATCCAGGCATTTCCATACATCCTCTGAAATCTAGGCAGAGGTCCCAAACCCCAATTCTTGATATTGGTGACTTGCAGGCTCAACATCACATGGAAGCTGCCAAGGCTTGGGGTTTCCACCCTCTGAAGCTACAGCCCGAACTCGCTCTACGTTGGACCCTTTCAGCCATGGCTGAAGCAGCTGGGACACAGGGCACCAAGTCCCTAGGCTGCACACAACATGGGGACCCTGGGCCCAGCCCACAAAACCACTTTTTCCCCCTAGGCCTCCAGGCCTTTGATGTGAGGGACTGCCATGAAGACCCCTGACATGCCCTGGAGACATTTTCCCCATTGTTTTGGGGATTAAAATTCAGCTCCTCATTACTTACGCAAATTTCGGCCAGCTTGAATTTCTCCCCAGAAAATGGAATTTTCTTTTCTATTGCATTGTCAGGCTGCAAATTTTCCAAACTTTTGTGCTCTCTTTCCCTTATAAAGCTGAATGCCTTTAAAAGCACCCAAGTCACATCTTGAATGCTTTGCTGCTTAGAAATTTCTTCTGCCAGATACCATAAATGATCTCTCTTTGCTAAAACATAACAAGACTTACCTTTGCTCCAGTTCCCAGCAAGTTCCTCATCTCCATCTGAGACCACCGCAGCCTGGTCTTTATTGTCTGTATCACTGTCAGCATTTTGGGCAAAGGTGTCGAACAAGTCTCTAGGAAGTTCCAAACTTTCCCACATTTTCCTGTCTTCTTCTGAGCCCTCCAAACTGTTCCAACCCCTGCCTGTTACCTAGTTCCAAAGTCCCTTCCACATTTTCAGGTATCTTTTTCAGCAGTTCCCCACTCTACTTGTACCAATTTACTGCATTAGTCTGCTTTCACACTGCTAATAAAGACATGTCCAAGACTGGGCAATTTACAAAAGAAAGAGGTTTAACGGACTCACAGTTCTACGTGGCTGGGGAGGCCTCACAATCATGGCAGAAGGCAAGGAGGAGCAAGTCACATCTTACATGGATGGCAGCAGGCAAATAGAGAGAGGGAGAGCTTGTGCAGGGAAACTCCTTCTTACAAAACCATCAGATCTCGTGACTTATTCACTACTGTGAGAACAGCACAGAAAAGACCTGCCCCATGATTCAATTACCTCCCACCAGGTACCTCGATAAATACATGGGAATTAAAGATGAGATTCGAGTGGAGACACAGCCAAACCATATCAAGTGTTGATTGATAAATTTAATATTTAGGAATCATTCAGAGGAGAATGCAGCCAAGGAGATGAGAAAGAACCACTAATAAGCCTATGTAGAAAACCAGATAATATTTCATTAAACCTAGACAAAGAAATTACATCAAATAGAAGGCACTGATCAACTGAGATTCATTATCATCACTAAATAGATGATTCATGAATTTGGAAAAAGAAGGATTGGTGAATTACAGGCTAAAAATTGAGAAGAGATTGAGATTGAGAATGAGAAGAGAATGTGAATTTGAAAAGTAAGGATAACAATAATAGCCATAGGTAGCCATAGGTAGGCAATGGTGCTTTCCAAATCAATATTACAAAACAAGCAAGAAGTATCTTTTAGAAGTAGAATATTCCAAGTATTTGATTACAATAGAAACCTTGATTCAGCTTTGAGTAAATAATACCATAAATATAAAGCAAAAAAAAAAAGTAAAAAAATAAGAAAAGAAAGCATCTGTAACTAAACTTTTTAAATCGTTACCAACTAATGAAAATTAGTATCTATTTGTTACAAGTTACAATATCTGACTATAGGTATTCTAACATATTTGAGGAAAAGAGACATGAAGGATAGGCAATATATTCTAAAATATAAAAAAATACATTTTGAGGCCGGGCGCGGTGGCTCACGCCTGTAATCCCAGCACTTTGGGAGGCCGAGGCGGGCGGATCACGAGGTCAGGAGATCGAGACCATCCTGGCTAACACGGTGAAACCCCGTCTCTACTAAAAATACAAAAAATTAGCTGGGCGAGGTGGCGGGCGCCTGTAGTCCCAGCTACTCAGGAGGCTGAGGCAGGAGAATGGCGTGAACCCCAGGGGGCGGAGGCTGCAGTGAGCCGAGATTGCGCCACTGCACTCCAGCCTGGGCGACAGCGAGACTCCGTCTCAAAAAAAAAAAAAAAAAATACATTTTGAAATATTCAGTAACAGTTCAGGCTCTGCTGAGAACTTCTTTTTATGAGAAATGTCCTAAAATGTTAAAAGATTCTAATCATAGATTACAGCTAATGTGACTTAGCCTTAAATTATTTTTAACTTACTAAGAAATTTACTCATTAAGAAATTTACAAATAAAATTTATTCTGGAGAGGAAAGCATTTTATATTACTGTTTAATTGATCAAATTTTGAGCTATTTCTTGAAACAAAACATGAAAGTTTTGACAGTTTTCCTTTGAATAGCAAATGAATGTCTTTTAAGTATATGTATTTTAATTTGGAAATATTAATGTGATGGATTAACCAAACATGTCTGCATATAAAGTTAGTTGGAGAAGCACATATCTATTATAATTTATTGTGAAACGAACTAAGTAAAATAAGTAATTTGATGGCTAAGTCAACTGGCAGACTAGAATGACCTTTGTAGGATAGTTGCTATTGAGTCGCTAAACAAAAATTAAATGGTACAAAAAGGTTGCACAGAGAATTGAATGATTAACTCTGCCTTGTAAAGACAGTTAATGTTCTTAAGAAAGGTAACACAAGGTATTAGGAGGCAAAAGAGTGTGGAAGCTTTATGTGAGGATCCTTACCAACCAGGGAAAAGTAATACCACTAATTATCCTTTTAGTCTTTATCCTGGAGTGCTCAGTATGCAAAGAAAATAAATGTCCTCTAATGCATAGCTCAGAAAGGACAGAAGATTAAAGTTTAAAAGACAACAAAGTCTTCAACTGCATAGTGAAAACTAAGCCTTGCTGAGCTTAAATTTTGACCATGCTTTTTAGCTCCACATCTTTCAAGGCCATCTTAACCTCACTGAGATATCTTTTGATCCTATGCCTAATGCTAATAATAATTTTTATATCACACTGTTATTTCCAGAATTGGTCAATCAGATAGAATATCAAGCAGTCCCTGTCATTTAGTGAGTAGTACACAAGATAAAGGTCTTATTTTAATACCACAGTTTGTACATCACCTGAGAAGAAAAGCTGAAAGCATTTTAGCATAAAGCATTTCAACATTTCAGGTAGAAGCTCTCTCAAGAAGTAAGAAGTACCTGTATTTAAAAAGCTGTGTTACAAGCTGAAGACCAATAATTTAAAACAAAACAAAAAGAGACACTATTAATAAACTACCTGGAGATTAATAATTCAGAGGCCAGTGGTAGTGATTCTAATAGGTATAATGTAAGTGATATGTCATAAACCAACTGAAGCACCAGAGATGGCAGATGATATAACTAATCCACCTGGAAAGGGAAGAAGTCAGGAGGAATGGGGAAGTTTTGCTTTAAGTGTACTAGATCTTTATTAAGAGTTACAGAGCATTCACTTTCTAAAGTAGATGACAGAAAATTTAAAACATATAAACTATTTCAGAATAACTCAGGAACAAATTAGTGATTTAACTTGGGCAAGATATTTTAAGCAAACTGATCCTCCTTGGCACATAACAGTAAAAACTAATCAGAAGATTGAGAGAGCCTTAGGATTTGCTTTTATTAGATTGCGTCAAAATGTTGTATGTATATTTTTCATTTCCTGTGCTCTTAAAATTTCTAAAAGTTTGGCTGGGCATGGCAGATCACACCTGTAATCCCAGCCCTTTGGGAGGCTGAGGTGGGCAGATCACTTGAGGTCAGGAGTTCAAGACCAGCCTGGCCAACATGGTGAAACCCCATCTATTAAAAATACAAAAATTAGCCGGGTGTGGTGGTGCGCACCTGCAGTCCTAGCTACTAGGTAGGCTGAGGCAAAGAATAGCTTGGGCCCCAAAGGAGGATCCTGCAGTGAGATCATGCCATTATACTCCACCCTGGGTGATAGAGTGAGACTCCATCTCAAAAAAAAAAGAAAATCTAAAAGTTAACTAACACTATAGGAAATGGAAATGGAAAAGTAAGTATACTTAAATGACAGAAGAAAATTAATCAATGTTTAAATAACCCCTTTTCCTAAAATCATATTTATAATCCAAATATCTTTCAAGGCCTAATTCATTTTATAATTTCTACAAACACTTGTGTAATTGTCCAGTTAATTACATACTATATGTATTTTTCTCCCTGACTATATTTTGTTCTTCCCCTGTAGATGTTATTATTTAAACATATTTTCTTCCAATCAAGATCCACAATTTTTAAAATATGAAATAAAAAATAATGTGGCCTAATACACAAACATTTATGAAAAAAATCGTGAAATAGGATGTGTATCTGTGAAAATATTTTCTATTTTTTTATTTAAAAATATTCTGGTCATCACACAGAAATTAATTTCTAATCGAATCTGACCTATAGCTAGAAAATCTCCTTAAGAGACAGTTTTAATTCTTCTGTTATCCTGGTCTCACTGATTGGAACTATATCTATGTATGCATATGTCTATATCTATGTATACCATTCATATATATATATTTGATATATATATTAGAAAATACATTCTGAAAAAATAACTACATTGAGTTCACATTGATCTTATTTAATAATCATTCACAAATCATTTGCAGTTAGCTTCAGAGCATCCCAAGTGAGGCAAAGAGAGTTTTGAGAGGTATGAAAATATGAATTAAATATTCTATTTTAAAAATAAACCAATACAATAATGCATTGTCTCTCAACCATAACTTAAACTGTTTGTAAATATAGCTTCTCATAGAAACAAAATAACTAGATTCTGTAGAATATGTTTTAAAATAAAAATTACATACATTAATATACATTTTTAAATTATTCTCAACACTTATGATCAAATATGTTATAATTGTCTTTTAATTTCCTTAAATAGAATATATACCAATAAGTTAGTAGTTTGACAAAATATAAATAAATATTAGTTTTAATTTGGTTATAATTAATCACAGGTAAAAGAAAATATAATAACCTTTGCATTGCATGATACATCAAATGAAATTTAAATAAAATAATACTTAATAGTCTTGGTTAACTGGAATGCTTAAAAGTCAAATGAGATATAGTGAAAAATTTAGCTCAATTTCTTTCAGATGTCTAAATAAAAAATAAGATAGAAATAAAAACTACCTATCATAAAATAGTGAAAGAAAATTAGCTTCTCTAAAACAAAAAATTTTATGAAAAAGTTTGAAAAGACATGAAGATAAATATCAAAGCAATAGAAAGAAAAAGAGAGAGAACTGTGTCATGGAAGCTACTACTGTACTACAATGACATTATTTGAGACTCCTTTCTTCATTACCTTTATATAATACAATTGAATGTTCATTTCCTTGAGAAAGAGACAATCCTGTACCTTACACGCAATGAAGGCTTTTTTCACTTGTTGGTTTCTTAAGGTACAGATGAAAGGGTTCAAAAGTGGAGCAACAGAGGTATTGAGCACCGAAATTCCCTTTGAAAAAGATATCTTTTGTTTGACCAATGGCTTAACATACATGAAGATGCAGCTGCCATAAGAAAGGGATATCACAATCATGTGAGAAGAACATGTGGAAAAAGCCTTTTTCTTCTCACTGGTTGAAGGGATTTTTAGAATTGTCAGGGCAATGTAAGTATATGATATTATCACCATTACCAATGTGACTAAGAGTGTCACCAACGCTGAAATTAATCCCATCCTCTCCAGGAGCTGCGTGTCTGTGCAAGAAATCTGCAGGAGTGGAGTAGTGTCACAGTAGAAATGATCAACGACGTTGGAGGCACAGAAGTCAAGATTTAGGCCTAATGGGAGTGTGGAAAGATGATGAGAAAACCAGCAAGCCAACACCCAAGCACAAGATGCATGCAGATTTTGCTGCTCATGATGGTGGTGTAATGCAGAGGCTTACAGATGGCCACATAGCGGTTGTAGGACATGGCTGCCAGCAAGTAAAATTCTGACCCTCCAAGTAGGAAGGCAAAAAACACTTGAGTGACACAACTGTTATAGGAAATGCTTTTGTCCCCAGTTGCCATAGTAACTAACAATTTAGGGATGCATGTAGTAGTATAGGAAATTTCTAAGAAGGAAAAATTCCGAAGGAAAAAATACATGGGAGTCTTAAGGTGAATATCCACCAGGGTGAGTGTGATGATAATCAGATTGCCAGTGATGCTCAGCACATAGGTGAGAAGCAGGAAGATAAACAACACAACTTTCAATTCTGGGTTATCAGTCAAACCTGCTAGGATGAACACCGTCATTCTGGTATGGTTTCTCATTACTATCCTCTGAATTTTATCAGCTCTGTATAGAAAAAAGTAATAATTATCTTTACAGAAAAATAACAGTGATCACAGTGTTTAAGCTAAAGTTAGCAAAGTGAGGTTTCAGATACAGCAATACGATGTTCATTAATATTTTCAAGAAGCTTATGACAGGAAGAATAATAGTTTGTGTTTCCAGAGGATTTGGATAGAGAACTAAAACTTTGCTACCCAAGAATAATCTACATTCTGATAGTAATTGCTCGTTTATTTTATGTGAATTAATTACAGAGAAATTAAAAGAACTTAAAGGATAGAAAATGCTTTTTCTTTCTTGATAATATGCAAGAATTTGGATGGCACACCACTTTTTGCTCAAAGAAGTTTAATTGAAGAAAAATTTTTAAATTTTGCATATAAAACCCCAAATGATACCTGTCATTAGAAGTACATGTGACCATATTTTGCATTTAACATGCACACACACATACACACACACAAACACACACAAATCTAACCATCACTGATAACCAGTGCCAGTATACCTTTATCATTTTACTCAACTAATCAAACTCAAATGCTTGATTACTGTCTCATTAACTTTCATTTCTAATAAGATCCAGTTTCAGATCAGTGAAAATGAGGCACAGGGAATGATTTCATTCACTATTCTTTTTAGTGTTTCCATCACCTTAATCTCCGTTGGTACCTACCCAAGCTTTCCCATACTGAACCTCAATACCAAATCAGCAGTAACAGTCTAATAATGTTAGCAAGCCACTGCAGTTTTCCTCTGAGGTTTCGCTCTTGAGAATGGACCAGATAAAGTGAAAAGTGGGATATAGGAAAACAGAAGCAGAGAGAAATACATAAATATGGGTTTAGGAAATTGTATGTTGTGAAAGAAGTAAAGACAAAGCTGTATGAAAAGCTAGAGAGACAAGAAAGATTTTAGAGATAGGGTAACGAGATAGAGGAAAGAATTAAAAGAAGATTAAAATAGGTAAGTTAATAAAAATTATAAGGGTGAAATTTTTAGTAATGAAATTTCTCTGTGTTTTTGTTCTACATACTCACATTTCTTCTTTGTGTAAAATAGAGATTGAAAACATGAACAATTTTGAGTTCAGCATGGCCTTGAAAAAGGAATATTTGGTAAATTACAAATGCATAATGAATCATTGAAGAGTGTTGACACAAAATTTTAGGAGGCATATAATGATATTCAAATATCCAGATAATATGGAATTAAAGAGATAATAATAATAGTTAGCACTTTTCTACATCCGGTATATGTGATGAGTGAGACAGTGAGATCAAGAAACAAAATTGTTCAGGTTTACACAGCTAGCAAATTTGAGATCCAGTATTAAGATTGAGTTTATTTTCCAAAATGTCTTCTGGTACACAAGCAATTGTATACCAGCTATAGTGCATTTCTTAAAACAAAGCAATTAATGATATATCTAGGGAAAATTTTCTTCCTGGGCATTTTAATCACCAAACACATGAAATAAGTCTTTGTGATGTGCATGACATTATATAGGACTATGTTTTCTGTTGTGAAAATATCAATTTAATTATTTCCAATCACAGAAGCATACATTACTAAGAAGGCAGACACATGAGTAAAAATAAACATATGAAAACAAGTCAAAGCTGTTTCCAATAATATCTAGAGAAGTTTGCAGGAGGTAATTTGGATTCTAAGATAGGTCTTAGAGGGAGATAAGGAAATAAGACGAGTTATTCCTAGCAAAGGGAAAGCCTGAACAGAAACAAAGGGAAGGGCACATGCATGACTTCATTAGAAACAACGAGTAGCATTCTGCTATTAAAACCGTGCGTGTTAATAATGCAGGCATACGTGAGTGAAATGAAATGACTGTTATTTTTCCCTGGACATTGCTTTCACATTCATATAATTATGAACCAATCTGTCACAAAATTTTTCTTGTTTATACAAATTGCCGTAGAAGCCATCATTGTAGGAATCCATATATCTAAAACACCTAAATCAGAGTTTTGTCATGTTAGACCATTCCTTTGACCAACTTCAACCATCATACATATCAACTATTCCCCAACAGCACTGTAAAAATCATGAAACTCACTGTATAAAACCAAGAGAAGTCAGGCCTATGAATGCAATTTAAAGGTTAAAAAAAGGAAAGATTAAACTTTAATGGTAAAATAAGAACAAACCTTAATCACAACTTGTCTGAAAGGAAATATTTCCTTTAGCTTTTAGAAACATTAATTATTTTTATCTTTTTGAGTTATATTTCTTCAAAATTTTAAAATAAAAACATTTATATGAAACATGCAAAAAATTATTAAAGATATAGACAGATTTATTTAGACAAAAGCATCTCTGCTTTAACATTTAACTCTTTTATCATTATGCTGAATCAAGCATATTGATACTACATTTCTCTCTGAATGAATCTCTCTATCCCATAATCTATGATGATTATTTCTCACCTATAAATAGCAATCTTGGAAATGCCTTGTTTAGCTATTTTATTGCAGTTAGACTAGTGCATTAAAATTCCTCTTAACTGTATGTTAATTATTTATGTATTGAATGTTTTCCTAAGTAGTATTACACACAGTGCCACATAAAATTAATCAACTCTTGATCCCTTGGAGTTTTTATGCTTTCTGTGCCCTGAAGAAAAATAAAGATTATGAAGGATTCTCAGGAAAATATCAGATCCAAGAACACCATTTCCCAAAGGATGACTACTTCATATGTTATTCACATGTTCTCTCAAGGCACTAAATAACTTTAAAAACAAAATACCTACTTAAAAATAACTACATTAAACAAACAGTGTCTCAAGAGAAATCAGTGTAGATTGCCCCAATATGTGTTTGTCCTCCCATCTCTATGTTTTGAAATCCCAGATATATAGATGAGGATTTGGAAGCATTATATAGTATCATATAATGTTTTAACATTCAATATTCATCAAAGTGTATTTTTAAATATGATACTCTTTCTCAAGGGAAGTGGGGATATTTTGTGCATTAACCACAAAGAATAAAAAATGTACTGGGCCTTGTTTTTCTTGTTTAAAAGGTTGAAGCTTGAAGCTAAGTATACTTAGTGCTTATAAACATTCTTTACCTTAATTGAAATATTACATTAAACATTGACAGACATAAAAAAGAAAACTATTATTTTATGCGAGACTAAAAGGTGGGAATATAAAATGGAGAACGTAGCCTGTCATAGACAAAATCCACCTCAAGCTAAATGCACATCATTAATTCATCAGGTACAACTGAACATTTTATGTCCTATATAAATTTGACTTTCTTTTCTGCAAGTTATACTTTCTGCAGTCCTTGGGATATTGTCTAGTGGTCTGAAACACATTTCATTATAGATAACCATTTTCCACTTCTTCCATATTAATAGAAGTTTCCATGTCTTTGCCTTTGGTACAATTTATGGTAACCTTGTGGATAAATTCTGGCCAAAGGATGGAAACATAGATAGTTTGTGCAATTTCCCGGAATCATCCTTCATGTTCTTGTCAGCATCTCTTTTCCCCTAAAGGTGGAGGACAATGTAGAGGAGGCCCTAATGTGCACACAATGCACCCAATTCACAAATGGGGGACCCCAACTATATTAAATTCCCAGTCTTTTTAGAGACTACTTGCAAAGCTGCCTAACTTTTTCCCACTAGAAGACAATACTCTGGTCAGTAAAAAAGAAAGACACCTCTCAAAGGTGGGCACAACAATGTAGAAGACCAATTCGGAAAGTGTAAGTTTATGTAAAATAGGTGAAGGGTGAGAATCAATCAAAGAAAAGTGCGCCCAATGGGAAGATAGGTTCTCAATTCAGTTCAAGGATTTAACTTGTAGCTTGGCCTTCAGGCATTAAACTGTCTTCTGCTTGGAGGTGAGGTTTCACTGTGGACGTGCCCCTATCTGCCTAAGCATTTGACTACCTCCTGTCACTATCAAGTTACATGCAGATGGTGTAATAGTACCTTATTGTCACTATCAAGTGACATGCAGGTGGTGTAACAGTACCTCCTGTCACTATCAAGTGACATGCAGGTGGTGTAATAGTACCTTATTGTCTCTGTTATCCTGACAGAGCCATCTCTGTCTGGTAAAGGATGGAAGATGCAGCAGTCCATCAAAATTAAGGCTCTTGTGGCAGACGTAGAGTGGAAGTTTTCTTCTGGAGGAAAGGGCCCAGGATACTTCTTAAAGGCAAAGATTACTAATACCTCTCTCCATGGCCCCTGAGTATACAAGGTGTTTTCTCCTCATATGCCAGCTTTTTCTCTACCTATACTTCCTTCAAATCTGGGTTCTACATTCCTGTAGCTATAGCTTCACCTTTTTTTTTCTCCCAATCATAGCCGACTCATATTCAGATCTTTCATCTAGAAGAGTCAGGTAAATGAAGAAAAACGAAATTTTTTTTAAATTTCAACAAGTATCAAACTCTAATTTCTTAGGCCCCCTTGTGTCCAAATTACCACCTGGAAGGTATGGCACCAGCCTTATCTAGATTTGATCTTAGGGAAAAGAAAGGTACATCATTCTTTGAATGACTGAGGTGGAATTTTGAATTTTCAAAGTAAGTCTGTATAATTCCCAACCACTTTTATCTTGATCATTACCCTGGAAGAAGATGAGTAGTCAAGTCTGGGAACAGCTGCATTCAATGACCATACTGCTTTACCTAGGTGCATGGATCAGGAAGAGATGAGGAGGCAGAGGCTATTAGTCCTTTGCTGAATAGCTTGGACAATAAAAGTTGTCAAACTGTAGATGCTCTGAGGATCTAAAGACATGACACAGATAATGTCAAAGATCACAGTTGTGTGCCATAGTCAACTTATCAGTAACCTAAAACAGCATCTACCCGGTGAGGCACTACCAATAGACCCAAGGTAGTCAAGTTGCCAAAAGCAGGAGGAGGCAACATTCCTTGCAATATGGCCTACCCCAGCATGAGAAAAGCAAGTCAACTTTTGACAGGAGCTGCAAATATGCCATGCAATGATAGCATCTGCATTAGAAACATAGAGCCAAACTCTATCAGCAGCCTGATTCTAGTTATTTTTCTTATGAGAAAATGGTGTTAAAAACCAAGATCTGGGCACTGGGTGTGCTTATTGCTACTGGGCTGTTTTTGCTTCTAGACACTCTCAGGTGACAGAGCAAGGAAATATAGGTGTTTATATTAACCTACGCCTAGACACACAATGATAAATATTTTATAGTATCAATCTGTATATATATTAAATTAAACTTTAGTTTATACCGTCACCATGTTTAAAATGCCATCACGAGTCATTCCTTATCAGTAATCTCCCAATGCAGCAGTGAGATACTGGCTTCCATCATCTGCCATCCACTTGCTCAATCATTCAGTTCCAGTATGTATGTGTATTGGGAGAAAACTTTATTAACTTCACTGTATTGGTTATGTATAGTTCCTTTTGACGTTAGTCTTACTGACTCCACTTATTTCTCTTAGGTCAGCAACTTTTTACACTATGCCCTTCAGTGAGGTTGTGTCACACATTTGTAATATAGCTAAATTCTTCCACATTCTATTGTGATATCCCAGATTTTTTTTTAATTTTCACACATTAGAAGCATTCTTTGTATTGTAAAGTTCTACTGGTTTTGACAACTGCACGGTGTTATGTTATTGCAGGATCTGGCCAGCAGTCCGCAATGCAATGAGGGGCTCTTTCTTTATTCCCAGGCAGATTGGCAGGTCGAGAAATAATAGACACACACAAGACAGTGAAAGCTGGGTCCAGGGGGGTCACCGCCTTCTAGTCCCGCGATGCCACTAATGCACTGGATATACCAGCATTTATTATTAAGTTTAGTGAGGGCGGGGCAGGTTAGTGAGGGATTTAGGGTCTTTTGATTATGAGGTGAGATGGTCACATGGGGATGAAGTAGTTCTTTAACATAACATCTGTATGCAGAAGTACAGTATACAGAGATAAGAGTTTACAATATAGTGTGTGCATCAGTAATTTCTAACAGAGCCTTAAAACAGAAACACAGTCTTTCCATAACCTATGATTAGCAAGTTATTAATCAGCAGTAACAGTTGCAGCAAAAGCTGGTTACAAACAATCCATAGAAACAGGAGGTGAAGCTAGACAACCGGTTAGACCGGAAAATATCAGAAGGGAGTATGCCTTACCCCCAAAGAGGCCTAGAAGAGCTGTGGCAAGATGAGGGCGTTTATAGCCCTATCTTATCCATATGAACAGGTGCCCCCCCAATGCGTCCATTTATAGGCTCTACACAAGGGTCCCATTCCATTCCCAGAGCTATGAACATCTGCTTTTCTGGGACAGGAATCTTGGTGATGTGAAACCTCCCTGACTGCATGTCCGTTCGTAGGCTCTCTGCAGGGGGAAGCACATCATGTGCTGTTGGCTCATTCTGGCAGTCCAACCTGGCATTGTCTTTACACAATCCTGCATGCAATTTTGTATTTACAATAATCAGGAGCATTTCACCTTTTATTCCATAGCAATAGTTTCAGGGGGTCTCCCTACATTATGTATTCATCTTTACATTACTATATAGAATAATTTTACTACCCTAACCAAAGATTCCCTATGCTTCCTCGTTTAATCCTTACTCCAACAAAGTCCTGGCAACCACTGATATGTTACTTTCTCTATAAATTTATCTCTACCAGAATATTATATAAATGAAATTAAATAATTTATAGCCTTTTAAGTCTGCCTAGTTTCATTGAGAAATATGCATTTAAAATTCTTCTCTGTCATTGTTCAACTCCCACTTATGAGTGAGAACATGCGGTGTTTGGTTTTCTGTTCTTGTGTTAGTTTGCTGAGAATGATAGTTTCCAGCATCATCCATGTCCCTGCAAAGGATATGAACTCATCGTTTTTTATGGATGTATATTTTATAGTGTTCCATGGTGTATATGTACCACATTTTCTTTATCCAACCTATCATTGATGGGCATTTGGGTTGGTTCCAAGTCTTTGCTATTGCTAATAGTGCCACAATAAACATATGTGTGCATGTGTCTTTATAGTAGAATGATTTATAATCCTTTGGGTATATACCCAGTAATGGGATTGCTGGGTCAAATGGTATTTCTAGTTCTAGATCCTTGAGGAATCACCACACTGTCTTCCACAATGGTTGAACTAATTTATACTCCCACCAACAGTGTAAAAGTGTTCCTACTTCTCCACATCCTCACCAACATCTGTTGTTTCCTCGTTCCCTTTGCCTCCCAGTCCCCAGGGGGTGCAATGCAGAGGGGGCTCCATGGGTAGAGCAGACACAATCAGTCTGTAACACAACTGTGAAATCCTGAACTTAGGGAACCCCCACTATTTTAAAGAGATAGCTAGAAAACCTGCCCAACCTGGCCACCCTGGGAGACATCTATTTTATAATCCTAGTCAGGAAGCAAATCTCCCTTCTGCCCTGGAGGGAGGTATTATTTCGATCTTTCAAGGCTGAATGATATTAAAACAACTTTGTAAAAAAAAATCCAGACCAAGCATAATATTAAATGTGTAGAAATGCCATGGAGAATTGCAACCTAACAGTGATAACTGATATATTTGGTACTACAAGTGGTTGCATGAAATAGATCCTTAAGAAGGGTAATTTATAATTAGTTAATATCATCTTGAAAGGTCTGAGAAGTGCTGCAACCATAAGAAAATGGAATATTACAAGTCTATGGCATCAAATATTATCACTTGGAAAGAAGCTTATATTTAAGGCTGAGCTTTCTCAAAGTAGATGTATAAGGTAAAGAGCACTGTGCTAAGCATGTGAAATACAAGTACTGCACATGCTATAAGGCTATAACATGGTAAGATCCATATTGAGGATCTTAAAGAAAGAAAATTACAAGGTTGTATCCTTTAATTATTATCTTGAATTATACAATAATCAGCAAATCATGAAGTTCCCATGACTGTCCTAAATAAATTTATCTCTTAAATCCTCATGTCACTTGGTGCTGAAAACAAAGGTAGGCTCTGATCTCGCAGTTTATTATACAGCAATATTGGTTAAATTTACATCCTTCCCAGATATCTTTTGTGAAAGTTAATTGATTGGAAATCTGAAAGGATCCCAACTGGGAATTACATATATGTGTGTATGTATTTCATATATGTAAATATAAATCTAAAACTTAGAGGAATTGCAATATGGAACAGCTTTATTGTATGCAATTTACTTACATACCCCTTAGCTATGTAACTGGAGAATACCCAGAGGAAAATCTTTTGGCAAGATATTAAAATATTCACAAGGGTATTTGCTAGCAGCTTTAAAAAGTATTGTAACCACTGGTTTGAAATGAAGATGGAAGATGCTTTTGTTAAAATGAACTCCCTGATTTCAGTGGACATGATGGATCATGGAAAGTCAGAGGCTATGTAATAGCACTTAACTGATATGAGCATATTCAGTGTGGTTACTTATTGGTCAGTATGGCCGAAGTAGTTATCAATATTGCATGATGCACTTTAGTAGTGAACAACAGATTATGAAGTTCCTAGGACTAAAATAAACAGGCAGCTCATTAGGTTTCTAACTGGTCCATATAATTGAAAGAACTCTAGGATAAGTGAAAGGAAGAATGAATTAGCCATCATAATGGAGTTAAAGCTCCTTATTCAATTACAGACTTCAATCCTTTCATAGAACCAGAACCCATGAAGAAAGTTGTCTTTGCAAAACTGTCATGCATATTAATATCCAAATCTTCCGCTAGTGTCCTTCAATAGATATGTGGTCCTTTCCCAAGAAAATCGTACAGTGAAATCAATGAAACATGGATTTTTCAGAGGTTATTCCACCTCATTTCTGAGCTAAGCTTAATTACAATGACTATAAAATGCCAGTGTGTTTACTTATAAGAGTGGAAGAAATTGGAGTCAGAGACATTTTCCTGATAAGTTATGATTATGTGCTAGTCTGTTTTACAGTGAACCTAGTGCATGTGCAAAGTTGTCCTGTGCATACAGTTAAAACACATATATTCAGGGCCAAGTGGAAAACCATATGGTCTCCCTCACTAAGAGATAATAAACAGACAGCATCATTATATCCTTGGAAAAGCTTCAAAGCTAGTGCCACCATCAAAGACTTAAAAAACAAAGATGCAGGAGTGGTGACTTAATCCACATACCCATTGAACTCAACTGTCTGCCTCTCCTAACACAGATAAATTTTAGCAGATGATAATGAACCCATAAGTTAAATTAGGTAGTAAATTCAATTGCAACTGTCTTTTCAGTTATGGCCCATTTACTAGAATAAATCAAAAATAATTCTGGCACTAAATATCCAGTTATTGATTTTGGGAATGAATGTTTATGGATTAATAGATAATACAAGAATTTATTGGCACAACCTGCAAATAAAATGGTATACCTTTGTACTCTAGCCCTTTGCCATCATTTATTCCACAGGCCAGCAAACCATAGCCCACAGGCCAAGGATTGTTTTGGTACAGACTTCCACCTGAGATCCTGAGATGTATTTTACATTTTTAAAGGGTTGTTAGAAGAGAAAGGAGAAGGAAGGGGAGGTGGAGAAGAAAAAAAAGGAAGAGAAGCAAATCAGAAATGTATGATGATATGCTAAGTAATAATTTAAAAACTTGTATCAGATACAGAATCAGAATTTCTTATGTAAAGTATTTTAAAAGACACATTGAAGAGAATTATGGAATTTTATTTTATAAGTAGACATAGCCTAGTTTTCCCTTCCCTATGACAACAGGTCTCCATCAGTAATATGTTTTCTTGAAGATATCACCCCCTTACTCTGTTCCAAAACAGATGGTGTTTTAAAAATATGGGAAAAAGTAACCCATTATCAAAAGAAAGTTGAATTAAAAGAGAAATTTGGAAATTGACTGTTTGAAATTCTTTCCACGATTTTTGTTACTGGAAATTATTTAAACTCATTAAATATAAAAATACTCATCTACTCATTAGAAAACTTGAAAACATAATCATTTTAATATTTTAAAACATTTGTGTGCTTTTAGAAAATTACATAAAAATGCAAAATCAAGACAGCTGATTAACATTAATGTAGTCAATTTCAAAAAAAAAAGCATATTTGAATGGGATTGAAGAATAATTATTGTGATTTCCAGTTCATTTAAAATGGATCCACATTATTGTGAAGCATTAACTTTGCACTACAACAACCCACATAACTAAGTACAAGGTAAAATAAACTGTAATAAGACTTGCAGTTCATTTCACACAATAATTACATAAGTATTTGCAAGTATAATAAAGTATGCTGAATTAAAATGAAACTAATATTTGTACCATAAGTAAAATTAAAAGTTATACTGTAAAGTTATATTATTAAAATATATTGATCATTTTGTATAATTTCCTTTATTAATTCCTATTTTTCTATTAAAATTTCAAAATATTTTATACTATTGTTTATATATAAATTATAAACTGATAAATGTGCATGTACCATGAAAAATATACATATATTTACTAATTGAATGTTTGATAAACACCAGTTGCACACTTACACTTATAAAAAGAAAAGCAAGTCCATAATTTTTGAGAACACAGTAATCTTAATATTTGAAGGTAGCATTTATTTTTCTTATAAGCAATTTTTTCTCAAGCTCCATGTCATTAGTACCCTAAATATTTTCTCATATGACATAATTTCTAAATTTATGATAATATTGACTATTCTTTTACTTCAAAAGATTTTTAAAGGATAAAACTAAACAGAATTTTTGAGATATGTATGATACAATGGGACTTTATTGTATCATACAATTGAATTATCTCTTCAATGCTCATAAACACTCCATATTTATAGTAAACTTGTAGTTTTCTAACACCTAATTTTTTTTTCATATTGCCTGTCATCAAGTCCAATCTATTAATTATTTTATAGTAGACATCCTTAATCTAGGCTTACATTTTTATATTAAGCCCTATCAAATGCCACATTTTAATCTTATTTTATAGATGAACATATTAACTTCACTCATCTCCTGTCATTTGCTGCCTTATTTATTTTATTTATTCCTTACTAGGCACCGGCTTGGATGAAGAGAATGTAGAAAACTATGAGATTTAGAGTTCGTTGCAAGAAATAAATATAGTTAATTACATGTGCTATGATAAGCACCATCTAGAGTTGACTACAAACACTACAAAATTTGAGTATGAAGTGACTAACATATACTTGTCGACCAGCCTTCCACAGAAGTCTCCATGTTAATTAACTTTAACTGATTGAAGTTTTGCAAGCTAACAGAGATTTGGGCAATGGGCAGGCATTCAATATACGTGACAGCACACAAGTTTTGCAATATACTTAGTTGTTTAGTGTGGTTACATCATAGAAGTACTAGTTGGAAGAGATAAGAAACCAAACTGGACAGGCCAGGTTATGCAAATATTTGGGGAATTTTGTCATTATTTTGCAGGCAACGGAGAACCATCAATAATGTATTAGTAGAGTGGTGGCATGACTGATTTGTATTTTAGAAAGTATCCTACTAGCAATGTGGAGGATGAGTTAGAGATCAAAGGCAGGAAGGCTATGTAATAGACAATTGACATACCTTGAGTCTAGCTTGTCTTAATACTTACTCAGTATATATTAGGTTGGTACAAAAGGAATTGTGATTTCACCATTACTTTTAGTGGTGAAATTAAATTTTAATGGTGAAATTTTAATTACTTTTAATGGTGAAACTGCAATTCCTTTTGCGCCAACCTAATACTGGTGAAAAACAGTTGGTTATTTTTTTCCTTTTCACTTCCAGAAAAATGAATATTAGAAATGAGTTAAACAGGTGAACAAATGAGATTTTAATATTTTTTAGAATCCTAGCACAATTTAAAAATTTTAAGTGCCTATAATGGACCCTGATCTCTGGTATTTACACAATAAATCAGATTGCTAGTGATTTATTTCAAATTAAGTAAAAAATGATCTTCACTAATCTTTTCCCATCGTAACTTAGGCCTAGGGTTTCTTTCCTTTTGCTTTTTCTGTTATCTACTTACAAACAACCTAGAAATAGAAAAAAATCCATCTATTCTAAGTAGTTAAGTCTACTAAGTATATTTCTGAATTTCACAAAATTGTCAATAATTCATTTTTGGATTAAAAAAGGGGAGAAAAAGTTTTTAATATACATTCAATGATTTATGGATTTACCTATATATTAGACTTTAAAAAGAGCTGAGCTTAGAGTTCATGTATAAAGAATAAGTTTTAAAAGTAAGCAATGTAATACTTAGAAATATAAAATAAATATGTTACATATTTGCATTTGGCAACAACTTAAATTGTGGAGAAGAGTGTTCAGAAGAAAATCTGAGATATTCCAGATCAGACTTTTTGTCAGATTCCAAACATTTTGAGTCAACTTTTCTTGAGTGTCGTTATTATCTATAAAGTATAATTATTTGTGTATAAACCATCATTCTCAGCAAGCTATCGCAAGGACAAAAAACCAAACACCGCATGTTGTCACTCATAGGTGGGAATTGAACAATAAGAACACCTGGACACAGGAAGGCGAACATCACACACCGGGGCCTGCTGTGAGGTGGGGGGAGAGGGGAGGGATAGCATTAGGAGATATACCTAATGTAAATGACAAGTTAATGGGTGCAGCACACCAACATGGCACATGTATACATATGTTAACAAACCTGCACGTTGTGCACATGTACCCTAGAACTTAAAGTATAATAATAAAAAAAAACTTAAATTCCTGATGCAAAGAAAGCCAAATAGTGAAAGTTAAAGAATACTCCCTAGATATTTATTTTCTATTTTCAAATAAAATGTTCTTAAAGTATTGCAGTATTATAAAAACCATTTACACATACATGACCACTATTGAAAAGTCTATTTGAATCTTCTCAGCTTCTCAGTGCCCTGTTAATATTTATTTAGATATATATATATTTAAAGCTTCTCACTAATGCTTGTAAAATTCAAATAAAATTTCTTGCTAGCCTGGGGATATGACAAAGTTATATACACTTGGAAATACATTAAGATAAAATGTATATAATAATTTTATAAGTCAGAAAAATAAATCCTTCCAGTCAGAATTATTCATAAGGTTATCAGTTACCTTATGTGGAAACTAAATCATAGACAAATATTTCTTGAGGAAACTGACATTAGTCTTTCAGAAAAAGTTTTCTTGTCTTATAACACTGAGATAGGGTACTATTGAAAGGAAAAGTTTTTAAATACTCTGCACATGATCAGTCATTATATCTAATTTTAATGTTCAAACCACTTAATTTGAAAAATAAGGTACTCTGTGGAGCTGTAAGGTCTTAATTTTATCTATGACATCCATAAATCTATAGAATGTTCTACAAAGGTCTTACTGTTCTTTTGCATTCTAAGTGACTTAAGAGCAGAGAGAGATTTTCACTTCGTTTTGCTAAAAATGTGTAAGCGGTGAGTGGACATGAAGGCATCATTTTTGTCATCCTTGGGTATTTATTTTTGTTGTCATCAACAAATTATTTAATCCTTATGACTTATATTTTTAATCCATAAATGGAGCATATAAATACCTGTCTTACAGAGTTTTGAAGATGGAACTAATAAATTTAATAACATCTGGCACATTGTAAGCAATCAATAAATGCTAGCTGTAAGTTCTATATGATAGCTGCAATAGCAGTAATGCTTTAACCTCTCTGAAGTTTCTTTCATTTATTTCTGAGAGTATACTATATCTCTAAGCCTGGTTAAAAAAAATTGAAGCTATTAAACTGTGTAATTAAAGAAATGCCATTAAATTGATTTGCTTCGAGATTCTACTAAACACTAAGAAAGAAAGCAGATTTCACTTTTGTATCCACCAATAATGCACGCGTTAAGTGATCAAACCTAGGTAGTCTACTGAACTCTATGTAGAATATATGACAAATTGGGTCCTTGAATTCCAGAAGAGTGGAAAAGAGCATGGAAAAACTGAAGTCTCACTTTGTCTTCCTCTGAGAGAATTTTGAGAGGAAATAAAAGAGGCAATAAATAACAGGCAAATGATTTTGACCAAAACCAAGAAATATCTTTTCTATGTGATCTCAGCATGAGGGAGAAATGGCAGTGAAGGTTAGGCTTTGGAGATTAGGAAGGCCATAATGAAAATTATAAGTCAAAAAAGAGGTAATATTATTGAATACAAACATTGAAAAACTTTGCACATACTCCACTCTTCTTGTTTTATTTTACTAATAACCTTAATAATATCGTTAAAGTGATTCATTTCATTGAGAAAAGTTCAATCTTTTTGACTGTGTGCTTAAAAACATCTTTTACTTGTTTGTTTCTCAGTGTATAAATAAAGGGATTCAACATGGGGGCAACAGAAGTGCTGAGCAGAGCTATCCCTTTATTTAATGACACTCTTTCTTTTGCTGAGGGTTTCACATACATGAAGATGCAGCTGCCATAAGAAATGGACACGACCACCATGTGGGAAGAACATGTAGAAAATGCTTTTTTTCTCTGTTGAGAAGAAGGTATTTTCAGAATAGTCCTGATAATATTTGTGTAGGAGAGAATCACTAATACCAGTGTAACCAGGAGCGTCAAAATGGCTGAGAGAAGCATCATTAATTCTATTATGTCAGTGTCTGTGCAAGAGAGCTGCAGTATAGGAGAAACATCACAGAAGAAATGATCTACAGTGTTGGCTGCACAGAAATCAAGCTGGAGACCCATCAGGAGTGGCGGAAAAATTATTAGGAAGCCAGCCATCCATGAAGCAAAGACCAGCAAGCTGCAAACTCTGCTGCTCATGATGGTGGTGTAATGCAGGGGTTTGCAGATGGCCACATAGCGCTCATAGGACATGGCAGCCAGAAGAAAAAATTCAGTTGCCCCCAAGAGAATAGTGAAAAACAGCTGTGCTGCACAATCGTTGTAAGAAATGGTCTTATCACCTGTTGCCATACTAACAAGAAATTTGGGAATGTAGACAGTTGTGAATGAGACTTCTAAAAATGAGAAATTTCGGAGGAAGAAATACATGGGTGTCTTGAGATGCAAATCCAGTAGGGTGAGAGTGATGATGGTTAGATTCCCAGTGATGCTCAACATGTAGGTGAAAAAAAGGAGAAGAAAAATAATCACCTGTAATTGTGGATCATCTGTCAGTCCAAGAAGAATAAAGTTTGCTACTGTTGTATGGTTTCTCATAGTTGATTTCTATTTTTAAAAATAAGAAGAAAAATTAGAACAGAAGAGGAAAGGTCTGCATGAGATACCCATTTTTCTTGAAATCCACCATAAAGACATTGCTACCCACACCCGACCTCCTTTAACAGCAGCCTATAAAAATTAACTTATGTGATTTTTACTCAAAATGTTGCTAAATACATGCAACTTTTTGAGTTTGTTCTGTTTTCTCAATGGCCATAAATGTAAGCATTGCGAAGGGATAATATGTTGCATCGATAAAAGTCATGTCAATATAAAAACAAACACAAGAACTATCATAATATTTCAACTTTTATATTCTGTATTTGAATTTTTTCTGAAGTATTTAAATTATTTTATACCATCTGGTGATTCACTCTTTGCTCAATGAAGTTTTTTTCTGTGTTTGTTAGTCTTTTTTCTAGACTTTGCTATTCATTAATTCAGATTTCAGCTGAGAACTCTGTCTTTTAAGATCAAAGCAAAGTTGATTTAAACATCTCTTGGCTTCCACAGTGGGAATTCAATACCCTCACCAAACTTCTAAAAACTCTCCAAGGTCTCCATCCTCATGACCATTTTTATCTCTGCTTTCCCAATTTTCCTGAAAACTTGAATTTACATTTATCTCACTCACTCTGCTTGTTCTCTTTTCTGTATTTACTCAAGCAGATATAAACTCTATCCTCATACATGATGCTTGTGTTATGTAGTGCATTTGCAGAATATTTGCAGTGACAGAGGAGGGTCCTACAAAACAAACTATTTAAAAATAAAATGTGGCTTGTGCCTGTAATCCCAGCTACTTGGAAGAATGAGGCAGGAAGATTGCTTTGAGACCAGGAATTCAAGGCTTCAGTGAACTATGATCATGCCACTGCACTCCAGCCTGGATGACAGAGCAAGACCATGCCTATAAATAAATCAGTGAAAATCAAATGTTAGCTGGACTTCCCTCGTAATTGTCATTAGTGTCACTGCTCTGCATGTTTCCCCCTGTTGCCATGGCCATCTCTTTTCTTCTGTATCTTATTCACATCCTCTCTCTCTTTTCTAGTTCAGCACATAGCAATTCAAAATTATGTTAACTTTTTTATTTTTCTTGTTTTTCTATCTTTTTCCAGACCATGCTTAGGTCCTCACGTTTATCACCTGACAAGTCTATCATCACCAAGTTTTTCTTAATAATGACAACACTTTCCCCAAGAAGAATATTGTGCCATATGTTAAACTGTATATGAACATTATTACATTGTGTATATTCCAGCTCTGGAGTGAAACACATACACAAGCATTTCCAGTGATTATAAATGATTACAAAATAAATAAAATTTTGTCCTAATCTCTCTTCATTTTCTTTTGTACTTTTCCCCTTCCTTTCCCATTATTTTTGGTTGATCATTTTTCTAAAAATGTATGGTCATTTAAATGTAGTCCATATTCATTAGGAAGTTTTTTAAAATTAAAAATCATAGTTTATATTAAAGCTCAAAAAACACAGGAAAACCTCAATCAACAAAAGATGAGTTATAAGCCAGAGAATGCAGTCAGAAAGTAATTTATATGGACACTGTCCAGCCTAAATTTAAATTATAAAATATAAAAATAACAAGCAAAACAGCAATGAAAAAACTATTATAACCTACTTGACAGCATTAATTTTCTACTGAATACCACAATAAAATGCTTGCTGGGTGATAGTAAAATAGTCATATGTTTCCAACCACCAGTATAGTCCCAAAGGCAACTGCAGCTGTTTTGGCAAGTTATAGGTAAGATAGATTCCTTTGGGATATGAAAAGTAGATTTTACATGAAATGTTTAAATAACATTGAATGCAACATGACTACATATAGGGAAAAATTTTTTCAAGTTCAGGAAAAAAATTATTTTTTCAGTATTATATTTCACAATGTTTACAAAGACTATGAATACTAGAGGCATATGCAATTATAATTACAGAAGGGAAAATGCATTCATTTAATAAAATGCATTCCTGAGATTCAATTGTATGTTGCAAAGAATATTTCATCAAAACTAGGCATCTGCAAGGTGAAAGGTTCAAAGCTTTCTTATAACACACTTAATTTTTTCAGTACAACTTCTCAAATGGTTAGCTTAATGTTTGCTTTGTAAAAAACAAAAACAAAAACAAACTAGTTATAATTTCATGCCATACTGTTTCAATAGCTTTACAAAGAAATTATTTTCTTCCTCTAGCTTCATGCAACAAAGTTAGTATGATTAAAATAAAGACATAATTTTTTCCAAACTTTAATGTATTTAGTAGCAATTTCATTCCCAATTGTCTTTTTTCAGGTAAGTCCCAGCACAGAGGTAATTTTTGAATATTGCATCTTCTTATATTTTTATGTTGCTTTTGTCCATATTTCTCATCCAAAAAATACATTAATGCCAGAAACACTCAGGATGTTTAGGCTTGAAGATTTTATTATGACATTAATCTTACCTAGGTTCATTTCTTCTCATGATTTTTATTAATAAGATGTTCTCTGATTTATGTTGTATTAAATTAAATTTGGAGCATATATCTACCTCTATGTTTATCATATCTCTTCTATATATACATATATGTGTATATATAATCTAGAGAGAAGAAGAACAAAGAGAAGGTTTCTAGCTTGTTGTTCACGCTGAGGTGTTTCTAGTCTATACGAGGAATACGATAGCTTATAGTTTTTAAGACTGGAAGAACTATAATCCTTTTTATACACTGTGCCATTTGTCTCAAGAGGATTAACTAATTTAGTAATTTTATAAAAGAAGGAAACATTTCCCTGAAGACTATTGGACTAGGATGCTGAAGATGTATTAAAATCATTTTATTGAGTGGCAAAAACTCTATAATTCATAAGCTGAAGTTTAAAAACCAGAAAAGAACTACATTTTGAGGTGGCTATATGTTATAAACTATAAGGCAGTTTAAAAATACTTAAGTTGGCTTACATGTTCATAAAAAACACACATTTCAAAAAAGAATAAACTCACTGATCTATAGGGTGAAACAACTTCAGAGCATTACTAAAATTTTGGATTCAGATTAATTCAATAAAGACATAAATAAGACTTATAAAGACTTACATTCCTTAGGTTCACTCTCAATGCTATCTTTTCGGGTGGCAGATTTAGATACAATCAGGTTTAGAATCTAGAGAGCTAGGCTATGTCATCATTAGCAAAGAAAATAGTGTGTGAGGTGACATTAGTATGTCAGGGTCAAAAGTATAAAAAATTGGATTGAAGAGAAATAAGGCCAGTGTTGAGTTTCTCAGGACAGATACATGCAAGTCAAACGTGTTTGCACCTGCTAAGTGTCCACATCCATTCTGTAGGAAAATTTTATTGGTTCTACATAAAAATTTTATTTCAAGTGCATGTACTTTTTAACATTTCCACTGCTAAGTACTTAAATACTAGCTGCCATAGCAGATAAACTTTAAAATTATTAAGGCTTGAACACCACACATTTTTAAACATTTTAATGATGTATAAAATGCAATTATCCTAATTGTACAGTTTGGTCACCTTTCATGTGAATATATCCACGTGAGCAGCATTCAGATGAAAAAACAGAAAGTTAGCAGTATTCCAGAATTCTTGCTCTTCCTCCCTTCTGGTCATTCACCCTTCAAGCCTATCACTATCTTGAATTCCAACAGAACAGATTTGTTTTGCCACTTTTAACAAAATAGAAAGCATTTATTGAAACTTTAAGGTCAAATATGCAGCATGTAGGGCAGCGATTGTGTGCGTTTGTTAGGAGAGGTGAGATGGTGATGTTTAACCCTATGCAGTCATTCGGAGTCTACCTAATTAACACTGACATCTTGAATGTAGATCTACAGCCAGCAGGGCAGGATAAGAAAAAGACAGAGCAATGAATTACTTAGGAGGTTTTTATTGTGAGGCATGGAAGTGATTTTCATAACGTCCATTCACCTTCCATTGGCATGGAATGAATTCAGTTACGTAGCCAAACCTAAATACTAAAATGTTGGGATATCTAGTCTAGATGGGTCCAGCAAGAAAAGTTTTGTGATGAGATAAGCAGTGTCTGCTACAATTTCCATCATTCTAATCCAACCTACAATTTTTTTTTTTTTTGAGACGGAGTCTCGCTCAGTCGCCCAGGCCGGAGTGCAGTGGCGCGACCTCGGCTCACTGCAAGCTCCGCCTCCCGGGTTCACGCCATTCTCCTGCCTCAGCCTCCCGAGTAGCTGGGACTACAGGCGCCCGCCACCATGCCCAGCTAATTTTTTTTGTATTTTTAGTAGAGACGGGGTTTCACCGTGTTAGCCAGGAAGGTCTCTCTCGATCTCCTGACCTCGTGATCCGCCCGCCTCGGCCTCCCAAAGTGCTGGGATCAACCTACTATTAAAACAGAAAAAGTTTCCTCTTCCCCCTCACAGGGCATGCGATGGGGGAGTGGCTCACTTCTTGGGTGTCCCACTGCTGAAACCTCCAGGGGAAGCATGCAGACGGGCAGGTTGTGGGACTCCAACTCCATGGGAATTTCTCGGGGTGAATGTTTCCAGCTGAAGTCCCAATGGGTGAGTATTACAGAGTGCTCTTTTAGTTTAGCTGTCTGTAGGCAACTTGTGTTAGTCAGCTCAATTACACCCTTTGCCTTATCGCAAGGACAGCGGGCTTTCTGTATCCTGGGGTTTCTTGCCTTGGTGTACTGGAAGAATCAGAGGACATGTCGGCTTGGAGAATGAGTGCAAGGTTTTATTGAGTGGAAGTAGCTCTCAGCAGTGGGGAGCCAGAAGATGATGAAGTGGGAAAGGAGTTTTCCTCTGGAGTAGGGCCGCTCATCGGCCTGGGCTTTAGCTCCAGTCACCCCGGCCAAACTCCATGTCGTTCCACTGGTAGATGGTCTGCCGGTCTGCTGGCATCTGTCAGTGTGCTCTTCCACCAGCGTGCTCCCTTTGATGTCCTCTCTTGATGTCTAGCCACCTGTGTCTTCTTCCACTGATGTGTTCCTCCTCACTTCTTGGATGCCCCACTACTCAAACCTCTAGGGGGAGCATGCAGACGGGCTTTCTGTATCCTGGGGTTTCTGGCCTTGGTGTACTGGAAGAATCAGAGGACATGTTGGCTTGGAGAATAATTGCAAGGTTTTATTGATTGGAAATAGCTCTCAGCAGATGGGGGAGCCAGAAGGGTGATGAAGTGGGAAAGTGGTTGTCCCTTGGAGTCGGGCTGCTCATTGGCCAGGGCTCTCCTCCAACCACCCCGGCCAAACTCCATGTCGTTCCACTGGTCGATGGTCTGCCAGTCTGCGGGCGTCGGTTAGTGTGCTTTTCCACTGACATGCTCCCTTTGACATTCTCTGGATGTCTAGCTGCTGTGTCTTTTTCCACTGATGTGTTCCTCCTGATGTCCAGTCAATTGTGTGCCTGCCCCCTAGAGTCTCAGGGGTTTTATAGGCACAAGATAGGGGTGTGGTGGACCAGGGTGGTCTTGGGAAATGCAACATTTGGGCAGGAAAACAGAAATGCCAGTCTTCACTTAGGTCCATGGGTACAGGCCTGGGGGTGGAGCCTTAGCCAGGGACCACGCCCTTCCCTTCCCAGCACTTTCCTGCTCCCCTTTTGTATCACTCCTACCTCCCACCCGTACTTAATAACCTGTAGTAGCCTTATAAATACTTTTTTGCTTTCTTCCATTATTGAATCGATTTTCTATGGAGAATCTAAAATTATGTTTCCTAAAATTTAATTCAGATTATGCCACTTTTGTACTAAAATTAGGTCATGAAATATATTTGAAATGCAGATTATGACTGGCCAGCAAAACATCCCATGGCATAGCCCCTCACTACCCCATTTAACTTCATGTCCTTCCACTCTTTCCCTATTTGCTATGTTATTCATTAGAACATGGACTTTCTTTCCATTCCTCAAGCTCTTTGTCACCTCTCCTTCTTACCTTCACCCCTGCTCCACCTCCAAATTCTAGGCCTAAGATTAAATATCATCTCCATAAAAATATCAGTTTGAGAAGAAGAGCATATGTGAGGAGAAATGTCCAATCTTTAAAATCTTTATTTCAGACTTTGGTTCTTCTGAATACAGTCAATATTTGTTTTTAAATATCATTTCTTCATAATCCTTTTTCTCCTAGTTCTACAAAATTATAAGTGCTTCAGAGCTGAGAATATGTTCATTGTATTGTTCATCTTTAATACTTAAGATATGGAATATCCCTGACACTAAACACAAATTGAATAAATATGTGTTTAGCAATAAAAAGGTTGAATTATTTGGATATGAAAATAGTTGCAGGTTACTCTGAGATTCTGAACAAGAAGAAATAAGATATAAGGCACTGTCACTGACTAAGAGAGCATAGGAAGAGGAAGTCTTGGCAGTAAGCATGGAGGAAAATTGGAGGAGTTGGACTGTAATGAGAAGCTAATTTTTAAACATTCAATTCAGGAATTCATCTGTATACAAATCCTCTGATATAACTCTTCTCAAATTTTGAATAAAATAACCAACACTAAAAAAAAGACAGTAATTCAAATTTGTGCAACTCTGAAAGCATTTGAATATAGTATTAAAATGTTTTAAAATATGAAAAATGCATCCAATTTTTATGCACTGAGCAGCAGACACTCATGATTGAATGAAATAATCTTCAATTTCTCTTTAGTTTCCTTTTTTGTCTTAGAAAAATTGAATACACTGCCAAGAAAACTGCTCATTATGACTAAGGAATTTTGTGCGAGCGAAGTAACTTAATAACTGTGTTATTTCTCCTCCCTAAATATTATTTCAGTAGGTTTATTATTTTGTTGTTATTAATACCGAGTTCAAAAAGTCAAACATTTTATAACTCTGTTAATGAAAATTAGTAGCCGTCTGCTCCAGTCCTCATCCTCCATAACTCCTACTCCCAGAGACTTCCACTGTTAGCTTTTATCTTCCTTTTCTATCCAGTACTATTTCTTAAATGATATTTTCAGTTGTAGTTTAGTTATTGGCTTTTAAGTATGAAAGACGAACATTTGATTTCTTACACTTAGCCCTCCTATACACATTTCTTTTTTCTCTGTCTTTTCATTTTATTTTTTGTAATAATTTTATTATAATTGTCAGTAAAATTATATTCTAATTTGTTATTTTGACAACGTAATTTTTTTCCTAGTTGAGCCACACCTTACCCTTATTCTGTTTCTTTATTCATCAATGTTTTGTTTCCACTGGGCCTAATTAAAATAATTGCATCGATATTTATGCGCTCTTCAGCGTTCCTTCTCCAGGCTAGCCAACAGAAGAACAGATATACCCTCGATAGATTCAAATACATTAAGCGAACCCTCACTTTTTTTTTTTCCTCATCAGCATCAGTCCTGGAGTTATTTCTCTGCCAAGCCATTACAGCTAGTTGATTTCTGGGGCTGACGCACAACTTTTGTACTGAAATGGATGTTTCCATAATCATGGAAACTATATTCACCTTTCTCCTGTTTCCATGTGTTGACACAAATGGAGTTTTTAAGCTTCCTCATATTAGGATTCTCTCTTTGAAGAAAGCAATTACAAATTATCAGTGATAAATTCAGAAGCACTGAAATAGGAACAAAAATAAATTTTGTTTAGAATGAGAATCATAACAAGTCACAAATTAAATTAAGATATTAAAATAATAAAATCCAGAAAAAATATTAAATGCCAGTTATATTTCTCTGATACTTTTTCCCTTACATTTTTGACTATATTACTTGATGATACTCCACAGTTCTGGGTTTTTGTTAACTAATTATTTTAAATGTTAAATTCAGTGACATTTAGTACATTTACGATGTTCTGCCAGCACTATCTATGTTAAGTTCTAAAACATTCTGAATATCCCTAAAGAAGAATGGTATGCATTAAGCAGCCATTCTCCATCTCTTTTCCCCTCAGCCCCTGGGTCATATCTGTCTGCTTTCTGTCACTATGTATTAACCTATTTTGGATATTTTACATATACGCAATCAGGTATCTACCTGATTTCAATTATCCAGGTATATACCTAGGAGTTAAATTGCTATATTATATGGTAATTCTAACTTTTTAAGGAATTGCACAACTATTTTCTCCAGTGGCTATACCATTTTTCATTCCCACCAACAATGTACAAGCATTTCAATTTCTCACATCCTCCCCAACACTTATTCCTACTTCCCCCGCCCCACCCCAGGCTTTTTTTGTTTTTTGTTTTTTGGTATACTCATCCTAGTGGGTTTGAAATGGTTTTGATTTGTATTGCCATAATGACTTAGATGATGAGCATCTTTGCATGTCTTTCTGGCATGGCCTGGGAAAGGTGGTAGTGGTTCTGGACTGACCTGTAGTGACCTGTGATGCCATGCCATGAGGGACATTCACGACTTCATTCCAGAGCTGCTGCCAAAATGCCTGGTGCCACAGCCCATGGGGGACTGTCTTCGAGGACTGCCCCGCCTGCCTTGCGGGCAGTGTCCGCGGGACTGTGTTCGTGGTGCTTAGGTTCAATATCACGTCTTCCGTGTGCTGCCTTATTTCCTGCTTCGAAAATGTATTCACGTGGAAATCCAGTGGACCAAGATTCTGCAGGGGCCTTGCCAGATGGTTCCATAACCGTAGAGTCTAAATACTATTCATTACAGAAATTAATACTTCAGTTGAAAGAAGTACTGATGATTTTTCAAAACAAATGAACCATTGTAGTTTACACAGAACCATATTGTAGAGGTTTGTCGTTAGCACTTATTTTTGCATGTTGACTACCTAATAAACTGTAAATGTAAAACAAAAATGTCTTTCTTGGTCATTTGGAGAAATGTCTCTACAAATTCTTTGCAGATTTAAAAAAATAGGCTGTTGATTCTTTGTTGCTGAATTGTAATCGTTGTTTAAATATTCCATATACTAGAACCTATTGTTCCCATTCTGTCAGTTGTCTTTTCACTCTTCATAACTTCAAGGTCATGAAGATTTACCCTGTATTTTTTTTCTAAGTGTTTTATAGTTTTGACTCTTACATTTAGGTCATTGATACATGTTGGGTTACTTTTTGTATACAGTGTGAAATAGGAATCTATCTTCATTCTTTTGCATGTAGCTGCCCAATTGTCCCAGCATTTTTTCTTGAAGAGACTATTCTCTCCTCATTCAATGGTCTTCATATTCTTGTAAACAATTAATTTTAGCCATAGATGTATGGGCTTATTTCTGGATTCCATCCCAGAAAAAGTCTATTTCATTTTTTGTTATACCTATTCTTATGCCAGTACCACATTTTTTAAGTTATTGATGAAGATTTGTAGTAAGTTTAGAAAGTGAAAAGTGTGTCCTCCCACCTGCTTCTACTTTTTAATGGTTGTTTTGACTACTCAGGATTCATTGCACTTCCACATAAATTTAAAGGTTGGCTTTTCCATTTCTGAAAACAATGCCCTTGGAATTTGATAGAGAATGCACTGAATCTGCAAATCGTTTGCACAGCATTGGAATCTTACCAACCCATGAACATGGGATGTCTGTCTACTTATTTAGACCTTTAACTCCATTCAGCAATGCTTTTAGTTTACAGTACACAAGTATTTCACCTTCTTGGTTAAATTTATGCCTAGGCATTTGGTTGTTTTTGATGGTACTGTTAATTGAATTGTTTTCTTCATTTCCTTTTCATATTAGTCACATTTATGTATAGAAATACACATTATTTTTATGGACTGATTTTGTATTCTACAATGTTGCTGGATTTTTTTCAGCTTTAATATTTTTGAGTGGATTCTTTAGGATTTTCTGTCTGTAATATTATGTGTTCTGAAAATAGGGATAGCTTTATTTCTTTTCTGATACAAATGTCTTTTTTTTCTTTTATTTTCCCCAATTGTCCTAGCCAGAATTTCCAGTACAACGATGAATAACAGTGGCGAAAGGGTGCATCCTTTCTTATTCCTGATCTTTGGGGAAAGTCTCTTAGTCTTTCACAATCGAATAGATTTTTGTTGTGGGTTTGTCATGAATGCTGTTTGTCAGATTGAGGAAATTACTTCCTATTCCTAGTTTGTCATGCTTTGCATCATGAAAGTGTTTGAATTTTGCAAATACTTTACCCGCATTAATTGATATGATCACTTGTTTCACCCTTTCATTCTGCAATGTGGTGTATTATATTGATTGATTTTCTTTTTTTTTTTTCCTTTAACTTTTATTTAAGGTTCAGTGGTACATATGCAGGTTTGTTTTGTAGGTAAACTTGCTTCACGGGGGTTTGTTGTACAGATTATTTCATCAGCCAGGTAAATAAGCATAGTATTCAATAGGTATTTTTTCTGATCCTCTCCCTCCTCCAGCTGTCCACCTTTAAGTAGGCCCCAGTGTCTTTTCCCCTCTTTGTGTCCAAGTGTTATCATTTAGCTACGAGTTATAAGTGAGAACATGCAGTATTTGGTTTTCTGTTCCTGCATTAGTTTGCTTAGGATAATGGCCTCCAGCTTCATCAGTGTTGCTGCAAAGGACATGATCTCATTCCTTTTTATGGCTGCATAGTATTCCATGGTGTATATGTACCACATTTGCTTTATCCAGTCTACCATTGATGGGTTGATTCCATGTCTTTGCTATCGTGAATAGTGCTGCAATGAACATATGCATGCATGTGTCTTTATGGTGGAATGATTTATATTCCTTTGGGTATATACCCAGTAATGGGATTGCTGGATCGAAGGATAATTCTGTTTTTAGTTCTTTCAGGAATTGCCATATTGCCTTCCACAGTGGCCGAACTAATTTACACTCCCATTAGCCATGAATAAGCATTCCCTTTTCCCCACGTTAAGCCATCATTGCATTCTTAAGAGTCATTCCATTTTGTCATAATACATAACCCTTCTAATATGCTGCTGGGTTTGTTTTGCTTGTTTTCTGTTGAGGATTTTTATATCTACATTCAGAAAAATATAGGTATGAGGACTCCTTTCACTGTATTCCATAAGATTTGATATGTGTTTGTTTTTATTTGTCCCCAAGTTCCTAATTTCCCTTGTAACTTCATCCTTAACACATTGATAGTGTGTTATTTAATTTCTACAAATTTGTTAATTTTTAAATTTTTCTCTCATTAATTTCTAGTTTCATTCCATTGTGGTTTAATAAAATACGTCATATGATTTGAATTTTTAAGTTCCTATTGAAATTTGTTTTGTGGCCTAACATATGGTCTCTTCTAGAGTACATTGTATATACACCTGAGAAAAATGTACATTCTACTGTTTTGGGGTGGACAATTCTCTATATGTTCTAGATCTAGTTAGTTTATAGTGTTTTTCAAATTCCCTATTTCCTTACTAGATCTAATTTGTTCTGACAATTCACTGAAAGTGATGTTTTGAAGTTTTCAACTATTATTGTATATCTGTTACTACCTTTAGCATTGTAAAGGTTTTATTTACATATTTGGGGCCCTTCTCTTAGGTTAGTATATGTGTATAATTGTTATATCTTCCTAATTGGTTAATACTTTGACCCTTATAAAACATTTTTACTTAAAGTTAATTTTTATACTATTAGGATATCTATCCCAGCTCTAATTTGGTTATTATTTTCATAGAATAATTTTTTCTATCCTTTCACTTTCCATCTATCCATGACTTTGAATCTAAATTGAGCCACTCTGAGTATAAAATTAAATCATATTTTAAATACATTCTGCCTATCTTTGCATTTTCATTGGAAAGTTTATTCCATTTGCTTCAAAAGTAAATACTGGTACGAAAGGGATAATCTCTGATATTTTGTTATTGTTTTTGCATGAGTTTTAATTTTTTTGTTTCTCTATTCTTTCATTACTGCTATCTTTCTGTTCAATTGATTTTCTGTAGTATATTTTTATTTCTTTCTCATTTCCTATGCTATTATATTTTTATTTATTTACTTAATGGTGACCCTGGGGATTAAGATTAATATCTTAAATTTATAACAATATATTTTGCATTTATACAATGTTAGTTTCAATTGTATACAAAAATATACTTCTATACAGCTCCAATTTCTTTCTCTTATATTGTTGTTACAAATCACAACTTTATATATTGGAAACCCAATAACACAGATTTATAACTATTGTTTTGTACATTTGTCTTTTAAGTCATGTAGGAGAAAAGTAGAGTTTAAAACCAAAAATATAATAATACTGACTTTTGTGTTTACCAATGTAGTTAACTTTATCAGTGTCCTTTATTTCTTCATCTGGCTTTGAGTTGCTTATGAGTATCCTTTTATTTCAGCCCAAAACACTACCTTTAGCATTTTTTGTAAGGCATGTCCACTAGCAAAAAACTCTCTCAGTTTTTGTTTATCTGGGAATATCTTATTTTTCATTGATTTTTGGAAGATTTTTTGCCAGCTGTAGAATTCTTGGCTGATAGATTTGCTTGTTTTTTATTTTAGCTCTTTAAATATATCATCCCACTAACTTCTGGCTTCCATGGCTTCTGATGATAAATCAGCTATTAATCTTATTGAGGATGTCTTCCGTATGTCTTATTTCTCTCTTGCTGCTTTCAAGGTTCTCTTTTTGTCTTTGGCTTTTGACAGTTTGATTATCATGTGTCTCTGTGGATCTCAGATTTATCTTTGTAGTTTGTTGAGCTTTTGGAATGTGTCATTTCATGTATTTTATCAAGTTAGAAAGTTTGGGGGCATTATTTTTTGAAACGTCCTTTCTGCCCCTGACTAGAATTGTATCACTATTTTAGGTAATCTTTCAAGAAAACAGTAAAATTCTTCTTGAAAGCAATTTCTTCACTGAGATGGCTAGAGAGACTTAGAAATAAACATGATGGCAAACTGCATAAATATATATTTTAAAAAGCAACCTATGATGGGGCAGATAAGAATGATGCACACATGTTGCAAGGTGAGAAATAGGTTAATGAGAGCCACATCCTCAACCTCTGTAGTATGAAGGCAAGAAATTATATCTGCACCAAAAACTTAGGAATTAGTAATACCTGAACATTAACTAAAACTATAGAGATATATGCCAAAAGAACCAATCAAAATTTTAATTGGCTATCTAAGAAAAGGTAAAAGAATCACAGCTGTTTTTCATAGTAAATATTATTAAATATTTTGCATTATTTACATGGATAACTTGAATAAAATTTTTAAAAATAAAATACATAATGTAAAATAAAAACAACTCTCTCAAACTATAAGTACTCCCAATCATGATGTTCTCTGCTCACTACCAAAGGATTTTTCTATCAATTTAGTGTAATGGAATATGCGAGGATGTGCCAAAATGTATTTCATCATATTGAAAATTGAGAGGAAAATGTTTATTTTATTGTATCTTTAAATGATAAATTATCATTATCCCCACCAAAGTGGAACATTTATTACAGTCGATGAACCTTCTTGACACATTGTTACTACCCAAAAGTCCATAGTTATACTAGGGTTCACTCTTGGTGTTGTACATTCTATTGGTCTGGACAAATGTATGACATGCATTCACATGACATGTATTCAATATAATAGTATTATATGGAGTAGTTTCACTGCTCTAAAATCCTCTGTCTTCCACCCATTCATCTTCCCCTCCCTGCACCGCTCTTTTTATTACGTCCATAGTTTTGTCTTTTCCAGAATGTCATATCACTGGAATCATATAGGATGTAGCTCTTTTGGATTGATTTCTTTCTTAGTTATATGCATTTAAGTTTTCTCTATATCTTTTCATGGCTTGATAGCTTACCTCTTTTCAGTGATGAATAGTATTTTGTGGTCTAGATGTATTACAGTTTCTTTATCTATAAACTTACTGAAAGACATCTTGGTTGTTTCAAAGTTTTGGCAATTATAAAACAATTGATATAACTATTGTATGCAAGTTTGGTGTGGACATAAGTTCTCAGCTTTTTTTGTGTAAACATCAAGCAACATGATTGCTGCTGAATCATATAATAAGAGAATGTTTAGTTTTGTAGAAAACCACCATTCTGTCTTCCAAAGTGACTATACCATTTTGCATTCCCATTGGCAATAAATGAAGGTTTCAGTTGCTTTTTATTCTTTTCAACATTTGGTGTTATCAGTATTTTGAAATTTGGTCATTCTAATATGTGTGTAGTGACATTTCATTGTTGTTTTAATTTGCGTATCCCTTATTACATACAATTTTGAGTATCTTTTCATATGCTTTTTTACCATCTGTATATCTTCTTTGGTGAGAAGTCTGTTCAGGCCTTTAGCTCATTGTGTAATTGGGTTGCTGATTTCTCTAATTTTTGTTTTTAAGTGTTCTTTGCATATTTTGGATAACAGTCTTTTATTGGAAATATATTTTGGAAATATTTTCTCCCAGTCTGAAACTTCTCTTTCACTCTCTTGACCGTGTCTCTCACAGAGAAGGACCTTTAATTTTAATAAAGTACAGCTTATCACTTCTTTCTTTCTTTCATGAATGTGTCTTTGATGTCATATCTAAAAAGTCATTGCCATACCCAAGGTCATCTAGATTTTCTCCTATGTTATCGTCAAAGTGTTTTGTTTTGCGTTTACATACAGGTCTGTGATACATTTTGAGTTATTTTTTGTGAAGAGTGTAATGTGCATGTGAGCCCAGTTTCTTCTTTAGAATGCTATAATCTGAACGTTTGTCTTACCCCAAATTCATATTGTAAAATGGTAATCCCTGAGGTGATGATACTGGGATGTGGGGCCTTTTGAAAGGTGACTAGGTCATGAGTAAGGGCAGCACTCTAATGAATGAGGTTAGTGCCCTTATAAAACAGACTCCAGAGAGCTCGTCTGCCTCTTCCACCATGTAAGCTAACAGTGAGAAAGTGGCTTTTCATGAGGAAGTGAGCCGTTACCAGACATCAAATCTGCTGGCACCTTGATCTTGGACCTCCAAGATTCCAGAACTCTGAGAAATAAACTCTGTTGTTTATAAACCACCTAGTTTATGGTATTTTGTTATAATAGCCCAAAAAGACTAAGACACAGCATAATTTGTTGAAAAGGCTATTTCTTTATTGTATTGCCTTTTCTCCTTTGCCAAAGATCAGTTAACTATATTTATGTGGCTCTATTTCTATATTGTATCCCATTGATCTATTTGTCTATTCCTTCACTAGTATTAAGCTCTCTTTATTACTGTAGCTTTGTAGCAAGTCTTGAAGTCAGGTGGTGTCAATCCTCAAACTTTGTTCTTATCCTTCAATTTTTTTCTTGATTATTCTGGGTCTGCTGCCACTCCATATAAACTTTAAAGTTAGTTTGTCATTATCTACAAGATAACTTGCTGGAATTTTGATGGTAAATGCATTGAATCTATAGATAAAGTTGGGAAAAACTGACATCTTGACACTAGTGAGTCTTTCAATCCATTAACATGGAAGTTCTCTCGCTTTCTTTAGTTCTTTGATTTCTTTCAATGGAGTTTTATAATTTTTCTCATATACTTCTTGGGCATATTTTGTTACATTTATACTTAACTATTTCATTTTAGGGAGTACTAATGTAAATGGGTTGTTTTTAACTTCAAATTCTACATGTTCATTGCTGGTATATAGTAAAATGACTGACTTTTGTGTATTAACCTTGTAGCTTGTAAACTTGCTGTAATCACTTAGTTCAAAGAGATTTTTTGTTGATTCTTTTGTCTTGTCTACATGGGCAATCATGTCATCAGAGAAAATATACAGTTATATAGCTTCCTTTCCAATCACTATAGCTTTTATTTTCTATTATTGTATTAGCTAAAATGGGATTTTTTCCCTTTATTTTAGATAATCCTAACTTAAATTTTCTTATATTATTTTGAGGGTGTTACCTTCTATTTTCTCTGTTCACAGATGCTGAAATTTTTAGTTTTCAGGTGCTGAACTCCCTGGATTACTCTATTTTTCTTCTTCTTTTTTTAGTCTTTTAAAAAATCTTGTTCTAGTTTATAAAACTTTTCACCTTTATATTCATAACTATTTATTAAACTTTTAACTAATAAATACACAATTTTCAAAAGTTCTCTTAATACTTCTGTATGTTATTTTTATGCCCCTTTATTCTTATTTCATGAAGGTGAGGTAGGTTCTTATATTTCTGAAACTATTACTGGTTTTTGAAGAGCCCTTCCTTCTACTCCCTGTCTTCTATTGATGTTTCTTAAGTTTCCTTTTTCATTTATGTATTTTGGTATCTATTTTTGTGTTATAAATTTTCTCAAATTCTGGTTTATATTTAAGTGTGAGGGGGGAAATACTCTCTGAAGCTCTGTGTATACTGAAAATGCTCATTAGGTAGAGTGCTGTACTTCAGGGTTATCCAGCTTTTCTACAGTATTTTCTTTCAGATTGCTAAGTTTCTCCAGAAATAAATCTTCTAGATTTCAGCCTTTAAAGTAACAGCCTATTGCCTGCTAATGTTCTGGATCTGAGTGGCAGAAGAATCTGGGATTCTCACCAATCAGTACATATCCTTCCAGTTAATTCTCCGGCTTTTAGTGAAGCACTTCTTCCTCCACACCATCTCTAAACTGTGACATTTCTGTCTGATTCCAGAGTCCCTCCAGCGTTGTGCTCGAATGAGGAAGCAAAAGTTGCTGGCAAGAGTAAAAGTTATTTCTCAGATGGAAAAAATTCTAACTAATTCATTTATATACAAACTTTCAAGCCTTCCTTAGAAATCATTTTCCTTGTGGCCTTCTCATGTGTGTTTGACCTTGGAAATCTGCTTACTTCTAGGATTTCTCTACCAGTTTAGTTTCTCTGATAATTCCGTTATCACCTACCCATCTTTCAGCTTCCAAGTTTTTATTTTGTTATCTCTTCTACCACTCTTTTTTCTTATTGATTTATAACTTTTATTGTTTTTATTTCATTTGAAGTAGCATTTTCAGAGGAGAAAAAAAAATGTCTGGGTTTGACTTGCCCTAATTGTTTTTCTATCAATTCCTAAGAAACTCTAAAAAAGGAAAGAGGGAAAGACAGAGTGTAAAATAAATTTCTTTACACAGTGAAGTTGTTAACTGGAGCGAAGGGAGGATGACAGACAAAAATTGTGGTAGCTATACTAACTAAAATTAATTATTATTGTTATTATCATTATGGATTGAATATCTCTTATACAAAATGCTTGGGGCCAGAAGTATTTTAAATTTTAGATTTTTTTTTCAGATTTTGGAATACTTGCATATATATAGTGAGATATCCTGGGGACAGGACCCAAGTGTAAACATGAAATTCATCTATGTCATATACACCTTATAAACATAGCCTAAAGTTAATTTTATGCAACACTTTTAATAATTTTGTGCATGAAACATAGCACAAAACATCTCCTATCTTATGTTTTGCAGGATAAGAATGAAATTTATTAGAGTTTATCAAGGGAATCAATCACTCTGAGCATACAAGATATTGCATAGTAATTTTTTAAAGAAAAGGAAAAAAGATACTTTCCATAGAGAATCATAGTAACTGCAATTGGAACTTTAAGTCAATAAAAGTACCATGCCAATTCTCATTAGATACTTTAGCCTGGGGCAGTGAGGATATGTGTAAACAGAGAAGCGAGATTGAAATTTAAAAAAAGGAAAAAACACTTCTATGTTCTGGTTTATCTTTACTTCCCCTTCATAAAAAAAATTTTCCAGTTAGGGTGACATGTGTAAGCAAAATCAATGTAAAATTCTACAGATGGATTCAATGACGTTTCATTCAATACTACTTCAAACGTCATTAGGAGCATCATCATATATGCTGTCATTTCAACTGCTTCCCATTCTCCATACTCTAATTTCATGTATAGAAGCCTGTCGTCTATGACTGACTCCACTACTTCTCTAGCCTCTGAAATATATTTGATGTTCTTTCTCTCTTGTCTCACAAAACCAATGAATTAGCAAATAGCTCCTTTGTGGTTTCTCTTTCATTCTTCCCTACATGTTCCATCTCTCCCCTAGCACTGGAATATGGGCTTAACACCTCACACTAGCTGTATTACACTAATATCCTGGTTGATCTCTCTGAATCAAACCTGTGCTTTGTACCTCCCATCATTCTTGTTCCTCCAATTTTAATGCTGTCATTACTCTGCTTGAAAATGACCTCTTTACCTACATACTATTTCAAATTCATTAACTGCCTCCAGCTCCTTCTATGTTATGGCATAAATATACCTGTCAAGTCTTTTTTGCCAATAGTTAACTTTGAACATTTTGGCATCTATACCTGGTGAACCTCCAGTCCTCTGAACATAATGTATGCATTCTCAATTCAAGGTATTTTTTCAGGATACCTTCCACACCGCATTAACTGTAGCAGGACGAGAACAAAAACCATATATATGAATTATTTTTCACCAGCTAGAGTCAGGTTTCTTTTCAGCAAATGAACTAAACTTGTTTAATAAGAAAAAATAAAGTGATTCTTGACAGAAGATTAAGTCCCGACAATATGGGTTTAAAAAGTGATTGACGAATGTATCTATAGTAGGAAATGAATCAGAAACTGACAATAAAACGTTAATATTCCTGTCTTCAGTTTCCTCACCTGTAAAGTGTAGATCATATTAGCCCTAACCTCAAAGTTTACCATGGTAAATAACTTTAGGACAGAGATTGCCATATACTCAGCAATGTACATATATTAATTTTTCATATTATTCTCCCCTGAGCTTGCTTTCACATGCTGGTTGAATTCAGTAGTGAAGGATTTATCAGCCTTTCAGCTGTGCTGGTAAGTAAGTATAAGTCAAAAGAATGGATATAAAGCCTATTTTTAGCAATTGCCAATTTCCCCAATGAAGCATTATGAGCAATAGAGACAGATATTCAGATATTCTGTCTCCATTGCATATTTTCCACAAACAGCCAGTGTTGGGGCACTATCATTTTTTCTTTTTCTACAGTTTTAAAATATAGTACAGAGTAAGTATTATTTATAGTTATTTTACTCATTTTTGATCATAAACCTCACTAAGTAATGTTTTCTTTCCTAAAAGGAAATTTATAAGGACTATAAATCACTACTGAGAGTAGTGATATATAAGAGCTAATGGAGTTAGAAGTATTGCCTAGCTGAGGCAATCATTGATTTGGAGATCAATGTAGTATTTGGATCCAGAAGGTAAGTGGAAATGTCAGTTGATAAGCCATATAAAGGAGTTCAAGTAAAAGCTAGAAAAATATTGGAGAGTTGAGGACAAAGTTAATTTTCAGAAATAGACAGATTAAGGCAAGACAGAAGGTAAGTGGAAATCTCAGTTGATAAGCCATATAAAGGAGTTCAAGTAAAAGCTAGAAAAATATTGGAAAGTCGAGGACAAAGTTAATTTTCAGAGATAGACAGATTAAGGCAAGATTTCACTAAGGCAAGCACCCAAAATTTCAGTTAGAAAGGAGACATAAGTTCAAGAAATCTATTGCACAACACGATGACTGCTGTTAATAAAAATGTATTGAAAATTGCTAAGAGAGTAGATATTGTGTTCTCACGAAAAAGTATGTGAGGTAATGTATATGTTAATTAGCTTAGTCATTGCACATTGTATACATATCTCAAAACACCATAAATATATGCAATGTTTGTCAATTTAAAAAAATCTTAAAAAGAAAAAATTGTTCTGTGCTTTGAGAGGCTGGTGAAAAATGCACAGGACTGAAAACTTAGAGATACCGCAAATTTTAACACTTTTATTCTTTGAACTCTTCAGGAGGAATCACTTCTCTGAACCTGATGACCCTTGAAATAGTTTCTTTAACTGTTAAAGCTCTGATAAGATTTTTAATGCTCAGAATAGCTACTGAAATGTCTGGCATCCACATAGAATTGTGGCACCAGAGAGCTTATGTATTTCTAATGGAAAAGAAAATTTAAAATACTTCACTTTAAATTTAAATGGAAATAATTTGAACTGAATTGATAGTAAATTTGAACCAATAAATACGCAAGATATTATTCATTTCATGCAGGAAAAAAAAAAAAAAAGAAAGGCAAGTACCAGATCCAGATCTGTTATGGCTTCTCTGCACCAGACTTCATAGTGGGAACAATTTCAGTTATTGAGTCAAGGATGAGTCTGACAGATGTGATTCTTAACTTATTATTTGGAGTGCATCTTTTACCACTTAGCCATTTCTATGTAACAAATCTCCACTAAACATAGTGTATTCAAGCAATAATTATTTGTAATTGTTCTTGAGTTGTAAGTTGGCTAGGCAGATATGCTGGATTCTGAACTAGGTTCCTCCACATTTTTGGGAATCAGCTAGCTGTAAGCTGATCTAGAATGGACTCTTTTGGGATAATTCAACACTGCTTCAAAACATCTCTCTTTTTCCAGCATGCTGGCCTTGGCTTGTTCTCATGAGAATCACGTGTGTGCCAGAGAGAGAGAGAGAATATGCATGCATGGTTTCTTGACCCTTACACTCTGAATGGTGCAATATTCCTTCTGTCACATTCATTTTGCAAAAACAAGTCACACATCTAGACTAGATTCAAGAGATAAGGAAATTGACACAATCCTGATGAGAGGCACTCCTGAGTCACATCATAAAGGGCATGGCTGTTTTTTTCTTTTTTAATCTATCTACCACACAGCTCATGAAAAATCACCTAATTACTAATCACCTAACTGGGTGGTTTAAAACAGCAGTAATTGATGATGAGCATTTTTTCATGTGTTTTTTGGCTGCATAAATGTCTTCTTTTGAGAAGTGTCTGTTCATGTCCTTTGCCCACTTTTTGATGGGGTTGTTTGTTTTTTTCTTGTAAATTTGTTTGAGTTCATTGTAGATTCTGGATATTAGCCCTTTGTCAGATGAGTAGATTGTGAAAATTTTCTCCCATTTTGTGGGTTGCCTGTTCACTCTGATGGTAGTTTCTTTTGCTGTGCAGAAGCTCTTTAGTTTAATTAGATCCCATTTGTCAATTTTGGCTTTTGTTGCCACTGCTTTTGGTGTTTTAGACATGAAGTCCTTGCCCATGCCTATGTCCTGAATGGTAATGCCTAGGTTTTCTTCTAGGGTTTTTATAGTTTTAGGTCTAACATTTAAGTCTTTAATCCATCTTGAATTAATTTTTGTATAAGGTGTAAGGAAGGGATCCAGTTTCAGCTTTCTACATATGGCTAGCCATTTTTCCCAGCACCATTTATTAAATAGGGAATCCTTTCCCCATTTCTTGTTTTTCTCAGGTTTGTCAAAGATCAGATAGTTGTAGATATGTGGCATTACTTCTGAGGGCTCTGTTCTGTTCCATTGATCTATATCTCTGTTTTGGTACCAGTACCATGCTGTTTTGGTTACTGTAGCCTTGTAGTATAGTTTGAAGTCAGGTAGTGTGATGCCTCCAGCTTTGTTCTTTTGGCTTAGGATTGACTTGGCGATGCGGGCTCTTTTTTGGTTCCATATGAACTTTAAAGTAGTTTTTTCCAATTCTGTGAAGAAAGTCATTGGTAGCTTGATGGGGATGGCATTGAATCTATAAATTACCTTGGGAAGTATGGCCATTTTCATGATATTGATTCTTCCTACCCATGAGCATGGAATGTTCTTCCATTTGTTTGTATCCTCTTTTATTTCATTGAGCAGTGGTTTGTAGTTCTCCTTGAAGAGGTCCTTCACATCCCTTGTAAGTTGGATTCCTAGGTATTTTATTCTCTTTGAAGCAATTGTGAATGGGAGTTCACTCATGATTTGGCTCTCTGTTGGTCTGTTATTGGTGTATAAGAATGCTTGTGATTTTTATACATTGATTTTGTATCCTGAGACTTTGCTGAAGTTGCTTATCAGCTTAAGGAGATTTTGGGCTGAGACAATGGGGTTTTCTAGATATACAATCATGTCATCTGCAAACTGGCCATCAGAGAAATGCAAATCAAAACCACAATGAGATACCATCTCACACCAGTTAGAATGGCATCATTAAAAAGTCAGGAAACAACAGGTGCTGAAGAGGATGTGGAGAAATAGGAATACTTTTACACTGTTGGTGGGACTGTAAACTAGTTCAACCATTGTGGAAGTCAGTGTGGCGTTTCCTCAGGGATCTAGAACTAGAAATACCATTTGACCCAGCCATCCCATTACTGGGTATATACCCAAAGGACTATAAATCATGCTGCTATAAAGACACATGCACACGTATGTTTATTGCGGCACTATTCACAATAGCAGAGACTTGGAACCAACCCAAATGTCCAACAATGATAGACTGGATTAAGAAAATGTGGCACATATACACCATGGAATGCTATGCAGCCATAAAAAACGATGAGTTCATGTTCTTTGTAGGGACATGGATGAAATTGGAAATCATCATTCTCAGTAAACTATCGCAAGAACAAAAACCAAACACTGCATATTCTCACTCACAGGTGGGAATTGAACAATGAGAACACATGGACAAAGGAAGGGGAACATCACACTCTGGGGACGGTTGTGGGGTGGGGGGAGGGGGGAGGGATAGCTTTAGGAGATATACCTAATGCTAAATGACAAGTTAATGGGTGCAGCACACCAGCATGGCACATGTATACATATGTAACTAACCTGCACATTGTGCACATGTACCCTAAAACTTAAAGTATAATAATAATAAAATAAAATAAAAAAAAAAGAAAATCCTTGTAACCTCAAAAAAATAAATAAATAAATAAATAAACAGCAGTAATTTATCCTCTTACAGTTCAGGAAGCCAGAAGTCTGGAACTAAGATGCCAGCATGTCTGTTTCTTCTGAAGTCTCTAAGGGAAAATCTGTTCCACGCTGCTCCTCTCCTTCGATTTGGTGGTCAACAATCCTTGGTGTTCCTTGGTTTGCACAGTCATCACTCCAATTTCTACATCCATCTTCACATAACTGTCTTCCCTGTGTGTATGACTCTGTCTTCAAATCTCTCTCTCTCTCTCTGCTTATGTGACGACATTAGCCATTGGATTTAGGATCCACCCCAGTCTAGTTTAACCTCATCTTAAATTGATTACATTGCCAGGCCTTGTTTCTAAGTAAGGTCACATTCACAGGTATCAAGGATGAGAACATCAACATATCTTTTTGGGGAAAACAAACCAGTCCACTACAGTGACTACGTATATTTTGTAAAAAATGCTTAAGAGAAACAAAATACCATAAATGACACAGGCTATAAACATAGCCTGTAAATTTATGAAAGATGTAAAAGCTGAATCTGTAAGAAAGTGGGTAAGAAAAAGAGGAAATACCAATTAACTTGTAAAGTGACTGAGTTCTACTAGACCTCCACTATGAGTGTTCCCATGTCAATCACAAAGCATTCCTTATTATTTATTGTTGTCAAATTTTAGTTTCTTACAGTTCTAGAACCTTCTTTACAGATTATTAGAGTGATTTTCAAATAGTTTCTGTTTCAACCAAGAACAATAAGATACTGAATGAAAGAATTGGAAATAGCCTGTGGGTTTTCTCACCACAAAAAGTTGATAAGTATGTGAAGTAATGCGTACGTTAAAATAGCTTGATTTAGCCATTACACAATATGTGTATGTGTATATACATACGCATATATATCTTAAATATTTTTTTGGTCTCATAATTGTTATATATAACATCATGTTGTACACTCTAAATATATACAAGTTTTAATTGTCAAGAATATACTTCTTTTTACTGTGCTAGTTTGTTGGACACATTAACATGCACTACTAAATTTATTTTATAACCTCACAATCTACTTGTGAGTCACATGCAGCTGGTAGAAAACCATCATAATGGAGTCTTATGAGATGGTTATTGAACTTAGTTACATTAATTCAAGAATATCTGAGTTAGGCTTAAAAATTAAGAGATTATTGAAGGAGAAAGATTTAAAGGAATAGTTTTTTTTTTTTACCTCAAACTCCCATTACATGCAATAAATATGTACTTCAGCAAATCAAAATTAAACTAAAACAGTCAATACAAGTTGGAAATTTGTGGTGGCTTTTAAATTTTTCTGAAAATTAACAAAGAAACATGGAGGTTTGTTACTGCTTGAAGAAGAAACTGTACAATTAACAGAAACCTTGGTTAAGGAAGATTTACGGGAACATATATTATTGTTCCAGTTGCATTCTCAAAGCCGATATAAGCTTATTCTACTGGAAATATAAATTTTGCATAATTAAATTTGACAATCTTGTCTTCTCCATTGTTTTGAAAGCCAAATTCCCATGTAGGTGGCAACTTTAACTTAATAAAAATGTGACTAGACATTTTTAAGAGGTTAATATATTGAATTTCAAATTCAAAAGGGTCTGACTCAAACTATTGTGGCCACATCTCAATAGCTTTTGCCTTACCAAGTTACTTACATTTTCTGATTGTAATTTATCTTTTATGAAAAATATAGATATAATAATTATCTCTTGAGTTGTTGCAAGGGCATGTGTCAAAGACAGTTCCTCAATAAACCATGTTTGCTACTACTATTACTCTTTTGCTTTACTCTGGTGTCAAGCAAATATTTCTTGTTTAAACTCTAAGAAGAGCTTACTATTAAATAATTAATGGATAATTTAGCCAATGACTAAAAAAGTCCAAAATCATGTCACCAAATATTAATACTAAGGTAATTTTATTAAATAACTTTATTTAAACATACAACCCATATAAAGAATTTGTATTATGGACTCTTGGCATCTGCAAAACTTTACCTTTTATAATTTTTGTAAGGTTAGATGCCATGATTCGTTGTTACACTGCAATAGCTGCAGAATATACAGTGGTTTGTGGTGGCTGTTCTTACTTATCTTTCATAACTTTCCTTACCCTTTTTCATCCTGCTCTGTGCCCCAGGAGACTCGCATTTATACATTGCATCAACATTCTTGTCCCCATGTTGTATTTGGTTTGGCTTAGAACAGAAGCCAGCAATAGATTTGAGAGAGTCAGATCAAAATAAGGTTGGGATGGCTGCCTTGCTGTACTAAAGAACAGAGATCCTATCAGGTGATTTTTTTTTAATAGTTGTAGCATTCTATTGGTTCCAGTTAACACTCCTTCTACTTGCCCCTTCAGGCCAAGAAGTGTAAAAGTTCTGTTGTATGATCTGTGTGGCTATTACCTAACCTTGTTCACAATTTCTAAATAGCCCTCTCATAAAGCGTTTTCTCACTTATCCCAATTCAGGAGTACCATCTCTTTCCTGCTAGGAACCTGAATGATACACAGAAATGCACCCACCAGTTAGTGATGAAATAAGAGCAACTCTTCCATTCCGTTTTAAGCTTTGGTTAGTAGGTTCTGCTGTCCCTACTTTGGAAGCATTCTTACACAATAGAAGTCAAAACACATCTAACTTCTGTAAGACTTTTTGAGTGATTGTCCTCTTGACAGCCCCTTTCACTTCATTGTTCCTCAGGCCGTAGATGATGGGGTTTAGCATAGGTGTGATGACAGTGTAGGACAATGACACTAGCTTCTTGCTCTCAGGGGACTGGTTTGATTTGGGCCGCAGGTAGGTCAGACTGGCTGTTCCGTAGAAGAGGGACACCACAATGAGGTGTGAGGAACAAGTAGAAAATGCCTTCTGGCGGCCAGTGGCAGAGGACATCCTCAGAATTGTTATGATAATGCGGGTGTAGGAAACCAAAATGAGACAAAAGGGAAACATGATAAACAGGAGTGTGGAGGCAAGTGCTTGCATTTCATACATGGTTGTATCCACTGTGACTAGTTTTAACACTGGGGGACCATCACAGAAAAAGTGGTCCACGGCATTTGGTCCACAGAAAGGAAGGGCCATCATCCAAGCTGTCTGTAGCATAGACACAGGAACACCGGACATCCAAGAGCCTATGGCCATCCACAAGCATAGGGACCTGTTCATTATGACTGAATAATGGAGAGGGTTACAGATGGCCACAAAGCGATCATAAGCCATCATGGAGAGAAGGAAACATTCAGAACTGCCAAAGAAGAAGAAGAAGTACATCTGGGTACCACAGCCCACAAAAGAGATAATTTTCCTTGGGGACACTAGATCTACAAGCATTTTTGGCACCATAACCAAGGTGAAACATACTTCAAGAAGTGACAGATTTTGAAGAAAGAAGTACATGGGTGTTTGAAGTGCGAGATCCACACTGGTAACTGTGACAATAAGAAAGTTGCCCAACAAAGTGACTGTATAAATGGCCAGGAAAAAAATAAAGAGGGAAACTTGCATCTCGGGGTTGTTTGTAAAACCAAGAAGAATAAATTCAGTGACTCTGGTGTGATTTTCACAGATCATATCTTAGATGAGTTTCTCTCTAAAAATCAAAGTATGTGCATCAAAGGGTATTAAATCAATATAGAGGTAATCTCAAAAATAATAATAACATCCATAAAACATCTTTATTCTCAGTTGTCTTACCATTCTGTTTCTCTGAAGCAGAAATGATGTTTATGATAAGATAAAATTAAGGAAAAATAAACATTCTGTATAAATCTTACTCATTGTTTACCACCTAGATGTAATTTTTTTCTCATGAGTAGTCATAGTCTGTGCTCATATTCTTCAACGTAGGCATGCTATTTTGTAGGATAAAGTGGAAAGAGTGTAGATAGATAATTAAAATAGAATAGTGTACTAATTTTTAAATGATTTCAGGATGCAATAAAGATAAATAATGGGCTAGTTTGACATTCTAATATTTAATTATATTAATCACATTTCTACTGAATATAGTACATTTTATACCATTCATCCACTATAAATATATACATATACCAACATGCCCAGTACACACACACACACACACACAAGAAACTTAATAAATAAACATAATATATGCTTATGATTTTGGTGCTTCTCTGTAGTCTCCATCAGCCTAATAGTTTATGACATTTTTATATTGTCTTTTGAACCATAACTCAACTTCACTGGGCCCCCACTTCTTATTATACATAGAGTTATAGTTATATTGTTTAAGCTATATTTTTTAAAAACTTCCAAACAAATATGACTTACAATAGAGAAATATCCTCCCAACACTCATCTTAACTTTTCTCTGCCAAAATAGTTCCTCTCATGACTGTCCATCTTCTTTAAAACTTCATGATCAGAAGTAGGGTACATATACTTACTTTTGTATGTCAGCTGATCCAGTCCCAAAAGCACTAATTCAACCATTACAAACTCAAATACTATATCTTACTTAGAGCAAAATATTTTGGCCAACATTAAATTATGCAATTGTTTTCTTTACAGGAGGTCATTCTTAGTACCAAAATTTAGCAATTACAGGAGGATGTGTTAGAAAAATAATTTTTTCCAAATATTAGAACTGGGTAAATATCGTATCAATTATTTTACATACTTTTTAAATTTAATTCAGAAAAAAATGCATATTTCATTTTATAGTCAAAATAATTTAAAATAGATATCCGCTCCTGAAGTCAGTAGGTAAAAACTTACAGTGTATGGAATCATTCTGAAACTGTGGCTCATTTAAATAATTCTATGTTTTAATTCTACTCTTAAGACATGTAACATCTTACCTGTGTATTTTCCATATTGTAAGTTCTCAAAGGAATGTCCTCAGTAGCAAAAAGAAAGGAACAACTCTGGTGATTTCAGGTTTCCCATGCCCTTGTAAGTCCCAAAATAATAGGTAACATGTGACAGTGATTACAACCATTACTCTCTCACTACTATTGCAAAACCAGCTTCACTATCATTCTTGTCATCAGGAATAGAAACAACAACATCATATTCCTGGTATATTCATAAAAACTTACGAAAAACTTCATATGCATTATCATGCTTACCTACATTTTGGAGCAATTCTAAACTTGTTATGGGTCTAAAATTACACCATCTTTTGTTTTGAAAAAATATGGGAGTTGATGAAGGCATCAAGATTTTATAGTAGTTACAATATTTAGTGCATCCTAAAATGCCTCAACCAACTGCCTCTCAGAATTCTAATATTAACAGTGGCAGAAAGCAGTACTAAGATGAATGGCTTTTCATTGAGTAATAAGTTCTATAATGTACAATCCATGTGAAATATGAATACGGATATCCAAAAATGGTCAGTTTCTCGAATTTTTAATAATTACCATTGCACATTTTTCACCTTTCCCAAAGGCATTTAAGTTTTAATAAAAGTTTAGACAATTAGAGGTTTATAATGTCACAGGATGTACCTCTAAATACTCCTCTCAGTCTTTCTATATCCTAAAAAGCCTACAGATTACTTTGCATATATTCACTAAACTAAGAGATTAATTAGCAGTGATGTTGCAATCACTACCACAAATTTATACTGATTTAAAAAAAAAACTTGCAGAGTGTTGAGTTGCCATGATTGCTACATTGCTCTAGAGAATGTACTGTTTTACTTGTCGCATGGCATTTTGATAACTTGATGTCATTTAATTAAGTTCATTAATTTAGTTGGTAATATCTTAATGAGTCCAAATAGTTTTTTTCATGTCCCATTAAGCAGTCAACTTTGGCCTTTTTTTTTTAGAAAATAGACTTTACCTCTTGTTTTAGCTAACTTTTTTATAAGTATATGTTTTCTCATAAAATTATTATGGATGAATGCGATTATATCTTCAGTATTTGGAATACAACATGAATCTGAGATAGTTATTAAATTTATCTAAATGGAGCAACACTTCTAACAACCCTACATGTAAATGAATAAATTGCCATAGTATCTGAATTAAAAGTACTTTGTGTAGTTATAATCCACAGTATTTCTTTATTACATAGCTACTGTTTTATTAATACTCTCTTCTTTAGCATTCTGTTGCTTTCCAGACAGAATGAAGGCCTCATTATTTTTTGTTTTCTTTTATTTTAGAGAAGTATAAAGTTATTCCTTTTCTGATAATTAATATTTCATTATTTATTTTTCTTAGAATGCTTTTGTAATACACAGATGTACAGATAAATTTAGATGTTTAACAAAATTGAGAAATATAACAAATCATAAAGAAATATCTGCATGTATCTTACCAAATAAAACCTCATATTTCTTCTGTAATTAGAAATTTAATGATTTTTTTAAAGATATGCAATATTTTCAGAGAAATGTTAAATGATCTTGAAACCTATTGATAGCTCAAATCTTCATAATGAAGTTAATACCTTAGACAGGCTAACATGCCTTGCACTGGCACTACATGGTTGCTATATTTTAGTAACAGCATTTAAAAGTGTGACTGGCCTTGAGGAAATGATCCCTGGATCACTAGAAAGGACTATAGTTAATTAGACAACTGCTTTTATCTCACAGGGGGAAATACAGAATGTTCATACAATTATCTATATTTCCTGTAAGTCATATTTGCAATTGAATATGCATTTCTCAATAATGGATATTTTGTGGTGGGGCTACTGGACACACTGGTCAAGTCTCTTGGAATTGCAACTTTTAACATGCCAGGCTATGTGAAGAACACAGATTTTAATTTTCTGTATAAGATTTTTGTATTTTTTGTGGGTTAAATTTTGGTTCAGTATTGGTGAGAGAAATTTATCTATGCTCATGAAACTTACATGATTTTTAAATTTTATTTTTAACTGATTTTTAAAATGTTAATATTTTAAACTTATTTCCATAATATTTTTAAATAATCAAATACATCAAATTCAGCTGATAATTGGCATGAATTTGATTGTTGTCTTATACCCTTAGTCATTTGGCTATTGGTTCGTTTTACTATGAGAACATTGTAAACAATACCATGGTTCATATACTATTTCAGTCAGTGGTGCCTTATAATGTCTAACATGGTTACTGTCAGGAAGAAGTAAGCAATTTTTGTATTCCTTGGGATTGTTTATTCTTGAAAATTTTGAGGTAATTTTAATATTGAGAAATAACATTATACTTTGAAGTATTTTGTAATGAGCAAACAGGACTGTGTAAATAACTCCCTTTATTTCCTTACACTATATTTGTTGCAGAAGCAACTTTTATAAATAAATATAAACTTTAAAACAGTTACAAATTAGCACAGTGGGAATAATTCAAAAAATTCGAATAAGTCTTTGGGGCAAAAAAAACCTTGAAAAGGCCCTTGGAGTTTCAGGTCAACCTATGCATGTACAGGAGCCTTAACAAACAGCTAGATAGGAAGGTTCATCATTTCCTAATTTTACTTCTTTCTAGAAAAGAAAAAGAAAAGCTTCCTATATTTCTAGAAGTTGAAGGAAAATTACTTAACCCTTATTTTCCCAGGAAACTAAATAATAGTATAATAGGTTAAAATCTAATTTTTTTTTTATTGTTTTGCTTTATTTTGTTTTGTTTTGAGACAGAGTCTCACTCTGTCACCCAGGCTAGAGTGCAGTGGAACAATCTCGGCTCACTGCAACCTCCGCCTCCTGAGTTCAAGCAGTTCTCCTGTCTCAGACTCCCGAGTAGCTAAGATTACAGGCGCCCGCCACTAAGGCTAATTTTTGTATTTTTAGTAGACACGGGGTTTCACCATATTGATCAGGCTGGTCTCGAACTCCTGACCTCAGGCGATCCGCCCGCCTTGGCCTCCCAAACTACTGGGATTACAGGAGTGAGCCACCGCACCAGGCCAAAATCTATTCTTTAAAAAAATGCAGCCGTAAAAAATGATGAGTTCATGTCCTTTGTAGGGACATTGATGAAATTGGAAATCATCCTTCTCAGTAAACTATCGCAAGAACACAAAACCAAACACCGCATATTATCACTCATAGGTGGGAATTGAACAATGAGATCACATGGACACAGGAAGGGGAATATCACACTCTGGGGACTGTTGTGGGGTGGGGGGAAGGGGGAGGGATAGCATTGGGAGATATACCTATTGTTAAATGACGAGTTAGTGGGTGCAGCGCACCAGCATGGCACATGTATACGTATGTAACTAACCTGCACAATGTGCACATGTACCCTAAAACTTAAAGTATAATAAAAAATAAAAAAAACAAAAAACAAAAAACAAACAAAAATCCCCCATAGGGTACACCTACATTTCAAACAAGTAAAATAAATCTCTAATCATTTCCAATAAAAAACCAAGTTGTAAAATATATTTGGCCTATCTTCATTCACACTTATACCAAATAATTAACTATGCACCATACTGAAGAAAACATTTGTAATATTGGGCAAGAACAATCAAGTGAAAAAATGGTCCATTACTGAATTACACATCAGGCTTTTGTTTTGTTTTTAAAATTTTTTAATGAAAGGTATAAGTTTGGTCATAGAATATACCCATGTAACAAACCTATACATGTACCCATGTATCTAAAATAAAAGTTGAAATTATATTATTTAAAAAGATTTATAAGACCTTAACAAGAAGACCATGCAAATCCCATTATCCGAAGATAAGGTGAAATTTCAGTGGAGTTATTTCTGCATTATCTGTTCCTAAATTAGTCTTACCCTAATCCCACCATGGAGAAACATCTTTAAAAAATGTAAAATACAACCTACTATATATGTGCCCAATTGCCACTCCAGAGTAGTCCAATTCCTTATCATGCAATTCCTAAAACTGAATTGTACAATTCATTAACTGACTATATATCACTGCCATCCTGTAGGTAGTTCATCATAATTACTTTAGCTGAAAACTTTTCATGTTGTTATAATTTTGGGCTTACCTCATTAAAAAGTGGGCAAAGGATATGAAGAGACACTTCTGAAAAGAAGACATTTATGCAGCCAATAGACACACGAAAAAATGCTCATTATCACTGGCCATCAGAGAAATGCAAATCAAAACCACAATGGGATACCATCTCACACCAGTTAGAATGGCGATCATTAAAAAGTCAGGAAACAACAGGCGCTGGAGAGGATGTGAAGAAATAAGAACACTTTTTTTTTTTGTATTACTTTGCAATCAAGAATTTTCTTTTTTTAATTTTTAATTTTATTATTATTATACTTTAAGTTTTAGGGTACATGTGCACAATGTGCCGGTTAGTGGCACATGTATACATGTGCCATGCCGGTGTGCTGCACCCATGAACTCATCATTTAGCATTAGGTATATCTCCCAATGCTATCCCTCCCCACTCCCCTCACCCCAAAACAGTACCCAGAGTGTGATGTTCCCCTTCCTGTGTCCATGTGTTCTCATTGTTCAATTCCCACCTATGAGTGAGAATATGCAGTGTTTGGTTTTTTGTCCTTGTGATAATTTACTGAGAATGATGATTTCCAATTTCATCCATGTCCCTACAAAGGACATGAACTCATCGTTTTTTATGGCTGCATAGTATTCCATGGTGTATATGTGCCACATTTTCTTAACCCAGTCTATCATTGTTGGACATTTGGGTTGGTTCCAAGTCTTTGCTATTGTGAATAGTGCCGCAATAAACATACGTGTGCATGTGTCTTTATAGCAGCATGATTTATAGTCCTTTGGGTATATACCCAGTAATGGGATGGCTGGGTCAAATGGTATTTCTAGTTCTAGATCCCTGAGGAATCGCCACACTGACTTCCACAGTGGTTGAACTAGTTTACAGTCCCACCAACAGTGTAAAAGTGTACCTATTTCTCCACATCCTCTCCAGCACCTGTTGTTTCCTGACTTTTTAATGATTGCCATTCTAACTGGTGTGAGATGGTATCCCATTGTGGTTTTGATTTGCATTTCTCTGATGGCCAGTGATGGTGAGCATTTTTTCCTGTGTTTTCTGGCTGCATAAATGTCTTCTTTTGAGAAGTGTCTGTTCATGTCCTTTGCCCACTTTTTGATGGGGTTGTTTGTTTTTTTCTTGTAAATTTGTTGGAGTTCATTGTAGATTCTGGATATTAGCCCTTTGTCAGATGAGTAGGTTGCAAAAATTTTCTCCTATTTTGTAGGTTGCTTGTTCACTCTGATGGTAGTTTCTTTTGCTGTGCAGAAGCTCTTTAGTTTAATTAGATCCCATTTGTCAATTTTGTCTTTTGTTGCCATTGCTTTTGGTGTTTTAGACATGAAGTCCTTGCCCATGCCTATGTCCTGAATGGTAATGCCTAGGTTTTCTTCTAGGGTTTACATGGTTTTAGGTCTAACGTTTAAGTCTTTAATCCATCTTGAATTGATTTTTGTATAAGGTGTAAGGAAGGGATCCAGTTTCAGCTTTCTACATATGGCTAGCCAGTTTTCCCAGCACCTTTAATTAAATAGGGAATCCTTTCCCCACTGCTTGTTTTTGTCAGGTTTGTCAAAGATCAGATAGTTGTAGATATGTGGCATTATTTCTGAGGGCTCTGTTCTGTTCCATTGATCTATATCTCTGTTTTGGTACCAGTACCATGCTGTTTTGGTTACTGTAGCCTTGTAGTATAGTTTGAAGTCAGGTAGCGTGATGTCTCCAGCTTTGTTCTTTTGGCTTAGGATTGACTTGGTGATGCGGGCTCTTTTTTGGTTCCATATGAACTTTAAAGTAGTTTTTTCCAATTCTGTGAAGAAAATCATTTGTAGCTTGATGGGGATGGCATACAATCTATAAATTACCTTGGGCAGTATGGCCATTTTCACGATATTGATTCTTCCTACCCATGAGCATGGAGTGTTCTTCCATTTGTTTGTATCCTCTTTTATTTCCTTGAGCAGTGGTTTGTAGTTCTCCTTGAAGAGGTCCTTCATGTCCCTTGTAAGTTGGATTCCTAGGTATTTTATTCTCTTTGAAGCAATTGTGCATGGGAGTTCACTCATGATTTGGTTCTCTGTTTGTCTGTTATTGGTGTATAAGAATGCTTGTGATTTTTATACATTGATTTTATATCCTGAGACTTTGCTGAAGTTGCTTATCAGCTTAAGGAGATTTTGGGCTGAGACAATGGGGTTTTCTAGATATACAATCATGTCATCTGCAAACAGGGACAATTTGACTTCCTCTTCTCCTAATTGAATACCCTTTGTTTCCTTCTCCTGCCTAATTGCCCTGGCCAGAACTTCCAACACTATGTTGAATAGGAGTGGTGAGAGAGGGCATCCCTGTCTTGTGCCAGTTTTCAAAGGGAATGCTTCCAGTTTTTGCCCATTCAGTATGATATTGGCTGTGGGTTTGTCATAGATAGCTCTTATTATTTTGAGATACGTCCCATCAATACCTAATTTATTGAGAGTTTTTAGCATGAAGGGTTGTTGAATTTTGCCAAAGGCCTTTTCTGCATCTATTGAGATAATCATGTGGTTTTTGTCTTTGGTTCTGTTTATATGCTGGATTACATTTATTGATTTGCGTATATTGAACCAACCTTGTGTCCCAGGGATGAAGCCCACTTGATCATGGTGGATAAGCTTTTTGATGTGCTGCTGGATTCGTTTTGCCAGTATTTTATTGAGGATTTCTGCATCAGTGTTCATCAAGGATATTGGTCTAAAATTCTTTTTTTTGGTTGTGTCTCTGCCCAGCTTCTGTATCAGGATGATGCTGGCCTCATAAAATGAGTTAGGGAGGATTCCCTCTTTTTCTATTGATTGGAATAGTTTCAGAAGGAATGGTACCAGTTCCTCCTTGTACCTCTGGTAGAATTTGGCTGTGAATCCATCTGGTCCTGGACTCTTTTTGGTTGGTAAGCTATTGATTATTGCCACAATTTCAGAGCCTGTTATTGGTTTATTCAGAGATTGAACTTCTTCCTGGGTGAGTCTTGGGAGGGTGTATGTGTCGAGGAATTTATCCATTTCTTCTAGATTTTCTGGTTTATTTGCGTAGAGGTGTTTGCAGTATTCTCTGATGGTAGTTTGTATTTCTGTGGGATCGGTGGTGATATCCCCTTCATCATTTTTTGTTGCGTCTATTTGATTTTTCTCTCTCTTCTTCTTTATTAGTCTTGCTAGGAGTCTATCAATTTTGTTGATCCTTTCAAAAAACCAGCTCCTAGATTCATTAATTTTTTGAAGGGTTTTTTGCGTCTCTATTTCCTTCAGTTCTGCTCTGATTTTAGTTATTTCTTGCCTTCTGCTAGCTTTTGAATGTGTTTGCTCTTGCTTCTCTAGTTCTTTTAATTGTGATGTTAGGGTGTCAATTTTGGATCTTTTCTTTAAGAATGTTGAATATTGGCCCCCACTCTCTTTTGGCTTGTAGGCTTTCTGCCGAGAGATCCGCTGTTAGTCTGATGGGCTTCCCTTTGTGGGTAACCCGACCGTTCTCTCTGGCTGCCCTTAACATTTTTTCCTTCATTTTAACTTTGGTGAATCTGACAATTATGTGTCTTGGAGTTGCTCTTCTCGAGGAGTATCTTTGTGGCATTCTCTGTATTTCCTGAATCTGAATGTTGGCCTGCCTTGCTAGATTGGGGAAGTCCTCCTGGATAATATCCTGCAGGGTGTTTTCCAACTTGGTTCCATTGTTCCCATTGCTTTCAGATACACCAATCAGACGTAGATTTGGTCTTTTCACATAGTCACATATTTCTTGGAGGCTTTGTTCATTTTCTTTTTATTCTTTTTTCTCTAAACTTCCCTTCTCACTTCATTTCATTCATTTCATCTTCCATCACTGATACCCTTTCTTCCAGTTGATCGCATCAGCTCCTGAAGCTTCTGCATTCTTCACGTAGTTCTCGAGCTTTGGCTTTCAGGTCCATCAGCTCCTTTAAGCACTTCTCTGTATTGGTTTTTCTAGTTATACATTCTTCTAAATGTTTTTAAAAGTTTTCAACTTCTTTGCCTTTGGTTTGAATTTCCTCCTGTAGCTCGGAGTAGTTTGATCGTCTGAAGCCTTCTTCTCTCAACTTGTCAAAGTCATTCTCCATCCAGCTTTGTTCCATTGCTGGTGAGGAACTGCATTCCTTTGGAGGAGGAGAGGCACTCTGCTTTTTAGAGTTTCCAGTTTTTCTGCTCTGTTTTTTCCCCATCTTTGTGGTTTTATCTACTTTTGGTCTTTGATGATGGTGATGTACAGATGGGTTTTTGGTGTGGATGTCCTTTCTGTTTGTTAGTTTTCCTTGTAACAGACAGGACCCTCAGCTGCAGGTCTGTTGGAGCTTGCTAGAGGTCCACACCAGACCCTGTTTGCCTGGGTATCAGCAGCAGTGGCTGCAGAACAGCAGATTTTTGTGAACCGCGAATGCTGCTGTCTGATCGTTCCTTTGGAAGTTTTGTCTCAGAAGAGTACCCGGCTGTGTGAGGTGTCAGTCTGCCCCTACTGAGGAGTGCCTCCCAGTTAGGCTGCTCAGGGGTCAGGGGTCAGGGACCCACTTGAGGAGGCAGTCTGCCCGTTCTCAGATCGCCAGCTGCATGCTGGGAGAACCACTGCTCTCTTCCAAGCTGTCAGACAGGAACATTTAAGTCTGCAGAGGTTACTGCTGTCTTTCTGTTTGTCTGTGCCCTGCCTCAGAGGTGGAGCCTAGAGAGGCAGGCAGGCCTCCTTGAGCTGTGGTGGGCTCCACCCAGTTGGAGCTTCCGGGCTGCTTTGTTTACCTAAGCAAGCCTGGGCAATGGCAGGCGCCCCTCCCCCAGCCTCACTGCTGCCTTGCAGTTTGATCTCAGACTGCAGTGCTAGCAATCAGTGAGACTCCGTGGGCATAGGACCCTCTGAGCCAGGTGCAGGATATAATGTCCTAGTGCACCGTTTTTTAAGCCTGTCGGAAAAGCGCAGTATTAGGGGGGGAGTGACCTGATTTTTCAAGTGCCATCTGTCACCCCTTTCTTTGACTAGGAAAGGGAACTCCCTGACCCCTTGCACTTCCTGAGGGAGGCAATGCCTTGCCCTGCTTCAGCTCACGCATGGTGTGCTGCACCCACTGTCCTGCGCCCACTGTCTGGCACTCACTAGTGAGATGAACCCGGTACCTCAGATGGAAATGCAGCAATCATTCGTCTTCTTCATCGCTCACGCTGGGAGCTGTAGACCGGAGCTGTTCCTATTGGGCCATCTTGGGTGCCACTCGAAATAGGAGTACTTTTACACTATTGGTGGGAGTGTAAACTAGTTCAACCATTGTGGAAGACAGTGTGGCAATTCCTCAGGGATCTAGAACTAGAAATACCATTTGACCCAGCCATCCCATTACTGGCTATATACCCAAAGGATTATAAATCATGCTGTTATAAAGGCATATGCACACATACGTTTATTGCCGCACTATTCACAATAGCAAAGACCTGGGACCAACCCAAATGTCCATCAGTGATAAACTGGATTAAGAAAATGTGGCACATTTACACTATGGGATACTATGCAGCCATAAAAAAGGATGAGTTCATGTCCTTTGTAGGGATGTGGATGAAGCTGGAAACCATCATTCTCAGCAAACTATCACAAGAACAAAAAACCAAACACCGCATGTTCTCACTTATAGTTGGGAATTGAACAGTGAGAACACTTGGACACAGGAAGGCGAACATCACACACTGGGGCCTGTTGTGGGGTGGGGGGAGGGGGGAGGAAAAGCATTAGGAGATATACCCAATGTAAATGATGAGTTAATGGGTGCAGCACAACAACATGGCACATGTATACATATGTAACAAACTTGCATGTTGTGCACAGGTACCCTAGAACTTAAAATATAATTTTAAAAAAGTGTATAAAGTAAAAAAAAAAATCGATAGTTATTTTTCTATAGATATTTTGGTTCACCCATGAAGTGGTAGACACTATGTGAGGTGGTGGATTTGATGAGTAAAATAGACATAGACTCCTATCTAAAAAAAGATTATATTGTTCATAAGTCTCATTTAATGAAGCTCATTTTAAGGAAATAAAGAATAAAGAAGTGTCAGTAAGAGAGGCCATTTAGTGTTTCATGAAGAAAGTCAAATGTGATCTCACATTGGTCTAGGGCTTGGTTCATAGACTTCAGTTTCAGAACTTAAACGTATGAATTAATCCAGAGGACATCAAACCTTCAGGAATGGCAAAAACAAGTTAAATTTATCCAAAGGTGGTGTGTATGCACTAAAGGTATGTAGACACTAAAGGTGTATAAAATAGCATTCCTACGCTTTAAAGAAGGTTATATATCTTTTTAGCAACCAGGCTAAGCTTTTCAATTCATCTGGAAGTTACTGTTTAGAAGTCAAATCACTTGAGTAATTAAAATAGTAGCCAAAATATTACTTTAAAAACAATATTTTTTTAAATGCCTGAACTTTTGAGGTGTTTTCATATAGGCTTTGAAAATCTATGTTGAACAGTGATTTTATGAGAATTGTGTACATGCCTTTTAAAATATCAGAATATTCTTATCTTCTTGCCATAGTATTTCTGTCTCTCAGACAGCATTAAATAAGCAATTCAACACATAATTACAATATAATTTCTCCTTTAATAATTTATTATAAACAATAAATTAAAACCATCAACAATCAGACAAGACAGGTAAGTGTATATAGGAGAAACTTCAAATAAAATGTCTTGAATATCCATTGATTCATTCTCTAGATATATGATCTTAAGCAAGATAATTACCATATCATTCCCTTTTAGCAAAATGGTGAATATTCTTATCTCACAGGAAAAATTTGATTATAATAATTATTGTAAAGCATCTACTATAGTGTTCAAGCATATTGCAGATATTAAACATTAGGTTTATTATCCCCTAGTAATCCAGTTCTGGTCTCATGGAAAAGAACACTATACCTTCCAAAATAGATGAATATAGCAGATAAGCGCCAGTTCTTCAAAACTCTTAATAAAGACATTCTTGATAATATTTATTTGATAATAAACATTAAATGTATATATTCAAGATGCATTCTAAATATTTTTATTTGTTTACTCTTATTTTTTATTTGACAGAAAACAATTATATTTAATGGGTGCATGTGAAATTATGATACATGGATATAATGTATAATAATCAAATCAGACTAATTGGCATATGCATCCCCTCAAACATTTATTATTTCTTTGTATTGAGAAAATTTAAAATCCTCTTATCTAGCTGTTTTGAAATATACATAAATTCTTGAAAACTATAGTCAACCTGCTGTGTTACAGAACACTAGAACTTACTTCTAACTAATTCTGTGCTTGTTAACCAACGTCTCCCTATTCCCCTCTACCCCTACCCTTCCAAGGCTTTGGTAAGAAGTTTTCTATTCTCTACTTCTATGAGATCAACTGTTTTAGCTCCCACATGTGAATGAGAGCATGCAGTATTTGTCTTTCCATGCCTGGCTCATTTCACTTAAAATAATGTCCTCCAGGGTTGGAGTGAGCCGAGATTGCGCCATTGCACTCCAGCGTGGGCAACAGGGTGAGACTCCGTCTCAAAAATAATAATAATAATAATAATAATAATAATAATAATAATAATAATGTCCTCCAGGCTCATCCACATTGCTACAAATGACAGAATTTTATTATTTTATGGCTAAATATTTCGTTGTGTATATATACTACATTTTATCCACTTATCTGCTCATGGACAGGTTTGATTCCATATTATGGCTATTATAATAGTACTGTGATAAACTTGGGAGTGCAAATATTTCATTGACATACTGATCTTTCCTTAGGATACATACCCAGTAGTACGACTGCTGGACCATATGGTATTTATATTTTTAGTTACTTGAGAAACCTCCATATTATTTTCCATAATGTCTGTACTAATATACATTTTTACCAACAGTATATAAGAGTTCCTCTTTCTCTGCATCCTCATCAGCATGTGTTATGTTTTGGTTTTTTTGTTTATAACCAATTTAACTGGGGTGAGATGATATCTTGTGGTTTTGATTTATATTCCCCTAATGATTAGTGATATTGATTATTTTTCATATACTTGCTGGCCATTTGGATGTCTCCTTTTGAGATGTGTCTATTCAGAATTCTTGCACATTTTTAATCAGATTATTTTTTTCTATTGTGTTGAGTTCCTTACATATCCTGGATATTAATCCCTTGTTGGATATATAATTTGCAAATATTGTCTCTTTCTGTAGGTTCTTGCTTCATTCTGTTGATTGTTTCCTTTGCTATGCAGAAAATATTTAGTTTGATATAATCCAGTTTTTGCTTTTGTTGCCTATGTTTTGCTTTTGTTGCCTGTGCCTTTGTAGTTTTATCCAGAAAATCTTTGCCTAGATTAATGTTCATAAACATTTCCCCTATGTGTTTTCCTAGTAGTTTTGTAGTTTCAGGTTTTTCATTTAAGTCTTAAATCTGTTTAGAGTTGATGTTTGTATATATTGAGAGATAAGGGTCTAGTTTTATTCTTCTACATATGGTTTTCCCAGCACCATTTATTGAAGAGACTAGTCTTTCTCCAATGTATGTTCTAAGTGCCTTTGCTGAATATTGGTTGCCTGTAAATATGTGGATTTATTTCTCAGTTCTCTATTCTGTTCTATTGGTCTATGTGTCTGTTGGTACAATACTTTTTTGGTTACTATAGTTTTGTGGTATATTTTAAAATCAGGTGGCATGATGCTTCCAGTTGGCTGTGTTCATTTTGCTCAGAATCACTTTAGCTCCTCAGGATCTTTGCCATACAAATTTTAGCATTGGTTTTTCTATTTCTGTGTAGAATGTCATTGATATTTCTATAAGAGTTTTATTGAATCTGTAGATCATATTGGATAGTGTGAACATTTTAACAATATTAATTTTTCTTATCCATGTACATGAGATATCTTTCTAACTTTTTTGTCCTCTTCAATTTTTTCATCTGTGTTTTATAGTTTTTATTGTAGATATCTTTTACCTCTTTGGTTGAATTTATTTCTAGGTATTTTATTTCATCTGAGCTCTTATAAATTAAATTGCTTTCTTGATTTTTTTTCAGAATGCTCACCTTTTGTATATATGTGCTACTGATTTTTGAACATTGATTTTGTATTCTGCAACTTTACTAAATTTATTTGTCAGTTCCAACAGTAATTTTTTTTTCGAGTATAGTCCTTAGGCTTTTCTAACTACATGGTCATGTCATGTGTAAATGGGAACAATTTGACTTATTCCTTTCCCATTTGGATGTCTTTTATTTCTTTCTCTTCCCTAATTATTCTGGCTAGTTCCCATACTATGCTAAATAAAAGTGGTGAAAGTAGGCATCCTTCCCTTTTTCCAGATCTTAGAAAAAAACTTTCAACTTTTTCAGTATGATGGTAGCTATGGGCTTGATGTATATGGCCTTTATTGTATTGAGGTGAATTTCTTTTTACTTAATTTACTGAGAGCTTTTATCATAAAGAGATGTTGACTTTATCAAATGCTTTTTGTATTTATTGAGATGATCTTATGGTTTTTGACTTTCATTCTGTTGATGTGATGTATCACATTTATTGATTTACATATATTGAACCATCTTTGCATGCCTGTGATAAATTTCACTTGATCACGGTGTATAATCTCTATGACGTGCTGCTCAAGTTTTCTTACTAGTATTTTATTCAGGATTTTTGCATCTATATTCATCAGGGATATTGTCCTATAGTTTTCTTTTTGTGTTGTGTTTTTGGTATCAAGGTAATGATGGCCCTGTAGAATTGAAAGAATTCCCTCCCCTTCCATTTTTTGAATATTTGGAAAATAATTGGTATTAGTTCTTCATAAAAGTTTGGTACATTTCAGCAGTGAGACCATCTGGCCCTGGACTTTTCTTTTTTAGGAGAGGTTTTATTACTGATTCAATGTCATTGCTTCTTATTTTTCTTTTGAGGATTCCTATTTATTTATAGTTCAATTTTGGTGGATTGTATATGTCCAGAGATTTACCCATTTCTTCAAATATTTTGAATTTGTTGACATATGGTTGTTCATAGTAATCTCTAATGATCTTTTATAGTTCTGTGATACCAGTTGTAATCTCTCCCGTTTGAATATATTTAATTGGATCATCTATCTTTTTCTTTGTTACTGTGGCTAAAGGTTTGTCAATTTTGTTTATCTTTTCCAAAAAACAAATTTTTGTTTTGTTAATCTCTTGAATTCGGTTTTTAGTTTCAATTTTATTTATTTCTATGCTGATTTTTATTATTTCTTTTCTTATAATAAATTTGGGATTTTTTTTCTTGCTTTTCTTATACTAAATTTGGAATTGGTTGTTCTTGCTTTTCTTAATCCTTGAGGTGCATTATTAGGTTTATTATTTATAATCATTTTACTTTTTTGATGTAGGCATTTATTAGTGTAAACTCCCCTCTTAGTACTGCTTTTGCTGTATGTCATAGGTTTTAGTTTTGTTGTGTTTCCATTTTTATTTGTTTCAATACATTTTTAAACTTTCTATTAAATTTCTTCATTGTCCTATTGGTTGTTAGGGGGAGGGTTGTTTAATTTTCATGTAAGTTCCCAAAGTTTCTCTTGTTATTGATTTCTAATTCTATTCCATTGTGGTCATAAAATATGCTTCATATGATTGAGATTTTTTTTGTTTTTGAGATGGAGTCTCTCTCTGTAGCCCAGGCTGGAGTGCAGTGGCGCCATCTCAGCTGACTGCAACCTCTGCCTCCAGGGTTCAAGCAATTCTCTGCCTCAGCCTCCCGAGTAGCTGGAATTTCAGGCGCCCGCCACCATGCCTGGCTAATTTTTTTATATTTTTAGTAGAGACGGGGTTTCACCATCTTGGCCAGGCTGGTCTTGAACTCCTGACCTCGTGATCCACTCACCTCGGCCTCCCAAAGCGCTGGGATTACAGGCATGAGCCACCGTGCCCAGCCATGATTGAGATTTTTAAAAATTTGTTCCAGACTTTCCTGTGGTCTAACCTGGAGAATGTTTCATGTGCTGATGAGAAGAATATTTATTGTGTGGCTGTTGGATGTAATGCTCTAAAAGTGTCAGTTAGGGCCATTTGGTCTAGAGTGTAGTTTAACTCCACTGATTCTTTTTCGATTTTATGTCTAGGTGGTCTCTCCATTATTGAAAGTGGGGTGTTCAATTACCTTACTATTTTTTTTTTAGTTTTTAATTTTTGTGGGTAAGTAGTAAGTATACATATTTATGGAATATATGAGATATTTTGATACAGGCATGCAATGTGTAATAATCACGCCAGGGTAAATGGAGTAACCATCGCCTCCAACATTTATTCTTTGTATTACAAACAATCCAGTTATACTCCTTTAGTTATTTTTAAACATAAAATTAAATTATTTCTTAGTTTAGTCACCCTGCTGTGCTAGCAAATACTAGTTCTCATTCCTTATTTTAAACTATTTTTTGAACCCATAAACCATCTCCACTTCTTTTCCAGTCCACTATGCTTCCCAGCCCCTGGTAGCCATCCTTCTACTCTCTATCTCTATGAGTTCAGTTGTATTCATTTTTAGCTCCCACAAATAAGTGGGAACATGCAAGGTTTGTCTTCCTGTGCCTGGCTTATTTCGTTTAACCTACTGACCTCCAGTTCCATCCATGTTGTTGCAAATGACAGGATCTCATTCTTTTCTATGACTGAATAGTACTCCATTGTGTGTATGTACCACGTTTTCTTTATTCATTCATCTATTGATGGACACTTAGGTTGCTTCCAAGTTTTTGCTATTGTGTATAGTGCTGCAATAAACGTGGAAGTGCAAATATCTTTTTGATATACTGATTTCCTTTCTTTTGGGTATGTACCTAGGAGAAAAATTGTTGAATCATATGCTAGATCTATTTTTAGTAGTTTGAGGGACCCCCAAAATGTTCTCCATAGCAATTGTACTAATTTATATTCCCACCAACAATGTAGGAGGGTCACCTTTTCTCCATATCCTCATCAGCATTTGTTATTGCCTATCTTTTGAATGTGAACCACTTTAAGTGGAGTGAGATTAAATATCTCATTGCAGATTTAATTTGCATTTTTCTGATGATCAGAGATGTTGAGCACCTTTTCACATATCTGTTGGTCATTTGTATGTCTTCTTTCCAGAAATGTCTATTCAGATCTTCTGCTTATTTCTTAATCAAATTATTAGATTTTCTTTCTATAGAGTTGTTTGAGCCCCTTATATATTCTGGTTATTAACCTCTTGTCAGATGGGCAGTTTGCAAATATTTCCCCATTCTGTGGGTTGTATCTTCACTTTTTTGATTGTATCCTTTGCTGTGCATAAGCTACTTAATGTGATTGACCACATTTTTCCATTTTTGTTTTGGTTGCCCATTCCAATGTCCTGGGGAGTTTCCCCAATGTTTTCTTGTAGTAGTTTCATAGCTCGAGGTCTTAGATTAAAGCTTTTCATCCATTTTGATTTGATTTTGTATGCGATGTGAGATAGGGGTCTATTTCATTCTTCTACATGTGGATATCTAGTTTTCCCAGCATCATTTATTGAAGAGGCTGTCCTTTTCCCAATGTATGTTCTTGGTATCTTTGTTTAAAGTGAGTTCACTGAGATGCATAGATTTATTTCTGGGTGCTCTATTCTGTTCCGTTGGTCTATTTGTCTGTTTTTATGCCAGAACCATGCTCTTTTGGTTACTATAGCTTTGTAGTATAAATTGAAGTCGGGTAATGTTCCTTCAGTTTTGTTCTTTTTGATTAGGATAGGTTTGCCCACACTGAGAATTTTGTGGTTCCATAAAAATTTTAGGATTTTTTAAATTTTTTTGAAGAATGTCATTGGAATTATAGGGATTGCATTCAATCTGTAGATTGCTTTGGGTAGTATGGAAATATTAACAATATTAAATCTTTCAATTCCCGAAAGTAGAATATCTTTCCATTTTTTTGTGTCCTCTTCAGTTTCTTGCATCAATGTTTCATCATTTCATTGTAGAGATCTTTCACCTATTTGGTTAATTCCTAGGTATTATATTTTAATTGTAGCTACTATAAGTGGGATTACTTTCTTGATTTCTTTTTCAGACTATTTGTTATTGGTATGTTAAAATGCTAACTGATTTTTATATGTTGATTTTTGTATCTTGTAACTTCACCAAACTTCTTTATTGTTTGTAATACTTTTTGAAGGAGTCTTTAAGTTTTTTCAAATGTAAGATCACATCATCTGTAAACAATGATAATTTGACTTCTTCCTTTTCAATTTGGATGCTGTTTATATCTTTTCTTGACTGATTGCTCTAGGACTTCTAGTACTGTGTCAAATAATGGTGGAGACAGTGGGCATCCTTGTCATGCTCCAGATCTTGGAGGAAAGACTTTCAGCTTTTCTCCATTCAGTATGATACTAATTATGGGTCTGTCGTATATGGCTTTTATTATACTGAAGGACGTTCCTTCTATACCCATTTTTTAGGGTTTTTGTCATGCAGAGATGTTAAATTGTATCAAATGCTTATTCAGCATCAATTGAAATGATCATATGCTTTTTGTTCTTCATTCTGTTGATATAATGTATAACATTGACTGATTTGTGTATGTTGAATCATCCTTGCATCCCTGGGATAAATCCCACTTATTCACGATGAATAGTATCTTTATAGTTGAATTTGGTTTGCTAGTATTTTACTGAGGATATTTGCATCAATTTTTGTTGGAGATATTGGCCTGTAGTTTTATTTTTTGCTGTGTCTTTGTCTGGTTTTGGCAATTGAATGGTTTTAATCCATTCAGCCGTCTGGCTTTGTCTGGATCACACTGGTTTTGTAGCAAAAGTTTGGAAGTATTCACTCCTCCTCTATTTTTCAGAATAGTTTGAATAGGGTTGGGAATATTGCTTCTTTAAATGTTTGGTAGAATTCAGCAATGAAGTCATCAGGCACCAGGCTTTTCTTTGCTGGGAGACTTTTTGTTACAGCTTCAATCCTGTTACTTGTTATTGATCTGTTTAGGTTCCGGATTTCTTCATGGCTCAATGTTGGTAGGTTGTATGTATCTAGTGCTTTATCTGTTTCTACTAGATTTTCCAACATATTGGCATATAGTTCCTCAGAGTAGCCACTGATGAGCCCTTGAATTTTTGTGCTATCAGTTGTAATAGCTACTTTTTTATCTCTGTTTTTATTTATTTGTGTCTTCTCTCTTTTTTTCTTAGTCTGGTTAAAGGTTTGTCAAATTTGTTTAACTTTTCAAAAAAAAGTTTTGTTTTGTTGATATTTAGTATTATTTTGTTTCAATTTTATTTATTTATGATCTGATCTTTATTATTCCTTTTCTTTGCCTTATTTTTAGTTTGGTTTGCTATTGCTTTTCTAGTTCTTTGTATTTGTTTCTGTTTCTGGATGGTTACTTGTACTTTTGTCTGGAATATAATCCCCTCTTTCTTTATTTTCCTTGATTCCCTCTTTTGGTTTCTGCAAATTAGATAAGATTACCTCTCTTCATCTTGTTAGACTGGTCTTGTGTATGAGAAGGTTTTGCCAATTCAACTGGCCAAAGATTTTAAGATGCCTCCAAAATCTGTGTGTTTGTCCAGATTGCTATCTTGGTTTTTGGTGGCCCTCTGGAGCTTAGGGCATGTCACATTTTGTCAGTACTCTGTTATCAGTATAAGAGCTAAGCTCTTAGGATGAAGCTGAAAAGGTTGAGGTTTTTGATATGTGTTCTAGTTCTTTCTATTTTCATGGTGAAGATGATGGTGGGCATTTATCTTGTAGTCTCTCTGCACTAAACTAGGAAGGGGATCTGCAGCAAATGCCTGTTCTCACATGCAGGCTACATTTTCTTATCCTAGACAGAGAGCTTCTGGAAATGGTCCTACTATATGTCTACATGTTTGTTTTCTGTGGTCTTGGGTCACTCAGATTCACAAAGCCCCCTTGATTTCAAAGCTAGGTCTCTAAGGAGACAGTTCCTTAGGTGGGAGCTATGGAAGTTGTGGCATTTGATACATAGCTAAATTTCTTCCAGAAAGAATGAATAGGCCTGGATTTATCTCTGGAGTAAGCTGAGAAGAGGTCTCAGAAAGTACCTCGCTCTTGCTTTGGCAACCAAAAGCTTGTTGTTTCTTTGTCCTGTTAGCTTCTCAATATAAGTTCATTAGAAACCAGGCCATCAGGTAGCCACTGGGAGTGTGTGTTATATGCTCCTTATTGAAAGAATGTGAGAGTGCACATTCCTGCCCCCTTTCTGCACTGTACCAAGGGAATGGTGCATCTGGAAGTGTTTGGATACCCATTTAGTATCACCTCTCAGTTCTGTGATCAAGGGAGACTTGCATATGCCTAATCTCTTCTGCTTCCAGAACTACTAGGTTTAGGGTGGAGTTCTTGGGAAGTAGAGTTAGAACTTTTTGTTCTCTATGTGTGACCTCTATTTCTTCTGGGAAAACACAGAGAGAGCATCTTTTTAAGCCCCTTTTCTGTATTGCTCCAGTGAGATAAACTCCCTGGAGGTGCTTGCATGCCTGTCTGAAATGCCACTTTTTTTCTGCAGTGTAGACAGACGTATGTATGCCAGTCCTTTCTGTTCCCAGAGCCAGGAGATTTAGATTCTCCTTATTGCTCCAGGGAGATAAAATCCCTGAAGTTGCTTGCATAAGCCTCAAGGGATTTTATCTGGAGCAATACAGATAATCTAAAACTGGTATGTATCTGAAATACCACTTTTTTCTGCAGTGTAGAGAGATATGTACATGCCAGTCCTTTCTGCTCTCAGATCCAGGAGATTTAGGATGCAGTCCCTAAGTGAAGTGATAGTTTGACGTTTCAGTATGTATTAGTCTATTCTTGCATTGCTATCAAGAACTACCTGACTGGGTAATTTATAAAGAAAAGAGGTTTAATTCACTCACAGTTTCACAAACTGTATAGAAAGCATGGCTGAGGAGGCCTCAGGAAACTTACAATCATGGTAGAAAGCAAAGGGGAAGCAGACATGTCTTACATGGCTGAAGAGGGAGGAAGCAAGAAGTGGGAGGTGCTGCAGACTTTTAAACAACCAGATCTCATGAGAACTCACTCACTATCATGAGAACACCAAGGGGAAAATCTGCTCCCATGATCCAGTCACCTCCCACCAGGTCCCTCCTCCAACATTCAGGATTACAATTCAACATGAGATTTGGGTGGGGACACAAAGCCAAACTATATCAAGTGTTAGTGCAAATTTCTCCAGGGTTGGAAAATGGGCTAAGAATTGACTATCTTTTTAATTCTCCAATGCAAGTTAGGCAGAAATCCAACGGCTACGCAGCCTTTCGAGATGTTTCCAGGGAGAAACAAAGGACTGTTTTTTAAGTTTATTTCCTGCAATGCTCCCAGGTAGATGCAGTATCTAAAAGTGCCTGTGCACCCATATAAAACTGCCACTTTATTCTTTACTGTCTAGAGAGACACATTTGTGTCTGATATCCTCCATTCCCATAGTTGATGACTCAAAAGTTAAACCAAGGGGAAACTTAGGATTAAGACCCTCTACTGGGGTCCAGACCCTCTTCTCCACAGGGAGAAGCTGAATGTTGGGTGTTTCATTCCCAATTTTATGGTGCAGTGCTTATAGCTGGGTCTGTGTCCATGTATGCCTTGGTTTTTCCTACCTCTTCAATGTAAATGTTTTCTCAGTTTCCCAGTGGATAGGAGTCTCTCAACTGGTCTCAGACTTTCACTCAAAGGGAACTGATGTGTGAACAGATGTTTACTTGGTGAATCCATGGGTGGAGGGGGAGTTAGGAGCTTCCTATTCCATGTTCCTGATATCACTATGCCTTTAATTTTTACAAAAGTTTAATTAAGCATAAAATATTTATATTGCCACATTATAAATCAATACATGAACACACAAAAAAAGATTTTTATTGCCCTAAATCATAGTTATAAGTTGAGAATGAGGGTAAATATTTAAGCATTCTGACCCCAAAGCCCATTCCCCTTAACTGCTAAATTACATTGACTCTAATTTGATAACATTACATTTTTTGAAATCAACTCCTGATTCCTTTTCATTTGATATTTCTTACCTCAACTTATCCTTTCTCCTCTCACATTTAGTATAAATAGCAAGAGATTTCAAAACTTGGAAACTTCCTCAGTTAAATATACAAGTCCATCATTTTTAAGGATTCCTTTCCACACAACTGCAGGATACAATTCTGCTAAACTTTCTGCCACTATAGAGCAAGGATGCTTTTTCCTTCACATTCCAATAACACACCATTTATTTCCTTCTAAACCCTTACCAGAAGTGCCTTTAACATATATATCTCTATTAGTAATCTGATCACAGAGATTTAGGTATTCTCACAGTGTTTCTTAACACAATTTTTATCATTCATTATAGTTAAATTAATCTAGAAGAAAGAGCATAGGACAATAAAATAAAAGGAAGAATATATATGCTGGTATTAACTGACTTCAGAACCCAACTCTACTCTTTTGTACCTATAATACTTCGGGAAATTACATAATGACTATATTTAAGTTTCCTGGTCTTTATAATGGAGATAACAATAACTCTTTCAGAAAATTGTTATAAAAATTAAATGAGGAGATACATATACATATATCTATATAGTGAAACATGTATCTAACAAATGGTAAACACTAAAACTATTAGCTGCTATGTTGATCATATTATTTCTATTGACAAAGATGATCTTCATACTGTTACAAGTGATGGATAAATTAACTCTCATAAAACATGTTTTGGAATGACATTACAATGAATCCTCATCTCATATCAAACAGTGTAAGCCCAAGGACTTAATATTATAAACATGTTTATTTGTAATTGTTCTACCATGAGATACTCATAGTTTTAAATTACACTTTTAATTCAAAAATCAAAAACTGAAATTAAAGTTGTACTGTTTTATTTTCAAAATGCGGGAAAGAAAAGCTGTGTGTTAGATGGCTCCTTCACACCAGCTATTAAGGCCAGGTGTGGTGGCTCACGCCTATAATCCCAGCACTTTGAGAGGCCAAGGTGGGCGGATCACCTGAGGTCAGGAGTTCAAAACCAGCCTGGCCAAGATGGCAAAACCCCGTCTCTATTAAAAATACAAAAATTAGCCGGGCGCGGTGGTGGGTGCCTGTAATCCCAGGTACTTGGGAGGCTGAGGCAAGAGAATCACTTGAACCCTGGAGGCGGAGTTTACAGTGAGTCAAGATTGCGCCATTGCACTCCAGCCTGGGGGTCAGAGCGAGACTCCATCTCAAAAAAATAAATAAAAATAAATAAAAATAAAAAAGCTCATGGTTCTCCCATCTTAAAAACGTAGTGAATCACAATAAGTCATTGTGTCCTGTCCTTTCATTTTCTCCAGTTATTACCCTGTCTTCCTCCTGCCCTTCATGGCCAAATTTCTAGAATGTATTGCTCCTACTGGTTTTTTTCATTTTTAAAATTCTATTTCCTCAAAAACAACTTCACTCTGGTTCATGTTCTTACTTCTCTTTCCAAATTATTTTTTTCTGAAGTCATCAATAGCCTGTGTGGAGCTAAAAGTCAACAGATAATTAAAAGCTATTTTTTCACACCATCTCAGAAATATTTGGTGCAGTTGATCACTCCCTTCCTAAATACTCTCTTTTCTTGCCTTCAAAAATACCACATAGATAAGATGCACCCTTTCATCTCAAGTACTTTTTCCAGGACCATTGAAAAACTCCTGGACTCTAGGAGGATGTGCGATAGATAGCATGATGGAATCTGGAGTCTATATGTTGTTGTTATTATCAGTAGTGCATATACTAATCTGGCCATTATCTCACCAAACATTGTTTCCTCTTACCCACTTACTCAGGATAAAAGCAGATCTGAGGCAGCAGGAGAGGACTTTTTACTATTCTCACTTAAATACCCCACATCCAATCATGTATCCATATTTAAAAAAAATTCCTCTAATTTCAGAATCAGATTGAGAAATAAACACAACACAGAGTCCAGGTGGGAATTAATGTGGAGAAATTAGCAGCTGTTTTTGTTTTGTAAGTATTTTGTGGCAAAAACATATCAAAGAAATACAGCTATGTACTTACTCTTACTCCCAGACCCTGGTGGGGAGATTTGGCAAAATATCACTGATTATGCATGATGTGACCTTCTGCTGCAGTATTTCAGGGATGCTATACCATCAAATAGAATGCGTTTTCTTAAATATTAGGTTGGTGCAAAGTAATGGCAAAAACCCGCAATTAATTTTGCACCAACCTAAACATTCTCAATGTGGTATATTCATTCTGGCAGTACCTCCACACTGATGGAAGAGCACTCCCCAAAACACATGGCTTTCATCTCTGAGGCAGCATGAGTGGCACAAAAAAAGCATACATATTTTTTTAGGAGGGAGAGACAATGTCTAAAACTCCTGCCTTTTGGTTTGGCATGGGAATCGTGGGAGGCGAGAATAGCAGTCCCATCTAACGCATTAGTTTCAAAACTGATCGATCTTGTAACCTCTTTTACTTGCCTTACTCTATGTCCCAATGAATTTACCATATTGACCTGACAGTGAAAAGAAAATGTGTCCGGAATGGAGCAATGGGGATCATTCAGAATGAAAAATATTTTCATTTCTTGAAGACAGTAGAAGAAAAATACATTTTTTAATGTTTTTGACCAATTACTTTAATTAATTCCATTGGAAATTTGGGGTTTTCTTCCCGTGCCTATTTTTTTAATGCTGCTAGCAATTGAATAATAAATAATGAATAAAGTGAATGCTATTTTGGGGGTTTATGGAGGCTACTATGTTCCATGCACTGTGCCTACCAATATTACAAAGGCCTAATTAGTCACTGTCCATTTGAGGAGCTTAAAAAGGATTACTATGGCAAACATCCATAGAGTTTAATAATAATTTCAGTTGTATGATGGGTTCCAATTAGCAACTTTTAGTTTTATGCATTGGAACAGGTGATATAACTGACAGCAATAGGTATCTCTGGAAATGTCTTTAACAACTGAAAACCAACTTGCACATTAAACACTCATTGTTTTTAATATACTCCTCTTGAGACAAATATAATTAAGCTGCACAGTGGATGTATTCCCTATGGTCTCTAGTAGAAATAAAAATACTGCCTATTCTATCACTGTGCTATAATTTAGAGCCATAGGAAGTCTAGGAGCCCAAAAAGGAAAAGAAAGCTTACCTTGTGGTTCTAGGTATGTTCTCCTATTTGTAATTTCTTGCAAATTTACACTGAGGTTGTAGAAAGGAGATTCTGTCGATTTTGGCTTTCTTGGATCTTAGCTTTGTAATTATTTGCTTATTCTGTTCAGATCAAGTAAAATATGTACATAAATACATAGATAAACAGCTGGAAATATATTCCCTTTTAAGCCCTTAAGTGTAGCTTTAAGGAAGGTTATAGAATTTGGAAGACCAGAGTATAACACCTTTACATCTGAATCTATTAATTTTTATGTGACTCCTTTAAAATTATAAGTCTTCATATATTGCTTGCATAATAGCTTCTGTATATAATTAGTGATAAGACAAAAACAAAAGATTCAGAATATGCAACTTAAAAACCATTGTTTTTTCCAAATGTTTGTGAAAATTGCATATAATCCATAACTTAAAATCAGGAAGAAATATGTATTCGATGTAATTGTGTAGTTTAGAAAGATTTAACAGAAGAAATCCAGGTGTCTAGATTCTCATCTCAGACTACTGATTCTAGGAAAGCTCCTTTGCTGTGGTTCAGTAGAGAGATGTGTTAGGTGACTGCATTCCCATTAACCTGCCTTCTTTGTTGTCTGCACAGATGTTTAGCTCTGAGCCCACCATAGATGGAAATCAGTCCCTGTGTGCCAAATTCACATTTGTGGCTTTTTCTTCTATAGAAGAATTACAGCTTGTACTCTTCATTGTGTTCTTAATCATCACTTATGCACTATAGGAGGAAATATCATCATCATCTCCCTGATCTGGATCACCCCTGCCCTGCACACTCCAATGTATTTCTTCCTGGTGAACCTCTCATTTCTGGAGATGTGCTATACCACCAGTGTGGTGCCTCATGCTGGTGCACCTGCTGGTGGAGACCAAAACCATAAGTGTGGGTGGCTGTGCAACCCAGATGTACATATTTGCCATCTTGGGACTGACAGAATGCTGCTTGCTAGCAGCTATGGCTTACGATCGCTTTGTAGCTATTTGTTACCCACTGCATTACACTCTCTTCATGGGCCCTCGTGTTTGTTTGAAATTGGCTGCAGCATCTTGGTTCACTGGAGTGGTGGTGGAGTCAGCCCAGATCACCCTGATCTTCACTTTGCCTTTCTGTGGAACAGGAAAGATTCAACACTTTTTTGTGACATAATGCCTGTACTGAAACTGGCTTGTATTGATACCTCCCAAATTGAAATTGTGATGTTTTCTCTCTCCGTGCTATTTATTGTGAGTCCTTGTTTCCTCATTCTGTGCTCCCACATGCACATCCCTGTGACCATCTTGAGAATCCCTTCAGCAGCTGGAAGACACAAAGCTTTCTCCACTTGTTCTTCTCATATCTTGGTTGTTTCTCTGTTCTATGGCACTGCCTTGTTCACTTATCTGCAACCTAAGACTGCACACACTCCAGAAACAGACAAAGCAACTGCACTCATGTACACAATGGTCACACCTGCTTTGAATCCTGTTATCTATACCTTGAGGAACAAGGAAGTAAAGGAAGCCTTTCAAAGGATAACCCAAAGGAACTCTCTTAGACAAACGGCCTAAACCAGTCATAGTAGCTGAAACCTATGCTACTGTACAGAGAGGTTACCCGATTTTATGATTCTTCTACCAACATATTCTTTTATTAAAGCATTTATAGCCTAGCTACCAAAAAACATTTGGATTTGTCACACATTTTTCAATGTCTGTAAGTAAAAGGAAACTACACAGTAGATTCATTCAATTGTTAATCATTCATTCATTCAACAGTATTTACAGGGCATCTCATGTGTCAAGCTACCATTTTCTCCTTCTCCAGTGGTAATAGCATTAAGTCCAGTATGTTTCATGCCATTTTCCTGAGGAAAATGAAATATCCTTTATGAGTATAAAACAAAAAATGAAATAAACAGGAAGTAATACTATTTTAGTATCAAATATAGTCTATTAGAATTTAAGTTCTTAATTGGAGTATGCTCCTTTAATTAGTGTGCTCTCTGTACATCTTAAGGTCATACATATTAAATAACCAACTGTTAATAAATACTAATGAGTGGTGTACACCATGAAAGAACTTTAAATATTTAGTTTGTAAATCCAGTGAGAGACCTGAATTCTTTATCTGAAACATGAGTTTTCCTTTGCTCTTATCCACCTGTTTTTTGTTGGTTTGTTTATTTGTTTTTCATGTGAGTAAAGACTTAGGGAAATGTCTGCCTTTGAGACATACAATCTTATTACACCTATTGTAAACCCTGTTTAAATGTATTGATTTAAATATAATTTTCTTTTGTCACGGTGTATATATTCTAGCTAATATATATTGTTTTTGTCTCTTTGAATAATAAAAAGCAAGTCTTCTATAAGACACTAAAACAAAGAACTTTAAAAAACTGTTGGTTTCTTATGGCAACTTTAGAGAAGTTGACAAAAATGTAAATGTTCAGAGACATTTTGTCAACCTGAAAGTTTTTTGATTTTATCTTAGTGTTGATACTCTAGAGTCAAACTCTAATACAAGTGCAATTAATTTATTTGAAAGAAGCTTGGAAGTGGGAAAACGATACACATGAGTTAAGAAAAACAGTGTGTCCATTATTATGTCAGGTTCCATAAATAACCACTAAAATTTAATCTTGTGAAGGAAATAGGAGAAGAGGTTTTGGGTATAGACTACAAGGGGAGCAACGGCAATATAGCTGGCCCCTTTCTGAAGAGGTTCTCAACACTGAAGTAAGGTAGACTTAACAGTGCTGCAAGAAAATGATGCATATTATCATTGGGAAACCTAATAGCTTTTGTGGAATAACATGCAATCATATTGACAGAACTGCATTGTTAACTACATATTATCACTGTCTGGGACTCACTCAGTAAAGAAATGTGCCCTTTTCTCTCCCTCATTCATGACATATCAATTCACAGGAGAATATAAGGTCTAAAAACATTTGGCATTGCCTGAGTTTTGAATTAAATGAGATTGAAAATTTTTAAATTCTCTCAATTTTAATAACTAATAGATATCTGAAGGTTATAAAATTGACAGAGACAAAGCATTAAAAGGGGGAATTAAAAGAGCAATATTACACCTACAATCATCTGATCTTTCACAAAATGAACAAAAAGAAGCAATGGGGAAAAGATTCCCTGTTCAATAAATGGTGCAGGGATAACTGGCTAGCCCTATGCAGAAGATTGAAACTGGACCCCTTCCTTAAGCCATATATAAAAATTAACTCAAGATGGATTAAAGACTTAAATGTAAAACCCAAAACTATAAAAACCTTGGAAGACAACCTAGGCAATACCATTCAGGACTTAAGCACGGGCAAACATTTCATGACAAAGATGACAAAAGCAATTGCAACAAAAGAAAAAATTGACAAATGGGATCTAAATAAACTAAAGAGCTTCTGCACAGTAAAAGAAACTCAACAGAGTAAACAGACAACCTACAGAATTGGAGAAAACTTTTCAAAATATGCATCTGAAAAAGGTCTAATATCCAGAATCTGTGAGAACTTAAACAAATTTATAAGAAAAAAAAACGAACAACCCTATTAAAAAGTGGGCAAAGGACATGAACAGACACTTCTCAAAAGAAGACATACATGTAGCCCATAATCATAGAAGAAAAGCTAAACACCACTGATCACTAGAGAAATGCAAATCAAAACCACAATGAAATACCATCTCATACCACTCAGAATGGCGATTATTAAAGAGTTAAAAAAATAACAGTTGCTGGGGAGGTTGTGGAGAAAAAGGAATGCTTTTACACTCTCAGTGTTGGTGAGAGTGTAAATTAGTTCAACCATTGTGGAAGACATTGTGGTGATTCCTCAAAGACCTAAAGACAGAAATACCACTCAATCCTGCAATTCCATTACTGGGCATATACCCAAAGGAATATAAATCATTCTATTATAAAGACACATGCATGTGTGTGTTCATTGCAGCACTATTCACAATAGCAAAGACATGGAATCGACCTAAATACCCATCAGTGATAGACTGGATGAAGAAAATACAGTACATATATGCCTTGGAATACTATGCAACCATAAAAAAGAACAACATCATGTCCTTTGCAGTGACATGGATGGAGCTGGATGCCATTATCCTTAGCAAACTAATGCAGAAACAGAAAACCAAAAACCACATCTTCTCACTTGTAAGTGGGATCTAAATAATGAGAACAAATGGACACATAGAGGGGAAAAATATACACTAGGATCTATCTGAGGGTAGAGGGTAGGAGGAGGGAGAGGATCAGACAAAATAACTAATGGATACTAGGCTTAATACCTGAGCAATAAGAAATCTGTACAACAAACCCCCCATGACACACGTTTACCTATGTAACAAACCTGCACATGTACCCCTGAACTTAAAATAAATGTATTTTAAAAAACACAGACATGGAATATTAATTCAGTCACATGGTATTATTGTACCTAACCCCACCCCAATCCTAAAATCAACTAATCGATATGCATTTTGAGTTTCAGAAATTTGATAGAAAATTAGAAATATATAAAATACTAAATCAGTACATTTGCTTGACACCCATCTAACCTGATTTATAATAAAGACATTTATTCACCCAGTCATAGTGGCTCATGCTTATAATTCCAGCACTTTGGGAGCCTGAGGTTGGAGGATTGCTTGACTTGAGCCCAGGAGGTTCCAGGTTGCAGTGCGCTATGGTCACGCTACTGCACTTTAGCCTGGGTAACAGAGTGAGACTCTGTCTCAAAAAGAAGAAGGAAAAGGAGAAGGAGAAGGAAGAAATGTATTCTATTTATGTTTACTCTGCTTTTGTTTCTACATTCTTATTACTCCTAATGTGAGAGGCACTTTTTGAATCTTCGACTCCTTAGCAGTCATTCTCCCTTCACCTTGTTTCTCACTAAAGAAACACACCTTGCCAATTCTCCAACTACATGTTAGCAGCAGAGAACATGGGGGTAGGCATGTGACCAAGGTCTCACGGAAGAGATTGGCTCAAAGTCTGATACATGACTCAGGTCCACTTAAACGAAGTTGAATTTTCACTTAAGAAAATAGAAGTGCTATCTTTTCCATTAGATTTGAACCTGAGAGGATATAACTGTGGATCTTCTGAGGCTGTAGCACAACCAAAGAGAGTAACTCTGCAGTAGTATCAATAGGAAGAAAATACTACCTAGAACTGTGTAAGTTTTGAGTCATGATGTCATAGAAGCCTGTGAACCCAGCTTTAGTTATGCACTGGAATTTTCTGTGACATGAGATAATAACTTCCTCCTACTGTTTTATCATTTGCTTACATCACTCTGAGTTAAGGATTTTTTAATCAGTAACTAAAAAATGGCTATATAATAATTCAAAAGCCATTTTAACTAAAGTTCTAGAGAATTGGTTTTTTTACTCCATCTATTATTCTAGAAAAGATTAATTATTACTATAGATTATTCTTCTAGTTTGATAAATCTTCATATGATTATATTGTTCTGTAATTTCCCCTACAAATTTCATGAATAAAATAAATTTTATTAATTTTATTATTTAATCAAACATATCTAATATATCAATAGATACACCCTTTAAGAATAATTCAAAAATAATGCAAATTAGTTCAACAAATAGTATTCATATATTACAAGATAAACAAGTCATTCATTTGTTTGGCAGAATTCCTACTGATTTTAACTTTATTTTATGAGGTTTTTCTATTTTCCACAGAAGGAAAGGGCTGGAAAAATCATATAATGCAAAAGTTCTCTTTGTGATATGATTCCCTGAACTGAAGAAAAATTTTCCAAATACACAAACCAAAACATATGATTAGCGTCCATACCATTTTTAGGGTGGTAATACATGCAGTGTGATTATGTTTTAATTTTTGAAAATTTAAAATACTGCTTTAAAAAGATTCAAAAAATAATGTCTTCTCAGTTTCTGCATACAGTTTTCATCGCCTAAAAGTAGGTGTCAAATATCTGTTATTATTTATTGATTGATCTGGCAATATTGATTAATCTAGTAACAATAATGATTACCCAAAATAGAATTTTGTACACTCACACATTTTTCACCAAATTATACGTTTTCAATTTTTAAAATACAATCAATTTAAGTTACTAATTGCCAAATAAATGCCTTATAAGAAGGAAATTGCTATATAATGATACACCCTACTATTCAAAGAAATTCAGAGGCAGCTTATATCCCCATAAGTGTAGGATAGTGACATGCCCATGAAAAGCTACCTAACAGTGCCATCTGGTGGAGAGAACGTATAGTGATTGTATGTGAATATATGTCATGTCTGAACTTATTTTTTTGGTATCAACTTTTATTTTAAGTCCCAGGGTACATGTGCAGGATATGCAGGTTTGTTAGTTTTTAATAAGTAACTAAAAATGGCTATATAATAATTCAAAAGACGTTTTAACTAAAGTTCTAGAGACAGTTTTTTTCTCCATCTTTCTATTATTCTAGAAAAGATTAATTTTACTATAGATTATACTTCTAGTTTGACATATCTTCATATGACTACATTGTTCTGTGATTTCCCCTACAAATTTCATGAATGAAAATAAATTTTATTAATTTTATTATTTAATCAAACGTCATATATTAATACATACATCTTTTAAGAATAATTCAAAAATAATACAAATTAATTCAACAAATAGTATTCATATATTACAAGATAAACAAGTCACCCATTTGTTTGGCAGAATTTTTAGTTACTGATTAAAAACAGGTAAACGTGTGCCATGGTGGTTTGCTTCACAGATCAACCCATCACCTAGGTATTAAGCCTAGCATCCATTAGCTATTCTTCCTGATGCTATCCCTCCTCATGCCCTCCCAACAGACCCCAGTGTGTGGTGTTCCCCACCATGTATCCATATGATCTCATGTCTGAACATTTTTAAACTTTAAAAAAAACCTGACACTTTGTGACATTTTAGCTTTCAGTATAATGTGACAAATGCAATTTTATTAACAGTATTACATTTGTTTAAGCAATTTAAAATTTATACAAAGAAATAGAATTATTCCTTCCTTTGCTCAGTTGTGTGTGTATACCAGATGAAGAACATGTCAAATATGACTCATTTTCTGTCGTCTAACTCTATTTTTGTCCATAGAATTTATAACTCTTTGGCATCTCTCTCCCCAATAACACAAACTGCTTGAGAGGAGAATCAGCTTTTCTCATGTCCATCAGTGATTTCCACAGTGTTCAGTCCAAAAGGCCTATTGGTTATATCCCCATCCTTAAAGAAGGACCTAAACCATACTAAATAAGTACTTGTAAAATAAATGAATGAATGAATATTGTGTTAAATTCTAGGTATTGCTTCATTTGAAAGGCCCAGATAATATGGTAGAGTACATTCATAAGGGTGGCCAGTATTGTCATATTCAGCCATGACAGATAAGATGTAACTGAAGTCATTATGAAAGTTGAATGTTATACAAGAAGACTGAAGTCATTGCCATTACACGGTTAACAGATGTATCAAGAGGTTTGATTTATTCTCAAGGATACATAGAGTATAACAAAAAACAATGGGAGGAAGCAACATGAAAGTACCTCGCTGCTCAATGTGAGGAAAATTTTCTAAGAAGCAGAGTTTTTTGAAAATGAAATAAACTGCCTTCAAAAATATAAGACTCTGCACTGATGAAGCTATTTAAGTGAATTCTAATTGGTTACTGATTTAGAATGCATACAGATAGTATTCATTTTGAATTATTTGTTAGATTATTTAAGACGCATCTATGACATAACACAGAATCTTTTGCATTTGAAGGTATTAAACACTTAAGGTACTTAAGAGAGCACCTAAAATTTAAATCGCAGGGTTTTTTATTTTCACCTGGTTGTCATTTCCTATCTTTAGGTAGAATATGGTTTCCAGTCTTTTGGGGGATTATTTATATGCATGAATTCTATAATTCAGACAATTATAATTAAACACTTCTTTAAGAATAATTAATTTCTGTCCCATAATCATCTGATACTTATTATCAAGACTAAAATTATTTTATTTAACTAAAAACGACACCAAGAGTATCTACCCACTTTAAGAGATAGCTTTAAAATTTAAAACATGATTTCTCACTTAATAAAACTACCCCCACCTCTGTGAGATACGAGATTCTGGGAAATGTAAAAGAAATAATTTGAATCATGACTTAATTATTGGGTGTCTAAAATTAGCCTCAATTAGGAAGTATAAAATATTTTATTTTTTATCAACAGTTAGCAACTGCCTTGTTTTCCTTCTAATTATTCTGAATAGATAAGTAGAAAGACAATATTGCACTGTTTTTGGTAGGTTGCAGGTTCAGCATTCTCATCATTTTAATCTTTTTTTCATATTTACCAATTTTATTCATTATAGTCAGGGAATTCCTTCCCATAATTATTTTCCTGGAGTTATCCCTAGCATGACAAGAGGAAAACTTTTTTAGAAGATGCTGAGTATAATAGATGCCTTTGGGAAAACTTGGACAGGGTTATTTTTTGGCAGCTATTCCTCAAATCCTGTGTATACTCAATTACTATGATAAGTTGCTTGTGATGTAATTTGATATTTATCTCATATAAAGTTCAATGGGCATTAACGGTAACATTATTTCATTATTCTGTTGTGTGGCTGCTCTGGTTAAATAATAATGCATTATACCACATAGTGTCGAATATAATTCAAACCAGAACTATTCAATCTGATCAACTAAACAACAGCCATGAGGCAATAAATGCATACAGTATCTATACATCTGATGTGAGCTGAAGGAAATAAAAATAAGAGTATTTTACACAGGCAAAGTGAAGATTGTAACATGTTTATTTGCCTAATATCTTCTTTGAATTCTTCAAAAAAATCTTGGTAGTATCCTAACAGAAATTGTTTAAATTGCATTCTGCAATTCAAACTGAGTTAAAAAAATATTTAAAATGCCAAGGAATTGGGTAAATTATCATTTACATTTTACAATTAATTTTTCTAGAAGTAAGAGAACCTATAACACAAATTTGTCCACAGAGAAGGGGAACAGTTTTAGGAAGATATTTTTCCCCATTTATTCTATGTTATGTCTATTAAACCTAACAAATAATTAAAGAACAGCACTTTCACTGAAGGAATAATAAATGTAAATCAATTTAAAACTAACTTCTAGCTATTCAAGAATGTAAAATGTGGTAAACTAGAAGCTATACATTACACCTTCAAAAAGATTTAGAAAAAAGGAGAGAGAGAGACTTGTGGTTAAGGGCAGATGTAATTCTCCATAGAAGGAATAAGAAAATTGTGTTTGCAGATATATTAGTTACTTTTAACATACGGACTCTTTGGGAATTAACCTAATAATGTTGACATCCACCCAACAGAATCTTATGGTGTGTGTGTGCGTGTGTGTGTGTGTGTGTGTCAAGTATGAAAATATAAAGGAAATGCTAGTATCTTACCCTATATTTTTTAACATTTAATGTATCACTTAAAGCTGTCTCAAGCTTGAGCTGCACTGTAATCATTTATCTAAGGAATTTCTTAAGGTTATTTTTAATTTTGTTCCTTACTATATTCACTTTTTAATAGGGCCCAATGAGACTGATTAAAATTATGAGTTATTTTATGCGGGCTTTATTTTAGGTAATTCACAGCAGGATACAAAAGTTTCATTCCACCAGTGGGAATCATCTGATTACTCTGGAGCAACCTATAGCTAATTACGGCAAAGCCAGATTAATTTGTATACTTGAGAAATTAGCTTCCCTATACCCAATTATACTTGAGACCAGCGGGTCTCATCTTCACATTAACCTTCTCAAAGGCACAAATCTCTCTTAGGTCTCCCCCTAACTGACACACTAAACTGTGAAAATAAAGTATCCGTTTACACACCCAGAGGGACTCACACTATGTGGAAACCATCAAAATAGAGCTGGTTCCAAACATGCTACTCTAAGAATGACTTCATCTTTAATTTAACATATTTGTATAAATATTCTCCCAGGACAAAGATGATTAATGACAACAATAAAGGAGTTCTATGTAAGTTTCTGGTTAGTCTCCAGGGTTTGTTACAATCAAGATGTAAATTTCTGTTAACAGGAGATTCCAGAAGGCACCCTAGACAATTTACATGAAAAATATATATTAGAAAGATTTTCTTCTCTTCCATAATTAAGATGAGACTTTAAAAAAATGTTAATCAGAAAGTTTCCTCATCAATTTCATAAATTCTCAGGATTGGAGGGCAAAAAACTAGTTATTAAGAAATATTTTTTTCTCTTATCTAATCTAAACATGGGCAAAGTGTTATTGAAAAAAAAGCATGGAATTTGGAATACAGAGAGTTGGATTATACTGGCGAATTTATACAAATAAGAAATAGGGACATAGACTAATCGTTTTACATTTTGTGGAGATCCTGTTTTAAAAGTCTTAAACATTCCAGCCTTATATTGCAGAATCTTTTAAAAACTAAGTTAAAGAATTCTAACCAATGCAACTCTATCTCCTATTCCATTCCCCAGGTTGCACCACAATCAACTCAAATGACCATGTACCTATCTTATTTATTCACTCATTTTTTGAAGCAAGCAAGTCGCATTTTATTAGCCTATAACATTGTTCAGTAATAAAAATTTGATAGAACTAGACATTTTAGTAGAAATAAAACTATTGGCCAGGTGCAATGGCTCAAGCCTGTAATCCCAGCACTTTGGGAGGCCGAGGCCGGCTGATCACCTGAGGTCAGGAGTGCAAGACCAGCCTGGCCAATATAGTGAAACCCCGTCTCCGGGCATGATTGCGAGTGCCTGTAATCCCAGCTACTCAGGAGGCTGAGACGGCAGAATCGCTTGAACCCAGGAGACAGTGGTTGCAGTGAGCCGAAATCGCCCCACTGCACTCCAGCCTGGGCGGCTGAGCGAGACTCCGTCTCAAACAAACAAACAAACAAAAAACTATTATAAATTGAGGGGTACACGTGCAGGTTTGTTATATAGGTAAATTGTTTCGGAGAAGTTTGGTATACAGATTATTTTGTCACCTAGATGATAAGAGTAGTCCCTGCTAAGTACTTTTTAATTTTATTTATCAATTTTTTAATTTTTTATTTCCGTATGTTTTTGGGGAACAGGTAGTATTTGGTTACATGAGTAAGTTCTTCAGTGGTGATTTGTGAGATTTTGGTGCACCCATTTACTAAGCAATATACATTGAGCCCAATTTGTAGTCTTTTATCCCTCACCCCCTTCCCACCCTTTTCCCCAAGTCCCCAAAGTCCATTGTATCATTCTTATGCCTTTGCATCCTCATAGCTTAAGACCCACTTATGAGTGAGAACATCCTATCTTATTTTAGAGTGGGAAAAAAAATCCAAAACAAAAGATTTGTCAATTCCTTTAAATTTCTCATTCTAGTCTCACAATCCTGGCTGTCAAAATAAATTTTCATTGTTAAATAAGTCTTCAAAAATAGCCGTATTTTTCTTCTTCTTGGTGCAATATACAATAGAAAAAAACAGTAATAAAAATGTATCATTATAAACAGCATGGCAAAATATGTGTTAACTTTATTACATAAAAGGAGAAATTGACTATAATAAAAATCGTATTAGAAAATATCTATATATGCTTCTCACTGGCAACAGAACAAGTGGAAAAAATTAATAAGGAAATGTAGAAAATAGGAAAATTCAAAAAAGTTTTTGTTACTTGAATATTAAAAAATTTACCATACAAACGAAAAAAACTTCCCCAAAATCTCAATTAAAATTATTAATTTAGTCACACATTATTAAAAAGTAACACTTATGAGATAAAACTATGTGGTAAAGATTGAATTTTCTGAAAAAATTATAATAAAACAGAAAAATAATTACAAAAGGAGAAAAAAGGAAAAGGGAACTAACAAATTTAAAAACAAAAACAAACAAAACCTTATAAAAAACTCTTGAATCCAATAGCAAATAAAATCTGCAATTTTGTATAATTATGAAATAATGTTATATAGTAACATATAAAATTATGAAAAGAAGATATGCCAACATTGAAAATATTATATATTTTAAATGCTTTTATTTTACAAAATTAAAATAAGCTAAATATTGAATTCAGGAAAAAAATAATAAAAGCAAGAATAGGGAATAGCATTGCTTTCTCTATTAATGAACCACTTATTTCTCATAATTATATATTTATCCTCATATTGTCCTGAATCCAATTATCTTATGCTGCAGATGGAAGGCAAAGTACCAAAGTTGAAAGGTATAGTGAAGAAGACAGTATACATCCTAGTGGTACGGTATAACAACAATATTGCAGAAGCTGAAATAAGATTTATATATATACTTTTTTAATGTTTATTTTTATTTTATGTTCCGGGGTATATGTGCAGGATGTGCAGGTTTGTTATATAGGTAAACGTGTGCCATAGTGATTTGCTGCACTTATCAACCCATCACCTAGGTATTAAGCCCAGCATGCATTAGCTATTTTTCCTAAAACTCTCCCTCCCCCGACCCCGCCCCAGGACACTGGCAGGCCCTAGCATGTGTTGTTCCCCTTCCTGTGCCCATGTGTTCTCATTATTCAGCTCCCACTTATAGGTGAGAACGTGGGGTGTTTGGTTTTCTGTTTCTGCGTTAGTTTGCTGAGGATGACAGCTTCCAGCTCCATCCACATTCCTGCAAAGAACATGATCTCATTCCTTTTTATGGTGCATAGTATTACATGGTATGTATGGACCACATTTTCTTTATCTGGTCTATCATTGATGGGCATTTGGGTTGATTCCATGTCTTTGCTATTGTGAATAGCGCAGCAATGAACATATATGTGCATGTATCTTTGTAATAGAATGATTTTTATTCCTTTGGGTATAAACCCAGTAATGGGATTGCTAGGTCAAATGGCATTTCTGCTTCTAGATCTTTGAGGAATCACCACACCATCTTCCACAATACTTGAACTAATTTACATTCCCACCAACAGTGTAAAAATGTTCCTATTTCTCTGCAACCTCACCAGCATCTGTTGTTTCTTGATTTTTTAATAATTGCTATTCTGACTGGTGTGAGATGGTATCTCATTGTGGTTTTGATTTCCATTTCTCTAATGGTCAGTGATGTTGAGCTTTATTTCATGTTTGTTGGCTGAATGAATGTCTTCTTTTGAGAAGAGTCTGTTCATGTCATTTGCCTATTTTTTAATTGGGTTGTTTTTATTTTTCTTATAAATTTGTTTAAGTTCCTTGTAGATTCTGAATATGAGACCTTTGTCAGATGGACAAATCGCAAAAATTTTCTCCCACTCTGTAGGTTGCCCGTTTGCTCTGATGATAGTCTCTTTTGGTGTGCAGAAGCTCTTAGTAGTCAAATCATGAATGAACTCCCATTCACAATTGCTACGAAGGGAATAAAATACCTAGGAATACAGCTAACAAGGGAAGTGAAGAACCTCTTCAAGGAGAACTACAAACCACTGCTCAAGGAAATCAGAGAGGACACAAACATATGGAAAAACATTCCATGCTCATGGATAGGAAGAATCAATATCGTGAATATGGCCATACTGCCCAAAGCAATTTACACATTCAGTGCTCTTCCCATTAAACTACCATTGACATTCTTCACAGAATTAGAAGAAGCTATTTTAAAATTCATTTGGAACTAAAAAAGAGCTTGTATAGCCAAGACAATCCTAAAGAGAAAGAACAAAGCTAGAGACATCATGCTACCAGATTTCAAACTATACTACAAGCCTACAGTAACCAAAACAGCATGGTACTGGTATGAAAACAGACACCTAGAACAATGGAACAGAACAGACAACTCAGAAATAAGAACACATGTCTACAACCATCTGGTCTTTGAGAAACCTGACAAAAACAAGCAATAGGGAAAGGGTCCCCTATTTAATAAATGTTGCTGGGAGTACTGGCTAGTCATATGCAGAAAATTGAAAGTGGACCCCTGCCTTACACCTCATGCAAAATTTAACTCAGCACACATTAAAGACTTAAATATAAATCCCAAAACTATTCAAATCCTAGAAGAAAATCTAGGCAATACCATTCAGGACATAGGCACAGACAAAAATTTTATGACAAAATCGCCAGCAGTAATTGCAACAAAAGCAAGGATTTTTATATTTTTATTGTTGTTTTTAAATAATAATTTCATACAGTTAACAAGGATTGTATTTTACATCTTGAAAATACCTAATTGCTCATAAAAATTTTCTATTTATTTATTTATAAATGTATGAATGCATTTCTTTATTCAATTATTTATTTCATTATGCACTTGTCACTTATACATAGAAACCAGCTGGAGGGGATCCCACAGGCCAAACTTAGGAAAATTTGAGCATCGAGATTGACAGTAAAATAGTGTAACCACTTGAATAATATAGGATGTCATTTTACACTGATCTACTTTATTACTTCATCTGTATTTGTTTATTTAATTTCAAAATAAATAATGTTTCACTTTGTATATGACAATTCTAGCAGAAACATCTGCATAAAGGGGTTAAATGAGAATTTTCAAGGACATGACAAAATGAATTCATGTGCCACCTACAATGAGAAGACAGTATCGCTTCTGTGATAGTCCTGCAACAGATGTGCAAAGTGAATCTAATCATAAGGGCACTGCAGACAAATCCAAATTAATGAATATTTTATAAAGTACCTGGTCAATGATCTTAAAAATTTTCAATGTCATAAAAGTTAGAAAGACAAACAGAGTGTTTCATACTGAAAGAGAATAAAGAAAAATGACAAGTGGATGCAGTATCTGCTTCTAATACAGATCCTTTTGATATAAAAATGTATTACTGGGAAATTTGAGGCAACTTGAATAGAGTCCAAGGTTTAGATGATAATGTAATAACATTGGTCTCCTGATTTTCACGGTTGTATTAAGGATTATGTAAGAGAATATATTCTGCTAAAAAATAATCATTGAAATTTTGGGGGATGGTGATGCAGTGAATTATTATAATTTTATTTTGCCTCAGCATCCATTTTGAATATAAGTTTAACTTTTATACCAGAAGCAGAGCTCAGCCACCCTTGCCACTGTATCCAGTTCTACAGCTCCTCCCAATTCCTCAGTGTGATTAATCCAGATATCTGCCTGTAATTGGAACAACACAGTAAAGGTTGCTGCCTGGGCATTAGAAGTAGAACGTTATACCCAAATGACTCAAGCTGGTGTCCAGACTCAAGAATTTAGGGGCATCTACCCCACCTAGCATTGGATCAATAGTGCAGTAAAATTCAACAACTGTAAATATAAATGTCTCTAGTAACTGAACATAAAATGTGTGAAGCAAAACCTGACAGGTGAAAAGAGGAAAATAATTAAAATCACAGTCATAGATAGGGACTATAACATGCCTTTCTTAGTAAAATATAAAACAAATAGAAAAAAAAATCATTACTAATATAGAAGAGCCAAATGATAGTATCAACTACTTTAGTCTAACTGATATTTGTAGAATACTGCATTCAACAACTGAATTCTTTCAACAGCAACACTATTTTAAATTACACATAGAATGCTGAATAAAACATATCCTAAGCCATATACAAATTTTAATACATTTTAAAATAATTAAATCTTTCAGGGTATGTTTTTCTATCACACAACATTTAATTAGAAACTTTTTTAAAAGGATAGGTCAAAACAAGAACTTTAAAAAGTAATTAAAATAAATTAAATAATATTGAAAAAATTACATCAAAATTATTTAGATGAAGCTAAAGCAGGGCTTAAAGAGAAATGTATAGCAATTACTGAATAAATAAAATAAAAAGATAAATTGAATATAATTGAGCTTCTATATTAAGAAACTAGAAAAAATAAGAAGAAAGAAAACACAAAATAAGCAGAAGGAAGGCAACAAGATAAGAGTAGATGAAAGATAAGAGTGGACATCACCAAAATTTTTAAAAAGTAGAGAAAATTATTACATACAAAAAGCTATATGAAAACATCAGTAAAAATTGACAAAAATCTAAACTAATCGAAGATGAAATAAAGAGACCACAAATTAACCAGTATCAAGAATAAGATGGCATCACTACAGATCCACAGATATTAAAAGGTTATTAGGGACTACTAAAAACAGTGCCAAAAAAGTTCAGTGACATAAATGAAGTAAAATAAAATAATCCCTTAGAAGATAAAATCCTCCCAATTTACTCAAAAAGGAATAAATACTTAACATTCTAGGAAGATAGTGGATCAGGAAGCATCCAAAATCGATCTGTCTTCCTACCTAGACAATCATTGCATTGTCACACTCTATCTGATTTTAAGCATTTTGAAACACTGGAGTCTATTAAAGCCTTGCAACTTCCAGGGAGAAGACTTGGATGGTGAATTACGGTTATTTCTGGTCACCTTCACCTCTTAGCACAGTAGTAGCTAGCTACCTATCTCCTATTCCCTCAGTCCCATGGCAGGCAGCTATGCATGTGTTCCTGGAGCAACATACACACAGTTTGCAGGAGCCAAAGTAGGCAAAAAGAACTCTGCTCCAAATAGCCAAGATCTGTGCTCTAATTACTAAAAGCAGCTTCTGATCACAGGCACAGACAAAGAAACATGGCCACTGTTGTTGCACTTCCCTTACTTGTGGCAAGCTCCTCCTTTCTGCATAAAGTGACTTCCGGAAGAGTGGAAGAACCAGCATCCTTTCTCTTTTCATTCTGTAGTCGATTTTCTGTTTTTTTCTCTTTTGGGGGCCAGATCAGGATAACTATAACATTCCAAAGCAACAGCATACATGAGGGAAATTAAAAAGTCACCACAGATGTTCAGGGTGAGGTGCAGGCTCAATAAAAATCTGAGAAAACCTTAATTTTACACCTCAGGCTAATCCTTGGCACCAAGACAACATAAAACAATCAAAAAAGCAAAAACAAAATAAAACATATACAACAACAACAAAATCTGGGTAAAGGGGAGAATCTCATTTCTAGACTTAGAACATTAGATTCAAATGTTTAGTTTTCAACACTAAAAAAATTACAAGGCATAAAAGAGACAGGAAAGTATGGTGTATTCAAAGGGGAAAAAAATAAAGCGACAGAAACCTTCTTGAAAACAGCATGATAGCAGATCTAATAGACAAAGACTGTAAAACAACGTCTTAAAGATATTCATCAAGCTAAAGAAGAAATGGAGAAAGTCAAGAAAATAATAGATGAACAAAATTAAAATGTCAATAGAGGAATGGAAAACAAAAAGAGATCAAAAAGAAATTCTGGGGCTAAAAAGTAAAATTAAAATGAAAAATTCACTAGAGGGATTCAAAGGTATATTTGAGCAGGCAGAAGAAAGAATCAACAAATTTAAAGATAGAGCCATAAAAATTATTCAATCTGAGAAAGAGGAAAATAGACTGAAGGAAAGTGAAAAAATCCTAAACAGTTTGTGGGACACTAGTAAGCAGACAAACATATGCACTATGGGAGTTCCAGGAGGAGAAGACAGAAAGAGGCAGAGAGAATACACAAACAAATAATGGCCAAAAACCCCAACTTTGGTGAAGAACATGAACATAAACATGCAAGATGCTCAACAAACTCCGAGAAAAATGAACTCAGAGACTCAGCTGAGGAATGTTATAATCAAACCATTGAAAGACAAAGCCAAAGAAGAATTTTGAAATCAACAAGAGAAAAGGGGCTAGTCACTTAAAAGTTATACTTAATAAGATTATAAGACTTTTTATCAGAATCTTTGGAAGTCAGAAAATGGTGGGTTGATATATTAAAAGTGCTAAAAGATTTTTTTAAACTATTGTCAATCAAGAATCATATATCTGGTAAAATTATCTTTCAAAAATGAGAGCAAAATAAATATATTTCCAGACAATAAAAATCAACGAAGTTTGTAACCGCTAGACCTGCCCCTGCAAGAAATGCTAAAGTGCTGAAATAAAAGACACTTGAGAGTAATTCAGAGCCATATAAAAAGGTAAAAATCTCAGTAAAAGTAAATACATAGGAAATTATAAAAGCTAGTATTATTGTAACAATGATGTGTAACTCCACTTTTTGTTTTCTACATGATTCAAGAGAATAATATATTAGAAAAATGTTTAAGAGGTCGATGCATTAGAAAATCATTAGTTTATTTTTTGGAAACACGATGTATAAAAATGTAATTTTATGTCAGCAACTGAAAGGTGTGGAGATGGATCTGTTAAAGAAGCTGAGCTTTTGTATGTTATTGAATTTGTGTGTTATTGAAGCTGGTATAAATTTAAATCAGCTGGTATAAATATTAAAAGTTTAGAATATTAGAGGTAATTCCCATGGTAACCACAAAAATATAACTAAAGAATATACATGAAAAAGTTAAATGGGAAAGGGATGTAAATGTTTCAGTAGAAAAAAAAAAAAGGCTAAACACCAAAAAAAAGTACTGCAGGAAAAATAGGATTTTTAAAAACTATAAGGCATATAGAAATAATAAAGTAACAGAAATAAGCCCATTCTTACTTTAAATGTACATGATTAAACTCTCCAATCAAAAAAATAGATACTGACGGAATGGAAGAAAAAAACAAAAAAAGATTCAATTTTTCTGAAACAAAAGTGGTTTGCTGCTTGATGCACTAAAAGCCAATACTATGACACCAGGTTTTTGAGAAAAGAAAAGCTTTTTATTGCCAAGTTGACTCATAAGGAGACAGGAGTTGAGCTCAAGTCTTCCTCCCTGTGCTGGCTTTAAGGCAGTAATCTCATTAGAAAAGGTTTAGGGTGTTAATTCTGAAATTAGCAGGTGATTGATGAAAGGAAAGAGGAGGTCTGGAAAGTCCTTTGGTATGTGCAGTTATCTCTTCATACTACCTCATGCATTGCATATGCAAATTCAGGGGGAGTTAGTATAAAACATGCAGCGGAAATTAAGGCTGTGGTGACATCAGCAAGCTCATTATGTGCAAACTCTAGTTGGCCACTGATATGGTTTTGCTGTGTCCCTACCCAAATCTCATCTCGAATTGTAGCTCCCATAATTCCCATATGTTGCGGGAGGGACCCGGTGGGAGATAATTGAATTGTGGGGGTGGTTCTCCCATACTGTTCTTGTGGTAGTGAATAAGTCTCATGAGATCTGATGGTTTTATAATGGAGAAACCACTTTTGCTTGCTTGTGCCTTTCACCTTCCACCGTGACTGTGATGCCGCCCCAGCCATGTGGAACTGTGAGACTGAGAATGTGAGTCCATCAAACCTCTTTTTCTTTATAAATTACCCCATCTCAAGTACGTTTTTATGAGCAGCATGAAAATGGACTAATACAGCCGTCTTGGTTCCAACTGACTTCAGCAAATTTTTTCTTTATCTTACAGCGGAGAGAGTTTCAGCATTTCATCAAGTTGTTTATTTTCTTGTCTGCTATCCTGAAAACTCAATAATTTCTATTAATTACTAGTTTCTTACTTTCGGGGCACAGTTTTAGTAAGTTGTTTCTCTTCTTATCTGCCATGCAGTAAGCCCAAGAATTTATTAATTTTTTTAACCCCTTGAAGCATGGTTCACAACTATATACTTTCCTACAAGGAACTCACTTTAGATCTAAAGAGAGAAATAGATTAAAAGTGAAATGATAGAAAAGTAATTAAAAGAAGGCAGGAGTGGCTCCACTAACATCAGAAAAATAGACTTTAAATTTTTAAAAATAACAAGAAAAAAGGAGGACATATCAATAAAAGTTTTAATACCACAAGAAGATAAAACAATTATAAACATTCACACACTTAATCACAGACCATTAAAATATGTGAAGCAAAAATTGTCAAATGAGGGAGGAGTCCTGGGACATCTCACATATGTTCAGAATATGGAATTTAGTCGCATAGTTTTGGTATAAAACCACTCATCTTCTGTACATTATGTCTCCAAGTCTAGAAACCCTCCGCTTTACACTTTCTGGGAAGTAAACCTCAAATCTGCGGTATGGGAGAAGCATCCAGCATCAAGGAGTGGAGGAAGGATCCACACAGAAATAGCATATTTACAAGGATTGTTCTTGAAAATTATGAGGATCATAAATCACAAAATCAATGCAACCTGAATAAGCTATAAGTTTATTTCTCTTTCAAAAAATTGGAGTATTAAGGAAAAAGGGTGGAGATTATACAATGGCTCTATATTCATCAACCTGCCCCTTCTAGTGTGTTACTTCACACCCTTCAACAGGGGGATACTATCTTGTGATTAATTGCAAATATCACTCTGATATTTGCCAGCTCATCCTTACAAAGAGATAGAATTTACATATACTTCTCCATATTTTGAATCTAGTGTAGCCTTGAGAATTACATTGATTTCTTATAATGTGGTAACATTAATGTTTCCTCTTTTTATATTTGCAGATTTGATTTTCTGAAATTTTATTAAGAATTGTTGTAGCTATATTCATGAGAGATGGATATGTTTTCAAAGTAATGTTGGCCTCATGATGAGTTTAGATATGTTATTTCTAACATATCTCTGGGAGTGTTATATGGTATTTCTAATATAACTCTGGGAGAGTTAGAGTATAACTGGATTCTTCTAAAAATACACCACTGAATAGATTCAAAACATTAAATATTTAGTAATAAATCTGACTAATGTGTAAGCTTTGTACAGTTAAAAAAAAAGTCAGCAAAATAAAAAGACAAGCCACAGGCTGAAAGGAAATTTCTGCAAAGTCATATCTGATAAAGGACTGTTACCAAAATATACAAACAACTCTTAAAACTCAACAATATGAAAGCAAATAACTTAATATTAAAAATAGGCCACATAGCTTAACAGACACACAAAAAATAGCCAAATGTCAAATAAGCATATGAAAAGATGTTCTGCATCAAATGTCATCAGGGCAATGCAAACTAAAATAACACGATACTACCACACATCTATTAGAATGGCCAAAATCCAGAGCACTGGCAATGCAAAATACTGGTGAGGATATAGGGCAACAAGCATGTTCATTTAATTTTTATGGAAATGCAAAATGGCACGGCCACTTTGAAAGACAGGTTAGCCTTGTCTTACAAAACTAAATTCACTATTACAATATGACCCAGCCATCACACTGTGTAGTATTCACCCAAAAGAGTTGAAAACTTATATCCACGAAAAAACCTATGCCCTGATATCTGTAACACCTTTTTCATAATTACCAAAACAGAAGCAATCAAGATGCTCTTCAGTAGGTGAATGGATAAAGAAAGTGTAGCACATTTAGACAATAGAATATTATTCAACACTATACCCCAGATTGAGTTTTCTTTCCTAGGGCTTCGACTCAAAGCTTGGAATTGAGTTTGGGACAAAAGAACTGCTTCGGCGGGTTGTGTGGACACTTTACAAGCCAAATGCTAAGGTGAAGCTGTGGAACTGAGTCCTCCTCCAACAAGAGAGAGAAAAGGGTGTCTTGTGTACTGAGTCCTGGCCTAGTATAATGTCTTCTCAAAGGAAAAAAGGCCTCTGGCATAGAGAAGTCCCTTCTACTTGCAGGAGCGTGTTATTAGGTTGGTGCAAAAGCATTCATGGTCCCCATCATGCTAAGTAATGTCAAATAACACAACTACTTTTGCACCAACCCACCAACTCCTGACCTGGTGGAGAAAAGAAAAAATACAGCTTAAAGTGCAGGGATGTGTTAAGTGCTGATGGGGTGAAGAAAAGAAAATAAAACATCTTAAGTACAGAGTTGGAAAGATGCCTGGGGGAAGAATCTCCTATTCTTATGCAAATGTGTTCCTCCAACAGGGAGAGAAATTTTACTTGCTGTTGGACTGGAGAGAAACTTTTCGATGCTGCTGGGAATGCTGGCCAGCGTGCTGTGTGGAGCCCTTGGGCCAGGTGCCCCAGCCCCAGCTGGGTGGAGGTGGGCAGGGAGTCACCACTCACCTATCTGTCTTGCATGCATGCCTGTGACCATTGGGGTGGTGGTGGAACACCCCCAATATTGTAAAAGAAAAGATAGGTGCCATTACAATCCCCCCCAAAAGAAGGAAAATGCCATAGAAAAGACTGGGTTGGACTGAGGTTGACATTCGCAATCCCCAAGGCAACGGAAGTGGAGGGTCACAGTTTTCTCTACCTTCAGAAGATGTCTGAGGGCAAGAAAAAGCTGAGAAACAAAAGGGAAAGAGGTTTTGTGGGGGATTCTGCATTTGATTCACCCTTCCTCATGTCCCCATACAGGCCACCAAAATGATGTGGGATATTTTGCTCCTTAGTTTAGCTAAAATCCACGTTCTTGCCTCACAACCAGGAAAAATTAGGCACATGGACACTTTGAAGGGTGAGAAGGACAGATTTATTAGGCAAAAAGAAAACTCTCAGCCAAGAAAAACGGGGTCCTGCCAACAGGCTCACACCTCATTGAATACCAGGCCACCACACTCAAGCTGAAGAGGCCAGCCTTCTCCTAACTACATAAGGCACCAATTCCCAGTGGCTCCACTCATTCTCCCAGTGCCCAGGCAGGCCCTCAGTTTATGGCAGGCATGCCCAGACAAGACCCTGGGCAGGTTCCCTCATCTTCACAAAAGTATCTGATATAAACACTTATGGGGTGTGTCAGAGATTCAAGGAAGATAAGGGGACCCTCTTTTTGGTAGATCTTTTTGGTAGAAATTTAAAAATTTATCCAAAATATTACATACATATGCAAACAACCAAGATAGCCAAAATGATTTCAAAAAGAACAAAACTGAAGGCATCAAACCTCTTGATTTTACGAGAACTTAAAAAGCTACAATAATTAAGATAGTGTGAAATTTACATCAAGAAACACAAATAGACCAAAGGAAAAGACAGTCCACTAAAAAAGCAATTTAGTAAAAAAAAAAAAAAAAAGATAACCTTTCAACCAATAGTGCTGAACCAATTGAATATCCATTTGCAAAAAAACAGAAATGTATTCATACTTTCACTACATAAAACATAGCAAGAGTAGCAAGAGTGGCCTTTACTCCAGTTCCCAACAAGTTCCTCCTCTCCATCTGAGACCACCTCAGCCTAGATTTCATCATCCATATCATTATCAGCATTTTGGTAAAAGCCATTCAACAAGTCTCTAGGAAGTTCCAACTTTTCCACATTTTCCTGTCTTCTTCTGAGCCCTCCAAATTGTTCCAAACTCTGCCTGTTACACAGTTCCAAAGTCACTTTCACATTTTTGGATGTCTTTACAGCAGTGCCCTACTCCTGGTACCAACTTACAGTATTAGTCTGTGCTCACACTGTTAATAAAGACATACCTGAGGCTGGGTAATTTATAAAGGATAGAGGCTTAATGGACTCACAGTTCCACATGGCTGGGGAGGCCTCACAATCATGGTGGAAGGCAAAGAGGAGCAAGTCACGTCTTACATGGATGGTGGCAGGCATAGAGACAGAGCTTGTACAGGGGAACTCTTCTTTGTAAAACCATCAGATCTCATGAGACTTATTCACTATGAGGAGAACAGCACAGGAAAGACCCGCCCCCATGATTCAATTACCTTCCACTGGGTCCCTACCATGACATGTGGAAATTGTGAGAGCTACAATTCAAGATGAGATTTGGGTGGGGACACACCCGCACCATATCAGAAACAAAAGAAAATGTTTACGACCTTGAGTTAGACAAGGATTTCTTTGATAACTCACCATAGAACAATCAATAAATAAAAACATGATAAATTGAACTTCATTAAAATTAAGAACTTATCTTTGAAATATTTGCTATGATAAGCAAAAAACAACATATTCAGATAAAATACTTGCAAATCACATACCTTATTAAAAACATCATTTAGAATTTTTAAATCTCAACAAATAGAAAATGAACAAGACAATGAAATTTGACATAAACAATATGAACATACATGTCATCAAAGTGAATATATAATTTTCAATATACACATATATTCAATATCAAAGTTAAGGAAATGCAAATTAATTAGAATTGCATTGCTTTATTCTCAAATGTTAATGAAGTACTAACTGAAGAAACATCTATAAAAAAATCCACAAACCAAAAGAAAAAAAAAACAAACCTCTGGAAGAAACTAATATTAGCAAAAATGAGCCAAGTAGGAAGAAAAATAACTAAACAAATATCAAAAGTAAAAATGGTTACAAGAGCTAAAAGGAAAACCAAATTCAAACAAAAAAGTAGAAGCAAAAATATTAATAATATATTAGGTAAGATTCTGGGAAAATCATAAAGCATACACAGAAGGATACTACATTACAGTTTTAATATATTTGGCTTTCTAATGTGCAGAAAAAATAATAATAATTCTTGTTTCATGTTACACTATCATCTTTGGACCACATATGAACATTAACCATAACAGATATCTAACCCTGTGGTTCCCTCTCTTTCCATACACCTATATCCTCCCAACCAAGATAACATTCTGATTCCCATGTGAATCATTCAGTTGTTATAATTTAATATAGTTTGCATATGTATACATTGCTAATTGTTTTTATTTTAGATATGTTTATCTTATTTGTATCACATACAGAATTTCATACATTTATGTATTTCCTCCTCAATACGGAGAGCTTAATTACCCACCCTCTAAGTGTGAGCTACACTTAGTAGTTTGCTTGTAAAGAGGATGGTATAGAAATGGAAAGAATGCAATTCTATAGAAGAGAAACCTGATAAACACTACCTCAGTCGGTAATCAAGGTTAACGTCATTAGGGATAAGTTATATTTGATAGTGTGTATCCTTGATATGATGTGTTGATAATGACATTTCACCTCAGTAGTCATCCAAAAAGTCATAACCACAGTCTAACCATGAGAAACCATCAGATAAACCCCAACAGAGCAGCATTCTGTAATACCTGACCCTTACTCCTCAAAACAGTCAAGGTCATTAAAAACAAAGACGTCTGAGAAACTGTCACAGTCCAGTGGAGGCTAAGACACATGGCAATGAAATGCAACGTGATATCCTGGAAGAGTTCCTGGGACAGAAAAAGAACTTTTAAGGAAAAAACTAATAAAATTCGAATAAAGTATAGACTTCAGTGTTTTTAAAAGAAGCATTCTGTAAGTGATCTTTTGGGACTTACTTTTTCTTGTTAATATATTATTGCTTAGATTCAATTGCTTGGGGTGTATCTGTAATTTACTTGTCTCAGAATATTCTATTGTGTAAATACACCATTTTTTAATCAATGAACAATCCCATTGATAAGCATCTGATTTATTTCCGGAATTTTTATTTTGTTCACTATGCTTTTATAGACATTCTTATATATATATCTTCTCCAATATATGTGTAAGATAGTCTCTTGGATATCTGCTCAGGAGAGGAATTTCTGGGTCATAAGATATATATGTCCCACTACAGGAGATAATGACAAATGTGTTCTCTAATTATTTTCATTTATTTACAAATGCAATGTGAACCAGAGTCTGTAGACTACCTGTAGATACAATCTTATTTTTTCATTATCACCCCAACGACAATGAGAAATTATGAAAAAAATGCCTTCTTTGTACATTTTTAGTCATCATTATATAATGTTAATACCATAGACCACTGTATAACTGTTCATCTATTGTATGTAGAATTTTTATATTTATTTGTATGTATAAATTTTTAAAAGATATGATTTCTAAGAAATTATAGGGAGTAAGATTTTTCTACCACATACAAGAAGCAATTTTTCACCCTTAGAGGCAACAGTGCCCCTGTTAAGAATGCGTGCTGTAGACCATATACTCTCCAACATTGGCATCATCAGACTTTTTTATTTATTTCAAATTGAATGGGTGTAAAATGGAATTTTGTTATAATCTTAATTTCCATTTCTTTTATTAAAAACCCAATACATTTTATTGGTTGCTCTTCTATAAAATGTGTTAATCAATTTTACCCATTTCATGTAATTGATTAGACATTATTATAGATCTGTAGGCACTTAGTATATAATCTTGTTCAATTCTTTTGGCTTATATTTTGTACTTTTACTTTTTACAAAACATCCTTCTGGAGGAAACAATACTTAATTCTATTGTATTTACATGTACCTATCTTTTCTTGCATGGTTGATGCACTTTGTAATTTTTCAGCAATAAAAGTGTTGCATGATATAGGCCGGGTGTGGTGGCTCATACCTGTAATCTTAACACTTTGAGAGGCCTAGGCCAGTGGGTCACTTGAGGTCAGGAGTTCAAGACAAGCCTGGCCCACATAGTGAAACACCACCTCTACTAAAAATAGAAAAATAGCCGGGCGTGGTGGCACGTGCCTCTGATTCCAGCTACTCAAGAGGCTGAGGCAGGACAATTGCTTGAACACGGGAGACGGAGGTTGCAGTGAGCCAAGATCATGCCATTGTACTCCAGCCTGGGGAACAGAGCAAAACTCCATCTCCAAAAAAAAAAAAAAAATTATTGCATGATATAAAGAATTTTATACTTTTCCACGTAGAGTCTTATACATCTTTTACTAAATTATCCCTAAAAAGTTGATAATCTCTGATACACATGTAAAGGGTATAATCTTTTAAATTAAACGTCATATTTGTTTACTGCTGTTGTGTAAACGTGCAATTGATTTTTGTACATTAACCAAAACATCTTTATAAACTCTTCTTTATCTTTTTTACTAGTTTTTATTTTACTTTCAGGGGTATATGTGCAGGTTTGTTATATAGGTAAATTACACATTATGGGGGTTTGGTGTACAGGTTATTTAGTCGCCCAGGTAATAAGCATGGTATCCAATAGGTAGTTTTGCAATCCTAACCCTCCTCCCCGCTTCACCCTCAAGTAGCGCCGTTGTCTATTGTTCCTTCTTTGTGTCCACGTGTACTCAATGTATGAACTCTTCTTTAAATTATCATATAAATGACAGTTTAATCTCACATTTGATCCTTTATACTTTTAATTTTATTATTATCATATTGCACTGGCTAGATTTCCGATAGAATGTTGAACTGCAACAAAAATAATAGACATCTTGTCTTTTTCCTTTTTTTTTTTTTTGAGACAGAGTCTAGCTCAGTCACCCAGGCTGGAGTGCAGTGGCGTGACCTCAGCTCACTGCAAGCTCCACCTCCTAGGTTCACGCCATTCTCCTGCCTCAGCCTCCTGAGTAGCTGGGACTACAGGCGCCCGCCACCACGCCCTGCTAATTTTTTTATATTTTTAGTACAGACGGGGTTTCACTGTGTTAGCCAGGATGGTCTCGATCTCCTGACCTCGTGATCCACCTGTCTCGGCCTCCCAAAGTGCTGGGATTACAGGCGTGAGCCACGGCGCCCGGCTGTCTTTTTCCTAATTTTAAAGAAAATGCTTCTATTATTTTCCCATTTTAAATATGTGTTTATTCTGTTTGTATACACCTACTTTATTAGGTTAATGAAGCTTAGTTATTTTCTAAGGTTACTAAGTTTTTTGGTAATGTTAAAATTTGTCAAATGCTCTTTCTACAGCTTCTCAGACAATAATTTTAAAAAATCTTTTAGTTAATAAAGGGAATGTGACTGCATTTTTAATATTCAACCATTAATGTCTATCTGGTACACCAACTTACCCACAGTGATCAACTTTTATTATATCTAATACATTGTAAGTTTCAATTTGATAATATGTAAGCGATAAGCATCCTTTGCTTAAATTCATGGAATATTTACAAACCATAATATCTTGTCAAGCAAGCATTATAACTGTAAATTTCACCAAATAGATTTTTTGAGTTTAAATTCTCTAAACTTAAGATAATAAAATGGAATTGGGGGGAGGAGCCAAGATGGCCAAATAGGAACAGCTCCGGTCTACAGCTCCCAGCATGAGCGACGCAGAAGACGGGTGATTTCTGCACTTCCAACTGAGGTACAGCGTTCATCTCACTAGGGAGTGCCAGACAGTGGGCGCAGGTCAGTGGGTTCGCACACCGTGGGCGAGCCGAAGCAGGGCGAGGCATTGCCTCACTCGGGAAGCACAAGGGGTCAGGGAGTTCCCTTTCTGAGTCAAAGAAAGGGGTGACGGAGGGCACCTGGAAAATTCGGTCACTCCCACCTGAATACTGCGCTTTTCTGACGGGCTTAAAAAATGGCGCACCACGAGAGTATATCCGGCACCTGGCTCGGAGGGTCCTGCGCCCATGGAGTCTCGCTGATTGCTAGCACAGCAGTCTGAGATCAAACTGCAAGGCCTCAGCGAGGCTGGGGGAGGGGTGCCTGCCATTGCCCAGGCTTGATTAGGTAAACAAAGCAGCCTGGAAGCTCGAACTGGGTGGAGCCCACCACAGCTCAAGGAGGCCTGCCTGCCTCTGTAGGCTCCACCTCTGGGGGCAGGGTGCAGACAAACAAAAAGACAGCAGTAACCTCTGTAGACATAAATGTCCCTGTCTGACAGCTTTGAAGAGAGCAGTGGTTCTCCCAGCACGCAGCTGGAGATCTGAGAACGGGCAGACTGCCTCCTCAAGTGAGTCCCTGAACCCCGAGCAGCCTAACTGGGAGGCACCCCCAGCAGGAGCACACTGACACCTCACACGGCAGGGTATTCCAACAGACCTGCAGCTGAGGGTCCTGTCTGTTACAAGGAAAACTAACAAACAGAAAGGACATCCACACCAAAAACCCATCTGTACATCACCATCATCAAAGACCAAAAGTAGATAAAACCACCAAGATGGGGAAAAAACAGAACAGAAAAACTGGAAACTCTAAAAAGCAGAGCGCCTCTCCTCCTCCAAGGAAACGCAGTTCCTCACCAGCAACGGAACAAAGCTGGATGGAGAATGACTTTGACGAGCTGAGAGAAGAAGGCTTCAGACGATCAAATTACTCTGAGCTATGGGAGGACATTCAAACCAAAGGCAAAGAAGTTGAAAACTTTGAAAAAAATTTAGAAGAATGTATAACTAGAATAACCAATACAGAGAAGTGCTTAAAGGAGCTGATGGAGCTGAAAACCAAGGCTCGAGAACTATGTGAAGAATGCAGAAGCCTCAGGAGCCGATGCGATCAACTGGAAGAAAGGGTATCAGCAATGGAAGATGAAATAAATGAAGCGAGAAGGGAAGTTTAGAGAAAAAAGAATAAAAAGAAATGAGCAAAGCCTCCAAGAAATATGGGACTATGTGAAAAGACCAAATCTACGTCTGATTGGTGTACCTGAAAGTGATGGGGAGAATGGAACCAAGGTGGAAAACACTCTGCAGGATATTATCCAGGAGAACTTCCCCAATCTAGCAAGGCAGGCCAACGTTCAGATTCAGGAAATACAGAGAACACCACAAAGATACTCCTCGAGAAGAGCAACTCCAAGACACATAATCGTCAGATTCACCAAAGTTGAAATGAAGGAAAAAATGTTAAGGGCAGCCAGAGAGAAAGGTTGGGTTACCCTCAAAGGGAAGCCCATCAGACTAACAGCGGATCTCTCGGCAGAAACCCTACAAGCCAGAAGAGAGTGGGGGCCAATATTCAACATTCTTAAAGAAAAGAATTTTCAACCCAGAATTTCATATCCAGCCAAACTAAGCTTCATAAGTGAAGGAAAAATAAAATACTTTACAGACAAGCAAATGCTGAGAGATTTTGTCACCACCAGGCCTGCCCTAAAAGAGCTCCTGAAGGAAGCGCTAAACATGGAAAGGAACAACCGGTACCAGCCACTGCAAAATCATGCCAAAATGTAAAGAATATTGAGACTAGGAAGAAACTGCATCAACTAACGAGCAAAATCACCAGCTAACATCATAATGACAGGATCAAATTCACACATAACAATATTAACTTTAAATGTAAATGGACTAAATGCTCCAATTAAAAGACACAGACTGACAAATTGGATAAAGAGTCAAGACCCATCAGTGTGCTGTATTCAGGAAACCCATCTCACGTGCAGAGACACACATACGCTCAAAATAAAAGGATGGAGGAAGATCTACCAAGCCAATGGAAAACAAAAAATGGCAGGGGTTGCAATCCTAGTCTCTGATAAAACAGACTTTAAACCAACAAAGATCAAAAGACACAAAGAAGGCCATTACATAATGGTAAAGGGATCAATTCAACAAGAAGAGCTAACTATCCTAAATATACATGCACCCAATACAGGAGCACCAAGATTCAAAAAGCAAGTCCTGAGTGATCTACAAATAGACTTAGACTCCCACACATTAATAATGGGAGACTTTAACACCCCACTGTCAACATTAGACAGATCAACGAGACAGAAAGTCAACAAGGATACCCAGGAATTGAACTCAGCTCTGCACCAAGTGGACCTAATAGACATCTACAGAACTCTCCACCCCAAATCAACAGAATATACATTTTTTTCAGCACCACATCATACCTATTCCAAAATTGACCACATAGTTGGAAGTAAAGCACTCCTCAGCAAATGTAAAAGAATAGAAATTATAACAAACTGTCTCTCAGACCACAGTGCAATCAAACTAGAACTCAGGATTAAGAATCTCACTCAAAACTGCTCAACTACATGGAAACTGAACAACCTGCTCCTGAATGACTACTGGGTACATAACGAAATGAAGGCAGAAATAAAGATGTTCTTTGAAACCAATGAGAACAAAGACACAACATACCAGAATCTCTGGGACACATTCAAAGCAGTGTGTAGAGGGAAATTTATAGCACTAAATGCCCACAAGACAAAGCAGGAAAGATCCAAAATTGACACCCTAACATCACAATTAAAAGAACTAGAGAAGCAAGAGCAAACACATTCAAAAGCTAGCAGAAGGCAAGAAATAACTAAAATCAGAGCAGAACTGAAGGAAACAGAGACACAAAAAACCCTTCAAAAAATTAATGAATCCAGGAGCTGGTTTTTTGAAAGGATCAACAAAATTGATAGACCACTAGCAAGACTAATAAAGGGAAAAAGAGAGAAGAATCAAATAGACACAATAAAAAATGATAAGGGGGATATCACCACTGATCCCACAGAAATACAAACTACCATCAGAGAATACTACAAACACCTCTATGCAAATAAACTAGAAAATCTAGAAGAAATGGATAAATTCCTCGACACATACACTCTCCCAAGACTAAACCAGGAAGAAATTGAATCTCTGAATAGACCAATAGCAGGATCTGAAATTGTGGCAATAATCAATAGCTTACCAACCAAAAAGGGGCCAGGACCAGATGGATTCACAGCCGAATTCTACCAAAGGTACAAGGAGGAACTGGTACCATTCCTTCTGAAACTATTCCAATCAATAGAAAAAGAGGGAATCCTCCCTAACTCATTTTATGGGTCCAGCATCATTCTGTTACCAAAGCCAGGCAGAGACACAACAAAAAAAGAGAATTTTAGACCAATATTCTTGATGAACATTGATGCAAAAATCCTCAATAAAATACTGGCAAAACGAATCCAGCAGCACATCAAAAAGCTTATCCACCATGATCAAGTGGGCTTCATCCCTGGGATGCAAGGCTGGTTCAATATACACAAATCAATAAATGTAATCCAGCATATAAACAGAACCAAAGACAAAAACCACATGATTATCTCAATAGATGCAGAAAAAGCCTTTGACAAAATTCAACAACCCTTCATGCTAAAAACTCTCAATAAATTAGGTATTGATGGGATGTATTTCAAAATAATAAGAGCTATCTATGACAAACCCACAGCCAATATCATACTGAATGGGCAAAAACTGGAAGCATTCCCTTTGAAAACTAGCACAAGACAGGGATGCCCTCTCTCACCACTCCTATTCAACATAGTGTTGGAAGTTCTGGCCAGGGCAATCAGGCAGGAGAAGGAAATAAAGGGTATTCAATTAGGAAAAGAGGAAGTCAAATTGTCCCTGTTTGCAGATGACATGATTGTATATCTAGAAAACCCCATTGTCTCAGCCCAAAATGTCCTTAAGCTGATAACCAACTTCAGCAAAGTCTCAGGATACAAAATCAATGTGCAAAAATCACAAGCATTCTTATACACCAACAACAGACAAACAGAGAGCCAAATCATGAGTGAAATCCCATTCACAATTGCTTCAAAGAGAATAAAATACCTAGGAATCCAACTTACAAGGGATGTGAAGGACCTCTTCAAGGAGAACTGCAAACCACTACTCAAGGAAATAAAAGAGGATGCAAACAAATGGAAGAACATTCCATGCTCATGGGTAGGAAGAATCAATATTGTGAAAATGGCCATACTGCCCAAGGTAATTTACAGATTCAATGCCATCCCCATCAAGCTACCAATGCCTTTCTTCACAGAATTGGAAAAAACTACTTTAAAGTTCATATGGAACCAAAAAAGAGCCCGCATTGCCAAGTCAATCCTAAGCCAAAAGAACAAAGCTGGAGGCATCACACTACCTGACTTCAAACTATACTAAAAGGCTACAGTAACCAAAAGAGCATGGTACTGGTACCAAAACAGAGATATAGATCAATGGAACAGAACAGAGCTCTCAGAAATAACACCGCATATCTACAACTATCTGATCTTTGACAAACCTGAGAAAAACAAGAAATGGGGAAGGATTCCCTATTTAATAAATGGTGCTGGGAAAACTGGCTAGCCATATGTAGAAAGTTGAAACTGGATCCCTTCCTTACACCTTATACAAAAATCAATTCAAGATGGATTAAAGACTTAAACATTAGACCTAAAACCATAAAAACCCTAGAAGAAAACCTAGGCATTACCATTCAGGACATAGGCATGGGCACGGACTTCATGTCTAAAACACCAAAAGCAATGGCAACAAAAGACAAAATTGACATATGGGATCTAATTAAACTAAAGAGCTTCTGCACAGCAAAAGAAACTACCATCAGAGTGAATAGGCAACCTATAAAATGAGAGAAAATTTTCACAACCTACTCATCTGACAAAGGGCTAATATCCAGAATCTACAATGAACTCAAACAAATTTACAAGAAAAAAACAAACAACCCCATCAAAAAGTGGGCAAAGGACATGAACAGACACTTCTCAAAAGAAGATATTTATGCAGCCAAAAAACACATGAAAAAATGCACATCATCACTGGCCATCAGAGAAATGCAAATCAAAACCACAATAAGATACCATCTCACACCAGTTAGAATGGCAATCATTAAAAAGTCAGGAAACAACAGGTGCTGGAGAGGATGTGGAGAAATAGGAACACTTTTACACTGTTGGTGGGACTGTAAACTAGTTCAACCATTGTGGAAGTCAGTGTGGCGATTCCTCAGGGATCTAGAACTGGAAATACCATTTGAGCCAGCCATCCCATTACTGGGTATATACCCAAAGGACTATAAATCATGCTGCTATAAAGACACATGCACACGTATGTTTATTGCGGCATTATTCACAATAGCAAAGACTTGGAACCAACCCAAATGTCCAACAATGATAGACTGGATTAAGAAAATGTGGCACATATACACCATGGAATACTATGCAGCCATAAAAAATGATGAGTTCATGTCCTTTGTAGGGACATGGATGAAATTGGAAATCATCATTCTCAGTAAACTATCGCAAGAACAAAAAACCAAACACCGCATATTCTCACTGATAGGTGGCAACTGAACAATGAGAACACATGGACACAGGAAGGGGAACATCACACCCTGGGGACTGTTGTGGCGTGGGGGGAGGCGGGAGGGATAGCATTGGGAGACATACCTAATGCTAGATGACGAGTTAGTGGGTGCAGTGCACCAGCATGGCACATGTATACATATGTAACCTGCACATTGTGCACATGTACCCTAAAACTTAAAGTATATTAATAAAAAATAAATAAATAAATAAATAAAAGAAAAATCAACAATAAAAAGTTATTGTCTAAATAAAACAACTATATTGAAATAAGAAACCTTAACTAAATAATCCATAGGTGAAAATGAACATTAAAATTAACAAAATGTTATATATACAATAATAAAAATTAAAATAAATTACACTGAAAACTATTCAAAACTTTTAAACATAATTCATTAAATTAAAAACTGTAAATAAGATACTAAGCATTTAACGTTTAAATGCAGAAAAAAGATGGCTAATAAAACAAAAACTCTTAGAAACATAAAATAATTACATGAATGTACAGATACATATGCAGATATAATAACTTTAATGTTTGTATTAATATAATTATGATGTTATATGTTGCAATTTTGAATGTATTTAAGCAAAACAAAACAAAAACAAAAACTTATGCAATAACTAGATATTACACCATCAACTACTTTGAAAATAATGATATAGAACTCAAAATTCTAATGGTATAAAGTCAAACCACTGGCAAATTTAATTAAGGGACAAAAATAAAATTCTCAGGATTAAAAATAAAAAGTATATATAACCAAAGACATAGAAAGGATTAAATTATTAGAAAATAAAATTTAGGATATTAATATTTTCTTTTATTATGTCAATTAAAATTTATGATTTGGTTATTTGGCTTTACTATGTTAATATTTTTATTATTAATCTGAGAAAATATTTTACACATGGTAATAATTGTTCAAATCTAGAATAAAATAAAAATTTTCAAATCAATATATAAATTATAAAAGTGATGCAAGAACATACATAAAAGTTAATAGATCAATAAGCATAAATTATACTGATTATTTATCAAACATTTATTATTGAACCCCATGACAAGATAGTTTTACCGCAACTATATCACATTTATTTATTTATTTACTTATTTTTCTTCTGGATGAAATCATTAATATAGGTGGATGCTTTAGCAATATTACTGGTATAATATTTAGCCTTGCTCCTTTGCATAATGGTTTGGCAAAGCCAATAATTTACATTATATAATTTAGATTACCATAGCATTTCTAATTCTCATTTGCAAAAGTTGTACAATAGCCAACTTGATTATGATCTAGATTAAACAAATATTGAAGAACGTTAAGTAGTGTCTCTCTTTTTCCCTCTCCAATAGATTAGTATATAGATATTCATACATATATAGATATATTAATAAACTTAACGTGTATTTATGTATTAATTTGTGAATACTGTATTTCAGTTGCAGTTTTGAGTACAACTAAGACAATGAAGCAAGAATAACAAACTATGGAATACCTAGACAGCACACCATAAAATAATTATGTTGAAATATGAAAAATCTATATTGATTTTTAGTTCCTTTTGTTTTGTTTTTTTTTTTTGAGATGGAGTCTCGCTCTGTTGCCAGGGTGGAGTGCAGTGCCACGATCTCGGCTCACTGCAACCTCCGCCTCCTGGGTTCAAGTGATTCTCCTGCCTCAGCCTCCCGAGTAGCTGGGACTGCAGGTGCGTGCCACCACGCCCAGCTAATTTTTTGTATTTTTAGTAGAGACGCGGTTTCACCATGTTGGCCAGGATGGTCTCGATCTCCTGACCTCATGATCCACCCCCCTCGGTCTCCCTAAGTGCTGGGATTACAGGTTTGAGCCACCACGCCTGGCCTTTAATTCATTTTTAAAAGGATCTGTTGATGGTCAAAACACGAAAATAAACTTTCATCTCCATACTTTCAGATGTTTTTCTTTGAAATTATTCTATAATAAATTACTGATAGTATTGCTCTTAGTTGCTTCTATAGTTTTATAGATGGCTAGAGGCCAATGAAAAGATATTTTTCTTATCAATGTCCTTTTCAAAGCATTTTGCACCTATTTCTTAGACTATAAATCAGATATTTAACATAGGGATGACAAGAGTTTAGAATACAACTATAACCTTGCTCTTTGGAGATGGCCCCAGGTTGGGCATACATGAAGAATACAGTTCCATAGAATAAACTCACCACAGTGATGTGAGAGCTGCAAGTGGAGAAAGTCTTCCTTCTGCCGTGGGTTGAGAGAATCTTCAGGACAGTGGAGAGGATATGCACATAGGAAGCCAGAATGACAGTTGTGGTGGTGGTGATGAGAGCAGAGAGAATAAACAGTACTACCTCATTCACAAGGATGTCAATACATGAGATCTTGATCATGACTGAGACATCACAGAAAAAGTGCTCTAATCTGTTTTCTCCACAGAAATGCAAACTGAAGGTAAAACCTGTTTGTATCATGGAGTTGATGCATCCACAGATAGAGGAGCCAACCACCAAACAAACACAAGCTTGCTGAGACATACATACAGTATAGAAGAAAGGTGAACAAATAGCTGAGAAGCGATCATATGCCATCATATCCAGAAAAAAACCTTCAGTCCCAACAAAGAGAGCAAAGAAAAACAACTGTGTTGCTCAACCATTGTAAGAAATTTTCTTTTCCTTGGAAAATAAAGTAGTCAGTTTTGGAAGCAATAACTGTGGAGTAGCGGAGATCCAAATAGGACAAATTTCTGAGAAAGAAATACACAGGTGTGTGAAGTCTGGAGTCTATTTCAATGACAACTAACATGCTGAGATTTCTCAACACAATGACCATGTAGATAAGCAAGAACAGGAAGAATAAGAGAATCTGTGCTTCTGGCGATGTTCTGAATCCCAGCAGAATAAACTCTGTCACCTCTGAGTAATTCCTGTTCAGTTCGCTCTTCATAGCCAAGACCTATCTGAGAAAAATGAGTGGATTATAATGAAGCCTGGTCAACTTTTGGTCCCTGAAGTTGCCAACGGGAAAAAACAGACAAAAAAACGCTGATACAAATTGGAGTTTTCTTGGCAGTGCATCTGATAGAATAGTTTTACATTTAGAAGCAACCACAGTAAAATCAAAATAAGGTTATTTAGGTTTTTCCCGTCTATTTAGTTTTAGTATTATGTGAGAAATTTGAATGGGCACGGGATATTTCCAGCAGTAAATTATCAGTCATTTTATGCTGTTTGTGAAGAGCTTTGGAGTCATATGGGCTGCATCCAAATTTTACATCTTTCAGTATGAAAGAATCTAAGATAACCATCTACACTTTTGATACCTCAGAAGTCCTCCTCTGCCAAATGGGAGGCACCTGTGAAGATTACACAAAATTGAGTGTGAAAAGCAATATTTATAATGACACAAACATCTTAAAAACATACACGTCAGTGAAATAAATAAAAAAACAAACACAAAGTTTCTTGTGCTCTAAGAATGGAAAACTGAGTGAAAACATAGGTCAATTCCTTTCCCCACTACAAGATAATTAATGCAGTTAATTTGGTTCTTAAAACATTCTGCTACATAGAAGACATTAGGAAACATGGGGTTATAGTTTAATGAGGTAGAATGAACCACTAGTCTTGAGAATGTCATTCAAAATAATAAATCAGACTCTTATCCCCTACATTAACCACATATTGTTCAGCTTCCAGGTCCTTCATTTACTATTAGTGTCTGAATGCTGGTGGCTCCCTTTTCTGGCACCCAAACTGCAGCATGCCTTTTCTTTTTACTGCCATAGACATATGAATTATTTTGTTTATATAGGAACACTATGGTTAGGTATAAGATTAACTTCCCCAACAAGAAATGTTTTCCCCTCTATATATTGTTAACAAAGCACAAGACAATAATGCAAATAAGTGTGGGGGGAGGGGGTGGAAATTCTGTATTGCATGGGTTCTGTTTTTTGTATTTTTCTAACTATTAATGCTTAATAGTAAATACTAAAGAGGCACAGAGATAAAACATTAATAATTTTTAAGATATCTAAAACATTAAATTAAAGTGGAAAAAATAAATTTTATATTATAAATCAATGGTTTTATTACTACATTTAATTTCTGAATTAGCAAAAGAGAAGCTTTTTCTGTCTAGAAACTTAATATATTTGAAGTTACATAGTTTTATTTAGAAATTTTCATAAAATTGAGGAGCCAAGATGGCGGAATAGGAACAGCTCCGGTCTACAGCTCCCAGCGTGAGCAACGCAGAAGAGGGGTGATTTCTGCATTTCCAACTGAGGTACTGGGTTCATCTCACAGGGGAGTGCCAGACAGTAGGTGCAGGACAGTGGGTGCAGCGCACCATGCGTGAGCCGAAGCAGGGCGATGTATCGCCTCACCTGGGAAGCGAAAGGGGTCAGGGAATTCCCTTTCCTAGTCAAAGAAAGGGGTGACAGATGGCACCTGGAGAATTGGGTCACTCCCACCCTAATACTGTGCTTTTCCAACAGGCTTAAAAAATGGCACACCAGGAGATTATATCCCGCACATGGCTTGGAGGGTCCTACGCCCACAGAGTCTCACTCATTGCTAGCACAGCAGTCCCAGATCAAACTGCAAGGTGGCAGCCAGGCTGTGGGAGGGGCGCCCACCATTGCCAAGTTAGTTGTTTGATTAGGTAAACAAAGCAGCCTGGAAGCTCGAACTGGGTGGAGCCCACCACAGCTCAAGGAGGCCTGCCTGCTTCTGTAGGCTCCACCTCTCAGGGCAGGGCGCAGACAAACAAAAAGACAGCAGTAACCTCTGCAGACTTAAATGTACCTCTCTGACAGCTTTGAAGAGAGTAGTGGTTCTCCCAGCATGCAGCTTGAGATCTGAGAACAGGCAGACTGCCTCCTCAAGTGGGTCCCTGAACCCCGAGTAGCCTAACTGGGAGGCACCCCCCAGTAGGGGCGGACTGACACCTCACACAGCCAGGTACTCCTCTGAGACAAAACTTCCAGAGGAATGATGAGACAGCAGCATTTGCAGTTCACCAATATATGCTGTTCTACAGCCACCGCTGCTGATACCCAGGCAAACAGGGTCTGGAGTGGACCTCTAGCAAACTCCAACAGACCTGCAGCTGAGGGTCCTGTCTGTTAGAAGGAAAACTAACAAACAGAAAGGACATCCACACCAAAAACCCATGTGTACGTCACCATCATCAAAGACCAAAGGTAGATAAAACCACAAAGATGGGAAAAACACAGAGCAGAAAAACTGGAAACTCTAAAAATCAGAGCACCTCTCCTCCTCCAAAGGAACGCAGCTCCTCACCAGCAACAGAACAAAGCTGGACGGAGAATGACTTTGACGAGTTGAGAGAAGAAGGCTTCAGATGATCAAACTACTCCGAGCTACAGGAGGAAATTCAAACCAATGGCAAAGAAATTAAAAGCCTTGAAAAAAAATTAGATGAATGGATAACTAGAATAACCAATGCAGAGAAGTCCTTAAAGGACCTGATGGAGCTGAAAACCAAGGCTCGAGAGCTACGTGATGAATGCAGAAGCCTCAGTAGCCGATGAGAACAACTGGAAGAAAGGGTATCAGTGATGGAAGATGAAATGAATGAAATGAAGCGAGAAGAGAAGTTTAGAGAAAAAAGAATAAAAAGAAATGAACAAAGCCTCCAAGAAATATGGGACTGTGTGAAAAGACCAAATCTATGTCTGATTGGTGTAATTGAAAGTGATGGGGAGAATGGAACCAAGTTGGAAAACACTCTGCAGAATATTATCCAGGAGAACTTCCCCAATCTAGCAAGGCAGGCCAACATTCAAATTCAGGAAATACAGAGAATGCCACAAAGATATTCCTCGAGAAGAGCAACTCCAAGACACATAGTTGTCAGATTCACCAAAGTTGAAATGAAGGAAAAAATGTTAAGGGCAGCCAGAGAGAAAGGTTGGGTTACCCACAAAGGGAAGCCCATCAGACTAACAGCGGATCTCCCGGCAGAAACTTTACAAGCCAGAAGAGAGTGGGGGCCAATATTCAACATTCTTAAAGAAAAGAATTTTCAACCCAGAATTTCATATCTAGCCAAACTAAGCTTCATAAGTGAAGGAGAAATAAAATACTTTAAGACAAGCAAACGCAGAGAGATTTTGTCACCACCAGGCCTGCCCTACAAGAGCTCCTGAAGGAAGCACTAAACATGGAAAGGAACAACTGGTACCAGCCACTGCAAAAACATGCTGAATTGTAAAGACCATCAAGCCTAGGAAGAAACTGCATCAACTAACGAGCAAAATCACCAGCTAACATCATAATGACAGGATCATATTCACACATAACAATATTAACCTTAAATGTAAATCGACTAAATGCTCCAATTAAAAGACACAGACTGGCAAATTGGATAAAGAGTCAAAACCCATCAGTGTGCTGTATTCAGGAAACCCATCTCACGTGCAGAGACACACATACGCTCAAAATAAAGGGATGGAGGAAGATCTACCCAGCAAATGGAAAACTAAAAAAGGCAGGGGTTGCAATCCTAGTCTCTGATAAAACAGACTTTAAACCAACAAAGATCAAAAGAGACAAAGAAGGCCATTACATAATGGTAAAGGGATCAATTCAACAAGAAGAGCTAACTATCCTAAATATATATGCACCCAATACAGGAGCACCCAGATTCATAAAGCAAGTCCTGAGTGACCTACAAAGAGACTTAGACTCCCACACAATAATAATGGGAGACTTTAACACCCCACTGTCAACATTAGACAGATCAATGAGACAGAAAGTTAACAAGGATACCCAGGAATTGAACTCAGCTCTGCACCAAGTGGACCTAATAGACATCTACAGAACTCTCCACCCCAAATCAACAGAATATACATTCTTTTCAGCACAACACCACACCTACTCCAAAATTGACCACATAGTTGGAAGTAAAGCACTCCTCAGCAAATGTAAAAGAATAGAAATTATAACAAACTGTCTCTCAGACCACAGTGCAATCAAACTAGAACTCAGGATTAAGAAACTCACTCAAAACTGCTCAACTACATGGAAACTGAACAACCTGCTCCTGAATGACTACTGGGTACATAATGAAATGAAGGCAGAAATAAAGATGTTCTTTGAAACCAATGAGAACAAAGACACAACATACCAGAATCTCTGGGACACATTCAAAGCAGTGTGTAGAGGGAAATTTATAGCACTAAATGCCCACAAGACAAAGCAAGAAAGATCTAAAATTGACACCCTAACATCACAATTAAAAGAACTAGAAAAGCAAGAGCAAACACATTCAAAAGCTAGCAGAAGGCAGGAAATAACTAAGATCAGAGCAGAACTGAAGGAAATAGAGACACAAAAATCCCTTCAAAAAATTAATGAATCCAGGAGCTGGTTTTTTGAAAAGATAAACAAAATTGATAGACCGCTAGCAAGACTAATAAAGAAGAAAAGAGAGAAGAATCAAATAGATGCAATAAAAAATGATAAGGGGGATATCACCACCGATCCCACAGAAATACAAACTACCATCAGAGAATACTACAAACACCTCTACGCAAATAAACTAGAAAATCTAGAAGAAATGGATAAATTCCTCGACACATACACTCTCCCAAGACTAAACCAGGAAGAAGTTGAATCTCTGAATAGACCAGTAACAGGCTCTGAAATTGAGGCAATAATCAATAGCTTACCAACCAAAACAAGTCCAGGACTAGATGAATTCACAGCCAAATTCTACCAGAGGTTCAAAGAGGAACTGGTACCATTCCTTCTGAAACTATTCCAATCAATAGAAAAAGAGGGAATCCTCCCTAACTCATTTTAAGAGGCCAGCATCATCCTGATACCAAAGCCTGGCAGAGACACAACCAAAAAAGAGAATTTTAGACCAATATCCTTGATGAACATCGATGCAAAAATCCTCAATAAAATACTGGCAAACCGAATCCAGCAGCACATCAAAAAGCTTATCCACCATGATCAAGTGGGCTTCATCCCTGGGATGCAAGGCTGGTTCAACATATGCAAATCAATAAATGTAATCCAGCGTATAAACAGAGCCAAAGACAAAAACCACATGATTATCTCAATAGATGCAGAAAAGGCCTTTGACAAAATTCAACAACCATTCATGCTAAAAACTCTCAATAAACTAGGTATTGATGGGACGTATCTCAAAATAATAAGAGCTATCTATTGACAAACCCACAGCCAATATCATACTGAATGCACAGAAACTGGAAGCATTCCCTTTGAAAACGGGCACAAGACAGGGATGCCCTCTCTCACCACTCCTATTCAACATATTGTTGGAAGTTCTGGCCAGGGCAATCAGGCAGGAGAAGGAAATAAAGGGTATTCAATTAGGAAAAGAGGAAGTCAAATTGTCCCTATTTGCAGATGACATGATTGTATATCTAGAAAACCCCATGGTCTCAGCCCAAAATCTCCTTAAGCTGATAAGCAACTTCAGCAAAGTCTCGGGATACAAAATCAATGTGCAAAAATCACAAGCATTCTTATACACCAATAACAGACAAACAGAGAGCCAAATCATGAGTGAACTCCCATTCACAATTGCTTCAAAGAGAATAAAATACCTAGGAATCCAACTTACAAGGGATGTGAAGGACCTCTTCAAGGAGAACTAGAAACCACTGCTCAAGGAAATAAAAGAGGATACAAACAAATGGAAGAACATTCCATGCTCATGGGTAGGAAGAATCAATATCGTGAAAATGGCCATACTGCCCAAGGTAATTTATAGATTCAATGCCATCCCCATCAAGCTACCAATGACTTTCTTCACAGAATTGGAAAAAACTACTTTAAAGTTCATATGGAAACAAAAAGCCTGCATCGCCAAGTCAATCCTAAGCCAAGAGAAAAAAGCTGGAGGCATCACGCTACCTGACTTCAAACTATACAAGGCTACAGTAACCAAAACAGCATGGTACTGGTACCAAAACAGAGATATAGACAACTGGAACAGAACAGAGCCCTCAGAAATAATGCCACATATCTACAACTAACTGATCTTTGACAAACCTGACAAAAACAAGCAATGGGGAAAGGATTCCCTATTTAATAAATGGTGCTGGCAAAACTGGCTAGCCATATGGAGAAAGCTGAAATTGGATCCCTTCCTTATACCTTATACAAAAATCAATTCAAGATGGATTAAAGACTTAAATGTTAGATCTAAAGCCATAAAAACCCTAGAAGAAAACCTAGGCAATACCATTCAGGACATAGGCATGGGCAAGGACTTCATGTCTAAAACACTTAAAGCAATGGCAACAAAAGCCAAAATTGACAAATGGGATCTAATTAAACTAAAGAGCTTCTGCACAGCAAAAGAAACTACCATCAGAGTGAACAGGCAACCTACAGAATGGGAGAAAATTTTTGCAACCTACTCATCTGACAAAGGGCTAATATTGAACTCAAACAAATTTACAAGAAAAAAACAAACAACCCCAACGAAAAGTGGGCAAAGGATATGAACAGACACTTCCCAAAAGAAGACATTTATGCAGCCAAAAAACACATGAAAAAATGCTCATCATCACTGGCCATCAGAGAAATGCAAATCAAAACCACAATGAGGTACTGTCTCACAACAGTTAGAATGGCGATCATTAAAAAAGTCAGGAAACAACAGGTGCTGAAGAGGATGTGGAGAAATAGGAACACTTTTACACTGTTGGTGGGACTGTAAACTAGTTCAACTATTGTGGAAGTCAGTGTGGCGATTCCTCAGGGATCTAGAACTAGAAATACCATTTGACCCAGCCATCCCATTACTGGGTATATACCCAAAGGATTATAAATCATGCTGCTATAAAGACACATGCACACGTATGTTTATAGCAGCACTATTCACAACAGTAAAGACTTGGAACCAACCTAAATGTCCAACAATGATAGACTGGATTAAGAAAATGTGGCACATATACACCATGGAATACTATGCATCCATAAAAAATGATGAGTTCATGTCCTTTGTAGGGACATGGATGAAACTGGAAACCATCATTCTCAGCAAACTATTGCAAGGACAATAAACCAAACACTGCATGTTCTCACTCGTAGTTGGGAATTGAACAGTGAGAACACATGGACACAGGAAGGGGAACATCATACACCGGGGACTGTTGTGGGGTGGGGGGAGGGGGGAGGGATAGCATTAGGAGACATACCTAATGCTAAATGACGAGTTAATGGGTGCAGCACACCAACATGGCACATGTATACATATGTAACAAACCTGCACGTTGTGCACATGTACCCTAAAACTTAAAGTATAATAATAAAATTAAAAAAAATTTTTCATAAAATTAAATGTACATTATAGTCAGAAAAATGAAGCTGATTTGGCTTCTGTTATGAATTTTTTATGAAGTCAACGTTTTATTAGTTAAAAGGATGGTGTTTTCATTTACATAAATCTAGTTTTTAATTCATGCTCTGCCACTCACTGGCTGAGTAATCTTGGGCAAATTATTTAAATTCCATGAGCCTCTGATTGCCCATCAACAAAATATGGTTTGGATCATCTGCTTCACAGGATTTCTGTTGTAAGGAATAAATTAAATGATATATATAAATTAAATGAAATATGTAACACATGGGAAAGAGAAAGGGCTCAATAAATAATTGATATATAAGAAAATGAGCAAGAAAAAATGAAAAACTTTTGCTAAATTTTAAAACCTGTATTATGAAAAATTTATGATTTTCAAAAAAACAAGTACCTCTCTTGATATCCAGCTTTTTCCCAAAAAAGCCTCATTGAAGTATTTTGAAAGTTCTTTTCAAAAGAAAAAAGAAAGTTCTTTGTTCTTTTAAAGGAAGCTTTGAAGAAAGCATAATTAATTACAAAAAATGCTTCACAGTATATGTAGATTTATTCAAGTATCTGAGTACACTAGACAAGTATATCTATTTCTAAGTTTCTTATGTCTCTTCCTTATTAGAATCAAAAGAGAATCTTAGACTGAATCTTCAGCTTGAACCTCAAGAAAATCTTGCTATTAATATTATACAAAGTCAGGACTGAGAAATCTTCCTACATGCTACCTGCCGTAAGTTCTAAGTCCTTTGATCCAGCAATACAGGTATTCTTAAAAACAAGAAAGTAAATTAGAAAATATATATATATATATATATATATATATATATATATATATATATATATATATATATATAAATGTGTCGTCTTTTTGAAAAATATAAAGGACCCTGGAGGTGAATTAGGTCACTATTTGACAAACTTTCCCATACCTCAGAATCACCTGGAGGTTTTGTTTTGCTTTTCTTTTAATACTAATTCCTCGGTCACACTTTAATCTGAATATTGAAAAGAGTCTATTAGTGAGATGAGTGTGGGGAGGTACTCATTTATTTTCAAGAGTCCCAACTAAATCATAAAGTCACTCCCTGTAGACGTAGAAGTTTCTAGAAGTTTGAGAACCAGTTCATTGCTTCCAAGCAGAACAACAATTTTCTCATTCAAAGTTACTCAAAGTCACTAATAATTGTAAAGATTATTCTGAAAGGGTATTTCTCATATTTCCTGCATTGTTTCACAAATATGACTTCCAGGGATTTCTGTCTTTATTATACACAAATATGCAATAAACTGAGCTCATTTCATGCTTTCTGATGCCAATGGATACTAGGTTAAGTTGATGACACTTATTTAATGGTGATCACTAAATGCCGCTTACGTAAATTGGGCTCACCACCATCTCCCCCCGCACCCCCTCACACACACATTCCCAGGCATTTCTTTAGGTTTTTTGGTTTTTGTTTTTGTTAACATTTCCACTTTATACACCTAGTTTTATCTTGGTTTCTGAAAGAGCTACTGAGAAATATCATAAAAATAGAAAGTATATTTTACATAGAGTGTGGGGTCTTGATCTGGAACATCTGAAGGAATTTCTAAGATGTTATAAAACTCCTATAATTGTAAACAAAATTTTGTGTGTATAATAGCTTTCATGATTCATGTTAAATTCTAAATACAATGTGACTTAAAATGAGTAGGAATAAAATGACAAGTGATATACGTATTGGTCAAAAATAATTGGACAAGGAAAACAAAGAGTATATGTAACCTTTTTCACATTCAAACTGCCGAAGTGTCTTTAATATGCACCATTCAGTCATCATAATACATGGTATACATTTGGTATTATAGATTATTTTTAAAATTATGAGTATATTTAAAAATATATTTTATAAAATATAATAGTTACCAAGTACTTTAAAATTCTGTAACACTAAAAGTATGCTGATTTACAGTTCCTCCGTTTTCTCAATTTTTCAAAATTGCTGCATTTTCTCACATTGTTATTTTAACTTCTTATGTACACGTATTAATTTTTGAATATTTATATAGTCAACTCTACCAGCATTTATAATCTCCCCCAAAGCAAGATATCAAATACATTTAAATTTTTTATTTTCACACATACTTTTCATAATCTGTATTATTTTTTTCACTTTCCAATCACATACATACCTCATCAGTAAACTGGAGATGACAATGGTAACTTTCTCTTGAAGTTGCTGTGTTGACTAAATACATTAATGTATGTAAAACACAGCACTGTATGTGTAAGTTAACATTATTATATCTCAAATATACTACGAAAAAATAAGCTACAGTTCAAAGAGCAACAGTAACAACGATATTAGCACTAGGAATGTTCAGAATAGTGAGGGGAAAAAAAGATAAATGAGGCTTCACCTGAAAGAGGAAAGTTGTAATCCTTTAGAGCAAAACAATTTTGAAAGAATTGAAACAGAGACCAATCATCTATAAAATTAGGGTCCTATAAAACAATATGTTATGGAAGATGTAAGTTTTATATTCCATTTCTTCCCTAATTTGTTATAGAGGTGTTCAAAATTTGCTTCAGATGATTTGAAGAGAGTAAATCATTAATGAGACATGAAGGTAGCTCTTTTCCCAAATTTGTGAGAGTGACAGTGTAAAGTCTCCTGGAGATAATCAGTGAGCTCTACGGTCCAGAAAAGCTGACCGACGATGCTTATTAGGTAAAAAGATAGAGACTCCCGAACTCATAAAACATAGTGACTTTACATTTTTAAAATTAAGGAAAAATACATGACTGACTTCTTGTGTGATAATTCCTATTAAGGAAATAAGGAATTGGAGTTCCTAGTACATGAATGACAGATATCTGTATTATTTATAATATGGAATCAAAGAGATTCTTGAGGATAGAACAAAAAATGCTGAGAACTAAGAGATGTGATCCTAAGAAAGTTACCATCCTGACAGAATCTGACTTTCCGAATACAAGACTATTCTGCAAAAAAATCAACAGAAATATATTATTTCTTCCTTGATCATCTTCTAGACTTTTCAGGCAACTTCATCAACACTAGGCCAGTTTTATCCATGGGAAATTTAACTTCCATCAGTAACTCTTGAATGTTCAATGAGAAACAGTGGGTTTATTTTGTGTGTGTGTGTGTGTGTGTGTGTGTGTGAGTGTGTGTGTGTGTGTTTTGAGATGGAGTCTCGCTTTGTCACCCAGGCTGGAGTGCAGTGGCGTGATCTCAGCTCACTGCAACCTCTGCCTCCTGGGTTCAAGAGATTCTCCTGCCTCAGCCTCTCGAGTAGCTGGGAGTACGGGTGCGTGCCGCCATGTCTGGCTAATTTTTCTATCTTTAGTAGAGACAGGGTTTTGCCATGTAGGCCAGGCTGCTCTTGAGCTCTTGACCTCAGGTGATTAGCCCTCCTCATCTCCCAAGTAGCTTGGGACTACAGGCATGCGCCACCACCCCAGGCTGATTTTTGTATTTTTAGTAGAGACAGGGTTTCACCATTTTGGCCAGGCTGGTCTGGAACTCCTGGCCTCAAGTGATCCACCAGCCTTGGTCTTCCAGAGTTCTGGGATTACAGGCAAGAGACACCACACCAGGCTGAGAAACAATGGGTTTATGATATTGATCATACCTGTGAGAGTCTCTGGTTAAATTAATAATAATAATAATAATCATCATCATCATCATAATAATAATAAACTTGGAGGTCCCAACGGAAAATACCTGCTTTTCTGCTCTTCAGGATGATTAGAAAAGAAGTTTAATTAATGGGAAAATAAAACAGCTGTGACTAGACTTCTGATTCTGGCCAAGATGAAGTAATAGAAAACAGATTTACTTTCCTGAGTAAACAACAACAAAAGAGAATTTCAATCTCTGTCTGTCTCTCTCTCTGCCTTTCTCTTACTCTTGCTCTCTCACCCCTCCTCCTTTTCCCTCTTTCTCTCCCTGCTCCTTTTTGTGTGATAGATCGATAGATGCATATAGGATATGTATATAAATGTATATATATAATATATAACACAGAAACACACACATATGTGTATATATATTCCACAAGACACTAGACAGCATACAATAAAGAACAGTGGCTCCACAAAGGTAAGAAATAAATATGGTAAGTCCAATGATTGCCTTAGTTTATTTCATTGATAGCATTTTTAAAGATTGAAATTATAGTTTAAAACTTTCCCACAAAGAAACCACCTGGCCCACTTTAATCACTGGTGAATGTTACTGAACATTTAAGCAAAAACATTCTATTCTACGAAAACTTTCCCAGAACATTTTAAATGAGGGGATATTCTCAACTTATTCTATGTAGCCAATGTAATGTTGATATTAAACCAAGTGGAGACAGAACAGAAAAAGAAAACTACAGGCCAGTATCTTCTGTGAACATAATTCCTAAACAAAATTTTAGTAATTTCAATCCAACAAAACATTGAAAGGATAATACACTATGACCACATAAGGTTTAATCCTAGGAATGCAAAGCTAGATTAACATTCAAAAATAAATCAATTTAATTTACTATATTAACAATCTAAAAAAAAGTAAAAAAAACAAAAAACAAAAAACGGGCGTGGTGGCTCACGCCTGTAATCCCAGCACTTTGGGAGGCTGAGGCGGGCGGATCACCTGAGGTCAGGAGATGGAGACCATCCTGGCTAACACGGTGAAACTCTGTCTCTACTAAAAATACAAAAAATTAGCCGGGTGTGGTGACACATGCCTGTAATCCCAGCTACTCTGAAGTGGCTGAGGCAGGAGAATCACTTGAACCTGGGAGGCGGAGGTTGAGGTGAGCCGAGATCGCACCATTGCACTGCAGCCTGGGCAACAAGAGGGAAACTCCATCTCAAAAAAAAAAAAAAAAGAAGAAGAAAGAAAAAAACAACTATAATCATCCCACTAGATGCACAAAAAAGCATTTCACAAAACCAATTATTCATTCCTGATAATAGCTCTCAGGAATTTTCCTCAGCGTGATAAGGGCCATCTATGAAAAACCTATAGGTGTATGATCCTTAATGGTGAAAGACTGAATCATTTTCCCTAAGGTCAGGAACAAGACAATAGGTCTGTCCTGCCACTTATTTTCAACAATTACTATTCTATACTCCGTGTTTTATCTATTTGTGAATGAATGAATGGAATGCAACCTTACCATAAAATGTAAAGTAACTGATATAGAAGAAATGATGGAATAAGAAAATTAGCCCTTGGCAACCCTCAAAGTCATAACTGATTCATTTGAGTCATGCACGGGCTAAAGATAATGGACGAAAGTGTGATAAGAAAGAGACTATTACATAGTTTAAAATATCTCTCAACAAAATACTTATTAATTACTCTTATTAAACACTAAATACACTTATTAATTATCTATCCAGTGGAGAAACCTGGAAGACATCATCTTAACAAAATAATAAAAGTTAACATTGTCAGTAAGGAGACAAATCATCACCATGGCGAGCCTCCTGATATTATGGACTAATAAAAGAAGCAACACTTCCGTGGTATTCCTGCCCCAAACACAGATCCTGAACCTAGTTCAACAGGAAATATTAAACTAAAATGAACAGACATTTCAAAAGGTCAAAGATGTGAAAAAAAAGGAAAGACTGAGAAACACTTTCATATTGAAAGAGATTAGAGAGGTATGACAAATGCAACATGTAATACTGGGTCAGATGCTGAACAAGAGAGAAAAGGGTATAAGAGAAGAAAGCATTTTTTTTTTTCCTAACAAGAGAATTGTCAGGTCAATTGGTAAAATTTCAGTGGGGTCTATGATAAAAATAATGGTACTGAGAAATATTTTTGTAATCTAGCTATGTTCCAAATTGGTTAAAATGTGCATCTACTAAAAAAGGCATCTAATTTAGAAAAATATATAAATCATGGACACATTACTTATTATCAAAAAATCTTTATTTTTTAACCTTAAAAATTTAAATAACTTATCTAAAATGTAAAATTTGGGATTTAGAAGATCATTTATTAGTTTTTGTGAATTTCACTAATTTGGAAAGCACAATACCTAAAATACCGTATCAAAATTTATATTTGATGTTAAAAAACTGGTTTTAATAATAAATATTTTCAGGACAACCTTATAGGGATTTGAATAAGCCAATTTGTTCATGATAAATCTCTTCATTTATATACATCCTGCTGTTTCTCTGCTTTTCTGGAGAAGTTTGACTAATACACTTTCATTGCAAAACAAGGAACTTTATTTCATTATTTTTATATACAATAAATAAAAATTACCAACATAAAATAAATAAAAACTATGATCAATAATTTGATGATAAAATAATTAAAAATTAAAATGTAAAGAAAAGCAAAAAAATTGATTTAGACAACAGTAAAAAACATGTAGTGAACTTTTAAGTTCTTTCAAACTATTGCATAAGAAACTCTATTGAACATTTGCATACTTTTTTGAATAAAAAGTAAACAAACAGGCTGGGCGTGGTGGCTCACACCTGTAATCCCAACACTTTGGGAGGCCAAGGCAGGCAGATGGCTTGAGGCCATGAGTTTCATACCAGCTTGGCCAACATAGCAAAACCTAGTCTCTACTTAAAATACAAAATTTAGCCAGGCGAGGTGGTACCTGCCTGCAATCCCAGCTACTTGGGAGGCTAAGGCATGAGAATTGCTGGAACCCAGGAGGTGGAGTTTGAAGTGGGCCAAGATCGCACCTCTGCTGGGCGACAGAGCCAGATGCTGTCTCAAAAAAAAAAAAAAAAAAGAAAAAGAAAAAGAAAAGAAAAGAAAAAGAAAAAGAAAAGAAAGAAAGAAAATAAAAAACATTAATAAATTTAAATCATCTAATTAAATATGTCAGTGGAAAAATGATTTTGTCTTCTTGAATAATGGAGTTATTGAATATAAAAAATATCAGAGAGCATTAAAGGAGCCAGAAAACTTCAAATGTTGATAATAGTTATCAGAAATTTGAAGAGAATTCAGCACTATAGAAATTTTGCTGAAAAAAATTCTTTTGAACACCACATCATGTGATAACTTTTCATTTAATGGGACAACTTTTGTAATGGTTTGGTCTAGTCTAGTTGTTTCACATCAAACTGTGGCTCAGACAGTATTTAGTGGTAAGATGTAAATCCAAAGATTCCCCCAATAATTTGTAAAAATCAATAGATTTGCTAAAAATTTTATCATTCATTAAGCAGTTTACTAAGATCATAAAAGGGACTTTTTATTGATTTACGTATTGATATATAAGCATTTGTATATATCAATTACTGAACAGCTGTTAAATATTTTGATTATAACCCCTTCTGTTAACCACTAAAATCATTCCTCAAAACTCTTCCCATAAAAAACACTTGTCCAGATGGCATCTTGTCAGTTTTTGCAAACCTTCAAGGAGCAGAAAATTTCAACCACCTCTTTAGAATAAAAAGAAGAAAAACTTCACCTTTTAATGATGTAATACAAGCTTGAGTCCAAAAGGTGCCATGGTTATTATGAGGAAAATAAATAATGTTCTGTCTTGATGATGAACATATACACAATTATAAATGAAGTTCAGTGAAACTCCATGAAAATGCACCTCAGAATAAGACAAGTTCAGATATAATGTTACTGGCAAATATTTTCCATTTTCTCTTCATCCCTTTTCTGGAACAGGGATGAAATCTTACAGGAATTATTTTCAGTGAGGGAAAAAAACAAAAGGAGGGGAGGGAAAACAAGGCAGACAGTGTCAGACAACTTTATCTTGGGAAACAAGGAGTTAGAGGGTGGCTCGCACAATTCCATTTATTTTCAACCAATCTTCCTTGCTCAGGGTAATATGGTGGGGATGAAAACCAGGTTTCTTGGAAATAGTTAGATTTCTTACCATTGTGCTCGAAGTTCCATTCTTTACAGTACCCAGAATCTTTAGATTTCATGGCAGTAGACAACAGCCACCAGATGGCAGCAAACTACAATTGAGTACAGGATTTCCTTCTGGAGCCACAACTACCCAGAAATCCTGAGCAGTTCCGCACATCCTGGATCACACCATTTACTTCACAACAAGATCCTTACTCTTAAGGGGAAAAAAATACATTTTGAAACTTTTTTGTTATGTTAAAATAGGATTTAAAATGTAAAAAAGTGTAGTGCATTATGAAAAAGTTGATTATATCTCAGAAATGTAAAGTTGGTTTAATATTAGAAAACCAATTAATATAATTCACCACATTAATAGAAAAAGAGATAAAACTGATTGTATTATCTCAATAGATGCCAAAAAGGCACTTGATATAATCAGAAAGATGCAAAAATAAGTCCACAATGAGATGATGCAATATCATGACCATAATTGTATAAAAACATTTTAAAATATGATTGCTACCAGCTATTGGCAAGGATATCAATCAATGTGGCATGTAATATGATGATGATAGGAACTAAATGATTTGTTATTATCTTCTAAAATTAAGAAATGCCCTATGGTTCTGCATAGTTTATGCATATATATGTGTGTATACATATGAGTCAGAAAACAGTGGTATGATAACATCAATGCCCTGAGACAAATAGCTTTACACCTAATGTTGTATATCTGTTGTGGGGGAAAGCATTTCAAATTGGTAAAAAAAAGGATTTCAAATAAATAAATAAGGAAAACTTATGAGCAAGTATCATTTACCAATGCAGCTTTAAACATACGTGTATCAGAAGGGATGATTACCCTAAAAAGAATATGTGAGCTCAAGAATAAATATTCTGTTAAAATGTTAAGCATTTGATGAATATGTAATATATTTCATACATATGTATACACACATATATATGCATAAACTATGCAGAACCATAGGGCATTTCTTAATTTTAGAAGATAATAACAAATCATTTAGTTCCTATCATCATCATATTACATGCCACATTGATTGATATCCTTGCCAGTAGCTGGTAGCAATCATATTTTAAAATGTTTTTATACAATTATGGTCATGATATTGCATCATCTCATTGTGGACTTATTTTTGCATTTTTCTGATTATATCAAGTGCCTTTTCGGCATCTATTGAGATAATACAATCAGTTTCATCTCTTTTGGGAATTCAGCCATCAGTCTAAGTTTTCCTTTACTAAACTTATCTTTATTTTGTCTTTCCTTCTGGCTTCTTCTCTTTGTCTTTGGTATTGTGCGTTTTCACTATGGTACATTTTTTGTAGTGTACCTTCTGTTTGGCATCATTTTACCAACCCATATTCTCTTTCTTTAATTCCATCATTTCCACTGGACATATTGCAGACTCTCTAACACTATTGGTATCATCTATCTCTGTCTCTTTTTGCTGTTTTTTTTTTTCAAGTATCCTAATTCTTTCTTCAGTTATCCTTCATCTGTATTTACATTTTCAATTTTAAGGTAAACTTTGTTTTACTATTAAGCTTTTAATTTTACTTTTTTTTGTTTCTAGAAGTTGTACTTATTTTTTAATCTGGTCATATATTTTAGTTTCTTTTTCTTACCAATGCTAACGTGTTTAAAGGAAAGGAAATTTTTCATGTTTTTTTATATATTTCTATTTATTTATTTGGTCAAATGATACTTCTAAGGTCTTTGGGAAATTGCCACACTGTTTTCCATGATAGCTGAACTAATTCACATTCTCATCAGCAGTGAATAAGCCTTCCCTTTTCCCCACAACCTCTCTGGCATCTATTTTTTGACTTTTTAGTGATAGACATTTGGACTAGTATAAGATGGTATCTCATTGTGGTTTTCATTTGCATTTCTCTACTATTTCTCTAATAGTAGTGTTGAGCATTTTTTCATATGCTTATTGGCTATGTGTATGTCTTCTTTCAAAAAGTGTTCTTCATGTCTTTTGCCCACTTTTTAATGGGGTTATTTGGTTTTTGCTTGTTAATTTGTTTAAGTTCCTTATAGATGCTGGATATTAGAACTTTGTCAGATGCATAGTTTCTCCTATTCTGTAGGCTGTATGTGTACTCTGTTGACAGTTTCTTTTGCTGTGGAGAAGCTCTCTACTTTGATTAGGTCCCATTTGTCAATTTTTTATTTTGTTGCAATTGCTTTTGGCATTTTGTAATGAAATCATTGCCAGGGCCTATGTCCAGATTGGTATTTTCTAGGTTATTTTCATTTTCCAGGATTTTTATAATTTTAGGTTTTACATTTAAGTCTTTAATCCATCTTGAATTTATTTTTGTAGATGGTATAAGAAAGGGGTCCAGTTTCAATCTTCTGCATATGGCTAGCCAGTTATCCCAGCATCATTTACTGAATAGGGACCCCTTTTCCCATTGCTTGATTTTGTTTATTTTGCCAAAGATCAGATGGTTGTGGGCATATGACTTTATTTCTGGGCTCTCTATTCTGTTCCATTGGTCTATGTGTCTGTTTTTGTACTGGAACCATGCTGTTTTGATTACTGTAGCCTTGTAACATAGTTTGAAATTGAATAACCTGATGTCTCCAACTTTGTTACTTTTGCTTAATATTGCCTTGCTATTTGAGCTCTTTTTTGGTTCCATATGAATTTTAAAATAGTTTTTTCTGATTCTGAGAAGAATATCATTGGTAGTTTGATATGGATAGCATTGAATCTGTAAATTGCTTTGGGAAGTATGGGCATTTTAACAATATTGATTCTTCCTATCCATGCACATGGAATTTTTTCCATTTGTTTGTGTCATCTCTGATTTCTTTCAGCAGTGTTTTGTAATCCTTGTGATAGAGATTATTCACCTCCCTGGTTAGCTGTATTCCTAGGTATTTTATTCCTTTTGTGGCTATTGTGAATGGGATTGCATTCTTGGTTTGGCTCTCAACTTGAATATTGTTAGTGTATTAAAATGATACCTATTTTTGTACAGTGATTTTTTTCATTCTGAAACTTTGCTGAAGCTGTTTATCAGCTTAAGAAGCTTTTGGGCAAACTGAGATTTTCCAGGTTTAGAATCATGTTGTCTGCCAACACAAACACTTTCTCTCTTCCTATCTGGATGCCTATTCTTTCACTTTCTCTCTTCCTATTTGGATGCCTATTATTTCTTCCAGTGCTATGTTGAATAGGAATGGTGAGCATGGGCATCCTTGTCTTGTTTTGGTTCTCAAGGGGAAGGCTTCCAGCTTTTGCTCATTCAGTATGATGTTAGCTATAGGTTTGCCATAGATGGCTCTTATTGTTTTGAGATATGTTCCTTCACTACCTAGTTTGTTGAGGGTTTTTAACACGAAAGAAGTTGAATTTTATTGAAAGTCCTTTCTGCATCTACTTAGATGTTCATGTGGTTTTTGTTTTAAGTTCTGTTTATGTGGTGAATCACATTTATTGATTTTCATATGTTGAACCAACCTTGCATCCCAGGGATAAAGCCTACAAGATTGCAGGAATTAACTTTTTGATGTGCTGCTGGATTCAGTTTGCTAGTATTTAATTAAGGATTTTTGCATGTATATTCATCAGGGATATTAGCCTGTTTGTTGTTGTTGTTGTTCCTCTGCAGGTCTGGGTATCAGGATGATGCTGTCCTCACAGAATGAGTTAGGGAGGAGTCCTTCTTCCTCCATTTTTGTAATAGTTTCAGGAGAAATGATATCAGCAATTCTTTATATACCTCATAGAATTCAGCTGTGAATCTGTCTGGTCCTGGGCTTTTCTGGTTGGTAGGCTTTTTTATTACTGGTTTAATTTTGGGAGTCATTATTGGTCTGTCAGTGATACAATTTCTTTCTGGTTCAATCTTCAGAGGTTGTATGTTTCCAAAAATTTATCCATTTCTTCTAGGTTTTCTAGTTTGTATGCATAGAAGTGTTCACAGTAGTCTCTGAGGGTTTTTTAAATTTTTGAGGGGGTGGTGGGAATGTCCCCTTTTTCATTTCTAATTGTGTTTATTTGGATCATCTCTTTTTTTCTTTGTTAGTCTAGCTAGTGGTCTATCAATCTTACTTATCCTTTCAAGAAACAAATTATTGGATTTGTTGAACTTTTGTAGAGTTTTCACATCTCAATTTCCTTCAGTTCAGCTCTGGTTTTGGTTATCTATTGCTTCCTGTTAGCTTTGGGATTGGTTTGCTCCTGTTTTTTCTAATTTCTCCATGTGTGATGTTAGGTTGTTAATTGAGAACTTTCTAATTTTTAATGTAAGTATTTAGCACTATAAATTTCCCTTAATAGTGCTTTACCTGTATTCCAGAGATTCTGGTATGTTGTATCTTTGTTTTCATTAGTTTCAAAGAATTTCTTGATTTCTGCCTTAATTTCATTGTTTACTCAAAAGTCATTCAGGAGCAGGTTAATTTCCATGTAATTGTATGGTTTTGAGCAATTTTTTAAGTACTGATTTCTATTTTTATTATGCTGCGGTCTGAAAGTGGTTGGTATGATTTCAATTTTTTTGGATTTTCTGAGGATTGTTTTGTGGCTGACTGGTCTATTTTAAAGTATGTGCCCTGTGCAGATGAGAAGAATGTATATTCTGTTATTTTGGGGTGGAGAGTTCTGTAGATGTCTCTTAGGCCCATTTGGTCAAATGTTGATTTTAGGTCCTGAATATCTTTGTTATTTTTCTGCCTCAATGATCTGTGTAACATTGTCAGTGGGGTTTTGAAGTCTCCCACTTTTATTATGTTGTTACCTAAGTCTCTTCATTGGTCTCTAAGAACTTAGCTTTATAAATCTGGGTGCTCTTGTATTTTGTATATATATATTTAGGATATTTAGGTCTTCTTGCTGACTTGAATCCTTTACTATTATGTAAGGCCCTTCTTTTTCCTTTTTTGATTGTTGTTGGTTTACAATCTGTTTTGTCTGAAATTAGAATAGAATAGCAACCCCTGTTTTCTGTTTTGTTGCTGTTGTTGTTGTTGTTGTTTCTGTTTTCCACTTGCTTGGTAGATTTTTCTCCATCCCTTTACTTTGGGCGTATAGGTGTCATTGCATGTGAGATGGGTCTCCTGAAGACAGTATATAGTTGGGCCTTGCTTCTTCATCCAACATGCCACTCTGTGCCTTTTAATTGCGGCATTTAGCCCATTTACATTCAAGGTTAAGACTGATTGCATGGTTTCATTCTGTCATCATGATTTTAGGTGGTTATTATGCAGACTTGATTGTGTAGTTACTTTGTAGTGTCAGTGGTCTACGTACATAAGTGTGTTTTATGGTGGCCAGTAATTGTAATTCATTTAAATATTTAGCATTCTCTTAAATCTCTTGTAAGGCAGGTCTGGTGGTAACAAATTCCCTTAGGATTTGTTTGTCTGAAAAGGATCTTATTTCTCCTTCACTTAGGAAGCTTAGTTTGGCTGGATATGAAATTCTTAGTTGTAATTTCTTTCTTTAATAAAAATATTAACTCAAGATGGATTAAAGACTTAAATGTAAAGCCCAAAACTATAAAAACCATGGAAGACAACCTAGGCAATATTATTCTGGACGTAGGAATAGGCAAAGATTTTATGGCAAAGACACCAAAAGCAATTACAATAAAAACAAAAATTGACAAATAGAATCTAATTAAACTAAAAAGCTTCTGCACAGAAAAAGAAACAGAAAAAGAAACTGTCAACAGAGTGAAAAGACAACATACAAAATGGGAGAAAATTTTTGCAAAATATGCATCTGACAAAGGCCTAATAAGCGGCATCTATAGGAACTTAAACAAATTTACAAGAAAAAGACAACCTCATTAAAAAGTGGACAAAGGACATGAACAGACACTTTTCAAAAGAAGACATACATACTGCCAATAATAATATTTTAAAAAAAAACTCAACATCACTAATCATTAGAGAAATGCAAATCAAAACCACAATAAGATATCATCTCACACCAGTCAGAATGGCTACTTTTAAAAAGTGAAAAAATAACAGATGCTGATGAGGGTGTGGAGAAAAAGAACACTTATACACTGCTGGTGGGAGCATAAGTTAGTTCAACCAGTGTGAAAGACAGTGTGGTTATTCCTCGAAGTCCTAGAGGCAGAAATGTAATTTGACCCAACAATCCCATTACTGGGTATATACCCAAAGGAATATAAATCATTCTATTATAAAGACACATGCACATGTATGTTCATTGCCACACTATTTGCAACAGCAAAGACAGGAATCAACCTAAATGCCCATCAGTGGTAGACTGGATAAAGAAAATGTGGTACATACACACCATGGAATACTATGCAGCCATAAAAAAAAATAAAATAATATCTTTTTCAGGAACATGGATGGAGCTGGAGGCCATTATTCTTAACAAACTAACGCAGGTACACAAAACCAAATACTGCATGTTCTCACTTATAAGTGAGAACTAAATGATGAGAACACATGGACACATAGAGGTGAACAACACACACTGGGGCTTATTGTAGGGTGAAGGGTGGGAGGAGAGAGAGGATTAGGAAAAATAATTTATAGGTACTAGGCTTAATACCCGGGTGATGAAATAATCTGTACAACAAACCTCCATGATACAAGTTTACCTACACAACTTGTACATGTACCCCTGAACTTAAAATAAAAGTTAAATAATAATTTCAAAAAGTTTAATATATGCCCTCAATTTTTTCTTGTTTGTAGGGTTTCTGATGAAGTGTCTGCTGTTAGCCTGATGATATTCCCTTTGTAGGTGACCTGCATCTTTTCCCTATCTGTCTTTAACATTTTTCTGTCATTTCTACCTTAAATAATCTGATGACTATGTATTGTGGGAATGATCTTCTTGTATAGTATCTCACAAGGGTTCTCTGCATTTCCTGGATTTGAATGTTCACCTCTTTGGTTAGATTGAAAAAATGTTTATGGCTGATGTCTTCAATACGTTTTCCAAGTTGCTTGATTTCCCTTTCTCTTTTTCAAGGATGCCAATGAGTCATAGAGTTGGTCCCTTTACATAATCCCATATTTCTCCAAGATTTTGTTCATTCTTCTTTATTGTTTTTTCTTTATTCTTGCCTGACTGAGTTACTTTGGAGAACCAGTCTTCAAGCTCAGAGATTCTTTCCTCAGTTTGGTCTATTCTGCTGCTAACGCTTGTGATTGTATTATGAAATTCCTGAAGTGGGTTTTTGAGCTCTATTAGATCAGTTTGGTTCTTTCTTAAAATGGCCATTTCATCTATTATGTCCCGTATCTTTTTATTGTATTCCTTAGCTTCCTTGGATTGGGTTTTGGCTTTCTTCTGAATGTTGATGGTCTTCATTCCTATCTATATTCTGAATTCTATTTCTGCCATTTCAGTCATTTCAGACTGGTTAAGAGCCATTTCTGGGGAATTAATGCAGTCATTTGGAGGTAAGAACTCTACTCTGGCATTTTGAGCTTCCAGAGTTCCTGTGCTGTTTTTTTTTCCCTCATCTGTGTGGGTGGATATTCCTTCAATATTTGAAGCTGCTTTCCTTAGGATGTGTTTGGGCTTCTGTTTTCCTTTTATCTTATTTGATGCCCTTGGGAGTTTGACTGTAGTATGAGCTGGGTTCAGTTGACTGGCTTTGATTCTAATCTGCTCCTGGGTCTTGAAAGAGCCCCCTCCAGTTACTGTCTCCATGTCCATGTTTTTTTTTTCTGTTGGGTGATCTAGTACATGGGGCTTCTTCATGCTGAGGCTTCAGTTAACAGACAGGCCACATCTTTGACAGGTCAGCCCTAATCCACTGTCCAAGTGCTTCCCAGGGGAACACAGGGTTGTGCCTGCCCACATAGTTTAGGCAGAAGCAAGACCACTGGGCTGGAAGCTCTAGCAAGCATAGCCCATCTGGCTATGAGAAACAGGAGTGGATGGAGTTGCCTGCCCTGCCATCTGGGTGTTTCCAAGGCAACAGGAGGCTGCACCCCTTGGCAAATTCAAGCAGAAGTGTAACTGCTGGGCTAGAAGCTGTAGCAGACATGTCTTGCCTGGCAGGTGTGTGTGGAGTCTAGCAGGCATTGCCAGCAGCAGGTGTCACCCACCCTACCATCTGGGTGCTTCCCAAGACAACAGGGGGCTGCACCCTCTAGCTGAGTTTACACAGAAGCAGGACTGGTGGGCTGGAAGATTTAGCTTGTATTGCCTGTCTGGCTACCAGCAGAAGGGGTGGGGGGGTCACGTGTCCGGCTGTCTTGGTGTTTCCCAGGACAGTGGGAGGCTGAACTTGCTGGCTGAGTTCAGGTAGAAGAGGGATCATTGGGCTGGAAACTCTAGCAAGTGTTGCCCACCTGGCTACCAGTGGCAGAAGTGAGTTGGGTCACCCACGATGCCATCCAGGTGGTTCCCAGGACAGCAGGAAGCTGTACCCACCAGCTGTGTTCACACAGAAGTGGGATTGCTAGGCTTGAAGCTCTAGAAGGCATTGCCTGCAGGCATAGCTACCAGTGGCAGGGGTGGGGGCAATGGGTTTACATAAGGTATCTTGCAATTATAACAATCTATTTTTAACTGATAACCACTTAATTTCAATCATATACAAATACTCTACACTTTTAATTCTTCCCTCCCACACACACACTTTATGCTATGGATGTCATGACTTACATTTTTTTAATATTGCCTGTCCGTTAACATATTTTTATACTTTTGTCTTTTAACTTTTATACCAGAATAAAAGTTATTTGTGCATTGCCATTACAGTATCAAAGTGTTATGTGTTTTCTACCTATTTACCTTTACCAGCAAGCTTTATACTTTCATATGCTTTCATGCTGCTGTTTAATGTACTTTCATTTCAATTTGAAGGACTTCAGTATTTTTTAAAGGCAGATGTGGTGGTGATGAACTCTGTCACTTTTGTTAGTCTGAGAAAGTTTTTAATTCTTCATTTTTGGAAGATATTTTGCCAGATATGGTATTCTTAATGGCATTTTTTTCTTCCTGTACTTTGAATTGTATCATTTTATTTTCTTCTAGTCTGCAAGGTTTTTGCTGAGAAATATACTGACAGTTTTATGAAGATTTCCTGGTAAGTGGTTAGTTGCTTTTCTTTTGCTGTTCTCAAGATTCTCTTTGTCTTCAACTTTTGAAAATTTAATTATAATGTTTATCTGTGTGGATTTCTTTAGGATCATCCTATTTGGAATCCACTGGGATTCTTGTATATAGATGTTCATTTCCCTCCCCAGAATTGGGCAGTATTCCACCACTATTTCTTTAAATAAGTTTTTTGCCTCTTCTCTTTTTTCCTTCTAGAACCTTAATAATTTATATATTATTTCACTTGATGATGTGTTTTAGGTTTTCTTTACTGTTCATTATTGTTTGTTGCTGTTACTCTTACTGAATAATTTCACATGGCCTTTCTTTGAGTTGCTGATTTTCTTCTGCTCTGTGAAGTCTGCTGTAAAACTCTAGTAAATTTTAGTTCAAGTATTGTATTCTTCAGCTCTAAAATTTTTGTTTGCTTCTTTTTATATTTTATATCTTTTTGTTGATATTCTCATTTTGTTCATGCATAGTTTTCTTTAGTCATGGAGCATCTTTATGATAGCTATTTTGAATTCTTTTTCAGATAATTTATATATCTCCAATTCTTTAGATTATATATCTCCAAATTTTTAGAACTGTCACTGAAGATTTATTTTGTTCCTATTTTGAGCCTTGTTTTTCTGTTTTTTTCTTCATGTGTCTCATATGTCTCATATGTGTCATGTGTCTCATAACTTTACATTGGAACCCACCCATTTGAAAAAACAGCCACCTCTACCAGTCTTTACAGACTGGCTTTGTATAAGAGACCCTCCCCAATCAGCCCTTCTAGAAATTCCAGGGATATGTGAAACCGTTTGGGGGAAGATGTGACTTCTCTGAGTCCATTCATGCAATTTCTCAGAGCTGATTACTCGTTTCTTTTTCAGGAGTTCATATCTTGCCTCTTTGGTGTCATTGCACAGTACTGCTAGTTCTCTAGTACTGTCTTTCCTTGGTTTCAGTGGTCACCAGGTATCCAAAGTATGCTGCTCCTTATCAGCATCCTGAGTCAGGCAAAACTGATTCCATTCCTTCAAGTAGCCTTCCCAAAAGCCTATAACCAGATGTAGACTCTGCCACTCTCCTTGCCTCTGAAGTAGAAGGCTCAAGTTATGTGGTTTTTTCTGATTCTGCCTAGCCATGCCAGCTACAGCAAACCACCTCCACTCCCACCCCATATACACACTCTCCTTGTTCTCAGAAGCCTCCAGGCACTAAAACTATACTAGTTCCATCAGTGCTCTTAGTGGAGAATGATAGAAATTAGTCCCTCCTGCAGCCCTCTGAAAAGCTACAATATTGGATTCTGCACTGTTATCTTTGTTCCCAAGGGAGAAGTCATGAGGCAGGGTGCTGTCCTAGTGCAGAGCTGTGCCAGCTTGGTAGAGTAGGTGATGTGGGCAAAATGAAATTTCTCTTCTTACCCATTTCATTGTCGCTTTCCTTGGCTTTGTGGTTGCCTGGGGGTACTGCAACTTCTTAAGTGCATTCTAGAATTCTCATAAAAGTATTTTGGTTCATTGTCAAATTAATGTTTCTGTGAGGGAATCAGGGCTAGAAATTCCTATACTGCCATCTTGCTGATATCACCTACACAGTCATTTTCTTAATTTTAAAATCCAAATATTCATTGCTGGTATGTAAAAAAGAAATTGGCATTTGTATATTAACCTTATATACAGCAACTCTGCTGTAACCACTTATTAGTTTCAGAAGGGTTTATTATTTTTAATTTTCTACATAGATATGTTATCTGCAAACAAGGAACGTTTTCTCTTCTTTTCCAATTTATAGACCTATTTGTATGAATTTGCTGGAGATCCCATAACAAAACACCACACACTGGGTTCTTAAACAACAGAAATTAATTTTCTTAGTGATAGAGGCTGGAAGCCCAAGATCAAGGTGTCAGCAGAGTTGGTTTTCTCTGAGCCCTCTTTCCTTAGCTTGCAGATGGCTGCCCTCTTGTTGATTCTTCACATGACTGATGTTCTGTGCACATGCACCCCTGGTGTCCCTCTGTGTGCCCTAATCTCCTCTTTCTATAGGGACACAAATGATACTGAATTAGGATTTATCTTACAGCCTTATTTTAACTCAATTACATCTTTGAAGACCCTATCACTAATTAAAGTCACATTCTGAAGTACTAGGGTTTAGGGCTTCAACACATGAATTTTGAGGGAATACCATTCAACCCATAACACTTTTATTTCCTTTTCTCATTTTGTTGCATTGGCTAGCACTTCCATTAAAATATTGAAAAGGTGTGGTGAGAGAAGGCATCCTTGCATTTTTCCTGATAATAGTAGGAAAGCTTCTAGTTTCTTGTCATTTAAAATGTTCACTGTAGGTTTTTCATACATGTTCATCAAGGCAAGAAAGTTCCCCCTTTATTTCAGGTTTTCTGAGAGCTCCTATACTTTTTATCTATTCAGACCATGACCATGCACACACTCAATTTCAAAAATGGGCTAACATACCATCTTTTGTACATTCTCTTCATACTAGTCAGTTAATATATTTTGGGTCTTTTACCTGCAGTTTAAAAAATCTGCCTTTGTTCATTAATATCGACATACCATTGAGCCCACATCAATATTATAAACCACTGCAGCAGGTTTCCTGACTTCAATCTAATCCCCCTTTGCGCAATGTTCCATGCAGCCCAAGAAGGGTTTCTCTGATTACCAACCACCTTCTTTCAGGCACCCCACTTTGTGATCTCTATGAGTACCTTTGGCAAAATGTCTGGATTTTGGTTTTATGCCCAAGGATTTCAGTATCTCACTAACTTTTAAACTTTCAAAAGAATGAGGTTATTTATCCCTGAGCCCACTGTAAGGCCAGAACATATTATACAGATATTCAATAAGATTAATCAAATATATACCTATATTAAGAGGCATAGATAAGTAAATTTTGGATCATAATCCGTTTTGATGACTTCCCTGATTCTATACCTTTATTAACTATTCCTTATCAATTATTAACACAAGACAAAATCATGAAGATCAAAATTGAGGGCATGATTGATCAAAATGTTTGAAGATCTCTATTTCCTATTTTAGTTCTTTGCACTGGGATTCAGCAACTAGCAGTACCTTAGAGCACTCCACAATAATGAAGTACAACATTTTCCAAATTAATGTATAAAGATTACTTATAGTTTGTTTCTTATTATTAGTACTTCCTATCTAGCACACATAAGGTGAAAACTGAATACTCATTTAGCATGCTAATGAAACTAGCTATAAAATTAAAGACATATTTTATTTAAAAATAATCTGGGCATCTTTGTCAACTACCCATGATTGTGTGTAGGAGGGATGGGCAATCCCAAAGACAAACACCAGATAAAATCTTGCTGAAGCACTATAACAAAATACAAAATATTGTTCTACATTATGCCACAAGAATCAATAGATATAAATTCTGTGAAATAAAATGTTGAAGACCAGTGAGAGGGTTTATCATGAAAATACTTCTCTAATGTCCAGGATATCTCCAATATCCAAGATTTTCAGAATTAATGATGTCTTGGGAGGTAAAAAAGTAAAATATGGAAAGAGCACATCACATGAAAACATCTAAGAGTATTTTTATGACATTCGGGAGAGTAACTTTTATTAATGAACACAGGTGTATTAAATAAATAGCCACAATAAAATTGGTGAAAGAGAAATAATAATCAAAGAATAATATTTTTCTTCTCTAGAAATTTTTTTAGAGCCTCTTGGACATCTTTGTTCCTCAGAGAGTAAATCAAAGGATTCAACATGGGAGTGACTAGGGAGTAACATAAGGATGCCACTTTACTCAGCTCAGGAAATCTGTCAGGAGTGAGATACATAAAAAAGACAGCACCATACAGCACACTCACAACTCCCAGGTGAGAGCTGCAGGTGGAGAAGGCCTTCTTATGTCCCTCAGTAGAATGTATCTTTAGAACTGTGGACACAATATACATGTAAGATACTATAATGACTATGATAGTAGGCAAGATAATAATACATGATAAGGAAAAAGATATCATTCTATGGATAAAGAGATCAGAACAAGACAGTCTCTGAAGTGGGCGAGAATCACAGTAAAAGTGGTCAACAGCCCGAGAAGCGCAAAAAGATAAAGTAAATGTCATGCTAGTCTGAATAACTGAGCTAATGCAGCCACAAAAATAGGAACCAGCCACCAACTGAGTACACAGACGTGTGGACATTTGAACAGAGTAGAGCAGAGGGTTGCAGATGGCAATAAAGCGGTCATAAGCCATGGCCGCCAGGAGAAATCCCTCAGTCACAATGAGGAGGGCAAAGAGAAAGAGCTGGGCCACACAGCCTGCAAAGGAGATAGACTTGTTTTCAGACCAGAAGTTGATCATAGCCTTGGGTTCAATAACAGATGAATAGAAAAGATCAATGAAGGAGAGATTGCCTAGGAAAAAATACATTGGTGTGTTCAGCCGAGGATCAGTCATAATAATGGTCATCATCCCAACATTCCCTAGAAGGATCATGGCATAAACAAACAAAAATAGCAGGAAGAGGAGAATGTGGAGCTCTGGGCGTACCCTGAAGCCTGCAAGAATGAAGTCAGTCATTTCTGAGTGATTGCTTGTTCCCCTGTCACCCATGGTAGAAACCTGTTGAGAGGCACAGGGCAAAATATACAAATGAACTCTTGGTTTGGATCCTAGCATTACAAATAATCTCTTATGGTATTAGGATTTACAAAGCTATTTTTAAATTAATGTTATTATTAATTTTTGCCTCATAAGTATACTGTGACTTAAAGCCAATCAATTGCTGTTGAAACCAAAGATTAGTTGCATTTCTTATTTCTTTAAGTGTTAGAGTTAGGTTTTTTGCCTCTGCATCTAATACAATGCCTTTCTACCCAAATGCCTTTCACATTTCCAAGTATCACTTCTTTATACATTTCCCACTCATGATTCACACAATAACTTCAACATCATGAAGCAGTGACTGGAAGAGAGCACAATTAATTTTAAAAACGACTTTGGGAAGCACATTAGTTAGTTTGGGTTGGGAGATATTTGGGGTTTTAGTAGCCAAGTTTAGGAAAACAGAGACTTAATTTGGAGTACCAACAAATATAAAGGAAGTGACTGAGTTAAAAAAAAAAACCTACTTGAGAAGTGCAATTACCTTTCACAAGTCATGGAAACTGGATTCTGATGGAAGTTATGTACCCACTAAGATAAAAGGTGTGTGCAACCAAGCACAAAATTATTACTACTCATATTCAAGAATTTCTGTCCCAGATGGGCCATCAAAGCACTTTCATAAAGAAAACTTCCCTTCATTTCTTGATCCCAAGACTTGGAGATCTTTAACTTCTAAGTTCAGGGGTGCAAGTGCACGTTTGTCACATAGGTAAACTTGTGTCATGGGGTTTTGCTGTACAGATCATTTAATCACCAGGGTATTAAGCCTAGTACCCATTAGTTATTTTTCCTGATCCTCTCCCTCCTCCCACCTTCCACCCTGCAAAAGGCTCCAGTGTGTGTTTTTCCCCTCTATGTGTCCATGTGACTTGCAGTTCTTTAAAAAGAGATCTACAGTAGAACTCTTCCACAGATAAAAGAGTTACTTTAGGAATTAATACTGCAAAGGATACATATGGGGGCATTGCTGATTACACTTTTATTTGCCCTGAATACAACTTTTGTAGCCATTATTAACTCATTACTGCTCAAATAGATTTTTTAACTTCGTATGTTAACAATACAAGCCACTCTTTCTCTGTCCTAAGGGCTTTATGTGCATGATTCTGTCTAGGCAACAATAATAACAAATATGTATATGGCACTTTTTATGTGCCAGACACTTTTCTAAATGCTTTCATAGTAGCTCATTTAATCCATTCAATAATAACATTAGGTGGTTATTATTATATTCCCAAGTTTACAGATGAGTAAATTGAGGTACAGAGAAATGAAGTCTGCTGAAATTCACTTACTTGAGTCAGAATCAAGATTTGAAGCCAGGAAAACTGGCTCCAGAATCCATGCTTTTAATCATCATTAATGATTAATCACTGTACTATATCAACTTTAAATAAAGGACCCTTCCTGTTCCCCTACCTTACTTCTGCTTGTACTTTAGAGTGTAGTTAAAATTTCATATTTCCAAATAAAATCTCTAATTCTTCAACCTGGGTCAAAACATCTCATCCAAAGATAATTTGAAGAGACCAACTGCCACCATATTTTAATATTGAGGTTACATATTAATTATTCTTCACTTGACAATAACTTAAGACAAAATTCAATTTGTTCTCCATATATTGTCAGCATAACGTTATGTGTCTGGTAAATGGCAGTTAATACATATTTACTATAGATAAAAGTTGAATGATAATGATCATGCAGAAACAGAGAAAAATATAAAAACTATCCATCCAATACTGCAGTGGTTAGTATGGGTTTTAGGTTTAAATAAATCTAGGCTCCAGTTCTGCTTCTCTCACTTTCTAAATGGGATCTTGGACAAGTTACTTATGCTCTCTCTCTATGCTACTGTATTCTCATATATAAAGTGGAAATAAGAGTCCTCAAAGTTTTCTTGGGAATAGAAAATGACATACGTATGTAAATCACTTAGCACCATTTATGGTAAACTAAGTATTCAGTAAATGTTAGCCATTATTTTTATTATACGTTTCAGTGCTCAGTCCCACTATTCATACCAAATAGTGCTTATTAGGTTGAAAACCAATAATATATATGGTCGTTTTTGGACAAAACATTCTCAGTTGAGGGGAAGAATCAATCTGTTAAAAGTTTAGAGAGATGAAGAACTCTTGGAGAAATGGAATATTTTGCCTGAGAAAAAAGATTATTAAGAGAAAAGCTGAATAAGATGTTATCATTATTTAAGACTGTATTAAATGTTGAAAATAAAATATTCACCCATTTTATCAAAAATTAAATATGTAAGTAATTAAGAAGTAGTAAGAGCTTACATTAGATTGCACTTAGGGTCTGGAAAGATGTGAGACATTTAAGAAGTGAAAGAAAGCTGACTGAAGTCAGCATGAAAAATCATTTTTTGAAAAATAATATATATAATTTATCTTCATTTTATTCTCATCTAGAAGCAAAACAGATTATTTTAATTTCTAAGATTTATTTCTATCAAACTCATTTCAACATTAGAATTTAATATTATTATTAATAGTAATTATTCCTCACTTGACAATAATATCCTTAACATCAAACTCAGCTTGTTTGCTGCGTATTGTCAACATAATGTTCTGAATCTAGTGAATGACAATAATTCAATACATATTATTACGTAGAAAAAAGCTGAATGATAATGAGTATGTGGAATCAGAGAATATAAAAAAACAAACTTATTAAAATAAATTTATATCATAAATGTTATAAACATTGTAACATTATAAATGTTAATAAATGCATTGCTGATGACATTTTTTACCTGGAAAAGGGAGTTATTCCCGCAGAAGCCAACAACAAGTAGTCAGTTTGTGACTTATTTTTCAAAAACTTACAGGTTTTAAGTTACTTTTACCTTGTATTGTTTAGTAACTGGTCAGATTCTGGTAAAAATCAATCAGCAGAGTTCCAATGTTTTCCTCTGTTTATTGTTTTAATTCTAGAAAGGATAAACATAAAGTTAATTAATGACTGTCATAATTATAAATACTGAAAAATAATTACTTTGAAATAAAATGAATCATTCCCCACAAATCCACATTTATTATTACAGTTTTAGATTCTTCCCATAGATAAATGTGGCTTATGTGCCTCATTGCTCTATTTTAAAAAGTCTTTTTTTCAGTAGTTGATTTCCTGAAAAGTTTTATAGTCCTTTTTAGAAGAGAGTCAAGGTGAATTTTTCAAATCATGTTCTGCCAAAACTGAAGTGATTCCAGGAACAAAAATCTATAGATAAGCAAAGTGAACCTGAGGAATCAATCCACAAGATATTATCTATCCTGAATTCTCAGAAACTTGTATGCTTTCAAGGCAAGAGGATAGATTGCCATGGATATGCAAGTAGAGGTCCTGAGCTCTTTGGCATCTCTGAATACTGCCAAAATATCAACAGCAGTTATCCACGAGGGCTTCGGTTTTGCTACAGCTTTTTCATATAATTACAGTATTGAGATTTCCTCTATGTTCTGGGAGACAGTACCTCTGGGAGAGAAGAACACAAGTCAATTAATTAGTAAGACTTCTAGGATCTAAAAGCAAGATCCATGAAGACCTCAGAGATTCTATATTTTTTTAAAAAGCCTAAGAGTACTTAAAGTACATATGAGACATTCTTTAGGAAAAATCACAAGGATCTTTTAATTTTAATTTCTTCACTGAAAAAGCAGCATTTTCAATTTATCATTATAGCACAGTTTTTGATAAGCAAGTAGAAATAGATACGAAAGGAAATGTTGTGGTTCATAATGCCATTTGTAGGAAAATTTTGAGTCCTAATCATAAAGTTAATTTCATATTTACTTTCAGAATTCTATTCACCCAAATCTCTCCTTGATGACTTTTTAAACTATATTTTCTCAATAGTAATTGAGAAGAAAGATAGAACAGCACGACCATGATATGGGCAAAAATCCAACAAACGCCCTCTAATCCATCAAGTAAAGGCCACATGATTAACTGGATCTAAAGTTGGGTTTATATTGTAATTTTAATTGCTTTAAAGTTGTTTATTCAGGTGTCATGTATTAAGTTAGTAACTTCTCATCAGTCCCTGTATATAGTTCAAAATAATTTAAAGAACTGTTGGTTCCTTCCGGTGAGTGTTAAAGTTCTTAAAGGTGGTGTGTCCGGAGTTTGTTCCTTCAGATATTTAGATGTGTCCAGAGTTTCTTCCTTCTGGTGGGTTTGTGGTCTCACTGACTTCAAAAGTGAGTTACAGCTCTTAAAATCTCTTAAAGGTGGCATGTCTGGAGTTGTTCGTTCCTCCCGGTGGGTTTGTGGTCTCGCTGACTTGGAACCAACCCAAATGTCCAACAATGATAGACTGGATTAAGAAAATGTGGCACATATACACCATGGGATACTATGCAGTCATAAAAAAGGATGAGTTCATGTCCTTTGTTGGGACACGGATGAAGCTGGAAACCATCAGTCTCAGCAAACTATGGCAAGGACAGAAAACCAAACACCGCACGTTCTCACTCATAGGTGGGAATTGAACAACTACAACACTTGGACACAGGGTGGGGAACATCAGACACCGGGGCCTGTCCTGAGGTGGCGGGGGGGGACAGATAGCATTAGGAGATATACCTAATGTAAATGATGAGTTAATGGGTGTAGCACACCAACATGGCACATGTATACATATGTAACACACCTGCACGTTGCGCACATGTACCCTAGAACTTAAAGTCTAATAATAATTAAAAAACAAAAACAAAAAAAGAAAAGAAAAAAAACAAAAAGGAGTGAAGCTTCAGACCTTTGCAATGAGTGTTACAGCTCATAAAGGTGGCACCTCCAGAGCTGTTCTTTCTTCGGGTGGGTTTGTAGTCTGGCTTGCTTCAGGAGTGAAGCTGCAGACCTTGGTGGTGAATTTTACAGCTCATAAGGGCAGCAGGGCCCCAAAGAGTGAGCAGCAGCAAGATTTGTTGCTAAGCTGAAAAACAAAGCTTCCACAGGGTGGAAGGGGAATCTAGTGGGTTGCTTTTATCCCCTTATTTGTCCTCACCCACGTCCTGCTGATTGGTCCATTTTACAGAGCACCGATTGGTCCATTTTTCAGAGTGCTGATTGGTCCGTTTTTACAGAGTGCTGATTGGTGCATTTACAAACCTTTACCTAGACACAGAGTGCTGATTGGTGTGTTTACAATCCTTTAGCTAAACAGAAAAGCTCTCCAAGTCCCCACCCCACCCAGAAGCCCAGCCAGCTTCACCTCTCAGTTGGTTCAGCAAAATGAATGTAAATTCAGTAAGGAGACTGAATTTAGAGCTCATTTTATCAATTGTTGTGTTCCCCTAGTAAAATTATCTCTCCGTTAAGCAGTAAGAATATTCATTCAGCAGGGACAAATGTCATGCAAGCATCCAGCAAAAAAAAATTGAGAGTGAGTTGATAGGTTTTACAGTGGTGGCTGACAATCCCATTTTGACTCCTTGTACTTGGACCTGTAATTGTTTCATATATTTGTCGCTAATGAAGAGCACAGATTATATCCTGGATGACAGTTACTCACCTTTCTAAAGTAATGACATCCAGTTGGTCCAACAACTGAATCTTTAATAAATTATTCCGGTCGCTGCCGCCGATGCTACCACCGCATTTGGATGTAGAATTTGGAATCCCTGTGCACCTGTTAACAAGGAAGCAGAGTTTGAACTGCCAACTTTCCTCAGCAAGCTGTGGACTCTTGTGGAGGAAACCCACACTAAGGAATTCATCACCTGGAACCAGAATGGCCAAAGTTTTCTGGTCTTGGATGAGCAACGATTTGCAAAAGAAATTCTTCCCAAATATTTCAAGCACAATAACATGGCAAGCTTTGTGAGGCAACTGAATATGTATGATTTCCGTAAAGCAGTACATATCGACTCTGAAATTGTAAAGCAGGAAAGAGATGGTCCTGTAGAATTTCAGCATCCTTACTTCAAACAAGGACAGGATGACTTGTTGGAGAACATTAAAAGGAAGGTTTCATCTTCAAAACCAGAATAAAAAAAAATTCTTCAGGAAGAATTTAAAAAAAATTATAAGTAGTGCTCAGAAGGTTTCAATAAAACAGGAAACTATTGAGTACAGGATTTCTGAATTAAAAAGTGAGAATGAGTCCCTTTGGAAGGAGATGTCAGAATTATGAGCAAAGCATGCACAACAGGAACAAGTTATTCAAAAGATTGTCCAGTTTACTGTTGCATTGGTTCAAAATAACCAACTTGTGAGTTTAAAATGTAAAAGTCCTCTACTTTAAACACCAATGGAGCCCAAAAGAATCTGTTTCAGCACATAGTCAGAGAACCTACTGATAATCACCATCATAAAGTTCCACACAGTAGGACTGAAGGTTTAAAGCCAAGGGAGATGATTTCAGATGACATCATTATTTACAATGTTACTGATGATAATGCAAATGAAGAAAATATCCCAGTTATTCCAGAAACTGGGAAACTGGGATATTATATCATATCCATATATCATATATGTATATGTGTATATATATCTCTCCAGGATGTTATGTCTGATCCCTCCAATTGTAGCCAGTACCCTGATATTGTCGTCTTTGAAGATGACAATGAAGATGAGTATGCACCTGCCATTCAGAGTGGAGAGCAGAGTGAACCAGCCAGAGAATCCCTAAGTTCAGGCAGTGATGGCAGCAACCCTCTCATGTCTAGTGCTGTCCAGCTAAATGGCTCATCCAGTCTGACCTCAGAAGATCCAGTGACCATGATGGATTCCATTTTGAATGATAACATCAATCTTTTGGGAAAGGTTGAGTTGTTGGATTATCTTGACAGTACTGATTGCAGTTTAGACGACTTCCAAGCCATGCTGTCAGGAAGACAATTTAGCATAGACCCAGGTCTCCTGGTTGACTCTGAGAAAAAAGGATTAGAAACTACCAAGAACAATGTAGTTCAGTCAGTTTGGGAAGAGGGAAGAAAATCTAAATCCAGGCCACATTAGCAGCTTATCCAGTACATGCCTTTCCACTTCTTGCATTCCTCGATGGGAACCCTGTTTCTTCGGTTGAACAGGTGAGTACAACAGCATCATCAGAAGTTATGTCCTCTGTAGATAAATCCATAGAAGTTGATCAAGTGAAATTTATCCCAGAGTGCAAACACACAAACACAAATCTATAAATATGGTATACTATATTAACATAATGAAGAACATAAACCATATGATCATCTCAATAGATGCAGAAAAAAAAATTCGACAAAATCAAACATCTTTTAATAATATAATAAAAACTCTCAAAAAAACATGTGGAGAAGAAATATACCTATACCTCAACACAATAAAGGCCATACATGATAAGCTTACATGCACACACACACACACACACACACACACACATCTGCATTGCTGATATGGTTTGGCTCTGTGTCCCCACTCAAATCTCATCTCAAATTGTAATCCTTGTGTGTTGAGGGAGGGAAGTGGTGGGAGTGATTGGATCATGGGGTGGTTTCCCCCATGCTGTTCTTGTGATAGTGAGTGACTTCTCACAAGATCTGATGGTTTAAAAGTCTGTGGCAGTTTCCCCCTCACTATCTCTCTCTCATGCCGCGGTGTGAAGAAGGTACTTGCTTCCCCTTCACCTTCTGCCATGATTGTAAGTTTCCTTATGCCTCTCCAACCATACAGAACTGTGAGTAAATTAAACCTCTTTCTTTATAAATTACCCAATCTCAGGTATATCTTTATAGCAGTGTGAGGATAGACTAATACAATTGCCTACTGGTGACATTTATTAATAGGCTTTTTTATTAATAGGCTAGTTATCAAACTTCTGTAAGTGGTAACACTATGTTTTCTACTTTCTCATATAATATTTTTAATATAGTGCTTCATAATTAACCCCGGGTTTCCCCTTTTTTCTATATTTTCACTACTACACTGATAATCCAGATTCGGTACCTACTCAACTCAACTTGAACGTTATTTTTTAAAAATCCTATCTGATTTACTTTTTCTCCTCAGCATTTACTTTTTAAGCTTCCAGATTTATCTTTCTCAAACACTATTTTAATCATGTCACTTCTTTCTTAAGAGATTTTGTTACTTCCCAATTTCCTATTTAGCAAATTGGGATTTCTATTACTCTCCAAATTGTAATCTCTGTGAAACCAGATGAGATGTCTCACTGCATCCATTCATCTTGCACAGTATAGGCTTAACACGTTGATTTTAATTATACCTGATACATTCTCTTTGAATCTAGTTCTAAATCCTACCAATATTTAAGATTCCATTCGTATCTCCCCAGAATTACCACTGTCTTGCTACAGTAGCCAAACTTGGCATCACTTCTCCATACTCTTTTTAAATATTATTATAGTTATCCCTATATATGATAGTATCTATTTATGATTTGATTATTTAATGAATGTCATTTTACATTTACAATTGAATTTTCAGCTCCTTACAATGCAATGCATTACTTGCAAGATTCAGTAACACTTATCATAATTTCGAGTGCAGCATAAGTGCTCATTCATTTTTAATTTATTGAATTCATTTATAGTTCATTTGTGATGGTTAATATTGAGTGTCAACATGATCGGATTGAAGGATGCAAAGTATTGTTCCTGGGTGTGTCTGTGAGGGTGTTGCCAAAGGAGATTAACAGTTGAGTCAGTGGACTGGGAGAGGCAGACCCATCCTCAATCTGGTGGGCACCATCTATTCAGCTGCCAGCGAAGTGAAGCTAGGATAAAAGCAGGCAGAGGAACATGGAAGGACTAGACCGGCTAAGTCTTCTGGCCCCCATCTTTCTCCTGTGCTGGATGCTTCCTGCCCTCGAATATTGGATTCCAAGTTCTTCAGCTTTTTGACTCCTGAACCTACACCAGTGGTTTGCCAAGCGCTCTCAGGCCTTTGGCCACAGAACTGAAGGCTGCACTGTCAGCTTCCCTACTTTTGAGATTTTAGGACTCGGACTGGTTTCCTTGCTCCTCAGTTTACAAACAGCCTATTGTGGGACTTCACCTTGTGATCATATGAGTAAATACTTCTTAATAAACTTCCTTTCATGTATGCATCTATCCTATTAGACCTGTCCGTCTAGAGAACCATGACTAATACATCTTATTTAAAAAAAAAATTTTGAAGTAACTTGCGACAACTGCAGTAACAAAATAATTTATTAAATGTATTCAAAATTTAATTTGAGCCAAGCATTTTTTTAAGCACTTTTACAGGAATTTCATAATTTAATCATTAAAACAAATTCATATACTAATGAAACCTTTTGTAAGTATATGAATACCAATAACCTTTTTTTATTATTCTTTAAGTTTTGGGATACATGTCAGAACGTGCAGGTTTGTTACGTAGGTATACACATGCCATGATGGTTTGCTGCAACCATCAACCCCTCATCTACATTAGGTATTTCTCCTAATGCTATCCCTCCCGTAGCCCTTCACCCCCCAACAGGCCCTGTTGTGTGATGTTCCCCTCCCTGTGTCCATGTGTTCTCATTTTTCAACTCACACTTATGAGTGAGAACATGCTGTGTTTGGTTTTCTGTTCCTGTGTGTGTTTGCTGACAATGATGGTTTCCAGCTTCATCCATGTCCCTGCAAAGGACATGAACTCATCCTTTTTTATGGCTGCATAGTATTCCATGGTGTATATGTGCCGTATTTTCTTTATCCAGTCTATCATTAATGGGAATTTTGGTTGTTCCAAGTCTTTGCTATTGTGAATAGTGTGGCAATAAACATACAAGTGCATGAGTTCTTATAGTCGAATGATTTATAATCTTTTGAGTATATACCCAGTAATGGGATTGCTGGGTCAAATGGTATTTCTGGTTCTAGATCCTTGAGGAATCGCCACACTGTCTTCCACAATGGTTGAATTAATTTACACTTCCACCAACAGTGTAAAAGCATTCCTATTTCACCACATCCTCTTCAGCATCTGTTGTTTTCTGACTTTTTAATGATCGCCATTCTAACTGGCATGAGATGGTATTTCATTGTGGTTTTGATTTGCATTTCTCCAATGACCAGCGACGATGAGCTTTTTTTCGTATGTTTGTTGGCCACATAAAAGTCTTCTTTTGAGAAGTGTCTGTTCATATCCTTCACCCACTTTTTAATGGTGTTGTTCGTTTTTTTCTTGTACATTTGTTTAAGTTATGTGTAGATTCTGGATATTAGCCGTTTGTTAAAACTTAAAAAAGCTGTAGAAGTAAGGGGATGTTGTCAAATATATCATACTATTTCATGAATGTTTGCTTACTTCCATAATATCAGAATATATCAATTTAGCGAATCAATTTTTTGAAAGATCCCAGTGATCATAGGGAGTATGATCCAAATTCCTTTCAAAGTTTAAAAAAGGAAAGGTAAAATAGGGAGAGATGGGGAATAGCAGAGCAGAAGTACCCTGGCATGTAACATAATCTTAATAAAAAAAAAGCCTTCTCAATTTTTATGCATTCCAATTAGAAAGTTAGAAAAGTTTCTTAACCAAAGACCACAATATCTTTTATCACAGTAAAGATCATTTTTATACTATTCCAAATGTGGAATAGCATTAGAGAAGCTTAGGGACATGGATGAAGCTGGAAAAAAGTGCCCAAAGTGCACAAAGGCTGAAAATCCCCAAAACCAGAATGCCTCTTCTTATCCAAAGGATTACAACTCCTCACCATGAAGGGAAAAAAAGTGGATGAAGAATGAGTTTGACAAATTGACAAAAGTAGGCTTCAGAAGCTGGGTAATAAAAAACTCCTCCAAGCTAAAGGAGCATGTTCTAACCCAATGCAAGGAAGCTAAGAACCTTGAAAAAAGGTTAGAGGAATTGCTAACTAGAATAACCAGGTTAGAGAAAAACATAAATGAGCTGATGGAGTTGAAAAATACAGCATACACTTATATGCTGTTGGCGAGAGTATAAATCAGTACAACCTCTATGAAAAACAGTATAGAGGTTTCTCAAAGAACTAAAAATAGAACTACAGTTTGATCCAGGAATACCACTACTGGGTATCTACCCAAAGGAAAAGAAATCAATACATCAAAAAGATAATTGAACTTGAATGTTTATTGCAGCACTATTCACAATAGCAAAGATTTGGAATCAACCTAAGAGTCCATCAATGGATGACTGGGTAAAGAAAATGTGGTATACATATACAATGGAATACTATGCAGCCATAAAAGGATGAAATCATGTCTTTTGCAACAATTAATAACTGGAGGTTATTACCTTAAGTGAAACAAGCTGGACACAGAAAGACAGATATTTCATGTGCAGTTTTTATGTGAACATAAGTTTTCAAATCAGTGAGATAAATACACAGAAGCACAAATGCTGGCTTGTACAGTTAATTGGCTGCATAGCTGCCACACTGTCTGCTGTACTATTTTCCATCCCCAACAGCAATGAATGAGCATTCCTATTACTCTGCATCCTCACCAGTATTTAATATTGTCCGTTTTTTAAATTTTAGCCACTTACTAGGTGTGCCATTATGCTTTGAGGATTTCATAACTTCCAATTAGATAAAGTCATAATCAAGGGTCTAGCCATCCTCTAGTATAAGGGCAGGCTACTACCCAAAACTTGGTCTACATGATACTCTCTATCAGAACTCAAATTTACATCAAATGAAAAAAAAAGTTTGAAAATGCATGGAGTTCACATGTAACACTCAGTGAGACTGGATTCTACTAGCAGACTCTTTAGCAGTTGTCCTTGATTCGTTGAGGTGCCTTAATTCCTAACAAATTGCAAGACTTTTTCCCTCATTTTTCTCTTTATTTAGTGTGCTCCACATACATACCCAATATATCCCTCTTGTTTACTTTAGCCAAAGTGATTTTCAATGTTTTACATACATGTAAACCTACCTGTAATACACTCAATAAAGCCAATGAAAAAGAGATGTTTGTAGTTGAAACACAGAAGGTGATGATATAATATAAATTGACTTATTGGAAATAATGGTAAGAAATGAATAAAATTTATTTTTTAAATAGAGAACCACATTTGGAATAGTATAAAAATGATCTTTACTGTGATAAAAGATATTGTGGTCTTTGGTTAAGAAATTTTTCTAACTTTCTAATTGGAATGCATAAAAATTGAGAAGCCTTTTTTTTTTATTAAGATTATGTTACATGCCAGGGTACTTCTGCTCTGCTATTCCCCATCTCTCCCTATTCTACCTTTCCTTTTTTAAACTTTGAAAGGAATTTGGATCATACTCCCTATGATCACTGGGATCTTTCAAAAAATTGATTCGCTAAATTGATATATTCTGATATTATGGAAGTAAGCAAACATTCATGAAATAGTATGACATATTTTACAACATCCCCTTACTTCTACATCTTTACATCAGCATTACAATTTTATCCCATTGAACAAATAAAAGAGATATAATAGCAGCAAACCTTGATACTTTCACATATAATATAAATACCCTCATTCATTAAAATACAGCATTCATATGGAGGCCGGGCGCGGTGGCTCACGCTTGTAATCCCAGCACTTTGGGAGGCCGAGGCAGGCGGATCACGAGGTCAGGAGATCGAGACCATCCTGGCTAACACGGTGAAACCCCCTTTCTACTAAAAATACAAACAATTAGCCAGGGCATGGTGGTGGGCGCCTGTGGTCCCAGCTACTCAGGAGGCTGAGGCAGGAGAATGGCGTGAACCCGGGAGGTGAAGCTTACAGTGAACCGAGATCGCGCCACTGCACTCCAGCCTGGGCGACAGAGGGAGACTACGTCTCAAAAAAAAAACAAAAAACGAAAAACAAAAAACAGCATCAATACAACAAATGTTTGGTAGACAAAATGATCACATTTAATTTTTCTTCAACTTTTATTTTAAGTTCAGTGGTACATGTGCCAGATGTACGGGTTTGTTATGTGTGCCATGGTGGTTTACTGCTCAGATGATCCCATCACCAAGGTATGAAGCCCAGCATCCATTAACTCTTGTATCGATGTTGTATTTTAATGAATGAGGATATTTATATTTTTCAAGTAGTATTTTGTTTCCACATTGCTATGATTTTCCTGATTCAAGCATATGCTTTTAAATGTAAATTGTAAGTACTTCAGATTTCCAAATATGATAAAATCGATAGAAAGGATTGCCGAAGAAAATATCAAGGTTTGCTCCTATTAAATCTCTTTTATTTGTTCAATGTTAAAGGATCTTAAGTGACTCAAGCTTGACCCCATATTAAAAGCAAATCAAAATGAAAGAATCAATGGACCCATTAATGAGGAAATCATAAGGAAGTAGAATTAGGATAAAGCTTTTTTGTTACACAGGATTTTTCTCAAAGCTTCTTTGACATCTTTGTTTCTTAGAGAGTAGATCAGAGGGTTTAACATGGGTGTAACCAATATGTAAAATACTGAAGCCACTTTGCGAAGTTCAGGATTGCTTGGAGGTGTGAGGTACACAAAGGAAACAGTCCCTTAGAGCAAACTTACAACACCCAGATGGGAGCTGCAAGTGGAAAAGTCTTTCTTTCTCCCTTCACTGGAGGGGATCTTCAAGACTGAGGATACAATATACAGGTAAGATACTATAATAACAACAATTGTAGGCAAAATAATGATGACACTCAAACTCAGAGATACCATCTTATTGACAAAGAGATTAGAACAGGAAATCTTTTCAATTTGATAAGAATCACAGTAGAAGTGAGCAATGACTCTGGAAGCACAGAAGGACACTGAGAATGTTACACTGACTTGGAGGATGGAACTGGCCCAGCCACAGAAATAAGAACCAGCAACCAACTGAGTGCAGAGGCGTCTTGACATGTGAACACTATGAAGAAGAGGATTGCAGATGGCACTGAAGCGGTCATAGGCCATGGCTGCCAGGACAAACCCCTCTGTTACAATGAACAGGGCAAAAAGGAATAACTGGGCAACACAACCTGCAAAAGAGACTGTCTTTTTTTCAGACAGGAAGTGGGCCATGGCTTTAGGAGCAATAACAGTGGAGTAGGAGACGTCAATGAAGGAGAGGTTGCCTAGAAAAAAATACATTGGTGTGTTCAGCTGGGAATCAGTTACAATGATTGTCATCACACTAATGTTCCCCAAAAGAACCATGCTATAGATCAGCAGGAACAGGAAGAAGAGGAGAATGTAGAACTCTGGGCGGACCCTGAAGCCTTCAAGAATGAAATCAGTTACATCTGAATGGTTGCCTGTTCCCTTGTCACCCATGGCAAGAACCTGTTAAAAGGTATGAGACAAGGTTAAAAATTGAACTTTCTGCCTGTTCCCTTTTCACCCATGGCAAGAACCTATTAAAAGGTAAAAGACAAGGTTAAAAATTGAACTTTCTGCCTATTTCTCGGGATGATAAAATATCCGTTTTTTTAGTTGTGGAGGATATTGAAATTTGTGTTGTCATGTCCTTTTGGCCACCCAATTCTGTTAGGCATGAACTGCTGCACCCTTTTATAGGAACTCAACATGAGGTATATTTTAATTGCCCATCTTCACAAAAATATAAGTTACCAAACTCATTGATTTCTAATGTGTTTCTCCAAACCCAGTGCTCTTCCCATTACGACAATGTGCCTTTCACTCTTTTCTTTATACCTGTTTAGATCCTCACTTGATATTCATGGTAAGTTTAATATACAGTAACTGAAAGTTTTGAGAGATGTATAAATATTTGTTGTCATCTTTAGCTAGTAATTTCAAATTTATTTTATTCTTAATAATGCTTCTATTTTACAATAGAAGAATCAAATTTAAAAATGATTTAAGACTCCATGAATAGACATTAGACATTAATAGAGTATTAACTGTTTGTGATAGTTTGAAATAGGTTACCAAGGGATTTAACTGAGTCTCCTAAACTTAAAAAAAAAAAAAAACCCTTAAAAATAGAATGCATCATCACCTTCGTGAAGTGGACAAAGTGCAGACACATTACCAGGAAAAGAAATCCATGAACCTTACAAATCCTGCACAGGTCTATCAAGAAGCCAAGTTAATCTTAAACACATGTGGAATTAAAAAAAAAAAAAAAAAGGAAGCTTCAACACAATAAACTGAATAAAATTTTTGGCTAGGAAAAAAGTGTATTAATTTTGAGAGCTTTTTTTTTTTTTTTTTTTTTGAGATGGGTGTCTCACTCTGTTGCCTAGGCTGGAGTGCAGTGGTGCGATTGTGGCTCACTGAAACCTCTGCCTCCTGGGTTTAAGCGATTCTCCTGCCTCAACCTCCAGAGTAACTGGGACTATAGGCACACGCCACCACGCCCAGCTAATTTATGTAATTTTTAATAGAGACAGGGTTTTGCCATGTTGGCCAGGCTGGTCTCAAACTCCCGACCTCAGGCAATCTGCCCGCCTCGGCCTCCCAAAATGCTGGGATTACAGGCGTGAGCCACTGTGCCCAGCCCGTTTCTGAATGTATTAAAATAGTCATGATGGTTACTTTGAATCTATCACACAAATCTTAAGTAGTCAGATTTCTCTGTCTTATAAATTTGCAGGCTTTCTGGTTTTCAAACGCAGAAAACAATCTAAAAAGTACTATCTTGGTTTGGCATGAATGACAGAGTCACCATATTTTGGCCTTGGCTCTCATCTTCCCTCACACATGTGACCTTTCTGTCTGCTTTATCTTCTCCCCAAATCACTCAGCTCCCGTTGTTATCATCTTCTCATCACCCGATCTTTCTCCTCTCCTCCCAATACTATATATTTTTTAAAAGTTAGCAACTTAGTTCACAAGAAAAATAACTGGTTAACAACTCAATATGATTCCTAGATTTCTTCTCTCCCCCACTGCTCCATCTTGAAACCCACTTAAATAATCCTAATTGAATTTGTTGTTAAGAAAAGCACTAGGTGTTCCTGTTAATGTCTGCAAGAATGATTGCACTTAAATATCATGGTAAAACTAGGGCTAAGGGAATGAAGATTTAACAGAGAAATTCCAACCACTCATCATCAGATAATAGGTGGCTCATAGAACAAGTAAAATATTAGAAATTTTTAGAGTAAATAAGAAGGCCTTATTGAAGCCACCAAATTCACACCACACAACTGGATATTCAGCAGTATTTTAGCAGCAAATGTTCTTTCTTCTAATTCCCAGTTTTATTAATTAAATTACAGAATATTTTCTGAAACTATACCTGACAGTATCCACTATGATCAGGAAGTAATTATTGAGATTAATTTTTTTCAAGAATAATATTTACTCATACAATCATTCGTTCAATCGCTGAACACTTGTGGGCCATCTACTGTATGCCAGCCAGAATAAGGTGACCCATGAGTATTAGAAATTAGTTTCTTCTCAAACTACAAGTGCACCTGCATTTTCTCCTTTGTTCACCTTCAATTTATTATGAAATAATCAGCATGTTGTGATCTGCCCTTCAAGAAAAAGATTGTGATTTTTTAAGGTGCATACTGGCTTTATTTTATAATTGGTAACAAGCAAACATTGCCAATCATAAAATAATTTTTATTTGATAAAGCATGCAGAAATACTTAAGGATGATTAATTATTTGACTAAAATAAAAAAAAAAAAACTCATCTCTTACCTGAATATGTCTTCTTTCTTGACTTTTTTAAAGCAATTTTCTACTGGTAGATGTGAGGATAAAAAAGTTATTGTATTTAATTCTAGAAAGGCAAAAAGGTTGTAAAACTATATGATGGAAATTAAAGACAATGTCAAAATTAAGCATGATAAAAATAAAAGTTTAGCATAAGATATAAAAATCTTGTTTTGAAATATGTAATTTTGTTCTGTTTTAGGCCCTTATAGATTAATAATAGCTCATTCTTGAATTAAGAATGTCTTTTTTCATTTCCTTAATAGTGTTTTTGCCTGAAAATCCCCTGTAATTATATACCCCTCTCATGAGAAAAGAGGATGGAAGAGAATCTATCAAAGCCTCTTCCAGGCCTATGAATATTTCTTTATTGAAACTGAAAAGGAAATGCAACTGAACCTAAAGGATTGCACTGCATGAACACGCCTCCCCTGCGTTGTAGTGTATATTACAGGCATTGGAATGAGAACAATGAAAGCAAAAGGGAAATTTAAATAAGGCAAAGATTAAATCACCAGTGAACTGTGGTAATCCCTGAAGATCTATGGAATATGGCAGGAGGGACTGGTGGTGCCCTTAGTTAGCACTATTGCAACTATTTCAGGTAATTACGGTATAGACTGGGTGGAAGGGGATCCCTCTGGGGGAAGCTAAGAATAAGTCAATTATGGGTGATAACAATGAAAAGTTCCAGGTTCATTCCACCAGGGCCACATAGGAAGGAAGAGACAACAAGAAAAGGATACTATCTATCCTTATTACTTACCTTGAACCATCTCGGAGTCTTTGTGGAAACAATTTCTTGTTAGAAAAACTTGCTTTAGGTTGAGGTAATGTATTTCACATAATTTCCATTTCTCAGTTTAATTTATACCTTCCACATTCACAATTAATTTTTGTATTGCTTCTTTTACATGATAGCTCATAGTCTTATGTTCTATAGGTTTTTTTATTGCCATTTTCTTGTGGGATCATAGGTGATTTCTATTTTGCCTATTGTATCATACAATATATTACATACCAGGTTACCAATGTATTTATAATTAAAATTAATGAGCAAGATTCAATTAACAAGCAAGCCTATTTGAATATAAGTGACAATTATTATCTCAAGGCCTTGTCGCCTCTGATGTACTAAGTCACCTCTGAAGTACTAAGTACTGTGGTTCTAGCTGGACCACAAGATTGAGAGTCCAAACATTAGAATGTGCCTATCTCACTGAAATACAAGAAGTAATGAAAAAAACTAATGAGCTTGAAAGAAATGAACATGTAGCCATTCGGTATACCATATACTGAAATTCAGTTACCAAAGACTTAGAATATAATGTACAAGATTAAATATCTAAATTAAATTTTATTTAGCATACTTACCAGCTATTACAAAAATAACGTGTACAGAACAACCACAAAGCCTAAGTGTCGTTAAACTCATGTTACTGGGGTCATCAACTAGGAATCTCTGATGATATTAGCTATGCAGTCTCTATTGTTGGCTGGTTGAGGATGACCTTAGCTGGGATGACTGAAGCAACTTGTATATTCTCTGCATGTGTCTTGTCTTCCATCAGGCAACCCTGGGCATCTTCTTATAGCTATGGTTGAGAAAGACAAATAAAAGCAGAAATATACCACAAGCAACTTTTCAAGCAAACATCTCACTGGCCAAAGCAAGTGATGTGGATGAATCAAGGAATGGGCAGAACATCCCTTCCCTGAGTTGGAGAGCACTGAAAAATGACATAGCAAAAAGGATGGTCAAAGGGAGGGGGTGAATAATTATGACCACTTCTTTTCAACGTGAGGCTATGTCCAGATATGAAGCTGGTGTGTTTTGAAAGTTTACATGGGTTAGGCTTTCATAACCTTTTTAGGCCTTACCATGTGTTCCTTACACAGACTCACTGTTAGAGTGGGTAAAAGCTCTCCTATATCAGCTGCTATTCTCATTTTGGTCTGCCACACTTTCTAGGGAATACCTGTTGGCTACTTTGAATTTGTTTGTTCTCATACCATTTGTCCCAGCCATCCCATTACTGGGTATATACCCAAAGGATTATAAATCATGCTGCTATAAAGACACATGCACACGTATGTTTATTGCGGCACTATTCACAATAGCAAAGACTTGGAACCAACCCAAATGTCCAACAATGATAGACTGGATTATGAAAATGTGGCACATATACACCATGGAACACTATGCAGCCATAAAAAATGATGAGTTCATGTCCTTTGCAGGGACATGGATGAAATTGGAAATCATCATTCTCAGTAAACTATCGCAAGGACAAAAAACCAAACACCACATGTTCTCACTCATAGGTGGGAATTGAACAATGAGAACACATGGACACAGGAAGGGGAACATCACACTCTGGGGACTGTTGTGGGGTGGGGGGAGGGGGGAGGGATAGCATTAGGAGATATACCTAATGCTAAATGACGAGTTAATGGGTGCAGCACACCAGCATGGCACATGTATACATATGTAACTAACCTGCACATTGTGCACATGTACCCTAAAACTTAAAGTATAATAATAATAAAATAAAATAAAATAAAAAGAAATCTGATTTCTTCCATTTGCTTTCTCCAACACAGCGCCAATAATGCTCAGATTTTGAGGTTGATGCTTTGTTCCCACCTGCTAATATTTGGAGATTCATAGTCACACTTTGTTATATAAATTTGTCTGTCCATGAAATTTGGTTTTGCTCTCTCTAGTTGTTTTTTGCCTAGGGTTAAAAAATTGTTTAAATTCAAACAAGTGGTGGAAGGTTTCTAAAAATTAATCTTGAAATAGAAATTCTCTGTGTGAACATATTGACTACATTCAAAAGGGGTATTATATGGTTATTCTGTAAATTGAGCATTAAAATAAAAGCACAACAAGGTATTCTTAAGGCACTACTCTGCTCTTTAGCAAAATTTGTAAGGGGTTATAAAATTTTTAAATTTCTGAGTTATCATTTTGGCAAAATAAGTAACTTACAGTAATCTGAAATTCTATTTCATAATATCAAGTGTTTTAAACTTTGAACATATTTAACAGGCTTTCCAAAATCAAACTTCAATTTCAAAATTGTCTTTCCTGATGCCTGGCTTTTTGGATGGATCAGAGGGCCCCTGAAACATCCAGAAAAGAGGTAAACAGAATTATTTGACATATTCAGGTATATGGGATTGCCAAAATGATGTTCAATCTTCTTTAGGTTATATTTTTGTGAATAATGTTAATATATGTTCCAAAATTGCATGGGATTTCTAAAATTATAAGGTGTGAGTATATGCTATCAATCATAATTAAGGTTGTTATGTTAAGTTATTGTAAAGGATGGAGATAACCAAATTTCTTTGTCAATTATATTTATAACTGTAACTACCCTGGACATTTTGCTATTCACAGACAATTGTTGTCTTGTTTTAATCCTCCTTTTCAAAAGATGGTTTATAGTCAGCTGTGGAATTTTGACAGGTGCTCTCAAATACATGCTTCTGATAATTTTGGAGATTGTAACATTGGAATAAAGGAAAATAATAAGATATTCCTGAATGACAAAGAAAGGTTAAAAAATTGTGCTAAAAATTAAGTGTTACATAAAATATAATTCTAGTCAGAAACAAAAAACATAAATTGCTTAATTATGTTAGAATGTTCAGGTAGAATAGTACCTGTATTAGTCCATTTGCATGCTGCTAACAAAGACATACCCAAGACTCGGTAATTTATGCAGAAAAGAGGTTTAATGGACTAACAGTCCACATGGCTGGGGAGGCCTCACAATCACGGAGGAAGGCAAGGAGGAGCAAGTTACATGTTACATGGTTGGCAGCAGGCAAACAGAGAGCTTGTGCAGGGAAATTCCCCTGTATAAAACCATGAGATCTCATGAGACTTATTCACTACCACGAGAACAGCACCAGAAAGACCCACCCCATGATTCACGTGGGAATTGTGGGAGCTACAATTTAAGATGAGATTTGGGTAGGGACACAGCCAAACCATATCAGTACCTTTTAAAGTTTGGTGAAATTAGTGCACTCTCTGGTACTACTTATTAATATTTTATTCTTGCTAGCAAATAAACTTGAAAGACATAAGATAAAGTCACGTGTATTTACTTCTCTTTATCATTTTTCTATAGTTTCTATAAAAGATTTTCTTTTATAATAAAACAGTAATTTGAACTGTTAATAGAATGTTTATTAAGTGTCAAATATTCTTAATATTGAAGAATCATAGCATGCAATTCAAAAATACATTATAATGTATATAGATAACAAACTAAAAGCAACTCTCTGTGTGATAAATTAAGGATAATATTTTCTCTTTTTTGCATGTTAGTTTTAGTATATTACATTCTATAACATTGCTAAATAAAAATAGTTGGAAAATTGGTTAAATATACCTTGCTAAACTCACATAATTAAAATAACTTATCTGTAGTCTATAAAGGTAAACATAATTTTATCTGCTGTTTATAAAATCCATAGATAAAGCAAAAAGTAACAAAATGTCATTTTGTAGTTTAAAAAATGCCCTACAAACAAAAGTACAAAAGGAAAGTTACATAATGTAATTACTGTCAAACTGAGACAAAATAATGTGTTCTTGCTTTAGCTCTAAGTTTATTCAAAAACATTTCAACAAACATTTAAGAGAATATTATATAAATATTATTCATTGCATAACCATGCCATTGAACTCACTAACAAGGAAATATAATTATAGGTAATAAAACTTATGCAGCTTAGAATATATTTGAGGTTACAAAGTCAAACTAATTTATACTTCTTATTTACATATATTGATTCACTTGAGATTTCTTGTAGTTTTGTTTTGTTGTAGAATTGATACATGATCTTATGAAAAACACTCAAGTTCTAAACTCATTGTGCAAAAGAAATCTTTCTTTTATATTCTACCAGTATTATTCTTGCCTCTCATTCTTGTTTAAAGATGTCTCTGACTTCTTTCTAGCGTGTTTTACAGTTTAGACAGACAATGTGAGTTAAAATGCTGCAGGATCCTTACTGACTTCACTATGTGTAATAGTCAGTGTTCTCTAGAGGGACAGAACTAATAGGATAAATGTGTATATGAAGGGGAGTTCATTAACAAGAATTGACGCACATGATCACAAAGTGAAATACCATAATAGGCCATCTGCAAGCTGAGGAGCAAGGAAGCCAGTCCAAGTCCCAAAACCTCTATAGTAGGGAGGCCAACAGTGCAGCCTTCAGTTTGTGTCTGAAAGCCCAAGAACCCCTGGCAAACCACTGGTGTAAGTCCAAGAGTCCAAAAGCTAAGAACTTGGAGTCTGATGTTCCAGGGCAGGAAGCATCCAGCATGGGAGAAAGATGTAGGTCAGAAGACTCAGCCAGTCTAGTCCTTCTGCCTTCTTCTGCCTTCTTTCTCTAGCCACACTGGCAGCCGATTGGATGGTGCCTATTCACATTGTGGGTGGGTCTTCCTGAGGGTGGGTCTTCCTCTCCCAGTCCACTGACTCAAATGTTAATCTCTTCTGGCAACACCCAGAAACACCCAGATACACCCAGAAACAATACTTTGCATCCTTCAATCCAATCAAGTTGACACTTAATATTAACCATCACACTATGTTACTGTGGTTAATTACCTGATGTAAACATGTCAGCTTGCTTGGCTGCCCTTGTGGTAACTAATTATCATGTCACATGAGTTTTGCTTCTTTACATCAAATAAAACAACAAAAAAATAAAAACAGAGTCTTTCTGTCTAATTTTGACCCCTCCCTAAGATAAACCTTGATATTCCCCATAAATTGCTGACTTCCTAATTAAAAACAACTCTTTTCTGAATTTCACAATGCTTATATCTGAAGATATGCTATGGCCTTTATGGGTGTGACATAACTGGCTTTTTTATCACCAAGATCAAATTAACTGTAATACCTGTAACCTTGATAATCTCGTGAGAGTTTGGGGGATTTTGTTTTTCCTTTAAATGGCTGTTGCTTTTCTTTTTTCTTCAATCTGGTGAGCTAGTCCTAAAGCCTGGACTCTATTGCAAACTTTCATTGCAAGTAAACTACCTTTTTTTTTCAAGGTAGGAACAAAACTACCTTTTTTTCCTTTTTCCTTTGAAACTTCTTTTGAAGGTTTTGCTGGGTAAACTGAGAGCCAAACCTAACTCAACCTCATGTACTGAGATTTGAGCCTTCTGAAGTGTTTTCACCAAGATCTCTCTTTTCTCAGTTCCCAGGGTGAATGTCATGTAGCTAGAGAACTCTTGCTCTAATTTTGTATTTCTTTCCTAATTCTGGTTTTTCAGCAAATCTAACTCTGATCCTGATTTGTCCCCAGCCTCATGTTTCCCCATGGAAATCTGATATTGTGGGACAGTATCTATTAGATGACAGTCAACAAGACAGATGTTCTATAGAGTTGACCTTTTTTATTTTTCATCTGGAGTCTTCACTTTCTTTTAACATCCTTTAAGCTATGCATTTTATTTGTATGCCATTGTGAGCCTAAATCATCAGAAAGAAAACAATACATTTCTCTCTGGAATAAAGGGAAGATCTTAGAGATCTGGAATAACCGTGACTATTATGGAGCTTTTGTGCTAAGTTTACTCTGACTTACAGCTGCCACTGGAAAATGAGACTTCTAGTTCTCATAATGAGCATGTAAATTTTAAAAATGCCTTTTCTATCCTGAAGTAATTCATTTCTTACAAAGATCTTTTGTACTTTTTCTGTATCTGTGGCAAATTCTCTCTTATGTCAGGAAATATTTGGAAATTAATTGGTTGTAAAGCCATTTTCACACACTGTAATAACATCTATTTCAAACAGGCACATTCCCATCTATGGGGAGAAAATGTGTAAATGTTTCCCAAAAACTTCTGAAACTGGTTTTGTATGGCAAAGCCTCTGGCTTTTAAGAAAAGTGTTCATAATTTGAACAAACTGTACAAAATAGAACAAATGAATGAAAGAATGGAATGAAGAATGGGGAAAATTACTTTTGAGAAGAAGAGTTTCATGACTATGAAAAATCTGATGCTTCTGAGTACATGATTTCTCTTTCTCCTCTTTCATACTATAAGAAAGGCCCATAGAAATATACAAATGATGGAAAATTCAGATGTAAAACTGTGCTTCACGTACTGACAACACGAACTTAATGGTGCTTAAAGTTATGACCCTAGCTGAACCCTCAATCTCACTCAACAGGTGCTACAGAAAAAGCAACACACAATATGTTGAGAGTTAGTCAGCTAAAAACTGTTCCTGAATGTGCTAATCTACCTAAGAGTTTGATAAGAATAAAGTGTGTTTTGAGTCAGAAATACTTTCTCAGCAAACATATTGATATATCTTCACTTATAGAACTACACAGTAGTCTGTTTATCAAATGAAGCTGTTCTTCATTAGCTTATAAAGACTAGAAAAGCATTTTTAATATGAGAGAACTGTAAAATTTTCTAGAAATACTTCATGCAAAATGTTCTACATTTGTTGGCTTGCTTAAAATAAGCTTCCGACACTTGATAAAACTTACTTAAGGAGAAAAATAATTTAGCTAAATTTGTAATGGTTTTGGTTATTAGGCTTCACGACAGGTGGCAATGTAGTGCAAGTTGTTAGAGAAGAGTACGAAGTAAACTTCAGTATTCTCAAAAAAATGGGATTTATATTTGATATATTAATGTGGTAAAAAAAAAACCTTGTGTAAGCTGACAATTTTGGCTTAGAAACAATGTTATTTCTTCTGCCTGCTCTTATCAGTTTTAAAAATAATGTGAAAATAATAATTTCATTTATACAAGATTTAGGTTCATTTTCTCACACAAAGCCTAATCAACTTAAATTTCTTTAATTACCTTTACTAGATTTTATAATAAGTAAGTTCTCACTTTCACATAAATGATATAATAAGCGGGAATTTATAATTAAATCAATTAAAAGCTCAACTGAAGCAAAGTATAATATCTGGTTACTTTTAACAAGTATTTCCTCTTATAAACATATTTACTTCTTATAATGCTGATTATGATGAAAATTTAATAATTCTACTTACACTACTTGGAAAAACATTTAAATACCATATCCATGCATGACAAAATGCTCAGTCTTCAAATATAGGTTTAATATATACATGGACTTCTTTTATTACATAGAATATAAACTGGCCATCATTTAATATGTGGAAAAGAATATGTAGGATTTGGGATGCATTAGTATCATTTTCATATTTAACACTTTACGGCATATCTGAAAAGTCATGCCTGACTATGGGAGCATGTGTATGGAAGAAAATAAAGGGAATAACACCAATTTAAAATTGTCTGGTTGTGTCAACACATTATAAAATATAAAAGACAACTTTTTTGTTATAGTATGTTGTAGAAGGTTTGGAGGTAGACTTTCAAAAAATGAGTATGAGAAAAAACAATAAAATGTTTACAATTTTGGCCATTGTTGGGTGCCTCATGTTTTATTTATATACCGGGGAAAATCTTTTGAATCCTCTCATGCAACATGTTACACAGATGGTAACATGACAAACTGATTTTTGAGTACATAGTCTACCCTAAAACAAGTTAATTGGTTCACAGAGTGCAGACGCTCTTTATAGTGTCAAAATAATCTCACTCGAGAACTATTAACATTGTGTACTTTTCTATGTATTGAAAACAGTTTTTAATTTTGTCTATTCTGAATAAGCTAGAATTTCTAATTATCAGTTTTTGCTTCTCTGTTTATTTTCACTCTAGCCTGAAACTATAACCATTTTTAATGGTTAGTGTTCATATCTTGTCTCTTCTATCAACTCTTCCCAAATTCAAGCCACAAATTCAGAATAATGAAACTCTTTTGGTGTCTCTTTCCCAAACAGCATCCACAAAAACTTTCCCAGAGAGCATTTACAAAGATCTTTGCCGTAACATTATAACAGAAGAAATCCATGAGATTCTCCATATTTATAATGGTATCAGAGTAAATGTGGGATCAGGAAAGCATTCATAGTAGTCAATTGGTGGGACCTGGCATAGGATATCAGAGCATGGTTGAGTTGTAGATGGTTTCCATATAGCAGAAAGGCCCAAGGCAGAGTGTTGGATAGTGGTCAGGATGCAAAGGGTATTTACACAGGTTTATACTAGCAGCAGCCCAGCAACAGGTGCAGAAGCCAGATTAGGATAAAAAGAACAATCATGTAGGGGAAAGAGAGACAGCAGTAATGAGAGTATAGAGAAAATATAAAGCGGAATTAGTCAAAAAGTAAATATATTAAACATAATGAGTATTGGAGAGGGAGTTTGCAATATGCAAATTGAGAAACCAGAATAAACTCTGTACTGTTGGATTGGAATTTATAGTGTCAGAATAGATTCACTGTAATAGTCCATTCTCATGCTGCTATAAAGAACTACCTGAGACTGGGTAACTTATAAAAGAGGTTTAATTGGCTCATGGTTCTGCTGGCTGTACTGGTAGCATGGCTGGGGAAGCTTCAGGAAACTTTCAATCATGGCAGAAGGTAAAGGGGAAGCAGGCACATCTTCACATGGTGGAGCAGGAGAGAGAGAGAGAAGGCGGGAGGTGCTACACATTTTTAAACAACCAGATCTTATGAGAACTCACTCACTATCACTAGAACAGCAAGGAGTAAGTTTGCCCCCATGGTACAATCACCTTCCATCAGGTACCGCCTCCACCATGGGGGATTACAAGTCAACATGAGCTTTGGGTGGGGACAGAAATCCAAACCATATCACTCATCATTTTCAATATGTAATAGATATAGAAATGTAGGTGCAAATGATGGTATGTATGCATACATGAATGAGTGCACATATGAATGTATGTGGATGTGTACATATACATATATACATATGTATGTCTGCCAACTAAGAGACCTACCAGCACCTAAATAGCAGTAACATTGAACACACATCACCCATGTCTTGATTTCTAAATACACTTCTCCACTAAAAGGAACCAGGGATCCTTGGAGAAATGCGTAATTTCATATCAGATAGGCAAAGAACACAAAAATCTGTTCTGTTGTTTTGTGTCAAAAAGTATAAAGTGTTAAAAGAATGTTGGAGATAAGTCAAAAAAACACAGAAGCTAGCTCAAAGAAACTCCCACTGGCTAAACTGGGGATAATCTGAGCATCAAAATAAACAATGTCAATAATGTATTATAACACATTAAATAAAGTAGAAAACCATGAGTTCACGCTTATATAAATAAATAAATTTTTCAAAACTTAGAAAACTAGAATACCTACATGGTCTCACAATGTTTAATAAAAATACTTACTAATTACAAAAAGAGAAAGTAAATTTACAGAGGAGAAAGAGAGCAGATACTATTTTAATCAAATGGGTTTGGGACAGATTGGCATTGTGTGCCACTGAGATAACATATTGTAAGCATGGTTCACTACACTTGTTTGATAATCCTGACAAGGATACGTACCTGAATTTAATCATTAAGAAAATCAGAAAAACACAATTTGAGGGGCGTTCTACCCAATAACTGGCCTGAAATCATCAAGAATATAAAGAGAAAAAAATCAAGGAGTATCAAAGAAAGACTGATGAACTGTTCTATATTTAAGGAGACTTACATACACAACTGGATGCAAAATGTGACTCTAAACTTTCCATATTACCATTCCTTTTACTATCAATGAGGCCTTTGGAACAACTGGTCAATTCGGAGGCTTAAACGATGGTAAAGCAATCCTGATTCTGAGTATTGAAATATGATTATGAGGAGAATGTCTTTGGTGGTAGGAATTACACATCAAAGTATCTGGGAAAGATGGATCATTATGTTGGCAACTTACTCTCAAATGGTTTATTTTAAAAGTTTTTTCTTGGAGGAGGAGCCAAGATGGCCGAATAGGAACAGCTCCGGTCTACAGCTCCCAGCGTGAGCGACGCAGAAGACGGGTGATTTCTGCATTTCCATCTGAGGTACCGGGTTCATCTCACTAGGGAGTGCCAGACAGTGGGCGCAGGCCAGTGTGTGTGCACACCGTGCGCGAGCCAAAGCAGGGCGAGGCATTGCCTCACCTGGGAAGCGCAAGAGGTCAGGGAGTTCCCTTTCCGAGTCAAAGAAAGGGGTGACGGACGCACCTGGAAAATCGGGTCACTCCCACCTGAATATTGCGCTTTTCAGACCGGCTTAAGAAACGGCGCACCACGAGACTATATCCCACACCTGGCTCAGAGGGTCCTACGCCCACGGAATCTCGCTGATTGCTAGCACAGCAGTCTGAGATCAAACTGCAAGGCAGCAACGAGGCTGGGGGAGGGGCGCCCGCCATTGCCCAGGCTTGCTTAGGTAAACAAAGCAGCCAGGAAACTCGAACTGGGTGGAGCCCACCACAGCTCAAGGAGGCCTGCCTGCCTCTGTAGGCTCCACCTCTGGAGGCAGGGCACAGACAAACAAAAAGACAGCAGTAACCTCTGCAGACTTAAGTGTCCCTGTCTGACAGCTTTGAAGAGAGCAGTGGTTCTCCCAGCACGCAGCTGGAGATCTGAGAACGGGCAGACTGCCTCCTCAAGTGGGTCCCTGACCCCTGACCCCTGAGCAGCCTAACTGGGAGGCACCCCCCAGCAGGGGCACACTGACACCTCACACGGCAGGGTAATCCAACAGACCTGCAGCTGAGGGTCCTGTCTGTTACAAGGAAAACTAACAAACAGAAAGGACATCCACACCAAAAACCCATCTGTACATCACCATCATCAAAGACCAAAAGTAGATAAAACCACAAAGATGGGGAAAAAACAGAACAGAAAAACTGGAAACTCTAAAACGCAGAGCACCTCTCCTCCTCCAAAGGAACGCAGTTCCTCACCAGCAACAGAACAAAGCTGGATGGAGAATGATTTTGACGAGCTGAGAGAAGAAGGCTTCAGACGATCAAATTACTCTGAGCTACGGGAGGACATTCAAACCAAAGGCAAAGAAGTTGAAAACTTTGAAAAAAATTTAGAAGAATGTATAACTAGAATAACCAGTACAGAGAAGTGCTTAAAGGAGCTGATGGAGCTGAAAACCAAGGCTCGAGAACTACGTGAAGAATGCAGAAGCCTCAGGAGCCGATGCGATCAACTGGAAGAAAGGGTATCAGCAATGGAAGATGAAATGAATGAAATGAAGCGAGAAGGGAAGTTTAGAGAAAAAAGAATAAAAAGAAATGAGCAAAGCCTCCAAGAAATATGGGACTATGTGAAAAGACCAAATCTACATCTGATTGGTGTACCTGAAAGTGATGTGGAGAATGGAACCAAGTTGGAAAACACTCTGCAGGATATTATCCAGAACTTCCCCAATCTAGCAAGGCAGGCCAACGTTCAGATTCAGGAAATACAGAGAATGCCACAAAGATACTCCTCGAGAAGAGCAACTCCAAGACACATAATCGTCAGATTCACCAAAGTTGAAATGAAGGAAAAAATGTTAAGGGCAGCCAGAGAGAAAGGTTGCGTTACCCTCAAAGGAAAGCCCATCAGACTAACAGCGGATCTCTCGGCAGAAACCCTACAAGCCAGAAGAGAGTGGGGGCCAATATTCAACATTCTTAAAGAAAAGAATTTTCAACCCAGAATTTCATATCCAGCCAAACTAAGCTTCATAAGTGAAGGAGAAATAAAATACTTTATAGACAAGCAAATACTGAGAGATTTTGTCACCACCAGGCCTGCCCTAAAAGAGCTCCTGAAGGAAGCACTAAACATGGAAAGGAACAACCGGTACCAGCCGCTGCAAAATCATGCCAAAATGTAAAGACCATCGAGACTAGGAAGAAACTGCATCAACTAATGAGCAAAATCACCAGCTAACATCATAATGACAGGATCAAATTCACACATAACAATATTAACTTTAAATATAAATGGACTAAATTCTGCAATTAAAAGACGCAGACTGGCAAGTTGGATAAAGAGTCAAGACCCATCAGTGTGCTGTATTCAGGAAACCCATCGCACGTGCAGAGACACACATAGGCTCAAAATAAAAGGATGGAGGAAGATCTACCAAGCCAATGGAAAACAAAAAAAGGCAGGGTTTGCAATCCTAGTCTCTGATAAAACAGACTTTAAACCAACAAAGATCAAAAGAGACAAAGAAGGCCATTACATAATGGTAAAGGGATCAATTCAACAAGAGGAGCTAACTATCCTAAATATATATGCACCCAATACAGGAGCACCCAGATTCATAAAGCAAGTCCTGAGTGACCTACAAAGAGACTTAGACTCCCACACAATAATAATGGGAGACTTTAACACCCCACTGTCAACATTAGACAGATCAACGAGACAGAAAGTCAACAAGGATACCCAGGAATTGAACTCAGCTCTGCACCAAGCAGACCTAATAGACATCTACAGAACTCTCCACCCCAAATCAACAGAATATACATTTTTTTCAGCACCACACCACACCTATTCCAAAATTGACCACATACTTGGAAGTAAAGCTCTCCTCAGCAAATGTAAAAGAATAGAAATTATAACAAACTATCTCTCAGACCACAGTGCAATCAAACTAGAACTCAGGATTAAGAATCTCACTCAAAGCCGCTCAACTACATGGAAACTGAACAACCTGCTCCTGAATGACTACTGGGTACATAACGAAATGAAGGCAGAAATAAAGATGTTCTTTGAAACCAACGAGAACAAAGACACCACATACCAGAATCTCTGGGACGCATTCAAAGCAGTGTGTAGAGGGAAATTTATAGCACTAAATGCCTACAAGAGAAAGCAGGAAAGATCCAAAATTGACACCCTAACATCACAATTAAAAGAAGTACAAAAGCAGAGCAAACACATTCAAAAGCTAGCAGAAGGCAAGAAATAACTAAAATCAGAGCAGAACTGAAGGAAATAGAGACACAAAAAACCCTTCAAAAAATCAATGAATCCAGGAGCTGGTTTTTTGAAAGGATCAACAAAATTGATAGACCGCTAGCAAGACTAATAAAGAAAAAAAGAGAGAAGAATCAAATAGACACAATAAAAAATGATAAAGGGGATATCACCACCGATCCCACAGAAATACAAACTACCATCAGAGAATACTACAAACACCTCTAAGCAAATAAACTAGAAAATCTAGAAGAAATGGATACATTCCTCGACACATACACTCTCCCAAGACTAAACCAGAAAGAAGTTGAATCTCTGAATAGACCAATAACAGGCTCTGAAATTGTGGCAATAATCAATAGTTTACCAACCAAAAAGAGTCCAGGACCAGATGGATTCACAGCCGAATTCTACCAGAGGTACAAGGAGGAACTGGTACCATTCCTTCTGAAACTATTCCAATCAATAGAAAAAGAGGGAATCCTCCCTAACTCATTTTATGAGGCCAGCATCATTCTGATACCAAAGCCGGGCAGAGACACAACCAAAAAAGAGAATTTTAGACCAATATCCTTGATGAACATTGATGCAAAAATCCTCAATAAAATACTGGCAAACCGAATCCAGCAGAACATCAAAAAGCTTATCCACCATGATCAAGTGGGCTTCATCCCTGGGATGCAAGGCTGGTTCAATATACGCAAATCAATAAATGTAATCCAGCATATAAACAGAGCCAAAGACAAAAACCACATGATTATCTCAATAGATGCAGAAAAAGCCTTTGACAAAATTCAACAACCCTTCATGCTAAAAACTCTCAATAAATTAGGTATTGATGGGACGTATTTCAAAATCATAAGAGCTATCTATGACAAACCCACAGCCAATATCATACTGAATGGGCAAAAACTGGAAGCATTCCCTTTGAAAACTGGCACAAGACAGGGATGCCCTCTCTCACCGCTCCTATTCAACATAGTGTTGGAAGTTCTGGCCAGGGCAATCAGGCAGGAGAAGGAAATAAAGGGTATTCAATTAGGAAAAGAGGAAGTCAAATTGTCCCTGTTTGCAGACGACATGATTGTTTATCTAGAAAACTCCATCGTCTCAGCCCAAAATCTCCTTAAGCTGATAAGCAACTTCAGCAAAGTCTCAGGATACAAAATCAATGTACAAAAATCACAAGCATTCTTATACACCAACAACAGACAAACAGAGAGCCAAATCATGAGTGAAATCCCATTCACAATTGCTTCAAAGAGAATAAAATACCTAGGAATCCAACTTACAAGGGATGTGAAGGACCTCTTCAAGGAGAACTACAAACCACTGCTCAAGGAAATAAAAGAGGACACAAACAAATGGAAGAACATTCCATGCTCATGGGTAGGAAGAATCAATATCGTGAAAATGGCCATACTGCCCAAGGTAATTTACAGATTCAATGCCATCCCCATCAAGCTACCAATGACTTTCTTCACAGAATTGGAAAAAACTACTTTAAAGTTCATATGGAACCAAAAAAGAGCCCGCATCGCCAAGTCAATCCTAAGCCAAAAGAACAAAGCTGGAGGCATCACACTACCTGACTTCAAACTATACTACAAGGCTACAGTAACCAAAACAGCATGGTACTGGTACCAAAACAGAGATATAGATCAATGGAACAGAACAGAGCCCTCAGAAATAATGCCACATATCTACAACTATCTGATCTTTGACAAACCTGAGAAAAACAAGCAATGGGGAAAGGACTCCCTATTTAATAAATGGTGCTGGGCAAACTGGCTAGCCATATGTAGAAAGCTGAGACTGGATCCCTTCCTTACACCTTATACAAAAATCAATTCAAGATGGATTAAAGATTTAAACGTTAGACCTAAAACCATAAAAACCCTAGAAGAAAACCTAGGCATTACCATTCAGGACATAGGCGTGGGCAAGGACTTCATGTCCAAAACACCAAAAGCAATGGCAACAAAAGCCAAAATTGACAAATGGGATCTAATTAAACTAAAGAGCTTCTGCACAGCAAAAGAAACTACCATCAGAGTGAACAGGCAACCTACAACATGGGAGAAAATTTTCGCAACCTACTCATCTGACAAAGGGCTAATATCCAGAATCTACAATGAACTCAAACAAATTTACAAGAAAAAAACAAACAACCCCATCAAAAAGTGGGCAAAGGACATGAACAGACACTTCTCAAAAGAAGACATTTATGCAGCCAAAAAACACATGAAAAAATGCTCATCATCACTGGCCATCAGAGAAATGCAAATCAAAACCACTATGAGATATCATCTCACACCAGTTAGAATGGCAATCATTAAAAAGTCAGGAAACAACAGGTGCTGGAGAGGATGTGGAGAAATAGGAACACTTTTACACTGTTGGTGGGACTGTAAACTAGTTCAACCATTGTGGAAGTCAGTGTGGCGATTCCTCAGGGATCTAGAACTAGAAATACCATTTGACCCAGCCATCCCATTACTGGGTATATACCCAAAGGACTATAAATCATGCTGCTATAAAGACACATGCACACGTATGTTTATTGCGGCACTATTCACAATAGCAAAGACTTGGAACCAACCCAAATGTCCAACAATGATAGACTGGATTAAGAAAATGTGGCACATATACACCATGGAATACTATGCAGCCATAAAAAATGATGAGTTCATGTCCTTTGTAGGGACATGGATGAAATTGGAAACCATCATTCTCAGTAAATTATCGCAAGAACAAAAAACCAAACACCGCATATTCTCACTCATAGGTGGGAATTGAACAATGAGATCACATGGACACAGGAAGGGGAATATCACACTCTGGGGACAGTGGTGGGGTCGGGGGAGGGGGGAGGGATAGCATTGGGAGATATACCTAATGCTAGATGACACATTAGTGGGTGCAGCGCAGCAGCATGGCACATGTATACATATGTAACTAACCTGCACAATGTGCACATGTACCCTAAAACTTAGAGTATAATAAAAAAAAAAAATTTAAAAAAAAATAAAAAAAAGTTTTTTCTTTTGTACCAGAAATTCTCTATAAGTTTGAGATTATTTCTAAATGTAATGTTTCTGTGTGTTAACTCTCAAAACATCATATTTATCTGATGATCCACTTATATAGCACTACCCTATAGCACTATAGTACATATTTAGTGGCCAGTCGAGTGTATTTGGAAATAGGTTAAAAATATCTTTCATGTGAATGGAAGAGACACTCTGCTCCAACTATGAGAAGGAGAATATTGTCTGAGTTTACTCTATATTTTTTAGAGCCCCTTCCTTGCCCAGGTTTCAAAATCAAGTTTCAAACTGTTCTATATTTAAGGAGACTTACATATACAACTGGATGCAAAATGTGACTCTAAACTTTACACATTACCATTCCTTTTACTATCAATGACGCCTTTGGAACAACTGGTCAGTTCGGAGGTTTAGACGATGGTAAAGCAATCCTGATTCTGAGTACTGAAATATGATCATGCAGGAGAACGTCTTTGTTGGTAGGAAAATGCCCAGTCTCCCTCCAAAAAGCTGGCTGTGTATTGTCCTTACACTTCACTCACGACCTGGACAAATTTATTACAAGGTAACATAGAGCTGCAAAGGGAGCTCAGGAAAAATAAAATATTTCCTACTGATAGACAAATAGATGAATTTGATGAAATTTTAAGTTAAATAATAGCAAAATATACAGCAAGGGATACATAACATTCTCTGTTAGAGACACATAGTTTTCTAATAGTGTATAAGGCAAACTCTGTACTTTAAAGTCATTTTTTTTTGTTTGTTTTGTTTTATACTTTAAGTTTTAGGGTACATGTGCACAATGTGCAGGTTTGTTACGTATGTATACACGTGCCATGCTGGTGTGCTGCACCCATTAACTCGTCACTTAGCATTAGGTATATCTCCTAATGCTATCCCTCCCCCACCCCCCCACCCCACAACAGGCCCTGGTGTGTGATGTTCCCCTTCCTGTGTCCATGTGTTCCCATTGTTGAATTCCCACCTCTGAGTGAGAACATGCGGTGTTTGGTTTTTTGTCCTTGCGATAGTTTGCTGAGAATGATGGTTTCCAGCTTCATCCATGTCCCTAAGCTTCTCTAATGCTATTCTCAAGCCCATCCACATTGCTGCTTATTCTCATTTGTCAGCTGGCTCCTGCCTGTGACTCTCAGGCAGACTCTGGTCCTGTGCTCATTTTGCTGCTACAACTGAAACTACTAAAAATACTGTCCACCCAGTTTGTGAAGTTACCACCCTGAACTCAAAAGTCGAGATGATTTCCTAAAGATTCCATGACCTTTACAATCTGTTAGCCTCCCACAGCAACACTAGCACACACCTATTTTGCAAAGCAGACTTCTCTTAAGAGCTTAAGGGTAACAGAAAAGGGGTATAGAAATTTACTTAAACTGGATGCTAGACCTCACACTTTTAAATGTCTCTCAATAACCTCACCATGGAGCTTGTCACTGCTATATTTTTGCCAGCGGCTCTCATATCTGCTATGGTTTTGTGCCCTCTTTATCTCCCCTTATAATCTCTCTGCAATTGCTAGCTCACATTGCCAAAACACCTTTAAAATTATGCCTAACTTACTTTTCTTTCAATGGTCTATTTTAAAGTAGACTTTGAGCCATCTATTTTAAGTCTCAAATTTAATTAAGGTTCTGTTAAACATAAGTGCTGTTGACTTAGAATTTCTGCCCTCAGTCATGCAAATCTCATGATAAATCCAACCTTCTCATTTTTTTAACATTGTCTAAATCAGATTCCTACAGATGGCTCTCTGCCCTGGACCAGCCTAATAGAGAAGTATTATGAAAATGCTGTATATCCCCACCCTCCTCAGAGTTAACTCAATAATACAGAATTCGTTTTTTATAATATTTTAAAATATTAAGTAAATTATTTTATTTTAAATATTTTTAAACATATCTCCAAAATTATCTCCAACATCATATTAATAAACTCCTAAAGGTGTTTCTATTAAACTTTTAATCAATTAAGAAGACCTACTTTCATAATTATTTAATATATCCTGGATAGGTGCACCCTGAGGTGCTATAAAATTTTTCATTTACCAGTGACCAAGGAAACAACCAGCGACTTTCAAATCAGCTGTGATGTTTCTCCCTAAGAATGTTCATGGGGCAATGATAAAAGTTAAAACGATCTCCCTGATATTAGTAGTAATTGTGTAGTTACAGACTTCAAATTGTGGCATTTGACTGAGAGAGCCAAGGAAAATTTCATTTAGACGATAGTAGAAGCTTTTGGCTTATTAGTCAAAAAGATGGATGTGGCACAGTGATCTCCACCTATAGTTAGTTAATCATGGGGAATGAAATAAGTGGGCACTCCAGCGACCCAGACAGAGAGAGAGAACCAATCCACTCAACAGAGACCTAACTTAAGCCACTATAATTCACAACCTGTTCACTTCCAATTCTGACAGAGTCACCAACATGAAGAAGTCTAGGTAGCTCTAAGTAAGGTTCTCATTCTAATACCAAAGATATGAACTGAAATCCTTCCAACAATCCTTCTCTGAGTATTTTGGTGGCTGATTTATGGCTAACAAACACTAAAGAAAAGTGTACACCCAAACATTTTGTGGACCTTTAGAGATATTTGGATCCCGTTTTAGAACTATCACCAAATCTTAAGAACCCAGAATGTTACCCAGGCTGCTCATCAGAATGAAGGACTCTAGAGGGTAAGACAGGGAATGGGTTTTGATTTGTCTTCATCTCCTAATAGGTACCATGGAACCTAAAAATCAGTAGTATATTTCCCACTTCCTAAGTGTATATGTAATTGTGGTATAAGGCTGAAGAAGTTGGTAAACATGCACGGTTGATCCATGACATAGAGTAAGGACTAATAAAGTAGTAAGGGATAAATGGAATTTCATGGCACTTCTTGCTAAAATATCATATTAAAATGTATACAGATCACAAGAGGAATAGCAGAGAATTAGTGCCACCAGCAAAGATGACAAAGAAATGTGATGCTTTTTTTGCATTTATCTTATAGTTTAGCCAGTGAAAGGTTAGGGCGCTTGAGAGCCAGTTTAGCTTATCATAATTTTATCAAATGATGAGTGTAGTGGTAGTTATTAAAACAGATATGATTCTTACTAGAACAAAAACATTCAGCGCATGAGAATATATTATGCATATATTTATTTGAAAATGTTTCTCCTTTCTGCTGAAGATGGAACAAAATCACTTTGTTTTTACCTGATAACAAAAAAATAAATATTTGCCATCCTGTAAATTCTCTATTCTCACATGGTCCAAAAAGAAATTGAGGAGCTGTACTCTTTCATTAATTCTGCTTCTTTTTTAAAATAAGGAAAAATAAATGCATGTAGTTCCCAAACTCTCCAGCAGACTATTTACTTCAACTTATTTAAGTATGTTTTAATAGAATATGTTTCCATTCCTGAACTAGTTACCACTAAAAAGGAATAAAAACCCTATAATAAGAATAAACTAGAGATCTACCACTGGTGATAGAAACTTTTCTGACGCGAGGTTTGTCAAGAAGAAAGAAGACAGTGCCTCCCTATGTAGGCAACTGAGAGTATCTACTACAGTACGTGTACCCCACAAAACTAAAACCATCCAGGATGCAGATTAGAACAAACTCACTAGACATTAGATTCTGAAAAGCTGAGATCAAAGGCAAGAAAACACCAAATACAAAGAGAAGTAAGAAATGTATAGTAAGAAATATAACCTCATGACCTGTTTCAAAAATAAGGACTATAGTTTGGTTCAAATTTACTTCCTTGATGAATGTTTTAAGACAACTTTAACATTTAATTAAATTGTTTATGTTTTCTCATTCATATTGAAATGTATATTTGTTTACATATTTTATTTATTATTAATTATAGTAGAGATGATGATAGCTTACCATCAGTGTATAGATTATAAACTATTAAAACAGGATACTCAATTAATTAATATAAGAATGGAAATCGACCAGGAATGTTAGACTAGGAGTTAAATATAGCAACACATAATATTTTGAATCATGTCTCTTAAGGGATAGAATGACAATAATTTTATAAAGACATGAACTTCTTGCATTATGTTACGTGTTGGAAGTTTCATAACTGTATTAACTGAAAGAAAAGAATTTGGACAGTGAAATAGATGAGATGGATTGTTAGAATAATGAGTGGACACATACTCAAAGCTGGAACATAAGGGTCTTATTCACTGGAATTTAATTTTCCAGTAGAAGGAAAAAGAGCCTTAAATTTATTGAAGTAAACATTTCCAAGAGTAGCATTTGACAAGTTTGGCTTGCATGTGAAGTTTTGTCTGTTTTCTGTTTTCTAGTTCCCTAGAATGTTCAGGAGAAACTCATCTTCTCCAGCCTTACCATCGTGTATGTGCAGACAGAGCGAAATGAAATTTATATGACTAAATGTTTATCTTTTGCTTAAACCCAAAGCTAGTTTGTGTAGGTTGTCACAACAGAAATCTAACTAAAAGACATTCAACTGAGGAAGCTGGCCAATCATCAGAGTGTCAAAAAATTTGAACAAGTGGGTGCTTTAAAAGTGTTGATAAAGAAAGAAGGGGCTGGGCGCCGTGGCTCCATTCTGTAATCCCAGAACTTTGGGAGGCCGAGGTCGGGGGATCACGAGGTCAGGCAATCGAGACCATCCTGGCTAACACGGTGAAACCCCGTCTCTACTAAAAATACAAAAAAAAATTAGCCAGGCGTGGTGGCACACACCTGTAGTCCCAGCTGCTCGGGAGGCTAAGGCAGGAGAATCGCTTGAACCCGGGAGACAGAGGTTGCAGTGAGCCGAGAGCGCGCCACTGCACTCCAGCCTGGGCGACAAGAGTGAGACTCCGTCTCAAAAAACAAAACAGAACAAAAAAGAGAAAGAAGGAGCTATTTCAAAAATCTACAAGCCATATTTTATAAACCTAAGAAATATGGAAATTAGTATTTGTAAAGGTTTTGGGTTTTGTTGTTTTGTCTTTTTATGCAAAATTAGGATAATTAGGAAACGACTTTGAAATGAATTCTTTTTTTCATTCATGTTATTTTCTTTTTATTTATTTATTTATTTTTTGGTCTTGGTGTTTTGGTGTTTATTTCTTTTTTCTTTTTTTTTTTTAATTATACTTAAGTTCTAGGGTACATGTGCACAACGTGCAAGTTTGTTACATTTACATTAGGTATATCTCCTAATGCTATCCCTCCCCCTCCCTCCCACCCCACGACAGGCCCCGGTGTATGGTGTTCCCCACCCTGTGTCCAAGTGTTCTCATTGTTCAATTCCGACCTATGAGTGAGAACATGCGGTGTCTGGTTTTCTGTCCTTGCAATAGTTTGCTCAGTCATTCATGTTATTTTCAGTTCTGACATATCCTGCTTTTTTTCTTAACCCACCTCTTCCCTTTTCTTCCTCTTCCTCTCCCCACCTCAACTAGTAGTTTTGTCCTCACTGAGATCACTAGGATAATAGTTTACATTCAGAATTTTTATTGATTTTATCACCTATTCTGGTATCATGAAATTGGGCAAAGTGGTATCATTCTCAACTCACAAGGGTAAGAATAACATAGTTCAGTATCAATCCACCACTGAAACACTTTTATAATACTTTATTAGTTCAGCTACTTCAATCAACATAATTTAAATCCCATAATAAGGAGTTGAAACTATTTGAAAGCAAATGGAGCAAGCTCCAGGTGCTAGTAAACAATGTTTAATTTAGTGATTTTAACGTAATTTGTGAAGTTTAAATCAATACTTATCATTTGCAACTATTTGAATCAGAGAATCTTAGCACCCTGGTAATAGAAAATAGTATTCTAAGTACCCTCACCGAAATTCCATATCAGTACGCCAAATGTTAATAGAACTAAATGTTAGGTAAACACTAACATCACATCAAATTTAAAGACAAAGTGAAGTACATGATGCTACGGATCAATCAGTATATGTGTATGCATGAAAAGTTATAACGAGGGAAAATAAAACAATGCAATACAAGTACGTTGAGCATTTAAGAAGCCTAATATAATCTTCAGCCTCTCAAGATCATATCATTATATTAAAAGCTTTTTCGATGTGGATTTTTGTATAAAGTTTTAATTTTGTTTGAAAACCTGTTATAGTTGTCTTTCTGCACACAGTATGAAGATGATGGACTAGGAATCTCTGTAGTTTTCTCAGAGAATAATGGGTATTTCCCTACCAAAATTGAATAAATGCTCATTGAATCTATGAAATCAAACTACATGAAAATCTCTTGCCTCCCTGCTGTCACATTTCACAGGCCTTAGCATGAACATGGGAGCAAAATGGAAATTTAAGGTGAACAAAACTCCCTGGTCCCTGATGACCTACAAAGATAGCAGCAGCTAGCATCCATAGTTGTCTTAGGTTTTTCCAATCTCATGAAACTATTTCAGAGAATTGCAGCATAACATTTTTCAGAATTTTGGAGGAAGAAGTTCCTCTGAGAGAAGGCTGAAAAATAAGTCAATTATAATTTCATAACAAGCTTAAACTCTAGAGCCATCCCATGAGGACATATGAGGAGCAAACACTAAGTGTGATTTCTTTACTTGTTGAATACTCTTGGGGTAATCACCAAGTTATTTTGGACAAGACTCCTTATTATAAAGTTTTTTCTTTATATTAAGAGAAAGTTTGCTTCTCTATAAATTCCAACCACCTGAATGTCAGAGTCTCTACCCATTACTCTGCTTTCCGAAGGTCCACTGAATACTTCTATCTTCTGACATGCTTTCTAAATTTTAAAAGACAAATACATTAATGCCCCATAGTCTACATTTCTGGATTCAGCATCCTTAATTTGTTAGGATCTTTTAGTAGCGATTGAATAATTTCTAAGTTTCCTTTTCAAAAAGTCTATTGCCACAATTTGACATCAGGCTGTATATAGTCTATCAAGTTGAAATATGACTGCCTAATTATTTGCAATGTATACTCTTTTAAGGCATATGAGACAGAAAGTATTTTTTTTTAATATTGCTTCATACTGATCTTTCAGCCAAAAGAAACTTTAGTTTTATTCTTGTTTTTGTTTTATTTTGGTCTTATGTAAATTGCTACTGAGTTTGGTGTTCCATATTCTTGTTCTGTGACTTCTCTCATATTGTCTTTTCTTTAACTACACTTTTGCAATATTTTATGTCTAACCATTTTTTACCTTTTAGATTGCTGCTTTCATACTATATTTCCATGTTATAAAAACCAATGTCATATATTTGTGTGTCCTTCACGTCTTATTGGTGAGTGCTGCATGTTTTTGGACATAAGGAAGTTTCATTTTATTGCTTTTAAGTTTTTATTGATATAACCTTTTTTTTTTTTTTTGAGACTGTCTTGCTCTGTTGCCCAGGCTGGGGTGCCATGGCATAATCTCGGCTCACTGCAACCTCCACCTCTGGGATTCAAGCAATTCTCCTGCCTCAGCTTCCTTAGTAGCTGGGATTACAGGCGTGCGCCACCACACCCGGCTAATTTTTGTAATTTTTAGTAGAGGTGGGGTTTCACCATGTTGGCCAGGCTGGTCTCAAACTCCTGACCTCGTGATCCACCCGCCTCGGCCTCCCAAAGTGCTGGGATTACAGGCGTGAGCCACTGCGCCCGGCCTTGATATCACTTTTAAACAGAAATAATTCAAGGTTGTTTGATAAAGCCTGCTTCCAGGTTAATGAAGATCAATTAATCAGCTTGAGAAGTGTACACTTTTTCGACCACTATAAATCTAGCCTTTTATTTACAAAGACTATAAAATATTTTATCAGATAAAGATACATTATATGATAATCTTCTGAATGACAATTTCTTTAATCAGAAAAGGGTTTCAATTCACTTTTCCTGATTCTTCAGGAACCTAATGATTCTGTAAAACCTAAGATATTGTATCAAATTATCAGATATATTCCAAGCATTGTGATATGTATACATAACTACAAATTTAATACATAAAATAAACTTTCATCATTTTGTCTATGGATATACTGAATTGTCATCTCAGAAACTGTTCAAATGTGTGAGCTATGATGCTTCTAATTCACAAAGCTGAGGATCCAGAAACTCGCTTCCAATGCGAGCTCTTTACAATCTGACTTCACAACATGTATCTCCAGCTTTAAGTCCCATCCTCCTTCTTCTCCAGCTTATAATCACCCTAAGTTTACTACTCCCATTTCCAGAATAGATGGGGGTTTCCTGGCTCCCTGTTGTTACTCATTCATTCACTTATCAACCTGAATTTCTTTCCCGCCCTTTTATTTTCACTTCTATACTAAAATAACTTATTGATAGCATCAACACAACCTCTAAACACTTGGTGTATTCATTTGCCATCACAACTTAAAATATTGCCTTTAATATGAATTTGGCATGTATAGTTTAAAACCAGGTGCCTATTTGGAAGTCCTATCAGCATATCAAACAACTTAGGCCAACCAACCCTTCTCTCAATCCTGGCTTGGTGGCATAGCTACAAATAGGAAAGACAGGAGGGAACACAAAGAACATTGCTTCCTCAAAAGTAATAGATTTTCATCAGCTTATGACATCTTATTTACATGATGGCTGTTGAGAAAATCATTTTTAAAACTTTAGGTGGTGTAGTGTAAAACCAAGAAAGTATCTGTTCAGTACTTGATTGAAATGACATCTCATATTAAGTGTTCTTAACACACACACACACACACACACACACACACTACAAACAGAAGAAAAAGAAAAGAAAGCAAACTGCAACTATGAAAAAAAAAGGTAGTATAAGAAAAAGAAAATGATTTCCCTGGGGGGAGGAGCCAAGATGGCCGAATAGGAACAGATCCTGTCTACAGCTCCCAGCGTGAGTGACGCAGAAGACGGGTGATTTCTGCATTTCCATCTGAGGTACCGGGTTCATCTCACTTGGGAGTGGCAGACAGTGGGCGCAGGTCAGTGGGTGCGCCCACCGTGGGCAAGCCGAAGCAGGGCGAGGCATTGCCTCATTTGGGAAGCGCAAGGGGTCAGGAAGTTCCCTTTCCGAGTCAAAGAAAGGGGTGACGAACCCACCTGGAAAATCGGGTCACTCCCACCCGAATACTGCGCTTTTCCAACCGGCTTAAAAAACGGCGCACCACGAGATTATATCCCACACCTGGCTCAGAGGGTCCTACGCCCACGGAGTCTCGCTGATTGCTAGTACAGCAGTCTGAGATCAAACTGCAAGAGGGCAGTGAGGCTGGGGGAGGGGTGCCCGCCATTGCCCAGGCTTGCTTAGGTAAACAAAGCAGCCCTGAAGCTCCAACTGGGTGGAGCCCACCACAGCTCAAGGAGGCCTGCCTGCCTCTGTAGGCTCCACCTCTGGGGGCAGGGCACAGACAAACAAAGACAGCAGTAACCTCTGCAGACTTAAATGTCCCTGTCTGACAGCTTTGAAGAGAGTAGTGGTTCTCCCAGCACGCAGCTGGAGATCTGAGAACGGGAAGACGGAGATCTGAGAACGGGAAGACTGCCTCCTCAAGTGGGTCCCTGACCCCCGAGCAGCCTAACTGGGAGGCACACCCCAGCAGGGGCACACTGACACCTCACACAGCAGGGTACTCCAACAGACCTGCAGCTCAGGGTCCTGTCTGTTAGAAGGAAAACTAACAAACAGAAAGGACATCCACACCAAAAACCCATCTGTACATCACCATCATCAAAGACCAAAAGTAGATAAAACCACAAAGATGGGGAAAAAAACAGAACAGAAAAACTGGAAACTCTAAAAAGCAGAGCACCTCTCCTCCTCCAAAGGAACACAGTTCCTCACCAGCAATGGAACAAAGCTGGATGGAGAATGACTTTGACGAGCTGAGAGAAGAAGGCTTCAGACGATCAAATTACTCTGAGCTATGGGAGGACATTCAAACCAAAGGCAAAGAAGTTGAAAACTTTGAAAAAACTTTAGAAGAATGTATAACTAGAATAACCAATACAGAGAAATTCTTAAAGGAGCTGATGGAGCTGAAAACCAAGGCTCAAGAACTACATGAAGAATGCAGAAGCCTCAGGAGCCGATGCGATCAACTGGAAGAAAGGGTATCAGCAATGGAAGATGAAATGAATGAAATGAAGCGAGAAGGGAAGTTTAGAGAAAAAAGAATAAAAAGAAATGAGCAAAGCCTCCAAGAAATATGGGACTATGTGAAAAGACCAAATCTATGTCTGATTGGTGTACCTGAAAGTGATGGGGAGAATGGAAACAAGTTGGAAAACACTCTGCAGGAGATTATCCAGGAGAACTTCCCCAATCTAGCAAGGCAGGCCAACGTTCAGATTCAGGAAATACAGAGAACGCCACAAAGATACTCCTCGAGAAGAGCAACTCCAAGACACATAATTGTCAGATTCACCAAAGTTGAAATGAAGGAAAAAATGTTAAGGGCAGCCAGAGAGAAAGGTCGGGTTACCCTCAAAGGGAAGCCCAACAGACTAACAGCGGATCTCTCGGCAGAAACTCTACAAGCCAGAAGAGAGTGGGGGCCAATATTCAACATTCTTAAAGAAAAGAATTTTCAACCCAGAATTTCATATCCAGCCAAACTAAGCTTCATAAGTGAAGGAGAAATAAAATACTTTACAGACAAGCAAATGCTGAGAGATTTTGTCACCACCAGGCCTGCCCTAAAAGAGCTCCTGAAGGAAGCACTAAACATGGAAAGGAACAACTGGTACCAGCCGCTGCAAAATCATGCCAAAATGTAAAGACCATTGAGGCTAGGAAGAAACTGCATCAACTAATCAGCAAAAGAACCAGCTAACATCATAATGACAGGATCAAATTCACACATAACAATATTAACTTTAAATGTAAATGGACTAAATGCTCCAATTAAAAGACACAGACTGACAAATTGGATAAAGAGTCAAGACCCATCAGTGTGCTGTATTCAGGAAACCCATCTCACATGCAGAGACACACATAGGCTCAAAATAAAGGGATGGAGGAAGATCTACCAAGCAAATGGAAAACAAAAAAAGGCAGGGGTTGCAATCCAAGTCTCTGATAAAACAGACTTTCAACCAACAAAGATCAAAAGACACAAAGAAGGCCATACATAATGGTAAAGGGATCAATTCAACAAGAAGAGCTAACTATCCTAAATATATATGCACCCAATACAGGAGCACCCAGATTCATAAAGCAAGTCCTTAGTGACCTACAAAGAGACTTAGACTCCCACACATTAATAATGGGAGACTTTAACACCCCACTGTCAACATTAGACAGATCAACGAGACAGAAAGTCAACAAGGATACCCAGGAATTGAACTCAGTTTTGCACCAAGCGGACCTAATAGACATCTACAGAACTCTCCACCCCAAATCAACAGAATATACATTTTTTTCAGCACCGCACCACACCTATTCCAAAATTGACCACATACTTGGAAGTAAAGCTCTCCTCAGAAAATGTAAAAGAACAGAGATTATAACAAACTATCTCTCAGACCACAGTGCAATCAAACTAGAACTCAGGATTAAGAATCTCACTCAAAACCGCTCAACTACATGGAAACTGAACAACCTGCTCCTGAATGACTACTGGGTACATAATGAAATGAAGGCAGAAATAAAGATGTTCTTTGAAACCAACGAGAACAAAGACACAACATACCAGAATCTCTGGGACGCATTCAAAGCAGTGTGTAGAGGGAAATTTATAGCACTAAATGCCCACAAGAGAAAGCAGGAAAGATCCAAAATTGGCACCCTAACATCACAATTAAATGAACTAGAAAAGCAAGAGCAAACACATTCAAAAGCTAGCAGAAGGCAAGAAATAACTAAAATCAGAGCAGAACTGAAGGAAATAGAGACACAAAAAACCCTTCAAAAAATTAATGAATCCAGGAGCTGGTTTTTTGAAAGGATCAACAAAATTGATAGACCGCTAGCAAGACTAATAAAGAAAAAAAGAGAGAAGAATCAAATAGACGCAATAAAAAATGATAAAGGGGATATCACCACCGATCCCACAGAAATACAAACTACCATCAGAGAATACTACAAACACCTCTACGCAAATAAACTAGAAAATCTAGAAGAAATGGATAAATTCCTCGACACATACACTCTCCCAAGACTAAACCAGGAAGAAGTTGAATCTCTGAATAGACCAATAACAGGATCTGAAATTGTGGCAATAATCAATAGCTTACCAACCAAAAAGAGTCCAGGACCAGATGGATTCACAGCCGAATTCTACCAGAGGTATAAGGAGGAGCTGGTACCATTCCTTCTGAAACTATTCCAATCAATAGAAAAAGAGTGAAGCCTTCCTAACTCATTTTATGAGGCCAGCATCATTCTGATACCAAAGCCGGGCAGAGAGACAACCAAAAAAGAGAATTTTAGACCAATATCCTTGATGAACATTGATGCAAAAAATCCTCAATAAAATACTGGCAAACCGAATCCAGCAGCACATCAAAAAGCTTATCCACCATGATCAAGTGGGCTTCATCCCTGGGATGCAAGGCTGGTTCAACATATGCAAATCAATAAATGTAATCCAGCATATAAACAGAGCCGAAGACAAAAACCACATGATTATCTCAATAGATGCAGAAAAAGCCTTTGACAAAATTCAACAACCCTTCATGCTAAAAACTCTCAATAAATTAGGTATTGATGGGATGTATTTCAAAATAATAAGAGCTATCTATGACAAACCCACAGCCAATATCATACTGAATGGGCAAAAACTAGAAGCATTCCCTTTGAAAACTGGCACAAGACAGGGATGCCCTCTCTCACCACTCCTATTCAACTTAGTGTTGGAAGTTCTGGCCAGGGCAATTAGGCAGGAGAAGGAAATAAAGGGTATTCAATTAGTAAAAGAGGAAGTCAAATTGTCCCTGTTTGCAGATGACATGATTGTATATCTAGAAAACCCCACTGTCTCAGCCCAAAATCTCCTTAAGCTGATAAGCAACTTCAGCAAAGTCTCAGGATACAAAATCAATGTACAAAAATCACAAGCATTCTTATACACCAATAACAGACAAACAGAGAGCCAAATCATGAGTGAAATCCCATTCACAATTGCTTCAAAGAGAATAAAATACCTAGGAATCCAACTTACAAGGGATGTGAAGGACCTCTTCAAGGAGAACTACAAACCACTGCTCAAGGAAATAAAAGAGGACACAAACAAATGGAAGAACATTCCATGCTCATGGGTAGGAAGAATCAATATCGTGAAAATGGCCATACTGCCCAAGGTAATTTATAGATTCAATGCCATCCCCATCAAGCTACCAATGACTTTCTTCACAGAATTGGAAAAAACTGCTTTAAAGTTCATATGGAACCAAAAAAGAGCCCGCATCACCAAGTCAATCCTAAGCCAAAAGAACAAAGATGGAGGCATCACACTACCTGACTTCAAACTATACTACAAGGCTACAGTAACCAAAACAGCATGGTACTGGTACCAAAACAGAGATCTAGATCAATGGAACAGAACAGAGCCCTCAGAAATAATGCCACACATCTACAACTATCTGATCTTTGACAAACCTGAGAAAAACAAGCAATGGGGAAAGGATTCCCTATTTAATAAATGGTGCTGGGAAAACTGGCTAGCCATATGTAGAAAGCTGAAACTGGATCCCTTCCTTACACCTTATACAAAAATCAATTCAAGATGGATTATAGACTTAAACGTTAGACCTAAAACCATAAAAACCCTAGAAGAAAACCTAGGCATTACCATTCAGGACATAGGCATGGGCAAGGACTTCATGTCTAAAACACCAAAAGCAATGGTAACAAAAGCCAAAATTGACAAATGGGATCTAATTAAACTAAAGAGCTTCTGCACAGCAAAAGAAACTATCATCATAGTGAACAGGCAACCTACAAAATGGGAGAAAATTTTCACAACCTACTCATCTGACAAGGGGCTAATATCCAGAATCTACAATGAACTCAAACAAATTTACAAGAAAAAAACAACCCCATCAAAAAGTGGGCGAAGGACATGAACAGACACTTCTCAAAAGAAGACATTTATGCAGCCAAAAAACACATGAAAAAATGCTCACCATCACTGGCCATCAGAGAAATGCAAATCAAAACCACAATGAGATACCATCTCACACCAGTTAGAATGGCAATCATTAAAAAGTCAGGAAACAACAGATGCTGGAGAGGATGTGGGGAAATAGGAACACTTTTACACTGTTGGTGGGACTGTAAACTAGTTCAACCATTGTGGAAGTCAGTGTGGCGATTCCTCAGGGATCTAGAACTGGAAATACCATTTGACCCAGCCATCCCATTACTGGGTATATACCCAAAGGACTATAAATCATGCTGCTATAAAGACACATGCACACGTATGTTTATTGCGGCATTATTCACAATAGCAAAGACTTGGAACCAACCCAAATGTCCAACAATGATAGACTGGATTAAGAAAATGTGGCACATATACACCATGGAATACTATGCAGCCATAAAAAATGATGAGTTCATGTCCTTTGTAGGGACATGGATGAAATTGGAAATCATCATTCTCAGTAAACTATCGCAAGAACAAAAAACCAAATGCCGCATATTCTCACTCATAGGTGGGAATTGGACAATGAGATCACATGGACACAGAAAGGGGAATATCACGCTCTGGGGACTGTTGTGGGGTGGGGGGAGGGGGGAGGGATAGCATTGGGAGATATTCCTAATGCTAGATGACAAGTTAGTGGGTGCAGCGCACCAGCATGGCACATGTATACATATGTAACTAACCTGCACAATCTGCACATGTACCCTAAAACTTAAAGTATAATAATAAAAAAAAAAGAAAATGATTTCCCAACCAGGAAATGTATGGTCATTTTAGTGTTATGTTATTAAGAAAGTCAGCTGGACTTTTTTATCCCTTCAGATTGAATTAGGATCCTAATGTTTCTTTTGTTTTGTATCTTTGTTTTCAATACAACAGAATATCACATTGTATAACATACATATTAAAAGACAGATTAAACACTACTTTTTTGAAACAGGAAATATCAGAAGTAAGACAAATAAACCAGTACAAAAAGTGGAAGTGTGTTACTCTTACATGCTTACTCCTCCAACCATCAAACACATGATGTAGCTCTCTGTTTTCTCCATCTCATCCAACACACACACACACACACACACACACACACACACACACACACAGCAATAGCTAATGTGATGACTTTTAATAGGTTTCTATACTAGTTATCACACTTCTTTAAGTGATAATACGATATTTTCTATTTTCTAGGATAATATTTTTAGCCTAGTACCTCAACATAACTAACTAGTACCTCAAAATAACCCTCAGATTCATCCATTTTTGTTTATTTTCACTGCTACAGGAATAATCCAGACTTAGCATCACCTTGACTTCACTTAATGTGTGTTTTTTTTAAATCATACCCCGATTTTCTTGTTCTTCTCAACCTTTGTTATTTTTAGTTTCTAGACTTGTCTTTTTAAAACACTATTTTACAGCTGCATAGTATTCCATGGTGTATATGTGCCACATTTTCTTTATCCAGTCTATCATTGATGGACATTTGGGTTGGTTCCAAGTCTTTGCTATTGTAAATAGTGCTGCAATAAACATATGCGTGCATGTGTCTTTATAGTAGAATGATTTGTAATCCTTTGGGTATATACCCAGTAATGGGATGGCTGGGTCAAATGGTATTTCCAGTTCCAGATCCCTGAGGAATCGCCACACTGACTTCCACAATGGTTGAACTAATTTACACTCCCACCAACAGTGTAAAAGCGTTCCTATTTGTCCACAGCCTCACCAGTATCTATTGTTTCCTGACTTTTTAATAATTGCCATTCTGACTGGCGTGAGATGGTATCTCATTGTGGTTGTGATTTCTATTTCTCTGATGATGTGGAGTAGTTTTTCATATGTTTGTTGACCTCATGTATCTCTTCTTTTGAGAAATGTTTGTTCATTCCCTTTACCCATTTTCTAATAGGGTTATTTGTTTTTTGCTTGTTGATTTGTTCAAGTTCTTTATAGATTCTGGATATTAGATATTGGTCTGATGCATAGTTAGTGAATATTTTCTCCCATTCTGTAGGTGGTCTGTTTACTCCGTTGATAGATATTTTTGTTGTGCAGAAGGTCTTTAGTTTAATTATATCCCACATGTCCATGTTTTATTTTGTTGCAATCGCTTTTGAGTACTTAGTCATAAATGCTTTCCCAATGCTGACATCCAGAATGATGTTTTCTAGGCTTTCTTCTAGGATTCTTATAGTTTGAGATCTTACATTTAAAACTTCAATCCATCTTGAGTTAATTTTTGTATATGGTGAAAGGTAGGGGCAAAATTTCATTCCTCAACATACAGCTAGCCAGCTATCTTAGCACCATTTATTGAATAAGGAGTCTTTTCCCCATTGCTTGTTTTTGTTGACTTTGTCAAAGATCAGATGTCTGTAGGTGTGCAGCTTTTTTTCTGTGTTCTGTATTCTGTTCCATTGGTTTACATGTCTGTTTTTGTACTAATACCATGCTGTTTTGGTTACTGTAGCCTTATAGTATAGTTTGAAGTCAGGTAATGTGATGCCTCCAGCTTTGTTCTTTTTATTCAGGATTGCTTTGGCTATCCAGGCTGTTTTCTTGTTCCATATAAATTTTAGAATGGTTTTTTCTAGTTCTGTGAAAAATGAGATGAGTAGTCTGATAGGAATAGTGTTGAATCTGTAGATTTCTTTGGGCAGTATGGCTATTTTACCAATATTGATTCTTTCTGTTCATAAGCATGAAATATTTTTCTATTTGTGTGTGTCATCTATGATTTCTTTAAGCAGTATTTTTTAGTTCTCTTTGCAGAGATCTTTCACTTCCTTGGTTAGATGTATTCCTAGGTATTTTAGTTTTGTGTGTGGCTACTAAAAATGAGATTGCATTCTGGATTTGGCTCTCAGCTTGAATATTATTGGTGTATAGAAAAGCTACTGATTTTTGTACACTGATTCTATATTCTGAAACTTTACTGAAGTTGTTTATCAGTTCTAGGAGGCTTTTGGCAGATTCTCTGGGCTTTTCTAGATATAGGATCATATCATCTATGAAGAGATATAGTTTGACTTCTATTTCTTTTCGGATGCCTTGCATTTCTTTTTTCACCTGACTGCTTTGGGTAGCACTTCCAGTACCATGATGAATAGGAGTGATGAGAGTGGACATCCTTGTCTTGTTCCAGTTCTCAAGGAGAATCCTTCCAGTTTTTGCCCATTCAGTAGGATGATGGCTGTGGGTTTGTCATAGATGACTCTTATTATTTTGAGGTATGTTCCTTTAATGACTAGTTTCTTGAGAGTTCCTATCTTGAGGGTTCTTATCATGAAGGGATGTTGGATTTTATCAAAAGCTGTGATGATCATACGGTTTTCAGTTTTAATTCTGTTTATGTGGTGAATCACACTTATTGATTTGCACATGTTGAACCAAACTTGCATTCCGACAACGAAGCCCACTCGTTCATGGTGAATTAGCTTTTTAACATGCTGTTAAATTCAGTTTTCCAGTAATCTGTTGAGGAATTTTGCATCTATATTCATCAGTGATATTGGCCTGTTAGTTTCTGTTTTTCACTGTGTTTTTGCCAGATTTTGGTATCAGGATGATGCTGGCTTCATAGAATGAGTCAGAGAGGAGTTCCTCCTCCTTGATTTTTTGGAATAGTTTTGGTAGAATTGGTACCAGCTCTTCTTTGTACATCTGGTAGAATTTGACTATGACTGTATCTGGTCTGGGGCTTTTTTTGGTTACTAGGTTTTTCATTACTGATTCGATTTTGGAACTCAATATTTGTGTGTTCAGTGTTTCAGTTTCTTCCTGATTCAATCTTGAAAGATTGTGTTTCAGGAATTTATCTATTTCCTCTATATTTTCTAGTTTGTGTGCATAGAGGTGTTCTTAATAGTGTTTGAGGATCTTTTGCATTTCTGGGGCATCGGTTGTAATGTCAACTTTGTTGTTTCTGATTGCGCTTTAAAAATTATCTTTAAATTAGGTAATTTGTACCATGCCTGGAGTAAAAAGCCAATTGAAAGACATAGAAAAGTAATAATATAAAATAATGTAACTAATGTATCAACTAATTAATAGGTGTCTATTAAATTTAAAATCTAAATATGCTGTATCATTTGCTTTAAGAAAAATAACTATAAGATATATGCAGATATATTTAATGTTAACAGCAAATATCTCTGGAAAATAAGCTTACACATATAATTCAGATTTTAGATTTTGAATAGAAGCAGTTTTTACTATGCAAGAAACTACTTATTTGATAGTATAGCAATTAAAAGTATGAGTTATTTAAAGAGCTGATGAAAGTTATAGACTTGATCCCTCTGAGGCAGATTCACCCATGATATTCTATACATAAATATAGATCTGTAGATTAAAAGATAGGACTCGTATATGTAGCTAGTTTAATAAATATTTAAGCTGCAAGTATAGAGATAATACAGACCAGATACCAAGGTGGATGTTATATCATAATGTAAAATCCACAGAGATGATGGGTAAACACCTATTTTAAAGTTTATAACACATCACATGCAGCAAGCTCTGCAATAGAAGAGTGGGTGCAAGATTTAGTTTAGTCTTCCTTTGCATAGGAATTCTTCTCTCCCATCTCTCTAACCTTTCATAATTGAAGTGGAGAAATGAAGAAAGAGGATAGGGAAATTCAGATTTGAAGATACTGTTATTATGATATACCGTCATAGCTCTCTTGCTAGGAAAAGCTTGAAAATTGACTATTTTACTAATGAGTTTTTGCAGGTTCTTCAAAAATTCTCCCCAATTCCTGAGTCTCTCTCCCCAATGGTTCCCTTGGTGAGAATAACTACTCAGAATTTCTATTCGTTATTTAGTTTTGCCTCAGCACTTAGAAACCCCACAGTATCACCAATTTCTCTCCACTGATATCTAGCATGTGCTAGGACTGCCTTTGGAATAGAATATTACAATAAAAATCCATTTCCACATCCTGAAACACTAGCTTCATCTAATATTTATATGCTCTGTGTGTAACACATGAAATCAAGAGTCTCAACTCAATTTAATCTGCATTTTTAAAATAAGAATGATAGCAAATTTCAGAAACTATCTTAGAAATTGATGATTCTTGCATAAATAATGAAATTGAGGAATAAATTAAGAAGTTCTTTGAAACCAATGAGAACAAAGAAATAACGTACCAGAATCTCTGGGATGCAACTAAAGCAGTGTTAAGAGAGAAATTTATAGCAGTAAATGCCCACATCAGAAAGCTAGAAAGATCTCAAATTGACACCTAACATCACAACTAAAAGAACTAGAGAAACAAGAGCACACAGATCCACAACCATCTGATCTTCAACAAACCTGACAAAAACAAACAATGGGGAAAGGATTCCTTATTTAATAAATGGTGCTGGGAAAACTGGCTAACCATATGCAGAAAATTGAAACTGGATCCCTTCCTTACACCTTATACAAAAATTAACTCAAGATGGATTAAAGACTTAAATGTAAAACCCAAAACTATAAAAACCCTAGAAGAAAATCTAAGCAATACCATTTAGGGCATAGGCATGGGCAAAGACTTCATGACAAAATTGCCAAAAGCAATTGCAACAAAAGTAAAAATTGACAGATGGGATCTAATTAAACTAAGGAGCTTCTGCACAGCAAAAGAAACTATCATCAGAGAAAAGAGGCAACCCATAGAGTGGGAAAAAATTTTTGTAATCTATCTATCTGACAAAAGTCCAATATCCAGAATCTACAAGGAATTTAAACAAATTTACATTAAAAAAAACCATTAAATGTGGGCAAATGACATGAACAGACACTTCTCAAAAGAAGACTTTCATGTGGTCAGTAAACACGAAAAAAAAAACTCAACATCACTGATCATTAGAGAAATGCAAATCAAAACCACAATGAGATGCCACCATCTCACTCCAGTCAGAATGGCAATTATAAAATGTCAAGAAACAACAGATGCTGGCAAGGATGCAGAGAAATAGAATGCTTTTACACTGTTGGTGGGAATGTAAATTAGTTCAACCGTTGGAGAAGATGGCGTGGTGATTCCTCAAAGATCTAGAACCCGAAATGCCATTTGAACTAGCAATCCCATTACTGAGTACATACTCAAAAGTAATATAAATCATCCTACTACAAAGATAAATGCATGCATATGTTCATTGCAGCACTACTCACAATAGCAAAGACATGGAATCAACCCAAATGCCCATCATGGATAGACTGGATAAAGAAAATGTGGTACATATTCACCATGGAATATTATGCAGCCATAAAAAAACAAGATCATGTCCTTTGCAGGGACATGGATGGAGCTGGAAGCTTTTATCCTTAGCAAACTAATACAGGAACAGAAAACCAAATACCGCAGGTTCTCATAAGCGGGAGCTGAACAATGAAAACATATGGACACAGGGAGGGGAACAATGCATACTGCGGCCTGTCAGGGTATGGGGTAGGGGGAGGGAGAGCATTAGGAGAAATAGCTAATGCATGCAGGCCTTAATATCTAGGTGATGGGTTGATAGGTGCAGCAAACCGCCATAGCACATGTTTACCTATGTAACTAACCTGCATAGCCTGTACATGTACCCTGAAACTTAAAATAAAAATTAAAATTAAAAAAAGAAATTGATTATTCTTTTTTAATTATGAAGAATAAATCATTTTATTAATTGAATCCAAGGTCTGTTATTCATGTTAAATATATCCTTTAGAAGTAATATTAGAAGAGGTGGCTAAATAATTTTGTCAATTGAGATTGCCCAGAAGCTTCTTCAGTTTTAGAAGTTGGAGAAGATGAGTTAAACCCAATAAAAGTCACTGGTTAGTGATTTATAGACAATGTCAAGTAGTCTATGAATCATTTAGGGGGTTTGAATTGGAACTCTACATATAGAAAAAACATGTCTCCTAGTCTCCCAATCACTAGTGCTCTTAGAACTTCTCTTTCATCATTTAACAATTGCAACTACAACACAAAAACTTTCTTCATTTTCAGTCCTATCCAACAAACCCAGAATCTCCCCACTGGGATTTATTATATTCATACTGTTTCTAGGCAGAAAATAGTTTTCATTAAGATGTAAATTTAATGAATTTCTGAGCAACTTGTTTCTGCTCCATTTGGCATGGTGCCTTGCCGGCTTAGTCCAGGTGCTTCCTAATCGTCATAAAAGTGGAAACAAAGAGCCGAAGACCAGCTTTAAGCAAATGTTTTCTGTTAGACTTTTCAACCTGCCAATAACTTTTTCATGTTGTTTGCTTTTTATCAAAGCAATTGGGAAAAAAAATAGAATTCCATGATCTTTAGATGAATAGATGTTTATTTTAAATTTAGGAAGTCCCTCACCATCTCATTATTTTTATCCCTAGCTCAAACATGAATGGAAACATGCTTAAGAACAGCCACGCTGATTGAAAATTTGTAAGAATTATACATAAAACATACATATGTGAACAATTTCAAACAAAAAGGGAACACAGAAGACTAAACATGACACTTAAGGAGAAAATACAGTGACATGTTATAGAAAAAATTAGAAATATCTACAATACAGAGAGATCTGGAAAACCCTTCAGAAATAAACAGCAGATGATCTTAAAAGAAGAATGATGTTGCCATTTGATTTCTTAAAGGTTGCACTGAAAGAATTGAGTCAAGAAGTTAGAATCTAAAATTTTATAACGTAAGTGTAAGGATATCATAAAAATATTCTCAGATAAACAAAGCCTAAGAAACTGTACCACAATAAATGTAACTTTTAAGAATTCTTGGAAGAAGCATAAAGCAGTAGAATAACATAATGAATAAGTTTAAAATCCAGCTCCTCCATTTGATAGCTCTGTCATTGATGACCTCAGGTAAGACATTTAACCTCCTTAAACTTTAATTTCGTCATCTTTAAAGCAGGAACAATGATAGTACATATCCCAGAGGACTATGATGATTAAATAGATTAATGTGGCCAGGCGCAGTGGCTCATGCCTGTAATACCAGCACTTTGGGAGGCCAGGGTGGGTGGATCACCTGAGGTCAGAAGTTCGAGACCAGCCTGCCCAATACGGCGAAACCCCGACTCTACTAAAAATACCAAAATTAGCCAGGCGTGGTGGCATGCTCCTGTAGTCCCAGCTACTTGGGAGGCTGAGACAGGAGAATTTTTTGAACCCAGGAGGTGGAGGTTGCAGTGAACTGAGATCACGCCACTGCAGTCCAGTCTGGGCGACAGAGCAAGACTCCATCTCAAAAATAAATAAATAAATAAATAAATAAATAAATAAATAAGATTAATGTATTTCATACTTTTATAAGACTACAGAAACAACAGTAAGCATTCTATTAGTGTTGTCTACTAAAACCTTTTGACATCATATTCAATGGTGAAAAGAAGATAAAGGCATACAGATTGGTCAAGAAGAAGTTTAAATTTCCTTATTCAAAATTACATAATTTTGCATATAGAAAATCCTAAGGATCTAGCCCCCTTACCACCCTCAAAAAACTGCTAAAACCGAAAGATAAATCTAAAAAAATCTTGGGATACAAAATTAATATATAAAAATCAATTTATTACTATATACTAACAACAGAAATTGTAAAATTAAATTTATTTTAATATTAAAAGTACCATTTATAATATCAAAATAAAGGTATAAATTTTATCAAGGATGTTTAATATTTCTACATTTAAAACTACAAAATATTGCTACAAAAAAATCTAAGTAAATGAAGATATCCTAAGGATTCCAAATTTTAAAAGAATGTGTTCCTTTGGGTGAAAATAACAACATATTGTAGGAAAATAAATCAGAGATTTTCCTAGTAAACTAGTGCATGCGGACAACTCAAACTACCGCAAGGTGGCAGCACATCCCCATGATAGCACCATCAATACTTGGCCTAGTCAGTGGTGAAAAGTCATGATGGGCTTCTGAGAGGATGTTCCTATTAAATCCTAAGTATTCGATCTACAAAGAACTAGGATCTTTTGATCAATTGAGCCCACATTTTCCTTCAGAGTCCAAAGAGGAAACTGAATTTCTGAAAATGTAGGCGACTTATCAAAGGTCAAAAATAGTTCATGACAGAACCAGGATTAGAACCTGATCTTTTAGTTTCCAGGGCAGCTCCTTCACAGTATTATAAACATTCACTGTGGCCTTTCTCTATCCCAGATCCTCTAGGGACTGTTATTTCTAAGAGAAATGATACGGTGGAATAACAAAATATGTAAACTAAGTAGTGAGCAAAATTTTTGCTTAGGTCCTCCTGATAGAGGCAGGAGGCAGAGAAATTCTAGGCAGACGGGGCGGGTCCCCGGTGAAAACCCACCTTCATGCCAAAGTGGCCTGAGACCTGCAGCCCAAAGTGAGAACTTCCATTCCTCTTTGCCCACTCTCTCCCAATTGGCTCTTTCTGAGTAATGTCTTTTTACCAGTCAAACATGGCCTTTTCCAAAACTACCTATGGCCTGCCCCCACTCCCATCCTGTGCTTATAAAGACCCCAGACTCAGTCAGTAGAGAAGAGAGGCAGCTTGACTTCACTGAGGTGGCTTGACTTCAGGGAATAGCTGGCTGGACTTCGTGAAAGAGCCAGCCGGACTTTGGGGGAAAGACTACCTGCTTGTCCCATCCCCTGTCCAGCTCCCCTGTCCACTGAGAACAATTTCCATCACTTAATAAAATTCTCCGCCTTCACCATCCTTCAAGGCTAACCTCATTCTTCTTGTCCAGCATCCAAGAGCTCAGAACCCACTGAGTGCAGGTACCCAAAAAAGGCTGCCACATTGGCTCTTTGCCCTTGCCAGCAGAGGGCAGCCACCCCACACAATGAGGCAACGGGCCAACCGAGCTGCTAAGACACTGCTGTCTGCAGATGGCAGAGCTATGAGAGCACTGCAAACATGCCCTCTGGGGTTTTGGGGTGGCAGGCACCCCCACCTGGGCACCACTGCAGGCTCCACACTGAGCTTGCTCCTGCTGGTGCCCAAAGCAGCTGGCTGGATCCCACTCACTTACTCACATGCTCTCTCTCACAAAGGGTTGAGTGTGGTGGGCCAAGTAAACAGGGCACCCCTGTCATTAGTCTGACAAAGGGGCTGAGAAAAATCCTGCATCACTCCAGACCTTTTTCTAGTTCCAGCTCTCCCTGACCTAACACTCTCCTTTCAGTATCTTCCCATTTCCTACCCCCTTTCCCACAACAAAATAGGAGATATTCTGATATCAAGAGCCTTATTCGTATTTTGGCTGAACTTCATTTGTTTATTTTGATGATAAAAGGAATGGATATCTCTCACGTTTAAGTAATATTGGGCTATAGAAGTAGATAAACCTTTTACTTGACCTTAAAGTCAGATTCTCATTAAAGCTGAACCCAGTCAGGTAACTAAATATTCTGGTTTTCCTGGGCCTGAGAGGTTTCTCAGTTCTAAAACAGGGAAAGTTCTGAGGTGGGCAACCAGGATGGTTGGTCACCCTAGCTCATTTATGTGAAACTGGGGTTTGTGGTGTGATGTACAACATGATGGACCAGACAAAACAAAATGCATCTGACCATCCCTTTTTGTACCTCTTGCCATCTCTCACTTCACTTCAGCCAACATATATAGGACTACTAAATGTAAGGCTCTGCTATGGTTTGAATGTTTTTGTCTACTCCAAACTCATGTGTTGGAAACTTAATCATCAATGTAACAGTGTTGGGAGGTGGCACCAAATGGGAGGTGTTTAGGTCATGAGGGCTCAGTCCTAATGAATGAATTAATGTTGCAATAAAGGAGCTTTTGGAAGTGGGTTCCCCTTCTGCTCTTCTGCCATGTGAGGAACAGTGTTCCTCCCCTCTGGAGGATGCAGCATTCAAGGCACCATCTTGGAAGCAGACACCAAGCCTGCCAGTGTCTTGACCTTGGACATCCCAGTCTCCAGAACTGTAAGAAATAAATTTCTCTTCTTAATAAGTTTCCCCAGAATACACTATAATGTATTCTGTTACAGCAACAAAAAACTAATCAAGACACACACTGTGCTAGGCCACAGGAATTCAAGGATGAAATATAGTATCCCTACTCTGAGTAGGGTAGCAAATTTTTGCACAAATATGATTCCTGGACAAAATTTTTACTAAATCTGCTTTAGGAAAATTCTCATATCAACCTGGCTTATTTTACAAATACAGTAAATCAAATATGTATATACCCTTTTGTGCCTATTTCTAACAAAACATAGTCATTTTTTTCAAAACTGTAGATAGCTTGTGATAATAGCTAACTTCTGCCAACTCCTTACCAATTTTCTGGAATTCTGCTCTCTGTCTGACTCTAATAACTCTTTGAGGGAAAATCTGTTATTGTCCTCAGGCTTCAAACCAGTAAATTGAGGACTAAATAAGAAAAGTACAATTAATCAAGGACAACATCATACAAATAACAGTGGGAAAAGTAGGTTTCAAGCCCAAATCTGTTGACTCTAAAGCCTATGCCCTCACCCACTCCACTGTACCACTTCTCATCTAGAGGGGATCTTGTTCTGTCAAAAACTTTCTGCATTAATGAAAATGTCTTATATCTGCTCTTTCCAGTATAGAGTAGCCCCTAGCCACACATGACCATTGAACATATGAAATATTGACTTATGTGACTGAGGGACTGAATTTTTAACTTTATTTCATTTTAATTAATTTAAATAGTCACATAGGACTAATGGCTACTGTATTGGACAGCACAGGCCTGGGTTTGTATTATGTCATGTGAATGTAACAGAGTAGATCAATGTAGTGTAACGTAAAAAGAGTGGACATTAGAATCAGACTGTTCAGCCTGCTATTCGTGCCCACACCACTCAACCACCGTGTGAATTAGAGTAACATTTTTTTCTTTAAATCTCTCTGAGACTCAGTTGCCTCATCTATAAAATGAGAATAATTATAATACTACTAGATAGTTGCTGTAAGTTTTAAAGAGATATATACAGTATTTGGCACTAATAATCAATAAACATGTTTCATTTGCCCCTTAAAGATTTAAATGGTTGAGAAGGAAATTGCATGAGCTTTATTTGTCTAATATTTCTTCAAATATTTGACAATCTAAGTCAGAAAATTCTTCTGTATCTCTCTCATTTTGATATAAGTTGGTTTCTTTCATTATATTTTCTCTCTAGAATTGTTGTTGGGATTAAAGTCAGAATGATAAACGTAAAATAGCCCACAGTTATCTCAGTCACCAGCACGTAATTAAGCTCAGTAAGTATTTTTCCTCTCCAGTCCTTCAGCTAGGACTCAGAAAAATTTGTTTTTGAAAAAAAATCCACAAACATCCTGGATGCAGTGGTCAGGGGGAACTTACCGCTACTTCTTCGACGTCAAAGGATAACTGAATTCTCACTTTTGGCTCAGGCATGTGCAAGAAACAGGCACTATACCATCATTTCATGGGTGAGTCTATATTACGATGGTTGAAGACAGTGTAATCTAATGGACGGTGCCAGGAGGGTCATGAGAAGAAGCCAGGCTCTAGTTTTATTTCAATGCTGACCAGTTCTGTGACAAGTCGCTTTCTCATTCAGTACCTCAGATTTCCCAGCTAGGAAGTGGGTAGAATCACCTCAGATCTCCCTCAGAATTCTGTTAGGATGAAGATCCTGAATAATATGAAACTTCTCAGTAGTATAAACTACATTTTCATGTTAACAGTATCTCTTGACCATCTACCATACCACTATGAATTATATAAATAATATTTTAAAAACACTTTTATGAACTGTAAAGCATTAATCATTACGTAAAACAGAAAAAATGTCATCCTCATTTTAATAATTTGGAAATGGATTTTCAACAAATTGATTTGTCCAAGCCATACTCAAGTCCAATATCCTAGACCACACAACCACTAACTTGATCACACTCTTGCAGAGAAAGAGGCTAAAACTTGATCCATGGTGTATTTAAAGAAATTCATAGGCTGGGCCCAGTGGCTCACACCTGTAATCCCAGCACTTTGGGAGGCCAAGGCAGGAGGATCACTTGAAGTCAGGAGTTCAAGACCACCCTGGACAACATAATGAAATCCCATCTCTACTAAAAATACAAAACTTAGCCAGGCATGGTGGTACACGCCTGTAATCTCAGCTACTCAGGAGGCTGAGGCAAGAGAATCACTTGAACCCAGGAGGTGGAGGTTGCAGTGAGCTGAGATCGCACCACTGCACTCCAGCCTGGACGACAAAGAGAGACTCAGTCTAAAAAATTAAAATAAAATAAAATAATTGGTAGGTTTAGCCTCTGGTGAAAGCGGTATGATTGGCGCTTCAGAAGAACTTGCTTGAATGAAAAGTGTTACAAGACGCTGGAATCAGCTGACTGGGGACAGGTCTGGGGAGTGTGGGCTGGATGGCTGGGCCTTGGTGCTGCTCCTCCCTGTTCTCTCTCCCAGTAGCCTGTGCAGAAGGTGATTGAGGAACAGCCTTTCCAAGCTGCAGTTTTCCTTGTCAGCCACTAGGTGGATACCCAGTGTAATCCTGAGGAGCTAATGGAAATGGCTTAGAGGGTTTAGGATTTCCAGAGTTAATGGCCCCATGGGGAGGGACTAGGCCAGGGCTGCAGGCGAGTGAACAGACTCTCAACAGCACGATTAAGCCCTGAGATTTAATCATTTGCTCAGAAGTAGACATGAAAACAAAATCATAGCAGTCCCCCAATCCTGTCCACACCCTGGTCATTCCTGCCACTGCAGGATCCTTCTTTGGACTTTCAGGGTTCAAATCTCAGTCCCCCTTAGCATCCTTCCAGCCCTGGAACACCAGCATTCTAGAAATCATGACCCAGAGCTCAAGTGTCAGGTTAGGGCCTAGCCCTGGGTGTGAGAGGTGTTGACCCCTCTCAGAACCTGTTAAATCAGAAAAGAACTCTGTCTGAAGTTACAAACGGAGGCTGACCAGGAAGAGACAGCAGGGACAAGTAACCTGTGCAGAGGCTTCTGAGGATGGTGAAGAGAGTGAAAAATAAGTCTTTGGCAAGGAAGAAGCTTTTTATTTTGCACTTGTTTCCCTAATCCAAATTGCAAAAGCCAGTCTATAAAATAACCCCTGGTATGTATACCCCCGTTGGGTCTTTTCTTCTACCCAGTAGGAAGGTCTGACACACGCCCCTCCTGGATGCCCCTCAATGACTCCTTCCTCAAACTGTTGCTGCTGCGGAGCCATCTGTCACCCTCCCAGCGTCTGCAGCCCTCTCTGGAAAGCTCAGCTCCCAGCAAGCTGAGGCCCAGGTTCAGGGACGGATGCCACAGTCACAGAGGATCACTGCTAAATGGCGACGGCACGGAGGAAAAAACAGACTCATTTTAAACTTTACAGAAGTAAAGAACACTCTAGATATTTGTTTATAATTCCAATAAATATGTGTGGGACAGATTCCATGAGTAAGACGTTATTTTTAAAGGCTAGCTCCTGACCCCAACAATCATAAAGTATGCCCTTACTGATGGAGCAAGAAAGCACTGTATAATCTGTAACACTTTGCCAATCAATCAATACCTGTTAAAATTGTAAATTTTGAAGATGAAAAGGTACTTAAATTCATTATATATACAGTTATAGATATACATATGTGTGTGTGTGTATATATATAGATATACATATATATATATATATATACATGAGAGATCATATATTTTTCAGGCATGAGGGTCTGATGGGATGAGAATGGGGATGGGAATAAAAGGAGGCTACCCACTTCTCTAAATGAGGGTCTGAACTGCAGCTGGGAATTCAGTAAAAAAAAAAGAAATTTAAGATTAAAAAGTGATAAATAACAGATGAAGTAACAAACTATCATGAAGACTTAAAGGAAGGAGCCAGAACCCATTTAGCTGATTTCAATAAGTCAGGCAAGATTGAAATAGTTCATGGAGGGGAGAAAAGGGGGCTTGAAAAAAATAAGAATCTCAATCAAAGGGATACGTAAGAGCAAAAGCACTGTAACTAAGAAAATCCAAAAGCCAAGTCTGCATTAAATGGGGAAAAAATATGGTCTGGTTTGGCAAGTGTATAAAGTACATTATTAGGAAGTATTTGAATAAGTGATCAGAGTGGTAGATTAAGACTGTTGTGTGGAGGCTTTGAATGCCAGACTATTCTCAATATTACTACTTACTTCAATAAGAAATTAGGAAGGTCTTGTAATTTCTTTTAAAAAGTGTTCCAAAAGATACCGTCAAAGATTAAGCACCAGGAAAGCCAAAGAAAGGGACATGGTTATTCTGTGTCTAAGTTTCTCAACTCCAATCAAAGAATCAAAATCTCAGCTGCCTAGATCTGTCCATTCGGTCATCCTCTGATCCAACTGCCAACCCCACCATCCACCCATATCGCCCCTTGGGGAGAACACCTAGTCCCTGAGCTGATCTCAGCCTTGAATTTGCACCAATGTCTCTGATTAGCAGGAATATTCCTAATTTTATATTATAAAAATTTTTCCTCATAAATACATCAACTTTGGATTTTTAAAAGAATACGTTTATACAGTAAATCATGTTTGCTTTCATTGACAAAAGACAGGATAGAGAGGTGAGTAGTAAGGGCTATGGACAAGGTATATCTAGCAAAATTTTAAAAATGCAACAAGATGTCAAGGAAACAAAGTGAAAAACAAAAACAAAATAAATTATGTATATATCAAATTGCAAAGCAATTCTAGTGAAGTTTGAAAGTAATGTGGGAGATTCAAAGTAAGTAATCAGATGAAGTATAAAACCAATTGTCAAACCTGCAGATATTTTATCTGCATGCCAAATATTCTGCCTCTTTGAACATCACTGAGTAACTAATCAGTTTTTTCAAAAATCCATTCAGTTACATCCAGCAGAACAAAGATAAACACATGACCTACAAATTTGCATGATGCTCTGTTCACTTTTGGCATTTGGGGGGTAATAGTAAAACGAATGAGGTGTCTACTCATGCCACCTTTATGCTGATGTCCTAACATGCTAATATTTAGGATAGCTAGCTATGAGGCTGCCCTCTCTCAGTTCCCATAGCCCCAGAAATATGAGATTCTTCCCAAACAAAATGGTCTGTGGCATAGGCAAGCAATTCTATTGTTACTTTCTTACCCTTTTCCACCCTAAACCCCTGCCTATACCTCCAGGTCTCTCTTCTATTTTTCTGTCTCAGTCTCTCTCTGGCATATGTGAAGGGCTAGAAACTGCCCTCCCCAATCCCTGTCCACACTGGAAGAAAATGAACACAAGAGAGCAGAGCTATTCCCCCAGGGCTCCACATGGCTGATTTCCATAGGAAACAATCAACTTGACTCTGGTCTGATTGTTCGGGTGTAGAGGCTGGATGAGAGGGAGGTGGAGGTAGCCCTGAGAAGGGCAGCTCTGCCCACGGCTCTAATGAGAGTCAGGACTGAGACTGGGATCATGACAGATGGGGTATGAATACCAGACCGGCATCTTGAAAAAGTTTCTCATGGGCCTGCAGAGGGATAGGAGCGGAGACCAGATCTGGGGCCATCCCTGCTTCTGACCCACCCTCCACTTATCAAAGAGGCAATGAGCAATCTACAGCTCCCTAGACAAGTTTTGGTGAAAATATGCCATCCTAAGAAGACAACAAACTTTCCTCCGGGAAACAATCGTTTGTTGAGGGCAACTTCACCAAAATATACCATTCCCAGAGCCAGTATACAGCCACTGACATTGAATCTTGTCACTTCTCTGTGTAGAAATGCCACAATGTCTCCCCATGGTCAGCAGGGCCAAATCTATACACCTGAGGTTGATTCTAGTCTGTCATAGTTTACCCAATCTCATCCTTAACCAGACTTCTACACACACACACACACACACACACACACAGTGACCACCAATCTATGTCCCTTAGAATATTCCCTCTTCCCAAGATACCCCAATTACTTTCAAGTTTGTGTTTTCCCTGCCATTCCCACTGCTTGGATTACTTCTCTCTGTTTTCACTATTTTAGGTACAGCTTAAACGTCTTTATAACTCTGACTTCTCTCTGTACAAACCTCCTTTCTCTGTGTCATGTGGTACTGAGTCAATACTTACACATTAGCAAATATCACATTTTCTGTACCTATGTAATACTCTGTCTTTGTAAGGGACATAAACTCCCTTGAAGGATTCAGCAAGGCCTTATGTTTTTATTCTAAGACTAGATCCTGGTGACAGTTTTTAAAAATGCCTATGGAATTGAATTGTTTTATTCTGGCCATTTCTCAAGCTTATAGATGTCTTTGGAGCATAGGTTATGCTGTGCTGTGTTCTTCCTTTAAATTCCCCTGCTGTCATGCCAGGTCCACAAAGTATAAGGCAGCTTATACAGTGGGTGGTTAATAAACGTATTTGCCTACAGATTACCACTTTGTTGGTGACTTCTGCATGCCAGCCATTTGACATAGACAGTATAAAACCTTCATTCTCAAAACCACCCTGGGAGGGTCAAGCCTTCTCACAGTTACAGATAATGAAATCTGAAGCTCGGTTGTGGAGCTTGCTAACTGCCACACAGTCGTGAGTATTAGAAGTGTTACTGGAACCCCGGCTCAACTCTGATGCTTTTTCCACAGTCCCTTGTGTTCTCATTAAGGTCATAGAATTATTAAGAAATCTATTCTTCAGTTTCTGCTATTGTGCTTTTCCTATGTCTCAGAGAAAAGGGCAGGAGATATGAGTCTTTCACAGAAATTTCTGATTCCCTTGAATAACATGTAATGCAAATTTGAGGGAGAAAAAAAAATGAGGACAAAATGTTCCACTGTCATCCTGAACTCTTTCTCTACAGAAGAGGTAGATAAGTTGTAAGCATTGCAACTTTATGAGTTATTTTAAAAAATAATCAGAGGGAAATTAAATTAGAAAACAATTGTACACAGAGAGGTACAGTGAAAAGAACACTGTTATAAAGGTGAATAGCCGTGGATTATAGCTTTTTCATCTTATACTAGATCCAGGTTCATAAACACCTTGTTAAATATCTTATAACTTCATCTTACACATTTTGCTTACAGTTCCTTTCGTTGGACTGGATGAATTTATAGTCAGCCTAGATATATCATTGCATTAAATTCTAGTCTATTATATTCTCATCACCTTCAATATATTTTAATGATTTTGGTAGCAGAAATTAGGAGTAAGCATTAAATAAATATCTTTTGAAGGACTGAAAGCAAAGGTTACAACATTAATGACTGATTCAAGTAAGTTGAGGGTGCTAGAAGGTAAGAGATGTTTCGATGTTTCCTCTGAGAACTTAGGAAGAGCAAAGAAACTGGTTTCAATTAAAAAATAAATATTTGGTATCAGGCATCTAAGAGGAGAGGAGGATAAAGGGAAATTTGGCTGGGAGAACAAAAGCCCAGAAGGAAGAGAAGTATGGATAGAAGGAAAATAAGTTCTGTTTCAGAGCTGCTGGATCACCTGTAGATCCAGCATCCCCATCCCCACCCCTGCTTCTCAGGATGGAAGGACTTCACTGTATGAAAAGAAAAAGAAATCCTCTTACTCTTAGAGCTTTTGAAAAACAAAGAAGAATAAAGGAGGTTAGATCCTCATCTGAGCCTTATTTTCTGCAAAGCTGGATGCATTAGATGCTAATCCCTCAGGCCTTAGGGGGCTGCCACACTCAGTCGATGACCCCTAATCCCCTCTTATAGGTCCCCTAGAGTAAGTGATACTGTGCTAACTGCCCGGATGGGACTCTGGCCACATCTGGTCTCAGGACCCTCTGCTCTGCATTGAAATAGAAGGATGGATAAACAATTTGGACTTTCTCTTATTCCCCCTTTGAAGGGTGCAACCTTATTACACAAAGTGTTGAGCTCCTGACTCAATTAGTCTGCTAATGTGATTATATGCTAATCTGGGTTTTATTTTGCATCTGATTTTCATGTTATTTACTTGATTTTAAAATAAGCAGGAGCCCTCCTCTCTGGTTCCCACTCCATAACAGAGTGCATCAATCCTCACTCCCTACGTGATCCAGGTGTTCTTCAGTTACAGTTGGATGGGTCCAAAGACATCTATCATCTCAAGAAATTGCCAGAATCAAAAAATTCCTTACCATAGGCATTTTTTAAGCTGTCACCAGGATCTAATCTTGGAATTGCTCTTCAATTCAAGTTAAATCAGGGCTGTATGAAGGCACAAACCTCTCTTTTTTGACATTTTATAAATCCTCAAAATATTGGTTCAGTCCCTGACATAAATGTATCCTTTGAAAGAAGAAAAAAAATTTTTAGCCATTTTTTTTTTTTTGAGACGGAGTCTCACTCTGTTGCCCAGGCTGGAGTGCAGTGGTGCAATCTCGATTTTAGCCATTTTTTAAAAATTTCTCCAAAGAAACCTGGGCACATGGTAATGGGCTATGAATGACTATTATAGTTTTTAAAAAATATTTTGCTTTTAATAATTTTTATAATAGCAATAAAAAGGCAAATACATATCGTTTGCTATGCACAATATATTCACAACAGATCTATAACAAAGATAAAATTATTTTACCCATTTTACAGATAAGGAAACTGAGACACAGAGAACTCTTGTATGCCCGAGATTATATTGTTAGTAAGGGGAACAGCTGGGATGAAGGATACCTCATACCACTCGTTTAACAAAAGTTAAAAATTAAAAAAAAGTATATACAAATAACGTTAACACATTGGCATATGGGTGGATGAATACTGAGAAAGTTTTGTCTAAATTTATACAGAATTTCAGGAAAGCCACATATTGCTGTGGGGCTCCCCACACTGATACTTTAAATTAAAGTAGCTCAGGTAAGAACAATTATAGCTGGGTCAAGGAACAGCAGAAGAGCAAATAGCATGGCAAAAGAAGAAGAAAAAAACTTCATTTTTAAAAATTTACTGTTTTTAATTGTCTTGCTCAATGTGCTCTTTGGAAAGGAAAATTAGCCAAAGAAACAAGAAAGAAGGGTAACAATGAAGCAAAAGAGAACAGAGAAAACAACCCCTCTCAAATATGTATTTATCGTCCTCAGTAAACCTGTATTTAATGACAATTAAATGCAGGTCAAAGATGGGCTCAGTACAGAGGATGCAGAGAGTAGTAAAAAAAAAAATCATTGAAATCAGCTTATAATTGAGTAAAAAAGACTAAAAATGAGTAAAATAAGTATGTAAATATCTCTAAAGGAAGGCAGAATATGATAGATCTCATTGAGAGTTACAAAATGCCATGGATGCTCAGGAAAAAAAAAAATCACGATTCTTTAAGAGCCTTCTGAGGGTGCATTCTGAGCAAATATCCTTTCCCTGAACCTTGAAAAATTAGTAAAAACGTAGACTACACTCTGACAGATATAAAGGGCAAATGAGTGCTCAGGAAGCTCTGTGGCAGACTTTGTAGGGGTTCCGACAGAATGAGACTTTTCTCAAAATCCAAAGGACAGGCTACCCATTGCCTCAATCTTTACCGTTTAGGAAGAGAAGGGAGGAGGGCTGAAGTGGAGGATCCAGGAGACTTTGATAGAGAAGGAAAAGTCAGATTCATGGAGGCTCTGGGTATATTTGGGATCTACCCAGAGAATGAGGGTAAGACAACCTAAGAAAGAAATCATTTCCTCTTACCTTGTCATGAAAAAAAGGCAAAATCTAAAGAGTGAATACTTTTTCTCCTTAAAAGAAAATTATTGATAGGGGTACCATTCTTTCCTCATTGTGTTTGGTAAGGTTTTGCCCAGCCCCTAACGGCAGACCTTGCTAGCACAGATGGGCCTTTCAGCGCTGCCTGAGTTTCTATTCTCTGGCTAGCACCAGACTCCAGCCAACACAAAACTCCCCTCTAATTGTAATTGAATCCACACTTTTATAGTTCATTACCTCTCTGATAGACTAGATTAGATTAGGCTGAAGCTGTGGCCAGCCCAGCCCTCAGCCCAAGTTGGAGCACAGAAAAAGGGGGCAGGCTCAGACAGAAAGAAGGCACCTGACAGTGATCTGTCTTTCCTCCTAGCCATTAATCCATTTCTCTCCATGACAACCTCCCCCACTGCCTGCATTCCCTGCCCAACACACACACATCCACCGTTTGGGGATCAAAGGCTGGGACTCTTTGCAAAATTAGAAAATGAAAGAGATGCATAAGCCCTAAAGATCATCTAGCCTTAACCAATTTGATTTATAAATAAGGAAACTAAAGCCCAGGTAAGGAAGGAAATTCCCCAAAGACAAACAGCAGAGAAACCTCGTGTGATGGCCATGGAACTACACTACATAGATCTTCTGCAAGAAAACTTACTGCAGAGAGCATAACTGACTGACAAGTCCAGTTTGGCCCCTCTTGGATGTGCCACTGTATATGCAGGGAGGCCACATTACCCCTGTGCTGCTCCCAGCCAATGACTCAGCACAGCACAGGTCCTATAGCATGCGGGACTCCTCCAACAGACAATTTTGACTCAGAGCCTCCCCACTGGCATGCCTGAAACTGTCTTAGAACCATGCTGCAGTTTCAGGTCCTTTTCTGCACAATACTTCTTCCTTCTCCTCTGCTTTTATAGGTATCAGACCGGCATGATGATCTGAAGGCTGTCCCTGGCTACTCATACTCTCTTTCCTTTGTCTGTCATAGGCATTTCTTCCCACAAACTTCTCTTGGTTGTCTAATTTATATCTTGGTATCTGTTTCTCAAACATCTTGAATTAATCTACTTGGTCTCTTCCCTTATATCTGAGGGATCTCTTCTCTCCCCACCCAAACACAATTATGCATTTACTCAGTGGTTCTATCATAAGAAGTCCTCTCTATAGATCTGTATACAAATTATCTTTGCTTCTTTTTTATGTTTTCTTTGAGTAAAATTTTCTAGAAAGTCATGATTATTTTTATTTTGGTTCTCCTTTTCCAAAATCACATGTGAGATAACTTCAGATAAGTCCCCAGACACAACTGGAAGGATGGTAACTTCTAGACTCCTTCAGTCATGGAAACCTTAAGTAATCAAGGGTACTGCCCTTGTCAGGTACTCTTATGGTAGTATTTCAGTCGCCTGTTTTATCCCTTTAAATGCCATATTAACACATTGGCTTCCAAAGAGCACTGCCCTCATTGTAATTATTGGAAGGATTGGGTCAGAATTTAAAGAAAGGATTATTCCTGCACAAATTCTGATTAAAATGGGCTCCCTCAACCTCAGCTGAAAAGATTAACAACGGCCCAATCTCCTACAGCCAGCAAGTCTTCGCAAATAACTCCCAATCTCTCTACTGTTAGTTTATCTGTCAAGGATTAAACTGAGAGACTGCTCCCAAAACATGTATTAAAATAGCCACAAAGTATAGCCCTCTTATTCCTGGCAGCTGTTGAGCTCAAAGCAAGGGACCTAGAAACTTCTCTTTAATCAAGCATAGAGGGATGGGAGAATGAACTAGGGTAGGGAGGAGAGTAGAGCGGGGGTTGACTAAATTTGAAGGTGCCAGAGCAATGTGAGTTGTTCTTGGTTACTGAGAACAATCAGGAAGGTCAGGAGAGTTCTACCTTCACATTACTTTAGTGGAAAACATCCCAACATAGTGGAAAGAACAGGACATACCTGATCCAAAGATGTGAATTCCAAGCCAAACTCAGCCACTTACCACTTATATTCCTAGTTTTCTCAGCTGAAAATGGAAATACTAGTAACCATCTTACTTGTCTCACTCTAAGGAGATATGATTCATGTGTTAGATCTTAGATAACTATAACCTGCTTGTGGGAAAGATCACTGACAGTCTTCAATATCTATTTTTTTGTTTCTTATGTAGAATATAAGGTGAAGCTAGACGTAGGGCCACTCAGCCCCCTCGCAGCTATGTATGCCTAAGTTCAGGCCACTGGTATACAGTAAATTACAGCTTATGCTCTTATACAGCAAGCTTGTGCCTCTCCTCTCTCCACCCCTACTCCCAGTCTCTATCCTGCATACCACCTGGAATGTGACTATGAGAGAAGCATCTAGGAAAGCCATCTGAAAGATAAATAAAAACCTCATGTTAAGATGGCAAAAAAATAGACAGAAGGATCCTGAGTCTCTGATAACCGTGTAGTTACCCCATCATTCCTGATCATACTTTCTAGACATCGTATAAGGGAAAAATAACCTGCTGTGTTACGCAATGACTATTTTGAATTTCTTTGATTCAGTAACCAAATGGATATCCTAATATCCTAACCGTTCCACCATTCTATAAATATAAATTATTATTATTGTCATTATTAATATTATTCTAGTAGCTGCCTAGGAGCAGGGATATCTCAAGGCCCTATAACCTGTGTGGTCCTGAAGAAAACCTCCAAGTTTTAGCTTCTACATTAAACAGCTTCCATTCAGCAGAGCACTGTTTTCATTTTAGTTTAGCTTAATCCAAAGAACAATGTCATAGCATTATTTTGAAGGGGCTCGACATCCCGATTACTTCCCACATTAGATGAGACTGCCAAATCCCTTCACTTCACCTTTTATCATTTAGTCTCCAGAACATCCTTCTGCACAAGTAGTTGCACTCTGTAATTTCCAGAGTCCCCCGACCCTTTTCTTTTCTTATCTAACTGTATGTCTCTTGCCTCCTTCATCTGCCCTCCAACAGCAATGAGTCTTCCTACCTTTTCTCTATTTCTTCCTCCTCCAAAACATTTCTTGTCTGTTAAATGAAAAACCTCCGTCTAAAACTATAGAAAATATTATTTAAATTTACTATCATGGAGGTTCTCACACAAACACACACACACACACACACACACACACACACAAAATGCATACCCTAAGGTAGCCATGCCTACTATGAATCTGCTGACATAGCCCAAAACATGCTTCTTTGCAAGCTCTCCTATACCCTTCCCACACAAATATAAGCACATAAGCAATTCTGATGCATGTTAAAATTTAAGCACTACTGAAGATTCAGAAAGGCATCCATTTTTCTATTTCTCCATTTTCCACTATCTAAAGGTAGGATTGCTACTGTGCAATCTTAGAGGGAAATATCACAGTATTGGGACAGGGACAGGTACCCGAGACGAAGAGCATGGAGTGGGAAAGCGGCCATGATTATCAATTTATTTCAAATGTTTTACCTTGTTAAGTCATATCTAATCATCCTTATATTTAAAAAGTCCATGCTGATGTCTAACTTTAGTGCCTCCTGAGGAAGGTTAAATTCACTCATTTGCTATAACACTTCCAGCCAACTAAGAACAACAGGTTACTCGTTGTGACTTAAAGGAGCCTAGAGTTGCCTTCAGGCCAAGGGAGGCAATGGAGATGCTAGAGATGCCTTCTGGACGTGCCCTCAGAGGCAGATGCCATTTCCTCTGGAAGTATAGCACATTTGTTGGCAAAGGAAATCTCCCTCCAGGGCAGGCAGGGAAGGACAATAGGGCCACGTCACCACCCACCATCTGCCATGAAAACAGACACCAGCTGACAGGGAGGGAAGCTCAAAATCCCACTCCCACCCCCACACCAACGTCAGCAACCTCACTGCCTGACCTCCTGAGATGGTGGCGGGGGAAGAGAGGTTGGGATTAGCCCATGGGGACTATTGGGATCAAGTTCTGGGTCACCCTGCCCAGACTGCTGCAGTTCTTTTATCAGGGCCCCAGAATTATCAAATCTTCACTCTCATCTGTGAGATGAAGAAACAAACCACAGCAGATAAGCAGAGATCAGTATACAACAACTCAGAAAAGCAATCCTGTTTCTGGGTGGCCAGTCTGCCCTGTCTCTGGATGTCCAAGGCCCCAGAGGAGCACAGAGACATGGGAAAGGCAACCTTGGATAACTGACATCAGCAATAATTTAGCGCTGTCAAGGCAACAACCAGTGCGTGGAGTGTAATAGAAACAGTAGTCCCAGAGTAAAGGTGGCTTCCTAGGGAGTGCACTTAGAGCTGCTCCTGAGTGAAAAGGCTTGGCTTATCAGTGAATGTTTTATGCATTATTGTGTAGTGAAAAGAAGCAGGAGTCCTAGGTTCTGCTGCTATTACTCAGGTATGTCCGAAGGCAAGTTCCTTCCCTGTTCAAGAACTCAGTCTTCCCTTATATGAAATTGCAAGGTTGGATAAGATCTGAAGGAGTCTTCCCTCACTCATGAATGGCAGACAAATGCTCAAGTAGAATCTCTCAGAATGAAGAAAATACACTTGAAGGGTCTGAGACAGAGCCCAAGAGTTCCCACATCTTAAGAAAATAGAATAATTTCAGCCCCTCCCTGCAGGACAACAGCATAACACCTTTAATTTACAACGCAATCTGATCTGATGAGATTAGATCCATTCGACCTATGAAGGAGCTAGACCATTACTGTTACTCTCATCTGTCCTAAAATATGCTAAGAAAGATTAAGTAACAGGGCCAGGCTATAAAGTAACTGAAAAAGGAGCTGTGTCTAGAAGTCAGAAAGCCCAACATTCAAAACAGAGCTGCTTCCACTGAGTCATGGATCATCTGAGACCTTGACCAAGAAGGCCTTAATGTTGTCCTCAGCCAGACTAAGCCTTAAATAGGCTTCTTCTTAGCTCTACATCCATGGCCCCTTTTCTCTTAGACTATTTTCTTTAAAAAACTTATCACTGCAAATTTTGTCTCTGCTCCTTTGAGATATAAATATTTTTAAAATCCTCTAAATCATTCTATTATAAAGACACATGCACACATATGTTCATTGCACCATCATTCACAACAGCAAAGACATGGATTCAGTCTAAATGCCCATCAATGACAGACTGGATAACGAAAATGTGATACATATACACCATGGAATACTATGCAGTCATAAAAAAGAATGAGATTATGTCCTTTGCAGGGACATGGATGGAGCTGAAGGCCATTAAATTTAGCAAAGTAACACAGGAACAGAATACCAAATACCACATTCCCACCTATAAGTGGGAGCTAAATGATGAGAACACATGGACATGTAGAGAGGAATGACACACTCTGGGGCCTATCAGAGGGTGGAGGAGGGAGAAGATCAGGAAAAATAACTAATGGGTAGTAGGCTTAATACTTGGGTGAGGAAATAATCTGTATAACAAACCCCCAAGACACAAGTTTACCTATGTAACAAGCCTGCACTTGTACCTCTGAATTTAAAATAAGAGTTAAAAAAATAAAAATAAAAATAAAATAAAATCCTCTTGCCAGTTCTACAACCTAGGAATGTCTTGCTCAGGGGCCTGGGAGCCATCCCTTTGAAATGTAGCCATCAAGGGGGATAGTGTTGCTATTTCCTAGTCTCTGTGGGAAGGTAGGAGCCTTACTTCAGCAGATGCCTTGCTTGTTCCAAGTTGCAAAACTGCCTACTTTCTTAAAGATATGAGAAGTTTATATTTTCCTTTGGATGAAGCCAATTAACAAGCATAGAAGATATATGGTCCTCCTAATGTCTTTTGGTATTTTTCCACTAGCTCACCCAAGAGCTTAAAAACCCTCCCCCTCTTTTTTTCAGAGGACTCGAGATTAGACTGAGTGTGGACTCTCTACCCTATTGCAATAGCCTTGAATAATGTCTCCCTTGCCTGCTTAAGGTTTATCCAGTGCAATTACTGCTTGACAACTTCCTCAGTACATTTGCTACAGCTCACTTCATTTCTCTTACTTTGAGTTTATAATTTGTCATGCAAATCAATTTATGACAGAAGCTTTTCATTTATTTGACAAATATTTATTAAGCAACTACTATACATTAGATATTGAGCTAAGTCCTGGCTTGGTTATTTTTCATTAAAATATAGTATGCTTAAAGTTATAGTGGGTATCATTTATGACAGATTCTTCAAAAGTTAAGCCAAAATTTTCTCCCCATAGTCTACATGGGCAATGCCTAAAAGCCCACCTAACCAACCATCTACTGAATTTAGAAATTATAAATTACTTCTTTGCACCAGCCTCTGTGTTAGATGCAGAGGGATGCAGAGATATGAAAAAATAATGATAAGTAAAGCATATCCCTGCCTTCCAAGTACTCACAATGCAGGAGAGGAAACAAATATAGGCACAGATCACTTTAACTCAAAGAGGGACATTAAATGCTAAATGGGTTACGACAACCTCTTCATTGATATCTGGCAAAATTAACGTCACTCAAAGTGTAGAGGGTTCTGTGTACACAAAGAACTGTTCCAAACTCTGAGCTGCTCACTAACGAGTAGGTGAGTAAAGAGTGTATACACAAGAAAATAAAAACACTGAACTCAGTCTTGGATAGAGAGACATCGAGTTGTTTGCTTCACAGAGAATTCGGGGACCAGACTAAAATCTGAAGATGAGCTGAAAGAGTCCTGTGTAGAAAATAGGCAAGGATTTGGCGGGGTAGGGGGAGGTTGCCCACCTTTATGAATGAGTTTGTAAATATGACTCTTCTACAGAACCTGTGGAAGCTGGAGTCCCTAGGAAGCACAATGCTGACATCTACTCTGCTACCTGCTAGTTGAGGCTGTAGTCATGATGTTTGAGTTGCAGAGCCTGAGAGCATTATAAGGATGAATTCTTCTGTTCTCTCCCTTTTTTTTTTTTTTTTTTGAGACGGAGTCTAGCTCTGTTGCCCAGGCTGGAGTGCAGTCCTCCTATCTCGGCTCACTGCAAGCTCTGCCTCCCAGGTTCACGCCACTCTCCTGCCTCAGCCTCCTGAGTAGCTGGGACTATAGGCACCTGCCACCACGCCCGGCTAAGTTTTTGTATTTTTTAGTAGAGACGAGGTTTCACCGTGTTAGCCAGGATGGTCTGGATCTCCTGACCTCGTGATCTGCCTGCCTCAGCCTCCCAAAGTGCTGGGATTACAGGCGTGAGCCACTGCGCCTGGCCTGCATTCTTCTGTTCTCATTTCCCTAATCCAGTTTCTTTGGAAGATGCAACTTCCCTCCCCTATTAGGTTTCCAGGTGACTAATAGGAATTTAATTTTAGGAGACTGTGGGAGGAGTACTTTAAAGCTTCATTTGATTTCTGTGTGTGCAAAAATTCTGTGCATCTATTAAACTTACTTCAAGTGAACAGAAAAGGAGAACAAATATTTATAAATACAAATGTTTTGGATTACTAAATATTATAAGAATAGAAAAAGAAAACAAAATGAAATAAAACACAGAAATAAACCTGGGATCAGGAGAGTCTGAAAGAAGTACCACTGTATAATCTACAGTGAAAAAAAGAAAATCTAGACCACAAAGTTCCCCCAAATTATCTCCAAAATTTACATGGATATCCTCGGTTTCTGCCTCCTACATTTAAGGGATAGAACAACATGAGATTTTAGAACATGACATCAAAAACCCAGAAATATCAGACTAGTGGAAAAATGACTAAGAATCTAGAAGGAACTGTAGGGTCAGGTGAAGGGTAAAGAGAGCATGAAAGGCATATAAGACTGATAATTTAGTGACATGTAAATAGGAAGATGAATACAAACATAGGGTACACTTCAAATGATCATTCATTTTACAATAGAGGGAAGAAACAAAATGTATACATATGCACACACAACTGAGTCCAAGCAGAGTATGCACAGGGGACAGGAGGAGTAGGCAGATAATCAACGGATACACAATTAACTGGTATCCAAGTGGCTCCACAGTACTGATGAACATCCTAGGAAGAATCTGGCAATAATAACAGAAAATATCCAATAAATGAAGTCCCAGATAAGGACTTAATTATTGAGGAACAGAGCAGAAAATCTATATTACCAGGAAAGTAGGTGAAAAGCAGAGGTATTTGAAAACTGAAGACAAGAGATAATTCAGTTATAAGTATTAAATCAGACTACACAAAGAAAAAAAAGTTGAGCAACTAGATGGTCTCTATGGAAAACACATGTGGAGTCTATGTACCAAACCTGATCCCAGAGACTAAGGAGTGGTGAGCCTGTACCTGGGCATTACATAGGCAAAGATGCTCAGGGTAGAGAGGTACAGAGTCTCAGAGACCTTCACAGGAATTAGAAGTCAGGTAATTTGGTTCTAAACTCAGCCCTGACTCTGACTGTGTGATGGTTACCCCTTTCATTGTGTCTCTAAGCTGGATAAGTCCCCTTCCAGCTCTGATATAGGATTGCATCAAAAGTTTGTAGGGCTGTTATCAACAAATGGCCTAGGACTGAGATGATTCTCCTGGTCTTGTTCAAATCTCTCTTATCCTTGAACAAACAGCTTTATGAAAAAATAAGTAATATTTTTTCTAAACTCAAGAAAAGATGAGGCCGGGTGCGGTGGCTCATGCCTGTAATCCCAACACTTTGGGAGGCCGAGGCGGGCGGATCACGAGGTCAGGAGATCGAGACCATCCTGGTGAACACGGTGAAACCCTGTCTCTACTAAAAAATACAAAAAATTAGCCGGGCGTGGTGGCGGGCGCCTGTAATCCCAGCTACTCGGCAGGCTGAGGCAGGAGAATGGTGTGAACCTGGGAGGCGGAGCTTGCAGTGAACCGAGATCATGCCACTGCACTCCAGCCTGGGAGACAGAGCGAGACTCTGAGAAAAAAAAAAAGAGAGAGAGAAGGAAGGAAGGAAGGAAGGAGAAAGAAAGAAAGAAAGAGAAAGAAAGAAAGAAAGAAAGAAAGAAAGAAAGAAAGAAAGAAAGAAAGAAAGAAAGAAAGAAAGAAAGAAAGAAAAAGAAAAAAGATGAGACACTCAGGGACATGGTGGGAAAATTTTACTAGCCAGTAGAACTCAGTCAGAGATGGCTGCTGTGGCTAGAACAGAAGTCCCCGATTTTATAGGTCCCACTTCAAAGGATTGACCGGCCTTCTTTGGAAAGTAATGAAGATACTCCCCAGAGAATCAGAGTAGACTGATTGTAATTTACATAAAAGAAGGAGCTAAGAAACAAAAATGCTTTGAGCTAATGTCATTATTAATTATCAGAATAAACTTGGAATAATTACATTCTCTTTCTGGGCCTTAGCTCCACCACATGTAAAATAAAGGTGATTATAATTCGTTTCTAACACTCCCACAGAATCAGGAGAAGTTCTCCTTTAACTTGCTCACCATCACTGTAAGTCACAGGAATGATGTAGCCAACTATCTGTTACACATTAGTTTACTCAATCATCATAGCAGCTTTTGAGGAAGGTACTATTATTATGCCATTTTTATAAATGAGAAAATGAGTGCCCGAAATGTTAAATATGTTGCTGAAGGTCATACAACCAGTAAAGGGTTGGGATTCAAACCCAGGAGTTCTCAGGCCTGAGATCCCATGGCACTGCTCCAAAGTTGATCTCATAGAAATGACCACCCTCTGTGCACCACCTCCCCGCCCCAGTTTGCTGATGTTACTAGGTCGTCTGCCTGAATGCAGTTAATTAGCAGAAAACATTCACACAAACGAGTCTGGGACTGCCTACTTTGACATATGCAGCACAGAGTGAGTCACGGCTTCACAACAACAGCAGTCACACCTGACACCTCCTCTTATGTCCAGTCACTTTTCTATTTTATGTAGTACTTGCTACTTGTCAGAGGACTTAGCTTACCCACTTTTGTTTTTTTGTTTTTTTTTTTTGTTTTCTTTACCCAAGCCCATATTGAGATTACTGAGTTAAATATCCTGGTCAAAGTATAAGAACAAAAGAGACAAAGGCAAATGTGGGAGAGGATGTCTGGCGTATAGGCTCCCATCAGTAACTGTGGTGCATCCCCTGCTACCTCTGCCTTTTCACCCTGCTGCCCACAAGTATGCAAGCTCAGCAGCGCCATCCACAGAAGAGTCCTAGAACATTCAGTGTAGACCCAGCTCTCCTGCTCACAGGATCTATGACCTTTAATGGATTACCTAAACTTGCTGTTTCTTCACCCCTAAAGTGTTCCCTGATCCTAAACAACTTAAGAAGATATTACGTATGTTCCCTCATGGGAAAATTCCAGTTAGGGTTGGGAAATAGAGTATGATTTCTTTAAGGATATCATCATACCAAAACTATGAGGCAGTGGCTTGTCCACAGAAGGACAGAAATGCAGAATGGAAACCGTAGGCATGGCCAAGGATGCTAGAGACCAAGTCAAGCTGACCATGGAGTCAGAGTGCCCAGATACTCTAACCAGGATTGAGTCAGCAATCCTAAACTAGGTAAACTAGTAAACGTTAAGGAAAAATAATTTCTGACAGTGAGGAAGAGAAGAAATTGGCTACTTGTACACATAGGACAAAATGATCCATCCTCCCTCAAAAAAAGGAACATTGAAACCATCACTACAAACAGAGAAGAAATTCGAAGTGCCATTAAATATCAGACCATCATATATAGTCTACCTCCCTTTCAGTTAAGCGTGCACACACACACACACACACACACACACACACCCCTACATACTAGTTATCTGCAGTGGGCATGGGTTATAAAGAACTTTTTTATATTACACATTTCTCTTTTGAATTATTTAAAATAACATTATATTCTAGTCCTCAGATGGCCACACAGTTATACAGAAAACTTTAAAACTTGAAATCATTATAGTGCCAATGAAAAAGCAAATAATAAACCTGGACTGATAGTCAAATAAGATTAATGATTCGATAAGGATTATAAACCTATCGTGTATCAGAACCAGGGTTTCACTATAAGGGTACAAATCCAATTCCACTTCTCCAGGTTTACAAAGAACCAATATGACAATAAAGATCCTTTAAAAAAATCTCAAGTTAAAAAGACATATATGATGTTCGGAATAAAGATCCTATATTCAAACTTGTACACAAAATAATACTATGGCCATAAATATTGCCCAGTAAAAAGGGGGCTGATTATAAGCCAAGGTTTATGAAAGAAGATAAAAAAGGAAGAGTTAGGTGCTGTTTGGTGAAGATGTAGTTATTCTAACAAGTAGCAGAGAGAAGGCAGAATTCCACTTCTGACTGACCCAGTACAGAAAGCAGTCTGGAAAATACAGGAAAATAAATATTTTGAAGGTGAACTTCGAAGCTCATAAGGAGAAAAGATTATCAGAGAGCACTGAGTTGGGTTAAGTAAACTTAAGCCTCTCGAAACAGTAGTGCCAAATAAAGATGAAAATCTGATTGGCGATGTGCTTGCTCTTCATAACATGGGTCCCTAACCCCTGGGCCGTGGGCCAGTCCCCATCCTTGGCCTGTTAGGAACTGGGCCGCGCAACAGGAGGTGAGCTGTGGACGCTTGAGCTTTATGGCCTCAGCTCCACCACCCGTCAGATCAGCAGCCGCATTAGCTTCTCATAGTACCACGAACCCTATCGTGAACTGCGCATGCGAGGGATCCAGATTGCACGCTCCCTACGAGGAGCTAATGCCTTTCCCCAGTACCTTCACCCCCCACTCTCCACCCCGCATGGAAAAATTGTCTTTCACCTTCCACGAAACTGGTCCCTGGTGCCAAAAAGGTTGGGAATCGCTGCTTTATAATATTTAGGAAACTTTTGAGATAAGAAAATGTTACCATGCTTTTCAGTAGAAGAAAAATTCTGCAATCTGTACATAATGAGCTTGACTTTATTCTGTAACAATGTTGAAAAATGGATGACGCAGCTAACGGTTCCTGTTTTCTATCTTATTCAGTGTGTTTCTCAGTGCAGCTATTGCAAATTCAGATGTATTGGGATTTAAGTCCACAACAGCCACTTTTTATTTTATTTGCCCAGACTTCATAGAAAATAAACACAGCTACAAGTTTGAGGATTTTTTATTTTCATAACAGGTCTAAATAATTTAAACAATGATGGATCAGATTAACACAGTTCATTAAAATTTGTGTGTAGGACAACTCCCAAGTAAGAAAAAATATTCTCTAGAAAAAAATGAATAATTTACAATACCTTGTAAACTTTGAGGTCATTGCAAGCTTTGATTAAACGTTACTCTGGCAGGCATTATTGGTTGCCTACCCGGTTGTCATTCCCATTTCCCTTATTCTCAATCACTGGAGGCTGCCTCAGGTGATACGGAGTGAAAAATACAAAGTATTCATGTTGCTAGTCTTGCTTTCATCTGCGGATGCACAAATTCCAGTCAATCCCACACTGATTTTTTTAACTAATTAAAAGAGAGAAATAAAGAGGAAGAATGACACCACCAAGAAAAGCAGGTTCACCACCTACACCCACTTTCCTTCCTGATATTGTGTAGAATTGTGGAGGACATGGTGTTTAGACCTAGGTCAGCTATCTTTTTGATCATCCTAGCAACAAAGATTTGATGAAGACTTAGCATGTATCAAGCACTTTGATTATTGGGGATTAGAGACAAAGAATTAGGTCAGGGAGGGGATTATGGTTCATTAGCTTCAGGAAACTGGTAATTATTTTTGTGTGTCTAAAATCTATGAGATTCAGTCAATGGCATGGCTAAACATATAAACAAAGAGTAAGCTTTGGCATATGCTGAAAGAATAAACACACACATACATGCAGACACAAAGCCATTCTCATATGCACACACACCTATTGAATCAAGAGTTTTGGGATCTATCTGAAGGCCGAGGTCCATTCTTGTTAAAGCAGTGAGGGGGGAGAAAAGGATTTATGTCAGCTTTGACGGGGGGAATGGATCCTGCAGGCCTTTCATAAGAAACTTGTTTTTCTCCTTCTTAGCAAAATTCATTCCCATAAGTTTCTGGGGTATTTTTCCCCCTGGCAAACGTGGATAAGGAGTAATTTGTGTTGTGTCTAATAAACTCTATGAAAGTTCCTCAAAGTGACTCAGTGGCAAATTTTCCAGTGAGCAGTGCATCAAGGCATGATATTAAGTGAGGATTACCATTCTCTCTCCATTTGCCCAGGTCAGGGAAAGCAGTCACCTCTCTCCTCTCCCAGTGCCATCCCAGAATCACCTATAGTGATTCAATTCAGGATCTAGGAGTCAGAGACCAATCGGCTGAATTTAAACACAACTTATTATGTATAAACTTTTGAGGACTAGACTCATTAGTGTAAAATCTGGAAGTCATTTATATTAGAGTATAATTCATGAAATTTACTGGTTTTTTTTTTTTTGTTTTTTTTTTTTTTTGAGACTAAGTCTCGCTCTGTCGCCCAGGCTGAAGTGCAGGGGCCTGATCTCGGTTCATTGCAAGCTCCACCTCCCGGGTTCATGCCATTCTCCTGCCTCAGCCTCCAGAGTAGCTGGGACTACAGGCGCCCGCCACCACACTCAGCTAATTTTTTGTATTTTTAGTAGATACGGGGTTTCACCGTGTTAGCCAGGATGGTCTCGATCTCCTGACCTCGTGATCCGCCCTCCTTGGCCTCCCAAAGTGTTGGGATTACAGGCGTGAGCCACCATGCCCAGCCGGGTTTTTTTTTTTTTTTTTATAGCAGTGTGTAGAGGGAAATTTATAGCACTAAATGCCCACAAGAGAAAGCAGGAAAGATCCAAAATTGACACCCTAACATCACAATTAAAAGAACTAGAAAAGCAAGAGCAAACACATTCAAAAGCTAGCAGAAGGCAAGAAATAACTAAAATCAGAGCAGAACTGAAGGAAATAGAGGCACAAAAAATCCTTCAAAAAATTAATGAATCCAGGAGCTGGTTTTTTGAAAGGACCAGCCGGGTTTTTTTTAATGTAGCTCATCAAGATTGAAAACCATCATGAGATGATACAGTTAACTGGTAACAGAATAGCTTCTAGGTGTTTCTTTTTTTTCTTTTTGAGACTGAGTCTCGCTCTGTCGCCAGGCTGCAGTGCAGTGGCACGATCTCAGCTCACTGCAACCTCCACTTCCCAGGTTCAAGTGATTTTCCTGCCTCAGCCTCCCGAGTAGTTGGGACTACAGGCATGCACAACGTGTCCAGCTAATTTTTGTGTGTTTTTTTTTTATAGAGATGGGGTTTCACCATGTTGGCAAGGATGGTCTAGGTCTCCTGACCTCTTGATCCACCTGCCTCGGCCTCCCAAAGTGCTGGGATTACAGGCATGAGCCACCACGCCCAGCCTGGGTGTTTCTTCTGCCTCAGGAATATGGGCCAAGCATAGAAGAGAGAATATTATTTGAATTAAAGATTATGCTCAGGAAGAGAGTAGGTGATACAGTGACACCAGGATAAAAAAAAATGAGAGTTCTTGAGCTAATCCTAATTCTGAAAGATTATTGAAATTCTTCAGAACTAACAGGGAATTTAAAAAACTCTAGCAGGATATGCATGTCCCAGTTGTCCACAATGCTCTACCTAATCTAACTCATCCTTCTTTCTCACAAGATCTTAACCAGTGGAAGAGAAAGGAGGGAGAAGCAAGAGGGTGAGAAGGGGGAACACTCACTGTGTCCATGTTACCTGTTACATGTAACCCCTTTTAATTCTGATTTTTAAGTAATCTGTAGGAAAGTTTATTGTTATCATTATTTTACAAATAAGAAACTAAAACCTAGATATATTGAGTGAATTTTCCCAAGATCACACAGAGCAAAAGGAAGGAAAATCCAAAGGCACACAGCAATATTCTTTTCACCAATCACGCCTAAGAGGAAGAATGACACCACTGACCCTACTCCTCATTCCACCAACCCCTAGCTCTCCAAGTGGAAGGAGGGTGGCTCATGTCTAAGTACTTAATGGAACAATTACAAGCTGTATTATTTTTCCTGATGCTAAAGTAGCAACCATCAGTAGGCAAAAGGTACAGAATTGGGCCTGTTTCTGTGTGAAGAGAGAGGAACGTGTAGTTCGAAACAGAAAATATATGTATCATCCTTCTTATGATATTGGCCTCTATTCTTTTTGAGAATTCTCATTTGTCTTATGAATTTTACGTGTGAGTGTGATATGTGAGTACACATATGTTACTTATTTGGTATAGTACTTACCTAACAGTTAATTGCTGACAATTGGAATAATTAAAATGTGTATCATAACACAGGCTCCTAGAAAGATTTTTAAGGATTCTTGCTTTGGAGTGCTTGTGTCCACCCTGAATACTATAAAAAACCTCCAGGAATTCACTTACTGGAGACCTTAGGGTATTATTCTAGATTTGATAAAATAAGAGCTGGAAAGGTACGTTCTCAGGGAAGAAGATGGATCCTAGATTGAGACCAGCCCATATTGGTAGGAAGATCACATGCATAAAGCTGCAGTAAGAAAATAATTCACCTCATAATAAGAATGACACAGTGGACTTTGGGGACTCCAGGGGAAAGGATACGAAGAGGGCAAGGGATAAAAGGCTATGAATTGGGTTCAGTGTATACTGCTCAGGTGATGGGTACACCAAAATCTCACAAATCATCACTAAAGAACTTACTCATGTAACCAAATACCACCTGTTCTCCCCAAAACCCATGGAAATAAAAATTTTAAAAACATTTTTAAAACTATGAAAAAAGAAAATTCACCTCATAGACACAAGCAGAACAGGAAACAAGTTTAGAAACTAGGAACACTGAGAAGGGGGCCTTTGGTGAAGTAAGTACTTTGGAATACTTTTCATGTGGCCTATGAGAGCACTCATTTTTAGGGGACAATTTTAATCTTTCTTCCTTTAATGTTATATTTATCTTAATGTATCTTAATTCTTTAGGAGGAGAACTTAGGAGGAAGGTATGCAAGAGTAGAGGAAGGTGTGTTCTGCGTCTCTTTGTGGCCTCTCCAATGTCGACCCACAGGAGCAGCATCTAGTAGTGTCCATGAGACCTAAGCAATGAGCTATGAAATGAGAGATGTTCCTGCCACGGCCTAAATGCTCGTGTCTCCCCAAAATTCTTATGTTGTAACTTAATTCTCAGAGCAATAGTATTAAGACATAGGGCCTGTAGGAGGTAATTAGGTCATGAGGGCTCTGCACCCATGAATGGGATTAGTGCCCTCATAAAAGAGACTTGAGGAAGCCTTTTTGCTCTTCCCAACATGTGAGGACACAGCTAGAAGGCCCAAATTTGAAGCAGAGAGGGAATCCTCACCAGACACTGAATCTACTGGCACCTTCATCTTAAACTTCCCAGACTCCAGAACAGTGATCAATAAGTTTCTGCATTTTAGAAATTATGCAGTCTAAGGCATCTTGTCACAGGAGCCTGAATGGACTAAAGACAATGTTCGACTGCAAACTGGGGTGAGCTTGGATGAGCACATAATCCTGAGGAAAAATTGCCAGGAGGATGATTATAGAGGGTTATGAGGTAATCCCCTCTACCCTCATTTCCCATATGTCCTAGAAAAAGGAAGCCTTTGCAAGGGTCAAAAATATGCGGACACTTTAGTGGTGCAATGCATATTGGTTTGATCGGTTCACACACCAAACTCTGTCACCTCAGGAAGAAAGGAGCTGGATGTGCACCAGGCAGTGCTCAGGGCTGATGGTTTGAGGTCTCACTGTTTATACCCACAGCCTATCTTTCAGAGTTGTTATGAAGCTAAAATAAGTAGAAAGAGAGAAAGTATTGCATCAATGGGAAATTTATTTAAGTAAGTGGAAATAAAAATTAACCTTATAATAGATTTAGTCATTCAACAGATATTAATTGAACACCTAGTAGATGCCAGACACCATGAAGATGACTGGGAATGCTTTTAGTTACTACATACTAAGTAACATGGATAGTTAGATGTTGTCTCTTGCTAGAGGTCAATATGATTGATATAAGTCACTAGGCTGTATGGAAGCAGAGGGGCAGCTGGGAACAGTACCGCAATTTTTTCTTTGAACCTCACACATTTTTCCTGATCTACCTAGCTGTCCATCCCCAAAATAAGGATCAACCTTGCCTGCCCTGAGCAGCTGTGAGCACATCCTTCCCCTTGATCCCATCCATATGTAGATAGCAATCCCTCCCCTGGAGAGAGGTCTTAAAGTCAAGGTATCTGAAGCGGGAAAGTGAGTTCTCGCCCCTGACTTCAATCCTTCTCGTATAATTGAAGGTCATCTTTTCTTGCATCATCCCCCATGGAGATACAGCACAGCAGGTCACTCTCCTCCAATAACCTCGGAAATGTGATGCCCACTCCAGTTGTCTCCTCAGCAGACAATTCTCTGTATTCGTATAAACTTAATTCCCCACCCTGCTTTTAAATTTTTTTAAAGTGCTTTGAATTTTACAACAGCTTTAGATCTGCAGAAAAATATGTGAAAATGGTATAGATATTTCCTGTATCCCCTTCACTAAGTTTCCCCTTTTATTAACATCTTACATTAGTATGGTTTATTTGTTATAAATAATGAACCGATATTAATACATTATTATTAGCTAAAGTCTACACTGATTTCCTTCTTTTTAACCTATTTTCCTTTTTCTATTTCAGGATCCTATCCAGGAAGCCACTTTTTTAAAAAAATTAACTTTTCATATGTACAATTCAGTGACATTTAGTGCACGCGCAATATTGTGCAACCATCAGCTCTTAGTTTCAAAACATTTTCATCATCCCAAAAGGAAGTACCCTAGCTATTAAGCAGCTGTGACCTCATCTGCCCTCCCTCTGACCCCTGGTAACCACTAACCTGCTTTCTCTATGGATTTACCTATTCTGGATATTTCATATGAGCAGAGTCATACAGTATGTGACCCTTTGTGTTCAGCTTCTTCCAGGTTGTAGCAAGTGTCGCACCTCAATCCCTTTTATGACTGAATATTATTCCATTGTATAGATATACCATATTTTGTTTGTCGATTCATCTCTTGATGGACATTTGGGTTGTTTCCTTTTTTTGTTGTTATTATGAATAGCGCTGCTATAAACATATATGTTTTTGTTTGAATATCTGTTTTCAGTTCTTTTTTTTAAGTATAAAAAAAGGATACCACTTTATGTTTAGTCATCATGTCTCCTTAAGCTCCTTGGCTATAATGACTTCTCAGACTTTCCTTGTTTTTGATGACCTTGACAGTGTTGCAGAGTGATGGTTACGTATTTTGTAGGATATCCCTCAATAGCAATCTGTCTGATAGTTATCTCATTATTAGATTGGAGTTTTATTTTTTTGTAGGAAGATTGCAGAGGCAAAGTGTCATTTTCATTACATCAAGGAAATGTTGACATGATGACTTATCATGACTATCACTACAAATATTAACCTTGATCACCTGGCTGAGGTAGTGTTTGTCAGATTTCCTTACTGTAAAGTCATGCTTTACCCCCTTTCATCATGTACTCTTTCAAAGGAAGTCACTATGCACAGCTTACATTGAAGAGTAGAAAGTTATGCTCTACCTCCTTGAGGACAGAGCATCTACATAACTTATTTAAAATTATTCTGCACAATATATTGGTCTATTTGCCCCCATCTGTCTATTTATTTATTCATTTATTTATTTACATCGGTACAGACTTGTAGATTTTTATTTTACACTATGCACTATTCCCTATTTTTATCTGCTTTCTTAAGATGAGGAGCACAGATCTGAGTCCTTTAGAGTCCACAACAGTGATTTTCAAACTGCTCTGCAGGTCTGCCTCTGGAAAAGTTGGGGAGATGAATGGGAGAAAGTACAGGCTGATGGAAGGGATGACAAACTAGCTAAATCTGCTTGTGTTTATGCTATTCGTCAAGAATATATCCATTTTTCTTTCTCCTAAACTTTCTTTTAACAAAAAATTGTATAGCACAAGTTTAAATATCACTAATTAGACTCTATCTCAGTGGATGCCATTCAAGTCAATGCAGTGATTTTCTAGAGGAGAGCTGAGCAGAAGGTGACTTGCTTAAGGCTATTGAAGCAGTAGAGCTGGAGCCTGGTGGTGTGCAGTCTAATCCTCATGGCAAGAGGATGCCAGTGGGATTTTTGCTTCAGGAAAAGAGGTTAAAAAGATAAAATTTAATCTATATCACATTGATGGACTCTTACAGACTTGTGCTCCAAATTACTTTTAATGCCACCTTGCATTTCTCTAGAAACATGCACAATTATTATTGGATTGGTTTTCTTAGGGATAGAAAAACAGAGATTCATTTCTTCCCTCTTCTTTTCCAGATATGCTAATTGAGGCATGGGAAAATGATGTGTATACAACCAATGTCATTAATTGTTGTTAATGGAATCAAAAAACGGGAAAGCTATATCAGGGAAATCATAGATATACGGGTCTGACCCATTTTAAGAAAGGTTCGATAATTCTTTAAAAGTAAAGAATCATTCTTTGTAAAAGAAAATTATAATCATTCTTTTAAAAGACAGAGAGAGAAAATAAGGAGAATTTGCTTTGGAAAGGTGGCAGTTAAAATTTTCCAACACAGAAGTCATTCAAATGTTACTCATTAAGATATAACTTGGTTTACAAAACCACATTTATCTGCGCTACACTGGTGTAGAAATGGGAAGTATCTGGGAGGAGGGTCTGAGGGTAGCAATGAGGCAAAGGCAGCAGAAGCAGCCCTTAGCTGGGAATAGAAATATGTTTCCTCCTGCCCAGAACCTTGAGTTTCCAGCTATTATACATCTTTACAAAAAAATCTATTCTCTTGCCCCAGGGAATCAACAAGTTGTCTATTTCTCACCTCTGGGTACAATTCAAATCAAAGACTGGAAGCTGAACATTTGATTCTGTGAGCCCCAAGTGAGTCAGCAGCCTTCCTCAGAGGACAAATTATCGAGGAGTTACCCAATTAGTTGCTTGGCTGCCTCCCTAAGCCAACATGAATATGCAGGAGGGACTAAGACCCCACAATCCTCTCTGCTGGGCCTTGGAAAAAAATCAACATCATCAAATTTCTGTCTTCTTCATTTCCAGTAGAAGAGAGTAAAGCGTTCACTGCACTTGATTTTCCCACAGCCTTCACACCCCAATCAAGGGTCCCGAACCTAGCAGTATCCAATAAGGAGCAGGGAGGATGATGACTAAGTCTCCAGATGTGAAGTCTAGAGTTGAATTCTGACTGGTGATTTCATTCAGACACATTAGTGCCTTGAGGAGGCTTGGAGTAAATAGCTTATAAATAAACCAGACCTCTTTCAGGGATTAAATGTGTTTTAGCAAGTATCATTTTGCCAAATAAGAAGGCTCATGGACTTCAGTGTCTGGATGTAAAGGGTTGGATAAAGGTGGAAAAAAAGGAAGTGCATAAACTTCCCATTTCATGGAGAAGTTACTTCCCTAAGTATGAGGATCACTAATTACTTGATATTGCTGTTAATTCATTGGAAGCGAGGAGAAAGCACGGTTGTGAAGAGTTCAAATGAGAAGTGAAAGAATTTTTTAAAAATCATTTTATCCATCCCTCTATCTTAAATCACTACTTAATCCATCCCCATAAAATTAGGAATTTCCTATTCTTTTCTCAGAATTCCGTAAGGAGATAAACAGTTTTCCCTCTTACAATTAGGAAGTCCTTCTTAATATCTAAACTGTATTCTCCCATTCTGTCTGTGTCCCTGATATCTGTGTTATCTTTAAACTTAGCAATTCTATTAATAAAATTTAATTAAATGTTTGGTAAACTTTAGTAGAGATCAGGTGATGTAAAACCTTAAAAATCAAGTCTTGATTCTGCCACCTTTTGGCTGTGTGACTCTGGGCATAATATAAACACAGCATCCCAGTTTCCTAATCTGTAAAATGGGAATAAGATCCCTGCAATGGATTATTATAAGAATCAAACTAAATGAAATTATAAGGAAGGGTAAACTTCCTGATAAATACTGTACATAGTATTTAATATTAGTATTTAGTTCTTATGTGTCAAGCAGTGAACTAGGTTTGTTGGTCACTATCCCACACACCAACTGTAATGAGGTAACAGTGGGATTCATGCCCTAGCAGAGGCATACTCAGGGTCCAGAAAGGGTCATAGAAGGTGGAGATGCTGGAATTGAAAAAGGCTCTCTTGTGGAGTAGAGATCTGAATGATTTGATCAACATTTGAAGGACTCAAATGCTGTGGTAGTGAGAGTTTTGCAGAGGGAGGTAACAGCAGCGCTTCCGAGTTGCTCTCGGGGACACAGGCTAATAGCATACAAGACGTCCATCTGAGAAGAGATATGCATAGGAGTGCAAATAGTCCAGAGAAAAGATCAGACTGTTTCCTCTGGTTATACTTGCACCCAGCCATGCTGCTCATACAGTCCCTAACAACCCCTGAGAAGGGGAGTTGGAGCTTGAGGGAGGGGACAGGAAACCTATGGAAAGAGAGAGGGGGGTGGTGATAACAAGCCCGGCTGTTGAGTATTCCAGCACCTGCCAGGGATGCCCTGGGGATGCCAGGCCTGCCCTGCTGGGGCCCAGCTGTCACCCGGGTCCTCCTGACATCTTACAATGGGCAGTTGAGAGGTCAGGAGGGAATAGGGCAGGGAGGACAATGAGATTCCGATGCTATAGAAAGAGGAACAATTGGGACAGAGGGAGAGAGAAGCCAAGTGTTTTGGAACTGTGCAGGATTTGGTGAGGGGGGAAGGCAAATGTGAGGATAAAATTAGAATGGCTGAATTTTTATGGGGGTGTCAGGGAATGAGGAGGAGAGAGTCTATCCTTGATTATTCTGTTCAGAGCAGAAAAGGTCAGGTTGGCCAGGGAACAGCCTCTTTTGTTCCCGACCTTGGGTTTGGTCTGTCAGTAACACTGATCTGCTCTGCCACGCGAGTCTGATCTTGTCTAGCTCACTCATTTATTCTTCTGTCCATTCAATGAATATTTATTTAACTCATGCCATATATCAAGCTCTGCAAGGTAGTAGGGACAGCAATCTGTAATTTATCTTTCTACTATTGATGAGCTAAGAGCTTTCAGGGAGACAGATTTAGAAACAGTATTACAGCAGAATTAGTTAAATGCTCTTCTGTTAGAGGTGTGAACAAAATGCTTTGTAGGGGTGAGAAAAGGAGTTATAACAGAGTAGGGGAACCTCACCCAGCCTAGGAGACGTGTGTTTTGGGAGCAAAATCAAACAGGCTTCCTAGGGCAAGTGACATTTGAGCTGCATTTTGAAATCTAAGTAGAAGTTTGACAGGCAAAAAGGCAAGGGAAGGCAGGGGAGCTGGTAGGACATTGCAAACACAGAGAATAAGTTAGTTAGGAACCAACTAGGAAAATACTTGTCCAATAAGGCCCTGGAGCTTCCAGAGGCTTAGGCTGATGTCAATGATGAGTTATTCAGGGGATCTCAAGGCTCAAAATAAAAATCCAGTTTTGAGAATTATATGGAGAACTGTTGCTTGCTGCTTCCTGTGTGTCTGCAGGACATCGCATTTTCCTGCATGGGTCTTGGTAGAGAACTTTTTCAGTGATATGTATAGAAGGAAAAGAAGTGTTCCTTTTGCGCCAATTCACATCCACTGAAAGGAAAATAGACAATCAGTGCAGCAGAAATGATTTGGATCAGGGATTCTGAGAAAAACCAATGAAAAACTCAAGTATACAACAATATGTGGGTCCCCCCAGATTTAGACTTAAGTGAGAGAGGTACCATGTGGGAGAAGAGTGACTTGGTGGGGGTACAACTGTCTGAGAGGAAAGAAAGGCAGTGCTGCTGGAATGTGAGGGCTGAGTGAGACACTTTTCCCAGGTAGCCCCTTCCCTCTGAGGCCTCAGCCTAGTCATTCCTCAGAAATTCCCACCTACTGCTCAGAGATGGATATTGCCTTATTCTCAAATGAAGAGTCTAAGTTCTTAACAGCAACTGCCTAGAGTCCTCTGTTAATGACAGATTCAGAGGAATGTCTAGGTTCAGTAGTAAAGAGATTCATGCTTGAATCGTGGTATCTATATGGGCAGGTAAAGATAAATTAGTGGGAATCATTTCACATATTTCCCATGCCTGAGTACAATCCCACAATTTTCAGATAGAAAATAAATTAGTAACTGAGGTTCGTAAAGAGATCTGTCTCTTTAGAGAGACAATATAACGCTGTGCTGCCCATTGTGTAGTCCCAAGTTACATAAGACTACTTAGATTTAAATTAATTATCATTAAATAACATTTAAAATTTAGTTCCTCATTGCATTAGCCAAGTTTCAAGTGCTCAATGTTATAGAACATTTCGTCATTGCAGAAAGCTCTATTGGACAGATCTGGTTGAGAGTGATAGATTAAAATGCAGGCTCAGAAGCCACACTTCTGGGGTTATATCTCAGCTCTGACACTTGCTGGTTATACAGCCTGGTAGAGTTGCTTTACCCCTGTGTGCCTCAGACGTCGTAACATTGTAGTAAGAATTACACAGTTTCACGTTTGTAAAAGATTAAGAACGTTTCCTGTACTTGCTTAGCACTCACTTCATGTTAGTAATTATTGGTCCATGTTTATGTAGCACTCTAAAGATATAAGTGACTAGAAAGATCCTGATCCCCAGTCTAGCTCTTTCTATGGATCCATCAGCTTGCTTTCAATAATCGGCATCATTTCACATACAGAACGCCCAGTCGTTGTCATCCCTCACACCTCCCTCTTTGCCCAGTTCCCTTATTTCTGTGCGGTGGAATCTCCCATCCTGAGAACGCAAGGTATTACCCTGTGCTTGCCTCTCCTTCCCTTTTGCTTTGCCTGATGCCCACTTTCCCTGGGAATCCAGGCTCCTAAGAACAGCTGCAGCTGCTAGCTCTGCTTGCAGCTGCTGCTCAGAAACAGGGCAACATGGTTCAGCAGTGCTCTCTCTCAGGACTGATTTTTTTTTCCCCATTTATCCTTGAATATCTTGTTGGACTGTGCCAACTGTGGGCACAGTATCAGCTGCCCCCTGTCTGTCCCTGATGCTTCTGCTTGGGGACCTTTGTACTCAGACTCCAGCTGAGTCACACACTCCAGACTGCAACCCAGTAATTCCTTCTGATGGTTTTAATCATTACTCAATACTGCTTCTACTCCCATGGGTCACCTTTTCTCAATAGTCCACCTCTGCATTAGTCTCTGTTTCCACCAGAGCAGTGTGATGGAGATCTCACCCACATAGGAGGGAATGATGGTGATGACGATAATGAAGAAGAAAAAAGGAATGACTACCGATTATTAAACACCAATAAGGTGCCAGGCCTCATGCCACATGTATTATGCCAGTTATATTTAGTGTTTAAAAACCCTGCAAGATATCATTCTCATCATTTTGCAGATAAAGATTTTGAAGTTCTAGTTTACTTGCCCAGAGTCAATGGCAAACCTAGCATTCACACAGAATTTGTTGGATTCACCAGCTCAAAACAAATCATTAGACCATCAATGGCTGTGGGAGCTAGTGAAATGTGTTCATCCACACCATTACTAAACAATGTTGTATTTGCTGTGCCTTCTCATAAAAGAAGACATATCCAGTAACCAAACAGAAACTTTCATGTTGCAAAATAAGTCTTTTGGTGAATAAGAAAACTTGGGAAACTGGTAATCTTTGTTCCTCTCCTAAACAAGTGATTGTGATTTTCGGCTGCTCTGAAGACAAATAACAAGGGACCGTACTCAAGGAAGCTTGGTGATGAGAATCATGGTGCCCAGGGTTTGTAGTACAACAGGAATCAAGACACATGGCTCCCACCAGAGAAAGACAGAGGCAGCAGCTTCCTATTCCCTGATAGCGATTCCCTCACCTTCCAGCTACTTTCATGGAAGCCCTTGGCACTCTGGGACAACACCTAAAAATGCATGAGATGTCCCTACTGAAGAATTCGCACCCACAATCTTTTATCTTGCCTTGATTCTATTTTTCTTTCAAACTTCCTCTTGTGGCTTCCTGCTCTCTCCCTCCCCCTAACTTGGCTTATTTTGTTTCTCTGGTTTCATTTCTGAAATTCCGATTCTTTAGTAGTTTTTGTCTCTGTATATTACTCTGTATTATTTCAACTGGCCACTCTTGCTTTGGCTAAGCAAAAATTTTTAACCCAAGTTATTCTTATTAATATAGTCAATAGTTTAGTGGACATTGGGTAGACAAAATTCATGAAATGTTTACTCTTTTTTTTTCTTTTCTTTTTTTTTTTTGAGACGGAGATTCGCTCTTGTTGCCCAGGCTGGAGTACAATGGCGCTACTCAGCTCACCGCAACCTCTGCCTACCCAGTTCAAGCGATTCTCCTGCCTCAGCCTCCCGAGTAGCTAGGATTACAGGCATGCGCCACCATGCCCGGCTAATTTTGTGTTTTTAATAGAGACGGGGTTTCTCCATGTTGGTCAGGCTGGTCTTGAACTCTCAACCTCAGGTGATCCACCCACCTTGGCCTCCCAAAGTGCTGGGATTACAGGCATGAGCCACCACCCCCGGCCATGTTTACTCTTTTTAATTCACACATATATTAGTGCAAAAGTCACTCTGACATAGAAACAACCCTAGATAAGAATTTCCATCCCTCCCTTTTTATGAGTTGAGTAGAGTTGGACATTATCTGAACCTCCTTGTGATCTTCTCTAAGGCAGAAAAGAAAACACTTTCTCCTAAAGTTATTTAAGATTGTTAGAATGTTGTAACATCACAATGCTAGCACCTGATGATGTGATTATGTGCTCAGCCACCCAGATTTTCTTTATCTCTTCCTTACTGTGTGCACACGATTGCACTGGGAGTTGTCAATATAACAAGTGGATAAAACAGCCTCTCCTCTCAAGAAGCTTATAAACCAGTAGAGGAAAAATAGCAGCTTCACTATATGTGGAAATAGCGGCTTCACTCTTAGAGTCAATTGTCATAATTCCCTAAACTAGAAAAGAAGAAGGCAATGATTCTTACAGGGGTAATCTGTAAAGGCTTTATCAGGAAAGATTTTTGCTAGGCCCCGAAGGATCGACACTGTTTCAGTAAGTGAAGATAGAGGAGAGAGCACTCCAGGGAAAGGTGTTGCCAGGAGCAAAGGTAAGGGAAAATTTCACTTCGTATTGATTAGAGGAAAAGTAATCCAGGTGGGCAACACAAAAGTGTATGTAAGGTGGTGAAATGGGGTGGATAAGTGGGATGGGTTGCTTTCGAGGAACGTAAGAGAAGAATGTGTGGTATACATATACCTGGAAATGTAGACCAAGACCAGTTGTGATGAGGCAGGTTAAATATTAACTTGGGAAGTTTGGACTTCATTCTATAATGATGAGAAAACTAACGCAGATTTTTGACCAAAGAAATGACATGGTCATGGCTTTATTTTAAGACAGCTAGGATGAATTGTAGAAGGAAGGAGGTACTGGGTACAAAAAGATTGGAGGTTTGGAAGAACACTATTACATGAATCTAGACAGATAGATAGTGAATACTTGAACCAGGGCAGTTGGCAGTGAGTGTGAGAATGCATTAGTGAGGGTTAAGGAACACGAAAGGATATAAACTAGTAGAGGAGACAGATGTGGAAATAGCAGTTTCATTCTTAAATCCATGCATGTGGTAAATTCATGCATGTGCTATTTTAATCTCTGTATCTCTAATTCCGTATTGCCCCCTCTATATGGGCCTTTCTGGAGCTCTGACTCTCCTCAATTCTTCTTTCCTCAGCACCTGTCCGTGACCGTCTATTGTTTGTGGAAACCCAGACACTGTGGGTCAATGCTCCCTCTCAGGTTGTTTGCCAGCAGCTAAGGGAAGGTCTAGGTCCTTTCTTCCAGAGCTTCTGTTCAGGTGAGAAAACAGCTTGCCTTGGAGCTGCTTGGAGAGAAGAGGTTTCAGGACTGCCTTTCAAGCCTGGCCTATTGCTCCTAGGCCTGTCTCCTTTGCTCCTCCAGTACTAAATAGTTCTGAATCCCCCTGGTCCTCCATCTGTCTGCATGTGTCCTAGATCTCCCTGGGCAGGGATTAAGTAATTGTGCCATTCCCATCAGCATGCCCAGGGGTCTGGCAGGAGGGAAGCTGCCGGCTGGCAGCAGTGGGCTGAGCAGGAGCCAGGGGATAGTCTGCTCCAACTCCCTGAGCAGCTTGCGGCTGTTCCCGGCCCTCAGTGGGCCAGCCACGTGCCTGCCTGCTTTGGATCTGCCTCAGCTCAGAGGCCAGCTCTCAAAGGAAGAGAGCGCACAGGCTTAGATCAAGGAAGAACGTTTTCCATTACCAGGATGCCCCTTCAGGTCTATCCCAATTGAAGAAACTAGACCCCCAGCATGCTTCCTTCCTGTTTCTCTGCCTCCACCTCCTTTCTCAGTGCCTAACCTTCTAGCTTAGTTCTTAACACTGAGTTAATAAAAGAAAGAACTCAGCCTGTAGAGTTGCCAATAATTAAATGATACAAAAAGTGTTTCCGTTTGACTTTAGAGTGCATTCAAATACATATGTCAAATTATATATATACACACATATGTGTATGTATTCAACATGTACTGAAGTGTATGTGTTTAAATATACATGTCTTCAAATATATATATTTATGGATATATATATATTTATGGATATATAGATAAACATACATCTATGTACCTTCATATATTTTTTTCAAATATGCATATATTAATATGTGTGTCTACACACACAAAGAAAAACAAAAATTAGAAACATGTCAGCTGACATGGAGAAACAAGCCTTATATACAATATTTTCTTTCCATAATCCTCAACAGAGATTATTCATATGGATAACTGAGAACTTACTGTATTTGTAATCAAGTAAACAATATAGTCAACATCTTCCTATTATTTCCAACTGAGGAAGGAAAAGGGGCAATTGTACAATTCTAGGAATAGCATAATTCCTCAATTTGATTTACAGTAAAATTATTTTAGCTCAACGTAGATTTAGGCCTTTTAATTGCTAAACATGTTAGAGTAGTTGTCTCTTGAGAATAAGATCATTGCCTAGAAAACTGTCTTCTAAATAGATAAACTGAAAGTACCCCAGTTCCTTAAGATAGCTGACCAGCAAGCAAACCACACAAGGCATCCAAACACCACCTTGATTTTAATGTTTTGTAGTCGATTTTTGCCTCATCTTTTAGCTTTTACTCAATCACTTATTCACTCTTTTTTTTCCAAGAGTGTGGGCATGTGCTTCTCTGCCAGAGAGAAAATGGACATTAGCTGCTCATGGAACTGTTAAAATATTAAGATGAGAGAAATTTCGGATGTCTAATGGCACAATCATCTCACTCTATAGATGAGAAAATAGAAGCTCAGGCACTTCTGAGATTTACATGACTTTCCATGTTCTCGTATTTATTTGCACATTTCTATGTAGGTTTCTACATCTGGAACCTACTTCAGTGGTTTATTTTGAAGACTGATTCAATATGGAGAACTTAACTTGATGACTTGTACATGGTAAAGATACTCAATAAACAGAAATTTCCTTTTCCCCTGAGTTTTTAGCTATTGGTTTCTAAAATCTTCCTGTTCACATTTAATAACTGAATTCACTTACTTACATGTAAGGCGTTGACCAAACATCTTTATTATCATGTGTATTCTGACAGCTATGACAGAGTTCCTTAGCTATGACAGAGTGGCTTAGTTCCTGGCCTAGAGGAAATTCTCAGTAACTATTACTACTTGAAAAAATTAAATTGAAATCAAGTACATAGTAACATATATTTGTGAGGTAATAGTATTCTTTCTCTACATAGTCTTAAGCCAGATGACAGCAAAGAGCTACTACAAGGCTCCTTTTAGCTCTATGCCAACTTTTAGAAAAGAAAGAAAAATTCAATATTTCCTATATTCTGAATTCAGAAAGTTTGCCTTTGAAGATTTCTGTGTGAACTATCCCCATGAAGAGTTGGAAAATGTCATGTCCAATGTATGGAATACTGGTCAATAGGCTTGGATTTTGTCGTTGGCTCCAGTAAATTATGTACTGTTTAAATGAAAAGAATCTATTGTTTTCTCTGGTTCTCAATTACCTCACCTATTCTCACTCTACTCCCAGTAATAATAATAACAATAAGAGTAAAGTGCTTCCCAGGTTCCAGAACCTCAGATAAACACTTCACTGCTATTATCATCATTTTTAATCCTCATACAACTCTATGGATTGGTGGTATTGTATGCCCTTTTTATAAAGAAGAAAACTGAGACAGAGACGTTAAATAAATTGCCTAGGACTTCTCAGCCAGTTAACTTCAAATCTAAGTCTATCTGACTCCATAATTCTATGGACTCCCTAAGCCTGCTGTTGTCACCATCAGCACTCTCCTGGCCATATATTGGAGGCAAATAGAAAAGGTAACATGATTGTAATCAAAGAATAATTAATAGAACATAGATGGTAATAATTACCATTTGCTAAATACTTGCTATGTGCTTCAGATGTATTATCTCAATTAATTCACCATGATAAACCTGAAGGGAAGGCATTATTATGATTGCTATTTTCAAATTGATCATTACACATTGTGTGCATGTACCAAAAATCACGTTATACTGCATAAATATGCACAATTATTATGTGTCAATTAATAAAAAAGCCAAAGGGGGGAAATGTAGAAAAAATGTTAGCACCTATAAAACTATTTTTTGTTTATAAAAACTTAAAAAAATCAAGAAAACTGAGCCTTTGCAGGGTTAATCAATTTAACAAAGGTCATTCAATCAGTAAGTGGCATAGCTTAAGTACTATTTATTTCATTCTAAAGCCAGTGCTTGCAATTACTACACCAAACTATACTCCAAATTTATATAGATTTTTAAAATAATCTTGAAGATAGGATGTTTCTATGTTGATAGAATATTTTGTTATTTTCATATCCATAATTCCCCTTTAAAACATTTTTCTTAAATTCTAAAGATATGTGAGATTAAAGCTTGAAATGGATTTAAGCCTTCTCAAAAATGGGTACTTTCAAGCAACAAGGCATTGGTTTGTGATCTGGCCTACACTATGTGGTCTACCTGGGCAAAGTCGAATAGAAAATTGAGCTTCTATCAAGGGAAAGATGGCCTTCTTTCAGATTCTGTTGCAGAATGTGGACGTGGGTCAGCCTGGGTCATAGATGTAACAGGGCGTCATATGTAAAGGACAATTTGAGGGGTGTCAAATAGTAATTCCACTTTCGCTGGCTCCAGCATTGCACAGATATGACATCCTCATATACCTACCAGGCAAACAGCTACTGAGGATCATTTCAAATCTTCTGGATAAACCCACTAGCTCAAATCAATCCTGGTTCCACCAGGATTTGTTTAGTTTCACTAAACTAAACGGATTAGTTTCCTAATCTGTGAAATGGGAATACTAATATTGACCGCCTTATGGGAGTGGCTTTAGAATTGAATGAATTCATACGTGTAAGACACTTAGAAATGTAACATTACGTAGTAAGCATCCACAATCTGCTAGATGGGGTTGTTGTTATCTGTCCGTTTCTATTTGCCCCTCTGGACCATTCTTTGCAAGGTAAAGATTCTTCTAATGTGTCAAATGACATGTGTACATAATCATTTATTTGATATTGCAAGAGATGGAAAAAAATCTAAATTATGGGACTCAATTTCATAAATGATGTTATTTTAGTATGGAATGCTAGCCAGTTATAACAAAGAATTAAGAAACTTTTATTTAAAATACCCCAAGATTTGTGGTTAAATGTAAAAAAACAATATGCAGAAATGTGTTATATTGTTACCACTTGAAGGAAAAAAGAGAATAATACACCTTAATATTTGTACCTAATATTTGTTTATATATCCATAAAAGGTCTCTGATAACTAGTAAGCTAAAAAAAATGTTTAAGTATTTTCTAGTTGGAGAGTGGGAACTGGAAGATGGAAGATAGGGGTGGAAAGATAAGTTTTATGCTATATTTTTGTTTCTTAAATATTTTAAGTCAAGTCCCTACCTTGATTAACTAACTTTTCTATTTATATTTATTATTAATAATATCATTACTATTATTTCTTTATTATCATCACTTTACACATGCAAGAAGGGATCCTGGAAAGTTTTAACTAGAGAAACCTGAAAGAAAAAAATCAAGAGGAAGAGTTGCCAAAAAACATATTTCATAATTTTTTTGAAAAGTTGTTCAGCCCACCTACTTTGGATAATAGCACATCTTCCCATTTATCTGTGGTTTGATTGCTTAGACTGCCCATAGCCCTGTAATCTGTAAGATTATTTTTTCTTAACTGTAGATTTTATACTTGATTATATGAGTGGCAGAGACCAGTGCTTCTAGACTTCTAACTGCATATTTCGAATATTCTAGCAAGATCAATTGAATTACGGGATGTGTAAATCCTCCTGACAGACCAGTCTTTGCTCAGCTAGCTGCTTGTAGGACATAGAGCCCAAGAAAATGAATAAATGAGAGTGAATGAAAGATCTGAAGACTAACAACACAGCACAACACAACATCTAATAAGACTTACAGCTTTATTTCTGCTAGGAAAAAGGGAGGAAAAACAGTCATATTTTAAACAAAATATTTAAACAATTATTTTACTTTATCTAAAAAAGTCTCCAGAAGAATGAGACCACCCTATGTTGGAGAGCAGGCTCTTTACAAGCTATTGCATTCCTAAATTTTAATTCAATTATAAAATCCCTCTGTACAATTTCAGGGAGGCTTGGCTCATGGGTACCATACTCCCCAAAGGCATAAACAGCAGATTATTAAAGAATAACTCTGGCTCATTTTAGACTGAAGAAAAGACTCTAAAAACATTAACTTGCATAGCCATTCGAATTATTGCTGCTTTTTATAAAAATTATCACAGAGGTAATTCTCTATTTTTTCCTTTCCCCTCACTCCAAAACTCAGCAGTTCTTAGCAAAATTATGAGCTACTTTCCAAATAAAATTTTAGGAAGGGTTTGCAAGCACATCTATGGGGCTAAAGGAATTTTCGTGAAAGGAAGAGAGAAATAAATTAAATAAATAATATCTAATAAATAACTCAAACAACAGTGATTATCTACAAACTTAAATGCCAGAAAATGCTAGCTTCGAGGATAGACCCTCCTACAGCCGCTCACAAAGGTAAGTGCAGTATATACTCAGAAAGCACATAGTATGGCTTTATATATCATTTTACTTGCCTATTTCCTCTAGGGCAGATTGTGATGAAGGGAACCACTTTGGTGACTGATGGGGCTTAAGATCTCTCTGCAAGGCTACTTTCAAGTGAATTTACAAACCAAGGGTGCAAAATACAGCAGGGTAAGTGCTGAGAGCAAAATGGAAAAAAAATAACTTATACTGTATGGAGATAATAAATAAGAGAGGTAAACAGACAAGATACACATATAGTTGGCAGATTTTAGGGGATAGCTGAGCTATAGAAAATGACATACTAATATGTGTTATCATTTTTTAAATTGGCCCTATTGATGTACCCTGCATGTTAAACTTATCCTTTCTGGCAGGAGCAGGACCTAATCTACTATCAAATAAGCCATTCAGGCTCTGGTTTGACTTAAATAACTGTCCTGGCTGATTGAACAAGATAGGAAAATTTCTCAGGTCCCATTTTCTGAAAAAAAATACAAATTTGATGAAGTTAGCATTGATATAAAGGAAAAAGGAGTTACATAAAGAAAAATAAACACTCTGCAAATTGGGTTAAACCTGTGATGAAGACATAGTTGGTAAAAATATTCACCAACCTTGGATTTCATTTCTGCATCCTTAAGTTTGGTCACCTGAAATGTTATTTACAATATATAATAACATATTCTATCTTAGAAGTGAGGAAGAGGTAACAATTAGTGTAGGGGGAGAGATAAGGAACTACATATATGTTGGAAAAATTTAACCTTGATCAATAAATTGATTGGTGCTTGTGCTTCTGGAAAATATATTGGTGTGGACAGAGGTGGATGGTTTTAATCACGTTTAACCAAATGAAATTCATCTTGCTTAAAAAAAAATCCATTGGTTTTTCCCATGGGCAACTGTGAGCTGGAGAGAGTCCCTGAACTATAGTAGTTATTATAGCCAATAGCTATTTTATTGCTCTTTAATATAAACCTGTGTTGTGTGCTGATTCTAACAGCAGCACCTGAGCTTCATCAGAAGTTCCAGAGCCCTCTGGTTATGGAGGTCATGGTCTAAAAGACTTCTCTATGTCCCATTAGTTATAGGAGTCTGAGGCTTCAGTGACTTGTTTGCCCTACCTCTAGTACTGAGAAAAATGGTTTTGAAATATTATCAAGAATAAAGTTGGCATGAGGCCTCTATTATGGTTCTCTATTATGGTTCTTCAAATCATAAGGAAGATATGTTCAACTTTTAGTCTAATAACAAATAGAGTTAGTCTCTTAACGAACATGTTTTGTTCTTCACAGTGACAGCCATGTTAGACTTTTAGCTTCCAGAAGCTATTTTTCAATAGATACAAAGAGGTCCTATCATTAAATCCAAACAAGCTTTGCATTCTGTGAGCCAAGAGACATGTACCTTGTGATCCCTCTGATAATTCAATTTGATCATTCTATGCATAGCATCCCTTTCCTATTATTTCTCTATTCTTTCAGTTTCAAGAAATTGTCAAGAGTGATCACCACAGTTATAGCATTTCAGAACTGTGAAGGACTTTAGAAATCATCTGGACTTAGAATAGTTGCCTCATATAAATACAATTTGTTTATTTACAATTGCTAGTAAATAAACAAAGGCCAGAAATGGAAAATTAATTGGCACAGATTATGCAATGAGTTTTTGGCACCACTGGAATAGGGCCCAGGTCTTCTGTTCTATTTTCACATGGTTGTTAAATCATCAAATATTTTCACTTGAGGACTCTATAAAGAAATCAATGCAATGTGAGAAGGTGATGAGAAAAGAGGTGATAGGTGAAGGAAAGCCTAAATGGACTTGAACTATTGTTTGATATATATCCATAGGGATCCTTTAAGGTCATTGAATCTTTAGCTCAACCACTTGAATTATGGAAAATGTCTCCACGTCATTCTCTGAAACATTGAACTTAACTGCCTCACTCAGTGAAGACTGTATTGAGTTGGGTCCCAATACCATGATGGGGGTAGGAATCATAGGACATGTCTATAGGAACATCATAACGGGGGGTACCAGCCTGAAAAGGAGTTGAATGCACATGCCCTGAGCTTAGACTTGAAGAAGGGTAATGTGGCATGAAGCTGTAGGATTTTTCTAGGTCAGGAGACCCATCTTGCTTCAAGGAGAAGTTCCCACTGATGCTCAGGGGTGGAGTGAGTGGGCCCTCATAAGGGGGTGTACTGCAGTCAGGCAGATGGCTCCCAAAGGACGATTCTCCCAAACTCTTGAATACTTGGGGCTTGAGATGAAGGAGATGTGTTTCCATATGACCATAAGGAGGGCTAGGAAGCCCCGGAGACTGATAGTTGAAGTTGTGGACAGAGATGGCAGAGTCACAAATAGGAGATTTATCCTCGTGCTTCTCCAGGAGGACAGACTGAGGGCCCAGTTGGAGACATCCAGCCACCAGGTTGCTTGTGGGCTGAGAGAGCCCTTTACACAGCATCTCCACAAAGCCTTTCCCTTCAGGTGTCTGGCCAGTCTCCAGGACTTCAGATAAAGCCCAAATATAGTTCCTGGCCAGTCTAAGAGTCTCTATCTTGGAAAGTTTTTGGGTTTTAGAGTAGCATGGCATGACTCGCCTCAGGTTATCCAGGGCGTCATTCAGGCCATGCATCCGGGTCCGTTCTCTGGCATTAGCCTTGACTCTTCGAGCCCTGAATCTCTCAAGGCGAGCTTTGGTCATCTTCTTTTTCTTGGGACCCCTTCTCTTAGGTTTCTCCCCATCTTCTTCCTCTTCTTCTTCTTCCTCAATACTGTCATGCTCTTCAGTTAAGCTGCTGAGCATCCCATAAGTACCTGGTCTGCTCTCTTCCTCCTTCACCTCATTTTGGGAGCCCAGACCTTTATCCATCCAGGATGGTGTGTTGACTAGCTCTCCCATCTCCTTGGATTTTACAAAAGTTTTTGACATTTCCAGACTCTGGAAAAGGGAAATATCAAAGGTTAATTCCTGTGAGTACCTGATTTTATTTGAAACTAAAGTTTTTTATATGTAATTATCTTGTCCAAGTCTTCCATTCTAAATGACCAGTCCAAAACTGAAAGAAATTCCCAGAATACTCCTTTAGTTATGGCATAGTATAAGAAAATATATTATAGAAAAAGAAAATTGACTTGATTATTCATTGCAGTGTTAGTGCCTGTTTTTATTCTTAGATTTTTTATCTCATGAATATTTTATACAAAAATGACTGATATACCAGTCCAAAGATATATTTTTCTTTCTTTCCAGAATCCAGAACATAAAAGGGAAAAAATGAGGTGAGTATATAAATTACTGTCCAAGTAGAGAAATTTCTGAAAGTGAAAGAGCATGCTAAAAATAAGTCTATGTGTGTAATAATTATTGTTACTACAAAATAAAAAACCCATCAAATAGTCAAATAAGCACACTGTTGTATATTTACACCATACAAAATAAAAAACTGTAGCAAGATCATTCAGACTACTTTGTATGTGTTCTACAAAAGACTACTCAACCTGTATTTAGAAGCATTTCACATCCATCTAGCCTATAATACCCGATGTTTCTCACCAGTATTGCTAACTGGTGGCCTCAATCATCTCCTTCAAGTTGTCCATGACACAACTGGCTGGTCCAACATGTGACCATCAAACATTACTCTCACTGGCTGGTCCAACACGTGACCATCAAACATTACTCTCACTATCACCAGAGGAGCATTCTGTTTTTCAGTAAGCACTTTGTGTTCTGTCTAGTGTGAGTTATGTTAGAAGTGTTAGTGACATGGCATCTTGAAAGGATCATGAAAAGAAAGGAGGGTTATCACTGCTCATCTTTCAAATTTGCCCATATGTTAAAGTGAGATCTCTTTGCACATGCATCTCACACTGTCAGACAAGACAATGGCAACAGCTAGGAGTGCAGCCAGTGGTCTACCAAACCCATCCAAGGTTTAGTACAACTACTATAATAATACTTTATTTAAAATGAAAAATCTGGAACAAATACTAGTGGAACTAGTGGAACTAGTGGAACAGAACATAGTGACTGCTAACACAAGTGAGGACTATTTCAGGCAAACACAGGAATAGCCTGACTACTTTAATTCACTAACACACTGTTTAATCAGAATTTTGTATGCAAAATTCACTATTTGAAAACCAGAAGAGACTAGTGATTTAGTAAACATTTTGCATTCAATTCTGGAAGAGTTTGAATTGTTTTAAAGTTTGCTAAGCAATTTTTAGGCATATGGTTTACCAAATAAAAGTATCTGATAAGCTCCATTGGGGCATCCCAGTTTACCAGCTACTCTTTGAAATATTAAACCCACTATCACCTTTTATTATGAGAAAGAGGAGAATGTAATAAATGTTTTCTGTTCTTTGATGCTTGAGCCTCAAATCAATGAACCCAGGGATTAGTACATAGCTTTTAAAAATAAAGATATATTATTTGATTTGTTTCTGGTAATTGGAGCTTGTTTTCCTTGTAACCTCATTTACCTCCTATAAATAATTAATGTAACTGCATTGCGAAAGCAGCCTAGGTTTCATGTTAATCAGCACGGAAATCATGTCAGCTTGACTTACTCACTTAATAAGGCTTCCTGGGTAAGCAGCTTTATTGAAAACACACATTGGAACTTATTGGTCAACTAGCTGCCCAGGCCAACTCAGAAAATCCCACTTTTAATATGGATGATAGAGCTTGTGTGCTGAGCTGCACTTCTAACTCAGGCAGATATCCAGAGGGAGGGTAAAGAACCTAATTAACTTTCTGTTAAAGTAACACAGCTCTTCCAGAGGCAGGTGCACTCTAAGGCCAAAAAGGATGGAGTGGGCTTGGGAAACCTAATGCTCCCCATGTAATTATAATAACATTTGTGTAGCATTTTAAAGTTTACAGAGCACTTTTGTATCCATTAATTCATATGTTTCTTATAGAAAACCTTTGAGGGAGATAGAAATTTTTATGCTCATTTTATACTCAAGGTCACTGTGGGTCAGGTAGTTTAAGTGATGGAAATGCAAAGATATAGTTCTGGTGGAGTGGGACATAAAATTAATTCTTCTTATTTTACATCTTAGGTTTTATGTTTTTATTTTCCTTGTTCTTCTTCTATCACAGCTATAGGAAGAAAGAAAGGCACTTTGGCTTCAGGAGATGTACAGCAATAGAAATGAGTCAACAGGAGTGATCATCATCCAAGAGATCATCATCTCTTCCTCATCCTCCCCCTTTTTCTCCTTATCCTCATTCTCTTATCTTCATTATCATTATGATCACTGGCTCATACTGAGATGCATGAAAAGGAGAGAAGGAAGGAAAGAAGGAAGGTGCAAGAGAGGAGAGTCTCCTGAATTGTCCCTGGATCTGAATACCATCCTAGGTGGGGGATTTAGCCTTTTTCACCATCCCTACCTCTATACCTCTGGACTCTTTTTAAGATCTGTCAATATTCACACACATCAAAATAAGTGAGATTGGGAGGATAGAATAGACCATCTTTTACTTCTAACATATTTAATGGTTTCTGTAAGAGTCAAGGAGCTGCTTTCAAATCAGCTTGTTGGTGGGTATAAAGGAAAAGAATCAACTGGCTTTGGCCAAAGTAATGAAAAGGTCAACCAGTTTTCTTTCACCTTTGTTCTCTTACTAATCATGGGAAGGACACAGATGGCTCCAGTTTAACTTCCTCTGTTCTCACAGGTGCCGGTCCATTAACTTCCAAGAGAATCCCATGAGTATATAGTATGGTTTCAAAAGAATGGAAGCTAGAATAACACAAATGTGAACTCTAGTCCCAATTCTTCTAATTCCTGGGTTGTTGATCCCAAACACATTATATAAAGTTATCTGTTCTTCCATTTCCTCTAATAAAATAAGGCTAACATACAGGTTATGTGATTCTTGTAAGAGAAAAATATAATAAAAAATTTTATAGCTGTAAATGCTATAAAACATCTATACATTTATTTCCTGTTTATTCTTGGGTTTTCTTATCTAATCTATTCACACACGTTTGCTTATTCAAAAATAAAAATTATTTCTCACAGATGAATAATAAAACAGACTGTATCAACTAGTGTGTCTCTTATTATCTGGATATTACCTCTGATTGGTTTAGAAAATCATCTGACAGTTACTCAGTAGCCTATCATTTTTCCCATGGTGGGATAGATAGCACAGACTCCAGTGTCAGATTACCTGGATTCAAACTTCAGCTCCACTACTCACTAGATACATGAATTTAGGCCAGTTTCATAACCCTTATCTGCCTCAGTCTCCTTCTCCTTAAAATGAGAATAATAACAGTCCTACCTCATAGGATTATTAGGAGCATAAAATGAGTTGATATATTTGAAGCATTTTGAATAGTGTCATACAACATGAATTTCATGTTAAGTTTTAGGTATTGTTCTCCTAAACATCACCATGAATTTTTCTGGCCACTTGGACAAGAATAGGTATAATTAGAATCTGTTATTAATATTGATTTTGCATCAACAAAAGCCAATGGCTTCATTTCAACATCTATTTGAAAAAATTCCCCAATACACCTACTCCTCCAGTCTCCTATTGAAACTGAAATCAAAGTTTCTGTTCTGTAGCAAGAGGTAAGGAAACCAAGCCCTATCAACTGCCTCCACTGAGTTGACTAGAACTCTTCCATCATATTCAAGATGGAAGTTAGCTCCCAAACTTTCACTCTGTTTTATAATTGGGAGAAAACAGTTAGCTTGACACTCCTATTCAATCACATACATTTTCAGATTCATGAACCTTCTGTATTGCGAATACAATTTTTCCCACCAAAACCAAATGGCAGAGCTCTGAGGATAATATGCAGTGTCTATCAGAGAGAAGTGAAAGCAGTGAAAGCCAAGACTCCTGAAATATAAAGAAAAATGTTTATCTGACTTTTTTCACCTAAATATTTTCAATGCATCAAAAAGGTTAACAGGAAAAAAATAGAAACATCTAGTTTTAAATTTGAGTGTTGAAAATATGTGTACTGTGATCACACATACTGATCACAACAAAAGTTGTGATCAAAGAAACCAAGGGTTGTCTCCAGAACAGGTGCCTAAATCTAATGTTGCTTTCAGCCTGTTAAGGAACCATCTCACAGGTGTACTGAAAGAAGCATGGAACCAAGACTGTTTCATCATTCACTCATTAAAGGAGCACAGAAAAATTATTGTAATTATTGTAATTTTTGTACCCTTAGGGCAAAATGAAAATAAGATTGTCTTTGCTACATCATTTAGAAGTTTTCATGAAAAATAAGGAGATAATGCAAGCACAAGTACTTTGTAAAATTGTTATGCCAATGTGAGGGTTGGCAATTGTTTTACAGAAGCTGTTTGAGAAAGTCTGTAGCACTATCTCACAAAGCATCATGATATACCATCTTAAGGTTGCCTCAATTCCTAGGAAAGAAATTAGCTCACAAATTACATAGGAAATAGGCTCGAACATGACAAAAATCAATGAATACTGGCTCAAGGGGCAGAATCTGGCCCTTCCCTACACATACACATAAACACATTCTGGTCTTATAAAGTCCATTTTTAGCCATTTGGTATTTGGATTTTCTTTTATACCTACACAATATAACAGAATTTTCCTCGTTCTATAGGGTCTTTCAGTGAAATTTCAAGTTTGGCCAATTCTCTTTAATTCAAAATATTTCTCATATTTTTAAAAATTTTAAATCTGTTCTAGCAAAGTGTTTGCTTAGGCAATGATTGTTACTACTGAATATTTTTACTACTAGGGCCAAAGTCGTTAAGCATTACTACTATGTGAAGCTATCCTGGAATTCTTTCTACACTTTTACAAATTTTTTATTTATTGTGGAGATATTTCAACTAATTAATAGGTAAGGGGAACTCACATGTGGATTTGTGGTAGTTAGATGGTGTCTTTCCTCTTAAAAGCTGGTGATAATCTCTTTACCTCCTGATCCGATGACTAAATACAACAGAAAGGGGGCTGTCCAGCCCAGTTTCTAGGAAATCTAAGAACTAAATAGACTAAATTCTTTTCCCAGAGTTGCACAGTCTTGGCACTAAAAAGACAGAATCCAAATCAGGATGTTCACAAGTTGTACTGCTTGGAAAAAGCCAGTAGTTTGCTCTATGCTCTTCTTTTCTACTCTACTATTTTCCCCTTTATTAATATATGTGCACATGTATGTACATGCATGCACATACACACACATTTTGTCCAGCAAAGCCATGTAATACTTCAGGTGCCATTGCCTCAGATCTTAATAGTTAACAGAAGTTATTCAGTCCCTTATTTTTCCCTGCATGTTCTTCAGCATTTCACCTCTGCTTCCTCTGTCAAAAAAATGGGGGTGGGTATTTTACATTTAATTAGTATTTTCTGAGTATACTTTTTTTGCGGGCAAATGATGAGTGTGAAGCAGAGAAAGGAAAAATATACTTGGACAATCTTTTTCTTCTAATTTCCCATCTGAAAGAGCTGAGGAAAAGGAAATTTCCCCCACCCTGTGCCAACTATTCAAGCATTTTTAGTAAACAAAATAGTTAATGGTGAGAATCTACCCCGAGGATTTTCCACAATCTTCTCTGATTCCTCATTCTGTTTTCCTTTCCCTGCCTCCCCCTCCGTCCTTGCATAGCCCTAAAATGCTGTGAGCAGAGTGGTGGATTGGGTCAATTCTTCCAACCTACTTGCTGGGCCACCTTGGAAAAGCAGTTAAACTTTTCGACATTTTCACCACTAACAAAATGAAAGAGTGGCTTTGACAGGAATTGGGGGAGATCATCTGTATTCTTCACTTTATTAAAATGATTGTGAGTGTCTATGTGTTTCACTTTGGGTGGCAAGTGCTATAAAATTTAATAAAATTATTTAAAATGTTTATATTTGTCCCTAAGTGTTCCAACTCACTAGCTTCTACATTCCAAGTTTCCTAAATCTCACTTCCTCCTGCCTTACCCAGAAGAGACTTTCCTCACCCCAACTGCTCCTCTAGGTGAGTGGGAACTTCCCACAGAAACTTTAGCCCCCTTACCACCCCAACCACTGGCTCACCTCGGTCACTGGCCGTTCCTGGAGTGAACTCTGTGAATCTGCGTCTTAGAGGACAGTCAGAGAAGCCAAGTCTCCCTGACCATCCAGATGGTAGAAGAGACGCTTTCAGCGATCCATGTCAAACCCGGTTGTTACCTCTTAGAGATTCCACCGGGTCTGGTTTCTCTGCCTGCTCCTTATTCTACTCCTTCCTTGGAGTTCCGTATGCTCCTCAAGGACGCCTTCGGGCTGATCTCTCCGCTGCAGCCAGTTTAGTCGCTCTTCAGTACCTCCTCTCCCTGGTTAGCTCCCCGGAGAGGAGCTTTCAGGACCACAAGCCTCTGGGCAGCTCCTGCTCTCTGGCCGGAGCCTCTGACTTGCTGCAGTTTTGATTGCTCTCCCAGCTGACCAGGGAGGAGTGATGTTGCCCAGAGTCTAACTCCTCCCTTTTCCCCAGCCGAAAGACACGCCCACTTGAAAGGCTCCTCCGGCCAGGTCCAGTTTTGCCGCCCGTTTGTTTGTTTAAATAGAGATGGGGGTTGGTGGAAGGGGAGCAGGGGAGGAGAGTTGCTGAAGTTAAGGAGTAAAGAAAAAGAGGACTGGAAACCTTTGTGATTAAAAAGATAAGAAATGGGAGCGGAGTAGTGTGGACAGAATGGAGAAAGAAAATTGGGGATAGACTTGGAGAGAGAGCTAAAAAGGGCAGATGACGCTGCTGACCCACGTCTGAAAAGAATCAAAAGGTGAGAAAGATGCGTGTCAAGGACACAGCATCAGTGGCTGCTTCCTTACACATGTGGACTGGGGTCTTTGGCTTATAAACTTCAGCGTTCTAAAAGTAGAAGGAAGAAGTATGTCTCTCCCACCTTTTCAGCACGTCAAAGCTACTCTCATTAAAACTTTTAATTTGTGAATTTAGGTGAAGCTATATTTGTTGTGCTATTCTTTCAACTTTCTGATCACTTTAAATTTATAAAAACAAAAAGGAAATTAATAAAATCCTTCATTTTAAGGGCAGTTAGTTCCTTGAGTTACAAACTGAGATCTACTATTGTTTTTCAAAAATACATCATTAAGCATTCACGTAGAAAAAGTCCACCTGAGTAGTAATAAGCTTAGAAGAAGAGAAGGCTCATAATAATTCCTAAAACTCCTTTGGTATTAGGAGGTTGAATTAAATTGCTAGAAGACAGAAAGAAAACTACATCTGGAATAATTTAAGTATATAGATATTCATACTATCTTATTTAAAACTACACCAAGGAAAAATAAATGATTGTGAACTTAAGATACCAAAGATTTTCTAATCATCTTGTGTTTCCAAGAAGGAAAAAGAAAGGTGCTCAGATTAAGCAATTGGCTGAATGATCTTGAATAAGTCAACTTCACTCTGGGCATCAGTTTTCATATCTGTAAAATGAGTTTTTCCATCAGTAGCCTGATAGAGTTACGAATCCAAGTTCAACTTCTTTTAGAAATTGACTTGAAGGATAATTCCTCAGGCGTTTTGGCAAAAGGCAAAACATTTATACAATCTGAAAAGAAACCAGAGTATCCCCAGCTTTTTGAGAATCGCGTGGTCTAACAACATAACTAGCACATGCGTCAAACAGAAATGAAAAACTATTAATATGCCTGTGTGCAAGGAAAACTGTAGAGGGCTGAAACAAAAGATAGTTTCACTGCTCATAAAGTTGAAAAGAGTATCTTAAGTTTGAAAATAGTTATTTTTAATTCTGATATGTGTCATATGACTCTTGTTTTTCACAGAAAACAAGAAAATAAAAATTAACACTTTTTTCAGTTTTCATGGGAAGTTATTTATTTTCAGCAGCTCTTTAATCTCTTACTTATCTTTATTTGTATCCCTATCCAGAAAAATATCTGCTCAGGAAAATAAACTTCATTTTCAGAATAATTAAACAACACATGATGGGAATAGCAGATCTCTAAAAAACAAATCAGAATTCACTCCTCGGCCACAGGAAATTTATCTATGAGGTAATTTATGTCTAGGATAGAGGTGCTTAATCATTGTTCAATGAGCGCTTACTGAATGAATTGATCTCCTGCTTTGTGTCTTCAAAGCCCTGTCCATGGATATTTAGAAGTTGATGGCACTGATGCCTGTGAAATTTTCAGGGGCAGGGAGTAATAGCAGATTAGCAGAAAGGTGAACATATTGAGACAAAGATGAGGGTGGGGATAAAACATTCTGCAGGATTCCTTGCTTTCTCTGACAGATGTAAGGGACTGGACACAATAGGATTAGCCTTCAAAATACATTCGTGTGTGTGTGTGTATGTGAGTGCACACACACACATACACAAGCGTACATGAACGTGCACACCCCTGAAGAATGGGGAGGGAGTTGTGAATGCCAAATTTTCTTTAAGAGCTGCTTTTTGCAGAGGGATGGGTTGAATCTATTTCATCAGGGTCACCCTCGTCACAACTCATTGACAGTTGTACAGTTGGCTGTTCAACTTTGAGAGGGCAGGAAGGGGCAGGAGGGGTGTGTGCTGTCAGCAAAGGAAAAGGGGTGGTGACTGCCCTAGGAAAGGAGAATACAAGGCATTTGCATGCATTCTCCTCCCCCCACATGGTTCCTGGGCCAGAGGGCCAATCCCCAGCCCTTCCTTCTTTCTCTGCTGCTTTTTATAAAGCTCTGAGCTAACCTGTAAGAACCATCTGCTGAGTGGGGAAAAGGAGACCAGTACTCAGTTGCTGGCCCACAGGCCTAACGCCCGGGAGCCATTGAAGCAGAGAGAGGGGAGGCAACAGGCAGATTTATGAGCAGCAATCTGTTCCCCCCCTCCCCCAAGGACCCTTTGCCAGGAGACAGCCTGATAATCCATCAACCCCACTAATGAATTAATTAGTATTCCCAGTAATCCTGACCCCCAAAGGAGACCTGCCTGTGGGCCCCTAAGCGGGGTAGAAACTGCCTTCTTCAGTCAGACACTGAAGACCTGAAACCAATGTCTGACATTAGGCCCCAGGGTGCTAAGCCTCAAGCCACGGATCCTGTTGCTGATGGTCCCCAGATGTCTCTCCTTCTCACCTTCCCATCGGAGATCACTAGCTTCTGCTGAATTAAAATCAAATGCGACCAACAAATGGAGTCCAGGGACATATATCAGGAACTGTAGCGAGCAAGAAGGTGGACTTCCAAGGAAGAAATGATTCGGGCTGCCCATCTTCAGGTTAGACTTGAGCAGAACCTAAAGTTGCTCTCCAAGTTTTAGGCACTGGGGCCTGGGATGGGGTTGGGATGGGGTGAGGGCTGGGGGAGAAGGTAAATAAAACATAGTCCTTGACCTCGAGAAGTTCAGCGTTCCAGTAGGGAAATAATACAGGTTCAAAAATAATTGTGAAACAGGTTAAAACAAAAAGTGATTTGTGACATGAACCTCTCCTGCATAACGACTAGAGAAAAACACAGAGGTGTCAGTTGGGTTTATGAATAGTTTGGAGAATAGCATCAGGGAGATTCAATAACCTTCCCTTACAGTAGCAAAGTGAAGTGCTTCATTCTTTTCAAAAACTCCGTAGTGAAGTGGGGTCGGGGAAAAGCTTAGGACTAAGGAATCCTGGGCTCTAAATCTTAGTCTGCCTCTGTGTGGCTGTGATGAGTTATCTAACCTCTCTGGCCTCACATTCCTCATTAGGCAATGATCAGCTTGGGTTATGATCTCTCAGAATCCTTCCAGCTCTGATACTCAATGATATAACATAGTTAAGTGTCACAATTCTTTTTTGAGGGTGAATAATACTGGCCCATTCAAAGGTATGGAGACAGAGTCCCCAGGTTTGAATAAAGCAATATATTAGGTTAATGGCAAAAGTGGGTCTAGAAACCAGGTAATAAATTTGGGTGTCCTCTTTCCATCTAGATTACTGGTCCCTGTTGAGAAGAACACTTGATTCAACCTTCTCACACCACATTCATTCAAGAGCTATACATATGGGCATTCACAGGGTATACAGAGTGGCTCATTCATTATGTAGTTTTTAGCTACACAAAACTGCCTGAATTTGTTCAGATCTGCTGGGGAAACTTCTCTACCTTTAAAAGCTCTGTACCATCCTCCAGCGTCCATTTCTGCACTTGCCATATCTAATTCCTAAGAGCAAGGTCCTCTAGGATTCAATGGAATCCTTGAATCATAACATTGACATTTATTAACCACGTGACTTCAGACAAGTTATTTATCTCACTGGGCCTCAGTTCTTCTACCTGTAAGCTGGAGGTAATACTGCTTATTCAATGAACTTGCTCTGATAAATATGTATGAAATAATACATGCAAAGTACCTAGTATACAGTCTGGCACTTAGCAAGTGCTCAATAAATGATAGTTATTATTGGTATTTTATCTTAAACATTTAAATCAAATTTGTATGTCTTAGAAATCAAAGAAAAGCTATTATCAGGATCTCCTTAAAAAGGCCCTGTTTTTGTGCTCCTATCTCAATCCAAGTATTCCTTTATTATAATAATGACCACACTATTAATTTACCCCACAAATGCATTTTATGCCTATATAAAGTCCCAGGCACCGTGCAAGATTCTGGGACTACAGAGCGCTGTAAGACTTCTCATTCCTAACCAACTTTCAGTGTAGTGGAAGAGGCAGTAAACTAAATATACAAATATACCTAAAACCTCTTCTCTGTGTCTGACTTTCTAACATAATGTGCCCAGGGAGCTATTATGTATCAGAGATATTAATTGCAGCATTGTTTTTAATAATGAAAAAGTTTATTATCAATACATTAAGTGACCAGTGGTTTAGCCAAAGTAAGATATGCCATTTATCTATACTAACAAAAATATACCACATATACTAACATGCTTAGGGGGAAATATAAAACCATTATAGAACTATAGGTTCAATATGATATACTTATTTTTTTAATGTATACACATGCATCAAATAATACATATAATTTACAGATACACATATACACACACACGAACTGAGAACAGTGGGTCTTTATCTCAGGAAATCTCAGAACTGGCATGAAATACATTGAGATCAGGTAGTTATTGAGGGAAATTGTTTTTTTTTTTACACAAGTATAATCTATTCATATGTAACTTGTGAATGCGAAATTGATTTTAAAACATAATTAAAATATGCTATCTTTAAAATCCTATTCCCCACTCATAGCCAAATTTATTTTCAGGAAAGGATCTGATAGCCACCCCCTACATCACCAATCACTGGAATATATATATAAGCTGATATGACTCTTTCATGAAAAGATTACCACACTGGCTTCCACCAACTCTCCCCTTATACACTCAGCCCCAGGAACACTTGCCCAGTCTTAGGAGCAAACTTTAAGTTGAATTTAAAAGGCTTCAATCAGGACTCTCTTAAGTTCTGACAAATATCTGATGGAGGGCAGTGAGAATTTCCTGAGAATGCAGACTTAATTTATACCACTGCAAAAATAATAGGATAAAGAGATTATGAAAACCAAATACCATCCTCAAGGTGCATTCAGTGTTCTGGAAGGACCAAACAGAGCACTACACTGAGCATTCTCAGATTAAAGTCAAAGCTCTATTAAGTTCAGTTTCCTTGCATGCATGGTAGCTTTGGGTGGTCTGCTCCATTAGGCCTGTGCTCTAGTCATGCCATCTCTCCTAAGCACTCATCAATTGAGGGAGGTAGAAGCCAGTGAGAAGAAACTAATTATTAACAGTAAAAATTGTAGCTAATCCTTACAGAACACTTACCATGTGTCAAATGCTATTAAAAGTGTTTTCATATATCATTTTATCATTGCACCACCTTATGAGGTAGTGTATTAGTTGTTTTCACACTGCTGATAAATACATACCTGAGACTGGGCAATTTACAAAAGAAAGAGATTTAATGGACTTACAGTTCCACGTGTGTGGGAAGACCTCACAATCATGAGGGAAGGTGAAAGGCATGTCTCACATGGAAGCAGATAAGAGAAGAGGGCTTGGGCAGGGAAACTCCCATTTTTAAAACCATCGGATCTACTGAGACTCAATATCAATGAGAACAGCATGGGGAAAACCTGCCCCCATGACTCAATTACCTTCCACTGGATCCTTCCCACAACACGTGGGAATTCAAGACGAGATTTGGGTGGGGACACAGCCAAATCATATCATTCTACCCCGGCCCCTCCAAAATTTCATGTCTTCACATTTCAAAACCAATCATGCCTTTCCAACAGTCCCCCAAAGACTTAACTCATTTTTGCATTAACTCAAAAGTCCACAGTCCAAAGTCTCATTGAAGACAAGGCAAGTCCTTTCCATCTGAAAGCCTGCAAAATCAAAAGTAAGTTAGTTACTTCCTAGATACAATGGGGGTACAGGCATTGGGTAAATACAACCATTCCAAATGGGAGAAATTAGCCAAATCAAAGGGGCTGCAGGACCCATGCAAAATCCAGCAGGTCAGTCAAATACTAAAGCTCCAAAATGATCTCTTTTGACTCCATGTCTCAGGTCGAGGTCACGCTGATGCAAGTGGGCAGCTCTGTGACTTTGCAGGCTATAGCCCCCCTACTGGCTGCTTTCCCAGCCTGGCATTAAGTGTCTGCAGCTCTCCCAGTCACATGGTGCAAGCTGTCAGTGAATCTACCATTCTGGAGTTTGGAGGACAGTGACTCTTTCCTCAGCTCCACTAGGCAGTGCCCCAGTAGGGACCCAATGTGGATGCTCTGCCCCACATTTCCCCTTCACACTGCCCTAGCAGGGGTTCTCCATGAGGGCCCCACCCCTGCAGCACACTTCTGCCTGGGCATCCAGGCATTTTCATACATCCTCTGAAATCTAGGCAGAGGTTCCCAACCCCCAATTCTTGACTGCTGTACATTCACAGGCTTAACACCACATGGAAGCTGCCAAGGTTTGGGGCTTGCATCCTCTGAATCCATGGCCTGAACTCTACATTGGCCCCTTTCGGCCCCATCTGGAGCAGGTGGGACACAGGGCACCAAGTCCCTAGGCTGCAAACATCATGGGGACCTTAGGCCCAGCTCAAAAAAAACACTTTTTCCTTCTAAACCTCTGGGCCTGTGATGGGAGGGGCTGCTGCAAAGGTCTCTGACATGCTCTAGAGACATTTGCCCCATTGTTTTGGTGATTAACATTTGGCTCTTCATTATTTATGCAAATTTATGCAGCCAGCTTGAATTTCTTCTCAGAAAATGAGATTTTCTTTTCTGTTGCATTGTCAGGCTGCAAATTTTCCAAACTTTTATGCTGCATTTCCCTTTTAAAACTAAATGCCTTTAACAGCACCCAAGTCACCTCTTCAATGCTTTGCTGCTTAGAAATTTCTTCTGCCAGATACCCTAAGTCACCTCTCTCAAGTTCAAAGTTCTACAAATCTCCAGCGCCGGGGAAAAATGCTGCCAGTCTCTTTGCCAAAACATAACAAGAGTCACCTTTGCTCCAGTTCCCAAAAAGTTCTTCATCTCCATCTGAGACCACCTCAGCCTGGATTTCATTGTCCATATCATTATCAGCACTTGGGTCAAAGCCATTCAACAAGTCTCTAGGGAGTTTCAAGCTTCCCCACATTTTCCTGTCTTCTTCTGAGCCCTCTAAACTGTTCTAATCCCTGCCTGTTACCCAGTTCCAAAGTTGCTTCCACATTTTCAGGCATCTTTTCAGCAGCACCCCACTCTACTGGTACCAATTTACTGTATTTAGTCCATTTTCACACTGCTGATAAAGAGATACCTGAGAGTGGGCAATTTATAAAAGAAAGAGGTTTAATTGGCTCACAGCTCCATTTGGCTGGGGAGACCTCACAATCATGATGGAAGGAAAAGAGGAGCAAGTCACGTCTTACATGGGTGGCAGCAGACAGAAAGAGAGGGCTTCTGCAGGGAAACTGCCATTTTTAAACCATGAGATCTCCTGAGACTTATTCACTGTCACAAGAAAAGCATGGGAAAGACCTGCCACCATGATTCAATTACCTCCCACCGGGTCCCCGCCACAACATGTGGGAATTCAAGATGAGATTTGGATGGGGACACAGCCAAACCATATCAGGTAGGTATTATTATTATTATCTCTGTTTTATAAATGAATTAATGGGATACAGAGAAAATTGTTTGCTCAACATCATAGCACTTGTATCCAAATCCTACGGTACTGGGATTTGGATATAAGCAGTCTACCTCCACTACACTATATTGCCATCCTAAAGCAGGTAATGGATAGTTAAGTATAAGTCCAGAATCTATTCTCTGGTTGCTCTAGGAGAGACACTGAAAGTAAAATGATTATCAGTAGTTCTTCTGTTGACTCATCCTGAAGCAGCTGGTGAAATGGCATCCCCATTTGATTCCCCATTGTCCAGAATATGTTCAGAAGAGCCATATTTTGCCCACAATATGCTTGCTGGAGATTCAATTTTAGGAAAGATTTTTCACTACCACAGCTCACAATGCAACATGAGGGGATGGTAGTATCTTGGTCCCTAGAAGCTCTTACAATAAGAAACATATCCTCCCACTCATGGGCTCTTCCCTGAGCCCTACCTTTCCTTAATCTCATGTCTGAAGACTCTAAATCATGAATATAGAGTGTAAAGAATAACCTGTCTCATGAAAATAGAATACTAAACCCTTTAAGATTTGAGCCAATTAGAGTGTTGAAAGGAGAACCTTATGGGAGCTGATTGTAAAAGCAAGCCATATTCTGTTCACCAGCCTGAGACTCAGCTTCCAGGTGGAGTTTTCTCATTGTTCCACTAACTTTAAGAATCAAAAATAGCAAAAGAATACAAGAAACATTCACATAGCCCAGTTCTTCAACTCTGACATTTTGCTTCTACTATAAATGATTCTTTTACCACAAGGTCTAGTTGAAATTCTCACTTTGCCCTTGTTCCTGCCCTCCTATTCTCTCAGCTACAACTACTTTAACTTCTAGACTCATTAATGCTGGTATGAACTAGGATGGCAGGGAGTCAGGAAACAGAGGCAACACATGCCACACAAAGCTGTACTAGCCCTTTGGGGTTCAAAAGTAAGTATTTTAAGATACCAGAATTTTAGGGTGGGAAAATGGATAAATATAGATGAAGAAACTGACATTTTCTAAGGGTCTGTACCATACGATTGTTGTATCAGTAGTCTGCATATATTATCATCTCCCTTAGAAATACATATAACCAGAATTTTCTGAGTTTTTTGCATTGAGTTGAGAGCATTACCTCATCTAATTACCTGAATTACCTCATGTAATTGCTGCAACAACTCTTTAGGATGGGTGCTATTTTATCACTTTTATTAAGAGATGAGGAGAATGAGGTCCATTAATTCATCCATTCAATAAAGATTTGAGTGCTTTCTATGCGCAATAGGCACTGGGGATGTATCAGTGAACAAAACAGAAAGGACAAGTAACTTGTTCAAGATCACACAACCGGGAAATAAATGCTGTACTTTGAAAGCCTGCTTATTTCTATGCCTCTTTTATTTATTTTTATTATTTTTCTATTCCCTTTATTCTTAAGCACTGGAAGGATAGATTTTAATAAAAATTAAATAAGTTAATGCCCCATTCCAAAATCCCGTCTTCTCCAAGGAGTAACATTGGTTAGATAAAGGGAAGTAATGGTCCCAGGGAGTTACCATAAAGGGAGATTCTCCATGGCAAGTTGAATAGTTTCCACAACCCACCCCTGCCCTCTCCGCAAACACACACACACACACACACACACGAGAGAGAGAGAGAGAGAAAGAGAGAAAGAGAGAGAGAGGAAGAGAGAGAGAGAGAGAGAGAGAGAGAGAATACACAACTATATGGTTACGTGACAATTTAGTCACATCCAGGGTGACAATGAGTTCTGGTTTGCTTAGCACAGTCATAGTTACCACCTGTTATAGATCAACTAATGCCTATTAATTATTTTTAGAGCTTCATTTACTTTTAAAATACCACAGCTCGTATGTATATTGTATTGTCCCCCACTCACACCGTGCATTGAAGTACCAAACTTACCCATTCCTTGACTTTAGGACCATAACGCTCCCTGGTTCATCCTAGTTAACTCCATCATTAAAGGAAAAACCTCTGTCTCATCCTCACTAGGCTGAAAAGGATCATGAAGAAGGGGGTTAGAGGAGTATAGAGATATTGGGGGCTCAGGGTTTAACAAATGAAAGATGATTAAAATGAGAATTGGAAAAGTAAGGTGAAGGAGGGGAAGTAAAAAGGCAAAAACAAAACCAAGCTCTCTTTACCCTATCCAATGACTCAGTGAAAAAATATTCTCTTTATATTCAGCCCCCACTCCTACCTTCACCCAGATGAATCCAGGAGTTAGAAGCCCAAATCCAGCTTTAAGGGTGAGAGTTGTTTTCCCCCAGGCTAAAAGAGATTTAATGTCTTTAATAGCTAAATTGAGGCTCTGAATATTTCCTGTGGGTACCAGCTGTGGCCAGGCTTAAACCACTGCACTATCCTCTAGGAACCTCCTGTGGTAATTTGCGGGGAGATGTTGCTCCCTATTATTAAGGGTGCTGGTGGAGTCTTCGCCTGTCCACACTCATGTATAGTTATTTATTTGTGGCATTAAGGATTTTATCTTGCGCTTAAGAATGGATGAAATGCCCAATCAAGTTCCCTGAGGCCTTAAGATATGATAGATCTGCCCTCCCTGTCCACATCTTCCCCTTTTCTCCCAGACGGCTCCAGAAAAATGCAGGCCTCCGGATCTATGAGCTTCTTTCCCCTCTCCCTAACTAACTCCCTTCACTCTCTCTTCTTCAGGCTTTTGGGTATCTCCACCTCCCTCGCAGCCCCCTCCCTACTGTGTGCCCTCTTCCCCCTCCCTTCTTTCTTCTTCTTTAGTGCACATGTTCCTCGATTTGATTTACTTCTGTACATTGTGTGGCTGTGCAACGGTTGGTCCTTAGAGAGCCCTCAAAGGGAGCACTCCATCTGTCAGCCTTTCACCATCCCCACTCTGGCCCCCAGCCATCACCCCCTCCCTTTTCTCTTCCCTGTGGGCAGTTTCTAAGAGAGCTGTGGAAGATTTAGGTAAACTTCCCTTTCCCCACTTCAGCCCACTTCATCCCTAGCTGGAGGCCTCTATTTTCCCTGCTCTCCCCCACGCTCACTCAACTTAATTCCTGCTATCCCCTCAAGGAAAGCCTTTGAAGTCACCGAAGTCAGTGAGAACAGTACTGTTTAGTGAAGTTGCTCTCATACTGGGATGCCTGAGGCTACATAATTAAGACTTACTGATGCAACAGTACATCGGGTTATCAATAAAGTCAGGATCAGGCACACTGATGGTTGGGAGCAGTGATGCAGAAAATGCCAATCACCTGATAATCCAAAATTATATCCCATTCAACACATATCTATTTGTTCAAATCCTGTGAGGTGCTGGGGATGCAAATGTGAATAAAATAAGAAATGATTCAGGAATTCCAGAGTTTCATAGTCCAATGGAGACTATTCACACATACGAATAACTTTAATAGAGGAAAAAGTATGATGAGTATAAAACATGCTCTAAGATTCTAAGAGAAGATGTCTCATGGCTCAGAGAATGGTTCCAGTAGGAGGTGAAATTTGATCTGTGCTTTGAGACAGATGCAGCTTTGTACTGTATTCCCATTAACTCAGCACCAAATATGGTCTGGATATTTACATGAATTTTTCTCTAAAGCTTCACAGTAACCTACTGTAGGTACCATGTGTAAGTAAAGTTGAAGAAGTTTAACTTAAGAAGATTTTTTTTAAAACTTAGGTGTTTTATTTTTGATTTTGGTGTGGAAGAGTTGTGAGAGCTGGAGAAAGTCAGCAGATTTCCTTGGTATATCATTTTTGACTGGGATTGAAAATGCAAATATTTGTTTTCTGAGAAAAGCATTGCATAATAATACCAGCTTTTAAGATTCTAATCATTTGGAGTCATAGAGAATATCAAACTCATATTTGCCAAGACCTCTAAATGTCTGCCTTGTATTTATTTTTCCTTCATTGGGCAGAAAGTCTGGATTATTTTGTGGATGAAAATAAAAGAAAAAATAATATACCCATAGTGACTTGAATGAAGTTACCCACTAAGATGGCTTGACTTATGTGAGTGGAGTTTATCTGGAAACAAACAAAATCAAACCACTTATAGCCTCTTTGGAGTTAAGATGTGGCTATAATCCTTTTATCTCATATTTTACCTCACATGTTTCTATCTACAGGAAACAATCCCATATTCAGAATTATTCTTGTGTGCAAGTAAATTCATCTGTTGTCTGTATAAGTCAAAATAAGGAATAACTGAAATGGGCTCAGTAGAATCATTAATTCAATTTAGGTAAGTTCAAAACATGAAACTTCATAGCTTTTACCTATAGAGTTTGCAGTAGATACACACAACATAGAAAATGGCATAAAATAAATTAAAATAACATAATATACAAAATTATATATACAATATGATCACAATTTCCTACAAGGCATACTACGAATTGAAATCTTTCTACACCCATACAGCTTATCGTCTATATTAACGTGGCTTTACAATTCCAGAAAGCTCTTGCCCAGAAGAAAAATGTCTTGTGTTGTTGTTGTTATTTTTAAGACAGGGTTGACTGGAGGCTCAACATCTTGGGCTCAGACAATCTTCCCACCTCAGCCTCTCAAGTAGCTGGGACTACAGGCACCTGCCATCCCACCCAGCTAGTTTTTGTATTTCTTTGTAGAGTCAGGGTATATTAGTCCGTTTTCATGCTGCTGATAAAGATATACTTGAGACTGGGTAATTTATAAAGAAAAAGAGGTTTAATGGACTCACAGTTCCACATGGCTGGAGAGGCCTCACAACCATGGTGGAAGGCAAAGGCACATCTTACATGGCGGCAGGAAAGAGAGAATGAGAGCCAAGTGAAAGGGGAATCCCCTTATAAAACCATCAGCTCTCATGAGACTTGTTCACTACCACAAAAACAGTACGGGGGAACTGCCCCTGTGATTCAATTATTTCCTCCTGGGGACTCTCCCACAACATGTGGGAATTATGGGAGCTACAGTTCAAGATGAGATTTGGGTGAGGACAAAGCCAACCCATATCACAGGGTTTCACCATATTGCCCAGCATGGTCTTGAACTCCTGGGCTCAAGTGATCCGTCTGATTCCTGAAGTGTTAGGATTACAGGCATGAGCCAGCATGCCTGACCAAAAATATGTATTAAATAAATTTTTTTCGGAATTCACAAAAAAAGATTAAATGAACATCAAATGACTGTTTACCATCCAAGATCCTTCAAAATTCTCACCTCATAACTCTTATCTTGCTTCCTCTCCCTATTCTAAAGTATTATATTGTAATTCTTACTCAGCTCTATTCATTCCTCACATTGAAAGCTCCTTCTTAAACTATGCCTGCAAACCTTATAAATATCTTGACTCCTCCTTCTCTTCATAAAAAATAATATTAAAACTCTAACAAGATAGTGATCTCTCTTGCCAGCAAAAAACTCAGCTTTGTATATTCATGTGGCCAACAAACGTGAAAAAAGCTCAACATCACTGATCATTAGAGAAATGCAAATCAAAACCACAATGAGATACCATCTCATGTCAGCAATAATGGCAATTATTAAAAAGTCAAGAAATAACAGATACTGGTGAGGTTGCAGTGAAATAAGAATGCTTTTACACTGTTGGTGGGAATGTAAATTAGTTCAACCATTGTGGAAGACAGTCTGGTGATTCCTCAAAGATCTAGAAGCAGAAATACCATTTGACACAATAATCCCATTACTGGGTATATACCCAAAGGAATGTAAATCATTCTATTATAAAGATACATGCATAGGTATGCTCATTGCAGCACTATTCACAATAGCAAAGACATGGAATTAACCCAAATGCCCAGCAATGATAGACTGGATAAAGAAAATGTAGTACATGTACACCATGGAATACTATGCAGCCATAAAAAAGAATGAGATCATGTCCTTTGCAAGGGCAAGGGTGGTGCTGGAAGACATTATCCTCAGCAAACCAATGCAGGAATAGAGAACCAAACACCACATGTTCTCACATATAAGTGGGAGCTGAAAGATGAGAACATGTGGACACACTGCAGGGAACAACATACACTAGGGCCTGTCAGGGTAGGGGAAGAGCATCAGGAAGGATAGGTAATGCCTATTGGGCTTGATACTTAGGTGATGGGTTGATCTGTGCAGCAAATCACTATGGCACAAGTTTACCTATGTAAGAAACCTGCACATCCTGCACATGTACCCCGCAACTTAAAATAAAAGTTGATGAAAAAAAGAAAACTCAGCTTTGTCTTATCAACAACTTATTTTGTTAGACTTTTTAGAAAATTCACATTTAGAAACACTCAAAGAAAAAAGATGGGAAAGAAATATAGCAGACTTTTAGCAATGATTATCACTTAGGCAGTAGGCTATGTGTGATTGTTTTAATTTTTTATTTTTAGAGTAAAAATGTTTTACCACTTTAAGTAAGTTAACGGTCAAATGTGCAATTCCAATAAACATTCCACATCATTATAACACAGAGAACATTAAAATCATTTAGAAAGCAATTCATCATGGTGGAGCAAGCCACAAACTTTGGCATCACAATTCTATATTCCTTCTACAATCAACTAAATGTGTATTATGATGCTCTAAAGCCATCTTGTCAAAAATTGATGATGTCCAAGTATGCATTTTCAGCCCAGACCCCACCCTGGACTCTAGACCAGTACATCCAATTGCCAACCTGATATCACCAAACAATGACTAAAACGTATCTCAAATTTAGCGTGTCTATAGCTGAGCTCCTGCTCGTCCCCTGTATCACTCCTCCTCCAAGCTTCAGGTTCTCAGTTATTATTGGCAACCTCCTTTCCCCCGTTGCTCAGGCCAAGAACTTAAGGTCATTCCTGGGTGCCCTTTCTCTTATGCTTCCAATCCATCAACACATTTTTATTGATCCCACATCCAAAATTTAAGAATCCCACTAGTTTTGCCACCACCCTTGTCTGAGACACATCATGTTTTACCTGGAATACCGCCATAGTCTCCTGACTGGTCTTCCGACTTATGTCCTTGATCCTTTCATTCTATTCTCAACACAGCAGTGAGAGAGACAGTTCTGCCCCTTTTTAGTTCCAAAAGTTCTAATGACTTCATATTTTACTCAGAGTAAAAGCCCAGGTTCTTACAATGACATCCCAGGCTCTACATATTCTGCCCCCCTCCGCTTCCCATCACTCTGATCTGGTCTTGGACCCACTTTGGCTTGCACATTCTATTCCAAGATCATTGGGTTTTTTTGTGATTCCTCAAAAGCCCTGATCCTGTCTCAGGGCATTTGCACTTGCTGTCTTCTCAGCCAGAAATGCTTTTACCCCAGATATCTACATACTCCCTCCCTCATCTCCTGCAACCCTTACTCACCTCCTGCAACCCTTACTCACATCCAAATCATATTCAGATTAGATTATTGTGCCTCCCTTTATAAAATAAAATAATTTTTATTCTTTATTTGTTAAAATCCCATTTATTTGTTTAGTCCATACCATCTTCTCAGGGATTTTTCTTTCCAGGCTGAATCGGTCTTCTGTCTTTCCAGTAAATGAACAAGCACTTGTTTTTTAATCTCTGTCATAGCACTTGTTCCATGTTGCATCATCAACATTAATGCTGTTTGTTCATTTCTCCTACAGAATGCAAGCCCTTCTCAAGCTGAAAACTTGTCATACTCCTCAGTGTAGTCTCTGCAACACAAAACACAGTACACTTACTACGTATGTTGAGCAGAACTCTGGTTATCTCGACAATCCCCACATTATTGATGTGACAACCTGACATCATTGCAGAAATGTTTACAAAGTATTTATGATTCCCAGGCATTGCTCCAGGCACTGGGGATCTAGTGGAGGAATTGGACTAATGAGTTTCTTTCCAATTGAACGATGTTGTTTATGTTTAAATCCAAACTTGAAAATTAAATTTCACAGCTGTTCTTAGGAAAAAATCTCCTGACACTTAACAGTCAGATGTTCTACCTTGGTTTCAGCTTGTCCTAGATCCCTCCTATTATGAAAGAAATCCTTTTCTCTTTTCCAGGGAGAAGTTATTGTTGAGAATTCTTTACTCAAAACAAATATCTTTGTCCTATGCCTCAAGGAGCTTATGACTTTAAAATGCTTAAGACACTGTAGAAACGATTGAATTAAATGTGTTATAGAATATACATGCTGGCAAGAGGACATAGCGGAAGGTCAAATAATTTATTTGAAGAGTCAGTCTGCAAAAAAGAGAAAGGAGAATGGCTTAAAATGAGAAAAAAGATGTAGAACTCTGCCTTCTCTGTCTTTGTCTAGAATCCGCCTCTCTTCTCCCATCAGCTCTCTTCCTTCTCCTGGATGATTTCCTCCCCTCCAATCCTCTCTACTCCTCTCCATACCTTGCTCTTGAATAACTCATCCTTTGGTTGGGTGGATACAAGTACAGAAAAAATTGGCCATAAAAAGCAGCAAAGGGACACGAGGAACTGCTAATGAGGGAGCAGGTCTAGTAAACCGCTCAGGCTCTGCAGCATTTTCAAAATTAGGCAAGAAACAAATTATACGTTCCTTTCCCGTATTCTGAAAGCAGCGCCAGTTACAGGATTTTTTTTTTTTTTTTTTTTTTTTTGAGATGGAGTCTCACTCTGTCGCCCAGGCTGGAGTGCAGTGGTGCGATCTCGGCTCACTGCAAGCTCCGCCTCCCGGGTTCCCCCCATTCTCCCACCTCAGCCTCCCGAGTAGCTGGGACTACAGGCGCCCGCCAGCAAGCCCAGCTAATTTTTTGTATTTTTTGTATTTTTTAGTAGAAACGGGGTTTCACCGTGTTAGCCAGGATGGTCTCGATCTCCTGACCTCGTGATCCACCCGTCTCGGCCTCCCGAAGTGCTGGGATTACAGGCATGAGCCACCGCGCCCGGCCGGGAACACTTACAATTTTGAACTTCAGACCCAGACTCATTGTTGTCGGTAGCTATAATGTTTGTTATGCCTTGTAAGCTATGTTCTTTCAGACATATGTTCAAACTGATTTAGTCCATCAATAAGCAAACCGTGTGCCTGCTCTGATACGGGTCCTAGGAAAATGCTTACAAAGAACTCCGACAAATTATCTTTGCCCTTAAGGAAATGAGAAAGAAAATTGGCATGTCTTCAGCTAATTTCACACCATTTTCTAATTTAATACTCAATATAAATTATGAAGAAACATTATTGCATTTTTTTTTTAAGATGGAGTCTCACTCTGTCGCCAAGGCTGGAGTGCAGCAGCGCGATCTCAGCTCACTGCAACTTCCGCCTCCTGGGTTCAAGAGATTCTCCTGCCTTAGCCTCCCGATTAGCTAGGATTACAGGTGCCACCCCACCCGGCTAATTTTTTGTATTTTTAGTAGAGACGGGGTTTCACCGTGTTAGCCAGGAAGGTCTCGATCTCCTGACTTCATGATCCGCCTGCCTCAGCCTCCCAAAGTGCTGGAATTACAGGCATGAGCCACTGCGCCCGGCCTATTGCATCTTTTACAACAGATAAGGACACTGAGGAGCTAAGAGGAACATTAATCACCCAATGTGCAAACTTATTAAATGCCATGGCAGGACTCTAACCCTTGTCTGCCTGACTGCAAGGTTCATAATCTTCTCATTGCTCAGAGTGGTTGGGGAGACAGATAACTGAGTGAGGAAATGCTTGAAAGACAGCATGAAAGACAGAAATATGTCCATATAAGGCATGTGTTTAGGAAGTGTAAAAATTCTCACGGGCTACGGAATTCCAGACCTATATCATGCTGATACAGTCAGTGGTTTATTCTGAAGAGAGGTCTTAAAATAAGTTGTTTGGTCTACTGTCCCTTTCTGAGAACAGTGGTTCATTCTCTCTAAAATTATAATATAGGTGTTGTGTAAAAATTAAAGCCCAACAGTGTAGCTGACTGGGCTAAGGGTCAGAGAAGACCTTGTGTAGCTTTGACGTAGAGACCAAACCCCTCTGAAGAGGCCAAAGACAAAACTTTCGCCAGTAGAAATGCTTCATTTTGGATGTTGGTGAGAGGAACTTAGCAGATCCTCTCTTGGGAAGTAACAATATTAAGTATACACAGAAAGTGAGTTTGAGTCCAGGTTGGTGCCTTAGTTATCTCATTCTCCCTCTCTGTGCTCACCATCCTGGCATCCCTGGGACTCGGAATAATCAGGCTTCTGTTGCTGTATACTCCCGTACTATTTCACTTCCCCACATAGCCTTGTAGTAAACACAGATTACTAGAGACTTCTGCGAGTCTTTCTTTATCACTTGAAAGACCTTCCCTGATGGAATCTTAAAGACAGAGAAGCAAAGAGAAGTAAAGCAGGCACCAGGATGCGTAAATGGCATCCGCCTAGGTGCATTACTTGGTCAGCAGGGCCTGCTCAGGGTCTTGCTGAGCTAAATGTACTTTTCCATCTATTCATTCATTCGACCAATCTAAATTCAGTGTGTACACTGGGCCAGCTGTTGTGCTGAGAATATATGGATGAATACAACAGAGTCTCTTTCTGATGGGATTTACATTTCACAGGAAAGTCCAGTGATGATGGCTGTGCCTACTCTGGAAGGGAAGGAGGGGAGCAGGGGGACCACTGCAGCTGCTGAGGACAGAGCTGTCTCCCACTTCCCCTTTCCCACATCACACTTACTAACTGCTCAGCCTCCTGCTTTTCAGTGGTGTCAGGGCAGTAAATCCCAAGTCCATAAGTAAGAAATGGTCTCAACTGATACCAGGATAAAACAGCTACCAAGCCCGTAACTATCTGATCTGCATGCCTTTCTCACATCCCAACATTCACCACTTTGTTTTTGAATACTGTATACTACAGCTACAGGAAGTTCTTCACGCTGCCCTGGTCTATTTGTGCCTTTTCTATACACTCACGTGTCTCTTCTCATGTCATTTCCTCCATGGGACCATTTCTCTCTAAATCACTGTTTTAGTTCATTTTTACTTGACTCTCTGGAATAAACACTTACTTCAATCATTCCTGCTTCTAAGAATATTCTTGATACACCTATGAAAAATTAGGTGCCCATTACAAGTGGAATTGTGTTTCCCCCAAAAAAGATACTTTGAAATCCTAATGAGAACCTCAGAATGTGACCTTATTAGGAAACTGGGCGATGGCAGGTGTAATTAGTTAAATGATGGTGAAGTTATACTTGAGCGGGGTGGACCCTAATCCAATATGACTGTTGTCCTTATAAGAAGGCGACTATGAGCCGGGTGTGGTGGCTCATGCCTGTAATCCCAGCACTTTGGGAGGGCGAGACAGGCAGATCACAAGGTCAGGAGTTTGAAACCAGCCTGACCAAAATGGTGAAACCACATCTCTACTAAAAATACAAAAATTAGCAGGGTGTGGTAGCGCGGGCCTGTAATCCCAGCTACTCAGGAGGCTGAGGCAGGAGAATCGCTTGAACCCGGGAGGCAGAGGTTGCAGTGAGCTGAGATGGCACCTTTGCACTCCAGCTTGGGCAACAGAGTGAGACTCCATCTTAAAAAAAAAAAAAAGGAGGTGACTATGTGAAGACAAAAACACACACAAAGAACTCCATGTGAAGACAGAGATTTGGAGTATTGCATCTACAGGAGTAGGAATGCCAAAGATTGCCGGCACACCACCAGAATCTAGGAGAAGACAAGGGAGAATTCCCCTATAAGCTTCATGGAATGTGGCCAGCTGATACCTTGATTTCAGGCTGCTACCCTACAATAAACACCACTCAATTTCCAGTACTTTGTTAATGGCAGTGACTGGAAACAAACACAATGCCCCTCCTCTGAGCTCTCATTGCAACTTCTAATTATCTATGCATCTGTCTCTCTTTCTCTAGACTGAGTTCCTGCAGGGGAAAGACTCTCCTTTTCTTCTACCCTGGATCATCTCTAGAGCAGTGCTTGGTAAGGTGCTGAAAACTTGGCACTAAATGATCAAATGAATGAATAAAGAGGCAGAGAAGGTTGCTGAGTATATGGAAGAACATCAGAGATCCAGTCAGAGGTTTTCTTTTGTTTTTAGAAATTCTACTACCAGAAATTTTTCCTTCAATGCTTTGAAATATCAGATTCTTCCTTAAATGCACTTCCAAAGGAAGTAGTCACACAAAAATGGAACAATTATTTGTGGGAGGGATCATTGTAGGCAAATTTGAGAGGAAAGTTGGTGGCAAAAGAAAGGGCCCTAACGGGGGTTGCCCAGACCTTTAAGAGGCAGATCTGCTCTCCCTCAGTTAGGAGGACATGAATTTGGGGTCCAGAAAACTCCAGAAGTAAAACATCCGTCAGCTGTTCAAGGCCATCTCTGGCTACTCCTTTCGTCTTATCCTTTATGCGTGCAGGTCATGAAATTGCTATGACTTTCTTGTCCCTATATCTTTTCTCTCTCTACCCAGAATTCCTATCCTTATTTTATTGGCCTTCTGAACAATTTTTCAAAACCTCACCAAGAATCACCTCGTCATTGATGCCTTTTCTGATTCTTATTGCAAGCCTCTTGTGTTGCCACTGCGCCTTGCACAGATTTCTTGATTTCTGCACATCTACACACATTTAGACCCATCATGAGGTCCTGATCTTTCTGAAGGCAAGAATTATGCCTTTACATGTTTCAATACCCATCTCAGTATGTGGCATATGGCAAGTGAGCAATAAATGTTTGTGGAATCAAGAAATTAAGTAAACCTTGTCTCTAGGGAAATTGTTTTACATCAAACTAAAACCTGGGCTTGGAAAGCTTCCGTACTTTCATACTTAAGTCCTTATGGATGAACCATAACCGAACTTAGTAGGTAGGCAGGGTGGAAATCTAACTGAGGAGTATACTTCTGTAACAAAAGCTGAGTCTCAGCCAATCCCAGTAGCCATACTCCAGCCATTCACAGGCTGTTGTTTAAACCATGTTTAAGTAAGGCAAAATGCCAAGCTGTAACCAGCCTAGCTATTTCCGTACATCACTTCCGTTTTATGTAAATCACTTTCCTTTTTTGGTCCATAAACTCACTCTGACCGCCAGGCATCCCTGGAGCCTCTCTGAATCTGCTGTGATTCTGGGGGCTGCCCAATTCATGAATCTTTTTTTTTCTTGTTCAATTAAACTCTGTTGGCCAGCACAATGCCACACACCTGTAATTCCAGCATTTTGAGAGGTCAAAGGAGGAGCATTGCTTGAGCCCAGGATTTTGAGACCAGCCTGGACAAGATAGCAAGACCCTGTCTCTGCAAAAAGAAAAAGAAATTTAATTAAAAAATCTATTAAACTCTGTTAAACTTAACTTGTCTAAAATATTTCTTTTCACAATTGAAACTTTTATGTTGTTCCAGCCATAAATAAGGAAAGGTAAAAGTTGAAGAATCAGCCTTGAAACAGTGTTCTGTAAGGGAAGCAACACTCTTTTTCACATGAGACAGAAGTAAAAAGAATTCAGCAACAATCATTTCAGGACAGGTTGCAGTGAGTATCTGAAGGAAAGATTTTGGTGCTGGGAACAAGGGAGGGACTCACAAAGGTAGCAGAAGAGTCTCATTCACGAGAAAGAGTTTCATGCTATGTTCTCTTCCTTGGCCTGATGGTGGTGGTCAGGCCCAGCTGAGCTGACCTGCAGGACAATGGATGGGACTTAGAAGGGTCATTTGAGTAAAACTCTCTTCTCCCATTCTGGTGTAATCTAATTCAAGGGCCCAGATTGGTTGGGGAAGACAAAACCACCCAGGCAAGAAGAGTCAAATATCCTCTGCAAATATTGGCAGTGCTCATTTACTTTTTATTGGCCCTGTACCCCAAAGGTGGGGGAAGACAATTCCATCCCAGAAAATATAATTAGTCAGCCTGCTGGTTTGGGCTCTAATTTAATCTGGGCAGCTGTGCCAGGAGCTTATATTAGCATGACACTGGGAGGCGGAGAATATAATTACTGAGCAATAGAGAAGGGGAGGAGAAGTGGGATGGTGACCAGTGTGTGTCTGTGATAGAGGATGGAGCTGGGGGGAGGGTGATGTCTATGGAGGGCGAGGATTCCTTTGGGAGTAAGGAAGAGGAAAGGGGCTTCTGGCAGTGGATGGACGGTGACTTTAATTTGGCTTTTGAGAAATTAGTGTGCAGTATATATATGTGTGTGTGTGTGTGTTGGGATGTTGGGTGTTGGGGGAGGGGGATTCGTAGCTCCAGGCTGGTCCACTCTGCATGACAAAGGTGAGCTTGAGAGTTGATGGATGGGCTTTGTGAGTTACCCTGGAGGGAATAGATGGGGGATGTTGGAGCAGGTTATGGCTGAATTTGGGACAAATATCCTTAGATACTTTTTCAGAGGATCAATCTAAATGGGGGAAGCAGAATGAAGACATGAAATTTGCACATGTATTATCTCCTTTTTGTTTCAGGCAGAAGAGATGTGATTAAAAGAATACTTCTTAGGTGATTTCATTCGTTCATACAGGAAAGCTACCAGGTACAAATTTGCTGCCAGGGTACTTACTTTCAGCTGGGCTCTAGGTTAAGCAGCTTACACTTACTGTCTTAAGTAGTCCTTGCCAAGCTCAACAAAAGTGTTAGGTGTTATAATCCTCATGTAACAATTGAGGAAACTGAGGCTCAGAGACTTTAAGTAAAATGCCCACAGTCACATAGCTAGTAAGTTTTGAAGGTATGATTCAAATCCAGGCTTGTCTGACTCTAAACACTGTGCTAATAATCCACAACTCCAAATAGCTATTATCCTCTCCATTTATATATGGGGAAACTGAGGCTCAGAGTGGTAAAGTAATTTGCATTTGCTCAAAATGTGAGTTACTATCAGAAGTTAAAATAGAATTTGGATCTTATGCAATACTGTCTCTTTACCAGAGGACATATGGGGGAAAAGAAGAAGATATTGTTTGCCGAGGAAAGAGCTGGATATACAGAAAGAAACAAATAGAAACCAGGTTTCCTCACCCTCAACCCAATGCTCTTTCACTGTAAGTGACAAATGTGACAACAGCTAAAGTCTCTGCTCCTTTCTTAAGTACTAGATGATATACTAAGCTTTACATACTCCCTCATTTCACTTGCACATCACTTTGAGGTCGCCACTATGATCGTCTCGTGTTACATGAGAAGGCGAAGGCTTCAAGGATGTGTAACTTGCCCAAATTCAAATAGCAGGTTAATGACAGAGCAGGGAGTCAAACCCAGACAGGCCATTCTCTAGTCACTGCCTCCCTATGGAACACACGGCCCCTCCAGGCATCATCGCATCCCTCCCGTTGTCAGAAAATCTTGGAGATCCATAGAAATCTTTCTTTATGACAAACATAAGCCAGTCCCACTCAGATGTCTGTCTGTTATTGCAGAGAGTAGGTAGACATGTAGGGATACACTGGGGATCCTTTTCTTTACCCTCAGAGTTAATTTTCCCTGTGGCTTTTAACCTTTCCTCTCCCCTTCAAGGACTCGCAAAATCATTCTGGCCCTACCCTAACTGCCTCTTGTCTTCTAAGAAAAAGCAGAGGAGAAGCCAGTTTCTCCTTTTCCTTCATACTTTGAGGTTCTGTTGCTCTTTCAGCTCTGTTTTTCCCAGGCAAATACCTCCCACTGGGGCCTTGAGAACCACTGGGAGTCAGAGGCAAGAGAAGCCAGCTTTCCTCCTCCCAAAGGAGGAAGATATGGAAGCTGTGCTCTCAGGCCTCTGGAAACCCAAGTTAGCTAGAGGAGAACCCCCAACGCCCGCCTGCAGAGTTCTGCTTGCTCAGCTGCTCAGCATCTGCCCTGCACCCAGAACTGGGTCTTCCCTAGGGTTCCTGCCAATCTCCTGGGCTCTGGCAAGAGGAACCAGGGGTGCAGATGTGTCCTGCATCCTGAAGCCTGCGGGCATCACTGGGCAGCCCCACAGCTCACGTTCAGGAAACCATCTTGATTGTACAGATTTCCTCCTGCTGATGTCCTCCACCCCTACAGATTTCTCTCCTTATCTCTTCTCCCTCACTCCTCTAAATCCACACGTGCCCTAAAAGGGCACATGATAAAATTACACAGATCTCTTGACTAAAAGTCAAAAGGCTTGATTTTCCCACTAGCTGTGTGGGCATTGATTTTCATCTGTCAAATGAGACAATTGGCATCTGCTCTCCATTTCCCACAACTTGTCATGAGAATGTGAGGAAAATGTGTATTTAAAAAGCTGGTATGTCAGTGACAAGCCAATGTTAGTATTGTCACTGCAATCAATGGATTATAAAGTAGCGTATATAATGCATATAGGTTTCAGAATCAGAGACATCAAGCTTTAAATCGTGGCCTTCTACAGAGACTCCTGAACCTCAGTTTCTTCATCTGTATAATTGGAATGCTAGTGCCTGCCTTGAAGGGTTGCTGTGAGATTTACACGAGAGGATGTACAGAGAAACAACCAGAAGAGAGATGGGTGAGTTGGAAGAGCTTAATGTATGTTTCTTTTCTCCCATATTCTAATGTTTTCCAAATTTAATCCAGAGCTGTTAGGTCTCTGCACTTATGATTGTGCTGGTTGTTCCTTGCACAAGGGAATCTGCCCAAAGGAACAAATCCATCCAAAATGTGTGATCTGAGCCTGGGCTGCACTGGCCTGATAGGAGGACATCACCAATCTACCAAGATTCGTATGTGCTAGACTCAAGGTTAAAAGATTACCTGGAGCAGGTCAGAACTTGGGTACCAGAGTCCCAGACAAAAGGAAGGCCTAGGCTGGGTGCGGTGGCTCACACCTGTAATCCCAGCACTTTGAGAGGCTGAGGCGGACAGATCACTTGAGGTCAGGAGTTCGAGACCAGCCTGGCCAACATGGTGAGACCCCGTTTCTACTAAAAATACAAAAATTAGTTGGGTGTGGTGGCAGGCGCCTGTAATCCCAGCTACTCGGAAGGCTGAGGCAGGAGATTTGCTTGAACCCAGGAAGCACAGGTTGCAGTGAGCTGAGATCGCACCACTGTACTCTAGCCTAGGAGCCAGAGCGAGATTCCATCTCAAAAAATAAAACAAACCAAAAAAAAAAAAAAAAAAAAAAGGAAGGTCTACAATGTGTCAGAGTTGAAGATAGTAAAATCACACACTCACAGTTTCTAGGGTGACATTTCTAAACATGGTTCTGATTTTATCCTATCCAGCTCAATATATTTTTGATGACTCCCAACTCTTAAGAAGATAAAATACCAAAACTAGTAGGTGAGAGTTGAAAGCTTAATAAGGAATAGGATATTGACATAGTTTGAAAATATTTAAAAGTACTTTTTAATTTAAAAAGGAAAATTATAAATTTACAGTGGAAAAAAAGAATACCACATTATATTACCAATAATAGGAAAACTGATACTACATACTTCCTGATGTGATGCACTGGGGAGACATCATCACATGTAGTAATCCTGACAAAATTGTCTAACGCAGATTGAATCACATGAACTGCAGACAAATCAAATTGAGAGATGCTCTACAGAATAGAAGGACTATACTCTTTAAAAATATCAACATCAAGTACACCATGGACACAAAGCAGGAAGCAACTTTGGGTCTACTTGAGGGTAATGAGTGGGAGGAGGGTGAGGATCAGAAAACTACCCATTAGGTACTATGCTCATTACCTGGGTGATGAAAGAATGTGTACAGCAAACCCCGCAACACCCAATTTACCCATGTAACATGTACCCCTGAACCTAAAACAAAAATTGGAAAGGAAAAAAATTCAATTTCCATGAAAGATAAAGAAAAGTAGAGAAAGAATTTCAGATTTAAGGAGACAAAAGAGACATGAAAACTATATGCAGTGTGTGATCCTACATATTATTTGGAAAACAATAAAGTCTGTAAACTAGATGATTGTATCAATGTTATTTTTAAAATTTTGATAATTATACTATAGTTATGAAAATTATTGTCTTTAATTTTAAGAGGCAAAGGGGCATAATATCTACAACTGATTCTCAAAATGTTGGGAAAAAATACATTATAATAAAGCAAAATATTAACAATTTTAAGTCAGAGTGACAGGTGTACAGAAGTTCTCTATTTCAAAGGAAAACTGTTAAAGTTAAAACAAATTTCATAACCCAAAATATGGTATTCAAGATTTCTTAGATCTAAACTTAATTTAGGTTAATTATCTTAGGTTCCACTCACTCTTTCTCATAACACAACTCACAGTATAGCCATGCTGAGCTACTTGATTTTTCCCAAACATACCCTATACTTTTCCATCTTGGTATTTATGCTCACTCAAATCTCTCTGTGAGTACAGACTACTTTTTACTCCTTAACCTTTTGAAATTCTATTCAACCCTGAAAACTGTTTAATTTAAAATGAGCAATCTGGCCGGGCATGGTGGTAGTTCATACCTGTAATCCCAGCACTTTGGGAGGCTGAGGGGGGAGAATTGCTTGAGCCCAGGAGTTTGAGACCAGCCTGGGCAACTAAGTAAGATCCTGTCTCTACAAAAAAATTAGCCAGGCATGGTGGTGGTGCCTAGTCCCAGCTACTCGAGAGGCTGAGGTTGGAAGATCTTTGGAGCCCAGGAGGTCGAAGCAGCAGTGAGCCATCACTGTGCCACTGCACTCCAGCCTGGGCCCTGGGGAGACCCTGTCTCCAAAGACGAAAAAGAAATCCAAAAAAATAAAAGGAAGAAATCTTCGATTGCTTATTCAGCTCCTAAATTCGTTCAATCTCCTGTGATACAAATCAGACAAACAGGGGTTGTCCAGATACTCCATAATTGGGTTAATTCATCAGTCTGGGTTAGACAACCTCCTGGGCAGTGGGCTAATCTGAGATTTCCACCTATGTAACTGTGAGATTAAAGAATGGGTATAGGCTGCCACCTGGTGGTCATTAGGAGTACAGTCTTGAGCTGCATAACAATATTCTGATCAAGGATGGACCGCATATACCACAGTCTCGTAAGATTATAATGGAGCTGGAAAATTCCTATCACCTAGTGACGTCGTAGCCATGGTAATGTGGTAGCACAATGCATTACTCACGTTTACTTGCATGTTTGTGTTGATTGCTCGTGTAAACAAACACTGCGTGCCAGTCATATAAAAGTAGAGTACATACATCTACGTATAGTACATATTTAATAATGATAATAAACAACTGTTACTGGAGTAACAGTTTTTGTATGTAGTTTATGTATTTACTGCATTATACTTTTATGTATAGTGCTCTGTACCTATACATATACTAAACTGCACTATACTTTTATGTATAGTTTATGTATAGTTATGTATAGTTTATGTAGTTTATGTGTTTACTGCACTATACTTTTTATTGTTGTCTTACAGTGCACTACTTCTACTTGTTTAAAAAGTGAACTGTAAAGCAGCCTTAGGCAGGTCCTTCAGGACCTCTTCCAGAAGGCATCGTCCTCATAGGGAGATGACAGCTCCATGCCCCTGAAGACCTTCCAGTGGGATAAGATGTGGAGGTGCAAGCCAGTGATATTGATTATCTTGACCCTGTGTGGGCCAAAAGTAATGTGTGTATTTGTGTCATAATTTTTTTAAAAAGTTTAAAAAGTAAAATAAAATAATTTAAAAATTAAAAAAGCTTATCAAATAAGGATATAAATAAAATATTTTTGTACAGCTGTACAATGTGTGTTTTCAGCTAAGTGTTATTAACAAAAAAGTCAAAAATTTAAAATTGTATAAAATAAAAAAATTACAGTAAGTTAAGGTTAATTTATTAATGAAGAGAGAAAAATATTTTTAAGTAAGTTTAGTGTAGCTTAAGTGTCCAGTGTTTATAGAGTCTACAGTGATGTACAGTAATGTCCTAGGCCTTCACGGTCACCTGCACCCACTCACTCACTCACCCAGAGCAACTTCGAGTTCTACAAGCCACATTCATGGTAAGTGTCCTATACAGGTGTACCATTTTTTATCTCTTATACTATATTTTTATTGTACTGTTTCTATGTTAAGATGTGTTAAGAGCTACAAACACTTCCCACTGTGTTCCAATTGCCTACAGCATTCAGTACAGTAACATGCTGTCCAGATTTGAAGCCGAGGAGGAATAGATTGCATCATATAGCCAAGGCGTGCAGTAGGCTATACCATCCGGGTTTGTGTAAATGCACTCTATGATGTTCACACAAGGACGCATTTCTCAGAGCATGTCCCCGTCACTAAGTGATGTATGACTGTGTAACAGGTTGGGGGTTCATCTGTGAAGACAGAGGTTTGCAGGGTGGGAAAAGTCAGAAAGAGACACAATCTTACTTAATTCATCTATGGATCACAATATCCACTTTTGAGATTGTTTTCAGGATTCAAGTTAAGATATATTAGTCATTTTTCGCAGAGTATTCACTCATTAAATGATAGTATTATTAGAAATATAAAACATTACACTGGGAAGAACCCTAAAGACAGTTTATTTTTACTTCCTCATTTTACATTTAAGGACTCTGAAACCCAGAAAAGAAGCAGAGTAAGGCCTAAAGGACAGGATTTTTTACTTCTCACTCCTTAACGCATAGGTCAAAAGGGACAGGTTCAGTGTAAGTATAGGGAAAATTATAATATGTAGCTGTGGAGCACTTTAAGTCATTTAAATCTCCTTCACTCCCACTTTCTCAGTTGTTCCTACCTTCTAAGGGAGGCAGGACAGGCTATGGGAGCAGGATGAGTGTTGCCAGGCCAGGTGCCTGAGAAAGATGAGATGTTTCCTCCAGTGGGTGGACAAGAGAAGTTGCCTTTTGCAGTTTGGGTGGGTGGTTACACTTCAGTTTCACTTTCTCTTGCATGTAAATCATTTCCCTCAGATTCTCTCTCTGCTTCTCTCTGATTCAGTGTCTCTTCTCTCTTTTCCTCCTCCACCTCTTCCTCCTACTCTTTCTCAAACCTAACAGAGAGAACTCTCCTTGGATCTGACACTCCTGCGCGCGCGGAACATACTCTGGGGTGCCACATGGACCATCTCGCCACCTGCAGATATCCCTCTGATCAGAAGGCCGCAGTTGTCCCATTTCCTCTGATTAACTGACACTACACTGAGGAAACACTTAACATCTTTCCAGAAACCTTGGTCTATCGTTCTGCAGTTCATTGCTGGGTTCTGCCCCACACCCTCTTCTGCTTTGACCTGTGTCCACCGCGCACCAGGGTCTCCAGTCTCCTGTGGACAGCGAGTGCAGTCTGACTTTGGTAGAGTGGCCTCAGACTTCAGCGCCTCCCCTTTGTGGAGGTGAGAGAAGAACCTAGGCTCTTAAAAAAAAATCTGCCCCTTCCTCCAATCTGTGACCTCCTGCCCCTTTCTCACAATAACCCATGTTTTCATGTTCTACCTCTAATCTCTAACCCCATATTCATTCACCCTACCTATTCTTCCCTTATACCAAATCTACAACAACGCCCGAATTTTACCTGCTATTGTGTCTTTTGATGCCTATCCTTTTCAAGGCTTTAGAATGTTGGGTCTGAAGAACCTGGTTTTAAATGTTCCCCAAATCCATGAAGTCACTAACCCCTGATGCTCCCTTCATGGTTTCTCCAAGGTTGCTATAGTCTGAATGTTCATGCCAGCCCCCCAAATTCATATGTTGAAACTTTAACCCCCAAGGTGATGGTATCATGAGGTGGCATTTTGGTGAAATGATTAGGTCAGGAGAGCAGAGCCCTCACGATCAGGATTAGGGCCTTATAAGAGAGACCCCAGAGAGCTAGCTCTCCCTTCCCATCACATGAGGACACAGTGAGAAGACAGGTATCTATGACTTAGGAAGTAGGCTCTCACCAGACACCAAATCCGCCAGCACCTTGATTTTGGACTTCTCTCCAGAACTGCCAGAAATAAATTACTGTTGTTTGTAAATCACCCATTTTATGGGATTTTCTCTGTTGTAGCAGATGAACATACTAAGGTAATAGCTCAACCCACCTTAAATCCTCTATCATCTAAAAATTTTGACTGCTTTTCACTCCTCCTCTTCTTTCTTTCCCCATCAATAATTATACCGTTGCTATAAGTGTTTACTTTGTACCAGGTCCCAGGTGTAGGGAGGAACCCTGCTGGAAGCCCTCTTTTCTTTTGGGAAGAGAGATCAAGTTTTAAAACTCTTCCACATTTCTTGTTTGTCAAGTCCATGAGATTTTTCTTGATAGATCTCTCTCTAGCCCTGAAAGTCTCCTGCCTCCCATCCTATGAAACCCTCAGATCTCTCCTCCTCCACTGCACTTACACCCACATCCAGGCTCTGTCCTCCTCCATGGGCTTACAAAACACTGAGCACTCACCATGCAAATCACACAGAAGAACTCAATTAAGACCTGTGATTCTGAGTTAAATGGGCTTGATCAAAAGAAAGATGAAACATAGGCTCACTGAGAATTCAATCCTGTGTTCATAGCCATCTGAATATAATCAAAGATGTTAATGTCACGATTTAATCCAGAGAAGTGGCTGTAGTGGAAGAAAACTTTTCCAAAATAATTTCCTTGGGATGTTCCAAGGAAGGAAGGAAAGATAAGGGAAGGGTAGGGAAGGAGAGGGGAGGGGAGGGGAGGGCAGGGGAATCCATAGGCCAATACATTTGGGAAATACAAAACTTTCTCCTTCTAGGAGAGTCACAATTCATGTTAATCTATTAAAAGCCTCAAGAAGTTATGCCTTAAAGCAGGGGGCCTCAACCCCTGGACCACAGACCAGCACAGTTTGGTTGCCTGTTAGGAACCTGGCCTCACAGCAGGAAGGTGAGTGGCAGGCATGATCATCTGAAGTGGAACAGTTTCATCGCCAAACCCTCCCCCTCACCCTGCTCCCATGGAAAAATTGTCTTCCATGAAACCAGTCCTTGATGCCAAAAGGTTGGGGACCACTGCCTTAAAGGAACATGTTTGTCTTTTGTTAACCCTGTATTTCCCCAAATTACTTGATCATACTAGAAAATAAGCCCTCTAAGGGACAGTATTTGATACTGTTTCTCCCCCTTGTATATCTTCCTCTCCTTCTATACTCCCCTCAGTCCCTTCCCCAGATCTATCTCATTTCTGACACTCAGAAGGTATCCAATAAAATACATTTTGGGTAGAATTACAATCCAGATCACTGAAAGAACACCCTCTGCAGAGGCCTGAGATGGATTGCTCTTCTGTTTTGCTGGACTCTTACAGAGGGAAGATACAGCCAGACAGAAGGAAGAACTTTCTGGCATTGAGTGGAGTAATTTAGTAGAATGGGTAGGTTAGAAAAGTTAGAGAATCCCATTTGTTTGTATCCTTAACAACCAGAACATAGAAGCAGAGAAAAGAACAAGATGACCTTGGTGGACACTTTTCTGCCTGGAGAAAGTTCAGAAAATCCTTGGTGAGTTAAATCACTGCTCTCTCCCCTACAATTCTATCCACTCTCTCTTTCTACTTTTGAGCCTTTGGTACAGGAAGGAGACAAAGTCACTCAAATTCCCACATCAGCAATTTGGAGGAACAGACTCTTAGCAAAAAAAACAAAACAGCCAAACAAAACAAAACAAAAATGGCATTTGCAAACCCCAGGATCTGAGAAAGAAGAAGGTTGAGAGCTGAAATGGAGGCAGATGATTTGCATCTGGGCCTGGGCAGAGGGGCCCAGCTGCTCGGCCCAGAGCAGTGGCTCTGAGCAGCAGCTTCTCTGTCTTGGGACAGCCTCTATGGACAGCTGTCCTGGCTCTGCCCCAGGTCTGGGCAACCTGCCAGCTCAGCCTGTAGTTCTGCAGCTCCAGAACTTATACTCACTACAGCCCATCTGTTTGATGGGCTCATCAGTGTTCAGAAATTGTTCTTATTTATCAGTGTTATCAGGTTACATGTCTAGAGGATAATATTATTCAAAAGCAATATTTACTTGGCTTTTCAATGGAAAAGAGTCTTTCAAAATACTTTTTCTAATACCTTTATAATAATTTCTTACCAAATATCACTTAATATTTTCATTTTCCATAATAAACTACATGCAGTTATAAAAGGGTAGAGAAAAATAGTCTGTACAGGTGTTACTGACATCTAAAGCCAAGAGGATCTTAGAAAATATTTCTCTGTCAGAAGGTGATACCGATATCCAGTGAAATTAAGTAACTAGTATAGTTTTAAACTCAGATTGCTCTTTTACCCCTAGTTCAGGGTTTTTACTAAATTCTATAAAACACAAGAGAGGGAGCCATGGAATGACAAATAGGCCCTATCATGAGGCACCAAACTGCTGAATCACATAGGCAGTAGAGAGCTAATTCATTATCTCAGTTAGCATAAGGGTTTTTATTTTTAACCAAGGGAAAAAAAATGAACAAGCTCACAAAAAAACCTTCAGAAACCCTGAACTACTGCGTCTCGTATAAAAAGAACAAGTCATTTTGTTTTCATGAAGCACCTGGAATATATGCTCAGAGAAGTTCATGGTGCCAAAGATATAGAGACAATGTTTTCAAAGGGTGGGAAGGGCAGGTGAGAGGGAAAAAAGAGAAAGGGGAAGGAGGAAAGGAGGGAAGGAAGGAAAGAAGGAAGGAAGGAAGGAAGGAAGGAAAAGGAATGGAAGGAAGGAAGGGAAAGAAGGAAAGAAACAAAGAAAGAAAGAGAAAGACTATACAACTGAGAAAGAAGATAAACAGAGGAATACCCTGGGCCGCCTCCTCCTCCTAGGAATCATATAGTCTTCATCTTTGTCTTTCAGAAGCTGCTTGTAGAAGAGAAAAATATTTCTTTCAAAAAATAAATCACAAATACTATAAACATATAAACCTACATATGTACTCATAAAAATTAAGAATAAATATAAATAAAAACCAAAAATTAATACATCTTTTTTATTAACAAAAAAATCTCTAGCAATTGCTTGTGAAATGGTATCTTTAATGAGTGAGGTAATTTTGACAGATAGACATAGTATTCTGCAGAAACTGAAAATATTATATTTCATGCAAATCAAAACCACAATGAGATACCATCTCACACTACTCAGAATGGCTATTATTAAAAAGTCAAAAAATAAAAGATGTTGGCGAGGTGGCAGAGGAAAAGGAATGTTTATACACTGTTGGCGGGAGTGTAAATTAGTTCAACCCTTGTGGAAGACAATGTGGCGATTGCTCAAAGACCTAAAAACAGAAATATCTTTAGACTCAGCAATCCCATTACCGAGTATATACCTGGAGGAATATAAATCATTCTGTTATAAAGACACGAGCACATGTATGTTTGCTGCAACACTATTCACAATAGCAAAGACATGGAATCAACCCAAATGCCCAGTGATGATAGACTGGATAAAGAAAATGTGGCACATATACACCATGGAATACTATGCAGCCATAAAAAAGAATGAGATCATGTCCTTTGCAGCAACATGGATGGAGCTGGAGGCCATTATCCTTAGCAAACTAACACAGGAACAGAAAACCAAATACCGCATGTTCTCACCTATAAGTGGGAGCTAAATGATGAGAACACATGGACACATAGAGGGAAACAACACACACTGGGGCCTATGGGAGGGTAGAGGGTGGAAGGAGGGAGAGGATCAAAACAAATACCTATTGGGTACTAGGCTTAATACCTGGGTGATGAAATAATCTGTACAACAAACCCCTATGACAGGAGTTTACCTATGTAACAAACTTGCACATGTACCACTGAACTTAAAATAAAAGTTAAAAGAAACTATTATATTTCAAGAGTCTTAAAAATAGCTGCAATTTCTTGAGCATTTGCTGTAAGGTAGGCGCTGGACTGAATACTCTGTATTCCTTTATTCTTATAGCTCTACAACCACTCCTGTAAGGTTATCCCCATTTAGCAGCTAACAAACTGAGACCTAGAGATGTTAACGTATCCAAGACTACAGAGCTACTTGATGCCAGAGCTTCACTCTAAAGCCTGCTCTCCTAACCATCAAACTATCAATGTTAACAAAATGTTGACATTTGGGCCAGGACAATTATTCCTTATACTGAAGAGTCCCATCCCTTCAAAAGCACTTATCATCATTGGCCCTCAGGTACTAAATACCAGTATCAGCTTCCCATTTCTTTGAAAATTAAATCTCTCTCACATATTTCCAAACTCCCTACCGAAGTTATATTCTCCATTTCCCAAACATATTGGAAAACAACTGTTAAGGAAAACATTGAATTCTAGAAACTTAGGATTTAAAAGAGTTGTTAAGTTTCCATTAGTTCAGCTTTTATAGTTAATTTGTACGGAAAAGAATAGTAAATAAAGAGAATTAGGGCGTGTTGGATTTAGCATTTTACTTGTTGACTGTGAAGCTAATTCTCAGAGAAGCACATATTTAGCATCTACTATGTCCTGAGAAAATATGTTAGATATTTTCATGCCTACGTAAAAGGAATAGCGTGGGAGAAGGGTTGAGTGAGAAACAGAGAGAATTGTTATTTTCCTCACATTATACTTGAAGAAAATAATGTTTTGAGAACTTAATTTGCCAAGCAAGAATTTTATTTAGGATTATTTCTACCATATTATAGCTATACTATGGATACTCAATGGAGTTGTCCCATTGATGATTGGAAATGGAATTTAGAAACATGGTAAAAAAAAAATCTAACTATACCTATAGCCAAAAAATCAGAAAGAAGGTAATGAACATGTGAAAATCAGTCACAATTAACACATTAGAGGAGTGCCTTGTAGAATAAATATTGTGATATACATTCATAAATAAATGATTTAAAGAAGGAAACAGTAGAATCAGGAGAGAGACAGAAAGAAGATATCCAAAATGCAGCAGCATCCTACGGAGAAGAGTGTTCAGAGATACTGGAGAAGCGAGGAGGGATAGTTAGCAGTGCTGGATGCTCCCGGTGGGTGAAAGTGATTGAGGCCTGGGAGAAACCTTTTAGAGTTCAACAAGCCTTTTCCAAACTGAAAACCAATAAACTGAAGACATCTTCAGGGTGTAACCGATTTTAAAAGTTCAGCTTTGAAAACGTTGGGGAAAGCAGTCATTTACTACAAAAACAAAAACTTTGAAGTGGTTTGAACATAAAACAAAGTTAAGAAACTAACAGAAAAAAAAAGTAGTCAGTATTCAAAAACAAGCTTCGGGGGAATTTACCAGAGTATGAAAGTTATCAACACAGAGCGACTGGCTCAGAGCCCTCTCAAGTGTGTGATACGACTGGAAACTTCTTCTCTGAGATAAACGCCAGATCATTTATGAGAGAGAGCTTTCCCATTTTCAGACAGCTCTCCTGAGGACAGAAGGATTTATCTGCAGCAGTGGAATTCTAGTTATATGGTAGGAAGACTCCTGCACACACCTCTTTAAATGGACTGTACCTTTGCCTTAATAGGAAAAGATCTCCTGTTTTTCTGGAAAGACAGAGGCAGCTCTGGGGCAGGAAGGTCTTCCTAGTTGTGAGCACCGTGTCTACGGATGGTTTGTCCTTCGCTCAGTCTCCTGAGCCGGAGCAAAGGATGTGGCTGGGCCAGGAGGCGGGGACTGCATCTACATGTGTGGATGTGTGTGTGTGTGGTGTGTTCTCATTTCCGCTTCCCCTTTTGAGCAGGCAACAGCAGTTGAATGAGTTCAGGGAGAAAGGCATAATCTACAACATGATACTTTCTCACTTGCTTCACCTCTGTGCCCACACCTGTGAAGGCCTCGGCCCAGCTTCGACAACTGCTTTGCCTCAAACTCAGCTTTCTACCAGCAGACAGGTAAGCACAGCCTTTATCTCAGTTTCAAGGCTGTACTGATTTAGGGTGATGCTAGGAGAAAGAAGGAAACATGTCAGAGAAAAATCAGGCTGTCAAGTCAAGGGAAAATCAAGAGAAAATCTCCCACCACTCTTACTTCAACCTTAAAAGCATCCATCATTATGCCTAGGAGAACGATGCTGGGTGCCCTTTTGCTTTCGTTTGTTTGTTTTCTCTTTATTATCAGAGAGGTAATCTTTCTAGATTCTCAAAACTTGGGTCTCTTTGATGACTTGAATAACATTTTAGGAATTTTTTTTCACCTTTCTCACCTGCAAAGTTCTTCTCTGTGTCTTGCTGAACTCATTGTTGCTGCAATTTCCATCTGATTATAACATCGAAAAGTTCTCAAGGAAGAAGTTTCCCGGTTTCATTTCAGGCCCTACTCTAGTGTCCATAGCTCCAACCATTGAGAGTACCTGGCTGAAATCAACTTTGCTTTCTGTGGGTATGACCTCTTTCTTCAGAAGCTGTAGAAGAAACTTGTTGAGATAAACTGCAGCAAGATATATTGAGGTCAGCTACGAGGGAGGATGTACACACTTGAGTGAGGTAAGGTCAAATTCACCGGGAGGCTCAAGATAGATGGATAGCCACCATCAGGACCAGATTTCAGGGTTCACATCTCAAAGATAGATAGATGGATGTGTTGCCTTCTCAGTGACCTACATAATATTGGGGGCTTCATGCTCCTCCAACACCCCTTGCCCCAGTGGTAGCAGGCAGAGCATATCACCACCTACATGAGTTTTGGGGTAGATGGAGGAGTGGAAAGATCCTCCACCCTGGGGTTTTCCCATGCCCCTTCTGTGCCACTAAGCTCACCAGTGGGTGGAAGAAAAAGGGTGGGTCCCCAGGGCAGGGCAAGGACAAGAAAGGAGAGTTCCACAGAAGTGATTTGACAAGACTGTGAGCATTTACAGGAGATATCCAGGGAAGTACTAGTGACTCTGTATACCACAAATGGTCCTGAGTAGAGAGGTAAGGAGACTTTCTAGATGGTGCAGGGCAGTACCTAGGATGGGAGGTTGGAGGTAGGAACCTTCAACTTGTGTGTCCAAGTATCAGACTCAATAGTTGTTCAGCTGAGTGATTAGAGATAAAGATCTCACAATATTGTCTTGCAGCATGAAGTGTTAGTAGGAAGAAGGGAAGTCAGGTTTATTGTCTGTCTCTACTTGGACTATTATCAGAAATAACAAGCTGAAGATATAGCAGAAGGGATAGAAAGCAATTTAACATCTGAGTTATTCGCATGCACCCCAGGGTGTTTAGAAACCATTTACAACCACGCTACCAACATGTTCTCATAACTCTTGGGTTTTTTGAAAATTAAGATGGAACCCTGCGATTCAGCATTATGTAGTGAACATGAAGCCCCAACCGTCATTTTCAGTTCAATGTTTGATTTGGATTCTAGTATGGAGGTCTCGTCTCAGCCAATGCTGTGACTTACAAGATTCCTTCTGGGCTACAGTAAGGGGAAAAGATCACACGTTTATTTCCACCTGCAAACTGACAACTGTTCTCTTTTCCACCTAAGGCACAAGACCAAAGTGGATATTCCAGTACCCACAGTACTGTGTGCCTTACAACACCCAGGCCTGATGCAGAATGGCCTAAACACAGATTTCAGATTGAGAAAAGAGTTCAGTCAAATAAGTAGAGGGACGAGGAGAAGAGAGTGTGTAGATATTGAAAAAGAAAAGCAGGAAAGAAGAAAAATGAATATATGCAGGACAGAGCTTATTACCAAGGAAATGAAACTGAAGAATTAAAGATACGAATTCACAGAGCTAACACAATGGTTGAGAAATCTGCTCATTCTCCCTACTTTCTCTTGATGAAGCCATCTATAAATCAGCTCAGATAAACTGCTGTTTCTTATTCTTGATGTCTTTATTGCCCATTCAAATGAAGATATTTGATGTCTCCCTACATTGAGAACAAGCGATTAATTTTTTTTCCAAATCCACAACTTTAATATTTCCTGTAGCAATTATACAAGCCTTTCTTAAAATTCATATCCTAAAAGTGGAAGTAAGGAAGAAAGGGAAGGAGAGGAAAAAGGTCTTAGATGGTCTTCTTTCAGTATTTATTCAGCTACGCTTATTTGTGGGAGAAAGAGTATGAAAAGGGAGGGGAATAGGAGTTCTATTGACTAATGGGCATTTTTTCTTTCTGTTATTTACCAAGTAACATCTCTCCTTTTCCCCGAACAGATTGAACTGCTCCTTAGACAATAGAAGTCTCAGAATGCTCAAATATTATACTCAGGGAAATTCTTGTTCTGATGATCTTCCAACCTGAGTGACATGGAAGAGGGTTAGGAGCTAGAAGACAGTTCTATGAAGGAATGTGAGAATTTGTTGCAGATTGGGGTATGTCAAATGGGGGACAATCCACCTGGGTTGAGGTGGAGTTTGTCCAGTTCATGAACAGAGAAATGTTAGCTACTCTGGGATTTCCCGCAGCTCTGCGATGGTAATGATGTATATCTTGGCTGTGGATGCAGAAGGTCTTATGGGCCACATCATGGAAACCCCATTTCCTTCTTCTCTCCTCCCACACTGGTTCTCACTCTCAGTCTCAACTCACAGGCACTGCTTGGGGCATAGGTACAAAACAGACAGAAGAGAAGAGAGGTCTGTCTCATACATGTCCCCTAGAGCACTAAAGGCAAACCTGGGACTGGGCCTTGGAAACCAAGTGTGGCAGGAGGAAGGCTGTATGATATAAAGGAAGAAAGCATGCATCTGGAACTCAGAACTTGTGAGTTTGGTTCCCATTTAAAACCACTAATATTCTTTGTGACTCCAGGCAAGCCTGCTTCTCCCTCCCTCTCTCTCTCTCTTTCTCCCTCCTTTCTCTCTCTCTTCAGTTTCCTCAACTACAAAATGAGTGAACAGGATTAGGTAATCTCTCTGGTCCCTTTGGGAATTAGGTAAGAAAGAAAGACTTTTTTTTTTTAATATATTATACTTTAAGTTCTAGGGTACACGTGCACAATGTGCAGGTTTGTTACATATGTATACATGTGCCATGTTGGTGTGCTGCACCCGTTAACTCGTCAGTTACATTAGGTACATCTCCTAATGCTATCTCTCCCCCCTCCCCCCACCCTAGGACAGGCCCCAGGAAAGAAAGACTTTTCATTGCTTACTTTTTATCTCTGCTTAACACAGATTTAAAAAATCTTTTTCACCATCTTGATTTTATACTGTCAACTGTACCCTGCAATTCTCACCTTCTTCCTTCCTTCTTTCCTTCCTTATTCCTCAAGATGTTTCAACTTTAGTGAACATCTTAGACTGAGGGGAGATTCATAATCATAATCATATCTATCACTTATTAAGCACCACCTTTATACATCAGGGACTTAATATGTGTTACCTGATTACAACTGCCAATCACCCAACTAGTTTGGCACAGTATCTATTTTATGAAGAAAATTAGGTATAGACTAGGTGTGGTGGCTCACACCTATAATCCCAGCACTTTGGGAGGCCAAGGTGGGAGGATTGCTTGAGGCCAGGTGTTCAAGACCAGCCTGAGTAACACAGCAAGACAAAAGAAAAAGAAAAAGAAGAAACTTAGGTATAGAAGAAAAGATAGTGTTACCAAGGACAAATATGCAGAAAGCAGACAGAACTATGATTCCAAATTAGGCTTACTCTGATTCCAAGGCCCAAACTCTTTCTACAGTTTTCCTTTTCTTTAATTTCTAAATAACACTCTGAACTTTAAAGAAAAAGAAGCATTGGTCATCCTTACTGAGCCCCTTGAAAATTGCCCCATGGTGAAGTATCTGTAAGCAGAGCTGATATTTGTCAGGTGCAAACTGGTAGGCTAATAGTTGCTAAAATATTAAAATATGTCTACTAATGATAATTATCCACTTTCCCAAGCCCTCTGAGTGCCCATGACCAGCCCAGCTATCCCAGCTCTTTCCTCAAGACTCCCCAGACAGGCCCCAGAAATTCAAGGCCACATCAGCCATGTACCGGGCGGGGCCCCACCACAGGGCGGTGATGGTATCAGCTCTCATTGCTCTGTGGTGCCCCAAACCGTTATGAAATATTCTGAATGCCACAACAACCTGAAAGTAATGCGGAATTCCAGGCAGATTCTCTCCTCCCAACTAGAAGTTAGGTGGGCCCTTGCCAAAAAAACCACTCTGTAAGCCTGAGGAAGGCTAAACTGCTTCATAATCACCTAGCTGGAGTCAGAAAGGAAATTATTCTAATAACACAAACAAAGCAACACTTCCTGCACTAAGACTGTCACAGAACCAAATATAAATTACATTGTGTTTATGGTGCTTCTTCTCTACTAGACTATAAGATGGAGAGCTTACATAGATGCAAAATGGAGAATTTACTAAAATAACTTCTCCTTTTTTTTTAATCCCAAATTACATTGGATGGTGACATTGGGCCATTTTCTTATTCTAATGTCAGTGGAAAAACTATATAACATGGAGTCAGACCAACTTGAGTTTAAATCTCAGCACTACAGGGATGTGGCCTTGGACAAATAACGTATCTCTGTGAGGGTCAGGTAACCATAATCAGCTCTAAAGTGGTTGTCAGGATTAAGTTAAGCAGTTTACAGGAAAGTTTTATGGATAAATATGCAGTACTCTATACATTTCAGTTATTATGACTACCTACCTTTGACTTGCCCGTGTCAATGTGTAGTGAATCCCCACCTGCTTCCCTGGGAAAACAGAGACTAGAAATAGGCGATATTCTTCGAGTCATAATTATGACATACCTCTACAGGTTTTCTGCCGCTGCTACAGTTACTGCCTCTGATAATAATTTTTGTTGGAAGATACTCATTTCACAGCTCTTAACTCCCTCATCTTAAACCAGTGGAGGATATTTCTCCTGTCTAACCTCAATCCTATCTACTACAATTTCTGCTTTTAACTATAGCATCCTCAGAACAAGAATTATATCTTACTCCACTTGGCTGAACCCAGATTCCAGAACTCTTGAAAGATTGTGGAGAAGGATTTATGGAATGAACGTCTAGAGAAATGTAGAAAAGAGGAAAGAACAAAAGGCTGGAAATGGTAGCAGAGGGGGGACATGAGGGTTTGGGCGGATTCAGGCAAGAAGCAATAGTACCACTGTGGGAATTTCTTAGTTTCATGGGAAAATTGGAGAACAGATATCTACAGGCTTTATATTTCTATCCTCATAGAGAAGACTAAATATGATCACATACTATAAGCAGCATCAAGAGAGATGATAGATGAACTCCAGAAGGAAATTTTGATGAAGAAGTGAATAAAAACTTGAAATGAAAGACTCTGGAAAATATTTTTTTTAAATAGGAGAATTTGGTAGTTCAAGCTTCATAAATTAAGTCAGACTTGGGTGACCTTATGTTATGTCAACAAAGGACTGGAAAGACTATGCTCCAAGCCTTTTTCCTCTTCACTAACTGTGCAAAAATGTACATTAGGATCCAAGGCCATGAGGACAGTCAGGAGCACCCGTCCTATGACGAATACTAATTGGGGATAATTTCCCAGTGCCAGGGTGATTCTTGCTCCTCTGCAGGTACAGCACTTATGGAGTCCCTTCTTTTGCAAAGTACTGTGCTATGTTCTATGATGGGTTTAGGGGAGAAGTTACAAGTAGTGGTGAATGATGACAAGAGAGGTAGCCACTTACTGTCTTGTTGCATATGGCGCAGGCATGGGTGTTTGTTGCTACAGGTAGGACAGAGAAAGGAGATGACTTAAGTAGGCCCTTAAAGGGTAGAAAGAATTCGTTTGATTAGAGAGGAAGGGGGATGAAACTATAAGCTAAAGCAAAAAAGCAGAAAAGTTCAAGCAATGTTGAGAGTCAATGAGTAGCACCTGACTGACTCCCTGTATAAGTTCCTGTATGGCCTTCCTGTTCAGGCTCACCACTTTCCTGGATCCAATGTGAAGGTCGCATGTGCAGGAGCTCCATATGTTGGTGTTAATTTGAAAGGGAATTTGGTATATGGGAAGTAACTCTAGAGACCACTGAAGCATTTCGCATTTTTTAATGGGAAAAACTGTATAAATGCACTTTCTTTTATGGGTACTATTCCTATGCATATTTCAAACTCACCTAAATAAATTAATAAACATTGGTACTGGAAGTAAATTTACACAACATTGAGTCCAGCCAATCCCTTTCCTAGAGGATTAAACTGAAACCGTAATAAAAAAGCCTAACTGACATGCCATAAGTCAATTAATTGGACAAGTCAGAAAAATGTCCAAGTCTTCTGATTTCTAGTCAGTTTTCTTTTCACTGCACCAAACTCCATTGTATTATCAGTGTACGTTTTCGAATGACTTATTTGGAGGAAACATCTCCATATCTTTGTCTCTATTACAAGGGGCCCCAAGACCTACAAAGCTGCTATCTTGACATCTGTGTGCACTCGCTTTTTAATTCTGTCTAACACTCTCATGGCTGATGTGCTTGTCTGATAATCATTTGCCGCTTCCTGCAGATTTCCACAGAAAAAAAAACAAAAAAAAAACGGTTTCTTGTCTCCCAGCAGTACAGCTTCCTCCTATTACCACTAACCAGACACTACCATTTCTTCTTGCCTCTTGATATTGCTGTACTTATAGTATTCCCATATAACACTCCATGGACAGGGCTCTACAATTCAAGTGTTGCTGAGATTGGGAAAAAAATTATTTATGCAATTTCCCAGTCCTCTATCCTGTGTGCTAGAGTTGTGAAGATTAGCTTAGATCTACCTTGTGTCTTTTCTTCAAGACTTGAGATCACTATTACTTTTTCAAGTAGAAAAATTATTACATTCTCACCCAAATTGCCAGGAAAATGTCTGTCATTCTCAGTGAACACTTAACCTGTCTGGTCTTTTTATTGTCATACCTGCAATTGCCATTTATTTGTAAGCCTTTCTTTGGAACTCTTAAGCATTAAGGATTCTGCCTTCATAGGCATTTTCCTTTAAGAATTAACATTAAGTAAAACTTCTGTACATAGGACATAGAGACAGGGAGTAAATAGGGATTAGTCAAGAAAATGCAATCTTTGTTCTCAATTGTAGGAACTTCTAGGATAAAAACAAGTCTTAGAATAACCATCTCTCTTTTCTCCAACTTTCAACCCACAACATTTTTACATGCTTAGTAAGCACATAGTTACCAGCTTATTGTTACTGTTTTGCAGCCGATCTCCCTGCATGTGTCTCTGATGACTCTGGAAGGCACTGGGCTCCTATGAGGAAAGGGCACCTTCTAAACATTCACTCGTTTAGACAATGAGTATTCATTAAGTGGTTACAATGTGTGAGATTCTGTTTTAGGCATTAGAAACACAGCAGTAAATGACCCAAAATTTCTGTCCTCGTGGAGCTTGTATTCTAATCAGAAGAGTAAACAATAAATTGGGTAAATAAATAAAATGTAAGGTATGTTAGTGATAAGACCTAAGAAGAAAAAAATCAAGCAGAGAAAGAGCCCAGTGAAAGCGATTAAGGTAGGCTGTGGAAGCCAGGCATGGCTCCATGGAGGACGCTGGTTAAGAGCTGGACACTGCAGGGTGAGTGTGGCAAAGACTGAGGAAGATGAAGAGAAGGAGGGAAAGAATTTGAGAAAACCGAGGTTAAAAAAAGAGGTAAGTATTTTCAGGGGATGCAGAGGAAATTAGCCTATATTATTGCGATATATTTTTGAAGATGTGGGAGGAATGTAAAATAGATTCATATCACAGAGGACGTTGAAACCCCCCACCTCCATTTCAGTTAGTGAGATTCTGGAATTGTGCTAGGCAGTATAGGGGCTTGACATAAAATAGCACATCCAGAAGTTTGTAGTATTAGATGCATCAATGTTAGGGCTATAATGTTTTCACTGACAAACTGAGATCCAATAAAAGGATGAAATTTTCCAAGGTTATACCATTTGAAGTGGCAGAATAAAGTATGAAATCCAGATATTCCTCCCTCCCTCCCTCCCTCCTTCTTTTCCTCCTTCTCTGCCTACCCTCCTGCCCTTCTGCATTCCTGCCCTCCTGGCTTCCTGGTTTCCTGCCTTCCTTTTGAGTTCTACGACCAAAAATGTTCTGTGAGCTGAAGATTCCCAGTGATCTAGGGGAGGTCCATTTCCTTCGGGAATTAAAAACAATAGACAAGTCGGCCTTTGTGATTTTCTTCTCTGGGTTTTGGAACCAATCTCTTAAATATTTTGGATCACAGGACTAGGTAAACAAACTGATAAGACTTTTTAGATTCTTGTCCTAAGGTCATTCTAGTGGCAGTTGCATTAAATGCTCTGAAAGCTCTAAATACCAGGGTAAGTCTTCCAAGTCAGTAAGTTTGAAAGCTTCAAACATCACGATTTAATGGACATTATCTCCTCACGACAGCTCTGACCAAAGAATAGCAAGTCATCTCTGCTACTCCTCTTCGAGGCTTCTTTATGACATTAACTTCATTCAGTGATTTAATTTTCTCTAAAAGGCACAGGCAGTAGACAAAGAGCCACGTGCCCGGGGTTAAAGAGCAAAGTCTCATAGTGCTAACTACCGTCTCACTTGGAAGAAAAATATGTCTTGGACTGGACCTGAAGTGAAGGAAGTTAGATCAGACAACAGTAATTATGTATTATTTTTTCCTAGGTATGTTTTGCCTGTAACAAGCAGAGGCACTAAAAACAATTTTACTGCCCTAGGAATGCATTTTATGTTCAGGATGTTCTTTTCAAAAAAGCTATTTTAATGCCTATTTTGTTGGATGCCTCACTAATGGTTTTAAGTGTTGGAAGAACAGAAGTCTCTGTAAACTGGTAGTCTTCTTATTTTATTTTATTTTATTTTATTTTATTTTATTCCAATAGTTAAAAGTGTAGCTCTTAAGATGATGTTGTTTATGGCAGCTCGAGGAAATAGGGGGATAAGACCTGGAGAGTTTCAGCCCCACTCCTATTTGCTCAGTGTGGTGGGATGCAAGTGTGGCCAGCTGGGGAGAGGCAGCAGGACAGAGTATGAGCCAATGAATATTACATTAGCTTCAAGCTTTTTTAAGCTCTATTTGGACAATTGAATGATTCTTCCCCTCTGTTCCTCTTTGAATGTGTATCTAGTGCCATCATTGTGTCTCTTGGAAAAATACATCAATATTTGGTAATGTTACATGAAATATGAATCGACAGGATTAGTAATTGCATTGATGAGCTGAGGAATAAATTCATAGTTAGGTAGAAGCACAAGTTGACAAATTAGAAAGTCATTATCCTGAAGGTGCTGGCTGCTAATTGCTTAAGGCAGTGTCTCTCTGCTTTTAATCACAGGGTATTTTTTTTTTTCTGAGAGAAATCATATGTGGACTCCTAATATATAAAACAGGAACATAAAAAATCAAGACAAAAACTAAACAAACAAAACCCAGAATTCCTATAGTTGGAGTGACATCCTGGTTGTGGGACCTTAGAAAATCTGTTTTACCTTTGAGACCCTAAATTTTTTCATATGTCTTGATGAGGATTAAAAAATGAAGTGAATTTTATAAGTTGTAAACTTAAAGATGTTTTAGTCATAATGGAAGATTCTGGTAGACAACATTCTTAAGGATTAAAGAAAAAATGTTTTCTAATACAGCATTTCGATTACCCTGAGAAATAGAGATTCTTTAAGTCAGAAGAGTTTTCTTAATGTCCATTAAATCATGATGTTTGAAGCTTTCAAACTTTCTGGCTTGAAAGACTTATCCCGGTATTTAGAGTTTTCAGAGCATTCCTTTTTTGCAGGAGAGACAGAAAATGAGCTAGGCATGTCCTCCCTGCTTTTGAATGGTCAGAGAGACCAAGCTCCTTTGGGCAGACACAGGAAAATTCAGGGGGCAACCCTGAGCATCATGATGGTTTCTGAGCATATGATGAGGGAGTATCACTGTTTTTCAACTCTTAGGACGGCATTACTGTTACGGGAGGCCCTGAAGTCTGAGCCAGGGCCATGGAGGCCTCTGTGCTGAGCCCCACATCCTGGGAGAAACGGCGGGCCTGGCTCCGTCAGAGCCGTAACTGGCAGACCCAGGTCCTAGAAGAGGAGGCTGCCGCCGCCCTGCAGGATGTCCCAGATCCTGAGCCTTCCAGCCTGGATGACGTTTTCCAAGAAGGTAAGAGACGAACATCAGACAGGCGTCTATGTTGTCTGGCGGCAAAAGGTGACAGCAGGCCCAGGTCTGCAGAGTGTGAACAGGTTCCTTGTTTAGCCAGGCCCTCAGGGAGGACTGTTTTGACTGGTTTAAATATGTTTAGGAGAAAAGCTAAAGTAATACGAAATATGAATTATGTGAGAAAGAGACAGGCATAAGATTAGGAAAAAGGGAAGGGCACATTTTTGCATCATCCTGAGAAGCTTCTGTAAGAACCTGAGGCTGGGGGCTCTCTATGAATGCTTTGGGGTGTTTCTATTTTGTCTGTGTAACAAGACCACACCCAAGCTGGATGCCTGGACTCTGGCCACAATGCTGTCACTAACAAGCTGTGTGGCCTTTGGGAAGTCACTCACCTCTCTAAGACTTATTTGTCCAATTGAAGTAGTAGTACCTTTCCTACACTTCTCAGAGCTTCTTTGAGGTTCAGATGAGACCACAGTCATAAGAGTAAAACAAAAATTCTGATGGAAATAAATGCTTATTTGGTAGGAAGCAAAAAGCACAAAAACAAGATTGTCTTTCTTTTTCTTTTTCTTTTTAAATGAGAAGGATCCACCCTTGTGGGAAAGGAACTCTCAAAAGACAGCAGTGGGCCTGACATCTTGGGCACTTTCCAGGTTCTTGGGAGGAAGGGAGAAAAGAAGCAGAGAGAGAGAAGAAATATCTACTATTTTTATATACGGTGTATTCCTCTCATATCTTAAAGAAAAGCTTTATGTAGAAAAAAAGATTCATGACGCAGCTTATGTAAGAATAAACTTGTGGAATGGAATTAGTTGCAGGGAGGAGGTCTGATTTCGTTCAGTTCTCACAGTGATCTAGTGTCTGACTTTTCTAGGGAATCCAATCAATAAAATTGAAGACTGGCTGCAGGATTGCGGGTAAGTGCTGGACAGGCAATGGGGTGGTATGTGGCTGATGGTTGAATTTGCTAACAGACACAACTCCTGGAAACTCAGAGACGGGAAGATGGATTTGATTTGGGCCTAAAGATTAGAAGTAAGGTTGAGATGGTGGTTGGAGGGGTGTTGCGGGTTTAGGGTGAACTGGTGATCACAATTGTGAATCAAGTGCAACTTGGGGCTAAGACTAAATTAGGCACGAGGTCTAGGAATAGAGGTTGGGTTTGAGCTAAAGCTAAGAGTGGATGGGGAATAGTTGGGGTGAGTTCCAGACCCCTACTCCCCTGACTTCCCCCTTTAGATTGGAGTCTTACATTGTGTAACAAAAGGAATTGGAAACCTGATCATTCTTGCTGAAGAGCAATTCATCTGTGTTATTTATTTCTACTGCAGAGCACAGGAGAAGCTTAGGGTTTATGACAGTCATTCAAAGCAGGGGAGAATTGGAGCAGGCACTTCAAGGCAGTGCATTATCTCTTTCCTCAGAGATACTTTAAATTATGAGACCCCACAGCCCATCAGCCTGTACCGTTCTTAGGCTCAGTATACCCAGACACAAAAGGAAGAATTCTGTGATCTATTTAGTCTTCTGTGTAATAATGAATTCTCAGAATGGACAACTTCTGCCTGCTCCTTATTTTCCCTCCAGGAATGGCTCAAGTTTTATATAGCCTTTAATCTAAACTCATCTATTAATTGGCATAAAGAAACCCATTCTTGCTTATTTGGTAGGAAATAAATAACACCAAATAATCCAAGGTTGTTTATTTCACCTGTACCCAAGAAGGCAATGCCAGGAAGGATTTATTTTGTGTTTGTTTTGTTGTTTGAAAAAACCTATTGTTCTCATTGCCCTCATCTTATTCATAATTCATTGATTTCAAAGTCAATTAGAGGACCCACAGAATACAGGAAGAAAAGAATGGTGGTAATCAGCATGTTTGCAGGTTTGGGTGAGAAGCCTAGGATGAGAACTGTCCTAGGATTTAAAATACTTACCAGATATGTACAGGGGAAACAGTCAGCTCAGTTAATGTCCTTATCTCATTAACTACTCTTGAGTCATCAATTCATGTCAGCAATTATTAATTACGCTTTTGCTAACTGTCTGATTATCTGAATAACCTAGAGGGGTGCCAAGTAGTTTAAAATATGCTCATTGACTTAGAACATATTTCGTTCTAATTGAAAATAATAAATTCACAGAAATACAAGATAATAAACTCTAGAAATCATCTTTCTTCACTCATGCTCTACAAAGATAAACCCTGAACCAAAATTTATGACAAAAAGGTGGTCTGGTTAGTGAAAAGTCTCCAAGACTTGAGCCTAATTCTTGTGCTACTAAGTGTTTAACCAACCATAAGCTAATAACTTAAATTCTGTTCACTGTAGACGCCTGAGCTATAAAGTGGGACGCTTAAAATAATACAGTCTAAGGGTTCTCGTGAGGTTTAAATGAGATGATATATGTGTATGTGCTTTATGCTTTTAATAGTGAGTGACTGGTGAGTTTTATAAAGGAGGAGTTTATACCTACCTATAATTCCACAAAATGTCTGTCTATATCTATCCATCTATCTACATCTGTTTATTTATCAGAAAAAAAATTCCCAGAAATGATACATATTAACTCTTGGATAGTGATTACCTGGAAGAAGGAAAAGAATTGACTTTAGAAGTAAAATAAGACTTTAGTTATATCTTTAATATTTAATTTTTTATTTTACATTATATATTACTTAATATTTTATTTTTTCCGAAGCAAATATGGCAAAATGTTTACATGTGTGAAAATAGAGTGACTGGTGCAAGGGTATCTGTTACATTTTCATTATGTATCTGTGTTTTGAAAAGATTTCAAATATTTAAACTTCAAAATGGCCATAAAGAGTTAATCAACAGACTTGCATTTGTCTTTGGAAGGGGAATTGTTGGAGTCAGAACATTTTCCAATTTCCTCTGTTTTCTAATTCTGTTTAAGTGTGTAATACTTCTTAATTGCATGGAAAAGCTAGAAAAACTAAAGGACAATAATGACAATGATTGATAGTGAGAGTACACTTGACTTTTGGTAATAGCTAATGAAGAAGATAGAGGGAAAACGCATTCTAAACATGAGATTCTAAATTACCACAGTATTCCATGCTCCAAGGCCACAGAGGAAAGAGGATAAACAAGGAGCCCGCATTTACTGATTATCTGTCCACTCTGCCAGGTGCCCTGAGGGGCACTTTTCAAATTTTATTCCAAGACCATATAGTTTCCATTTTTCTTTCCAAAGCCTAACATCCTCTGGTAGCAAGAGCATCTTCTTTTCTGACAAGCTCTGCAGGAGAGTTCACCAACATCTCAGGCAATTTAGTGTCAATGTTTCTCAGTGCAATTGAATCTAGCGGCCGACTATTCTGCCACAGGATCTGATCATGCATGTCTTTGCAAACTATGCCTCTCCTTTTTTCTTTCTCCTCCTAAGCTCTCGGGATTTTCTGGGACATGACTGTGTTGCTCATGAATCACCAGAGGTGGGGTTGGGAGCCCAAAAATCATCTGTGTGGGCTTCAGCTTAAATCTCTGCAGGCAGGTAGCTATGGAAACATCTAGAAGAAGCTAAAAATAGCCATATACTTCTTCCCACAATCCAACCCCTCCTCCCTACTATTTGTTTATGAACTGCATATACAGAAAGAGCAATACCTTGGCTCTTTCATTTGAGACTTAAAATGATGCTAAGGAATTTTTCAATGCAAGGGTGGGAAAAGGGGAGCAACTATACATCTAGTCCCTGGTCATTGATTTTATGGCCTATCCGATAACCCATGGAAGGCCTGGGACTTGAGTGATGGACATAAAGTCTCAAATCATTGTGCTCGGTGAGAAAGCATCAATAGCTCCAGGCCCATGTCCACACTGCTGTTGTAGGTTCCACAGAATGCCCCAAGACCCACCAATGGCTATTCCTCATAAAGAGAATAGAAATACTTGGCAGATTATAACTAAAGAAGAGAAATGTAGGATAAGCACCCAATAAAAACTTGTATCCAATGAATACAAGTGAGTTTTGCTTTGGACAAACCAGAAATTTTATCAGTGACATTTTAAATGTAAATTGTATTGAAGTTCAGCATACATATCAGTAACATTTTCCTTTTTAATATAAATTATATTGAAGTATAATATACTTACTGAAAAATGAATGAGTATTAAATATGTAGCTGAGGCTAGGCACATGGCTCATGCCTGTAACCCCAGCACTTTGGGAGCCCAAGGCAGGAGGATTGCTTGAGCCCAAGAGTTCAAGACCACCCTGGGCAATGTACCAGTCCTCCATCTCTACAAGGAAAAAAAAACAACAGTTTTTTAAAATTAGCCAGGCATGGCAGCACCTTTAGTCCTAGCTACTCAGGAGATTGAGGCAGGAGGCTCTCTTGGGCTTAGGAGTTCAAGGCTACAGTGAGCTATTCTCACTGTGCTCCAACCTGGGAGACAGAGTGAGACCCTGTCAACAAATAAATAATAGGCAAATAAATAAATACATAAATAGCTCAATGAATTTTCACAAAGGGAATACACCCATGAAACCTAAAGCAGAGCATCACCAGCATTCCAAATGCCTCCTTTCCGTCCGTTTCGTTCACTATCCTGCTTCCAAGGGTAACAAATACCCTGACTTGTAACATCATAGATATGTTTGGGATTATTTTGAACTTTATAGAAATAGAGTCATATAACATGTACTGTTTTATGTGTGTTTCTTTTGCTTAGCATTATGTTTATGATGCTTATCCAAGTATTCGCATGCAGCAGTAACTCATTCTTATTATTGTGTAATATTAAGTTGTATAGTTATTATATAATTGTTTAATTTTATAATAAATAGGGATTTGGAGGCTTCCATTTTTTGGTTATCATGACTAGTATTTACTTGGGGGAACCTATGCAGGCATGTCCATTGGGTACAACCTAGAAATGGAATTGTAGTCTATTTAAATGTACCTCTAGTAATAGTAGGCCTTAGTAGTGGCACTACTGTGCAGCTACAACACAAGCATTAAATACAGTAGTAAATTGCAATATTCTAGTACTTGACTATATTAGCTATCATGCTGTTTTTAGTAGTAATAGTAAATATTACAGTTACACATGTTTGTAGTATTATACCACAACATACTTTATGTAATTATATATTAGGAAGAGAAAAATATATTTATAGTTCTAGGTGCATTATTAGAGTTACCTATTCTTAATGAGCTTGCCTATTATTTCATATTTTATAATGAACCTTTGATGTAGTATTTTTCATAAGGACATATTAAAATTCAGATTTTGGTAAACATGGTTGATTTTTTTGCTATTGAAAGGAGTTACAAGCAAAAGATATATCTATATCTATCTATCTACACACACACATATATATATATATATATATATATACATATATAAATATGTAGTGACTTATTTTGTAAAATTTAGGCAGAACTTGACCTACAGATATTTGGTTAGTAAGCCTATTCCCACTGTTACACACGCCATGAAGTGATACTCCAGTGGCCTGAGAGTAATCTGGATTGCTGGAGACTGATAAAGAGAAAAGCTCCTTTAGGACCAGCACCAGTGGATGCACTTCAGTTTCTCTGCTAACTCACGTTACTGACCCTTTTCCCCTCCAACCTCCACTTGAGATTACATTTAAAGCACCATGAATAACTTCCATGTAAAAAGCTTTAGGAAAGCAAACTCTACAAAATTCACAACATATCAGTGTTTGAAGTAGACTCAGATGATGATAATATCTAGGGTTCCAAATTCCCTTACGTAATATTTGAGAACAAAACAGCCACAATGAGCCAGGACTAGAATCTGGATGTGCTGATCACATTTCAAAGCCCTGTCACAGATTACTTCACACACCTGTTTTGGACAGAGAGAATTTCTTCCTTGTTTGTAAAACTGAGCTGTCTCTCACCACCATTTGTGCTGATTTCGGTTTGTTCTTCTGGTGGAGATGGTAAATGTTTGATAAGACCATGTCTGAAAATTTTAAAATATCTCTAACCAGGATACAATTTCTGCTGTTTCCTGAGTGACATGATATTCAGCAATAACATGGTTCAGAGAGAAGGAAGGAAGTGTGGGTAGTTAAGGTGATCTAAAAGTTTTAAGAAAACCTAGAAATTTATATTTGTGATTTGGAAATTATGGCATGCAAACGCCTGCTTCTATGAATGTAATTCTCCCGTTTTGCTTCAATATTCTTTCTTTCCTGTTTCACCTAAAGACCGAAGAATCATTGTTAAGTTGACTTTCGTCCTTTAGTCCTGTGGCCAGGACAACAGAAGCACAATCTAAAATATAGTGCATTCCAGCCCCAGTTTCCCCAACTACTTCTATGAATTTTTCAGACAAGTAACCACTCTGTCTTTGTTTTCTCCAACATAAAAGCAAATTAAATACTACTGACTCTCACTGGAAAAGAATATGAATATGTGTGAGTTTTTCCATGAAAAAGCTCCTTGGAAAATGTAGTAAGTGACTTCAACCTATAAGACTGTTTTTGGTTTAGATACTCTGAAGAAGGATTTTCTGAGGAAGCAGGACAGTTTATCTACAATGGTGAGTATAGGTTCTGTCCATCTATTTTTCTTCTACCTGGAGAGTGATATACCTGTGCGTGTGTGTATGTGAGTGTTTATGCACATATACATGCATAGGCATGCAAAAGAGTCCCTGAGTGTTCTTAAACTGGCTGCAAAACACTATTCGTGGTCACAAGACTTCAGGAAATCCAGAAGAAAGTGCTGGCTCAGAGCCCACAGGCTCACTAACAGTCATAGGCTATGTTCTGCTAGTGGTTGCTCAGATAACAACCACTGCTATAGGAAAAGAACTTTATAAAATATGTGTTTATATGGGTGTGAGTGCACATCCCCATATGTTTGCTGTTTGGCAGGGGATTGTGTACATAACTATGTGATATAGGGGAAAGGTTATAGGTGAATGCATGTATGATTGTTTCTGAATCAAAAATGAATATGACTTCTGAGGTGATATATGTACAGTTTGTGGTAATTTGACAAACGTGGGTATCTAGTATGATTATCTGGTTGTGCAAGTCTAGTCTAAGGGCATGTGAAGATGTTCGTGTATGCAGGGGTGTGCATGTGCATGTGTATATGTTCCATCCTGGTTTTCTGTGACCCTCACCTGATTATTGGACAGGCTTCTGCAGCCATGGGACCAGCTTTGAAGATGACTTGACCCTGGGAGCGGAGGGTAAGTGGCACAGTTCTCTGAGGTTGGGATGAGAAAACAGGATATACATTGTATGAATTCAGGATAGGATGGAAGTGCAAAACTTCAGAAAGAAACAGCCCATCCCTGGGGTCTTATCTACAGGGAAAGGGCAGTCTCATTATTATCTAATGTAAAATGCAGAAGGCATCACATGCCCAGAAACACCTCCTCATCAGCCTACCATGACTCTTACTGGTTCATCACTGGAACTTTCCTTTGGCCCCTGGGATGATAACATATAAAATTACTATAATGTTTGCTGCCCAGATAGCTTTAAGACTGTTTTCTGTACAGAAACTCCAAACAAGTCTGTGCATTGGATGTAAAATAGAGACTATACTGCAGGAGGAGAAGGACATCAGTAAAGAATGAAAGCACAGCAACCTACCAGTGTCTCCTGGGAGCTGTAAAGACTTGTGTAGGGGGACAGGAACACTAGCCAGGAAGGCCAAATGACTCTATCCTTTTTAGGACAGAGGGGCTCTTGCCTAAACATCAGTCATGGGTCAGAAGTTCATAGGGTTAAGGCCAGTTACTCTCTGGCATATCTGTCCCTATTCCAGAACTGTGTTAGGTAATCTTGAGGCCCCAAGAAGTGCAGAATTTATGGGGTCCAGCTAGCCTGTCATAGTCACAAAAAGAAACAGAGGGGACTGAGTTTTAGGTTCAGAGGGGCAACACAGGTGATTTTCATTTTCCCTTCTAATTTGCTCTTTGCTTCTCTGTTTCTTGTCCAGCCACACTACTGGCCGCCAATGGCAAACTCTTCTCCAGGTAAGTGTTAGGTTCAGCCAGGGTGAATGATGTCTCCTTTAAGAATCAGTGAATTGGGGTAGGTCAAAGAGATTAAAATAAAGAGCTAAAGATTCACATTAGAGAGTGAGACTTTCCAACGAACAAGCACTGCATAGACTACTGTTCAGGGGGTGAATAAGTCCAGCAGGGATTCCTCGAAGCCAGGGTGCAGACTGGAAACAAGATTTGTATGACATCAGCTTTGATCTCTGCAGGAGTTTCCTCGAGACAGCCAGGCCTTGCCAGCTACTTGATCTTGGCTGTAGTTTGGCTTCCAGCAGCATGACTGGGGGGACCAACAAGACTAGTTCAAGGTAGGTACTGAAGTTTGGCAGGGTGGAAGGGTGGAGAAGATGAGAAGCATAGGAGAATGGAACCAAGAGCCATTGCCTGTTTTTTCTGGGATATCTTACTGGAGCTTTTATGCACTTTTACTGCATACTTGAAAAATGTGACCATATTTGTTTCAAGAATTGTGAAAGACACAGAGGAGTCTTCTCAGAGCTGAATACTATGTGTAAAATACAGGTGTCTCCTCCCACTGAAACTTGTACCCCAGGAGGTATAGTACTGGTACCATCACAGTTCCAAGACTCAGAGTAGGTGCTCAGTAAACAATGTATTGATTAATTGACTAATTTGTTGACTGAATGAAGCAATAAAATATTAATTCATTCGGACAGGCAGGCCAGGCAATGACTGTATGGAATTTGAAAAAGATGAAGCAGCACTATTCACAATAGCAAAGACATGGAATCAACCCAGCTGCCCATCAGTGATAGACTGGATAAAGAAAATGTGGTTCATATACACGAATACTAGGCAGCCATTAAAAGGAACGCGTTCGTGTCCTTTGCAGGGACATGGATAGAGCTGGAAGCCGTTATCCTCAGCAAACTAACACAGGAACAGAAAACCAAACACCACATGTTTTCACGTCTAAGTGGGAGCTGAACAATGAGAACACATGGACACAGGGAGGGGAACAACACACACTGGGACCTGTCAGGGGATGGGGTGAGAGGAGGGAGACCATTGGGAAAAATAGCTAATGCATGCTGGGCTTAATACCTAGGTGATGGGTTGATAGGTGCAGCAAACCACCCTAGCACACGTTTACCTATGTAACAAACCTGCACTTCCTGCACATGTACCCCAGAACTTAAAACAAAAATGAAAATAAAAAAAGAAAAGATGAAGCGGACAAATAGCTTGATCCCAGGAGCTGAATGATTTCATAGGGTGGACAAAATATACACACAAATAACTCTTTGAAAAAGATGAAAAGTCAGGAAAACTAGTATGATATAATGAAAAGTATCTGAAATTTGAAGTCAAAATTTGAATTTGAGACCTGGTTCTGAGACTTAAATTTTGTCACATGACCAAATTTAGTAATTTATCCTCACTGAGCCTTAGTCCTAGTTCATACCCTAGTTCAATTTAATCAGAATGTCTGAAGATGGGATTCAAATATATGCATTTTTAAAGCCTGCAAAGGTGACCCTAACATGTAGCCATGGTTGAGAAGCACTGATCCAGTTTTACGCCCACAATTCACAGATAGGGAAACTTAGGACCATGGAGATAAAAGCTGGCAAGGACAAGAGTAGATCCAGGGATTCCGACCGTCCAGCTATTAGCTAAACAAGATGGTCCCTATTTGATCAAAAAGCCCAGCATACTTTCTGAAGAGAGTGATAGTGATTATTCAAAGCCTCAAATAATAACAGCTTCCCTTAGCCTCACTGTCTGAAACACAATTACTAAGCTCTAGTGTCACCCAAGTTGGTGGAACTCCGATTTAGACATAAATCCAGGTTGATACCATAAAGAGAGAGTGCGTGCACGGGATCTTCTGTGACACAGGACTTCTGTACTGAAAATAGTGCTAGAAAGGAGCATACCTCTCAAAATCAGGTTTTGGATGTGCTTATTGATTACTTTTTGCCCTAAGATCAAGAATAAAAATGTTTACCTTCAGGGGTTCTATGTTTCTTACATATTCATTGCTTAGTTGTCCCACGCAACAACCACTGGGGCAAGTCGGATGGCAAATTTGGGAACTGAGCACTTAATGATGCAACTGTGAAATTTATTTGTATCTATGCTGCTCTTATTTTTCAAAATCCTTTTATATTTACTTAAATTTTTATTCGTCTGCAATAAGTTGTTCAAAGTACTGTACTAAAATTTTATTCAGTTTTTATAACTAGGGTTGGATTGTAGTTTCCATGTTTCCAACAGATAATTTAGGTTCAGAGAAGTGAAAGCTTTTCTCAAAGTCACAGTGAAAAGTAGAGAAATGGACAGAAAAGAATTTCAGTCTTCTGACACTTTTATTAGATATTCTGATATTCTGAATTACCATGTGTCTCAAAGTTGTCCCTTATTTACCCAAACTCCCTCATTTCAGCATCTCAGAAATTCTGGACAAAGTGCAAGAAGATGCAGAAGATGTCCTCTTCAGTCTGGGCTTTGGCCAAGAGGATCACAAAGACACTTCTCGGATACCCGCCCGATTTTTCACCACCCCCTCTCAGGCCAAGGGCATTGATTTCCAGCTCTTCCTGAAGTCCCAGGTGCGGAGGATTGAAATGGAAGACCCCTGCCTCATGCTGGCCAGTGAGTGTCCCTCCCAGGCACCTGCTCTACTTCCCTTTTCCTTTAGATTTTCACAGCAGGGCTCAGTGGCTTCAAATCCTGCTTTCTCTTGGTTATCTTTAACCCTTTGCCTATTGTGTCTATTTCCTCTTATGTTGTCTTCAGTGAAGATGGAGAACTCTGTCTGATTCTTTCTCTTAAAGAAATAGCCTTTAAGAGACTTCAGGCCACTACTGCTTCCTTTAGGCCTTCTTGCCTTTCAGTCAATCATATCAGCATGATGTCTATAAATCTTATCCCTCTTTTTTGTTTCCCAGTTGGAATATCTACATGGGATGGGGTGTCAAGAAGTTACGAAATTCCAGAAAAAGAGTGTTAGAAATCTAAAAGGGAGAAACACTAGTAGGAAAATTGGAAGCTTCTCCCTGAATTTTGAGCTTTGGGGAGCCTCCTGAAGGGAGAGATTTAAGAAGATTTGCTGATGAACCCCAGACTTACCATCTTTAACTCTTGTACCCAGGCAGGTTTAAGCAGGTGCAAACACTGGCTGTCACTGCTGATGCCTTCTTCTGTCTCTACTCCTATGTGTCTAAGACACCTGTCCAAAAGTTCACACCATCCCACATGTTCTGGAATTGCAACCATCCAACTGATGTGCCATCCATCAGGATTCTGTCCCGAGAGCCTGAACCCCAGTCACCCAGAGACCGCCTTCGGAAAGCCATCTCCAAGATGTGTCTGTACACATGCCCCCGAGACCGGCCACCACCACCCCACAACACCCCCAAAAGGAACAGTTTGGACCAAGTTGTGTTGGAAGTGATGGACAAAGTGAAAGAAGAGAAGCAGTTCCTCCAGCAAGACTCTGATTTGGGGCAATTCTCACAGGAAGATCCTGTGCCCCCTGCTGAGGGTAAGAAGTTGCCCACTTCTCCCTATCCATGTGTCTTCTGCTGTGAAGAGGAAACACAGCAGAGGATGTCCACAGTGCTAGCACCATCCCAAACTCTGGATTCGAACCCCAAGGTACCCTGTTGCACACATTCTCTGCCCATAGAAGATCCACAGTGGAGCACAGACCCAGCTCAGATAAGGAGAGAGCTGTGTAGTCTACCAGCCACCAATACGGAAACCCATCCAGCCAAGGATGAGACTTTCTGGAAAAGAAAGAGCAGAGCAAGAAAGAGCCTCTTCCAGAAGAATCTCATGGGCAGGAAGGTTAAGTCCTTGGACCTGTCCATCACCCAGCAGAAATGGAAGCAGAGTGTAGACAGACCAGAACTGCGTCGGTCTTTAAGCCAGCAGCCACAGGACACTTTTGACTTGGAGGAGGTAAGTGGGTTGGAGGTGAGGGAGAGACTGGCAGAGAAAGGCTGTAGATTCTTTCCCAGAAGATGAAGGGTTAGAACCCTTGGGGGAAAAATAATCCAGGCTTCCTGTCCTAGCCAGATATACCACTTTCTGATTTCAATTCAGGGTTAATATACAGGGAGAAAGAGACAGAGGCCTGGTTTCCTAAGAGCAGTCGAGTTTTCAGAGCTCCTTTGGTAATACCTGATCTGATTGCCATTTAATGTTCCCATTAAGTACACCTCTCATCACCATTTGTTGTGGTCCTCATGAGATTACAAATGGAGAGCAGTTTTACACAAAGCTAACCACTCTTAAATAAAATAAATTCTCCCTTACCTTGACAAATATCTAACCATAAAGACCCAGAAGTCCAGATTTCAATCTAGGATTCTCAGACTGTTAGGACTTCTGTGCTAAAATGTGACAGTGTGAGCAGAACCACTCCCCAGCTCCTGACCTGTTCCCTTATCTTCCAGTGCCCAGACCTGTCCTATACCATAAGGGACCTTGCATGTCCATGTTTGGTTACCCGAGCCTGCACATCCAAATGCCACAAGCTCCCACCTACACAAAGAGCCATTGGTCATCATTTGGGCCTAGGCTGCATACACTACTGGAGAGGTCAGCCCTTGAGAGAACAGTCATCAGGCAAAACCAGCGCACATTCCTGCAACCGGCTTGGGGCCATTTGACCAGCAAACTTTGTGATTCTGGGTAACCAAAGAATGTTCTAGAAGGAATAGTGCAGGACTAGGTGGGCACATTCTCTAAGTCCACCAACTCTTCGTGTTCTCTAAGTCCACCAACTCTTCTGACCCTCTAAGACTCAGAACTCCTCTCGCCTGGGTCTATGGAAGATACTTCCATGAAGTGTTGGGATCTCTTTAAAAAGCTTTTAAATCCTTGCCACAAAAAGAAGCCGTGATTATTTGAAATATCATTTGCATGTATGTCACCTCTCCTTGAATGTAGAGCTACACCTCCGCTCCTGCCTTCCTCATTACTGTGTCCCTGACACCACAGAAGAGGCTGTCTCTCAAGTACACTCAGCCTCCTTCCCCTACAGCTACCTGCCACCTGCACCTTTCCTTACCCCCTTTCCCCCTTGGCTCTGGCTGAGTTCTGTGGGATCTTGGTTACAGGTGCAAAGCAACAGTGAGGAGGAGCAGAGTCAGAGTCGCTGGCCCAGCAGACCCAGGCACCCCCACCACCACCAGACTTTTGCTGGCAAAGACTCGTGAAGTAAGTGGGCCTCTCTCAGGCAGTTCTCAAACCTGGCTGCACATTGTAATCAAATGAGGAAGGTTTTTTTTTTTTAAACCCATAATAAAGGGTCCCACATTCTGTAATTCTGATTTAATTGGAAACCAATGACTAATTATTTTAAGCTTCCAGGTAATTCTATTATGGCTGGAAAATACCTCTCTAGATCAATGATGCCCAGGCTTTGGCAGGCATCACAATCACCTGGAGGGCTTGTTAAAATACAAATGACCAGATCCCAGCTCCCAGAGTGTCTGATTGAATTGGCCTGGATAGAACCAAAGAATTTGCATTTCTAAGAAGTTCTCAGGTGATGCTATTGCTGCTGGTCTGGTAATCACAGTCTGAGAACTGCTGTTCCAGGAGACATTGTGTAGAACTTTAATATTCAAACTGTAGTGTACAGATACAAGGAGCATCAGCATCCCCTGGGATTTTGTTAGAAATGTGGACTGTCAGCCCCCACCCCAGACCTAATGAATCACAGTTTTACCAAGATCTTTAGGTTAGATAATTGATTGCATATTGAAGTTTGAAACTCATTGTAGTAGAAGTTTTGTAACAGGTGAGGACCAGCCATGGAAATCAATATCCCAACACCTGCTTTCAGCTATGTTCTAATCAGCCCACATCATTGAACTCAGAGCAGACTCCTCAATGTACCTCACAGCTATGCTCATTTAGGGTCTGAGCTCCCTTCTGCAACTGTGGTCTGATGAAGGTAGCTCTCCCTCCCCTCCTCAAAGCAGGAAATGAATTTCACATTGTTATTTATTGCAGCTAAAATTTCTTTCCTCCAGATATGAGTTTTTCAGTATTAATTTTTTCAGAGATATCTCTTATACCTTTAAATAGTTTGGCCAGTAATTTATTATTTAAACTAATGAAAATTAATCTTTCTGTAGTTTTAACCACCTATCTGCTACAACCACAAAGAAAATGGCATAAGGGATAATGGTATTTTCCCCAGATAGTATAAATTAAAATCTTTATTGAATTAAGTAAATAAATCTTGCTT